>NC_000004.12:54193951-56593951 GCF_000001405.40 Homo sapiens | reverse complement strand
CATGCTGGAGTTGATGCCCTGCTCGCTTGAGACCTTCTGGCAAAATCAAAGTGGCATTATGTACTCTCCTAGCAATATGCTCCAGCCCATGGGAACCATGGTAGATTGCAAACATGGCTGCCATATTCGCCAAGAGGGCCTGAGCTGTACAGATGTTGCTGGTAGCCATGTCTCTCTCAGTGTGTTGCTCCCTGGTTTGAAGAGCAAGACAATACACTTCTTTCCCAGTGGCGTCTCTTGTTGCCCCCACCATTCTTCCAGGCATCATTCTCACCAAGCTTTCTCGGACGGCAAAAAATGCTGCGTGGGGTCCCCCATAGCCCAGTGGCACTCCAAATCTCTGGGAGCTGCCCAAGGCGATGTCTACCCCAAATTCTCCCGGTGGCCTCAAGATGCACAAAGCTAAAAGGTCAGTAGCACACACAGCAGGCCAGGCTCCCACTCTGATGAGCTCTCTCCACGAGTTCCGTAAAGTCTTCCACCTTCCCCTCCGTGTCTGGGTACTGGAACAACACTCCGCTGACATCTTTTCCACTGAAGTCCATTTCACAGGGTAACTTCAGCTCAATGAGGACTCCAGTATATTTGGCTCGAGTCTGGACAACAGCTATTGTCTGTGGGTGGCAATGGGGGTCAACAAAAAATTTCCTCCTCTTGTGTCTGTAGCACAGCTGCAGCGCCTCTGCAGCCGCAGTCCCTCATCCAGCAGGGATGCACTGGCCATGTCCAGGCCTGTGATGTCACACACCATGGTCTGGTAGTTGAGTAAACTCTCCAGCCTCCCCTGAGACACCTCAGGCTGGTATGGAGTATACTGGGTGATCCATCCTGAGTTCTCCAGTAAGTTCCGCAAAATCGTCTGTGGCACTGAGCAGTTACAATAGCCCATGCCAATATAGGATCTCCAGATCTGGTTTTTGCTTGAAATGGCATGCAGAGTTGCAAGGATTTCATTTTCACAAACAGGGTCTTCCATTTTCAAGGGTCTTTTCAAATGGATGTTGGCAGGGACCGTCTTCTCGATCAATTCATCAATGCTCGCCAGCCCCAAGATCTGCAGCATCTCTCTCTGGTCTTTGTCCCCAGGGCCGATGTGCCTCCGAGCGAAGTCGTCGTGTCTGGGCAGAAGGCGCTCCAGGAGGCGCGAGGCCCCAGCCGCGGCGCTGTCCCCGCCGGCACTGCTGCTGTCCCGGCCCCACGGCGCCCAGCACAGCCCCGATCCCCCAGCCAGGCGGCGGCCGCCCCCGACCCCGCGGCCCAGGAGCAGCCCCAACGCCCTGGCACAGGACTGCATGGCCGCGGCCACCGTCCCCTGCCCCGGCCCGCAAGGGTCAGCCGCGCTCTCGGCCCCTCTCCTGGCCTCGGTCCCCCGGGTGGCGGCTGCGTCCAGCCTGGAGCCCCTTTCGCTGGACCGCCAGCCGGACAGATGGATGGACGCTCGCGGGCAATGAATGGGCGCTGCGCTCAACCAAGACACTCGCGCAAAGTTGTGGCTCCCCAACGTAGCTTTTCAAGAACTTAACTGTTAAACTAAAGACATTGAGGCAATAGCAAATAACTGATTCAGAGATAAATGGTAATGATAAACTCAGCCAAGAGGCCAGGCTCAGCCCCACCAAAAAAGAATGCTATAAAGCAGCGGTCCCCAACCTTTTGGACACCAGGGACCAGTTTCACAGAAGACAATTTTTCCATGGGCAGTGTTGGGAAAAGGATGGTTTAGGGATGAAACTGTTCCAACTTGGATAATCAGGCATTAAATTCTCATAAGGAGAGCACAACCTAGATCCTTTGCATGCACAGTTAACAATAGGGTTCACGCTCCTATGAGAATCTAATGCCACTGCTGATCTGACGGGAGGTGGAACTCAGGTAGTGATGGTCACTCACCCTCCTGCTCACCTCCTGCTGTGCTGCCTGATTCCTAACAGGCCACGGACCGGTATTGGTCCACAGCCTAGGGGTTGGGGATCCCTGCTATAAAGGGTGACTTAGCTTTGTTCATAATTATTTTTGCCCTTTGGGAATTGGGGCTCATATTATCACAAATCACCATGCTTAAAGTGAATTTAAGTGTCTCTCTTCTAATTGGAATAGATAAGAAAAAGAAGCCAAAGCCAATAAGAAGAAAAGCAGAACCATACGTCTCCCCACTAGACTCCCAAGTTATTCTTCACTATCTGAATTGTGGAAATTTGTTCAAATTACATGGTCTTCTATTTAAATTACTTGTATTCAAAATCAAAGCTTACCACAAAACTTTGAAGGAAAATATAATCAATAACGAAATAAAATGGGGCTTTAACTGTGGGTTAAAATTCCTTCCTGTGCTGTTTAATTGATGATGATTATTATGATGATGATGATACTAACACTGACAGTGTTTCACATGTTTTGTGTATTAGTCTTGTGTATTAGTCAAATTTTACATGTTTTGTGTATTAATCAAATTCCTTTTTGTGCTATTTAATTGATGATGAAGATTATGATGATGATACTAACACTGACAGTGTTTCACATGTTTTGTGTATTAGTCTATCCTTGCATTGCTATAAAGACCTACCTGAGATGGGGTAATTTGTAAAGTGAGGTCTTGTTGGCTCATGGTTCTGCAGGGTGTACAGGTGGCATGGCTGGGGAGGCCTCAGGAAATTTACAATCATGGTGGAAGGGCAAAGGGGAAGCACATCTTACATGGTGGGAACAGGAGACAGAGCAAAGGGGAAGGTGCTACACACTTTTAACAACCAAATCTCCTGAGAACTCACTCACTATCACAAGAACAGCAAGGGGGATATCCACTCTCATGATCCAATTACCTCCCACCAGACCCCTCCTCCAACACTGGGAATTATAATTCTACATGAGATTTGGATGGGGACACAAATCAAACCATAACATATTGAATCATTTATTCATCACCTCGGGTATCATTTTTATTTCTAATTCTCTAAGACAGAAACCAAGGTATTGTGAGATTCATTAATTTATTTAAGTTTACACAGTAAGATGTAGAGGTAACATTCAAACTGAAGATCCTACCTCTTTGTACGACACAACAAAGTACTAGTTAAACATTTTAAGCATTTTAAAGCGTGAATAAAGCTGTCTGTCCTCTCAGCCTCTGGGAAAATGAAAGAAATATATGACAACCATTGCTTTCAATTAAGGCTTATGATCTAAAAAGACTTAAAATAATCATGTACTTATTCAATTTATTAAACAAATATTTCTTAGTCAATTATAGTATGTAAGACCCAACAAGGAATAATAAGATACAGTTCCTTTCCTTAATGTAATTTTCAACTTAGAAAGAACCATAAGGCTGGGTGTGGTGGATCATGCCTGTGACATCAGCAGTTTGTGAGGCTGAAGCAGGAGGATGGATTGAGCCCAAGAGCCTTTTCAGATAACTGTGGATATTCTTCCTCGATACTACAACTTGAAAAGTGCTAGTTTCTTAAATGGTAGCTGCAAAAAGTACCATTTGAAACTATGTGAATGAACTTTTTGTACTTCATTACCTTACAATCCATTTGCTTATCTTGCACATTGAATGAACCTTTTAGCCATGCATAATTTTGAACTTAATACCTAGGTTTCACACCAGGGATGCAGGAATGGTTTAACACATGCAAGTCAATAAATGTGATACACCACATAAACAGAATTAAAAACAAAAATCACATGATCATCTCAATAGATGCAGAAAAAGCATCTAACTCTCCAAAACTCTCCAAAATCCAGCAAACTCTCAGCAAAATACAAGGGACATAACAATGTAATAAGAGCCCTCTATGACAAACTCACAGCCAACATAATACTGAATGGGGAAAAGTTGAAAGTTCTCTGAGAACTGAAACAATACAAGGATGCCCACTCTCACCACTCCTCTTCAACATAGTACTGGAAGTCCTAGCCAAAGCAATCAGACAAGAGAAAGAAATAAAGGGTATCCAAATCAGTAAAGAGGAAGTCAAACTGTTACTGTTTGCATGACATGATCATTTACCTTGAAAACCCTAAAGACTCCTCCAGAAAGCTTCTAGAACTACTAAAAGAATTTGGCAAAGTTTCTGGATACAAGATTAATGTATACAAATCAGTAGCTCTTCTATGCACCAACAGTGACCAAGCAGAGAAACAAATCAAGAACTCCACCATTTTTACAATAGCTGCAAAAAAAATAAAACAAAAAAACAAAACCCCCCCACACACAAAAACAAAACAACAACAACAACAACAAAAACCCAAAACAACAACAACAACAAAAAAAACCTTAGGAATATACCTAACCAAGGAGTCAAAAGACCTCTACAAAGAAAACTACAAAACACTGCTGAAAGAAATCACAGATGACACAAACAAATGGAAACACATCCCATGCTCATGGATGGGTAGAATCAATATTGTGAAAACGACCATAGTGCCAAAAGCAATCTACAAATTCAGTGCAATCCCCATCAAAATAACACCATCATTCTTCACAAAATTAGAAAAAACAATTCTAAAATTCATATGGAACCAAAAAAGAGCCTGAATAGCCAAAGCAAGACTAAGCAAAAAGAACAAATCTGGAGGCCTCACACTACCTGATTTCAAACTATACTATAAGGCCGTAGTCACCAAAACAGTACGGTGCTGGTATAAAAATAGGCACATACGCTGGGTGCAGTGGCTCACACCTGTAATCCCAGCACTTTGGGAGGCCAAGGCGGGCAGATCACTTGAGGTCAGGAGTTCGAGACCAGCCTGGCCAACGTGGTGAAACTCTGCCTCGACTAAAAATACCAAAATTAGCCAGGTGTGGTGGTGGGCGCCTGTAATCCCAACTACTCAGGAGGCTGAAGCAGGAGAATCACTTGAACCTGGGAGGCGGAGATTGCAGTGAGCTGAGATTGCGCCACTGCACTCCAGCCTGGGTGACACAGCAAGACTCCATTTCAAAAAAAGAAAAAAAAATAGGCACAGAGACCAATGGAAAAGAATAGAGAACCTAGAAATAAGCCCAAATACTTGCAGCCAACTGATCTTTGACAAAGCAAACAAAAGCATAAAGTGGAGAAAGGACACCCTGTTCAACAAATGGTGCTGGGATAATTGGCTAGCCACAAGTAGGAGAATGAAACTGGGTCCTCATCTCTCACCTTATACAAAAATAAACTCAAGATGGATTAAGGACTTAAACCTAAGACCTGAAACTATAAAAATTCTAGAAGATGGCTGGACACAGTGGCTAACGCCTGTAATCCCAGCACTTTGGGATGCTGAGGTAGGCGGATCACCTGAGGTTGGGAGTTCAAGACCAGCCTAACCCGTATAGAGAAACCCCATCTCTACTAAAAATACAAAATTAGCCTGGCGTGGTGGTGCATGCCTATAATCCCAGCTACTTGGGAGGCTGAAGCAGGCAAATTGCTTGAACCTGGAAGGCAGAGGTTGCAGTGAGCCAAGATCGCACCATTGCACTCCAGCCTGGGCAACAAGAATGAACCTCCGTCTCAAAAAAAAAAAAAAAATTCTGGAAGATGACACTGGAAAAACCCTTCTAGACATTGACTTAGGCAGGGATTTCATGATCAAGAACTCAAAAGCAAATGCAATAAAAACAAAGATAAATAGCTGAGACTTAATTAAACTAAAGAGCTTTTGCACAGCAAAAGAACAGTCAGCAGAGTAAACAGACAACCCACAGAGTGGGAGAAAATCTTCACAATCCATACATCTGACAAAGGACTAATATGCAGAATCTACAACAAACTCAAATCAGTAAGAAGAAAACAAACAATCCCATTAAAAGTTGGGCTAAGGACATGAACAGACAATTCTCAAAAGAAGATATACAAATGGCCAACAAACATATGAAAAAATGCTCAACATCACTAATGATCAAGGAAATGCAAATCAAAACTACAATGCAATACCAGCTTACTCCTGCAAGAATGGCCGTAATCAAAAAATCCGAAAACAGTAGATGTTGGTGTGGATGCGGTGATCAGGGAACACTTCTACACTGCTGGTGGGAATGTAAACTAGTACAGCCACTGTGGAAAACAGTGTGGAGATTCCTTAAAGAACTAAAAGTAGAACTACCATTTGATCCAGCAATCCCACTGCTGGGTATCCACCCAGAGGAAAAGAAGCCCTTATTTGAAAAAGATACTTGCACATGCATGTTTATAGCAGCACAATTCAGAATTGCAAAATCATGGAACCAACACAAATGCCCATCAATCAACAAGTGGATAAAGAAACTGTGGTAAATGTATAGGATGGAATACTACTCAGCCATAAAAAGGAATGAATTAATAGCATTTGCAGTGACCTGGATGAAATTGGAGACAATTATTCTAAGTAAAGTAACTCAAGAATGAAAAACCAAACACTGTATGTTTTCACTGATATGTGGGAGCTAAGCTATGAGGACGCAAAGGCATAAGAATGATACAATGGACTTTGAGGACTTGGGGGGGAAGAGTGGGAGGGGGGTGAGGGACAAAAGACTACAAATATGGTGCTGTGTAGACTGCTTGGGTGATGGGTGCACCAAAATCTCACAAATCACCACTGAAGAACTTACTCATGTAACCAAACACTACCTGTACCCCAATAACTTATGGAAAAATCACAAAAAAAGAAAAAAGTTGAATGAAGAAATCAATCAATCAATCAATCAATCAATCAATGGACCAAGGAAGAATGGATAAAGTACAATTGTTTTTGCACTGTAAAATGAGTAAGTTGAATGAAAATAAAGTGTAAAAGGTAAATTTATAAAATAAACATTTTAGGGGCAGCTATGTAAAAAAAATTATTTAGGGCTCTTAAAATTAATTGTTAAAAACTCCTGGAATTATAAATAAAATAATAAAACTTGCAAGCCAAACTTAAAAGCCTAAGAAAAATCAACTTTTAAATTTGAAAATTTAAAAATGAGGCTATTGATTATTTATAGCATACCTCTAAACAGTCTTTTCTGCATATAAAATCCATGCTCAAGGATACCTAAAAAGCTTACATCATTGGGTGTGGCAGTTTTTTTTAAGTGCCTATAAATTCTTTGACACTTCTCTTAATTGAGAGGTGGGGTTTGTGTCGCTGCCCCCTTGAATCTGGCCAGACTTGTAACTACAACAATAAACAGAGTATGACTGCTGTAATGTTATGTGACTTCTAAGGCCAAGCCATAAAAACCATGCAGCTTCCACCTGTTCTCTCAAAATATTCACCCTTGAGACACTCCATATTAGTATATTCCTTCTCAGAACAGCTCTCCTGACAAGAAAGGTCTAAGCCACATGGAGAGACCATATGAAGGAACTCCTACAGATATTCCCAACTGAGTCTATCTAGCTTTCAGATTATCCCAGCCTGGGCACCACACACAGGTGTTATTGTGGACTGACTGTTTGTGTCCCTCTGAAATTCACATGTTGAAGCCCAAACCCCCAGTGATTGAATTAGGAGGTGGGGCACTTTGGGTAGTAATTAGATTTGGATGAAGTCATGAGACTGGAGCCCCCATAATAGGATTAGTGTCATTATAAGAAAAGGAAGAGAGACCAGAGATCTTTCTCTCTGAGAACCTACAAAGAAGAGGTCATGTGAGTATACAGCAAAATCGTGGTTGTCTGCAAGCCAGGGAGTGGGCCCTCACCAAGAAAAGAATATGCCAGTATCTTAATCTTGGACTTCCCAGGCTTCAGAACTGTGAGAAATAAATATCTTTTGTTTAATTTACCCAGACGATGGTTTTAGGTTACAGCAGCCCAAGCTGACTAAGACAAGTGTAAAGGAGCCTCCAGATGATTCCAGCCCCCCACCATTTCAGACACCCAAGGCATTACAGATTTCCCAGCTGAGGCCCCAGACATCATGGAGCAGAGAAAAGGCCATACCTGCTTGCCCAGTCAGAATTTCTCAGTCATAAAATCCTTGAACATAATAAAATCATTGTTGTTTTATGCCACTAAGTTTGGGGATGGTTTGGCATAAAGCAACAGACACCTAGATGAGAACTTTAAGGCTGGGTTCTCTGTATTGGTTTTAGATTATCTGGAGTTTGTTTTCCAAACTGATTAGATTTAAAGGCATTAATGATCCTATTGCTAGTGGTGAAAAAAAATACACTGTAGTCCATGGCGTGCAGTGGCAAAACAGAAAGCAAGGCTTTGGGTGATGAAGCAGCTGCTACAAGCAAACATTTTAGTGAAATAAATAAGTGCAGTAGGATTGCTTGGTTGCTTCTAAGTGAACTGAAGAACTTGAGAAAAGAAAGTGGTAAGTTCAGGCCTTTAAATTCCAACTGTAGGACAGGCGCAGTGGCTCACACCTATAATCCCAGCATTTTGGGAGGTCAAGGTGGGAGGATCGCTTGAGCCCAGGAATTCAAGACCAGCCTGAACAACATAAGGAAACTGTCTCTACAAAAAATGTAAAAATCAGCTGATTGTGGTGGCAGACACCTGTAGTCCCAACTATTCAGGCCAGGGTAGGAGGATCATTTGAGCCTGGGAGGTCAAAGCTGCAGTGAGCTGTGATCACATGACTGCATTCCAGCCTGGGTGACAGAGTGGGACCTTGTCTTAAAAAATAAAAAAATAAAATCCCACGGTAATGTCCACATACAGAACCAAAAAGCTTCTATGACTTCTCTAAAATTTTGAAAGCCTTATCTTCTAATAGCACAGGGCTGAACATTCTGAAAACCAGACCCAGAATCTAATTTTATGAGTGGGTGAATTATAGTGAAAATTGAATTTCCAAATTTGAACAGTCTTTTATGTTAAAGTTAGAGCAATGATTGGACAAGAGTGGGGCCTTCAACATTGGAATGGGGATATATAGGCAGATTCCAATGAAGCTGGGGACTTTAAACCCCAAAATACTGCTGAGCCTCCCTTGCTATTAGAATCAACCTTTCCTCCATCGGAAGAGGTTAGACCCTCCTTGCCTAAAGAACCCATAGAGGCTTCCCCTATCATAGACATATTCCAGGGAACTGCTGACTTGCCCCTATTATATCTCATTGCTTCTAGATGTATAACCAGACTCAAGTCCCAGCTGCCATAACAGCCTTCCACAGGCTTCTCCACCAGTTCCCACAGTTGCTGAAGGGCTAATCTCTATAATAAATCCTGTATTCTACATCATCCATAGTGGTTCTGCTTCTCTGATCCAATCCTGACTGATACATTAGGCATGGAAGAAAGAGTCAGAAAAGTTCATTTGATAAGAGGGAAAAATAAACAGGAAGAAAGGAAAACACATCTAGAAAAAGAGGGTAGGCAGCATGTTACAAGTCAATCAGGAACTGTTTCTTCCACAAGGGCACACTTACTTTTTTTGAAGGATGATAGTTTGGGTCTGTGCCTTTGGCTACTGAGAGTTGTAATATCCGGGGAGAAGGATCAGAGATTCGAAGAGAATCTCTTGCTGAGTTATCACTGAAGGGTCTATATGCAAATGGAAACATGAAATATTATAACTGTTGGATGGAGAAACAACAACTGGATTTTCCATTACTACAATCAACTTCTAATCGATTATATACACTGCTTCTATCTTAGGAACATCTATCCCACAGTCATGCTCTTTCTATCAGATTGGTGTTTCTTAAAATTTTTTTGCTATGATCCACAGTAAGAAGTACATTTTTGCCAGCACAGTGGCTCATGTCTGTAATCCCAACAGGCATCCCAACATGTCTGTAATCCCTCTGCCTTGAAAGGTGGAGGTGGGAGGATTGCTTGAGGCCTAGAGTTTGAGACCAGCCAGGCAAACATGGTGAGATCCTGTCTCTACAAAAACTAAAAAAATTAGCCAGGTGTGGTGGCATGTGCCTGTAGTCCCAGCTACTTGCAAGGCTGAGGCGGGAGGATCACTTGAGCCCAAGAGGTCAAGGCTGCAGTGAGCCAAGATTGCACCACTGCACTCCAGCCTGGGTGACAAAGTGAGACCCTAGTCTCAAAAAAAAAAAAATTTACATTTTATATTGTGATACAGTATATGTAAATGTGTGTTTGTGTATCTGAAACCAAAATTATTATGAAATAATACTTATCCTATACAATGCACTCTAATTTTTAAATTTTAATTTAATTTCATTATAAAAAAACTGGAATTGATTTTATGATCTGTTATGAATGAGTTATGACCTTCATTATGAAAAACACTTCATTCTATACCAATTCCTCCTCTTAAATCTCTGAAATAAAAATTCCAGTCACCACTGAGGGCCCCTCTGCAATGGCCAGTCTCCTCTGTAGTATGATTTGAGATAGTGCTGGTCATAACTGCCAGCCACTTGGCCAATTTTCATAGGCTGCTCCCCACATATTTCTTTCCCTAATCAAAAACCTATCAATTAAATGACAAACCTACGAGCCTAATATGGAAAATTTTTTTTCTCAAATAAATACATGATTACTCTCTAGGGGTAGGCTATTAGTTTGGGTTTTGTTTTTTTGCTGAGATACAATCAACATACCATAAAATTTACCCTTTTAAAGTATACAATTCAGTGGTTTCTAAAATATTCACAAAGATATGCAACCACCACCACTATCTAATTTCAGAATCCTGGGAACCACTAATCTACTTTCAGTCTCTATGGATTTGGATCTATGGATTGGCCTATTCCGGAATTTCTTTTTTTTTTCCTTTTATTTTTTTTTCTCAGATGGAGTCTCGCTCTGTCACCCAGGCTGGAGTGCAGTAGCACTATCTGGGCTCACTCTAACCTCCGCCTCCTGGGTTCAAGCGATTCTCCTGCCTCAGCCTCCCAAGTAGCTCGGATTACAGGCACACACCACCATGCCTGGCTAATTTTTGTATTTTTTAGTAGAGATGGGGTTTCACCATGTTGGCCAGGCTGTTCTCGAACGCCTGACCTCAAGTGATCTGCCCACCTCAGCCTCCCAAAGTGCTGGGATTACAGGTGTGAGCCACTGCACCCGGCCAGGAATTTCAAATAAATAGACTGATACAAATATGTAGCCTTTTGTGTCTGCCTTCCTTCACTTAGCATGTTTAGAAGATTGATGTATCAATACTTCATTCTTTTTTATGGCTGAATAATATTCCATTGTATGGATTGCCACATTTTGTGTATCTATTCATATCCATTGATGAACATTTGAATTGTTGCCAGTTTTTGGCTATTATGAATAATGCTGCTAGGAATATTTGTGTACCAGTTTTGTGTGAATTTACGTTTTTAATTATCTTGGGTACATGTCTAGGAGTCTAATTGCTGGCTTATATAATAACTCTATATTTAACATTTTGAGGCACTGAAAAACTGTTTTCTATATCAGTTGCAGTATTCTACATTCCTACCAGAAATGTATAAGGGTTTTAATGTTTCCACATCCTCAACAACCTGTTTTTTTTGTTGATTTATTATTTCTTATCATTATCCTTGCCATTCTTATAAGTGTGAAGTGGTATCTCATTGTGATTTTAATTTGCATTTCCAGGAAGGCAAATGATGCTGAGCATCTTTTCATATGCTTCTTGTCTATTTGTATATCTTTTTGGGGTAAACATCTATTTAAATCCTTTGCCGATTTAAAAAATTGGGTTATTTGTCTTTTATTGTACATTTTTCAGGATAATTTTTATATATTCTGAATATTAGTCCCTGATCAGATATATGATTTTCAATAATTTTCTCCTATTTTGTGGGTTGTCTTTTCACTCTCTTGGTAGTGTCCTTTAATGCATAAAAGTTACTTTTGATGAAGTCCAATTTATTTTTTCTTTTGTCACATGAGCTTAGATATGACAACAAAAGGTCATAGCTAAGATATGACACCAAAGGTCATATCTAAGAAACCATTGCCTATCTCAAGATCACAGAGAAGTATGCCTGTGTTTTTCTCTATGAGTTTTATAGTTTTAGCTCTTATATTTAGGTCTGTGATCAATTTTGAGTTAATTTTCATGTATGATGTGGGCGTCAAACATCATTCTTTTGCATGCAAATAGCCAGTTATCACAGCACCATTTGTTGAAAATACTATTTTTTCCCCATTAAACTATCTTGACACTCTTGCCAAAAATCAATTGCCCATAAATGTAGGGGTTTACTTCTGCACTATCAATTCTGTTTCATTGCTCTAAATGTCTATCCTTGTGCCTGTAACAAATTGTCTTAATTACTGCAGCTTTTCTGTAAGTTTTGAAATGAGAAAACTGTCTTCCAACTTTGTTCTTATTCAAGAATGTTTTTGGCTATTTGATGTCCCTTGCATTTCTATATGAACTTTAGGATCACTTTATCAATTTCTATGAAAAAAAGGAAGCTGGAATTATTCTTTTTTTTTTTTTAGACAGGGTCTCGTTCTGTCACCCAGGCTGGAGTGCAGTGGCACCATCACATCTCACTGCAGCCTTGATCTCCCAGGCTCAAGCAATCCTCCAGCCTCAGCCTCCCAAGTAGCTGGTACTACAGGCTTGTGCCACCATGCCCAGCTAATTTTTTTTCTTTTTGGAGATGGAGTTTCACTATTGTTGCCCAGGCTGGAGTGCAATGATGTGGTCTCGGTTCACTGTAACCTCTGCCTCCCAGGTTCAAGCAATTCTCCTGCCTCAGCCTCCCAAGTAACTGGGATTACAGGCACACACCACCACTCCTGGCTAATTTTTGTATTTTTAGTAGAGACGAGGTTTTACCATGTTGGCCAGGCTAGTCTCGAACTCCTGACTTCAGGTGATCTGCCTGCCTCGGCCTCCCAAAGTGCTGTGATTATAGTTGTAAGCCACCATGCCTGGCCTAATTTTTTTTTTATTTTTAGTAGAAAATGAGGTCTCATTATGTTAAGTTCCTCTTTTCCTCCTTCCCTATTCCCTGCAACAGCCATCTTACTTTCTGTCACTATGAATTTGACTATTTTTGGTACTTCAAATAAGTGAAATCATACAGTATTTGTCTTTTCTGTGACTGGCTTATTAAACTCAGCATAGTGTCCTCAAAGTTCATCGATACTGTAGAATGTGTCGGAATTTTCTTCCTTTTAAAGGCTGAGCAATATTCCTTATATGTATAATTTTGTTCTTTTTGATACTACTGCAAAATTGGTTTTCTTAATTTCACTTTCAGATTGTTCATTGATAGTAGATATACAATTGATTTTTCTGTATTGATTTTGGATTCTGCACCTTCTTGAACTAATTTATTAGCTCTAATAGTCTTTATGTAGATTCCTTAAGATTTTCTGCATACAAGATCACGTCATTTCTGACTTGAGATGGTTTTACTTCTCTCTATCCGATCTGGATGCCCTTTATTTTTTTTTATTTTTTATTTTTTTTCATGCCTAATTGCCCTGGTTAGAATCTCTAGTATGAGACTGAATAGTAATAGTGAGAGCTGACAACTTTGCTTGTTCCTGATGTCAGGGGTAAAGCGTTCAGTCTTTCACCATTAATTATATTAGTTGTGTGTTTCTTGTAGATTCCCTTTACCAAGTTGAGGAAGTTTCCTTCCATGCCTAGCTTGTTTAGCATTTTTATCATAAAAGTATCTTGAATTTTGTCAAATGCTTTTTCTGAGTCTATTGAGATGATCATGTAGTTTTTGTTTTTTTCATTCTATTAATTTAGTGTATTGCTTTGATTTTTGTATTTTGCACTCAACATATTCTCACATTCCTGGGGTAAAGCCAATTTGGTCATGGTGTATAATTTTTTTTACATTTTGCTGGATTCAGTTTGTTAGTTTTTGGTATGAATTGTTGCATGTACATTTGGATTTGGTTTGCTAGTAGAGTATTTTGGTGTGGATTATAGCATGTATATTCATAAACTATATTGGTCTGCAGTTTTCTTATCTGGTAATCATCTTTTCTGGTTTTATTATCAGGATAATACAAGTCCTCATAGAATGAGTTGGAAAGTGTCTGATTTTTTGAGAGTTTGAAGGAATGGTGTTAATTATTTTCTAAATATTTCATGGAATTCACTAATAAAGCCATCTGGTTCTGAGCTGTTCTTCATAGGAAGCTTTTTATTAATTCAATCGCTTCACTTGTTACAGATCTGTTAAGATTGTCTATTTCTTCTTGACTCAGATTCAGTAGTTTGTCTTTATAATAATTTGTCCATTTCATCTAGGTTCTCTCATTTGCTGGCTTTTATTTGTTTGTTTTCTCATTTTATTTGATTTTCTGAGAAACTCAAAATCAGGGTCTTGTTTTGTCACCCTGACTGGAATGCAGTGACATAATCACAGCCCACTGCATCCTTGACCACCTGGGCTTATGTGATTCTCCCACCTCAGCCTCTGAGTATCTGGGACCACAGACACATGCCACCATGGCCAATTAATTTTTTAATTATTTGAAGAGATAGGGTCTCACTATGTTGCCCAGGCTGGTCTCAAACTCCTAGCCTCAAATGATTCTCTCGCTTCAGCTTCCCAAATTGCTGGGATTACAGATGTGAACCACCATGCCCTGCCCTTTTTTTTTTAATATAGGCATTTACAGCTATAAATTTCCCACTAACCACTACTTTAGCTGCATCTCATAACCTTTGGTATGTTATGTTTTCAGTTTTATTCATATCAAAGTGATTTCTTCTTTGACCTATTGGTTGTTTAGGAGTGTAATTAATTTAACATATTTTTAAATTTCTAAATTTCCTTCTGCTATCAGTTTCCAATTTCATTGAACTGGTTCAGAGAATTGATTTTCTATGAATTTAATCCTCTTAAATTTATTGAGACTTGTTTTATGAGTTAATATGTGATCTATCCTAGAGAATGTTCCATGTACACTTGAAAAGAATGTGTATTCTCCCATTTTTGAGTAGAGGTTTCATAGACATGTGTTAGATATAGTTGGTTTCTAGTGTTATTCAAGCCTTCTATTTCACTACTGATCTTCTGCTTGTTATTCTACCCATTATTAAAAGTGGGGTATTGAAGTGTCCAACTATTATTGTTGAATTCTATCAGGTTTTTGCTCTGCTGTTGGGTGCATGTATGTTTATAGTTGTTATCTTTCCTTTCTTTCTTACTTTTTTTTTTCTTGTAGAGATGAGGTCTTGCTATATTACCCAGGCTGGTCTTGAATTTCTGGCCTCAAGCAATCCTCTCACCTTGGCCTCCCAAAGTGCTGGTGTGAGATACTGCATCCAGCCATAATTGTATGTCTTTTTAATGGATTGACTCTTTTATAATATAAAATGTCCTTTCTCTGTCTTTAGTAACAATGTTTGTCTTAAAGTCTATATTGTCTGATATCAGTATGGCCAATCCAGGTCTTTTTTGGTTGGCGTGCATGGTATATCTTTTTCCATTTTTTTACTTTCAGTCTATTTGTTTATTTGAATCTAAAGTATGTCTTTTGTAGACAGCATATAGTTGAGTGAATTTTTATCCATTTTTTATCCTGTCTTTTTATTGGAGTGTTCAATTCATTTACATTTAATGTAATGTACATTTAATGTAATTACCGATAAGGTAATATTTATGCCTGCCATGTTGCTATTTTTTCTATATATTTTTTGTTCCTTTGTTCTTTCATTTCTTCCTTCTTTTGTGTTAGATATTTTCTACTGTGACATTTAAATTTCCTTGTTATTTATTTTATTACATTTTAAAAATTATTTCCTTAGTTGTTTCTCTGTACATCTTACAACAATCTAGTTCAGACTAACACCAAATTAATTCCTATGGTATATAATAACTTTGCTCCTATATAGCTCTATCCCCTCCCGCTCCTTTGTACTTTTATTTATTCATTGTATGCCCATCAACATAAATTTATAATTATTGCTTTAGGCAATTGTCTTTTATGTCAGGTAGAAGAAAAAGAGTTACAAACAAAAATATATACATATTTACATTTTAATGTAATTATAATGTACTATATAAAATGTGCTACATTCTATATTTACCTATGTAGTTAATTCTTTTTGTGCCCTTTATTTGGATTTGAGTTATTGTCAAATGTCTTTGCCTTTTTGGGACACAGTCTCACTCTGTCACCAAGGCTTTAATGCAGTAACATAGTCACTGCAGCTTCAACCTCCCAGGCTCAAGCAATTCTCCTGCCTCAGCCTCCCGAGTAGCTGGGACCACAGGCATTCACCACAACACCCCAATAAATTTTTTGTTTTTAGTAGAGATGAGATCTCACTATAATGCCCAGGATAACTGTCCTTTCACTTAGTCTGAAATACTTTCTTTATTATTTCTCGTAAAGCAGGTCTGCTGGCAATGAATTATCTCAATTTTTGCTTATCTAGGAATATCGTAATTTCCGCTTCAGTTACGAAGGATAACTTTGCTAAACAGAGTATTCTTAGCTTACAATCTTTTTCCTTCAGTGCTTTATTTTATTTATTTATTTATTTTGAGACAGAGTCTCACTCTGTGGCTCAGGCTGGAGTACAGTGGCGCAATCTCTGCTCACTGCAACCTCCACCTCCCTTTTTAATGGACTGACTCTTTTATAATATAAAATGTCCTTTCTCTGTCTCTAGTAACAATGTTTGTCTTAAAGTCTATATTGTCTGATATCAGTATGGCCAATCCAGATCTTTTTTGGCTGGTGTGAATGGTATATCTTTTTCCATTTTTTTACTTTCAGTCTATTTGTGCCTATTTTTTTACTTTCAGTCTATTCTTGTGCCTCTGCCACCTGAGTAGCTGGGATTACAGGCATGAGCCACCACACCTGGCTAATTTTTATATTTTTAGTAGAGATGAGGTTTCACCATGTTGGCCAGGCTGGTCTCAAACTCCTGACCTCAGATGATCCACCCACCTTGGCCTCCCAAAGTGCTGGGATTACAGGCGTGAGCCACCACACCTCGCCAATCCTTCAGTGCTTTAAGTACTTTAATTTGAAAGCACAGAAGTCAGACCATTAGCCTAAGGAAAATCTTGGCTTTATACTTAAACAGCTCCTGAGAGGTTTTCTATATTAAGGTATTATAAAATAGCTGATGTTCATAATAAAGAGCTTAAGCCAATGAACAATGGTTACATGTATGTTCAAGCAGCAGAAAAGTCTACTTAGAAAAGCAGGGAAATATAAACTTAAAAAAGTACAAAATGTTTTAACTAAAGGGCATTTTATTTACATGCAACATCAAACTGAGGTCTCAAGAAGTGGCAATAAAGTATTCCTTTGTTTATAACTATAGACACATTACCAAATTTATGTGTATACATAACTACCAAATTTTATGTATTTGGTACAGTGGATTTTATTGAATGAATTGATAAATAAGTAATTGAGGAAACCCTGTGGGAAGAATTGGGCCTTCTTTCGCAGTATTCTATGATGCAAAAGACTCAAGCTGTCTAGTTCAACCTTTCTCTGAATGTAGGAATCTTTTCTAAAATCCATGTAAAGTCACAGTTCCAGCCTGGGCTTGAAAACTTGCAGGGATGAGGGTGGAATGCTGGTTCACTTTCCGTTACTGGACAGTTTCCATTACCCAATAGCTAGTCAGAAAGATTTTCCTCCACTAAGCTGACGTCTGCTGCCCTGTCAATGTTCTACTTCTAGTTCTAGGATTAACATAAAGTAATTTTACTTTCACCTCTTCTTCCTCTTCCAGATGTCAACCCTTTAAATATTTTAACACAGCTGTCACCACTTTCTTATTCTCTTTTTAAACTAAACATGTCATTTCTCTTAATTATTTTTCACATAACATAGTTTCCAGGAGCCCAATATCTCATTTCCCACCTTCTGAATAGTCTCAAGTTTATTATCATTTCTTAAGGTATAACATACATAACTGCACATACATGTCCAGTGTGTTCCGACTAAAGTAGCACACAGTAGCACTATCACCTCTCCACAACTGTACACTGTATATATTCCACTAATGCAACCTAACATTGAATTAGCTTTTGCAACAACCACATCACAATCTTAGCTCCCATGGAAAATGTACCACCTAGTGGTCTTATAAAGACAAGGAGAAATTCAGCCTTCAAAGCAAAAGGAAGAAAAAGTATCAAAGTCAGAGAGATACAGGAGAACAAATTCCACAAATTGCAAAAACCTGTGGTGTTTTAGTTGCATATTTCCTTTTAACTGGCTAACAATGGTAAGGTTTAGTATAAATTTTAGTTTCACCACAATGTGAGTCAAATGTAATTACCGAAGATGAACTTCTGATTACCTACAATAGCTGCAAATATTTGATTTTTTACCTGATGCTTTGGAACACAAGTGGACTCTTAGCTCATGAAATTGCACACACTAAAATTAGAACAAAAATACTAAGACATCTGGCCAAATTAGATTAGGATTTACAGAGATTCTCAAGATACTCTACCTATTTAGTAGACACTGTCTTTTGAATCCATTGGGCTGTGACAGCCTCTGGATCCTTTTGGAGGGTTGTCTAAACAATGCAGGAGGAGTGATCTCCCAAATTACAGACTCTCTTCCACAGCTGTGGTAGTATTGAGCCCTGCAAGTTGTAGAAGAGAAAAGAAGTAAACGAAACAAGCATGATTTCAAATTGTCATAGTATTTTCCAACATCGATCCCCAGGCCTAGGGGAGCAGGTATGACAGTTTATTATTGATGATCTATTTTCCATGTGAGGAGAAATTAATTGCTTTAGAAACGGTTACACCCATCAAGTTTTCAACTGGCTTCTATTATACTCAAAACAGATAGTTTTCTCAAATAAATGACATCTTCTTTTTTTTCTTTTTTTTTTTGAGATGGAGTCTCGCTCTGTCGCCCAGACTGGAGTGCAGTGGTGCGATCTTGGCTCACTGCAAGCTCCGCCTCCCAGGTTCACGCCATTCTCCTGCCTCAGCCTCCCGAGTAGCTGGTACTACAGGTGCCCACCACCACGCCTGGCTAATTTTTGTATTTTTAGTAGAGACGGGGTTTCACCGTGTTAACCAGGATGGTCTTGATCTCCTGACCTCGTGATCCACCGGCCTCGGCCTCCCAAAGTGCTGGGATTACAGGCATGAGCCACCGCGCCCAGCAGACATCTTTTTTTTTCAATTGAGACAGGATCATACACGGGCTCACTGCAGCCTCAACCTCCTGGGCTCAAGTGATCCTCCTACCTCAGCCTCCCGAGTAGCTGGGATCACAGGCATGTGCCTCTATGCCCAGCAACTTTTTAAAATTTTTTCGTAGACATGGGGTTTCACTATGTTCCCCAGGCTGGTCTTGAACTCCTGGGCTCAAGCAATACTCCTGTCTCAGCCTCCCAAAGTGCTAGAATTAAAGGCATGAGCCACCATGCCTGGCAATTACATTTTCCAAATAGACCAAAAGATATACAGATGAAGAGAAAATTTGCTGCTTTTAAAACCAAATACTTCCTTTAGCATCTATATAAATAAATTTTTTTACTATATTTCTATTTTATACGGTGAATTATATTGATACTTTGCTAGATAACTGAGTTTAGGAATACATTCTACTTGATGATGTGCACAGAATAATCATTATTGGGGCTTGTTAACTATGAATTTTTAGGATAAGTAATAATATTGTTCTTCTTTTATTTGTCTATTTATTATTTTTAGAAGCACGATCTTGCTCTATTGCCCAGGCTGAAGTGCAGTGGCACAATCATGGCTCATGGCAGCCTCAAACTCCTGGGCTCAAGCAATGCTCCTGCCTCAGCCTCCTGAGTAGGGGGGACTACAAGTTTGCATCACCATGCTGGGCTAATTTTTTTATATTTGTACGGATGGGGGCTCGCTATATTATCTAGGCTAGCCTCGAATGCCTATGCTCAAGTGATTCTCCCGTCTCAGCCTCCCAGAGTGCTGGGATTACAGGCATGAGCCAGCACACCCAGCCACCATTGTTCTTCTTAACAACGCTGCCCTTCAATCTTTCCTTATCAAAATACATCATCAGTGGAAAAGGAAGTGACATTGACTACCCCCCCAGACCCAATGTTAACTCAAATTGCAGTCCCACTTTTGCTTCTATTATAAGGACCTCTGTTCCTTTAGGACGTTCACAGATACAGATCTGCATCCCTCTCTCTGCCCAAGCCTCTGTCTGCTGGTTGCAGCTGTAAACATCCTTTACATCTAGGCTGAACTGGTGTCTTGTAAGCCTCAATCTGCATATAAGACTGTATCCCCCTTGCTCGCGACCACCCAGTCTTGAGGCCTGTCTACACCACCACACATATCTTTTGAGGGGGCTGGAGGCTGCCCAGCCCTGACTCTACTGCCCAACTGCACTGACTCACCTACCCACACCCATACCCACACATAGCCCAGCTTAAAAAGGCAGGAAACCTCTAGCCCCTACCTGGGATTGGCCTTTTGAAGGAAATGGCAGTTCAGTTTGGGAATTAGAAATACAGAAGGAAGTGGTGACTTTGAACAATGGGGCACACTGTGGAGACCTTAGACTCAGGCAAAAGGAGCCACAGTGGTTGGGAAGAAGGTGATTACGCAGCCAATGAGCGGCACAAAGGCAAGATGTGCTTGGAGAATAGAGCCGAGGGGAAAGGCCCAAGCAGTGAGTGAGAGATAGAAAAAAAAGAAGACACCAGAGACAACTGCTACTCAACATTCTCTCAGGTGGGAATGGCAACCACCAAATGCCAGGAAAATCTGTACTGACCATAATACTTATGCCTTATGCTGCCAACACCTAGAAGTACATAAGTGTTCTACAAAATGGAGAAAATAAACAATATATGGTGATTATGAAGACTAAACAAGAGAAGTGTATATGTTATTTTATAATTCACAAAGCACTATTCAAATGATTCTATTAATCAACTTGTATATTAATTTTAAATTTCATATTTGCATATCTTTTCCTTATAGATGCTGCATATTAACAGAATGTACTGCTGCTGCCCTTACGTGCTTCTCCTCCTCCCAGAGTCATCCACACATCCAAGTCTCACAGCGCTGTCAATGTAGCAGGTACTCAAATTTTTTTTTTTTTTTTTTGGAGATAGAGTCTTGCTCTGTCGCCCAGGCTGGAGTGCAGTGGTGCGATCTCAGCTCACTGCAACCTCTGCCTCCTGGGTTCAAGGAATTCTCCTGCCTCAGCTTCCCAAGTAGCTAGAATTATAGGTGTGCACCACCACCCCCAGCTAATTTTTGTATTTTTAGTATAGACAGGGTTTTGCCATGTTGGCCAGGCTGGTCTCGAACTCCTGACCTCAGGTGATCCACCTGCCTTGGCCTCCCAAAGTGCTGGGATTACAGGTGTGAGTCACCACTCCCAGCCTCAAATATTATTTTAATATAGAGTACACTGCATTTTTCTCATTGTAAAAGAGACAAATATTCAGTATACAAAACTTGTAAAATAAAGAAGTTTAAGAGAGAGAAACAAAAAGCATATAGTAGTCCACCATTCAGAGATAGTAATGGGTAATATCTTGGAATAATTTGAGTCTTTTTTCCCTCTATTTATACACTCAAAAAATACGTATTGAGCACCAGGTCCTGTGTTAGGAGCACTCACTAGGAGAGAGTGGAGAATAGGATAATCACTGCTTTCTTGCAGCTTGTTCTCTATGTCAAGGGGAGAATACCAAATGTAAAATACAGTCAAGCACCGTGTAATGACCTTTCGGTCAACAATGAACCACCTATACAACAATTATACTGGATTGTACTGGAGCTGAAAAATTCCTATTGCTTTGTGATGTTGTAGCCATCATAACATCATAGCACACTGCATTACTCATATGTTTATGGTTATGCTGCAGTAAACAAACCTACCAGCACATACAATTATGTACAGTACATAATACTTTTTTTAACTTCCCTGTAAAATCCAATTTTAAACAGTATATAATACTTGATAGTGATGATAAACAACTATGCTACTGGTTTATGTATTTACTACATGTTACGGGTTTATGTATTTTTATTGTTATTTTAGAGTGTACTCTTTCTACTTATAAAAAAAATTAACTGTAAAACAGCCTCAGACAGGTCCTTCAGGAGGTATTTCAGAAAAAGGCCTTTTATCATAGGAGATGACAGCTCCATGCATGTTTTGCTCCTAAACACCTTCTAGTGAGACAAGATGTGGAGGTGGAAGATAGTGATATGAATGATCCTGACCCTCTGTAGGCTTAGGCTAATGTTTGTTTGTACCTTCTTTTTTTGTCAGGTCCCGCTCTGTCACCCAGGCTGGAGAGCAGTGTGATCATAGCTCACTGCAGCCTCAAACTCCTGGGCTCAAGCAATCCTCCCCTCTCAGCCTCCTGAGTAGCTAGGACTACGGGCATGTGCCACTATGCCCAGATAATTTTTTTAATTTTTTTTAGAGATGGGGGTCTTACTATGTTGCCCAGGTTGGTCTTGAACTCTTGGCCTCAAATTATCCTCCCATTTTGGCCTCCCAAAGCATTGGGATTACTGGTGCTAGCCACCATGCTCAGGCAGGCAGATTGCTTCAGCCCAGGAGTTTGAGACCAGCCTGGGCAACGTGGCAAAGCCCTGTTTCTACCAAAAAAATCCAAAACAATTAACCAGGTGTGGTGGCGCACACCTGTAGTCCCAGCTGCTTGGGAGGCTGAGGTGGGAGGATCGCATGAGCCCAGGAGGCTGCGGTTACAGTGAGCTGAGTATGACTGCACTCCAGTAAGGGCAACAGAGCAAGACCTCTGAAAAAAAAAAAGTTTTAAAAGTTTAAAATATTTTAAAATAGAAAAAAAAAGCTTATGTTATAAGGATATATATCAAGCAGAGTCCTGTGGATTAAAAAATGATAATAAGGATATAAAGAAAAAATATTTTTGGATAGCTGTATAATGTGTTTGTGTTTTAAGCTAAGTGTTATTATAAAATAGTCAAAAAGGTTTTTTGTTTTTTTTTTTAAGTTAAAAAGCTTATAAAGTAAAGGCCAGGTGTGGTGGCTCACACCTGTAATCCCAGCCCTTTGGGAGGCTGAGGTTGGTGGATCACCTGAGCTCAGGAGTTCCAGACCAGCCTGGCCAACATGGCGAAACCCTGACTCTACTAAAAATACAAAAGTTAACGGGGTGTGGTAGCACATGCCTATAGTCCCAGCTACTCGAGGGGCTGAGGCAGGAGAATTGCTTGAACCCGGGAGGGGGAGGTTGCAGTGAGCCAAGATTGCACCACTGCACTCCAGCCTGGGTGAAAGAGCAAGAGCCTGTCTCAAAAATAAATAAATAAATAAATAATAAAAATTTTAAAAAAGAAGCTTATTGTGAGCTAAAGTGAATATATTATTAAAGAAAAACTTTTTCATAAACAGTATAACTTCAGTGTACAGTGTTTATAAAGTCTACCGTAGCATGCAGTCATGTCCTGGGCCTTCATGTTCACTCACCACTCCCTCACTGACCCACCCAGAACAACTTCCAGTCCTGCAAGCTCCATTCTTAGTGAATGTCCTATTCAGGTGTACCATTTCTTATCTTTTATACCATAGCTTTCTGTGCCTTTTCTATGTTTAGATATGTTTAGATACACAAATACTTACCATTGTGTTATAATTGCCTAAGGTATTCTGTAACACGCTGCACAGCTTTGTAGCCCAAGAGCACCAGGCTATACCATATAGCTCAGGTGTGTAGTAGGCTATACCATCTAGGTTTGTGTGAGTGCACTTTATGATGTTTGTACAACAACTAAATCACCTACGGATGCATTTCTTAGAACATAGCCCTGTCATTAAGTAACGCATAACTGTAAATAGTTGTGGTGAGTACTATGAAGGCATCAACTATTCAGCAGAGATAGAGGCTTCCTGGGTAGGTTCGTGAGAATGTTGAAAGTTATGCTGAAGAGAATAGTCAGGGAAGGTCTCTGTGAAAAGCTGAGACCTAGGCTGAGACTTAACGGATCAAAACATCTTAGTGACTCAAAAATGGGGAAAGCATTCTAAGCAGAGGAGAAAATGAGAAAAAGGCCTTGGGATGGGAAATATCTTGGTATGTTTAAGGAATAAACATTTTAAAATAAAAGTAGGATCACAGTATATATACAGTTTTATGTTCAAATTTTTCACTTAGTATTACAGCATAAATCCTTGGGTCATGAAATACAAATGGTAATATTTTTAAAGTAAATACTTTGGTAAATTAAAACACTTAGAAGAGACTTCCACTTCCCGGCATGATAGTATAATAGGGATTGGGTTTATCCCTAGAATAAAGACATCTCCAGTAACTTTTTTTTTGAGACAGGGTCTCACTCTATCACCCATGCTGGAATGCAGTGATGCAATCATGGCCTCGACCTCCCAGGCTCAAGTGATCCTCCCACCTTAGCCTCCTGAGTAGCTGAGACCACAAGTGCTTACCACCATACCCAGCTAATTGTATTTTTAGTAGAGACAGGGTTTCACCATGTTGGCCAGTCTGGTCTCAAACTCCTGACCTCGAGTGATCCACCCACCTGGGCTTCCCAAAGTACTGGGATTACAGGCATGAGCCACCACACCCAGCCACCAGTCCCATTTTTTTAAAAAAAAAACTTAAAAGCAAGCCTCAAAAATGGACAAAGGATTTGGATGAACATTTCTCCAAAGAAGGTATTCAAATGCCAACAAACAAATGAAAAAATGTTCAACATCAAAAATTATTAAGGAAATGCAAATCAAAACCACAATGAGTACTACTTCACACATAGGAGGACAGCTTTATCAAAATGATAATAACAAGTGTTGGTAAGGATGTGGAGATATTGGAACTCTCATTCATTACTGGTGGGATTATAAAGTGATACAATCACTTTGGAAAACAGTCTAGCAGTTCATCAAAAAGTTAAATATAGGGTTATCATGTGAAACAGCAATTCAACTCCTGCTATATATTCAAGAGGAATGAAAACATACATTCACACAAAAGCTTGTACACAAATGATCATAGCAGCATTACTTTTGCCAAAATGTAAAAAGAGGCCAATGTCTAACAACTGATGAATCGATAAATAAAATGTGGCAAAGCCATACAATTAAAGATTGCTTAGCCATAAAAACAAATTTACTTATACATGCTACAACACAGATGAATCTTGAAAATATTGTGCTAAGCAAAAGAAGACAGTCACAAAGAACAACATATTGTAAGATTCCATTTATATGAAATTACCAGAATAAGTACACTTATAGGAACAGAAAATAGATTAGTGGTTACTTAGGGCTTGGAGAAGTTGAAGGGGCGTAAGAACTGACTGCTAATGAGTTTAATGTTTCTTTTAGGGAAGACAAAGTGTTCTAAAATTAGATTTTGATGATAGTTACACAGTCCTGTGAACATACTACCAAACTCTAATTTATACACTTTAATTTTTCATTTTTAATTTTTTCAGTACAGAGATGGGGTCTCACTATTTTGCCCAGGCTGGTCTTAACTCCTGAGTGCAGGCGATCCTCCCACTTCAGCGTCCCAAAGTGGGATTATAGGCATAAGCCACTATACTTTTATACTAAATTATATACCTTAAATGAGCAAATTATTTGGTAAGTGAATTAATCACAATAAAGCTATTTTTTTAAAAGAAAACCTCAGAAGATCAAACTGTTTAGAAATAAGGTAACTACATCCCAAAACAAAGCTCAAGAATATTTATAGGAATACAAAAACATCCAGGAGCCAGTAAGGTAAAATTCACAATATTTGGTACCCAATAAAAAACTACCAGGTATGCAAAGAAGCAGTAAATTATGACCCATAATGAGAAAAATCAATCATTAGAAACAGACTCAGAAATGATATATTATAAAATTAGTAGGCAAGAACATTAAAACAGCTATTGTAACTGTATTGCGTATTTTCAAGAAGGCAAAGAAAAGATTGAGCATGTTAAGTAGACACAAAATATAAAAATACCCAAATGAACCTCTAGAGATTAAAAACTACAATGGGTGAGAAGAAAAATACTCTGGGTGAGACAAACATTACACTGTAGAAGAAAAGATTAATGAAGACATAGAGAGAAATAAAACACAGAGGTGAGGAAACAGATTCAATGTGCTGTGGGAAAACTTCAAGCAGTCTGATACATCCAACTAGAGCCCGCAAAGAAGGAGGAGCAGAAAAAATATCTGAAATAATAATAACTGAAAGTTTTCCAAATTAGATGAAAATTGTAAATTTAAAGATCCAATTTTAATGAACCCCAAACAGAAGAAACATTATGAAAAAAACATTAAGATATATGATAATCAAATTTTTAAAAACCAGAGACAAAGAGAAAAATCATTAAAGCAAAATAACAGTCAAAGTCTCATCAGAAATAATGGAGACAGTGAGGCAGTATTTGTCCATCTGGAGTTCTATGCCCACCAAAAATACAGTTCAAAATGAAAGTGAAATAAAGAATTTTAAGATATGCAAAAGCTGAAAGAATTCATCAGCAGCAGACCTGAACTAAAAGAAGTATAAGCTGGGCATGGTGGCTTACATCTGTAATCCCAGCACTTTGGGAGGCCGAGGCGGCGGATCACTTGAGGTCAGGAGTTGGAGACCAGCCTGGCCAACGTGGTGAAACCCTGTCTCTACTAAAAAAAAAAAAAAAAAAAAAAAAAAACCACCAAAATTAGCCAGGTGTGGTGGTGTGCACCTGTAATCTCAGCTACTTGGGAGGCTGAGGCAGGAGAATCACTTGAAACCATGAGGCAGAAGTTGCAGTGAGCCAACATCGTACCACTGTACTCCAGCCTGGGTGACATGGCGACACTCCATCTTAATTAAAAAAAAATATTATTAAAGAAAGTCCTCCAGGAAGAAGAAAAATACAAAATGAAATGTATAGATTTAATAGATCTACACAAAGGAATGCAGAGTATGGGAAATGGTAAGAATGCCGGTAAATATAAAACGCTTTTTCTTATTTTAAAAATCTCCTTAAAAGATTTGACTATTTAAAGCAAAAATAATAATAATGTAAGATTTATAGAAGTAAAATGTATGATCACCGTGGCACAAAGGCCAGAAGTAGGGAAATGGTAATATACCATTATAAGAATCTTACACTAGGCCAGGCACAGTAGCTCATGCCTGTAATCCTAGAACTTTGGGAGGCCAAGGTGGGCGGATCACGAGGTTGGGAGTCTGAGACCAGCCTCACCAACACGCTGAAACCCTGTCTCTACTAAAAATACAAAAATTAGCTGGACGTGGTTGCGCATGCCTGTAATCCCAGCTACTTGGGAGGCTGGGGCAGGAGAATCGCTTGAACCCGGGAGGCGGAGGTTGCAGTGAGCTGAGATTGCACCATTGCACTCCAGCCTGGATGACAGAGCAAAACTCTGCCAAAAAAAAAAAAAAAAAAAAAGAAAAAGAAAAAGAAAAAGAATCTTACATCATACATTAAGTAGTATAAATTAAAGATAGAAAGGTAGACTGTGATAAGTTGAAGATGCACATTATAAGTTCTAAAGTTCTAAAACTAAAAAACAAAGTTATAGTGAATAGGCCAATAAAGAAGATAAACTGAAATAATAAAAAATCAATTAATTTAAAAGAAGGCAACAGGCCAGGCACAGTGGCTCATGCCTGTAATCCCAGCATTTTGGGAGGCCAAGGCAGGTGGATCACGAGGTCAGGAGTTCAAGACCAGCCTGGCCAACATGGTGAAACCCTGTTTCTACTAAAAATACAAAAATTAGCCAGGCGTGGTGGTGGGCACCTGTAATCCCAGCTACTTGGGAGGCTGAGGGAAGAGAATTGCTTGAATCCGGAAGGCAGAGGTTGCAGTGAGCCAAGATTGTGCCACTGCAGTCCAGCCTGGGCAACAAGAGCAAAACTCCATCTCAAATAAATAAATAAGTAAATAAATAAATAAGAAGGCAACAAAGAGGGGAAAGGGGAACCAAAAAAAGATGGAATAAACAGAAAACAACAGCAAGTTGGTAGCTTTAAACCTCAACATATTAGTAATCACAGTAAATGTAAATGATCTAAGTATCTCAATTTAAAAACAGAGATTATCAGATTGGATAAAAACCAACATTTGCCTATAACAAATGTACTTTTAATGTAAAGACACAAATAGGTTAAAAGTAAATGGATAAAAAATATATGTCATGCTAACAATAATAAAAAGAAAGCTGGCATATATGTATTAACAACAGACAAAGTAGATTTCAGAGTAAAACATATGTTACCAATGATAAAAAAGGGTCAATTTGTAATAATAAAGGGGTTAACTGTATCCCTTATTCAAAATGCTTGGGACTAGAAGTGTTTCAGATTTTGAATTTTTTGGATTGATGAATAAATATGTATATATTTGGAAGTAGTCCCAAGTCTAAACACAAAATTCATTTATGTTTCAAATCTACCTAATACATATAGCCTGAGGGTAATTTTATATAATATTTTAAATAATTTTCTACCTGAAACAAGGTTTGTATACATTGAACCATTTTATTAACTTTCATGGATGTCCTTGCATGGGAGTACAGAAAGGGGACTGGGAGCATCTACTTTCCCTTATGGATGATGAATAAACTATGTGTTGTGTGCTTGTGTTTTGACTGTGACCCATCACACAAGGTCAGGTGTGTAACTTTCCAGTCATGTCAACACGGAAAATGTTTTGGATTTGGAGCATTTTGGATTTCAGATTTTTTTATTAGGGATGCTCAACTGTAATTCTAAAGTTTTATGCATTTAATAACAGAGCTTTAGAGTACATAAAGTAAAAACCAATAGAATTGCAAGGAGAAATAGACAAATCCACAATTATGGTCAGAAATTTCAATATGCCATCATAATAACTGATAGAACAAGTAAGTAAACAGAATATCAGTAAGGATGTACAGAAAACTTGAACAAGACTACCAACCAACTTGGCCTAAGTGACATTTATAGAACACTTTACCCATTACAGCAAAATACACATCCTTTGCAAGTGCACACCGAACATTTATCAAGATAGATCATAATCTGGGACATAAAAAAGTTTCAATAATTTTGAAAGGACTAAAATAATGCAGAATGTGTTCTTTAGCCATAGTGGTATTAAATTAGAAACCAATAGGAAGACATCTGGAAAATCCCCCATATATTTTGGAAACTAAATAATATACATCTAATATCCATGGCTCAAACATGATATCAAAAGAGGTATTAGAAAGTATTTTCAACTAAATGAAAATTAAGGCACAAATATCAACATTTGTGGAATGCAGCTAAAACAATACTTAGAGGAAAATGCATCACACTAATGACTGTATCAGAAAAAATAAGAAAGGTCTCAAGTCAACGATCTCAGTTTCCATCATAAGAAACTAGAAAAAGAAAAGCAAATAAAATAAAAAGTAAGCAGAACAAAGGAAATAATAAAGATCAGAGGAGAAATCAATGAAATAAAAAGCAGTAAAATAATGGAGAAAATCAATGGAACCAAAAACTGATAGATCTCTAGCCAGAATGACAGCAAAAAAAGAGAGAAGGCACAACCTACCAATACCAGAAATGAGGGGTTGAGGGGATCATCACAGGAGGTTGGATAGATATCAAACGTAAGAAAATATATGAACAACTTTACTCCAGTAAATTTCAAAACAGATGAAATTAATAAATGAGCTGGGCGCAGTGGCTCACGCTTGTAATCCCAGCACTTTGGGAGGCCAAGGTGGGTGGATCACTTGAGGTCAGGAGTTCAAGACCAGCCAGACCAACACGGTGAAACTCCGTCTCTACTAAAAATACAAAGAATTAGCTAGGCATGGTGGTGCGTGCCGTGCCTGTAGTCCCAGCTACTTGGGAGGCTGAGGTGGGAGGTTCGCTTGAGCCTGGGAGGTGGAGATTGCAGTGAGCAGACATCATGCCACTGCACTCCAGTCTGGGTGACAGAGTGAGACCATGTCTCAAAAAAAAAAAAAAAAAATTCCACAGATTGTGGCTTCAACGAAATTAATAAACTGTCTGAAAGACACACACTGCCAATGCTGACTCAGAAACAGGTCATCTGAATAGCCCTATATCTATAAAATAAATTAAATTTATAGTTAAAAAACCTTCTCACCAAAAAACTCTAGGCCCAGACGACTTCATTGGAGAATTCCACTAAATATTTAAATACCAATAAATACCAAGTCTGTATACTCTCCAATTGATTCTATGAGGACACCATTACCGTAATACCAAAACCAGACAAAGACAGTACAAGAAAACTACAAATCGATATCCCTCACGGACATAGATGCAAGAATTCTAAAGTTATATTGCATCACATACATACTTAGTGTACATAATGTCTATGGATGCTTTGGTGCTATAATGGCAGAGTTGGGTAGTTGTAACAAAGAGTGTGTGGCTAACTTTACTATCTGGCCCTTTCCAGAAAAAGTTCGTTAACTTTTTACTAAAGTTATATATTGAAAGAGATAGAGAAATGGCCACCTTAAACTGGTATTTTATCTGAAACCAAACTGCAGGTAAATAATAATATCTTCATCCTTCTCTTGTTACTTTAAGCTCCCTCACTGCCTGTATCCATCTCCTTCCCCTCCCCCAACAGTCTTTCCTCAGAGAGCTAACTTAGCAGAAAGCTTAAATCATTCAACCAGCAAGCACCAAAAGCAAATTCATAATGAGCATCAAAAGCCTTAATAGCAGGTCAGGCACTGTGGCTCGCACCTGTAATCCCAGCACTTTGGGAGGCCGAGGCAGGCAGATCCCATGAGGTCAGAAGTTTGAGACCAGCCTGGCCATCATGGTGAAACCCCGTCTCTACTAAAAATACAAAAAAAAAAAAAAAATTAGCCGGGTATGGTGACATGTGCCTGTAGTCCTAGCTTCTCGGGAGGCTGAGGCAGGAGAATCTCTTGAACCCAGGAGGAAGAGGTTGCAGTGAGCCAAGATCACACCACCGCACTCCAGCCTGGGTGACAGAGTGAGGCCCTGTCTCCAAAAAAAAAAAAAAAAAAAGCCTTAACAACCTTCTTATCTTTAGATGCAGTAATTAACTCATAATCAAGTCCATGGATATAATTAAAAATTCATGAAAGTTTCATGCACAAGTTCATTCACAACAATGTTACATATGCTACAAAATTGGAAATATACTATATCTCTAACAATAGAAGAATTACTTGCTTAATAAATTATCTACTCTTCCTAAAAAAAAGTTTAGAAAGATTTTTAAGCACAAAAAGCACTATATAAATTATATTTATTATCTCAAAATCTTTAAGCAGGCTATATATGTAAATACACACATAGTAAAAAAAAAGACGAAGAAAATATGACAAAATAGTTTCTCTGAATTGTAAGCCTACAGTAGATTTTTGTTGCCTTTTAAAATATATTCTTATTATACAGTACAGAATTAAGTAAAATAAAGATATAAGGGAAAAGTCTAAAATAATATGAAGCAAATGTGATGCACACACACCGCAAATGGTATTCCAAATGGTTTTAGGTAGCACTTGAGTGAATTTAGAGGGAATGAGTGGTATTGAGTTTTATTAGACACATGTCATTTAAATACAAATACTGAATAAATAATTTAATGGTACACAAATATGGCAGCTTATGAAGATAATATACTGATGGCTCAAGTCTGGGGAACACATTTTAAAGGAGAGAAGATCAAGGATTTTACCAGAAAGAAACCACATATAAACACACACACACTAAAGATTCCTTTTGCTTTTTTTTTTTAAAGGGCAAAAGATACATATGTGCATAATTTTATTTATTTTTTTCTGGAAGAAATCATAGGAAAATTTAGGATACTTTTAGGAAGAGAGAGTAGGGAAAGGGAAAATTCAGCTTTTTTCTCCTCCTTGATCCCTCCGAAGTAAATATAATCTCTTCTTTATTCCACTCCAAAGGCTTCTTGGTTATTACTTTAATCTACCTTGTATATCCCCCGTAATAGATGATAAACTCCTTAAAAACAGTAATTGTGTCTTGCTTGCCTTTGCCCCCGTGCTATAATTTGGATATGTTTGTTTGCCTCCACCAAAGCTCATGATGAAATTTGATTCCCAGGCCAGGCGCGGTGGCTCATGCCTGTAATCCCAGCACTTTGGGAGGCCGAGGCAGGCAGATCACCTGAGGTCAAGAGTTCAAGACCAGCCTGGCCAACATGATGAAACCCCGTCTCTATTAAAAATACAAAAATTAGTTGGGCATGGTGGTGGGCGCCTGTAATCCCAGCTACTCAGGAGGTTGAGGCAGGAGAATCGCTTGAACCCGGAGGTGGAGGTTGCAGTGAGCCAAGATGGCGCCACTGCACTCCAGCCTGGGCAACAGAAGAAGACTCCATCTCAATAAAAAAAGAAAAAGAAATTTGATTTCCAGTATGGTGGTGTTGGGAGTTGAGGCCTAATGGGAGGTGTTGGGTCATGGGGACGGATCCTTCATGAATGGCTTGGTGCCATTCTCGGTAGTGAGTGAGTTCTCACTCTCTTGAGACTGGATTAGTTTTAACAGGAATGTGCCCATGAGAATGGGTTGTTATGAAACCAGGATGCCCCTTGGTTTTCCCTCTTTGCACATGCCTGCTTTCCCTTTGACTTTCTTCTTCATGTTATGAGGTAGCATGAAAAGCCCTCACCAGAAGCCGAGCAGATGCCAGCGCTATGCTTCTTATACTTCTCTGTTTATAGAACCATGAGCTAAATAAACCTCTTCTCTTTGTAAATTACCCAGCTTCAGGTATTCTGTTGTAGCAAAATATTTGCTGAATTAAATTTAATAGTAACATGCCACCAAACATAATGATAAAATGTCACCAAACATGCAAAGATCATTTCTATATTTTCTAGAAAGAAGATTAATCATGTACAACTGGCGTTCTTGTGTTCAAAAAAATGAAGTGATCTTCATTAAGAAATTTGAAAATATTATTTAATTCATCTTCTTGAATAAACTTTTACAAGTAAATAAATACACCAATGATTGTAGCCTGTAAATATCATTCTGAAGCAAATATCCACCTCAACATTAGATTAAAAAGCATGTCTGGCCAGGCGTGATGGCTCATGCATGTAATCCCAGCACTTTGAAAGGCCCAGGTGGGTGGCTCACTTGAGGTCAGAAGTTTGAGACCAGCCTGGCCAACATGGCAAGACTCTGTCTCTACTAAAAATACAAAAAGTAGCCAGACATGGTGGCTCACACCTGTAATCCCAGCTACTGGGGAGGCTGAGGCAAGAGAATTACTTGAACCCAGGAGGTGGAGGTTGCAGTAAGCCGAGATCAGGCCACTGCACTCCAGCCTGAGTAACAGAGCAAGACTCTGTCTCCAAAAAAATAAAAAGTAGTTCAGTTTCAAACATGCTGGCCAGGTACAGTGGCTCACATCTGTAATCCCAGCACTTTGGAAGGCTAAGGCAGAAGGACTGCTTAAGCCCAGGAGTTCGAGACCAGCCTGGGCAACATAGCAAGACATCATCTCAATTTTTTAAAAAATGATACAAACTTGTTGAGTTGGAGATTCCTGTAGCACCTTCCCACAGGGGAAGACAATACTTCTGAGATAAGGAGGGGTTTAGGCTGGGAACAGGAGTTGGAGGTCACCACCACAAGAATGGAAGCAAAATTCCTATGAGAGGACAACTCCACATTTGGGAAGAGTTTAGAGCAGGAAGAGAAAGAAGCCAGGGACAGGACATTGGGCAACAATGGCAAAGAAAGAGAAACCCACAAAGGATATTGAGAGGGCAAGGTGAAGAAGATGGGAGAGAAGCCAGGACGGAGAGTATCACTGAAGCCAAGGTGAGGGGAACTTAGAGAAGGGAGTGGCCAGTCCTCGGCAGGAGTCGCAACAGGTGATTTCAGATATCTCTTGAACTTCTACAGTGTCTTTAATTCTAAAATTGGAGCCCCTAACTTGAAAAAATAATGGCTTCTGTAGAATTCTTCAAAGATATCTTGAAGAGATGTCTTCCTAATTCTGGAAGTATCCTTGTATAACACCTTCACTTTATTTTTTTTAATCCTCATAAACCAAAGCATTATAAGATATTACAAGTCTGCAATAGTTAAGTATCAGATTTTGCTCTGGAAAAGCTTACCTGTAGCATCAGGTTGGAAACAGATATAGAATCCCTAATTCTCAATGAATTTTGACTGCACGTTGAACAATTTGTGGCTTTTAGATAAAAGCTCTATGTCCATTTTCCCTAAGAACTCCTGATAAAGGCCAGGTGTGGTGGCTCATGCCTGTAATCCCAGCACTTTGGGAGGCCAAGGCAGGCAGGTCACAATGTCAGGAGCTCGAGACCAGTCTGGCCAACATAGTGAAACCCTGTCTCTACTAAAAATACAAAAAATTAGCTGGGTGTGGTGGTGTGTGACTGTAATCCCAGCTACTCGGGAGGCTGAGGCAGGAGAATCGCATGAACCTGGGAGGCGGAGGTTGCAGTGAGCCAAGATCATGCCATTGCACTCCAGCCTAGGTGACAGTGTGAGACTCTGTCTCAAAAAGCAAAAAACAACAACAAAAAACCTCCTGATAAAGTAACATGATAACACACAGACACTAACCTGTTAGGTACATAGTGGCAGGAAACTTCCTTGGGCTGGGCAAGGTTCTCAAGTCTTTTGGTCAGCTGAGCCTTCAAAGCACCCTGGGAAACAGGGCGAATAGGATCTTGATTTCCCCAAAACAGTTTTCTGTTAAGAAGCATACAGATAAAATGGTAAAAAAAAATTGATTGCTAGTGAAAATATAAAAAATGACTCTTTTTTTTTTTTTTTTTTTGAGACAGTCTTGCTCTGTTGCCCAGGCTGGAGTGGAGCGCAGTGGCTCGATCTCGGCTCACTGCAACCTCTGCCTCCCGGATTCAAGTGCTTCTCCTGCCTCAGCCACCCGAGTAGCTGGGATTACAGGCACGCACCACCACAGGAGTTCGAGACTAGCTTGGCCAACATGGTGAAACCTCGTCTCTACTAAAACTACAAAAATTAGCCAGGCGTGGTGGCACATGCCTATAATCCCAGCTACTTGGGAGGCTGAAGCAGCAGAATCCCTTGAACCCAGGAGGTGGAGGCTGCAGTGAGCCAATATCACACCACTCCACTCCAGCCTGGGCAACAGTGTGAGACCCCATCTCAAAAAAAAGAAAGAAGTAGTGGGTAGAGGTGAGAAAACCATGTAATAGAAGTCAAAGAGGGGAAGAGTTTGAGATAAGGATGCATAAAATATATCAAACCAAATATATTTTGATAAGCCATAAAATATATCAAAAAGCATCAAATATAACTTAGACATCATAAAAGGATGAAAAAAATCAAACGACAATAGGATTTGGCCAGGCCATTATCAGTGGTAATAACAGAGTGAAAAACATGTCTTTGGATAGGGGTAAATATAACAGCTCAGATGGAGAGAGGTTAGGAGGGTCAGGGATTAGGAAGCTGAGGTAATGTGTGTATATATATACTGGGTTTGCATCCAGTTTCAAATTCAAAGCAAAGGTTACCTTAGACACAACCATGAAATCAAGTGCATAAAATATGGTCCAAATGATGCCGTCCAAGAACTGAACCCTCATGAGATTATTAGCTGCTTAAAAATTTTGGCCACAAGTAAATATATAAACTTACTATGTACCCACAATATTTTTTTAATAAAATAAAACAAATTTTGGCCACAAGAACTAGAAAACACAGAGTATGAACAAAAGTCACTGAGGATAATGTACAAAGCAGGATATTTGGCTTAAAGTAAGTTAGAAGGAAAAGACCAGTGGGGTGAGAAACAGCAGAGACTCTACAGTCAAGAAAAATTTGGTGGCTGGACGTGGTGGCTCATGCCTGTAATCCCAACAACAGTTTGGGAGGCCAAGGCAGGTGGATCACCTGCGATCAGGAGTTCCAGACCAGCCTGGCCAACATGGTGAAACCCTGTCTCTACAAAAGTACAAAAATTAGCCGGGCATGATGGTGGATGCCTGTAATCCCAGCTACTTGGGAGGCTGAGGTGGAAGAATCACTTGGAACTGGGAGGTGGAGATTGCAGTCAGCCAAGAACGTACTACTGCACTCCAGCCTGGGCGACAAAAGGAAACTCCATCTCAAAAAGAAAAAAAAAAGAAAAATTTGGAGGTAAACTTCATCAGGAAGTGGGGAGGCTAACCAACAGGCTAAAGTAGCATATTATAAACAGATAATGTACCACTTTACTGACAGCATTTTAAAAATTACCTGTTTAGCAGTTACATGGCTAGTAATATCAAGAAAATAAAAATGTAATCTTCTATGGTCCATATCCAGGACTTGACCCCAGAGGATAGGATCTTTATCCATACCACACCTGTCTGATGGATCCATGAAATAGAACCAAGTCTGACACCATCACAATTACCCACAGAATTCTAGAATAATGGAACTAGAAGGATTCTTGGGGGTTCAGTGTTCAATCACCCCATTCTGCACAGCTAAAACTCTAGTCTGTTTCAGATTTCCAGATTTAGAAAACACAAAACAGCTCTCATTTCCATTTCCAGAGTTTTGTTGTTCTGAAATTCGTATAATCTCTCCCATCATAACATTTATTTAGCTTTCATCTCTTTAAAATGCTTTATGTACTTTTTGAATTTAGAAATCAGCCTTCAAACTTTCTTTGCCAGTCTAATCTGGCCAACCACAAATTCTTTGAATGTTTCCTCATAGGATCCATCTTTCTTTTAATAATTTTCTTCGCTGGCCTTTGAGACTCTCTCTTTCCTGGTTCTCTTCTAGCAGCTCTCTCTGTTTGTTTTTTGTTTGTTTGTTTCTTTTCTTTTCTTTTCTTTTTTTTTTTTTTGAGACAGAGTCTCCCTCTGTCACCTCTGTCACCTGGGCTGGTGTGCAGTGGCATGATCTCAGCTCACTGCAACCTCAGCCTCCCAGGCTTAAGCAATTCTCCTGCCTCAGCCTCCCGAATAGCTGGGACTACAGGCACGTGCCACCATGCCTGGCTAATTTTTGTATTTTTATTAGAGACGGGGTTTCACTACGTTGGCCAGGCTGGTCTCAAACTCCTGACGTCAAGTGATCTACCCGCCTTGGCCTCTCAAAGTGCTGGAATTACAGGCGTGAGCCACCACACCCGGCCTCTCTCTGTTTAGCATTTCTTTCACAACTCAAACAATAGCACGTGCTCCAGGCTTCCAATATCTTCAATATTATTATTATTTTTATTATTTAGAGATGGAGTCTCTCTCAGTCGCCCAGGCTGGATTGCAGTGGCACAATCTCGGCTCACTGCAACTGCCACCTCCCAGGTTCAAGCAATTCTCCTGCCACAACCTATCTCAAGTAGCTGGAATTACAGGTGCGTGCCACCACGCCTGGCTAATTTTTTGTATTTTTAGTAGAGATGGGGTTTCGCCATGTTGGCCAGGCTGTCTCGAACTCTTGACCTCAAGTGATCCACCCATTCCAGCCTCCCAAAGTCTTGAGATTACAGGCATGAGCCACTGTGCCCATCCTCAATGTTATTTGATTATTACTAAATACTGGCAAATCCCAAATGAGTCTGTCCAGTTATTCTCAAGTAGTCTCCTGACTGCCAAATCCATATTTCCAGATACTTACTGAATGTCTCAAAATCATCTGCATGACCTAATGTATCTTCCTCCCAAACCTATCCCCCTCTTGTATTTTCTTTCGCAGTCATAATAGCATTTTCTACCTTATTTCTAAAGACAGAAAACTAGAAATCATATTTTACTCCTTCCTCAGACTTCTATAATTCATTTGTCACTAGGTCCTGTCCATCTATGTTTTGACTCTAACCTTTGTCTCAACCCTTAAGGCCAATGTGTTAGGATAGGCTATCACTATTTCTCTCCTGCATTATTTTAATAGCCCCAAATTATCTTCTTGCCTCTGGTTTTCCATGCCATCAAAGGAATTGTGCCTTTCTAAAATAGACAGGGTGATATAATGGAAAGAAGCAGGCTTTGTGGGCAATGGATGTAGATTCAAATCCAAGTTGAATTGGGTAAGTTACTTAACTTTTCTAAACTTTACTCCCTAATCAAATAATGTCTCCAATTTTTCTATTGTTTTCAAATAGGGTGGGTTGAGTGTTCCAAGATTTTGACAGTTCTAATAATATTCATTAACATCTCTCTTATCAGTGTATACCTCTACTCAATAAATATGTGTGTGTTCCTATCCATGAATAAGAGACAATTTAATGCATACTATATTTTCAGTTTTAAGCCTCTTAAAACTTAGTCTTTAGAGCATAGCAAAGTTGCAAGATACAGCATTAATATACAAAAGTCCACTGATTTTTGTATGCCAACAAAGAACAATCGGAATTTGAAATAAAAAACACAATGCTATTTACATTAGCATTGCAAAAAATTAAATACATAAGCATAATTCCAAAAAAATACATAAAAGATCTATATGAGGAAAACTACAAAACTCTAATGAAATAATCAAAAAAGAGCTATATAAGTGGAGAGGTATTCAATATTCATGGATAGGAAGACTCAATATTAAGATATCAATTATTCCTGGCTTGGTTTATATATTCAATGCAATCCCAGTAAAAATCCTAGCAAGTTACTTCATGGATATTGACAAACTGATTCTATAGTTTATATAGAAAGACAAAAGACCCAGAATAGTCAACATAATATTCAAGAACAAAGTCAGAGGACTAACACTACCTTACTTCAAGACTTACAAAGCTACAGTAATCAAGGCAGTGTGGTACTGGTGAAAGAAGAGACAGATGAGTGGGATAAAATACAGATCCTATAAGTAGATCCACACAAATATAGCCAAAGTATTGAAGGCAATCCAATCAAGAAATGATAGTCCTGGCCAGGCACGGTGGCTCATGCCTGTAATCCCAGCCCTTTGGGAGGCTGAGGTAGGCAGATCACCTGAGGTCAGGAGTTCGAGACCAGCCTAACCAACATGGAGAAACCCCATCTCTACTAAAAATACAAAATTAGCCAGGCGTGGTGGTGCCTGCCTGTAATCCCTGCTACTTGGGAGGCTGAGGCAGGAGAATCACTTGAACCTGGGAGGTTGCAGTCACAGTGAGCCGAGATTGCACCATTGCACTCCAGCCTGAGCAACAAGAGTGAAATTCCATCTCAAAAAAAAAAAAAAAAAAAGAAATGATAGTCTTTTCAACAAATGGTACTGGAACAACTGGACATCTACATGCAAAAATAAATAATCTAGACACAGACTTTGCACCTTTCATAAACATTAACTCAAAATGTGTCTAGATGTAAATATAAAACACAAAAATATAAAACTTTCAGGAGTTTCATAGAAAAACACACAGGAGGAAATCCAGGTGACTTTGGGTTTAGCAATGAGTTTTTAGAAACAACACCAAAAGCATGATTCACAAAAGAAAAAATCAGTAAATTGAACTTCATAAAAATTAAAATTTCTATTTTGTGAAACACACTGCTAAGAGAATGAAAAGCTAAACCATAGACTGGGAGACAATATTTGCAAAACAAGTATCTGATAAAGGACTGGCATCCAAAACATACAAAGAACACTTAAAACTCAACAATAACAAATAGCCCAACTAAAAAGTGGGCAGAAGAACTGAACAAACACCTTACCAAAGAAGATATACAAATAAGCAAATATGCTCAACATCAGTTCATTAGAGAATTGCAAATTAAAACAATGAGATACCACTACACACCTATTAGAATGGCTAAAATCCAAACACTGACACCACCAAATGCTGACAAAGATGGAGAGCAACAGGAACTCTCCTTCATTGCTTGTTAAAATGCAAAATGGTACAGTCATCTTAGAAGAGCTTAGTAGTTTCTTACAAAGTTAAATATACTCTTACCATATTATCCAGCAATTTACCCAAATTAGCTAAAAACTTAAATATACCAAAAAAACCTGCACGTGAATGTTTATAGCAGCTTTATTCATAATTGACAAATATTGGAAGCAACCATGATGCCCTTAAATAGGTAAATGGATAATCTATGATACATCTATACAACTAAATAGTACCCACATCAATAGAATATAATCTTAAAAAGAAATGAGCTATCAAGACAAAAAAAAAAACATAAAGGAAGCTTAAATGCATATTACTAAGTAAAAGAAGCCAATCTGAGAGATTACGTACTGTACAGTTCCAACTAGATGACTTTCTAGAAAAGACAAAACTATAGAGACAGTAAATAGATCAGTAGTGGCCAAGGGTTTGGAGAGGGAGGAAAGAGGAAAAGAAATGAATAGTTGGAACACAGGTAATTTTTAGGGCGATGAAACTGTCCTGTATGATACTATAATGGTGGATACATTATGCATTTGTCAAACCCATAAAGCTGCACAACACAAAAAGTGAACCTTAATGTAAACCATAGGCTTTAATCAGTAAAAATATATCAATATTGGCTCATCAATTTTAACAATTGTACCACAATAATGCAAGATGTTAGTAGTAGGAAAAACTAAGGGGAGGGGTGGTAAATATGGAAACTCTACTTTCTGCTCAATTTTTCTGTAAACCCAAAACTGCTCTAAAAATTAAAGTATATTAATTTTGTTTAAAAAAAAAAAAGCAATAGGACAGGCATGGTGGCTCACGTCTGTAATCCCAACACTTTGGGAGGCCAAGATGGGAGGATCACTTAAGCACAGGAGTTTGAGGCCAGCCTGGGAAACATAGGGAAACCCCCGTCTCCACAAAAAAATTTAAAAATTAGCTGGGCACAGTGGTACACACATGTGGTCCCAGATACTCAGGAGGCTGAGGTGGGGGAATCACTTGAGCCTGGGAGGTCAAGGCTGCAGTAAGCCATGATTGCACCACAGCACTCCAGCCTGAGAAACAGAGTGAAACCCTGCCTCAAAAAAAAAAAAAAAAAAAAAAAAAAAAGCAATAGGAGATCCAAAAAATATTCAAGCTTGACTCAGGAGCCAAAGAAGAAAAAGAGGAGTCCCTTGGCCAAGCGTGAAAGGACTAAGGGTCCAGCTTGCTGGAGACCCAGAGGACAGGTGTGTTCTAATAAGAGGCTTAGAGGTATCAGGATTAGTGATAGGAGCCTTAGAGATACAGGCAGCAAAGCTGGACTTGGAGAATGCACAAAAAGTTTCAAAAGAGTGTGCAGTCACACCCCTGAGCAGTGGTTCTCAAGTCTGTCCGCCTATAGAATCATCTGGGGAGCTTTTAACTCCCCAAGTCTATGGCACACCCCATATCAACTAAATCAGGATTTTTGGGGAAAGCACTCAGTCATTATTAAAGTTCCCCAGGTGATTCCAATGTACAGCCAAATTTAAGAACCACTGACCAAGGGTTAGCCTTTTACATGCTGACTACAATGAGGTGACAATATTGGTTCAGAGGATCTAGTTAAGTAGAGGTGGATGGATAAATAATACTTACCTGTTTTATGTAATGAACACAATCATCACAAACAGGACCATACAATATTGCCTTACCTGTCTGGAGTTCCCCATTGCTTTTTAGGCTTTGAAAGATTTGGGGTTCTCTTCCTAGAAGAAAAACTAACAAATAGCAGCTGATTAATTCAAAGAGAATGCTTAAGAAATGTGGTTACATTAGATGACTCCTGCTCATAGGAGGGGGGAAAAAAAAGAACTAAAACCAATGCTGTATTTGATGTGATTTGAAGAGTGCTGAAAGGCTCAAAGTATCCAAACATTCTTTGTACCCAACATTCTCACTTCTAGAATTACTAATATAGCACATAATAAAATGAACACAATAAATTATGCAACCAAAGAACATATTGTCTCCAGAAGACCTGAGGTAAAATGCACACTTGTTAACAGGAAAAACCTCAATCAGTCTATTAAGGTCATTTGTAGATGGCTTGGTGGCACTGGATTCTGAAGAGATTGTACAGACAAATTTCAGACAGAATATCTGGCTTTGGAAAAACTATGAAATAGGCAAAATACACTTTTGGTACCACTCAATCCCCTCTGTGCCTCACTCTGCTCCCTTGAACCTTCCCTAATTTTTCTTAATCCACTTGCAGCAGAGAGAGTTTGTGCCCTCCAAGTGTCCATGTGTTGCCCTATGTTTCCCAGCCTCCTTTGCAGTTGTTTGGAGTGACATAACTGTCACGTCTAATTTCAGCAAGAGTACTGGGTACCACATAAGAGCTAGTGCGTCTCTTCCACTTTTCTCTTTCCTTGTTGCAGGGACCTAGAAGCCACATATCCTAGACAGCAGAGCTACAAGGTAGAGGAGGGCCAATCAATTCACACTAGACTCTGGCAGGAGGGAGAAATAAATAAACTTTTATTGTGTTAAGTCATTGAGAGTTCTGTGTCTTGTTTGTTAATGTAGCATTGTCTATCCTATGCAGACTAATACACCACCTATGTTGTGGTGACTCATATTACAACTGTGTATGGCCTTGGTTGGAGTCTGACGGGGCCAATACATGACAACTCTTTTGGTCTACCATCTTTAGAAACCAACTGAAAAATAGGCACAGGAGTCAGACAAATAGAATAAAAATACTATATGTTGTTGACAAAACCATATCGAAATGAGTAGTTTGAATCCCTGACACCCCCGAATTGAACTGACATCCCAAAGCTGCAGGCCTCCTCCTGTAGGGACTAAACTTGCTATGTGATAGAGAGTAGATCACAAAGATCCTTGTACAGATTGATGCACCATCTTACAGATCACTGTAGACAGGCAGGCCCCAAAGAAAAAGGGTCCCAGAAGGGACCAATTCTCTCTCCCAAACCTATCAAACAGATGTCACTCCTACCCCACAGAAAGTCTAATTAAAGAGTGAGGCAAGAGGCCAGGAGAATTACTCAAAGGAAATGCTTCAATGTATAATGAGGCAGGTGATAAGGAAAAGCATCCCCCTAACACTTGCCTGAGCTCTTTAATGGGCTCCAAACTCTTTTAGAATAAGCCCTAGCCCTGATGTCAGGTAGGATTCAGTCACTGACACAGCACATACAAGGCATGATGTGAAGAAATGGCCTTCCTAATTAAGTGGTGATTGATGCACCGTGGGAGGAGGCAGTAGGGGAGAGGGGACTCAATAGTCAGCAGCTACCAAGGTTGCACATTTGTATAACCTCTCAGCCTTTTTTTTTTTTCTGTTAGAGATAGAGTCTCACTATGTTCCCCACGCTGGAGTGCAATGGCATGATCACAGCTCCCTGCAGCCTCGAACTACTACCCAAACTCAGCCTCCTGAGTAGCTGGGACTACGGACACCATACCGGGCTAATTAGGCACAGCACATTTGCATAAAAACGAACTTTTTAAAGGATACAGGGATAGATAATGGAGATGGCACAATTTCCTTACATGATGACCCCGAATTAACAGATCAAAGAGAAACAAGAAGCAGTAAGAAATAACAATAACGAAAAACTTTTTTGAAACCACACTCGTCACAGCCTTTTTAAGTATAAAAATTTATGGGACACAAACTATCCAGTCACAGGAAAGCTTGCTCACTCAGCATACATTATTTATTTTAAGTACTGTGGTATTTTGAGTGGATACTTGGTAATATTCAGTAAATGTTAATTCTACCCGCTCTACTCCTCAGCCACCTGACAACCTTGGGAAAGTGACATAATTTTGCTGAATTTCATTTTCTCTCGGTAAAATCTAGTTGATATATCTGTCCTATCTACTTTTCAGAATTCTTGTGAGAAAACCTATTTTTTTTTAACTGAAAACCATTACACAAAAATAAGGTAGTAGTATTTGCTGCCTGAATAAGGAAGGGGGAAAAATCTAGAAGCATGGTAAATACAGCCAGGTGTGGTGGTTCACACCTATAATGCCAGCACTTCAGGAGGCTGAGTTAGAAGGATCACCTGAGGCCAGGAATTTGGGACCAGCCTGGGCAACGTAGTGAGATCTATCTCTACAATAAAATTTTAAAAATAAATATTAAAACATAAAATACAAAATAAGTCTGAATAATAACCATACATGTAAATGAGCTAAACAATAATAATAAATATGAATGGTTTTGACCCACTTCTTTAAAAAGTAGATGAAAATAAAATCTGGTATTATTTACTTTTCACCTACAGGAACCATTGATATGAACCCTTGGTATTTCTCCCTAATGATTTTATAGGATGAGTATCTTTTATCCAAAATGCTTGGTACTAGAACTATTTGGAATTTTTGATATTTTCAGATTTTGAAATATCTGTACATACATAATGAGGTATCTTGGGGATGAGACCCAAGTCTAAACACAACATTCATTTATGTTTTACATACATCTTACACACATAGCCTGAAGGTAATTTTATATAATATTTTAAATAATTTTGTGTGTGAAACAAAGTTTGTGGTAAGTTCTTATGTGTGATATTTTCCACTTGTGGTGTTATGCCCATGCTCAAAAAGTTTCAGATTTTGGAGCACTTGGGATTTTAGATTTTCAGATTAGGGATGCTCAACCTGTATTCTGTCTCCTCTTCTAACTCTATCTTAGCCAAACAAAGGGTAAGCATCGGTATTCAGGATGCATTTATTGTTGTGCATTATATGCACATGTACACATATACTTTTTTCTTTTCTTTTTTTCATAAAGGGTACTTTCTTGAAAAGTCATTAGCTACCGTACTTGAATTAGAGGCAAGGGAGATTGGGATACGTTGAACTGGAGCTTCACAAAATCTGTGATTCAAGATTGTCAGTGCAGAATCCCAAATCCCTTAAAGGTTCAGATCTACTAAGTAACAAGTCAAGTACCTAGCAAACAAGTAAAAAACTAAGTGAATAGAAGTGTTCTCCAGCTAGGCACGATGGCTCACCCCTGTAATCCCAGCACTTTGGGAGGCAGAGGCGGGCAGATCACGAGGTCAGGAGATCGAGACCATCCTGGCCAACACGGTGAAGCCCCATCTCTACTAAAAATACAAAAATTAGCTGGGTGTGGTGGCACATGCCCGTAATCCCAGCTACTCAGGAGGCTGAGGAAGGAGAATCACTTGAACCCGGGAGGCAGAGGTTGCAGTGAGCCGAGATCACGCCACTGCACTCCAGTCTGGGGAACAGAGCGAGACTCTGTCTCAAAAAAAAAAAAAAAGAAAGAAAGAAAAGAAAAGAAAGAAAAGGACCTTATGACAAAGGGAAAGCCTAGGAATGTCCTTTTTGAAAACCCCAAGGTAGACCCACGTCAAATGAATCTGCCCCATCCAGATTGGCTGGCCTATTAGTTTAGGTCTGTGAAAATAGTACTATAACTATGTCTTACCATTTCCTTACAAAGTCACAGGAAACAGGATTTGCTAAAAGAAAACAAAAGTAAAAGCAAAAATTAGATTCAACAGGAATCAAAGATATGATTAAGATAGCATCACAAATTAAAAGAGAAAGGAGTTAGAAAAAAATATTTGGGGAAATGGCCAACTGAAATATATCATAGTATGTACCAAAATAAACCAAAGGTAAATCAAGGAGTTAAGTATTTTAAAAACTGAATTAGAGGAAATAAGAGAATATCTACTTGATCCCTGGATTTTAATCTTCTAGAGTTAAAGCTGGCAAAAGATATAAAGGACAATATAAATAGATTAAAATACTTAAAATTTCTGTGTCAAAAATTAAACCTTAAAGATGACAGAAAAATTTGGAGGAATATTTGGCAATAAATATGATAAAGGGTTAATAGTCTTAACATTTGAAGAGTATAAATGTACAGATTATAAGAAAAACACTAAGGTAAGTGTCAAAATTAAATAGACAAAGGATGAGAACAGAATTCACATATGAAGATATATAAAGGGCTAATAACTAACATAAGTAAAAGTTCATCAGCACTACAGGAAAGGTAAAAAAAACAGAAAGAGAACGCTCAAACTTGCTTATAATCAAAACAATGCAAAAAATGAGATTTTTCTTTAAACTGGCAAATTGGCAAAATTTTTTTGCAAAGTATAAAGATGTTGGAAGGGTAAGATGAAATGAGTCCTTCTGTGCATTGCTGGTAAAAGTCTAAATTAGTATATTTTATGAAAAATAATTTGATAGTGTCAGTAATGTTTACATGTCTTAGTCCAATTCTATTTATAGAAATGGACCCTAAAGAAATAATTCAAGTGTGGGCAAAGATTTATGCAGAAAAATCTTCATTGTGGTATCTTTAACAGTGGGAAATTAGGTAATCCTGAAATGTCCAAAACAGAAGAAATGGTTAAGCTAATGAAAAATCTCGTTTATAAGCTGGGTTTTTTTGTTTTTTTGTTTTAATGTGGAAAAATGTAGGTGATCCCATAGGCCTTATAATGATGGATTGCTCCAGAGTCTTTTCTTGGGAGTTTTTAATCCCATCCAAGAGTTTTGAAATAACATTGTCTAGAATGTTTTTGGTAAAGAAAAGTGGGTGCGCTACAGCATCAGACAGACCTGGCTCAAACCTCAGTTTTGTTGCTTACTCCACTGTACAATCTTGGGTAAATTAATTTCTCAGGGATTTAGTTTTCCCTTCTCAGATAGGAGGATTAATAGGTCTGTGTAAAGATTACTGATAAACAGCCTCGTGCAGTGGCTCATGCCTGTAATCCCAGCACTTTGGGAGGCCAAGGCAGGCAGATCACCTGAGGTCAGGAGTTCGAGATCAGCCTAGCCAAGATGGTGAAACCCTGTCTCTACTGAAAATACAAAAATTAGCCACTCATAGTGGTGTGTGCCTGTAATCCCAGCTACTTGGGAGGCTGAGGCAGGAGAATTGCTTGAACCTGGGAGGCGGAGGTTGCAGTGAGCCAAGATTGCACCACCGCACTTCAGCCTGGGCAACAAGAGAGAAACAACTCCATCTCAAAAAAAAAAAAAAAAAGAGAATTAGTAATAAAACAAGATTAGTGTATACATGTACATCACTTACATATATATGTATAGCATCTTGCATATGGTAGATGAATGGTAGTTACAATTATTGGTTACAACTTCAGTGTATCAATGGCTTAAATAGAGCACTGTAGGAAACACAATTAACTATTCAACGAACTTGTGATTTGGCTCCTATAGGCAAGCATGGTGCCAGTATGGAGAGAACACAAATGACGAAGGTCTCTCTTCTCAAAAAGTTTACACTCCAGTGGGAGGCAGGCTATGAATTTAAACAAAAAAAAGTAAATGGAACTTTTAAATTCAGATATTTTCTGTTGTTCCAGACCTAAGGGAAAAGGGAGAGTAGTCTACAAAAATGTCCCTCACAGCCAGCCGTGCTGTCACCCATGAAAGTTGCAGCACTTATTCTATGGGCTTTTTATGTATTACCAACCTTGCCTTTCAGCTTTATGACCTGACACAGGTTAGAGAGTCAGTAAAAAACTGAATCAGTCCTAAAAGACCATCTATAAGTACTGATAATGTGAATGAATAACTCTTTGCTATTGCTCTTTCATACTATAATTTCTCCTATAGGTAAAGTTTTCACTCTTTATTTTAGAAAACACACTTTTGAGGTTATCTCACTAATTGGCAGGATGAAATAGCTCTCAGGTGGCTGTTGTTAGCTAATGTCCCAAGCAAAGCAGTGTTATAGTGGTTTCCAAATTTGTCCACAGATTAGAATCACCTGGAGATCTCTTACAAACTACAAGTCCCAGGCCACATCTCAGACCAATTAAGTCACAATCTCTGGGGAAGGGACACAGGCATCAGCATTTTTTGAAGCAGACAAGTTTGGGAACTGCTATCATATCATTTAATGGCTGAGACCACTGGCTCTGGAATCAGAGTTCCCGGAACGAAATTTTGGCTCTAACTTCTGATCTAAGGCAAGTTTATTTAGGCTCTCTGCAACTAAGTATTTTCACGACTGAGTTCTTGCTTCAAAAAGTTGTTAGAGGAAAGTTAAATAATACAAGGAAAGCACTCTGCACAGTGTCCAAAACACAGCACTATAAATGAAATCCATTATTAATTCTAAGAATTTAGGAATTAAGATTCTGCTTAAATTTCTGTGAATTAAAAAAAATGTGGCTGGGCACGGTGGCTTATGCCTGTAATCCCAACACTTTGGGAGGCCAAGGCAGGTAGATCACCTGAGGTCAGGAGTTCAAGACCAGCCTGGCCAACATGGCGAAACCCCATCTCTACTAAAAATAACAAAAATTAGCTGGGTGTGGTGGCGGGCGTCTGTAATCCCAGCGACTCAGGAGGCTGAGGCAGGAGAATCGCTTGAACCCAGGAGGCAGAAGTTGCTGTGAGCCGAGATCATGCCATTGCACTCCAGCCTGGGGGACAAGAGCGAAACTCCGTCTCAAACAAACAAACATAAACAAAAATGTTTAAGTAATTGTTAAGGAAGTGTTTACTATTAAGGGTTCCAACTGCTTTTTTTTTTTTTTTTTTTGAGACAGGGTCTCTCTGTTGCCCAGGCTAGAGTGCAGTAGCGCAATCATCACTCACTGCAACCTCCACCTCCCCAGTTCAAGCGATTCTCGTGCCTCAGTCTCCCGAGTAGCTGGGACTACAGGTGTGTGCCACCAAGCCACGCTAATTTTATTTTTTGTAGACAGGGTCTCACTATGGTGCCCAGGCTGGTCTTGAACTCCTGGGCTCCAGCAATCCTCCTACCTTGGCCTCCCAAAGTGCTGGGCATGAGTCACCACACGTAGCCATGAAAATTATTAGTAAAATGTTAAACCTACTTTGTAAACATGTACTCACATGTATTTTCATTGGTTTATGTGTTTCTACCCTCCCTTCATTTCTAAAAGGATTTGAGGTTGCTTACATAAACAGACTACAATAGGATATGTCTGTTTTTAGATGAAAAACTCAAGGAAAGAGAAAAATAGTCAGGAGAAGGGTAAGAAAAATAAGGGAAGCATAGATAATAAAGCCTAGCATAGTTGTATCAGAGCTTTCTACCAGGGAAAGAAAGACACCAGCTGTTCCTAACAGTGGAATCTTTTAGGAGGAGGGTGGAGCAGGGGCTTCATCACCATGTATTTCTTTCTTGTGTTTGTTTTCTCTCTCATAGATTAGTCAATCACATGCAAATGTCAGTAGCCCGGCCGCAGACTAGGATTTACACTGACACAGCTGCGCCGGGCGGGTCTGTGTGGACAGCATTGTCCTCAGTGGTATAGGACAGGCTCGATGGCCCCGGGCGTGCTGGCCACCACCTTGCGGACAGTCGTCTCGGGGACACAGAAGCGCAGCCTGCGATGGGCTTTCCTGTTGAGAATGCTGCCGTTGCTGAGCTTTCTGGTCAGTGTTGCAGAGGATGACGTAGTTGTGCAGGTCCACAAGCGGGTCTGGAACTGCTCCACAGTCTCCCTCCCGCCCTCGGGCCAGGTGGCGCTCCAGACGGCGGAGCCAGAGCGCGTGCGGCCGGCAACCAGGCCACCAGGGGGCGCAGGTTGGCAGCGGCTGGAGGGCTGCGGGGCTCGGCCTAGCGGAGCCCAGCAACTCGAACTGCGACACAAGTTGAAATTTAAAAAAAAAAATCTCTCGGATGAGGTCTTAACTGGTGTTATACAAGGAGCAACATAATTATAAAACGTTGGTGGAAAGCCAAATAGAACCCTATTTTTTTTACGTTTTTTCGCCTCTTCAAAGTTTATTCCTGATTTGTGTTGCATGAAACTAAGTTAAAAAAAATAGTTTCCAGTGAAGTACTATAAATGACTGAGTATGAGGCATGATTTTCCCCAAAAAATTATTCTTCAGTAAAGGTTACCGTATATGCAAGCTCTTAAAAGAACCCATCTTAAGAGGTGCTTTCTCAATTGCTTTATTTTCTCAACAAAGAACTGGGCAAGGAAAACGTATTGGGGCCGGGCACGGTGGTTCACACCTGTAATCCCAGCACTTTGGGAGGCCAAGGCGGGCGGATCACTTGAGCTCAGGAGTTCGAGACCAGCCTGGCCAACATGGTGAAATTCCATCTCTACAAAAAATACAAATATTAGCCGGGCGTGGTGGCTCACACCTGTAATCCCAGCTACTCGGGAGGCTGAGGCACGAGAATCACTTGAGCCCAGGAAGCAGAGGTTGTTGCAGTGAGCCTAGGTAGGGCCATAGCACTCCAGCCTGGGCAAGAGAGCGAGACTCCATCTCTCTCTCTCTCTCTCTCTCTCTCTCTCTCTCACATACACACACACACACACACACTCTCTCTCTCTCTCTCTCTCACATACACACACACACACACACACACACACACACTCTCTCTCTCTCTCTCTCTCAATATATGCTAGAATGGGAAAAGTACAGAGTTCTCCCTACCAAAATTAATAGGTTAAGCGAAGGAAAGGAATAAGAAATTCAAAACAGATTTAGTAATTATTCTTGGGAATATAATCTCATAATCCTAAATGCTAGGTGTTGTTCTAAAGCTTTAAACATTATTTTATTTATTTATTTATTTATTTGAGACAGAATCTCACTCTGTCACCCAGGCTGGAGTGCAGTGGCGCAATTGGCTCACTGCAACCTCTGCCTCCCGGGTTCAAGTGATTCTTGTGCCTCAGCCTGCCAAGTAGCTGGGACTACTGGTGCACACCACGACACCTGGCAAATCTTTGTATTTTTAGTATAGAAGGGGTTTTGCCATGTTGGCCAGGCTGGTCTCAAACTCCTGGCCTCAACTGACCACCAGCGTCTGCCTCTCAAAGTGCTGGGATTACAGGTGTGAGCCACCATGCCCAGCCCTAAACTTTATTTTAAAAAGCAAAACATGGCTGGGCGCGGTGGCTCACGTCTGTAATCCGAGCACTTTGGGAGGCCAAGGTGGGCAGATCACGAGGGCAGGAGGTCGAGACCATCCTGGCTAACACGGTGAAACTCCGTCTCTACTAAAAATACAAAATATTAGCCTGGTGTGGTGGCGGGCGCCTGTAGTCCCAGCTACTCGGGAGGCTGAGGCAGGAGAATGGCGTGAACCCGGGAGGCGGAGCTTTCAGTGAGCCAAGATCGCACCCCTGCACTCCAGCCTGGAGACTCCGTCTCAAAAAAAAAAAAGCAAAACATAAACACAAAACGCAATAAACCACATAGTGATTGTATTGTAAAGGTAAAAGTACACGTACAGGATGAATTTTTTTTTTTAAGTTCCTACTTTTACATGACATGAATGGGTTCTGATGGCTCGTGATAATTTCCAGTGACAACATCAAACACAGGTTCAAAGGGACCCTGTCTTACTCCTAACAAAATAATAGAATCTAATAAAATAATGGTATCTAGGCAGTGAACAAGACTGGTTGTTGAAACCATCTGGTGAAAGGTGGATTGGAACTAACGTTGAGGGATCAGGGCTGACCTCACCTGAACCCACTCATCAATCTTACATTCCCCACAAGTGGGAGAGCCAGAGGATGCGCCTTACTCAAAGTGTGATGCTAGAGGAAGAGCACGTTCAGCACCACCTATCAAAGAACCTTGCCAAAAATAATTTATTCTGAGTTGAAGCAAGCCTCTTAATCTGCAATATGGGATATTTTACCGAATTTTCCTGACAAATAAATGGTGTTTCTAAAAGGGAGAGAGGACAAGGTCTATTGATGAAGAATAACAGAGACAAACAGACTGTAGGGGAGAAAACATAAGTTATTTTCTTCCCCTTTTTAAGATCTTAGTTGAGACACTCTCCTAAAAAAAAAAAAAAGGTAAATTAACAAAAGAAAAACAAGCAGAAGTTTATGAACATGAGCCATACCCATCATGCAGGAGAGGTCTCAGTTCAAAAGTATTTCTCTCTCAACGCAGTGGTTTGGGGGCTTTGCTTAAATAGAATTTTAACAAAGAGCCATACATGCTATACAGTGGCCAGAGAAAGGAGAAAGCAGTTGTGGTCTTTTTAAAGTCAGGAAAATGTGGGAAGATAGTAAAATCTGTTCCCAGATTTCTCTGTTGCCTGCTAGTGCCTTCTCCAGTAAGGAAGGGTTGATGTCCCCGCCGCCAGGCAAACAGAGCCTGAGGCAGATCATTCCTCTGCGTTTTCATTGTCTTTTACTTAACATTCATCAGTATTTTGGTTTCCTTCAAGACCTAACTCCCAAATGCAATGTGAGGCTCTTGTTTAAGTCCTAATTTGAACAAATCAACTGTAAAAATATGTTTTTGAGACAATTAGGGAAACATGTATTTAGTGGGCATTAAAGAATAATTGTGGCAGGGCATGACAGCTCATGCCTGTAATCCTAGCACTTTGGGAGGCTGAGGTGGGAGGATCGTTTGAGATCAGGAGTTCAAGACCAGCCTGGGCAACCTAGGAAGACTCCATCTCTATAGAAAAAAGAAAGAAAGAAAGAATAATTGTAAATTTTGTTTGGTGTAATTATGACATGATAATTATGTGGCTTTTTAAAAATCCTTAGCAATTAGAGATGCATACTGAGGTATTTATGGGTAAAATGACATGGTATCTGGCAGTTTCTTTAAAACAAATTTGTCCTACAGGATGCCCAAAAATTAGGATTGGGGGGTGCCTAGATGAAACAATATTCAAAAACAGTGTTAATTATTGAAACTACGTAATGGGTACATAGGGGTTTATTATAACATACTCTATTTTGTGTATGTTAAGAAATTTCCATAATAAAAAAATATTTTACGTTTTTCTATCTCAAATAACTTAGAAATAAAAACAATGTGCCCTTAAAAAGTGTATTAAATTACTCAAAAAATGACTCTAGTGATGTCAAATATGCAAGTGAAAAAATTAATAAAACTGTTTTCCATGAAATCTGACATTAGGAATAAATATTTCTAAATTATACCATTTATTTTAATATGTTACTTTTATTTTTTAATTTAAATTTTTGTAATACAATTATAAACATTTGTCTATTTTAGCTCTATTTTTTAAAGTTTATATATTCAAATTGGCAAAAACATTTAAATGTCGTTATATTCAAGAATATACAGTAATTGCACTTTGGCAATATCTTGTTATATCAAATTAAGCAGTTATATTAAAATATAGACTCTCAACATTTGTTCATAGTGATTGGCCAGTCTAGCCACTTCATTTCACTAGAAAGGAAACAGACACACAGCTATGACGTAACCGAAAGTAAATCACAAGTTTCCTAACTCCTAGTCCAGTGCTCTTCGCAACAGAACCAAGTTTCCTCTTCTACTAAATGTATGCTCCAATTGAAATCCCCAGGATGCAACTGGAGCCATGACTCCTGGGCACAGCAGTGTTCAAACATTGACATTTCTTTGGGGACAGTAGGGAGGAGTTGACACATCCAATCCATCCTCATTGGCTGATTTTCCTGTAGTACAATTCCAGTATCACTTTCTGTCCCCAAAATGTTCCCCAGCCCACTCTTCCAGAGAAAATAGCAGCGGTGCTTCTTTTCTTCCATTTAAGGGGCCTGACCTATCTCGTCAGTAGTTCACAGGCTTTGGACGAACTGATGGGCTTTGGCTGTCTTTCTTTTCTTTCTTTCTTTCTCTCTTTTCTTTCTTTCTCTTTCTTCCTTTCTTTTCCTTCTTTCTCTCTCTTTCTTTCTTTCTTTTTCATTCACCACTGATCAGAAGGTATTATATGGCTTTTGTTTTGTTTTGAGACAGAGTCTCACTCTGTCACCCAGGCTGCAGTGCAGTGGTGCGATCTCGGCTCACTGCATCCTCTGCCTACCGGGTTCAAGCGATTCTCCTGCCTCAGCCTCCTGAGTAGCTGGGCTTACAGGCGTGCACCACCACTCCCGGCTAATTTTTGTATTTTTAGCAGAGGCAGGGTTTTGGCATGTTGGCCAGGCTGGTCTTGAACTCCTGACCTCAGGTGACCCACCTGCCTCAGCCTCCCAAAGTGCTGGGATTACAGGCGTGAGCCACCATGCCTGGCCCATGATATGGCTTTGAATGCCGGTCCTCCACTATATGCATGGAGACAACATGCCAAGTCTCACATTCTTCATCTGTAAAATGGGGATGCAAATAGTACTTACTTCAAAGGGTTGTCTTAAGGATAAAATGAGATTACATTAAATATTTAAAACACTCAATGAACATAAGCTACTATTAATATGAGCTCAGTAACTCTTGAGTGAATCTAGAAAGTGTTCAGGAATGGCCATATGAATGACTTTTATGCTGACTTTACCCATTCATTTTAAGCTTTGGAATAGAGAAGGATAAAGAAACTTAAATCCCTGTCCAAGGTCATGCAGCTTACCTTTCAGGTAGAAAGACAGACAACAAGCAAGTAAATAACTTCAGATAGTGGTAAGCGCTGGGAAGGAAATAAATCAGTGTGATGTGGCTGGTAAGGCAGAAGGAGAGGGTGCCTACTTTAGGGAGAGAAGTCAGGGCCTTCCTGAAGTAGCATGGTCATGAGACTCTCTCTAAAAAGTTTTCAGACTCTGCTTTAGAAAACACTACATTAAGGCAGGCACGGTGGCTCACACCTGTAACGTCAGCACTTTGGGAGGCTGAGGCAGGCAGATCACTTGAGGTCAGGAGTTTGAGACCAGCCTGGCCAACATGGTGAAACCCTGTCTCTACTAAAAATACAAAAATTAGCTGGGTGTGGTGGTGCAGGCCTGTAATCCCAGCTACTCAGGAGGCTGAGGCAGGAGAATCGCTTGAACCTGGGAGGCAGAGGTTGCAGTGAGCTGAGATTGCACCATTGCACTCCAGCCTTGGCAACAAGAGCAAAACTCCATCTCAAAAAAATAAATAAGTAAAAAATAAAAAGAGGTTATTGTTGCCACTTAACTCAGAAAAATGAAGTGCTTGTCCTGTAGGATACTCCAGTACATTTTACTTTGTATGCTGTGGATGTGTTATTGTTGTAGATATATTCAGCCTCCCCAACCACAGAAATAGTTCTTCAAGGAAGGAATCCATGTCTTATTCATCTACAGCTCACTACCTACACCATAAACATAGTATGCGCTCAATAAAGTTCAGCAATAACAGTGATGATTAGGTGATGATACTATTGTTAGGTGATAGAATAATAGAACCGACTCTATAAATTTTTTAAATTTGGCACACAACCAAAATGCCATGTCTTAGTCATCTTTGCACTCCATAGGACACAGAAGAGTGACTTAGTAGTCGCTCAATAAATGTTGGATGAAGAAAAATCTTATTGAGTGAGTAGAGGCACGGGGATGTGCTAATTATTGCCCAATGTTTACACCACTTTTTGTAAATATTATATAAATATACTTAGTGTTTGTTGAGCTTTACTAAAGGAATTAATGTAAAGACTTACTGGAATTGACAAGGAAAATCTAGAAGACAAATTGAGAAGGTAGAAGGCTTTAAAGTAGTCTTTTCTTTTGTTTTGCTTTTTTGAGATGGAGTCTTGCTCTGTTGCCCAGGCTGGAGTGCAGTGGCATGATATTGGCTCACTGCAACCTCCACCTCCCGGATTCAAGTGATTCTCCTACCTCAGCCTCCAGAGTAGCTGGGATTACAGGCACATGCCACCATGCCTAGCTAATTTTTATATTTTTAGTAGAGCTGGGGTTTCACCATGTTGGCCAGGCTGGTCTTGAACTCCTGACCTCAGGTGATCTGCCTGCTTAGGCCTCCCAAACCATTACAGGCTTGAGCCACCATGCCCGGCCTAAAATAATGTTTTCTAAAGCAAAGTCTGAAAACTTTTTAGAGAAAGTCTCATGACCATGTGACTTCAGGAAGGCTGCTTTAGGTAGCATGGACAGGAAAAGCCCTACAAAAGATTAGCTTTCCCACCTCTTAAAAACAGGCTGAGACCCAGTAATAGAAATTAGCCATGAGAGAATCCTGGGAAAAAAATAGGCATGCCAGGTAGAGAGAACCACAGATGCAGACTCTGAAGCAGGCAAGTATAGGGGTTCACCTTTTGGAGGAACAGAAAGGAAGCCAGTATGACTGAGACCAAGTGAGCATGAGGGCGAGTGATAGGGGATGTCAGAGACCCCGTGGAGCTCTACACACTGCTGCAGGAAGCTTGGATTTATTGTAAGAGCAATGAGATGCCACAGGAAGGACTATAAGGGAAAGACATGATCTGATTCATTTTTAAAATACCCACTCTGGCTGCGGTAGCCATAGGGCTGCAGGGGACAAGAGTAGACACAGGCAGACTTGTCAGGAAACTCATGTAGAAATCCAGGTGAAGCTAGGCACGGTGGCTCACGCCTGTAATCCCAGCACTTTGGGGGGCCGAGGCGGGCAGATCACAAGGTCAGGAGATCAAGACCATCCTGGCTAACATGGTGAAACCCCGTCTCTACTAAAAATACAAAAAAATTAGCCGGGCGTGGTGGCGGGCACCTGTAGTCCCAGCTACTCGGGAGGCTGAAGCAGGAGAATGGCGTGAACCCGGGAGGTGGAGCTTGTAGTGAGCCGAGATCGCGCGCCACTGCACTCCAGCCTGGGCGACAGAGCGAGACTCGTCTCAAAAAAAAAAAAGAAAAGAAAAGAAATCCAGGTGAGAAGTGACCACAACTGGACAACTGGAGTGAGTGTGTTAGCAGCAGAAATTAATAAATTCAGGAAATATTCTTGAGATAAAACTGATAGAACTTTCATTGGGTGCATTGTACTTGAAGGTGAGGCAAGAAGAATAGATTTTCTTTAGCTTGAGTAACTTCAAGATATTTTCTTAGATGGGGGAGACTGAAGGAAGAACAAGGCTGGAAGGGAAATCAAGACTTCTGTTTGAAAAAGTATAGTCAATTTGAGAAACATATGATACATGCAAATGGAGATGTCCAGGAGGCAGTTGAATATGTAAGTGTCAGACTCAGAGAAGAGAGAGAATATAAAAATTTAGAAGGCAGCAGCATAGAAATGCTAAACTCTTGAGTGAGTGTGGTTATGACCACCTAGGGGTAAAAGTGTAAATATTTTTTAAAGGAGTCAGGACAGAGCCCGCAAGAATTCAAGAATTCAGAGAGGGTTCAGCAAAGGAGCCTGAGAAGGAGAAACAGTCAGGTGGATGCTAAACTAGGAGACTATGGTGTCACAGAGGCCACGAGAAGGGAGTAGCCAGTTGTGTTAGATGCTGCCTAGAGGTTTAATGAGATAATAATACTAATACATTGGCCGGGCGTGGTGGCTCATGCCTGTAATCCCAGCACTTTGTGAGGCTGAGGTGAGCGGATCACCTAAGGTCAGGAGTTCAAGACCAGCCTGGCCAACATGGTGAAACCCTGTCTCTACTAAAAATACAAAAATTAGCCAGGCATGGTGGTGCATACTTGTAATCCCAGCTACTCTGGAGGCTGAGACAGGAGAATCGCTTGAACCCAGGAGGCGGACTTTGCAGTGAGCCAAGATCATGCCACTGCACTCCAGCCTGGGAAACACAGCAAGCCTCCATCTCAAAATAGTAATAATAATAATAACACTACAACACTACTACTACTACTAGCTAACATCTACTGAGCACTTACAATGTACCACATCTGTTCTAAGACCTTTATGGGTATTAACTCTTTGAATCTTTTTGACAATGCTAACGATAGAGAAGAAACCATTGGATTTGGTAACACAGCGGTCAAATGAAGAGATCTTTCATTCAACAACAATTAATTCCTGACTTGTTCCAGGCAAGCTTGAGGCACTAAGGATGAAAGACAAAGGTCCTGCCTCCATAAGAGCTTAACGTAAAAGAGTAAACAAATAGATATATCATGCAGCCCCATAAGTGTCTCAAAGAAAATGAGCAGGCCAATAATGCTGTTTTTGGTACCCCATGAAAAGGAGATGACAAGTTATTTGAAACAAGAGTGCCCTGGCAGAGGAGAAAGCAAGTGAAATGATCCTGAGCTCAGAGCAAGGATGCCCATGTGCCTGCAGAGCAAAAACCGACAGGGGAGTAGTAGGACATGATGTCATGGACATATCAGGTCAAGTTCAAGGTGAGGTTAGTGACAGGCTCAGATCAAGTGGGGCCTTGTAGGCCTGCTAAGGACTTTAGAGCAGGGGTTCCCAACCCCCGGGCTGTGGACTGGTTTTGTCTGTGGCCTGTTAGGAGCCAGGCTACACAGCAGGAGGTGAGTGGCAGGGGAGCAGGCATTACAGCCTCAACTCCGCCTCCTGTCAGATCAGTGGTGGCATTACATTCTCACAGAAACAAACCCTATCGTGAACTGCGCGTGCGCATGTGAGGGATCTAGCTTGCTGGGTCCTTATGAGAATCTAACTAATGATTGATAGATTGATCTGAAGTGGAACAGTTCCCCCCACCCCTTGAAAAAACTGTCTTCCACGAAACCCGTCCCTGGTGCCAAAAAGGTTGGGGATCCCTGCCTTAGAGGTGAGAACCCTGCCTGAGGTGAGAACCCATTCTGGAGGGTTGAGAGCAAGAGAACTGCATATAATTTATGTTCTAAGGGACTTCTGTGACCAGTGTAGGTATAATGAACCGGGGATGGTGCAAGACAAGAACCCAGCTGGAGGCTACTGCAGTGGACCTGTAGCAGGACGAGGCACAGACAAAACCCCTCAGACACCGAGTTAAAGAAGGAAGGGCTTTATTCGGCTGGGAGCATCAGCAAGACTCATGTCTCAAAAACTGAGCTCCCCGAGTGAGCAATTCCTGTCCCTCTTAAGGGCTTACAACTCTAAGGGGGTCTGCATGAGAGGGTCATGATCGATTGAGCAAGCAGGGGGTACGTCACTGGGGGCTGCATGCACCAGTAATTAGAACAGAACAGAACAGGACAGGGATTTTCACAGTGCTTTTCCATACAATGTATGTAATCTATAGATAACATAACCAATTAGGTCAGGGGTCGATCTTTAACGACCAGGCCCAGGGTGTGGCGCTGGGCTGTCTGCCTGTGGATTTCATTTCTGCCTTTTAGTTTTTACTTCTTTCTTTGGAGGCAGAAATTGGGCATAAGACAATATGCGTGGTGGTCTCCTCCCTTAGACCAGGCAAGAGATGATAGTGGCTTACAAAGATGATGACATTTTAAATGTTAAGAAATGGCCATAGTCAGGATATAGCTCAAAGTTACAATTTGCTAATGGCTTAAAGTCTGAGTGTAAGAGAAAAACAGGCGTCAAGAATGATGCTAAGGTTTTTAGGCACCTGGATAAATAAATGGTGGTGCCATTTGCTGAAATGGGAAACAATGAGGGAAGAGCACATATGGGTGCTGCAGGAAGACTTCATTGGTGGGCACATTATGGTTTTTTTGTTGTTGTTGTTGTTTGTTGTTGTTGTTGAGATGGAGTTTCACTCTTGTTGTGCAGGCTGGATTGCAATGGTGCAATCTTGGCTCACTGCAACTTCCACCTCCCAGGTTCAAGCGATTCTCCTGCCTTAGCCTCCCGAGTAGCTGGGATTACAGGCATGCGCCACCACGCCTAGCTATTTTTTTTGTATTTTTAGCAGAGACGGGGTTTCACCATGTTGGCGAGGCTGGTCTCGAACCCCTGACCTCAGGTAATTCACCCACCTGAGCCTCCCAAAGTGCTGGGATTACAGGCGTAAGCCACTGCACCCAGCCCACCTTATGTTTTACATGCCAAATTGATATTCAAGCGGGGACGATAAATCAATGACTGGTTATAAAACTTGAGTTTAGGGGAAAAACTGAGGCTAGAGATAATTTGGGAAGTTACCAGAATATAGTTAAGGCCATGGAACTGATGACCTCACCCAGGGAATAAGGAAAGTTCTAGAAGAATGAATCTGAGAGGACTAAGCCATTGGTCACTTCAACCTAAAGGCTGGGAAGAGGAGGATTCAGCAAAGGAAACTGACTAAAGAACAATCAGTGAGGTAGGACAACAGAGGTAGAGGCATCCCAGAAGTCAAGTAAAGAAGACTTCTAAGAAAATAAGAGGTTAATGTGTCAAATGAGTAAGATGAAGATGAAGAATTAGCCATTGAATTTCACAAGGCAGCGATCATTGTGACCTCAACAAAAGCCACTGCAGCTAAGTGGAGGGGATGAAAATGTAAGTGGTTCTCTAGAGAAGGGGGAAAAAGGGGGAAAGAGGACATGGATATGATGACTTGCAGGCAATTCAATTGAGAAATTTTTCCTCTAAAGCAGAGCAAAGAAATCATGGTACCTGGACGGGCACATGGGGTTCAAGGAAGGTTTGGGGTTTCTTAAAGATAAGAGTTATTGTGCATTTTGCTGTTGTCGTTGTTGTTGTTTGGTTAGTTGGTTTTAGTTTTTGTTTTTGTTCTTGAGACAGAGTCTTGTTCTGCTGCCCAGGCTGGAGTACAGTGGCATGATCATACCTCACTGTTGCCTCAAACTGCTGAGTCTGAGGTGATGCTCCTGCCTCAGTCTACCAGTAACTGGGGCTACAGGTATGTGCCACCATGCGTGGTTAATAATTTTTTTTTTTTTTTTGTAGAAAGGAGGTCTCACTATGTTGCTCAGGCTGATTTTGAATTCCAGCCTCAAGTGATCCTTCCACCTCGGCCTCTCAAAGTGCTGGGATTACAGATTTGAGGCACCGCATCCGGTCCATTGCACATGTTTGTATGCTGATGGGAATGATCCAGCAGAGGAGGAATACAATGATGCAGGAGAGAGAGGCTAATTTTAGGAGCAAAGAGCTTAAAGAAGTTAGATGGGATTGAAATCCAACATATAGATTGAGGGAAAGGCCTTTAATAAGAGCAAGGACATTTCATCCATTATTAACAGGAAAAAATGTAGAGTACATATGTATAGATGCTGGTATTTTGGTAGATTTCATGGTGGAAAGATATGTAGATCTTTCAGAATTTCTTCTATTCTCAGTGAAGAAAAAAGTGAAATCATCAGCTAAGAGCGAGGAGGAAAGGATGCATAAGGTTGAGGAATGAGAGCACTCACCATAATTTCTGGGACAGCTGGAAAATAAATTGACTGTGGAAATACAGTATGACTGGCAAGCAGCACTGAGAGCCCACTTGAAGTTCAGGGGCATGGATTTAAAGGTCAGTTATCATAGTTGGCATAGTTGTTTGCCTTTCTCTTGCCATTATCTGTTATTCCAAGTGCAGGCAAGGGTTCGATTTAACAAGGCAAGAATGACAGAGGGAGAGAGAATCAAGGGAGTAATTCCATTGTTGGTCCATGGAATATAAGGTGAGGAGAGACAGCAGGACATAAGATAGTGATATATAATGAAAAGTTCATAGGATCAATGGATTTGAAGTCCCTTAAGCTGAAAATTTGATAGGGGGGTTCATGGAGGAGTGAGCTGGAAAGCTAAGACATGGTTAGAGATTAGAGTGCTTGAAATAGTCTGGAAATGGTAGAGCAGTTAACAATGGCTTTGATAGTGGGTGCCTACGATGGGGTGAAGGACAAGATCTTTCCAAGTGAGGAGATCAGAGAACTGAGAAGCCAAATGGATCATCCAAGTGGATATGAAATCTCCATGCATGATGATAGGAGTGGCGGCAGAGAGAAAAGCAGTAAACTAGAGCAGTTTTGGGAGAGTAGAGGAAAGAAGCCTAACCAAATGTGTTGAGAATGAGAGGTGAAGAAATTGAGTCAGTGAGTATAGACAACTCTTTTGACAAGTTCTGCAATGAAGAACAACAGAGAAATGGGGGTGATGCTGGTGGAAGGGGAGAGTCTGAAAATGACATGGGGTCAAGAGTTATTTCAAGATGGAAGATTCTAGAATATGTGTATGATGGTACTGATTAATTAGGGAGAAATTGATGCTGTAGAAGAGAGAGGATAACTGCAGGAAGAAAGTTCTTCAGGAAATGAGAGTGGTATCTAAAGCATAAGTGAAGGATTTTGCTTTTCATTAAAAAAAAAGGCACAATTCTTCCCTGAAATATGAGAAAAGGCAGAATTCATGGGTACAGATGCGGGTAAAGCAATAGATCCATTGTAAGAAAATAAGGGATTTCATGATTGATCACTTCTATTTTCTCGATAAAGAATGGGGCAAAGTCTTCAGCTGGGTGGGGGGGTCAAAGGTGTGAAGTTTAGAGGAGAGTAAGGCAGTTAGTCATCTTCAGAGACTGGGAAAACCAACTTACTAAGGGAATAAAGTGAGCTTGCCAGGCAGTGCCAAGTGACCAGTTGAAATGAAATTGAAATAAACCAGACAGTATGACTGTGCAATTTTGCACAGCAAGAGTCAACTGCTGAGGTGTAGGAAGCGAGTAGATGGACGGCTGGGTTTAATCAGGGTTGAGGTTTTGTCAGAAGTATGATGGATAACCAGAGAGCCAATGGAATGGTGGAAGACATAAGGGAGCAACTGCAATGGCAGACCATGGAATCGAGGCTGGATAAGGAGCAGTCAGTGAGAACATAAGATAAAAATTGGTTTCCCAAAAGATTGGCGGTCCAATGAGGACAAATAATTGCTTTGGGTTGGGTCATTAGTGAGGGGTCATAAATGAGCGAGTGGGGTCAGAGCAAGGATGTTTATAACCAAGTCCCATCTGCTCTGTTACCTTGTGAAGGTGGTGAGGACTGAGCATATCGTGAGCACTTTGTAGATGCATACTCTTTGAATACTTGCTCAATGAATGCTTTGTTTCCACATGTGACCATATGCCAAACACTGACGAAAATATCCTCCCTTCAAGGATCACTCTCTTTAGTTAAAGAGAAAGATGAATGGTGAAATACAAGATCTTAAGTGCTCTAATAAGGGTAACATTCAAAGTGCAACCCAGAGGGATGCAATGACTAACTGTAGAGGCGAATGAAGAAGGGCTTCAAAAGGAGGTAACAATAGCTCATTAGATAGCAGTGGAAGACAAGAGATTCAGCTTCTCTCATTATCAGGGTGTCAGTTTCCCATCTGAGTCCCTTGAAACGCAAGGGCTGATGACTGCGAAGCAACAGGTAAATGACACGAGTTCTTTTCAATATGGCAAGCTCTTGCATGCAAACCTCCACCTTAGGACCCCCGGTTCTAGATGGGGCGTGGGTGCTCAGCGCGTGGGGAATGAGGGGAAGGGAGAAGCAGGAGAGGGGACGAGGGAAGGGGAACACCTACCACCCAGGAAAGACAGCTGAGGCCGTGGCGGGGCTCTGGTGATCAGAGAGGGGGAGATCATTACTGCGGCGCTGGGAAGCAACTCGGTTTCCTTGGCCTCGCGGGACTTGCGGGGCTCACGGGTGTGGCGGAGCTGGCGGGGTTCACGGGCCTTGAGGAGTTTGGGGGCTGCATGGGGCCCATGGAGTTCGTAAGGTGCATAGGAGTCCCGGGGCTTGTGGGGCGCATAGGGAGCGTGGGGCTCATAGGACTCATGAGGCTCATCACATTCCTCGGACTCGTCTCTCTGGTCTTGCTCCCTGACCTCCTCGGGTTCCTCGGGATTCTCGTGTTTCTCGGGATCCTCGGACTCCTCAAGCTCTCTGTGAGTGTCGAGAATCCTGAGCACAATGGGCTTCTGGAAGACTTCGGAGCAAGTGGATATTTCTGTTGAGACCTGCCCATCGGTCACCTCGGACGGCGCAGATGAACTTAGAAACTCTTGGTTCTCCATTCGCGCCAGAAGCTTCTGTCGCGCGCGGGACTCACCCTCCCGACTGGTTGCCCAGGCGCAGTTTGCTCTCTGCGCGATACGATAAGGGCTGCCGGGGCCCCCCGCGCCCAGCCCCGCCCCGAGCCCCGCCCCGAGCCCCGCCCCAGCCCTACACAGCCCCGCCCCGGTCTAGCCCCCGAGCCCCGCCCTAGTCCCACACAGCCCCGCCCCGGCCGGACTCAGCCTCATCTCACTCCGCCTTCCTGCGCGTTGTACGGTTGCCAAGGGGACGCACCACTCTCCAGGACCTTCTGGGCGCATCTGGGGACTAAGAAAAGCCAGAGACAGGTCGGTGGAGATAGGAGACGAGATGCTGACCCTGTTCCCCGTGTCCAGAGCAAGGATTCTCGCCTGCTGTCGTTCGCGGAGGCCCTGGGGTAGAACATGTCAGTTTCTAATCTAGTTAGGGCGCCCCTCAGACCCCAGAGGCAATCTGTAAAGAGCTTGTGCCCAGAGGTTCCTGGACACAATCTCTATACGGGCTTTTGTCCCCTAATCATGCTGGGAGAGGATGCCGAGACTGATAATATTCTAAGGCCCTCAGTTACTAACACTGATTTCCATCAATTTCTAGTTAAATGCACGACCATCAGAATGGAGCGGGGGCGGGGGGCGGGGGGTGTGGGGGAGGTGGATCCACCAGTGCGACATTTGACATAAGCTTACATTCAAGAAGAGTCTCAAACTTGAATGTTTTACTTTATCTCCACATGAAGTTCTATACACAGTCACAAAGAAACACTGACTGGATTAAAAGAAAAATATATTCATCTACAACTTGTGTCTCATTACAGGGCTCACTATCTACTGAAGCATGCTATCAGCTACTTTTTATAAAGGGCTGTAATTATCTTGTGAACAGTACAACTGTGTGCTGTGTTCTGTGGGTGCGTCCATTAATTTGTTAACTGTGGTATCTTTTAAATATACCACACTTCTTGTAACCCTGTTTTTGGCATCCTCTCTTTTTTATCACTTATTATACCAAGAGACTTTAAAAACATAGGTGGCCTGGCCGTCTCTCAATCCTTGAGGAGTGCTTTCAGCTAATTTTCATGGTGGTGACAGTGTGATAGAGGGGAATAGAAGTGGTGGAGTTTTACTGATGTGTTTATTTTCAAGGGAAGGGACTAGAGGTGTTGAGGAATAAGTTGTCTGTTAAAATATTTAGTAAACCCAAGTACCCCTTTTGCTCGTTACTGGGTATTCCTTGTATGTACTTAGTCTCATAGATGCTAAGAAAAGTTAGAAGAGAAATATTTTGGATTGTGAATGTTATCTGGAATGGAACTAGAAGATTCATTCTAGCATGTGCGTATATGAATCGGAATCTCCTTCAACCTTACTTTGATAGAGATGTGTGTAATATTGTATGGAAGTTCAGGAAATATCCCCCAAAACTTGGAAGGAGAAATAAAGCTACTCTCAGAGAGTTTTAACTCAACCTTTAAACCAATCAGGGAGGAGTTATGTAAATCCACCTTAAAGAGGCAGGATGGCCCTTAAATCAGTAAAAGTAGTCCCTGGTTACATGAAATGTCTTCGAAAGTCCAAAGAACATGTCAATTGAAAGAGGGGGATTCAGGCCACTGTGAATGTACAGAATGAGCATCATAGAGGCTGTGCCTTCTCAAAAACTGCAGAAAGGAGGGGATCTAAGCCAATAGACTGCAATTGTTACAGCCTATCTTTTAGGCCCACTTGCTATGAATGTGGTGCCACTGTATATCAAAATATTCATGTTTAGCTTTCTTTCCTTCTTTTTTATTTGGGACAGGGTCTGGCTCTGTCGTCCAGGCTGGAGTGCAGTGGAGCAATCTTGACTCACTGCAACTTCTGCCTCTTGAACTCACACCATTCTCCCACCTCAGCCTCTTGAGTGGCTGGGACTACAGGCGCATGCCACCACGCCTGGCTAATTTTTGGTATTTTTTTGTAGAGACAGGGTTTTGCCATGTTGCCCAGGATGGTCTCAAACTCCTGAGCTCAAGCGATCCACCCACTTTGGCCTCCCAAAGTGCTGGGGTTACAGGCATGAGCCACTGCACTGGGCACAGGCAGCTTTCTGACATGACTTGCTTCTCAAGGAGTCTGCTTATTGGGAAAGATTATAATGATCACATAGAATGAATTCTTTTCCAAGTCTGTCTTAGTTCATTTTATGTTGCTATAATAGAATACCTGAGACTGGGTAATTTATAAAGAATTTATTTCTCATAGCTCTGGAGGCTGGGGCATCCAAGTGCATGGCTGTGGCATCTGGTGAGTCTTTCTTGATGCAGCATAGCATAACATGGTGGGAGGGCTGAACATGAAAGAGAGGCACCAGGGCTGGACTCATTTTATAACAACCCACTCCCACCATAATGACATCATGATAAGGTCATGGCAGGCCACCCAGGCCCATCATCATCTCTCTGGATTCTACAGTGGCCTCCGAACTGGTGGAACTTCTGACTTTTACCTTTGATCACCTCCAATCATAACACTCCAAACCATTTTTTTAAATCCTCAAGCTTTGCATTATAAGGTGTTCCATACTCTGGTTATTTTTTCCCTCTCTAGTCTACTTTGAGCCACTCCACCCTTGCTGTCTACATTCTGGCCTCCCTACTCTTCTCTAAAGTGTCAAGCTCTTTCCCATTTCAGTCTCTTCTCACACCTGTTCCCACTGCGTGGAGCCCATTTCTTCCCACTGTTTACATACTGGCTCTTTTCTAGCCTCTGGGGCTCAGCTTAAATATTACCCACTCAAAGAGGTCTTTCCAGCCCATATTAATTTTAAAAATGTTCCCACCATTATTTTCTATTTCATTTCCTTGCTTCAACATAATTTGTAATTATTTCATCTGCTTGTTTATTTTTGTGTATTTCCCCAGCTAGAATGTAAGCTCCTTAAAGACAGTGAAATTCTCTGTCCTGGTTACTGGTATATTCCCTGTGCCAAGCACAGTGAATGACTGTGAATAGCTGTCATTATTTCGTTTTCCTGCCTAGAATCCCTTCCCTCTTCTTCTGAAGGCAGAACCCCTCCTTTCTGCAGGGAACTCATTCAGTATAGTTTAAGGGGCTGATCCTTCCTTCTAACCCAGGTCTGACCAATCCAGCCACAGTAATTGGTTCAAGGATGAATATGCAACCCCAGAAGAGCCAATTGGTATCCCTCCGTGAGATTTAATGGATGTCTGCTCAGAAAAGGAAGGTCCATCTTACTCTGAGATCATGAGCTATAAGAATGGCTTGTGTTGACAGCAGTCATCTTGCTGCTCTGAGGAGGGAATCTGAGAATCAAACCAAGCAGAGGTTGGCAGGGCCAGGACATGGAGAGACAGTCTTATCTTTGAACTTCTGAACTCCTGAATCCACCCATGCCCAGATTTTCCAGGATGATGAAGAAAAAAAAATTCTTTTTTTGTGGGGGTACACACAAATTTGAGTTGAATTTCCGTTAAAAAAATTTTTGTAGAGACAGGGTCTTTCTATGTTGCCTAGGTTGCTCTCTAACTCCTGGCCTCCAGCAGTCCTCCTGCTTCTGCCTCCCAAAGTGCTGGGATTACAGGCCTGAGCCACTGTGCCCAGCCTTTTTGAACAAGGTCTCATTCCATTGCCCAAGCTGAAGTGCAGTGGTGCAATCACTGCTCACTGCAGCCTTGACTTCCCCAGGCACAAGTGATCCTCCCATCTTAGCCTCCCAAGTAGCTGGGACTACAGGTATGCACTATCACATCTGGCTAGTTTGTTGTTTGTTTGTTTCTGGTGTGTATTTTTTGAAGAGATGGGGTATCACCAAGTTGCCCAGGCTGGTCTCAAACTCCTTGGCTCAAGTGATCCACCTACCTTGGTCTCCCAAAGTGCTGGGATTACAGGCGTGATCCACTGCATCCAGCCTGAATTTCCTTTTAACTGAATTTATTTTTAGCTGAAAGAGTTCTGGCACATTTTCTGGCACATGGTGCTCCCAAAATGTTTACTGAATGAAAAGGCAGATCCACTCTTGGTGTGCTAACTAAACCTACTTTCTAACATGACTCAGCTTCTCAAACCTGGAATGCTTGTAAGCCCGGAAGGCTGGCAACAGACACGAGATTGTGGTAAAGTCTCCAAGGTCGTATGCCACCCCATTAGGCCCATTGGGCAGGCTACCAGCCAGGCAGCCTCTCTGACAATACGCCAATCTGTCTTGTTGTCTAGTGCCATTTCTGTTAGAAACCCCCATGACACAAACCCTCATCGTTAGCCTGAGAGCATCTCAAGTACAGAATCCCTGCTTTGTTCACCCTGGTGTCAAGCAATGACTGCCATGTTGGCACTCCATAACTGTCCACTGAAGGAAAAACTCCAGCCACAACACTTGTTGCCAAAATGCAGAATCTAAAATCAGAATCTGAGATTAAAAAGACCAAACAGGGAAGAACAGAGATATTGTTCCCCATCCTGAAAGCTTTTGGCCTTATCTTTGAAATAAGCATCCAGAAACTTCTCTATGTCCCTGATCACCTTAGAAAACCTAGGGAAGGGACAAGCACATAGAATCAGAGTTTAGGGCTGGAAGTGGTCTGCATCTCACTTGATCTTTTTACAAGGACAAGACCAAGACAGTCAAGGAATTCATCCAGGGGTCCATTCGCGGTAATCCTTGGGGCAGAGGTTAAAATCCAACATTTCTGACAATTCCGAATCATTGTGTGATCCACCCTCCATAGGCCAGACAAGAAGAAGGTTTAACATTAGACACCTGAGTGGCTGCTGTGATAAGATACCATTAAACATGATGGCGTGGTGCTGATATGAGAAAGGTAATGATTTTAAAGGCTCACTCTCCAATGTCTCATCTCGCAGAGGGCAATCATCATTTTGCACATGCATGCATAAATTCAATTGTGTTCTATTTTAACCTAAAACTAGAGACAGTTATGTGCTAATATTGAGAGGGGTTATCTTCACCAAATTTGGATTTTTTTTTTTTTTTTTGAGACAGGGTCTCACTATGTTTCCCAGGCTGGTCTCAAACTCATAGGTTCAAATGATCCTCCTGCCTCAGACTCCCAAAGTGTTGGAATTACAGGTGTGAGCCACCACGTCTGACCCCATATTTGTATTATTTCACCACAGATTCCAAATTTTATTTTATTTTATTTTGTTTATTTTTCTTGAGATGGAGTCTTGCTCTGTTGCCCAGGCTGGAGTACAGTGGTGCGGTCTTGGCTCACTGCAACCTCTGCCTCCTGGGTTCAAGCGATTCTCCTGCCTCAGCCTCCCGAGTAGCTGGGATTACAGGTGCCTACCACCACCCCTGGCTAATTTTTTGTATTTTTAGTAGAGACAGGTTTTCACCATGTTGGCCAGGCTGCTTTTGAACTCCTGACCTCATGATCCGCCCGCCTCGGCCTCCCAAAGTTCTGGGATTACAGGTGTGAGCCACCACGCCTGACCCCATATTTGTATTATTTCACCACAGATTCCAAATTTTAAAAGGAAGGATTTATAGAGCAAACTCTCTTTACAATTTTTCTTAAAACCAAAGCAAGGCACTATAGTTACAAGTTGGATTTACAGAGTGTCTGCAAATAAATATAGTTATCACTCTTTCTAGTGAAGAAAGTTTATCTATATAAAAGCAAAATGTTAAGAATTTTAAAAACAAATCCCCACAATGTTCCTCATCTCGTCTAACAAGCTCCTGGAAAAGAAGCCCTTCCTAACTCTTTCTGAATACTGTTAATGTTTATTTCTCTGGGGGTTTGACAAAGTTCACTGTCCTCATTGTCCTACCCTGATATTTCTTATAGTGTTAAACAGATCCACTTAATGGAAAGACACCCAGTTTTTTACTTGAAAAGAGAAAACATACTAAAATATATTCAAGGCCAGGTGCAGTGGCTCATTCCTGTAATCCCAGGACTTTATGAGACCGAGGTGGGCAGATCGCTTGAGCTCAGGAATTCGAGACCAGCCTGAGCCACATGGCAAAACCCCATCTCTGCTAAAAATAGAAAAATTAGCCGGGCATGGTGGCGTGCACCTCTGGTCCCAGCTACTTGGGAGACTGAGGAGGGAGGATCACCTGAGCTGAGATCATGCCACTGCACTCCAGCCTGGGCAACAGAGTGAGACCCTATCCACCCCCACAAAAAAATTTCATATAAATTTCATGCCATTGCAAAACAATAAATGGGACAAATGCTTGCTAATGTTCATTTTACCTTTGTTGATTAAAAATCCCAATACCCCCAATACACTGTTTTACAAATATTTTTAACATTCAAAATCCAAATAGAGATGCTGTTATTATGTTAGCATTATCTTTGTACAGTTGTCCGTTGGTATTCTCAGGGAGACTGATTCCAAGATCCTCACAGGCAAATGTGGATGCTCAAGCTCCTGATGGAAAATGGCATATTTACATATAACCTACACACTTCTACTCGTGTATTTTAAATCATCTTTAGATTACTTATAATACCTAATACAATGAAAATGCTATGTAAATAGTTGTTATATTGTATTTTAAAATGTGTATTATTTTTATTGTTGTGTTATTATTCTTCAGTGGGTTTACTTTTTGAATGTTTTGGATCCACAGTTCTTGAATCCCCAGATGTGGAACCCATGGATATGGAGGGCTAACTATATACATCCCATGCACTGAGAAAATAGGAAATGGCTTAATTTTTATTTGAGGTGGAAACCTTTGGCTTCAAGCCTGCCATTCAACACTGATGACATCTCAGTCGTGAGCCGCACAGTGGGCTGAGTCCTGGTCACTGCACATCTGCAGCCAGCTGTGCAATCAAGTCTTTGGCATCTTGCATGGTGGAGGGTATCTCTGAGCCATTCTTAGTCAGGTAGGTTCCAAACAAGAACATCTTCCTGTCATTTCCCACTTCAGATAATGCCAAAGCTTCATGGATATCTGTAATGTGATAGGCTGCTTCAAGATCCTTCATCCGGAGTGGAATAAGAATAGGACAAAGTTGGTTATTTTGCAATCCTTTCAGATAAACACATTTATTACTCTTATTTATTGCTCTCAGTGACCACACCATTTTCATATAGAGGCTATTGTGACTCCATTATTATGAGCCCAGAGGTTGTTTGAATAAAAAGGTTTTCATCAGAATTATGCCAGCATTTATGAGTTATCCAAAAAAAAGTATATTCTGGAATGAAGCTAAGCCAATATAATACCTTAATTTTCTAAACGGTGCAGTCAATCTGTTTCTAATTTTGTTTGTTTGTTGTTTGTTTAAAGACAGGATCTTGCTTTGTCGCCCAGGCTGGAGTGCAGTGGCGCAATCTTGACTCACCGCAACCTCCGCCTCCCACGTTCAAGCAATTCTCCTGCCTCACCCTCCTGAGTAGCTGGGACTACAGGTGTGTGCCACCACGCCCCACTCATTTTTAAAAATCTTTTGTAAAGAGGAGCATCTTGCTATGTTGCTCAGGCTGGTGTCAAACTCCTGGCCTCAAGCAATCCTTCCACCTAGGCCTCCCTAACTGCTGGGATTACAGGCATGAGCCACTGCACCCAGACTAATTTTGTTTTTCCATTTTCCTTTTAGTCTTCTAAGATTATTTCAACAGGAGCAATTATTTTTATTTATATTTAATAACAGAAATTTGATTCATCTATTGTTTTAGGTCTATATGATACTTTACCAATTATAGTTCTTGCCACTGTGAGTTTTCTTTTGTGCTCATTATTTCTACTGAACAAAAAAATCCTCAACCAATTTTGGGGAGTAGAGGAAGACAGAGAAGAGAATGGAGAGGGAACAGATTCAGACAACGTGCAGTGGGAAAAGGAGGTTCAGAGGAGAGACAGGGAAAGAGATGGGGGAGGCTTGGAAGAGGGAAACCCACAGGAAGAGGCAGAGGGGGAAGACAGGAAGCCTGTGCTTAGGCCGCATGCCAGGGCCAAAACCTCCTTACGATGGAAATGGCAAGGTCAAAACATACATCTTTAACTCTCATACACCAAGAATTATTTAAGCAAATGACCTGTGACATTCCCTTTCATAAATAACACAGATTCAGCTATAGTTTTCCAGTCCTTTGTAAAAGTTTTTTCACTTCTAAAATTGCATTTGTAATTGGCTTTTTGTTATTTCATAGCATTCCCCCTAAGTTTTAGAAGATCATCATTTTTAAATCTCTGGAAATAACCTAATATTGTGTCTTTTTTTTTTCCTGTATCATATGAACCTATTTTTTTTTGAGACGGAATCTCACCCTGTCACCCAGACTGGAGTGCAGTGGTGCAATCTCGGCTCACTGCAACCTCCGCCTCCCAGGTTCAAGCGATTCCCCTGCCTCAGCCTCCCAAGTAGCTGGGATTACAGGTGTGCGCCACCACACCCAGCTAATTTTTCTATTTTTAGTAGAGACGGGTTTTCACCATGTTGGCCAGGCTGGTCTCGAACTCCTGACCTCAGGTGTTCCGCCCGCCTTGGCCTTCCAAAGTGCTGGGATTATAGGCATGGGCCACTGTGCATGTCCCGAACCTATCAAATTCTATCACTTGGAGCCTGTGGGGCTTTTCCTGATGTGCTTAAGCCTGGGAGGTGGAGCTTGCAGTGAGCCGAGATCACACCACTGTACTCCAGCTTGGGTGATGGAGTGAGACTCTGTCAAAAAAAAAAAAGAAAAGAAAAGAAAAGAGAGGAGTGGAGGGGAGGGAAGGGAAGAAAATCTTTTGTATAAAAGTAAGCAAAGTAAAATGATAAGCCACCAGATGCTGGAAAAGATAATTGTAATGCACATAACTAACAAAGAATTATTTTTTCCAAATGATATGAAAGACTCCTACAACTGAAATAAGAAAGATAAACACCCTAGTAGGAATTTGGGAAAACATATTAATAGGCAATTTACAGATGTGGAGACTAATAAACATCTGAAAAAATGTTCAAACTCACAAGTAGTTAAGGAAATGCACATTAGAATAATAAAAAACAAGTTCACCCATCAGATTGGCAAAAATGAAAAAGTCTGATAATACCAAGTATTGACAAGGATGTAGAGCTGCAAAAACTGTCATATTCTGCTGGTGGAAGAATAAATTTGTGCAACATCTTTGGAAAGTAACTTGGTGATACCTAATAAAACAGAATATGTACAAATCCAAAATCCCAGCAATTATTTTAGGTATATCCACCAGCAAAATGTTCATAGACATCCACAAAGGGACACATACATGAAGGCTCACTGGCAGCACTGTTAAGAACAATAAAAAATTGGAAATAACTCAAAATTCCTGGCAGTAAGAAAATGATAACATTTTGGTATATTAATGCTATGGAATACTATACAGCTCACTTACATGTACCATGATCTTCTAAATCTTTGTAGTTTATGGTACTTAAGATGCTCCACTTAAAACAATAAAAGCATCAGCCTCTCTCTTTTTTTTTTTTTTTTGTTTTTTGGGGCGGAGTGTCACTCTGTCACCCAGGCTGGAGTGCAGTGGCACGACCTCGGCTCACTGCAACCTCCACCTCCCGGGTTCAAGTGATTCTCCTGCCTCAGCCTCCTGAACAGCTGGGACTACAGTCATGCACCACCACGCCTGGCTAATTTTTGTATTTTTTAGTAGAGACAGGGTTTCACCATGTTGGCCAGGCTGGTCTCGAACTCCTGACCTCCTGATCCAACCACCTCGGCCTCCCAAAGTGCTGGGATTACAGGCATGAGCCACCACGCCCGGCCCAACCTCTCTTTTAAAATGCCAGCAAAATGTCAAAATCTGCCGGACTAGCTTCTGTACTGGACTTTAACATAGGCTCCTATTTTAGGTCATCATTTATAATTACTTAGTTTACTTCCATATACGTTCACCCATAGAAGTGGTAGGAGAAAAGTCAGGAATTGAGCTCTTCTATGATTGGCAAACCTAACAATTGAGAAAGGGACTTCAGCATTACAATATTATAGATGTTTAAATTTTTTTCAATTTTTATTGTGTTAAATACATGTAACAAAATTTTTCTCCTTAACCATTTTTAAGTGTACAGTTCAGTGGCATTAAGTATATTTACATTGTTATACAACTATCACCACCATCCATCTCCAAAACTTTTTTTCTACAAAACTGAAACTCTGTATCCATTAAACGATAACTACACATTCCTCCCTCCCACAACCCATGGAAATCACCACTCCACTTTCTATTTCTATGAATCTGACAACTCTAGGTACCTCGTATAAATGGAATCATATAGTATTTGCCCTTTTGTGACTGGCTTATTCACTTAGCATAATGTTCTCAAGGTTCATCCATGTCAGAACATGTGTCTGAATTTCCTTCCCTTTTAAGGCTGAACAAGATCCCATTGTAGCCAGGTGCGGTGGTTCACACCTGTAATCCCAGAACTTTGGGAGGCCCAGGTGGGTGGATCACTTGAGGCCAAAAGTTCGAGATCAGCGTGGCCAACATGGAGAAACTCTGTCTCTACTAAAAATACAAAAATTAGCTGGGTGTGGTGGCATGTGCCTGTAGTCCCAGCTACTCAGGAGGTTGAGGCATGAGAATCACTTGAACCTGGGAGGCGGAGGTTGTGGTTAGCCGAAATTGCGCCATTGCACTCCAGCCTGTGAGACAGAGCAAGACTCTGTCTCAAAAAAAAAAAAAAGTCAGGAGTGGTGGCGCATGCCTGTAATCCTAGCCACTTGGGAGGCTGAGGCATGCGACTCACTTGAACCCAGGAGGTAATGAGCTGAGATCACACCACTGCACTCCAGCCTGGGTGCTAGAGCAGAACTCTGCCTTAAAAAAAAAAAATCCCTTTGCATGTGCATACCGTATTTTATATATCCATTTATCTTGGGTAGCTTCCATTTTTGGCTGTTATGAGTAATGCTGCTATGAACATATCATAAAAAACATAAAACATACAAAACAAAACAATATAAAACATAAAGAAACATAAAACAGCCAAACATATGAACATCAATTTGAGTCCCTGCTTTTAATTCTTTTCACTGTATACCCAGAAGTGGAATTGCTGCATCATAAGGGAATTCTATTTTGATTTTTTTTTTGAGCCTGTCGCCCAGGCTGGAGTGCAGTGGCGCGATCTTGGTTCGCTGCAATCTCCGCCTCCCAGGTTCACGCCATTCTCCTGCCTCAGCCTCCCGAGTAGCTGGGACTACAGGTGACCACCACTAAGCCCGGCTAATCTTTTGTATTTTAGTAGAGACAGGGTTTCACCATGTTAGCCAGGATGGTCTAAATCTCCTGACCTCGTGATCCCCCACCCCTGCCCTCCCAAAGTGCTGGGATTACAGGCGTGAGCCACCGTGCCCAGCCTCTATTTTTGATTCTTTTGCGGAACCATGTTACAGTTTTCTATAGCAGCTCTACCATTTTACATTCTCACCAACAGTGCACAAGGGTTCCAAATTCTCCACATATATTTAATATTTTTAATGCATGTGTAGAATAAGTTCAGGTCAGTCTGATAGGTCTAAAGCAAAATGATTTTTTTATACATGGTAGCCACTCAAATATTTTGTTGAATCAAATTTAACAATATGTATTTATTGAACTAAGTTCAACACACATCTGTTGAATTCCTAGCATGCACAAGACAGTATACTAGGTATTACAAGGGACACAAAAATGAACAACAGTCTCTACCCTCAAGGTGTTTATAATCCAAGAGCTCTAATAAACATAAACTGAGTTAAATATATAGCATATTGTTGACTATCTAGGTATTAAAAGTATACATTTCTTGTATTACAAAACTCTTGAGTACAATTTATATTTGCACAGATTTTTACCTGTTTGTTTGCAAACACAACCAGAGGAAGTACTGGGTTTGCTGCAATTAGCTGATGAAGGTATTTCTTGGCTTCAGGTAATCGGCTGTGATCTGCTGAATCCACCACAAAGATCAGCAGCAATCCCTTGGATAGGTACATTTCCCAGTAGGACCGAAAAGGTTTACTGCCACCAACTACAGAGAATAGTAGAGGAAGAAGACACACACACACAAAATCACAGAAGCACCCACCCAGGGAGCAGGGAGGGCACATCTAGATTTCTGAACACAGGACAGGTGTTTTGATAAAATATCACCGTGTTAGAGTGTACCCAGTCCTCAGAGTGACCAGAGGCATGTTAGCGGTAAACTGGTTGGTGAGAAGAACCATCACAAGTGGTTCATTCATAACTGTATCACAAAGGATCAGCAGAGAGATGCTAAATACTACAGTGGATGTCTCCTGATCCCATTGTCCACAGCAGCCATGTCAGCCACTGCATGTTTATCAGTTATAGCTCAGAAAATGGGAGTAAGGCCAGGTGCAGTTGCTCACGCCTGTAATCCCAACATTTTGGGAGGCTGAGGCAGGAGGACTGTTTGAGCCCAATAGTTCAAGACCAGCCTGGGCGACAGGGTGAGGCCCTGTCTCTACAAAAATAAAAACTAAAAAATGAGCCGGTGTGGTGGTGCATGCCTATGGTGCATGCCTATGGTGCATGCCTGTGGTGCTACCGACTAGAGAGGTTGAAGTGGGAGGATCACTTGAGCCCAGGAAGTGCAGTGGTGTGAACAGGGCTACAATGAGCTGTGTTTGCGCCACCACACTCCAGAGTGAGACCCCCATCTATCTAAAAAAAAAGAAAAGAAAAAGAAAATGGGAGTATGCTACTAAAATAATTAAGAATGGAAAGGATGGTAGGCTAAAATACACATTAAAATAATTTTTAAATGAACTGAATTCATTGGCTAGTCTCACTTGCACAATTTTTTTCCTTTGTCAAAATCCCAGAAGTAACTTCTCCTCTTAATATTGCATTGAGTTAATATGATCCTGTGGGTATTCAGGAATATTTGCTTCAGAAAAAAAAAATGCCTTTTGATTACTTCATCCTGCTGATTCTTCACGGAATAAACTTTTTGGTTAATGATAATAACATATATACAATGGATTTTATTTTTGTCCTAGGAGGAGTATTGGCAAACCATGGCCCACAGTTCAAATCTGACCAACTGCCTATTTTTGTACAGCTCGCTAGGTAAAAATAGCTTTTACATGTCTAAATTTTGGAGAAAAAAAAAGACAGAATAACATTTTCTAACACAGGACTATTATATCAAATTTAGATTTTGGTGCCCAGAAATAAACTTTTATAGTAACACTGACATATATATACAACATATTGTCTATGACTGCTTTCTCAAGACAGAGTTGAGTGGTTGCAACAGAGAGCATGTGGCCTGCAAAGCATAAATTAGTTCCTATGTAGTTCTTGACAGAAAAACTTTTTGGACCTCTGTTTCAAGAACTTAACAAAAAGTATTTTAAATGCTAACAAGAAAGGATCTTTGCCTTTCCTTTGGCTTCCTTTCTATAGAGGTAGGCTAGTCATTCCTTGAAGTATTTTCTGTTTTTAATTTGTTAAAATAGTGCTGTGTAACTCATATGGTTTTAACACACATAGTTTAAACATCAGTGGACGTTTGAGTTGTTCCTCATTTCTTGCTACAATAAACAATGCTGCTCTAAACATTTTTGTATTTGTCTCCTGAGGTCCATACAAGCAAGAGTTTCTCCTTGTATCTAAGCATGTAACTAATGCCAAATACACCAAATTGTTTTCCAAAGAAGTTGGTACCAATACACACTCTGCCAACAGCTAATAGCCAGTAAGTTTCCTCTACATCCACATCCTCTTTTTATTTTTATTTTATTTTTTCCTTGAGACAAGGTTGTGCTCTGTCATCCAGGCTGGAGGGCAGTGGTGCAATCTCCACTCACTGCAACCTCTGCCTTCTGGGCTCAAGCGATCCTCCTTTCTCAGCCTCACCAGTAGCTGGGACTACAAGCACGAGCCACCATGCTTGGCTAATTTTGTATTTTCTGTAGAGCTGGGTTTCGCCATGTCACCCAGGCTGGTCTTGAACCCTTGAACTCCAGTGATCCACCCACCTTGGCTTCCCAAAGTGCTGGGATTACAGGTGTGAGCCACTGCACCCAGCTGCATCCTCTTCAAAACTTGATATTATCAGATTTCTTTTTCTTTTTCTTTTTTTTTTTTTTTTTTGCCTAATTTGAATTCTACTTACTGATCAAGTGGAGTATTTTTCATATGTTCACTTCTAATTTATGTGAAATGTTATTCACGTCTTTTGCCAATGTTTTTATGTTGTCTTTATTTGTAGGAGTTCTTTATATATTCTGGACACTAGGCATTTGCTTGGATGTGTTGCATGTATCTTCCCCTATTTTGTGGCATCTTTTTAATGAACAGATGTTTTCCATTTTAATGTAGTTAAATTTATCCATCTTTCTTATGGTTATTATTTTTTGTATCCTGTTTAAAAAATCTTTCTCTATCCTGAAGTCATAAGGATAGTCTATATTTTCTCCACAAAGCTTTTTACATTTGGCTTTTATCCATCGGAAATTGATGTATACATTTGTATGCATAGGAGGCAGGAAACTAATTTCATCTTTATTCCATGTGGTCCCTGCACCATTTATTGAATAGTTTCCCCAGTGGACTCTCTAGTCTGTTCCTTTGGTCGTTTTGTTTATTCTTGTGCCAACACCACGCATTTTAGTTTCATATCTTTATAATAAGATTTGATACTTGACAGGACAAGTCCATCCTTCTTATTAATTTCTACAAGAGTGTCTTGGCTTTCTTTACCCCTTTGCTCACCCATGTAAATTTTAGCCTCAGCTTGTCAAACTCTTTTTAAAAAATCTTGTTGAGCTATTGATTGGAATTGAATTGTATCTAAACGTCAATTTGGGGAGAATTAATTCTTTTGATATAATGTCTACCTATTCATGAAAACTGTATTATGTCTCTATTTAGGTCTTTTGATTTCAATGACATCTACACATTTTCTCTTTATAGATAGACACTTTTTTTGTTTGATTTATTCCTATCTTTTGTTGCTATTGAAAATGGCTACATGCTGCTGCATAACAGAAATACAATTAATTTTATATTTTTATATACAGTTGTCTTGCCAAGCTGTTATAATTTCTAATAATTTGAAGGGTGTTTTAGGCTTTCTTTGAAGACAATTATATCATTTGTAAATAAGTACTGTTTTATTTCTTCCTCTCTAATTCTTACGCCTTTTATTTCTTTTTCTCAAACTGACTAGACCCTCCTGTATAATGTTGAATGAAAGTACTTCTAACATTTAGTACTTTCTGTTTAGGAGTAAAGTTTTCTGAGGTTTTGGTAGGTTAAGGAATTCCCATTTATTTTTAGCTTATTAAGAATTTTTATCATAAATGGAAACTGAATTTAGCAGATTTTTTTCTGCTTATATTAAGGTGATTATGTTTTTTACTTTGATGGATAAAGTGGTGAATGACATATTTTTTTCAAATTTTTTTTTTTTTTTTTGAGATGGAGTTTTGCTCTTGTCATCCAGACTGGATGGAGTGCAGTGGCACAATCTCAGCCCACTGCAATCTCCACCACCTGGGTTGAAGCAATTCTTCTGCTTCAGCCTCCTGAGTAGCTGGGATTACAGGCACCTGCCACCATGCCCGGCTAATTTTTGTATTTTTAGTAGAGACAGGGTTTCACCATGTTGGGCCAGGTTGATCTTGAACTCCTGACTTTAGGTGAGTGATCCGCCCCCTTGGCCTCCCAAAGTGCTGGAGTTACAGGCATAAGCCACCACACCTGGCTATTTTTCAAATGTTAAACCAACCTTTCATTCTTGAAGAAACTCATCTAGTGATACATTATCTCTTTAATATGTTAACTGAATTTAGTTTACTACAATTTTGTTCAGATTTCTACATTTCCATTTCTTATACTATCTTTGCTGGTTTGGATATACAGTGACCTCATACCGTGAGTTGGAGAGCATTTCTTTTTTTCCCCTATTCTCTGAAAGAATTTATGTAAGATTAAGATTGATAAGAGCCCACCTATAAACAAACTGATCTGGTGTTTTTCATTATAGGATGATTTTTCGCTATTGATTTCTTTAAAAGTTTTAAATTATTCAATATTCCTATTTCTTATTGAGTCCATTTTCCTAAGACACATGTTTGGAGGATTTTTGCCACTTATCCAGGACTTTATATCTATTGGTACAAATTTGTTAATACAGGTATTATACTCTTGTCATCCTAATCAATGATATGCTCTTTTTCCTTCATGACATTATTTATATGTGGTTTCCAGATTTTCCTTAATGAATTTCACCAGAAATTTGTCTATTTTGTTTATCTATTCAAGGAACTAACTTTTGACTTTGCTGATCTTTGCTACTGTGTCTTCATCAATTTCATTGGCTTCGTGTCTTTATTATCTCCCCCTCTACCCTCTTTGGTTTTATTCTGTTGTTCTTTTACCTAATTTACATTGCATATTTAACCTATAAGTGTTCAGCTATTTTCCTTTCAGCTATAATCATTTAAGATTATAAATGCTTTAAATGCTAGTTTTGATCAGTAGATTTTGTCATCTTCTTTTTTGAGACACGGTTTCACTTTGTTGCCCAGGCTGGAATGCAGTGGCGTGATCATGGCTCACTGCAACTTCTGCCTTCTGGGCGCAAGCAATCCTCCTGCCTCAGCCTCCAGAGTAGCTGGGACTACAGGCATGCACCACCATGCTCAGCTCATTTTTTATATTTTTTGTATAGATGGGGTTTTGCCATATTGCCCAGGTTGTTCTCAAACTCCTGGACTCAAGTAATCCACCTGCCCCGGCCTCTCAAAGTGCTGGGATTACAGGTGTGAGCCACCATGCCTGGCCTGAACTCATATTTGATTAATCTTAATTTATGAGAATATTGGGGGGCTTTGCTCCAGAATTAGAAACTGGGGGAGCTACTGACTGGGAGCATGTTAGCACTCTTCCAGGGGCCCTCGTGTCATGCAGGCATCTTAGTTAGTTCTTTCCTATTTTGTCTCAGGCCCACTGCAGATTAAATACTGGTATGTGCCTCTAGATAACACCACTTTTCTCTTTGCTTATCTACTGTGGCTGCCACTCCAGTTTGAACTCATGAGTTGTTTTATTTTTCTTTCTTTGGGAGGAGGGAAAGAGCAGGAAGAGTAAAGCAGGTAGCCTTGAAAATTTGTCTAACTTGTTGCAAGTTCTTCGATGCTTTAAAAAATAAATTTTAACCAGGATTTGTGGTTTTGTCACAGGAAGGCCCTTCAAAAACTATAATAGCAGCTGAAATCTCTCCATTTATTTTTGCCACTACTTTTTAGTGCATAAACTACAAGAATTTTTTAGAGATGATCTGTAGAATGTTGATGAAGAGATATAGGCAAAATTATATGTGAATATATCATTTCTACGAATAGGCTTATACAATGAAACTTCACCTCCCACCAATCCCCAACATACTCCAAGTGTTACACAACAGCATAACAGCCCATACAGATTTATATCACTGAATACCACTGGATGCTGCATCCTAAAAAAAAGCCTCCTTAGAAGCTCTGCCCTGTGGCATTATGAAAATTTACCTAAATTGATGGCTTAATATAGCCACTGTGCAGATACACATTTTAAATCTCAAAGATTGCAAGCGTAAACTGCTGTTCTTTTTCAGGATATTGATGATCATGATAAAAATCGGGAACACAGTTGGCACTTAATGCATTTTTGTTGAATATGTACTATTTGCCAGACATTGGGTATGCATTGTTGAACAAAACAAGTATAGCAAAAGTTACCATCTAGTTGGGTGGACAGATCAAAAACAAAAATAAATAGTGAATGTTATTAAAAACCTTATGGAGAAAGCAAACAGCATTGGGGAACATACTTAGAAAGAATGATTTTACGGGCTGGGCGCAGTGGCTCACACCTGAATCTGAGTACTTTGGGAGGCTAAGGTGGGTGGATCACCTGAGGTCAGGAGTTCGAGACCAGCCTGGCCAACATGGTGAAACCCCGTCTCTACTAAAAATACAAAATAACTAGCTGAGCATGATGGTGTGTGCCTGTAATCCCAGCTACTCAGGAGACTGAGGCAAGAGAATCGCTTGAACCCAGGAGGCAGAGGTTGCAGTGAGCTGAGATCGTGCCACTGCACTCCAGCCTGGGTGACAGAGCAGGACTCTGTCTCAAAAAAAAAAAAAAAAAAAGAATGATTGATTTTGTGGGGCCATGTAAGCTAATACCTGAAGGCTAAGGAGCAAGCCATCAAGGGAAGAGCAGGGGTAGTAGTATTTCTGACAGAAGGCACACCCAAGAAAGCTCTTTTAAAAGGAGAGAAGGAAAGGAGTACAATAAGCCTGGGGTGAGGTAAGGTTAGGGAGGAGGCAGTTTATGAAGAGCCTCATGAGTCATAACAAAGACTCTGGATTTTATTACAAGGATGAGATCTCCACAGAAGAGTTTTAAATTAGCAAATGATGTACTTAAAAGTATGTGTTAAAATACTTCTCTTCGTAAACAGATAAAAGCCAAAGTAAAAAGGTGACTATAATAATCTAAGTAATAGATGATGGAGGTTCCGACTTGCATAGGGGCAGTACAAAGGATATAACCAATGAATTTGAGAGATGCGTTGGAGATAGCAAAATTCATAGTGTTTTACTTGTGTACTGGAGGTGGGAATGCAAAAGGAGGAGTCAAGGGTGACTCCCAGGTTTCTGGCTAGAGCAACTTGATGAGTATGGAACCATTTACTGACCAGAAGATTAAAGGAAAAAGAACAGATATTGGAAAAATCAAGCATTTTGTTTTTCCCTTGTTAGGTTTTAGAGGACTTGGATATGTTTGGGCTGGATAGATAAATTTGGGAGCCATTAGCATATAGATGGTATTTAATGCCATGAGGATGGATGACTGTGTAAAGAGAAGACAAGAGGACTTGACCCAACTTCAGGAGACAGTAATATTTAGAGGTGGTGACTCCAGAATTACTATCCAGTAGGGGCCTGTGGACTGCCATCTATTTAGAAGAAGAGGTTTGGAGCTTGTCTATAATTTTATTTGCAGAGAAGCAAGCACACTGTACTTACACTTAGATTGCATGCTCATTTGCAGTAGTGTGGGAAGAAGGATGATTACAGGAGATTATAGGAGTGAGTGCTAAAGCCTTCCTCTAAATTCCCCTTTATCACCACTACTGTAAAAAGGAGAGTATCAAAAAAGCAAAAAGTGATTCCCCCCACAGTGTACCTGGGTATTAAACTACACATCCATTCTAAAAGTCTAGGAAAATTTGATTCAGTGTTAGTTTTCACAAGGACTCAATGTTGCTAACATCATATCTGGCTTAAGAGACAATAAAATGTGGCTATCTTATAACTAAGGAACAGAGAGCTTACTCTCCAGGAACTCCATCTGGCTGTCTTCAGTGTTGATGCAAACTGCATGGAAACCTTGGGTGGGTGCCACACTGTGCTGGACTCTGTTTGAAGCTAGAGAGTGCAGGACACTGGTTTTTCCTGCTCCATCCAGGCCCAGCACTAGGATTTGCTTGTTTTTCTCCTGTGAAACAAAAAGATAAATCAATAAGCCCATGCTATCAGGGGCTCATTTTTCTGGGTCTTGGCAGAATCCAATAATATTCTTGGAACTGTAACCAGAATAAAACTCCACGGGCCAGGTGCGGTGGCTCACGCCTGTAATCCCAGCACTTTGGGAGGCCGAGGCAGGAGGATCTCTTGAGGTCAGAAGTTCCAGACCAGCCTGGCCAACATGGTGAAACCCCATCTATACTAAAAATACAAAAAATTAGCCAGGTGTGGTGGCGTGCACCTGTAAGTCCAGCTACTTGGGAGGCTGAGGCACAAAAATCACTTGAACCCAGGAGGCAGAGGTTGCAGTGAGCTGAGATCACACACTGAACTCCAGCCTGGGGAACAGAGTGAGACCCTGTCTCCAAAAAAAAAAAAAAAGGGATAAAACTTCACGAATATTTTATACGTCTAGAACAAACAGTACCAACTAGTTAATATTTTCTAATGAGCTGTTCATTATGTGATACTAATTTCACATCCGTCCTCTATCCCCCACCTCCTGATCAGTCTATCAAATAAATACTATACTATCAGCATTTATGAGCAGTGCTATAGATTACAGGACCAATTCTCAGACTTCATTTTGCTTCTTGAATTCGTGTCTATGAATTGGAGACTGCACCTGAATTCATTTTGTTTGGGGTCTTGGGACCTCCGTGGTGCATGTATTGACTGTGCCACTCGGTGCATAAGCATCTAAGGTCTCAATTATTAATTTCTCCTGTCTTCATAATTGAATAACTAGATTGTAAGATCTCAGGGCAAGGTTTCCCTCTTATACTTTTTTTTTTTTTTTTTGAGTTGGAGTCTTGCTCTGTCACCCAGGCTGGAGTGCAGTGGCACGATCTCGGCTCACTGCAACCTCCGCCTCCTGGGTTCAAGCGATTCTCCTGCCTCAGCCTCCCGAGTAGCTGAGATTACAGGAGCATGCCACCACGCTCCGCAATTTGTATTTTTACTACAGACGAGGTTTCACCATGTTGGTCAGGCTGGTCTCGAACTCCTGACCTCGTGATCTGCCCACCTTGGCCTCCCAAAATGCTGGGATTACAGGCATGAGCCACCGCACCCAGCCTCCCTCTTATAATTCTAATATAAGTATCACAATTAAATGAAAAGGTTATAGAAATTATTAAGCCAGTTTCAATCACAAATGAGTATTTGTTTTAAAAACAGATGAACTTGGGAGGCCAAGGCAGGCAGATCACCTGAGGTCAGGAGTTCGAAACCAGCCTGGCCAATATGGTGGAACTCTGTGTCTACTTAAAATACAAAAAATTAGCCAGGCGTGGTGGCAGGCACCTGTAGTCCCAGCTACACGGGAGGCTGAGGCAGGAGAATTGCTTGAACCCAGGAGGTGGAGGTTGCAGTGAGCCAAGATCGTGCCACTGCACTCCAGCCTGGGCGACAGAGCAAGGCTCCATCTTAAAAAAAAAAAAAAAAAAAAAAAATTAGCCCAGTGCAGTGGTGGGTGCCTGTAATCCCAGCTATCTGGGAGGCTGAGGCAGGAGAATTGCTTGAACCTTGGAGGCGGAGGTTGCAGTGAGCCGAGATCACGCCATTGCACTCCAGCCTGGGCAACAGAGCAAGACAACGTCTCAAAAAAAAAACTAAACTGATGAACTTGAAGTAAACTTAGAAAGAAGCATTCTAGTCCAGGCATCGTGGCTCTCATCTGTAATCCCAGCACTTGAGGAGGCTGACGCTGGTGGATCGCTTGAGGCCAAGAGTTTGGAACCAGCCTGGCTATCACGGCATAACCCTGTCTCTACCAAAAATATAAAAATCAGCCGGGCATGGTGGCATATGCCTGTAATCCCAGCTACTTGGGAGGCTGAGGCATGAGAATTGCTTGAACCCGGGAGGTGGAGGTTGCAGGAGCTGAGATGACACCACTGCACTCCAGCCTGGGTGATACAGACTCCATCCCAAAAAAAAAAAACAAAAAAAAGAAAAAGAAAAAGAAAAAAGCATTCTATCAACGTATTAGCCTTAGAATTTTTATGGCAAATGACTGAGGGACAGAAGGGCAGGCTGGTGTGAAGATCGTACAGGGTGCTCTGAAAGGTGGTTTCCAGGGTGTAAACTTTAACATAAACAATAATAAATAAGCAACAATATAGCCAGACTGCTCATAGGAATTCAATTCTACTTCTCAAAGATCCTACTAAAGAAGTTTCTTATGCACAAAAAACTCTAATAATTGTCTTCAATGGCGCTGGTTTAGAAATAACAATAATCGTATACATTTCTGTTTGTTCTGCTTGAACTCTAAATGTTGACATTAGACTTAAACTAGATTTCTAGAAAAAAGTGATCTTAAACAGCATTAGAATGTCTGTCCCACTTTCTTTTTAGAAACATCTATGTGAAAATGAGATATTTTGAGGTCTGGCCTAATAAAGACTTGTACAGAGATCATGATTTATGAAGGCCATATAGTGAATAACAGAATTTGAAAAAAAGTAGGCCGGTGCGGTGGCTCTTACCTGTAATCCCAGCACTTTGGGAGGCCAAGGAGGGCGGATCACCTGAGGTCAGGAGTTCGAGACCAGCCTGACCAACATGGTGAAATCCGGTCTCTAGTAAAAATACAAAATTAGCCGGGCGTGGTGGCGAATGCCAGTAATCCCAGCTACTGGGGAGGCTAAGTAAGGCAGGACAATCACTTGAACCTGGGAGGTGGAGGTTGCAATGAGCTGAGATCGCGCCATTGCACTCCAGCCTGGGCAACATGAGTGAAACTCTGTCTCAAAAAAAAAAGAAAAAGAAAAAATGTACGTATTTGTTCTTGGAGCAAATCTTTGATGGCTCTTAAACTAAATTGTATTTTCATAGATGTCTTCCATCCCTGCCTCTTCTCCATTCCCTTCATTTGCATCTAAATGTTATGATGTCATTCTGAGAGTGTGTCAAGGTAAGGAAGAGGGGCAAGGGAGACTTCATTGGATGGCTTAAAATTGCATGTTTTAAAGCAATACTGGCACCAAGAAATGGCAGCCAAGAGTGGATTGTGTCCTGTCAGTCTTCACCAGAGGCCCTATTCAGCCTACCCCAACATACTTCATTCATTCTAAGATACATATTCCCCCCACATTCCACATTTTAATATCTCTGAAATTAGAATGTCTTTGACAATTGAGAGTATGTCACATTTTGATTGGGAGAATTTTTTTTTTTTTTTTTTGATACAGAATCTCTCTCTGTGGAGTGCAGTGGCACGATCTTGGCTCACTACAACCTCTGCCTCCCAGGTTCACGCGATTTTCCTGCCTCAGCCTCCCGAGTAGCTGGGATTACAGGCACATGCCACCATGCCCAGCTACTTTTTTTGTATTTTTAGTAGAGATGGGGTTTTGCCATGTTGGCTAGGCTGTTCTGGAACTCCTGACCTCAGGTGATCCACCCACCTTGGCCTCCCAAAGTGCCGGGATTACAGGTGTGAGCCACTGCGCCGGCTTTTTTTTCTTTCTTAGTGGTACCTAGACTAATGTCATCTTAGGCCCTATAAAATAGTGTGAATTAAAAGCAGTTCCCAGGCCGGGCACAGTGGCTCATGCCTGTAATCCCAGCACTTTGGGAGGCCAACGCGGGTGGATCGCTTGAGCTCAGGAGTTGAAGACCAGCCTGGGCAACATGGCGAAACCCCATCTCTACCAAAAATACAGAAATTAGCTAGGCACGGCGGTGTGCACCTGTAATCCCAGCTACTTGGGAGGCTGAGGTGGGAGGATGACTTGAGCCTGGGAGGTGGAGGTTGCAGTGAGCCGAGATCACGCCACTGTACTCAAGCCTGGGCGACAGAGCCAGACTCTGTCTCAAAAAAACAAAAACAAAAATATCAGTTCCCTTTCCAACCACGTTGCTGTCCCTACGCCCATCCTACCTAGAAATTCTGCATTCAGGCTTCCTCACATTTACCTTCTCCTAAGGAAAGCTGAATTTGTAAAACAGTTCAGACACAAAATGTGATTCTGAACACCGTTTTTGTCAAAAGTTATTCCTTTAGCCAAATATGAGTCTATGTAGTCTGTGTTTTACCAGAGATCAAATCTCTGTTAATCCGTGGTGGCTCACGCCTGTAATCCCAGCGCTTTGGGAGGCTGAGGCGGGCGGATTGCTGGAGCCCAGGAGTTTGAGATCAGCCTGAGCTACATGGCGAAACTCCAGCTCTGCACAAAAATACAAAAATTAGCTGGACATGGTGGCGTGTGCCTGTAGTGCCAGTCACTGAGGTTGGGAGATGGGGGCGGTGCCAGGCTGAGGTGGGAGGATCCCTCCAGCCTGAGAGGCAGAGTAAGACCCTGTCTCAAAAAAGAACACACACACACACACACACACACACACACACACACACACACACACAACTGTGTTAATCATTCATAATTGTTTAGAACCAGAGCGCAGCTCTAAGCCAAGGAGCCAGCTCAGGAACTCCAGGAGCACAGAGACCATTCAGCTGACCCAAATAATGCCAAGTTTCTAAGACCTGTCAGTTAAAACTTTTCCGCCATCCATTCATGGTACTGGTGGTCTGAAAACAACTGCAGCGTCCCCAAACACCTCCTGCGTTCAGGAACCCTGCCCCTTCTGACAAAGAACGCATTCAATGCAAAGAGGGCCTGCGTGTGGGGAGGGTTCGGGGCTGGTTTCTAAATGTGGTCAGGTGGTCTGTGCGCTAGTGTTGCGCGCTGGACAGATCTAAGGGCAGTAGAGGGGCCGTTCCCCATGTCCCCATGAAGACCGAGATCTCTTGTCCCTCAACAACAGACCCGACTGAGGTTAAGACACAGGGGTAGCGATAAGGGCTAGGGTGGGCAGGGGGCCCGGGAAAAGGGGATGGGTCGTTCAAAGTTTGGCGCATCTCTTTCATCCATAGGTAAATAGCCCTCAGTTGAGATCCATTCGCTCCCACGCGGTCGGGGGCCTCCGACGTAACAGAGACAGCGCTGGGGTCTGAACGGCCGACAAAAGCCTTGGGGCAAGGGGTCCTGGGCACTGGGTCTCTTACCAGCGGCTCGAGCGGGGTCCTTGTCAAGGTGCTGTCCTTGTTCTCCCCTTTCTCTTCTTGTCCCTTAAATTGTTCCTTCTCTTTGTTTGTCTCCTTCCCTTGCTTTGTCCTCTTTTCCTCTTTCTCTTTTCCCTTTCTCCTCTCCTGCTTCTCTTGCTTTTGTTTAATTTTCTGCTCCACCTCCTTTCTTTTCACTTTCTCTTCCCTACCCTTTTCTCCGATTTTCTCCTCCTGCGTCTCCTTTTCCTTCTCTTTCTTCTTCACTTTCCCCCTCTCCATCCCCAGCGCCGCGGTTTCCTTCCCTCCCGCCGCGTGCCCGCGTGCTGAGCGGTGGCTCTGGGCCCCAGGTGTGGCTCCCGAGGTGCACGCCCGACAGAGACGTAGGCCCCGCGGCGTAGACAACCCGCGGGCGCTGCCAACCCCGGCACCGCCGCCAACCGCCGCTTACCTCGCGGATGCAGGGCTTCTTGCAGCCGATTCGCTGAACCCGCAGGGGTTCGCAAAGAGGGAAGGGCGGAGGCGTACGGATGGATTGAGCCCAGCCAAGCGAAACCAAGAGGTCCCAACCAGGACGTGGGACAGTTCGGCGGGGTATATCATTGCTGCAGAAAAAGCGTCCCTAGCGCGATTACCTCGGGCCAGGCAGGGTGGCTAAGAGCCTTCCACGTGGGCCGCAGTCTAAGCAACCTTAGCGTCTGACGTCTCCGGCTTCAATCCCGAGACCGGCCAGCCTGTGTGAAGAACCCCTGGGGCGTCAGAATCCAGAGGTTCCGGGAGGATTCTCAGCCTTCCCTCAGCTCCCAACCATGAGCCTGTACTGCTCATGTCATGTATTTCTCCGCCCTCTCCCGAGTAAACTCCGCTAGGAGTGTCTCCAGACTACTACCCAGGATTATTAGTTGACTATTACCCAGGATTATTAAAGACAAATAGAAGAACGTGAATGGGTTCCATTGTTTTAAGTTCCTGTTTTGTTTTTGAGACGGAGTCTCTGTCACCCAGGCTGGAGTGCAGTGGTGCGATCTCAGCTCACAGCAACCTCCGCCTCCCGGATTCAAGCGATTCTCCTGCCTCAGACTCCCAAGTAGCTGGGATTACAGGCGTGGGCCACCACGCCCGGCTAATTTTTGTATTTTTAGTAGCGACGGGGTTTCACCATGTTGGCCAGACTGGTTTCAAACTCCTGACCTCAAGTGATCCTCCCCGCCTCTGCCTCCCAAAGTGCTGGGATTATAGGCATAAGCCGCCGTGCCCGGCCTGTATTTCACTTTAAAAAAAATTATTCGGAGATAGCCTGCCAGGATCACAGCTGCTAGTAATGCTCAGTATTAAAACCAAAACCAAATAGTCTAGTCACTTCTAATTATCTAATAAATGGTAAATAAGGCACACGAAGGGCTTTTCAAAGGTGGTATTGTTTCTCAAACTGGCTAAGAAATATCTGGAGGGTTCCTTTTATCTTGCTAAACTGAACTCTTTAGTATATTTCAGTTTAGCACAATTATATATTTTTTGAGACAGTCTCGCTCTGTCGGCCAGGCTGGAGTGCAGTGACACAATCTCGGCTCACTACAACTTCCACCTCCCGGGTTCAAGCAATTCTCCTGCCTCAGCCTCCCGAGTAGCTGGGATTACAGGCATGTGCCACCATGCCCAGCTAATTTTTGTATTTTTAGTAGAGACGGAGTTTCACCATGTTGGCCAGGCTGGTCTCGAACTCCTGACTTCAGGTAATCCGCCTGATTGGGCCTCCCAAAGTGCTGGGATTACAGGCATGAGCCACCGCACCCGTCCAGCACAATTATTTTTTGAGACGGAGTTTCACTCTTGTTGCCCAGGCTGGAGTGCAGTGGTCCGATCTCAGCTCACTGCAACCTCTACCTCCCAGGTTCAAGCGATTCTCTTGCCTCAGCCTCGCACGTAGCTGGGATTACAGGCATGAGCCACCATGCCTGGCTAATTTTGTATTTTTAGTAGAGATGGGGTTTCTCCACGTTGGTCAGGCTGGTCTCGAACTTCTGACCTGAGGTGATCTGCCCGCCTCGGCCTCCCAAAGTGCTGGGATTACAGGTGCGAGCCACCGTGCCCGGCCACAATTATTTTTCAATGTAATAAACTTATTTTCCTTCATTGTATCTGTTTCAAATAGACTTGTAAGGAACAATGAATAGCAGGTTCCAGAAGGCTTGAGTGATGCAATGATATTTAAGGTTGGCTGTTCCCAATAGCATTGGAATTGCTATGCTTAATGACTTTTTCAAAGGTTTACTTCTGTTTATACACACACCAAGATGAATTTTCAGTAAGTTTACACGGGGTTCTCTCAATCCCATTAGATTAGTTTTATGGGTTTGCTAAGAGGGACAGTACACACAATTTTGATACTCAGCTTAAAAGAAAATTCTTGGTTATACTAACCAGGAAGTCCTCCATAAAATGCCAACACCCAAAACACCTTAATCCATATTCACTGCTAAAATATTTTATTTTAAAATGTACCACAGTGAATGGATGTATCCATACTGGTTCTTATAAATGTACACATACACATCCATATATTTGACAAAGTATATATATGAACTGGTTAAAGACCTATCCAAAAGAGGAAATATTTCTAGAAAGTTCATGTGTTTATACTTCATTTGACAATTAAAACTTATTTGAACTGATGAAGTTTTAGTTGCTTAGCAATGACTAATAATACCAATGCCTGTCAATAATGACAACTAAATTGAGAACTATAAATTTCACTGCTGTGCCTTGGGTCAAAATTTTCAATGATGGAATCCTAAATAAGTAACAGTTATTCCTATAATGGGGTATATATTCAGAAGGAATAAATACCTGCCACTATTACCAAAAGACTGTTCTCTGTAGAGCTCAAAAAAAGGATTATGCCACAATACATAATTTTTATTTAAAAAAGATCTCTTTAGATGCCACTGCAAATTCTGCTTTTACTAAACAGAAAGGCAGCACCCCATTTCTTTCTTGTAAAGGAGGAAAGTCTTTCATAAAAAACTCTTTGAAGAAGTTTTGGTAGTATGTTCAGAGTCAAACACAGCAGCACTTTATTAACAAGGACAGAGTAATATAATCACAAGGAAATACTTGTTAAGTCTAAATTAAATGATATCTTGGGCAGCATAAAATGAATACTAACAAGGGCAGGCATCTCAATATGTCTGTCTCACAGCTGTTCAATGTGAAAGTAGTTTGTAAGCAAGGAAAGACAAGAGCAACATTTACACCACAAATTGACTGTAAAATACTTCATTACATTGAGAAAGGTAATCAATGGTCAAAATCCATAACCAGAAGGAGACACCATTTGAGTATCTATCAATGGGCCAAACAGACCTGTTAGATTTTAATACTGCCTGGTATGCAACTCAGATACTGATTTCTTCTCTATGGAGGAAGCCAATGTTCATGTTCTTGATAACAGTCATTAATCTTTCTGATTGAGACAGTCCAAACCCATGTGACCTCAGAACACTGGGTCTAAGAGTGAACTTCTTACATTGATATATTTTCCTTGAGTTCTTTCATGGTGCTGTATCAGCATGCTACCATAATCTGAAAATGACATGGGGCACAAAGGAGCCATATATATATATTTCATGTTTATATATATATATATATGTATATATATATACATATATATATATATATAAACATGAAAAGTATCCCATATTCCAGTATCACATGACAGAAAATTTATGGTTAAATTATTTAAGACATTTACTTTATTTTTCTTGTGGCCATCCATTTAGTGAAGAACATCAGTGTATTAAGAAGGTCCCTCTTTATCACATGATATTTCTAAGCAGATATTTAGGAATGCTCAGAAGATTCCACTTTCAGTCTCCTAAGACATAATTTAAAGTGGGACTTGAACAGAAACAAGTATCTTCAGACTCCAGCTGAAATCATAGAAGTAGTTTCTGTTTAAATCCTGGGAAACCTTAGATAAGGTATGTGAAACTGAAAAAAGATCAAATCAGCACACACAGATAAAGGATACAACAGATACCAAGATGGGTAAATGCCCAATTATTTTCAGTCCTCATAATCTGTACAAAGCTATGAGGCAACCAGTAGGCCATATCTCACTAGGCAGACTTTGAGGAAGATGTTTCCCTATTTGAAACACAAGAAATTATGAAAATATGGAGATGAAGAGGGAGTAGTTCTGTGCTTCTTGCTGTGTTACCTTTATTATATTCCTAGTGTCACTGACACTAGTTTAAAAACAGCCTGCAACAAGAATATTCTCATCACCAGCCACCTTTTCCACCTTTCTTCTTTTTCTGTTGCTGTTTCTTTTTTGTTGCTGGAGCCCCTGCAGGTTTCTGGTGTCTTGGGGGTATGATGTTACTTGTAGAGGCAGATACTGTTGCAGCACTGCCAGGTCTTGGGGAGGTGGGTGGGCTGCTCACAGTTTTACTGGCATCCCTGAAATCATCAGATCATTTTTGGTCACTCATATATTCAACGAAGGAAGAGTATAAAAATGTATGTACATGGGTTTTACTTATCACACTTAACAATCTCCCACACATTTTCTACTTCTTTTAAGGTAAGCTCCCCAACTCCCTATCGACTTTTCTTTTGAATAACATTTTCACTGTTTTTATTGAAGAAAAGTAAAACATGGTACACATGCCAAGTTTTAGAAAGCGTAGAAAATAAAAAATTTTATTTTTTTGAGACAGAGTCTTGCTCTGTCCCTCAGGCTGGAATGCAGTGGCACCATCTCAGCTCACTGCAACCTCCATCCACCTCCTGGGTTCACGTGATCCTTCTGGGTTCACGTGATTCTCCTGCCTCAACCACCCGAGTAGCTGGGATTACAGGTGCGCACTACCACACCCGGCTAATTTTTGTATTTTTAGTAGAGACAGGGTTTCACCATATTGGCCAAGCTATTCTCGAACTAGCAACCTCAAATGATCTGCCTGCTTTGGCCTCCCAAAGTGCTGGGATTACAGGCGTGAGCCACTGCGCCCGGCCAGAAAAAATTTTTTAAAATAACCTGTCATCCACCATGTAAAACGTATTAATACTTCTAACACTTCTTTCTAGTCATATTATTTATTTACATCTGTTTATCTAGATATTTATTTAGTTGAATGACTCAGTGTATTTAGTTGCCTTGAGACTTTTAGTTTTTATAATAGTTTTTACTATATATATTTCACAATATATATTTGATTATATTGTAAATACTTAAAACTATTTGACTGAATTGTAAAAACTAAAGGAAAAACTAGTCTAAAAAGGCAATATATTTTCTTTCATTTGCATAAGTGTAGTATAAACATTTATCAAAGATACATCACATTTCTCATACTTTATATTAACAAATTCTCACTAATAGCCTTGAGTCAATCTAGAAACAACGTATGTTCTAAGTGCCCTCAATTGTGGAGCAATAACTTACAGTTCAGATGAAGCTCCTGCAGTTGCTCCCTGGGTCCCTTTTCCAATCTGATCCTTCTTTTTACCCTTCTTTCTTCCCCGGTAGTAAGAACGTTCTCGCATTGGCAGCCATCTTTCTGGATCTGGGGTAACTTTTGGGTCATAATTCTTAGGCAATTTTCCTGCATAACGATTATAAAGAAATGAGAGATGTGTCATAATATTTTCAAGATAGTTTGTTTAAACGATGTCTCTAAGCCTGGGAATAAATAACATTAAAATGGAAATGAATTTATTTGAGAAAGTTTAGTTTGTATAATCTAGCAGGCGAAATGGTCTTTTTTTTTAAATTATTATACTTTAAGTTCTGGGATACATGCGCAGAACGTGCAGGTTTGTTACATAGGTATACATGTGCCATGGTGGTTTGCTGCACCCATCAACCCGTCATCTACATTAGGTATTTCTCCCAATGCTATCCCTCCCCTAGCCTCCCACCGCCCCCCGACAGGCCTGGTGTGTGATATTCCCCTCCCTGTGTCCATGTGTTCTCATTGTTCAACTCCCACTTATGAGTGAGAACACGCGGTGTTTGGTTTTCTGTTCCTGTGTTAGTTTGCTGAGACTGATGGTTTTAAAGCTTCATCCATGTCCCTGCAAAGGATATGAACTCATCGTTTTTTATGGCTGCATAGTATTGATGGTGTCTATGTGCCACATCTTCTTTATCCACTCTATCATTGATGGGCATTTGGGTTGGTTCCAATCTTTGCTAATGTGAATACTGCTGCAATAAACATAAGTGTGCATGTGTCTTTATAGCAGAATGATTTATAATCCTTTGGGTATATATCCAGTAATGCGACTGCTGGGTTAAATGGTATTTCTGGTTCTAGGTCCTTGAGGAATTGCCACACTGTCTTCCACAATGGCTAAACTAATTTACACTCCCACCAACAATGTTAAAGTGTTCCTATTTCTCCACATCCTCTCCAGCATCTGTTGTTTCCTGACTTTTTAATGATCGCCATTCTAACTGGTATGAGATGGTATTTCATTGTTGTTTTGATTTGCATTTCTCTAATCACCAGTGATGATGAGCTTTTTTTCATGTTTCTTGGCCACATAAATGGCAGTTTTGAGAAGTGTCTGTTCATATCCTTTGCCCACTTTTTGATGGGGTTTTTTCTTGTAAATTTGTTGAAGTTCTTTGTTGATTCTGGATATTAGCCCTTTGTCAGATGGACTGCAAAAATTTTCTCCCATTCTGTAAGTTGGCTGTTTACTCTGATGATAGCTTCTTTTGCTGTGCAGAAGCTCTTTAGTTTAATTAGATCCCATTTGTCAGTTTTGGCTTTTGTTGCCATTGCTTTTGGGGTTTTAGTCATGAAGTTCTTGCCCATGCCTATGTCCTGAATGGTATTGCCTAGGTTTTCTTCTAGGGTTTTTATGGTTTTAGGTCTTATGTTTAAGTCTTTAATCCATCTTGAGTTAATTTTTGTATAAGGTGTAAGGAAGGGGTCCAGTTTGTTTTCTGCATATGGCTAGAATCCTTTCCCCATTGCTTTTGTCAGGTTTGTCAAAGATCAGATGGTTGTAGATGTGTGGTGTTATTTCTGAGGCCTCTATTCTGTTCCATTGGTCTACAGATCTGTTTTGGTACCCGTACCATTCTGTTTTGGTTACTGTAGCCTTGTAACAATAGTTTGAAGTCAGGTAGCATGATGCGTCCAGCTTTGTTCTCTGCTTAGGACTGTCTTGGCTATATGGGTTCTTTTTTGGTTCCATATGAAATTTAAAGTAGTTTTTTTCTAATTCTGTGAAGAAAGTCAATGGCAGCTTGATGGAGATAGCATTGAATCTATAAATTACTTTAGGCAGTATGGCCATTTTCACGATATTGATTCTTCCTATCCATGAGCATGGAATGTTCTTCCATTTGTGTCCTCTCTCATTTCCTTGAGCAGTGGTTTGTAGTTCTCCTTGAAGAGGTCCTTCACATCCCTTGTTAGTTGTATGCCTAGGTATTTTATTCTTTTGTAGCAATTGTGAACGGGAGTTCACTCATGATTTGGCTCTCTGCTTGTCTACTATTGGTGTACAGGAAAGCTTGTGATTTTTGCACATTGATTTTGTGTCCTGAGACTTTGCTGAAGTTGCTTATCAGCTTAAGGAGATTTTGGGCTGAGACGATGGGGTTTTCTAAATATACAATCATGTCATCTGCAAACAGAGACAACCTGACTTCCTTTTTGTTTGAATATCCTTTATTTCTTTCTCTTGCCTGATTGCCCTGGCCAGAACTTCCAACATTATGTTGAATGGGAGTGGTGAGAGAGGGCATCCTTGTCTTGTGCCGGTTTTCAAAGGGAATGCTTCCAGCTTTTGCTCATTCAGTATGATATTGGCTGTGGGCTTGTCATAAATAGTTATTATTATTTTGAGATACATTCCATCAATACGTAGTTTATTGAGAGTTTTTAGCATGAAGGGGTGTTGAATTTTATTGAAGGGGGAAAAGGCCTCATTTCTCAGCATGACAAAAAAATTCAGAGACCATAAAGAAAAAAACTTCACAGATACATCTATAAAAAAATGTTAAAATCTTCATTTAGTAAAAAATATATTTCTAAGAAAAAATTTAAAATACAAACTATATAATAGAGGAGTGGAAAAAAATCCTTAATATAGAAAGAATTCTTGCTGATCACTATGTAAACCACTCAAAGAAAAATGGACTCAGTTATAATTAAGGTAGGCTAGGAGAAAGGAAAGTCATTCATCTTCTGAACAGATGTTCACCCTCACTAATTAAAAATGAGAAGGGTAAAAAACTCTATCAGACTTGCAGTAATACCCAGTGTTGGTGAAATGGTGAGAAGCACTCACCAACACTATACTAGGGGAAGTGTATACTGGTATAGCCTTTGTGGAAAGCAATTTAATCTGGCAGTACCATTAGAAATTTATAGACTTCTAGAAATTTATCCTGCAGAAACCCAAGAGATACAAAGTTAAGAACAGAATATTCTCGGTGATACTCCTTTTCTTTTTTTTTAAAGATGGATAGGGCAAGGTATGGGTGGGCTGATATTCTTTAAGATGGCAAAATAACTTAAATATCTATCAATGAAGATGATTACATTATAATATGCCCAAACTATAGCAAGCTATTCAATTGGTTAAAAACTGAAGTGCAGGCCGGGCGCAGTGGCTCACGCCTGTAATCCCAGCACTTTGGGAGGCCGAGGTGGGCAGATCACGAGGTGAGGAGATCGAGACCATCCTAGCTAACATGGTGAAACCCCGTCTCTACTAAAAATACAAAAAATTAGCTGGGCGTGGTGGGGTACGCCTGCAGTCCCAGCTACTTGGGAGGCTGAGGCAGGAGAATGGCATGAACCTGGGAGGTGGAGCTTGCAGTGAGCCGAGATAGCGCCACTGCACTCCAGCCTGGGCAACAGAGCAAGACGCGGTCTCAAAAAAAAAAAAATAAATAAATAAAATAAAATAAAAAATAAATAAAGTGAAGTGCATCTATTAATTTGGAAAAATGTTCTTCACAATTCAGTCTAAAGTAGAAGATTAAAACAAACAAATTATATTATGTTCAAAACAATTTTATAAAAACTTTGAGTACCTAATGATACGTTTGATTCTGTATATACATATAAACACACATAAAAAAGTTAAGTAATTGTCTCTGGGAGCATGCTTTTTTTTGGGGGCAGGGAGAGGGTCTCACTCTGTCACCAGGCTGGAGTGCCGTGACGCAATCTCAACTCACTGCAACCTTGGCCTCCCGGGTTCAGGCGATTCTCCTGCCTCAGCCTCCCAAGTAGCTGGGATTACAGGCACGCATGAGTACTGCTCGGCTAATTTTTATATTTGTACTAGAGATGGGGTTTCACCAGGTTGGCCAGGCTGGTCTCGAACTCCTGACCTCAAATGATCCACCCACCTTGGCCTCCCAAAGTGCTGGGATTACAGGCGTGAGCCACCATGCCCAGCCGGGAGCATGAATTTTGGGCAGGGAATTTTACACTCTTTAGGCCACTCTATAATGATAGATAACAACTACCTTTGTTTTTAGAATGAGCATATATCACTTGTAAATTTAAAAAAATATTCATCTGGAAACTATAAAAATAGAAAAGAAAGTAAAATTTTAGGTTATTACCACCTACAGTCATCAGCTGTTTCCTTGCAGTATTACTAATGCACAAAACAAATATTAAATGTTTGCCAATTTTCAAGTACTGTGACAAAAGAACCAATAAGACTTCCAGTTAAAGATAGTGAAATGGATACAAACATTAGCTTGTGTACCTTCCTCAAACTCCACTAAAATGGTAATAAAACACATTAAAGGAAGACAGAAGAAAAGATATTGTCAATAAAATTTTGGTAGCTGGAAAACAGATGGAGGAGTAATAATAAACTGAGCTAAGCCTTGGGAAACCTGTATCCTAAGACGGCAGAGAGCAAAATCAAGAAATAACCTGATTTATATGATAGATTCCTCAAAACCTCAGGAACTTGGGTGGCTCCAAGGATAACATCTGACTAGGTAAAATCAAGCACGGTAATGCCACCCAATTTTTCCAGAGATTAAAGCCACACTCCAAGCCAATCAATGCACATTATTTCCCTGGTTAATAATTCAAGGCTGGACACTGACCTGCTTGGCCCAATCAGATTAATGAGAAATACTTGCCAAGTCTGGAGAGGGCTTCTTTGTTGTGATGGATATAAATGACAAGTATGTGGCCCTGACTGTTTACAATATACATCATATGACTCTAATGGGATTCTGTTTTGTGGAGAGCAGAACAAAGAGGTAAAAATACTGAGTCAACCAACCTTGATGCTAACATTCCTCTAGACTGCCAACTTTATAAACAGTAAATTTTCTTAAGCTAGTTTGATGGAATTTTGTAGTTATGTGTAGCAGAAACATCAAAATGTGTAAGTGCTTACTTTTGTGCCAGGCACCACTCTAAGAACTTTACATGTAGTATCTAATACTACAAGATATATACTATCATATTCCATTTTACATATGAAAAACTCTGGCAGGTATATTAAATAGCCTGTCCACAGTCACAGAGTAAAAGAGGGAGCAACGATTTGAATTTAGGCAAACTAGTGAATTGCGATCTTTAAAGTAATAGAATAAAATTAAATGTTAGCTATAGTCAAGATAAAAAGTTTTCAAAGATACAAGGGAGGGCAGTATATTTATGTCCAAATATTTCTATATAGGGCTAAAATCAAACATTTATTTTGGAGAAAATTTATAAAGACTTTTTTAATGCCTTACCCTTCTTTTTCTTTTTCTTCTTTTTCAAATCTCCCTGTCTACAAAGAGAAAAAAAAATCATTACCATCTTTGTGATAAAATATTTATAGAGCATTAAGTAAGTGCTCTATAAGAGTTAGTTGGGCACTTATCATAAACATGGTTTAAGACTTGGTATCAGCTTACCAAAGCTAACAAATTAGTTAAGATTTGATTCAGGTTAAAGTCAATTAAGCTTCAGATACTATAATTTTTGGAAAGTAGTTTAGAAAACAGAGGTGACAATTCGAAAACAGATTCTGTTTACACTGAAAAAAGTTTTTCAGTGGCACACATTAAGTCTATGTAAAAAGTAATTTGCACAAGCATGACTACCTAGAATCCCTTGGTAAGTTACTCTATGTTTGGCAAGACTTTAGAGAATAAATTTTTTGCCAGAAGAACATGTGTAGGTAAGATACATGCAAAGAATATCTCTGGAAGGAGATTCAAAACAAGTTACGTTGGTTATGGCCCTGGGAGGGAGGTGGGTAGACACGGATGGAAGACTTTTTACTTACTCTTACACTTTTTTATCTTTTGTATTTTAAACCTGTGAGTTTATTAATTTTTTTATGTAAGTAAAATCTATATTAAGTACATTGACCAAAAAAGGCACTAAAAAGGGCATAAAAATTAACACTTCAAAATAATTGTCAAGCATTCTGAAAGTGGCTGGGAACAGTGGCTCACGTCTGTAATCCCAGCACGATGGGAGGCCAAGGCAGGTGGATCACCTGAGGTCAGGAGTTCCAGACCAGCCTGGACAACATAGTAAAACCCCGTCTCTACTAAAAATACAAAAATTAGTTGGGTGTGGCAGTGCGTGCCTGTAATCTCAGCTACTTGGGAGGCTGAGGCAGGAGAATCACTTGAACCAGGGAGGCAGAGGCTGCAGTGAGCGAGATTGCGCCACTGCACTCCAGCCTGAGCGATGGAGCAAGACTCCGTCTCAAAAAAAAAAAAAAAGCATTCTGAAAGCTCTAGTGAAAAGAGAAAAACATAAAAATACATCTCTCTATATATTCTTATGTGATATAACTCGAGAAATATGAAACAGTGAACTAAAAAGATGAGACAACAATTCCTACCAAAAATTCATTCTACAAGTCATTCAATTGTGAACGTTCTCTCAGGATACCCCAAATAAGAAATGCAACATACTGTATCTTACTTGAGTGTTTCATCTCTTACCCAGTGTGCAATAGTATTCTAAATTGTCTCCCTACAAATTATACTCCACAGCCATACTAAAATTTCCCAAGGGTTCTCTGCTATTTCTTATTTCTCTGCCTTAGCTCACCCTTTGCCTACCTCGTCCTCATCTTCCTCAGAGTCAACACAATCATCTTCTCCATGAAGCCTTTCCTAACTTCCCACTGTCCTCAGGAAGAAGTGACTATTCCCTCCGGTGTACTCCTCTATGCCCTGTACAATCACAACAGGTGCAATCTTTATTGCAATTACTGTTTAAATATATTTCCTTCTGCTAGATTCAAGTTCCTTTTTTTTAGACAGAGTCTCATTCGGTCACCCAGGCTGGAGTGCAGTGGTGAGATCTTGGCTCACTGCAACCTCCACCTCCTGGGTTCAAGTGATTCTCCTGCCTCAGCCTCCCAAATAGCTGGGATTATAGACATGTGTCACTACGCCCGGCTAATTTTTGTATTTTTAGTAGAGATGGGGGTTTCACCATGTTGTCCAGGCTGGTTTCGAACTCCTGACCTCAAGTAATCCGCCTGCCTTGGCCTCCCAAAGTGCTGGGATTACAGGCATGAGCCACCACCATGTCAGGGCTCAAGTTCTTTTGAGAGCAAGTACCATGATTTATTTTCTGGTCAACACCTAGCATAAACCTATCACATAGTGTATTGTTAAAGGAAACTAAACCTTTGCATCCAAGTTAGTATAACAAAATACTAACTTCTAATAAGATAAAATAAAGAGCATTAATAATGCATAATGAAAATACTGTGCTGAAACTTAAAAGCTTAAAAAGTCAATGTATATCTTAATGATTGTCTAAGAAAAAAGAGAAAGAAGCCAGGCTTGGTGGCTCATGCCTGTAATCCCAGCACTTTGGGAGGCTGAGGCGGGTGGATCACCTGAGGTCAGGAGTTCAAGACCAGCCTGATCGACATGGTGAAACCCTGTCTACTAAAAATACAAAAATTAGCCAGGCGTGATGGCAGGCACCTGTAGTCCCAGCTACTCAGGAGGCTGAGGCAGGAGAATTGCTTGAACCCAGGAGGCGGAGGTTGCAGTGAGCTGAGATTGAGTCACTGCACTCCAGCCTGGGCAACAGAGCAAGACTCCGTCTCAAAAAAGAAAACAAACAAACAAAAGAAACAAAGATTATTTAAAAAAACTTTTAAAAACTTATTATTTTTAGAGATGGGGGTCTTGCTCTGTCACTCAGGCTGGGGTGCAGTGATGCAATCACTGCTCACTGGAGCCTCAAACTCCTGGGCTCAGGCAATCATCCCGCCTCAGCCTCCCAGTAACTGGAACACAGAGCCACTATGCCAGGCTAAAGAAGGAACTGCGTGTCCTTAGTAGTTACTCAACCCTGTTTGGGGAAGAAAAAAATAGTAAACATACTTTAATTGAAAATCCATTTAAGAACCCAGACTGAATTTATAATTGTAAGATGAAATGGAATTCGGAACAATGTAACCTCTTTGAGACTCCAATTCCTTATTAAAAGTTTTGGAAGTTATTATGAGAACAACAATGCTTTTTATGAAATGCAGAGTTTGTTAGAAAGAAATCAGTCATTGTTGCTGAGTTTTTTTTAAGTTAGGGAAAAATTTAGATTTCAAAAGGCATTCAAAAAAGGAGGAAGTAGCAAAAACTTATAAAAGTCACAAAGCTAAGGAAATGTTTTATCTTTTCCATGCTCTATTCATCCTGAGTCAAAAGTAAAATCTTAAAACATTTTACTGTAGGTCTCTGCTAACTATATTTTTAAGATGACGATGGAAGAAACAAGTCAAAATCTGACTTCTTTTAAGTAGATGAAGCCGACTAACCTTTTCTTCAAATCAGCAAAAGAAATCATATACTAAATGATGTACTAAATGTACAACAATAACTAAAAGGTAAAGGAAGGCACATCCAGCCTATGGAGTGTTATGCATAAAAAGGATGAAATAGGTCCACATTTTAGTACGTGGAAAGATCTCTAAAACTCATTAAATAAAAGTAAGTTGGGAAACACTAAGTACAATACAATCCTCCTTCTGTAAAAAATAACTGGGCGTGGTGCCCAGCACTTTGGGAGGCCGAGGTGGGCAGATCACTTGAGGTCAGGAGTTCAAGACGAACCTGGTCAAAAGGGTGAAACCCTGTCTCTACTAAATGCACAAAAATTAGCCTGTAGTCCCAGCTACTCGGGAGGCTGAGGCAGAATTGCTTGAACCCGGGAGGCGGAGGCTGCACTGAGCCAAGACTGTGCCACTGTACTCCAGCCTGGGAGACAGAGCAAGACTCTGTCTCAACAAACAAACAAATAAAAAAAAAATAGTAATAAATAAACCAATTTAAAGAAAATATTTGTAAACCATCTGTGTGTGTAAACACAAAGAAAAACTTCTGGAATAATAGATTAAATTAATACCAGAGGTTAATTTTGGGCTGAGGGAAAAGGGAAGGAAATAAGGACAAAGAGCTGGGCACAGTGAGAGAAATGGAAAAGGAACAAAGAGAACTAGAACTTTATTCACATGAAATTTCTATGAGAATGTATTTTTTATTCCTTGTCTAATTTAAAATCAGCATTAGAGAACGTTACAATGAAAAATATTACCCTTGTTCCTTTGGTTGACTATCTCCAGTAACTTTTCCACCCTTCTTCCGAATGTATGTAGCACCAGCAGAATTTTCAAGAGCCTCAACATCTACTTTTAGAGACATACTATCTGACGATGGCAAGTGTTTACTAAGACTGTGATAGAACAGGAGTTCAGGAACATAATATACACAAACACACACATTTATATAGATATATATGTTTGCCAATGTATCTATTGACACTGGAAGACTGTCTTTTCTTGATGACCTTCAACAAAAGCAAAAAATGTTCCTAAATCTTCTATACAATAACAAGTCATATCAATTATATAGTACATACAGTATTCTGAAAGGAGAACATGAGGAGTCATAATCTAATTCTCTATTCCTTAACACAGTGATGTGGAGCAAGGTGGTGGCTTAATACAAACTCTATTCCAAAACAACTATCAAGTTTATGACTTGTGACTGCTTAGCATCCACCAACCCACCTCAGTTTTGGGAACACACTCTGATTTAGAGTAGCACATATGATCCAAGCTCAATAAGGGCACCAAATTCGCTTATCAGGTAACTATTTGAGATAAGCAAGTGACCTAAGTAGTTGAATCTGAAAATAACATTTCAGAATCATGCAAAAGTACCCACATAAAATATGCTTTTTCTTTACCTTGCTGCTGATCTTGAACCTGGAGGAAAAGAGGCCATACCCTTTTGACTTCATTTTTGCTTCTGGATGAAACTGAACCCTAAGTTGGATCTATCGCCGCATTTTTCAGTCACACTGATCAATAAATTCTCATTTTTTGGTTTTACTAGTTAAAAGGAGGATTTGTTAGTTGCAGTTTACAATTGAAAAAGCTCTGGTCAAAACACAGATATCAGAAGAGATCTATTGTGCTACTGAGGAGCTGTAAGGAATAACAATCAAAAGGATACGCTTTGGCTTTCTCTGGATCTACAAGTGAGTAAGCAGAAATAAGCTGTGCCAGGGTGTGAATATCTTTTGGATTTTGTCTAAAAGAAGAAATAAGAAAATTATTGAACTGTTTATAAAACTGGAGAAAGTAATATAAACAAGTAACTCCCTCATATCAAGTAGCAACAATAAATGTGTTATTTCTACAACTCCACGTTTCAGAGCTTACTTCCACAGCTGTTGTAGGTCACTAATTGCCTCCTTCTTCCGCCCATATTTGAGTTTGAAGTTTGCAGCTTCTCTTATCAAGGACAAATGAGCAGGAGATTTTGGCTACAGTTTCAATAAAAAGAAAAAAAAAGTTTCAAGTTAAATATCTAGCAAGTGCATGCAGTTATATTCATTAGACCTTTAAGAAATACACCTATGCATTAGATCCCTCATCTTAAGTTTCACTGAATGCCTGAAACAACAAAATCATCCACACATGTAGAGGAAAGCAGGTGGACAAATTATTAATTGTACAAGTAATCACCAATTGATGAATCTGGAAAACAACCTATATCTATTTAGTGTCTACAACTGGAAACATTCCCCTATAATAATCAAATCTTAAAGATATGCCACCATAGTTCTCAAACATTAATTTAATATAATACTTTCCCAGAGCACTGATACCCCTCCACTGCTAACAGTACTAACAGTATAAATGCCACCTGCACAGCGTATGTATAATTTTAAGTTGGATACTGCCCATGCAGAGATCCATACTGGAAATTAAGATATTCCTACTAGATAGAGACATGATAAACAACTATTCCATGTATTACTGTTGTACTAATTACTACCACCCATGGGCTCTCTAGCCATTTAAGACGATCTCTTAAATATGCAATCATGTACTATTATTATTTCTTGAGATTACATACACAAATGCATGTACACATACAGCAAGGAGCTTCAATAAATATAAATGTGCTATTTTTCTATTTTGCAGCCATTGCTTATTTCTAATAACTTAATTTGGATCTGGTATACTAAAAAAATGCATTTGATAATCTAAATAGTATTCCACTTTTAAAATAGTGACGTGTAATACTTGTTTGCCTGAATTTTTTCACTACTCCATCTTTATTTTTATGTAAAAACATGCTCTCATAACATTTTACTCCATTTATTTACCTGATGGTTTTGATACCACTGGATAGCTTGTGTGAAGACCTCAATGGCACTATCAATATCTTCTTCATGGCTATACATGGTAACTAATGCAGATACCTACACAGCCAAAGGTATAAATTAGTGAACTCCCCCTTCACTCCCAGAATACCGCTTTTGAAAATAAAAAACGCTGAAGAAATAGCAAATAAAGGCTCTCCGCTAATACCTGATTTATCATAAAAGCTACTCCCTTTAGAGAACATAGTTAACTTTACTTCTAGAAATACCATGAACAACCGTGTTTTCCAAATATGAAGGTAGATATCTGTAAAATAAAACTTTCCTTTAAAGCAGTGCCAGTTCACAAATGGTTTGGTAAGTACAGAAGTTGAGAATAAGCCCTTAGAAATGTTTCTACAATAAGACACTGCTGGACATTTAAGTGTATGATCAGTGAGGCATACATAGAGCGGCTGAACTCTCATGATGAATCCCATGTGGCATGAGCTGTTTGAAGCCAGTAAAAAGGGTGCCTGGTGTGGCTGAGGGACAGGAAGGAGGCCTACATAGCTGGAGTGGAGGGGGAGGGGGATGCTGAGCAGTAGGAGATGAGGATAGAAAGGAAACAAACAAAAAGCTGGATCTTTAAGAACAATCAGTAAAACTGATAAACCTCTGGACAGGCTAATCAGAGGGAAAAAGAAAAAAATACATGAATAACCAATATCAGGAATGAGAGAGGTTCTATAGATATTAAAAGGACAATAAAGAAATAAAATGAAGAACTTTTATGCCAATAAAGTCAGCAACCTAAATGAAATGGATACATTCCTTGAAAGGTAAAAGGTGGTCATATATTAAATATTAGAAACATTTTATTTTCAGTCATATACTGTATTTGACTCTAAGGTAAAGTAATTATAGCACGATCCTTAAAATATGAATCTTTAAGGGAAAGCACTACCATATTACATTTACTGAGTGCCAACTGCACAGAGGCCATGAGAATGCAAACATGAATAAAACAGCCCCTGTCCAAAAGATGCACATACTACCACTACAGAATTAGTTTCTACTATGGAAAAGATGCTTTCACAGCTGTATTAATGATTGAAACCTGCAATATTTGAATAATCAGAAAACTAAAAACTAAATTTGTTGGCCACAATTATGAAATTGTTCTAATTTAAAGAAATCACACTGACGAAAATGATATAGGCTAAGAAATTCCTATACAGATCTGAGATTATTTGAGGTTGGTTTTCAGTGATACTATAAGGCCTAAATAGTGCCTGGCACATTTGACTGAATAAGAAACCAATACCAGAGCAGAGAATGAAATTAAATTTATACCAGACAACTATTACTATTATAATTACTACTCCTACCTTAAAGTGAATACACATTCGACATATAAATAAAGTGAATACACATTAGACATACAAATTATCAATTCAACTACTTTTCAATTTTGTAATTTTTAAAACTCACCATGCCTGGTTTATGCTTTAACTCCTCTATGCTTCTCAATATTAGACATGCTTTAGAAATATTACCTTAGGAGAATAAACAAAATCAGCATTACATAGAAGAACACATATTATGAAAAAAAAATACAAGAAATTTTACTTCCTCCCACTACTTTTCCTTAGGAAAGCAACCATAACTCATGTTTTGTAACATCGCTAAACATATAAACTTTGGGGTCTTGGGGATGGTGAACTCTGTTCATTTAGAGATAAGGAAATTGAGTTCTAAAGAAATAATATACCTTGCTTAAGCTCACAAAGAAAGTTAATGGCAGAGCTGCTACCAGAAAAGAAGTCTCCCAGCTCCCAGTCTGTTGAGTTCTATTTCTTCTTTTTTGGGCTGTAACTTGAAGGTGGGGGTCCTTCCCTAAAGGCCTTGAAATATGTTACTGTAGACATGAGTGCAATGGAAAATTTCCTATGGTGTTAAATTCTGATTTTGTATTCACTGCAAACCTCAATAACTCAAAATTCCCAGTCTTTAAAAACAAACAAAAAACCATGACAGATTGTCAGTAATTTCAAGATAATAAATAATCCTTGAAAAAATAAACTAAACATAGGAGGAAAGATCAAGTAAAGGGCAAGGAAGAGAAGACAGGGCTGAGGAGAAGGAAAAAGAGACAAGGAAAGCAAAGAAATGTGAGAATTGGATAAGAGGGAGATCAGCAGTGTGTCTCAACCTTATTTTCATTATTGCCCTACTAAGGACATTTTAAACATTTTTTCCCTAACTGCCAACTCCCCTCCTTCAACTCATAAAATTTTCATTTCAGCCACTGTAATATTTAAGATTTTTGTGAAGAATTGTCACCACCATTGAAAATCCACATTCTATACCAGAGCTGTTCGACAGAACTTTTTGTGATGATATAAATGTCCTATATCTGTGCTGTCCAATATTGTAGCCAATGGCTGCATATAGCTACTAAGCTTCTAAGATGTGGCTAGCATAATCAAAGAACTGAATTTAAAATTTCATTTAACTAATTTAAACTTAAAATAGCTGTATGTGGCTAGTGACTACCAAACTGGGCAACATGGCTCTAGATATTCAAAGTTAGATGAAAACCACAGACAAAAACATTGGCAGTTTTAAGATTCAAACACATCAGTTCTCGTTAAATTCTATTACCTTTCCCCAAGCCCAAAGACATAGGTGGCAAAGTGTAAAATGAAGTAAGGATGAAGGGCCAAGCTAAGAAATTCTGAAAACTATGATGCAAAGTAGTCGTACAAATATTACCAAGTGACGGACATAAGCATTTCTGCATGTGACATACTCAGGCAATTTGAGTAGTATGTATGGTCTTTTGGAAGAGAGGAATCCTTTGCTTCAGAACTTTCAAGGCATAGATTAAGAATCATTCTAATAATTTAGGAATAATCCACGAAAAGGGGCAACTACCTCACTACTAAATCTGTTGGAGATCATACAATCTAGCTGCATGTTTGAAACAGTAATTATTATGCTTTACTATTACACAAAAAAACTTAAAATCACATAGTTCACAACTGCTTAATCATTCCAAACATGTTTTCATTAAAATATTTTAATCATGATGAAAACCATAATACCTTGAGAAATTTTCAACTGTGCCATGGTCAGCTTAATTTCAGCTGCATTTTCTGGATGCTGATCTGAAAATTCCTAAATTTTTTTAGTTTGGGGGAAAAAAATCACATTTAATTTACACAACTAATTGTATACATTACAATTACTTAGCTACATAAGATTTTAAATCCAGTTTTAAAACATTAAACTTCTGGCTGCAGGTCAAAATCTTAACTTGGGGAAATTTTTATTCAACACTCACTTTTTTTCTTAAAGGTATGCTCTAAAAGTAAGTGCAATGAAGTCAAGTTTTCTGTAAGTCACTAACAGAGAAATCCATCATCCCTCAGCCACAGGGTATTACTTCCAGAACCACCCCCGATTCCAAAACCCAAGGATGCTCAAGTCCCTTATATAAAAGTATAGTATTTGCGTATAACCTACATACATGCTCCTATACATTTTAAATCATTGCTAGGTTACTTATAATACCTAATACAATGTAAATCCTATGTGTATAGTTGTTATATTATCTAGGGAGTAATGATTTTTAAAGTTTGTATATGTTCAGTACAGAGGCAGTCATACATTTCCAACCTCAAAATGTGCTTTTTTTTTCTGAGGCGGAGTCTTGCTCTGTCACCCAGGCTGGAGTGCAGTGGCGTGATCTCGGCTCACTGCAACTCCGCCTGCCAGGTTCAAGTGATTCTCCTGCCTCAGCCTCCCACGTAGTTGGAATTACAGGAATGCGCCACCATGCCAGGCTAATTTTTTGTATTTTTAGTAGAGATGGGGTTTCAACATGTTGGCCAGGCTGGTCTTGAACTCCTGACCTCAGATGATCTGCCTGATTGGGCCTCCCAAAGTGCTGGGATTACAGACGTCAGCCACTACGCCTGGCGACCCCCACAAAATGTTTTTAATCCATGGCTGGTTGAATTCTTGGATGCAAAACTCAAGAATACAAAGGGTCAACTATAATAAAGATTACTAAATAGATTTTTTTTTTTTTTTTTTTTTGCTGTGGGGAGAGAAGGGGCGGTGTCTCTTCACTGAGTGTCCCTGTTAGGCAATTTTGTCTGTCAGGATGATCCTAATTGTACCTGTCCAACTTTCCAATGTAGTTTATATTCAAGAAATTTAAATATGCAATATAATAGCTGGTTTGGGTTGATAAAAACAAAGTCAGTATCTCCATAATTGAGGTTCTGGAGTAGAACTCACTGGAGATCAGATTATTGCAAAAGAGGTTAAGTATGTTCTGGAATTATACATGCCTAAATGATCCCCTAACTCAGGTTAAACAGATCTCCAAACAAAACAGCATTCTTCAGCATTTATAACAAATATTTACATTATAGAAATTTATATAACACAAAGAAATTTATATAAAGCTCTGTAACCCAAGAGTTAACTAAAATGACAATGAAATTTGTGTAGTGGTACATTTCTGATTAGTTTTCCCATTAAATTTACATGCTAGTAGGTTATTACAACACAATGAAAATGAAACAAAGCTGCAAATGTCTGACACCTCATTCAAGTAATTATTTTACCTGAAGCAGCTCTATTGCTTTTGTGTGCTGCTTTTCACGGCAGAGCTGGGCAGCTTGGATTAACACAGGTAAGAGATGCTCGGGACTTTGGGACTGTAAACTGGCAGATATTTTGCGGCATTGTTCAGCCTAGAAGATATCCAACCCCCACAAGAAAAATAAACTGGTTAATGAAATTAAACACTAAATGACCAGAAAGAAAAGAAACATGGGAAAATCAGTTGAAACAAATATTAACCAAAGAACTGCCTAGGGTAAGAGAATCAGTTTACAGTATCTATTCTCAATTTTTTCTTGTAAGAAAATGGTTTCCATTTATTGAATTTAATCTATGAGCTCTAAGAGTCTTTAGTAAAGGAGAAATTCTAAACATTCACTTGGATGCCTAAATTCTAGAACTGTTTAAAAAAATCAAACACATCAAATATAAGCATTTGCTTCAAAAACAACAAAATGCATATATGTATTTTTTGCTACATTATTAAGAATAACTTGACTCAGTTCTAAATAATAAAAACATTACTGTCTCTCGGCCGGGCGTGGTGGCTCATGCCTGTAATCCCAGGACTTTGAGAGGCTGAGGTGGGCAGATCACGAGGTCAGGAGATCAAGACCATCCTGGCTAACATGGTGAAACCCCGTCTCTACTAAAAATACAAGTAAATTAGCCAGGCGTGGTGCTGGGCGCCTGTAGTCCCAGCTACTCGGGAGGGTGAGGCAGGAGAATAGCGTGAACCCAGGAGGCAGAGGTTGCAGCGAGCCGAGATGGCACCACTGCACTCCAGCCTGGGCGACAGAGCGAGACTCCATCTCAAAAAAAAAAAAAAAAAAAAAAAAATTACTGCTTCTCTGTCTCCCACTAAAACTTCTGCTCTAAAACAGTATAAAATTAGAATTAGAATGCTTACTGGAGTTAGAATTGACTTCCTTAACATTTATAACTTGATGTGATTATACACAGCAAAAATGAAAGATGGGTCTTAAATCTATAATCATGGCTAGCATCTTTGATGATTTTATCTTAATTCAGATTAGAAATAAGGTAATGAGAAAGTTATCTCATTTAAAGGTGTGAATACTGTTTTCTTCCCCTTAAAAGGTGTCAACCCTACACCCTTATAAGAAATTGGGCAAATTACTTGTTTAATAAATAAAATCTATGACACATAATATTCTTTCTTTTTTTTTTTTCTTTTTGGAGACAGTCTCTCTCTGTTGCCCAGGCTGGAGTGAAGTGGCACAATCTCAGCTCACTGCAAACAATTCTTGTGCCTCAGTCTCCAGAGTAGCTGGGACTACAGGCATACACCACCATGTAGAGACAGGGTTTCACCATGTTGCTCAGGCTGGTCTCGAACTCTTGAACTCAGGCATTCCGCCCACTTCAACCTCCCAAAGTGCTAGGATTACAGGCATGAGCCATTGTGCCCAGCCAATAATATATATAATATTTTGAGGAAGGCAAAAAAATATATTTATGAGTTGAAGACAAAATACAAACAAAAACTATAAAAAGATTAGACTAATATCCCTATTACTCCTCATATACCATATTACAAAAGGTTTAGCCATGACACCAAAGGTAATTACCCACCTGGTTTGTGTACATAGCAAGTAAAGCTTTGTTAAATTCTATAGCTTGTAGTTGTTTCTTGGAAAGCTTAAACTCTACTCCTTCCGCATTGGTTAATTTCACTTTCTTCTTGGAGTCAAAGACATTTTGGTCCTAACAAAGAAAAGTTTATCTATCATTAACAGAATCTCAGATTTCAACTTATTCCTTTTTCTATTAACTTTATATAGATACAGCAGGAGAGCTTGAATCTATCTACCTGATTGGGGTGCCTAAGCTAATAAGATGCATATAAATTTATCCTGATTCACAGAAGTAATTCAAATCTACTCTTTTTGAATCTCTGCAATTCAAATCTACTCATGTACATATAGTTATCCCAGAATCTACCCCCACTCCTTTTAAAGCCTTCTCAAAGGAGGCTTCCTAGGTATAAAAAGGCTTAACAAGTGAACTGCTTTAAAGAAATGGAGAACAAGATTTGTTTTATTTTTCCACTATTAATTGCTTGTTTTGAGCTTTTTGAAGGAAAAAAAGGGACAGCACAAATTGAAGTGTATTAGGACTACAAAAATACCTAACTTGGCAATTTCTACAAGCTATGCCCTCTAGAATTTAGATGATAAATAAAAAGTAACTCACTCCTCTTCAAAATACAGAAATATCTTGGAGATATTTCGTGTTTGGTTCCAGACTACCGCAATAAAGCAAATATTACAATAGAAGGAGTCACAGATTTTTTGGTTTCCCAGTGCATATAAAAGCTATGTTTACACTATATTGTTGTCTATTAAGTGTGCAACAGCATTATGTCTGAAAACAAGTACATACCTTTTTTTTTTTTGAGATGGAGTCTCGCTCTGTCACCCAGGCTGGAGAGCAGTGGCACAGTCTCAGCTCACTACCAGCTCCGCCTCACGGGTTCACGCCATTCTCCTGCCTCAGTCTCCCGAGTAGCTGGGACTACAGGTGCCCGCCACCATGCCTGGCTAATTTTTTTTTTTTTGTATTTTTAGTAGAGATGGGGTTTCACCGTGTTAGCCAGGATGGTCTCGATCTTCTGACCTCGTGATTCGCCCACCTAGGCCTCCCAAAGTCCTGGGATTACAGGCGTGAGCCACTGTGCCCGGCCCAGTACATACCTTTATTTAAAAATACTTCAATGCTAAAAAATACTGATACAGAGATATGAAATGGACACATGCTGTTAAAAAAATGATACCACCATGGCCAGGCACAGTGGCTCACGCCTGTAATCCCAGCACTTTGGAAGGCAGAGGTGGGTGGATCACCTGAGGCCAGGAGTTCGGGACCAGCCTGGCCAACATGGTGAAACCCCCATCTCTACTAAAAATACAAAAATTAGCTGGGTGTGGTGGCACACGCTAGTCCCAGCTACTCAGAAGGCTGAGGCAGGAGCACTGCTTGAACCTGGGAGGTTGCAGTGAGCTGAGATCCCACCACTGCACTCCAGCCTGGGCAAGAGAGCGAGACTCCATCTTAAAAAAAAAAAAAAAAAAAAAGGAGCCAACAGATATGCTCAACACAGAGTTGCCACAAACCTTCAATATGTGAAAAACTTACAAAGTGTAATAAAGTAAAGCACAATAAAATGAGGTATGCCTGTAGTGACTCTGTAAGGCAATCATGAAACCTCAGAAACATATCTGTACCACTTTTGAACCCATTTTTTTTTTAGCAGAAAATACTCATGTAACATATCTACTGTTTTTCCTTTCCTAAAGCCCCTTCTTCTTAGCCAAGCAAAAGCATAAAGAAGCTCAATTTCTAAAATTCCCATGTGGGGGCACAGTGTTATCTGCCCAAAGAAAGTCCTATTAAGAATTATTGAAAGTCACATACATCTCCAAAAAAAGGGAGAAAACTAAGTCACACTGATTGCATCCTGAGAAGCACAAACTGAGCATGTGAGTATCTACTTTGTGCACAATACTCTAGCTTTGTAAAACAATGTATTTACTTGCAAATACATGATACCACTGTGCTTTTTTAAACCAGGTCTTCTACCAGTTTAAAGACAAAAAGGAAGCGAAAAAAATCTAAAATAAATTCTACTTTTTCTTACTGTCGAGCTCCAAACCAATTTGAAACTACTTTAATGTACAGCAAGAAACTGCCTTTCATATAAATCAATCCTAAAGAAACCGTATTTTCTAGCTGGTTCTCTCATGTCGCAATTTTAATACTTCAATTAATTGTGCACGTCACTGCCAGACTTTTCTTAAACTTGATTTCCAAGGCCCTGATATAGTTCAATCTAATCTACTTTTTAAACTATCCAGCAAATACATACCCTCTTCTGTGTTCTCACTTTTCCCCTACAAATCATAAATATTTCTTCATATGTACTTTTTTTTGTGCTGTTGCTTAACCTTCAAACCACAGTCCTCCTTCAAGGGTCAGCTCAAACTTGCCAAACCAGAGATCCTTCCGTTCACCAAATGTAGTATTAAATATATAGTTATAAAGTATACGGACAAAAAATTTAAACATGAACAATTTTTTTCAACACCAGAAAGAGATTTTAAACTATGTGATGATGCTTTGTATTTTTCATTACCTATTGCATCCAGTACTATTTTGAAAAAGTCAGAAATACCCACTGACTAAAGAAAGTTCAGTGTATAAGTTATGTTCAGACTGAGATATTTAGTATCTCACATGCTCTCTTCCCCTACAATTATGTATGTCAGATAAAAAGAATTTGTCCTGGCTGGGTGTGGTGGCTCATGCCTATAATCCCAACACTTTGGGAGGCTGAGGCAGGAGGATCACTTGAGATCAGGAGTTTGAGACCAGCCTGCCCAACATGGTGAAACCCCATCTCTACTAAAAATACAAAAATTAGCCGGGTGTGGTGGCACGTGACTGTAGTCCCAGCTACTCGGGTGGCTGAGGCATGAGAATCACTTGAACCCGGGAGGTGGAGGCTGCAGTAAGCCGAGATTGTGCCACTGCACTCCAGCCTGGGCAACAGAGACTCCATCTTGGGGGAAAAAAAAATTTGTCCTGACAAGCATTTCAAAATTCATAAACATAGGCAGGTATATATTTTTGCCAAGATTCAAAGGCTAGTATCAATGTTTGGAAATCTATACCATACCAATGGCCAACAGCAACCTCCCATGATTACTACCCCTTTTAATGCCATTATCTACATCCAAAGATACACTACATTTCTGCCACAGGAGAGAAGAACCACTAAGTAGTAGAAGGGGAAAGCTTTGAAGTCAGAAACTAGAATCTGAATCCAAGTTTTTCCTCTTATGAAGTAGGCTATGACCTTATACAAATTACTTAACTACTTTTAGTCTCAGATTATACTCCTACAGAGATAAGGACTACCACCTAAAAAGATTATTGAGAGGAAGAAATAAGGTGGTACTTGAAAAATCACATGGTATATCAAGATAAATTGTATGTTCAAATGTTACTTTTCTTACTTTCCACTGACTTGGATTTCAATTGTGACCTTGAAATGTTTTTCCAGGCTGGGTGTGGTCGCTCACCCCTGGAATCCCAGCAATTTGGGAGGCTGAGGCAGGAGGATTTGTTGAGCCCAGGAGTTTAAAGACCAGCCTGGGCAACATGGCAAGACTCTGTCTCTACAAATTTTTTTTTAAATTAGCCGGGCATGGTGGTGTGTACCTGTGGTCCCAGGTACTTGGGAGGACTGTCTGGGGCTATAGTGAGTCATGTCTGCACCACTGCCCTCCAGCCTGGGTGACAGTCTCAAAAAAAAAAAAAAAAAGAAAGAAAGAAAAATAAAGCTTTTTCCATTAGAGTGTTCCTGGCCGGGCACGGTGGCTCACGCCTGTAATCCCAGCACTTTGGGAGGCTGAGGTGGGCGGATCACGAGGTCGGGAGAATGAGAACATCCTGGCTAACATGGTGAAACCCCGTCTCTACTAAAAATACGAAAAATTAGACAGGCATGGTGGCGGGTGCCTGTAGTCCCAGCTACTTGGGAGGCTGAGGCAGGAGAATGGCGTGAACGCGGGAGGCGGAGGTTGCAGTGAGCCGAGATCGTGTCACTGCACTCCAGTCCGGGCGACAGAGCGAGACTCGGTCTCAAAAAAAACAAAACAAAAAAGAGTGTTCCTAATGGTGGCTAATGACATTAGTACAGTACTCTAAGTTAAGAGTGCTTATATATATATTTATAGTATTTTACATGGGATGGGGTGTGGGGGAGAAGAAAGAGCACCTGTCCATACCCCCTAAAAAAAGAAAACCCGAGAGAAAATTATATAAAGAACACTTTCACATTCAGATTCCATAGACGAAGAAATCATATAAAACATGCGTATACTTAAAAGTTTAAAAGCCCCAATAATTTATATCTCTTACAAAGAGAGAGTCTCTATACTATTAGATGCTGGGAAAAGGGGAGGATCTTAAAGTCTAGGGTCTACTACAAAAGGTTTTATTACTTGAGTATACCTTGCAGCATCATTATCATTAGGAGAGTTAAGTAATACTATCCATTGTGATTTTGCTACAACTGGACTTTTTTCATCATGTTAAAAAGAACACTTAGGCTATCCTAGAACAAAACTAAAACTAGGGTGATGAGCTTTCAGGGTAAAATATATCTATGGAAAGCACAAATACTCCATACCTTGTTAATGGTAATGATGTTATTTGCAATTACAGCTAGTAATCCCACATCTGTTGGTCTGTGAACAACAAGCAACAGTCAAAACCAAACAAACCTTTAAAAAGAACCCCATCCCCTATAAAAGACACTTCCTTTTAATAACTCACTTTAGTTTTATTATTTGATTGTAAAGTTGCAAAGCCTCCTCTGTTCGACCCTGAAGCTGCAGAATATAAGCCATCTGACCATGAATGATGGCCAGTTCTGCCTGTGGGTCTTCCTCAGTCCCATCCTAAGAGAAAGAAATGTTTTTCCCATATAAATTTTCCAAACTGATCTACATATTTTCCAAATGACCCAAACATTCAAAAGAGATACAATCCTGAAGACACATAATTTCAGAAATTTTCCCTTAGAGTCAGTTCTTTAGAAACAGCCAGCAAGAGAGAAGTTTAAGTGAAAACAGCAAAAAGACTTCAACTTCTAAGAAGTATCTAAAGAAAAAAAAAAAAAAAAGAAAAGGCAAAAAGATCCTAGAAGAACATGGTAACAAGTTTAGGACTACCATTTATTGATCATTATCATCCTCTAAAGCCCAAGAATTAAAAAACGTAAGTAAAAAACAAGCATGGAAGTATATCTTTTTATAATGATATCCCTAAATTCTGGAAACATAATTTTCTCATAAAAATCACATTTAAAAATGCTTTTCTCTCTATTCTACCATAACTCTACCTCAAAAACTAGAAAATTCCAATTAACACCATACAAAAAAACTTCAAAAGCTGGAACTAATTCTGTACTTTAATCCTGTAATTGAACAAATTCTGTAATTAAAGTAGTAGCTCTCTTAACCGATGCTCCAGATTAATCCACATTTCTCCTTTCCTTCTGAAAAGGCTGTACAATGAATACTCAAGACTAGGAGACAACAGTCCTTTAATGACCCAACACTCCTGCTCTCACCTGGTGAGTATCTGCTGACCAGGAGTCAGATATGTTTGTTTCCAAACCCATTATGCAGTTGTGTTTGATGAGGAAATGATAAAACTTAAAAATATTAAAGAGAAGAACTATGGGCTGGGCATGGTGGTTCACGCCTGTAATCTCAGTGCTTTAGGAGGCTGAGGTGGGAGGGTCGCTTGAGGCCTGGAGTTTGAGATAAGCCAAACTTGTCAACACAGCGAGACCCCCATCTCTACAAAGAAGAAAATAATTAGCTGGGCATGGTGGTGCTACTCAGGAGGCTGTGGTGAGAGGATTGCTTGAGCCCAGGAGTTTGAGGTTACAGTGACCTATGATCATATCACAGCAATCCAGCCTGGGTGAAACAGCAAGATCCTGTCTCAAAAAAAAAAAAAAAAAAAAAGAGAGAGAGAGAGAGAGAACTATGAATGTGAAAAGAGACATATTTCAATGTAAATCATGTTGAATACTCAGAAAGATACGGTAAACGTAAATTCCTAAAGAAAATTATTGTCTAATTAGTTGTGAGCCAAAAAATGGTAAGAGATTGGTAAAAAACAAACAACAAAAAAAAAACATAAGGACTCTATAATGGAAGTGCTTACCAACTGTATTTAAGATATTGTTACACTTAAAAAGAAAAACCAAAAGTGTAAATTGGGAATGTTGAATTATGTCACTACATAAGAAATATACATGGAACTCCTAGGAGCAGACCAGTCCTCAAAGACCTTAGTCCTACATCCTAAAATGGGGGAATAAATTTACATTATATAAATGTATAATCAAGTGCTTAAGGTTATGTCAAAATTTTTTGTATTGTGATTTCTCACTCTAGTAGACTTCATCAAATAACTGATACTAGAGGGTGGTTTCTAGTGTGATTCCTACTTAATGAATTGCCATCTTCTAAAAAAAGTCAATAAATAGTACAATGAAGCCTCAGTAATCTATCATAGTCAGAAGTGTAAAATTTAGGTTTAACAATGATGGAATACTTACAGTGTCTTCTGATAATGAACGGCGGCAAAGATCTACAGGAGAAAAATTGTTTTAAAAGTAGTATTGCTGGGTAAATCCCATTTCTTTCACTATTCCAAAGAGCAAGATCTAAATTCCTAAGCAGAAGATTCCAAGATAATCGTAGTAACAAGCAGTTGTGAAATTTACATTAGCATCAAATATACTACATATATATTATCAGTCTCTTGACTTTCCCAGCTCTTTGGCACTTTGCTTTCATTTGTTGTGTCTGTGCTAAAAATATTTGTAAAGTGCATTAAAAAATACAAATGTAGTAAATATTAATTGCGAAAAATCAATTATAGAAAAGTATAAAAATAAACAATCCTACCACCCAGAGATAAACACTACTAGCATTTCAGTTATTTAGTTTTTTAATATTTTTTTTGTTTGTTTTTAAAGTTGGAGGTCTCACTCTGTTGCCCAGGCTGGAGTGCAGTGGCTTAATCATAGCTCACTGCAGCCTTGAAATTCTGGGCTCAAGTGACCCTCCCACCTCCGCCTCCCAAGTAGCTGGGACTATAGCTGTGAGCCACCATACCTGGCTTAGTTTTATGTAAATGCACAGCTGCATTTTAAAATGAAAGTGAGACACGGTGCATACTATTTTGAAACCTCCCTTCCCCATTCAATATCCTGTGGATATCTTTGTTACAATAAACATAGATCTACATTACTGTATCTTTTTTAATGTTATTGGTTGTAGTGACTGTAATTACTTTGTGATTATGGTAAAATTTAGCCAATCCTTTAATAGTACAGAACTTTATGCTGTTTCTAAATTTCTGTTCTTATGAATATTCCTTCAATGAACATTCACACAGACACATACGTAAATTTATCTAATCATTTCCTCAAGTTTCTAGAAGTGAAATTATTGGATCAAAGGGTAGGTAAATTTAAAATCTGCTACACATCACCAAACTGCTCACTGAAAAGTCTGTATTACTCTTACATTCAAACCCACAATGTATGAGAATGTTCTTCATTGGGTATGATCAAGAAATTATAATTCTGCCAGGTGCAGTGGCTCACACTTGTAATCCCAGCACTTCGGGTGGTCAAGGTGGGTGGGTCACTTGAGGTCAGGAAATTATAATTCTTTTTTTTTTTTTTTTTTGAGACAGCGTCTCACTCTGTCACCCAGGCTGGAATACAGTGGTATGATTTCAGCTCACTGGAGCCTCAACCTCCTAGGCCCTCCTAGGCCCTGCTGCCTCAGCCACCAGAGTAGCTGGGAATACAGGTGTGTACCACCACACTCGGCCACATATATATTTTTTTTTTGTAAAAACGAAGGCTTACTATATTACCCAGGCTGGTCTTGAACTGCTAGGCTCAAGCAATCCTCCTGCCTTGGCCTCCCAAAAGTGCTGGGATTATAGGCGTGAGCCACTGCACTCAGCCAAAAAAATTATAATTCTTAAACAGATTTTTCTTCTCATGAGGCTCTAACCTTTGTTCTTATTTTAACTTTCAACATTTGACAGTAAACTGTGATCTCATTTTAACCCCTAATATTTAACAGTAAAACAGACTTTGTTTCACCTTTTTTTCCACCCCAGTGATCACTGCAGTACCTACATCACTTTTATAGCTTCCAGGGAAAAATTTATGCACAAGCAAAGTCAAAATGTTCACGTTAATACCTGACACAGTTCTCTAATAAATTAATTTTTTTCTTAATTAAAAGCTTCAGCTGGGCACAGTGGCTCACGGCTGTAATCCCAGCACTTTAGGAGGCCAAGGCAGGCAGATCACTTGACGACAGGAATTTGAGACTAGCCTGGCCAACATGGCGAAAACCATCTCTACTGAAAATACAAAAATTAGTTGGGCATTTCTGGCATGCGCCTGTGATCCCAGCTACTTGGGAGGCTGAGGCACAAGAATTGCTTGAACCTGGGAGGCGGAGGGTGAAATGAGCCTGGCCAATATGGTGAAACCCCATTTCTACTAAACATACAAAAATTAGCTGGGTGTGGTGACGCGCACCTATAATCCCAGCTACTCGGGAGGCTGAGGCAGGAGAATTGCTTGAACTCGGGAGACAGAGGTTGCAGTGAGCCGAGATCGTGCCATTGTACTCCAGCCTGGGCAACAGGGTAAGATTCTGTCCCACTCCATAAAAAAAAAAAAGAGAGAGAAAGACGACAGGAACTTGGAGAAATTGTCACTGCATCAATAACTTCCATTTAATAATTTCACAGAAGTCAAATGCAATTTTAGAAGATACTCTACAAAGTTATATGCACGTTATATTTACAGATAAGTTTAACAAACTTCCAACCTTCAGCTTTTTGTAGGATTTTCATGGCCTGGTTCAGCTGGCCTTGGCCTATCAGTGCACATGCAGTGTTGTAGCACAGCTCATGTGTGCCTTCTTGGAGGCCCAGGTTCTCCTGTCAGGGGACAAAATACCAGTTAAATACTAAATATGAATAATAATTCATGACTGTATGGGTACACCACAAGGATACTCACTGGAACCACTTTTTCCCAATTGCTTTGAGCTGCAACAACTGCTGAAAGGTTTGTTTTCCTCTCCTCATCATAATCATCTTGGGAGTTTCGGACGAGATCTCTATACACTGCTAAGCATTCATCATAGCGTTCCAAACGGTATAACTGAATAATAAATAGCAAGTAAAAAATCAGAGACAAATATGGTGTTATGTCTTTAATATCATGCAAACCTTTTTTGGAACCACTAAGTAGGAATCCTAGTTCAGCATAACATGAACAATCAACTGTTTATGTTTTATAATTTTTAAATAGTTCCATGTACTAGTCATACTTTCAAATAAATTACTTTTTGAAAATACTTTTAAAATGAATTTTCACTATATTGTGGTTCTGTAGGCAGGATTCAGTTGAGAAAAGTCATTTTCTTTCTTTTCTTTTTCTTTTTTTTTTGAGACGGAGTTTCGCTCTTGTTGCCTAGACTGGAGAGCAATGGCGCGATCTTGGCTCACTGCAACCTCCACCTCCCTGGTTCAAGAGATTCTCCTGCCTCAGCCTCCCGAGTAGCTGAGATTACAGACGTGCGCCACCATGCCTGGCTAATTTTGTATTTTTAGTAGAGATGGGGTTTCTCCATGGTCAGGCTAGTCTCAAACTCCCAACCTCAAGTGATCCGCCCACCTCAGCCTCCCAAAGTGCTGGGATTACAGGCGTGAGCCACCGCACCCGACCCAGAAAACTGATTTTCTTTTTTTTTTTTTGAGATGGAGTCTCGCTCTGTCACCCAGGCTGGAGTGCAGTGGCGCGATCTCGGCTCACTGCAAGCTCCGCCTCCCAGGTTCATGCCATTCTCCCGCCTCAGCCTCCCGAGTAGCTGGGACCAGGCGCCCGCCACCACACCTGGCTAATTTTTTGTATTTTTTAGTAGAGATGGGGTTTCATCATGTTAGCCAGGATGGTCTCGATCTCCTGACCTCATGATCCGCCCGCCTTGGCCTCCCCAAGTGCGAAAAGTGATTTTCTTTACCTTTCTTCTTGAAATTAGTAAAGTGCCTAAATAGGTTGTGAAAGAACACCTTTCTATAGGTCTAGGTAACCCTGTTACCTAGATCTAAAATTACAATGAAAATATTTTTCCACAACACAAAATGATTACTAAAATAGGAACAAAATTAAATGTTAAGAAAAAGACTTAATGTTTCCTAGGAGTTCGCTATAATCTTCATTTTATCTTTCTCAGAAACCAGCTATCACACAGGTGAGTCTCAAGCAGACACAATAGAATTCCTACTGATTTCATTCAAGTTGTGCTCAAAGAACAACAACTGCCACTCTAGGTCAATTAGTCCATTATGTATGACACAGGCTGATGTCCTTAACCTCAAAATGCTAGAATTTACCCTAAAGTTATCCAGTTTACCTTAAAAGTTTTTTATAGACCTACAATCCATGAATTTGTCCAAATCTATCTTCAACTCATTTGTATTATTAAATCCATACTACCTCCTGAGGACAATACATTCAATACAACATTATTTGCCCTAAATTGACATTTAAAAGTCTTTAAGAGGAGGCCAGGCATGGTGGCTTACACCTGTAATCCCAGTACTTTGGGAGGTCAAGGCAGGCAAATCACTTGATGCTGGGAGTTTGAGACGAGCCTAGGCAACATGGCATAACCCCATCTCTACTAAAAAATATAAAAATTAGCTGCACGAGTTGGCACATGCCTGTAATCACAGCTACTTGGAAGGCTGAGGCAGGAGAATCGCTTGAACCTGGGAGTCAGAGGCTGCAGTGAGCCGAGATAGTGCCACTGCACTCCAGCCTGGGAAACAGAGAGACTCCATTAAAAAAAAAAAAAAAAAAAGAAAAACTTTAAGAGGGTTTTGCTAGCTGTAAGATACACATTTCTGTCCTCTTGTCATTAACAGCCCTATTTTACATTAGGGTTAATTTTATGTCTCAAAATACTTTAAAATATTTTCACAATTTCATGGGCTAGAATCATCTAAATTCTTATCTATCATGACATCCTTAGAGTAAAATATTAGTGAAATAGTATTTCAAATCTGTTTAATATACAAGCTCAATGTGCTTCATCTTTCTAACTCAAAAGTCAAAATTAAACAGATTAGTTCATTTTCTTTGATTTTCTGATTACCTGAGGAAGTCATTTGTTCATAGCACATTATATATGCAACTGTTTGTATGAAGATCAAGAAGAGGAATTATGTTCAAACCTTAAGGACTGGTTTGGTGGTCAGTTTTGTGGAGCATCAGGATGGGCTGGGTTTCCTCAACCCTGCTCCTTGCTAGAGGTAGTCATGCTCACTCAGTATCACTGTCAACATGTATTTAAAAGCAGTAATTACCACTTGTCCATAAAGCTCCTTCAGTTTGTCTGTCTGCTGGTTGGCACTTTCTATTGTCTTCAAGGCATTCTCAATTCTGTTCAGCCTGTACTCGCAATATGCCTTTTCAAAGGAGAGAGAGTTACTGAAGAAGGAAAAAAAAACAGTATCTGATTATTATCTAACAATGCAATGCACCCATTATATACAACACCACTCTAAACACTGGATTTAGTCCTGATAACAGATGAGAAAACTGACAAAGGTTAGAGACTTGTCTAAATATCAGATAGCTTGTAAATGTATATCAATCAAACATATAATTAAGCATATATCAACTTCCCTAGCCTCTCTTTCATGGATATTGTTATTAAAATTATTGGCCTTTTGAAATAAACATTTAAGAAGGAAATCATTCATCTGCTAAATAAGTAATTGTCTTAGATACAAAGATAATCTGAAGGATGTTAAATGGGTTGTTTTAGAAGTTTCTTAAATTCATTAACAAAACAATAAGCCATATTTCTTTAAACTTGTTTAAGAAACAAATGATTAGCAAAGAAACAGTAACTAGAAATCTTAAAAGAAGTACCTGTAATCAAACAACTGGTAAACACTACTAACATACACACACTTAAAAATTCATCTACATTAATGTGATACCTCATTGTTGATGTTTCAACCATAATCCATGAGGAAAAATATTTATCAAAGCAAAGGCTAATGTCCTTTATTTACTTACCTAACAAAAAATTTATTTTTGAGCCAGGTGTGGTGGCTCATGCCTGTAATCCCAGCACTTTGGGAAGCCAAGGTGGGCAGATCACTTGAGGTGAGGAGTTCAAGACCAGCCTGGCCAACACGGCAAAACCCTGTCTCTACTAAAATTACAAAAATTAGCTGGGCGTGGTGGTGCACATCTGTAATCACAGCTACTTGGGAGGCTGAGGCAGGAGAATCGCGTGAACCCGGAAGGTGGAGGTTCCACCAGCCTGGGCGACAGAGCAAGACTCCTCCCAAAAAAAAAAAAAAAAAACTTTTATCCAAGACTCATTGACAAAATGTTTTTGAAAATGTCTCTTTTCTCACAAAATAGCCCAAAATCAAGAGACTGAATTTTAGCAAACATATTTAATAGGAGAAAAGCAGCATTGCCTCTATTTCCCTTTTATTTTTAATAAAGTTTACAATTAATTTTTAATCTCTAACACATTTATACGCCTCAAATATAAAAAGAAAAAGAGATACACTAAGAGGCTTTATTCCCACTGCTACCCAAATCTAACCTGTTCCTATTACCTCCTACAAATGACTTTTTTTTTTTTTTGAGACGGAGTCTCCCCGTCACCCAGGCTGGAGTGCAATGGCACGATCTCAGCTCACTGCAGCCTCTGCCTCCTGGGTTCAAGTGATTCTCCTGCCTCAGCCTCCCAAGTAACTGGGAATACAGGTGCACACCACCATACCCAGCTAATTTTTTGTATCTTCAGTAGACATGGGGTTTCACCATATTGCTCGGTCTGGTCTCAAACCCCTGACCTCGTGATCCGCCCTCTTAGGCCTCCCACAAATGACTATTCATTGTTTCTCTTTATACTGTTTGTTTTGCAAATACAGGCAAATGCATATATAAATTTTTATATCCTCCTCCTCTTGTAAAAGGAAGTATAATATATATTGTTCTGCACCTTATAAACCAGTATCCCATTAATATGCTTCAAACTTAATTTCAATACATATTTTTTTGGAGCCTAGGTATAACAGTAAAGAAACTTCGACTGAGTTATTCTTGCTACATCCTCCAACGACTCATAATTATGCCCCACAACTCTCTATGGTTCACCTCCTTAGCGGTTCAAAGGAAACACAGTGGTTAAAAAAAAAAAAAAAAACTCTCTAAGGCTGAAAAAAACAGAAGTTACTAGTATTCCTTCCAGTTCAGAAACATTATTGACAAGCAAAAGGGGGGAAAAAAAGGAAGGAAAAAAACGTTAAAAAAAATCAGCAAATAGTTGGGAAAAAACATGGAAGAGATTATAGCTATAGTAAGTGTTTCTAATAACTGTACAAGCAACTAACTGAATCACTTACTTGGCTAACACTTTGGTGTGAGTATTGATGACATTCAAAGCTTCCTTGAAACTTCCATTCTGGATAAGGCATACCACTTTACAATGCAGGGCAGTTACGTCATCTTTGTTGATCTGTAGTACTAGAGAACAATTTTAGGAAAAGTCATTTTTAAATCCATTTCCTTTTCACATTTTTACTAAATTTTCCCACCCTGTCTCTCCGAAAGCTAAATTTCTACTTTTATTGCAACAGAAATAATTGGTCAGAACAACTGGAAGAAACAGCAACAAAACAAAACAAACCCAGAAAACAACTAATCTTTGCTTTTAACTTAAGAAGTGACAATAAGGAGAGTTATAGATTAAATTTTCAATGAGATAAAGATTCCCAATATACATGTACCAAAAAAGTGCAGTGAAATAAAGAAGAAAGAAGCAATTTCTCCAGATATTTCATCTTGAAATGCATGCTACATTCTACATAGTTCATTACTTCACAGGGAAAAAGTTCAGGTAGAATTTGGAAGCAAATGACCTAGGTTTGGTGCAAGCTTGCCACTAAATGCTTTGAGGTATTGGGCATATCACTTAACAGCCAAATCTCAGTTTTCTTAGCTACAAAATGATTAGAAAAGCATTACCTATTTAATAAGGTTACTGACAATATGAAATGAATATTTTGGAAAAATCTTATAAAGTATAATACAAAGGCAATTTATCTTGCTGGCAACGTTTCCAAAAATCATTAAAATTTCCCCTTTTCAACTAAGATGACCAAAGTATAAGGAAGAACTCAGGTGGCAAGTTTCAACGCTAACAACTGTTCGGTGTTAAAATGACCAGGATCATAGTTACTCTTGCTCCTGTGCAACTACAGAAGTCCAATTCTCAAAGAATCACAAGAATTTCTACCAATTAAGAAAACATACTGGTAAACAAGTTGACAATCTTTGCTGATTAAAGAATTCCTGCAAAATACTATACTAAGTATACAGTACTGGTTGGAAGGCTAGAGTTAATTCAAACAAATTTAGGGATCAAATAATTCTAATTCGTAGCTATTTTCCTCAATGTCTGAAATCACCAAAAGTGCACTGTGGGCACAATCACTACTTTTCACGTTAACCCAGTACTAGAGTGTTGAAAATTACTTAGATAGCTTTGCATGTTACTGACACACCTTTTAGGTTACTGCTACTCTGAACAGCTAAGCCCTGCCTTGGTAATTACATTTCCAAATCTAACATGCACAGGCTGTATCTTCAGTAGAGAAGAACTGCGCACCACCGAGAACATTAAGCAGCATGGCCATATTCCAGGTATGTAGTAAGGAACAAAAGAATATGATGAATTAAACCTCACACCAAAGGCGGTAAAAACCGAAATCATCCCTTACAGGGCAAAAAAACAGGCCAAACTTTTCTTCCGACATTATTTCAAGTGTTGGTGCTTCCACACACATATTTCCTAACTTAATAACACTGAAGAGATCTCATCTATGGGAATGACAGGCCTGACATCCAGATCCAGCCCTTTCCTCTCGCCCCGTAGAACCCGTACAGCTTCCACCTGGTTAGCACCAGCCTCTAAACTACGTGTCCCAAGCAGGTTCCTCCCCCTTTAGCGGCCAAAGAGAACAAGCTCCCTCAGCAATAGAGTCCTGATCACTGCGCTCAAGACGAAGAAGAAAAGGAGGCACTTTGGAATATTTGTGAAATAAAGCAGCAAAGGAGTCAAATAAGAAAACAGTTTGAAATGGACTCCGGGAGCTGCGGTCTCTTTAAAACCTTCCCTCGCTTCCCGCGGAGGGTAAAAAGAGAAGTACACGTGGCTGTAAGCAACCAGGGACCCCAGGCTGGCCTGGTGAAGCCGAGGAGTGAGACCTGCGTCTTCCGGGCGCTAGGGCCCGAGCCGGGCGGACAATAGACGGGGGGGTTTCGGGGGTCTCCCCTTCCCGTGCCTCCCGCGCGAGGTGGTCTCGCGCGCCGGAAACAGGCCGCATCCTCCAGCCGGCCTGGGCCCGCCCCAGTGCCCACCCCGACACTTACTCTTATTGACGGTCTTGAGAGCGCGCGTGAAGTCGCCGTTCTGGCCATACCGGTTCACTTCACTCCACAGCGCAGGTACTGACACCCCCCCGCTGCCGCCGCTCGCCATCTTGGAGGAGACGAGGGGCGGGGCGGGGAGACCTCTGCCCCGGAACAGGATCTCCGAGGCAGCCAAGAGGAGGAGGAAGTCGATGATTGCTAAGCGTCGCCGAGTTGGGAGTGTCTTCAGCCCTAAGGCAGCATCAGAGATCATAATCTTCTGCTCTCGTGGCAAGAAATTTGTGCGGATAGAGTTGATACACCTCACTTGAAGTTGGCCTGGAGAAAAGAGGCGTCGGACTCCTGGACGGGGTTGGGAAACGGTCACCAGTTTCGGCTCAAAGCAGCCTGTTTCCAGGAGACCGCCATGGTCGAGGCAGCGTCCTGGTCCCACGGTGCGGGGCCGGACGATCATTTATGGGATATAAATAAAAGGACTATGAGGTGGTAAATAAAAGACTACCAACTAGAAGCCATAGGGAGTCATTTGAAGGAGAAATAGGCACGGCTCATCTGTGGTTGAGGGAAAGGGATCTTGAAAGATGATTAGGAGAACTTGGGTTCTGGGGAAAGTGCGGGAAGACATTCTGGCAGAGAAGCAAACGTGAGGAAAGGTAAGAAGGCAAGAATCTCCCATTACAAAGGGTTTGGTGAAACCCTTTGCCTGTCCTTTTCGCTCCCTTCGGGAGCAGTCGGCAATAAGCTGGAAGGGTAATGGGGTGAAAATGCCCGTGGTCAGTTCCCTGGCTCTGCGACTCACTAGATGTCTGACAATAAACAAGTTACTTAGCTTCTGGGAGTCTGTTTTCCCGATTGTGAAATGGGGATACTATATTTGTTCTAGAGATATAAAATATTAGGGTTTGCTTGCGACCGTTAATATCAAGATGTGTTCAGATGTACGAAGGGAATGGATATCTGTTGGGTACACTTGATGTGAGTGATTTTTTTTTTTTTTTGAGACGGGGATCTTGCCGTGTTGCCCAAGCTGGTCTGGAACTCCTGGGCTCAAGCAATCCTCCCACCACAGCCTCCCCAAGTGCTGGGATTACAGGCATGAGCCACCACACCAAGACGATGTGAGTGATTCACTTGATGTGAATGTTGTATTTCATTGAATGGCCTGCTCTTCAGACTCATATCTCGTCATGACCTTTACAACTTCTACTACTTCCTGTGTCCCTCAGGAACCTAGCTTTTTTTTTTTTTTTTTTTTTTTTTTTTTGAGACGTAGTCTAGCTCTGTGACCCAGGATGAACCTCACTGCAATCTCCACCTCCTGGGTTAAAGCGATTCTTTTGCCTCAGCCTCCCAAGTAGCATGAGCCACCACGCCCGGTTAATTTTTGAATTTTTAGTAGAGATGGGGTTTCACTGTGTTGGCCAAGCTGGTCTCAAACTCCTGACCTCAAGTGATCCGCCCTCTCTCAGCCTCCCAAAGTACAGGGATTACAGGCGTAAGCCACCGTGCCCGGCCTTGCTAACTACTTTTTGTCTTTCAGTCTTTCTGGTTATACGTTGAAAGTTACTTTGAGGAAACATTTGATCTTGCAGACTGGGCAGCCTTCTGGTTGCATCCTCTTAGAACAGGGGTCCCCAACCCTTGTACTGGTCTGCAGCCTGTTAGGAACCGGGCGGCACAGCAGTAGGTGATCGGTGGGCCAGTGAGCAGTACCGCCTGAGCTCCTGTCAGATCAGCTGTGATATTAGCTTCTCACAGCTCAAACCCTATTGTGAACTGGGAATGTGAAGGATCTAGGTTGCTCACTCCTTAAGAGAATCTAATGGGAAATGTAATGAGCTTGAATCATACTGAAACCAGCTGTCCAACTCCTGTGGAAAGATTGTCTTCCCTGAAACCGGTCCCTGGTGCCAAAAAGGTTGGGAGACTCCCTATAGGACTCCACTTCTGAGCACTGATAATTAAGGGTTATCTCACTCTGTATGGACTATAGTTCTGAGGCCAAGGAACCATATTTACCTTGCTCACTGCAGTATCCCTAGGATCTAGCATACTGCCTGGCACATAGTTGGCATTTTTTGTTTCACATTCCTTGCCTAATCTTGAGTTCCTTGAGGGCAGAAACTGCCCAGCTCCTGATATGGCATATGGTGCCCTGCCATATTTTTGTCTGGTCCTTCCAGTATATACAATGCAAAGAGCATGAAAGGTGGCTTGAACTCTAGGTGCTGGAGGGTGTAATTCTTGTGAATTAGTAAAAATCATGAGAAGAGCTTTAGACTTTTACTGACTAGAATTGTCACAGGTTTCAAGCCAGTTATGTTTAGATTTCAGGGGGTGGGGGCTCCAGATGACATGGTATACCCAAAATGTTGTGTGAGAAAATTGGGTATACCCAAAATTTTGTTGTATTTTGTTATTCTGAGAAAATGTAGATTCCACTGTATTCTCCAAAGGTGTTTATATCCACCATCCCCTCCCAAAAGTTAAGAGCCACTGTCCTAGTAGTACTTTTTAGAACATTGACTTTATATAAGAATTGGCAATTTTCGTTTCTATATCATTCTAATCCTATATACTTTGTAGCTTTTAGAAATGCTCAGAATTCTGCTGCTGTGGACTTGTTTCTATTTCTTATGTCATTTTAATGGAGTTTTGTGGCAAACAGCCTATAAATATGGGGCTTAACCTGCCATTTTTGAAACAGGAATCTTCCAAACCATAGTGGTGTTTTGTTTTTTTTTTTTTAAATAACAAATTTACATCTCACATTGTGAAGGATGGAAAGATTGTCTGGTGAGGGGCCACTCTGATTCATAGATGGCATCTTCTGTTTTCACATGGTGGGAAAAAAACCAGACTGATCTCTTAAAGCATGTATCTGATGCCACTTTCCTACCCTCACGATAAAATCCGAACTCCAAAGAAGAGCAGTAAGAGCTTTTGTGATCTGGCCTCTGCTTGCCACCTCCCCAACTCACATAGGTCTCTATACTTATTTCCTAGCCCCCTTGCATGCTATTCACCTCTAACTTCCATGTAGTTATGTGTCCCCCTACCTCCTGGAATTTGCATTTTTATTCATCTGACAAGTGTTTGTCTTGTATATGCCAGTGCCGTGTATTACACCAGTTGCTGTGATACAGCTGACAACAAAGAAGACAGCCCAGTGTAATACATTTATTTTCTAGTTGGGAGAGATGGGTAATAAATAAACATGTACTATGTTTGGTGGTAATAAGTTTGCTGAAGAAAATTATGGAAAGGTAAGAGAGATTGAGTATAGACTGTGGAGAATTAGTCTTTTTCATTCACAGTATACAATTGTTTTCTAGAGATCAGAGTCCTTCCTACTTTTGTGTATTCACAATACCCTATTGTTAATTCCATATTAAGACTATATACGGTGTTTTGAAATTGTCTGCCTCTGGAGACTTCCAAGATTCATTGAGAGCAGAAGGTTAATTTTGTTCATCTTTGCATTCCCAGGGTCTTATATATACATAATAGGCTGTATTTGTTCTCTAAAAAATACAGAACCAATAGGATATGTACAGATTATGAGAAATTGGCTCTGCAAAATGGAGGTGAAGTCCCACAGTCTGCCTTCTGCAGGCTGAAGGCCCAGGAAAGCCAGTGTAGTTCCAAACCCGAGGGCTTGAGAATCAGGGGAGGCAATAACGTTAAGTCCTAGTCTGAAGGCCTGAGGACCAGGAGCACCAACATCTGGGGGCACGAAATGGATGTCCCAGCAGTTCACCCTTCTTCCCCTTTTTTGTTCTATTCAGGCCCTCAATGGATTAGATGACGCTCACCCACATGGGTGAAGGCAGTCTTCTTTACTCAAGTCTACTGATTCAAGTGCTAGTCTCTTCCAGAAACACCATCACAGATGTACCTAGAAATGTTGTTTGACCAGCTATCAAGGCATCCCGTAGCCTAGTCAAGTTGACAGAATTAGCCATCTCATCAGTATCCACAATGTATTTTTATATTAATGGATTTAGCCTGAGAAGCTTCCATGTACAGTATCTTTTTTTTTTTTTTTTTGGCGACAGATTTTCGCTCTTGTTGCCCAGGCTGGAGTGCAATGGTTCGATCTCAGCTCACCACAACCTCTGCCTTCCAGGTTCAAGCGATTCTCCTGCCTCAGCCTCCCGAGTAGTTGGAATTATAGGCATGCACCACCATGCCTGGCTAATTTTGTATTTTTAGTAAAGAGGGGGTTTCTCCATGTCAGTCAGGCTGGTCTTGAACTCCCGACCTCAGGTGATCTGCCCACCTCACCCTCCCAAAGTGCTGGGATTACAGGCGTGAGCCACTGCACCCAGCCTCATGTACAGTATCTTATGGTATCTTGTCAACTCAGAGGCAAGCAGAAGAAATAAGACGTGAGCCACCGCGCCCAGCCTCATGTACAGTATCTTATGGTATCTTATCAACTCAGAGGCAAGCAGAAGAAATATTTAGCTCCATTTTATAACTTGATTTCCATTCCACTATTTTCATTGTACTGCAATGTGAGATTAACAATTCCACCCCAAGTATTTGAGGTGTGGGAAGCTGGATGTAAAAACACCATTAAAAACAACTCTTTTCAATGGCTTTCTAAGGTTGGCTGGGCTGAAATGGCAGGTTGTGGATGCTCCGTGGCACATCACACTGCCCCTTTCTTCATATTAGAAATTAAATCAGCCGATGGCAATATTGAATTCCAGGTAATTTTCTTTCTTTCTTTTTTTTTGAAACAGAGTTTTGCTCTTGTTGCCCAGGCTGGAGTACAATGGCGCAACCTCGGCTCACCACAACCTCCGCTTCCCAGGTTCAAGCGATTCTCCTGCCTCAGCCTCCTGAGTCGCTGGGATTACAGGAATGTGCCACCATGCCCGGCTAGTTTTGTATTTTTATTAGAGACTGGGTTTCTCCATGTTGGTCAGGCTGGTCTCGAACTCCTGATCTCAGGTGATCCACCTGCCTCGGCCACCCAAAGTGCTGGGATTACAGGCATGAGCTACCATGCCCAGAGAATTCCAGGTAATTCTCATGGTGAATGAATTCCATTCATACTGTTGTTCTTCAGTCTGCCAAATGGATATTACATAACACATTTGTGTGCCATGATGGGCCTTACATATATTGACTCATGTAATTCTCACAACTTTATGAGGTGGTATTAGTCGCATTTTCATTTCATGAAATTGAGGCACAAAAAAATTAGACATGTTGAAGATCATACATCATCCCTCACCTGGGCTACAATAGCCTCTTAACTAATCTCTGCTTCTCCTCTTGTCCACACAACAGCCAGAGAACCTTTAAATATGTTAAGTATGTCAAGCCTCTGCTCAAACTGAGTTTTTCCTGTCACACTTCAGTGTGGCCTATAGGCCCTAAGTGATGTAGCCTTTGCTTATATTGTCTTCCACTCTCATCCTTGTTCACAGAGCTCTAGCAATTCTCATGTTTGGAGGTCCTCAAGGCAAAACTCAGCTTTATTTCCCATTCCCTTAGTATGGAAAGCTATTTCCCTATCTGTGTGTCTTGCTTTTACATCATTGCTCTGCTCTCCTCAAAAACCTTCCCCTCTTATCCCCATCACCGTCCTCATTTTGATTCTTCATATACATTTATCCTTTCCTGATTTTATACTGTTTACCTTTTTATGGTTTGTTTTCCCCTCTAAAACATAAGTTCCATCTGGACAAGGGCTTTGCTCAGTCCTATTTTCCTAGGCCCTAGAATCAAACCAGTATTGGGTGAATGGATACTGAATGAAGCTTTACCTAAGTGCTTTGTCTTTTACTTAGTTTCAGTGGTTAAATCTCAGAAAGCTTAACAGCAATTCTAAGCATGTCTTTATCATAAAAGGTTAAAAACTGTATTATTGGGATATTTTTTCTCTTTTTATGTTTACCTACAAGCCCGTAGAAAGTATAAATACTCAAAAGATAGCAGACCAGGTAGGCTTAAGTTACTTTTACAAAACAGTAGAAATACCTTCAAATATTTAGCACTGATGAACTTACTACTGAGGACATGTGGACTCTACTAAGAAACTAATGATGAAATTCATAATTGGGTGTGGTAGCACATGCACCCAGCTACTCGAGAGGCTGCAGCTTGAGTCCAGGAGTTCAAGGCTGCAGGGAGCCATAATCATGCCACTGCACTCCAGCCTGGGAGACAGTGAGAACTTGGCTCTTAAAAAAAAAAAGGAAAAAAAATTGATAACGACAATTTGTAATGGTCAGTCCTATCCACCAGTCTAAATGAAAGTTTAAAAATTTTCATATACTGCACAGAAGTAGATGGAGTCTTAATGCTAGGTAAGGGTAAACAAGCTGAAATAGCAGTCAGTGACTTCAGAGACCATGAAACCAAAGTTAATCTTCTAAGTCCTTTTAATTGTTCTTATAAACTAGCATAAGATATAAACTTAAGTAGTACACATGAGTTTTATAATTTACTAATCTCTGACAGATAGCTAAGCATAGCACATCAGAGCATAACACAGTGTGAGGGAAATAAAGTGTACAATGACATCTTCTATTCTGGACCTAATAATTCAATAGAGAAAGAACTACTTGTAGTCACTGTGGTTACAGAAGGTTTCATGGACAGCGAACATAAAGCTCTACTAGCTAACAAATAGGTCTTAATGATAAAAACGTGGGCCTTCAGAGAACTAAAGGTACCAATGTGTGGCAGTCCAAAATTACGAGGAAAATGAGTTCCCTTCATGGGTCACATCAGCAATTTTTTTTTTCCCCTTTTGAGACAGAGTCTTGCTCTGCTGCCCAGGTTGGAGTGCAGTGGCATGATCTAGGCTCACTGCAACCTCCGCCTCCCGGGTTCAAGCAATTCTCATGCCTCAGCCTCCCGAGTAGCTGGGATTACAGGTGCCTGTCATCACGGCTGGCTACTTTTTGTATTTTTAGTAGAGACAGGGTTTCACCATGTTGGCCAGGCTGGTCTCAAACTCCTGACCTCAAGTGATCTGCTTGCTTCAGCCTCCCGAAGTGCTGTGATCGTAGGTGTGAGCCACTGTGCCCAGCTACCTCATCAATTCTTAATCTATAAACCATGGATAGGCTTCGGGAGAACCCAAGAACCAATGAAATCTGTTGGTAAGTTTTATGTGTGCGGTTTTCTACAGAGAGGGTCAACAGCATGTATATTTTCAAAGAAGTCTGTGGTGCAAAAGAGAGTTTATTGTTAGAAGTCCTTGGGCAATCAACTTGGAAAAGGGTGGATTGAGAATGGGGGCTGTCTAGATCAGGATAATGTTGAATTTGACCCTCACTTGAGGCTTTTGTACAGAGGATGAGAAGACGGTAAATTCAAGGGTTAATCAGAAATTAACACCAACATGACTTGGTGATGAGTGAGATGTGAAACGTGAGAAAAACATCAATGATGAAATCAAGCTTCTGACTTGCAACAGTGAGTATACCAAGAGCTACAGGCTTGGAAGATGAATAAAGTTGGGAGCATTCTGTTTTTTCATGAGTGCCCATGGGACAGACAGGGAGAAATGGACAGTTGAAAGTACAAGTCTAGACAGGCACAGTGGCTCATGTCTGTAACCCTAGCACTTTGGGAGGCTGAGATAGGAGAATTACTAGGGTTCAGGAGTTTGAGACGAACCTGGGTGACATAGTGAGAGCTCATCTCTACAAAAAATAAAATTAGCTCGGCATGGTGCTGCAAGATTATAGTCCCTGTTAGTCGAGAGGCTGAGGTGGGAGAACTGCTTGAGCCCAGGAGGGAAAGCAGCAGTGAACTGAGATCACGCCACTGCACTCCAGCCTGGGCGACAGTGAGACCCTGTCTCAAAAAAAAAAAAAAAAATGCAAGTCTGGAGAAATATAGCTGGGAGTCAGTAATGCCAGTTTTAGCTGAGGGAGTTAAGATCATTTAATCAGTGTTAAGGAAGAAACTCAATAGTAGTGACCACCAATACTTAAGGAAAAAGGATAAAGTAAGAGGAATGATAAAGGCTGGCTGAAATATCTTGGTGTCTAGCCTAAGAAAGGAGGGGTTAGATGCTCATGTTTATTAATATGGATCTAGAGAAGCATTTATTCACTAATACATTTTATTTGTGTTCTCTAATTTAAAATTACCTTTTCATCTTGCTTGATTTTCCTTCAGCTAAATTAGAAATTTGTAGTTTTTCCCCTAAAAAATTCAATGGCATTCTTTCTTATAAATTACATTCTCTGATTTTCTTGTCAGCCTGCTTCAAGGAAATCCATGTGTTCAAAATGCTTGCTCGCAGTTTGCTCCATACCAAATGGTTGCTTAACCCAAATATCTGAGCAGCAAATTGAGCTGATCCTTCTGGAGAAAGTACGGTTGAACAGCCAAGACCTATTGGTTCAGCAAGGAAAAGACAGAAAATTGAGCTCAATTAGTAATGAAAATACAACCTTACAAAAAATTTTATACTCAGAGCAGTCCTGCCACAGAAAATAAAAAGCTACTGCATTATTCTAATCTAAAGTAGAATCTGTACAACTGTCTTTAATACCGGAGTGGTAAAGTGATTACAAGAGGAAAAGCAGTCAGTATTACCTGCCATGAAGAGATATTTTATATATATCATCTATCACCCTTCTTATAGAACTCACTTACAAAGAAACTTATCTTTTTGAAACTTCTGTTCACATACACTATCCCTTTCAATCCCTGGCGAAGAACAACTGAAGCAAAATAAGGGTCAAGGTAAGAGTACAAAAGTACCTGTTCTTAGACAAACTTGAGCTATGTTGTTTTGACAGTTTTCTAGCTAATCTTTCTATCTGCATTTGAACTATTTTAATATTTTTGAGCAGTAAAAGTCAAATCCGTAGAATAATTTTAGGAAATGTCAAGTTATAAATAAATATTAATAAGATCCAAGACAGCAGAATAAAAAAGTAACATCCTAGGGGCCACATGTCTGCTCAGGCAGAGTGTCTTGAGGTGGTACTATTATGTCTAGTGTTTGCTAGAATCAGGGGTACTATTATGTCTAGTGTTTGCTATAGTTCCAAAAGCTCGATTTTCCCGATATTCTTGGAATTCATCAGGCTCTTTGACTCCCATTATCCACAAGAACAGAGTCAAATACAAATCACAAGGCCAATTTACTAATTTGTATTAATACGTTATTTTATGGAGCTCCACCCCTTAATATGTGGTATTGGTCAAGTTACTTCACGTTAATTTATTCTCCTCTTCTGTGAGAAGGGAATTTTAACTAGTAGCTACCTGATGTGACACTTCAATGAGTTAATAACATAGATAAAGTGCTTAGAGCATTGCCTGGTACACAGTATGTGCTCCAAGAATGTCAACCACTATTGTTAGCACGCTAGGTAGAGTGCTCCACTCTAATATTTGAAATAACCTGTGCCTCCTGCCCAGGACTCCCTTTCTGGTAAAAGAATAGCTTAAATTGCAGAAAAAAAAAAAAAAGTTATCTAGTGAGCATGACATCAGAGATGAGAAATATGGGCGGTCTTCAGGATTTTACACAGGTTACTGTAAAACTACTCCTCAAAAGATTATCCCCAATTCTAGTGATCATTATGTACAAGTCTTCCAGATTATTTGTCACTCCTGAAACAACACTACTATAAAAACTGCCAATTTTTTGCTTATCATGCTCCCCTTTTGTAAGCTCCATGGGTATCTATACAATTCCTCTGGCATAAATTTGGTTACAGCTTTATTTGTAGCCGCTGATTTTTAGCTTGAGACATTTGTATAATCACATCTTGTTAAAGATAGCTTAGGCACAAAATTTAATTCTCAGAGCCTATAAAAACAGTAAAGGAAATAGGCATGAACACACAAGGCCAGATAACAGCAGTAACATTTTGGCAACTGAAAGGCAAACACAGTGGTAGCTAAGTTAGCAGACCAAGAAAACTTAATCAAAATTAGCTGGCATGGTGGTGCATGCCTGTGATTTCAGCTACTTGGGAGGCTGAGGCAGGAGAATCGCTTGAACCTGGGAGGCGGAGGTTGCGCCATTGCATTCTAGCCTGGGCAACAGGAGCGAAACTCCATTTAAAAAAAAAAAAAAAAAAAAACTTAATTCTAAACTGAAAGCAGGGAAAGATGAGAAGCAACATGACTGACATTACAGAACTCCCCCAAAGGGTGACTGACTAAATTAGTGGCACCAGATACCTTTGGAAGGGAATAGGGACTAAGAAGAAGATGACTGACTCGAAGTCTAAGAAGAAGCTAGGTCCTCAAATCTCCTTCCCCACTCCATCTACCTGAGTAACTGCCTCTTTAAAGCACTGTAGCAATTTTTTTCTTTTTAAACATTATTTTTTTCTGAGACACGGTCTCGCTCTGTCATCCGGAGTGCAGTGGTGCAATCACGGCTCACTGCTGCCTCAACTTCCCAGGCTCCAGTGATCATCCCACCTTGGCTTCCCAAGTAGCTGGGACCACAGGCGTGTGCCACCATGCCTAGCTAATTTTTGTATTTATGGTAGAGATGGGGTTTCGCCAGGTTGCCTAGGCTGAGCTCAGGCAATCCACCAATCTCTGCCTCCCAAAGTGTTGGGATTATAGGCATGAGCCACCAAGCCAGGCCTTTAATTTTTCTGAAGGTAAAACAGACTTCAGTCTTGGCGTCTTTGAACTAGGGGACGCCAGGCACAGACAACTTTTGTTCTCTGAGTAATTCTGGTCAACACTTAAGAAAATACCTAGACACTAATGTGAGGGGTTGTTTGAAGAACAATCCCTACCAGATACACCCCACAGTGAAGCCCAATTTTGACACGGACCACCCACTTGAAGTTTCCAATTGTTTTTTATAGTATTCCACTCTTAAAAGCGCAAACAGCCAAGGATTACCAGACAGCTGAAGAAAGTAACTATATGCAACAGACTATAATCATCTCCAGAGAACAAAAAAGAGCTTTTGGAAATTTAAAAACATACAAACACAAACAACAACAACAACAAAAACCCAGAAAACAAAAACCAAAAGAAATATAAAAACATTGTGTAAAAAAAAAAAAAAAAACCCCAGAGGCAGTGGTTCCTACCCAATCCCAACACTTTGGGAGGCTGAGGTGGGAAGATTGCTTGAGTCCAGGAGTTCAGGACAAGCCTGGACAACATACGGAGTGCCCATCTCTACAAAAAGTAAAAAAATTAACCAGGTGTGATGGTGTGGGCCTGTAGTCATAGCTACTTGGGAGTTTGAGGTGGGCGGATCACATGAGCCCGGGGAGTTCAAGGGTCCAGTGAGATATGATCATGCCACTGTGCTCCCACCTGGGCAACAGAGCAAGACCCTGTGTCAAAACAAACAAAAAACACCTGTATCCAAAATGAAGGCCGGGCACAGTGGCTGACGCCCATAACCTCAGCACTTTGGGAGGCCAGGGCAGGCAGATCACCTGAGGTCAAGAGTTCGAGACCAGCCTGGCCAACATGGTGAAACCACATCTCCACTAAAAATACAAAAATTAGCCAGGCGTGGTGGTGCATACCTATAATCCCAGGTACTCAGGAGGTTGAGGCACGAGAACCGCTTGAACCTGGGAGGCGGAGGCTGCAGTAAGCTGAGATTGCGCCATTGCACTCCAGCCTGGGCAAGAGAGCCCGACTCCGTCTCAAGAAAAAAAAGAAAAACTCAATAGAAGGGTTGGAATGTAAAATTTAGGAAATATTCCAGAAAGTATACCAACAAGACAAACAAGTAGAATAGAAATCAAGGGAAGCCCAAATTTATTCAAATTCAAAAATGAGAAGAGAGAATATGGAGGGGTATGAAAATTAAATAATTCAAGGAAAATGGGGACTAAGAAATCAGAATTTCAGATTAAAAGAGCTCACCGAAAGTCCATAATGAAAACAGACTCAGCACATCACATCTGTGTAAAATTTAAGAACAATGAAAACAGACAAAAGATCCTGAAAGATTCCAGAGAGAAACAAAATTCATAAGAAACCTAGAATCAGACTGGTGGAAAAGCAATGGAGTCCTCAACTGTGGATGCTAGGAGACAGTGGAGTAATAATGCTCCCAAAATTCCAAAGCAAAATGATTTTCAGCATAGGATTCTATTTCTAAACTATCAAGTATAGGGCTTCAATATACACATTTTAGATACACAAGGTATCAAAATTTACCTTTTGTATTCTTTTGCCCCCAAGTTCAAGAATGTACTCCAACAAAATAAAAATAAACCAAGTAAGGGGAAAACATGGGAGATCCAAGCCTAGAGAAAGGCAAAATGAGTCTCCAAAATTATGGTAAAGGGGGATCCTAAGACAACAGCAGTACAGGATGCCTAGAGAGAAGCCAGTCCACTGGACCAGGTTGGAGGGCTCAAAGACTTAATATACTTGACACATATCAAGACTGGATATATACAGATATGAGAAAAGTTAGGGATTTTAGTAATAAAGCAAATCTCCTACTGAAACAATATTGACCCTCATAAACTGCAGAATATCAGATCATATCTTGGACTATGATGAACGAACCACAACACTGTTACGTGATCCAGTTCCATCAGCCAAAAGGGGACTTCCTTATGTTATTATCTTTTATCCCCAATTTTTTATTTTGAGACCGAGTCTCACTCTGTTGCCCAGTTTGGAATCCATTGGTACAATCTTGACTCACCTCTGCCTCCCAGGTTCAAGCGATTCTCCTACCTCAGCCTCTGAGTAGCTGGGATTACAGATGCTCACCACCATGCCTAGGTAATTTTTGTATTTTTAGTAGAGATGGGGTTTCACCATATTGGCCAGGCAGGTCTTGAACTCCTGACCTCCAGAGATCTGCCCACTTCAGCCTCCCAAAGTGCTGGGATGACAGGCATGAGCCACTGCACCCAGCCTTATCCCCAATATTTAAGAATAAAATTGTATTCTCTCTACAGAAGTAACATGATCACATTTACTTTAAAAAAAAAAATCAATACCATGAATTCTTGGGAAAAAAATATCTAAACTTGATTTTATTACAGATCTCACCATCAGTTTATAGAAAATATAGGGAATGGAAGAGCATGTTTACCACCACCTAGAAATGTAAGAAGCCAAATCCAAAATATAGAAAATTCTATTGAAAAAATGAAAGGGAAAAAGGGAGGATGAATTGTTATATATTTAAAAAATCAAGAGATTATCAACTAAATGCAATATAAGGACTGTGGTGGATCTGAACAAACAGATGAGACAATTAGAAAACTTGGACCCCAACTAAAAATTATACCTTAAGAAACTACCACTAGTCTTTCTTAGGTGTGAATATGGTATTGAAACTGTGTCCCCAAGAGTTAAAAGATACCAACAACTAACAGAAATTCCTGAGTTTGCAGAATGGTAGATTAAACAATATGGCCAACTAGAGTCTGCACAGAACCAGCTTACTGATGTCACAGGCCCAATTTCCACCACAATTCATTCTAACTCCCCCAAATTTACACACGTGATCCATGAAATAACATGAAGAGATAACTGCACATGCCCAAGGACTTTCTAGACCTCCCCTTTCCTTCCACCAATCACCTACTAATCCCAGAATCTATCCCCTAAACCTTTTCTAATAAAATTGCTGCCTTAAAGCCAGCACAGATTTGAGCTGGACTCATGTCTCCTTGTTGGTCAACTTGAAAGAGGAAGCCTTTCTTTCTCAAAAACCTGGTGGCTTAGATAGTACTGGTTTCTAATGCATCAGATAGTGGGCTCCTTTTGTTCTATAACAATATCATGATTATGATTTAAAAACTAGAGCCTGTATTACTTAAACATATACTTAAGTATAAATTACTATAACGTCTAAGATCTGCTTTAAAATAATCCAGCAGGAGATGGCTGTAGACACAACAAGATGTTAATTGCTGAAGCTAGGTCATGGGTACATGAGATTTTATTATGCTATTCTGTCTACTGTTGTGCATCTGTTAAATGCTTGTAATGAACAGTTTTTAAAAATTCAATGTATCTTACCACTGGGTAGTCGAAGAGAAGACCACACATCCTGAACTCCCCAGTCTGGTGTGAGGGGAGGACAGCTGATAACTGGATATGCAGTGTTCCCAGACATCACTGGTCCCAAACCATTACTTCTGCCTGCCACTGCCACAAATACAGTAGGAATGCCATCCCCTAGGGAAATGACAAGAGTATAATTATGCTAAACATTCAAAACAGATTTAAAGACAGGGTTTTTTTTTTTTTTTGGTTTAAGGCCTATATGTTTTAATTACTTGAGGTCCTTGAATAGTCTTCTCTGAAAAAACATAAAAGATACTATTATTACACATATATTCAAAACATAAGGTTACTCTGCCACTTACTATAAGTCAAGTAATAAAGTAGCTGGAATCGGTTTGGTTGTTTTTGAGATCTACATTATAAAGGGGATAGCAGGGTGTCAGTGAGGGAATAGCTCATAGGCCTCTTCTATTGCTGTATAGGCTGGCCAAAGTGAAGAATGACACCATCTGAACAGGTGTCTTTCTTGACTGGGTGGTCCCTCAACTGGTGCAGGGAGAACCAGTTAATATAAACTAGGGGTTTAGGGACACGTCTTCAAACAAGAGTTGAAGGAAAGTTTAATTAATATAGTGTCCCCCAAATTTTAAGGCCCTTTGATACATTTTTTAACATAATCTCTTAAGCAATTCATTCTTTGATAAATTTATAAATTATCCTCCTGTTTCCTAAAGCAGAGATTTGTTAACCTAGAATCCAAAATTGTATGTATTTGCAATTTTCTGAAAAGAGTTCTAGAATTCATTAGCTATCAAAGGAGTCTGAGTTCCCCCAACCTCCCACTCCCCCAAAATTAGTAACTACACTTCCATAGCAACAACCTGTACACGAAATAATCAACATTTTTTTCCAGTTGAGAAACATTTGGTTGTAAACCCAGGGCTCCATTATTTTAGATCACTGCTATACCATTATTTTTTATGTACTATATTCTGAAACTGTTCTTTAATTTCCTATCTGACTGCCTCCCAGGAAAGGGTGGCAACTAAAGATTCCCGGGAGAACCGGCTATTTTAACCTCCCGCCTCCTGTAACTGTGGGGGCCTATTTTCTATTGGAGTATATTAGAAGCAATGCTCCAGGGGCTTCTTACCAGGTAAGGATGCCAGAGGTTCTCATCATTCTAGTCTTTGTTTTCTTTTCATACTTGCATTTTTAATTATTTCTCCCTGCTCCTTTCTTTTCTAAGCTTCTAGAATACCTTAAGCTCTTTGGAGGTGAGTATTAAGAAAGCCTAGCGGCCAGGCGTGGTGGCTCATGCCTGTAATCCCAGCACTTTGGGAGGCCAAGGCAGGCGGATCATGAGATCAGGTCAAGACCATCCTGGCTAACACAGTGAAACCCCGTCTCTATTAAAAATACAAAAAATTAGCCGGGCATGGTGGTGGGCGCCTGTAGTCCCAGCTACTTGGGAGGCTGAGGCAGGAGAATGGTGTGAACCCGGGAGGTGGAGCTTGCAGTGAGCTGAGATGGCGCCACTGTACTCCAGCCTGGGCGACAGAGTGAGACTCCATCTCAAAAAAAAAGAAAGCCTAGTATATCATGTGTTTTTCCCTTAGAAAACTGACAAAGCTCTTTTTTCAGCATTATTAGTCTAAAGTGTGTAATTACTTTTAGCAAAATCAGAAATACCTGAAATGTCCATATTACTTGTGGTTTACCTTCATACTCAGCTTTAATCCTCAGAGTTTCATCTGGTCCTTTATGCGCAGATGTTACTCGAAGTTCACATGGAATGCCAAAATTTCCACAGGCCTTCTTGATTTTTTCACAGTGACCAAGATCAGAAGTAGAGCCCATCAACACTACAACCCTGCACTGACTTTCTGATTTCAAAAGCAACTGAAGAAAAAATACGTGGATATGAAAAGAACATAAAAACAAAAATGAATAAATGAGCTAGAGTTTGTAGTAAAATTATATCTGGGCCCAATATTTTCTTTCTTAACAGATCAAATTTAAGACAGAGACAAACAACAAAAAGACAGGATTTATTTTTAAAAATCTCAATATATAAAGGAAAGTGGTCTTCATCAAGACCTAAAGAATTCAATTTTTATCAGACAAATTATTTAAAATAAACAGTAAAGATACTCAAAATCTTTTAATTTTCAGGAAATTATAATACAAAATATTTCATCCTAAGACCTTTAGTGCACTTTGTTTAATGGAAGCTTTAAGGTATGATTAGCCAAATCAGAAGTCATGTTCTAAGTCTTTGTAAGTTAATTGCTTGTAACTCAAAATATATATTCCTATAAGAATAATGTTCTCAAATGTGATTATGACCCTTGCATAATCACAAACCCCATTCAACTCCCAGAATTATAGTAATACCATAAAACTTAAAGGAATATTTAAAGTCACACAGAGTTCCATCCATCCCATGCTAATGGAACTCTGACTAGCAGTGCAGGTGAGTAGGAAATATAAGGTTTCTCCTACGGGGTAGGGAGGAGACAGATTCCAGGTTTCCCCAACAGGATCTGGGAGGTATGTATTGGCCAGCTTAACAGCACGGAGTTCCAGTATCCTAGTAAGGATAGCCCAGCTGATACATTTCCTAAAAGTGTTCCTCACTTTCAAAGTCACTGAAGAGCTGGGCGTGGTGGCTCACGCCTGTAATCCCGGCACTTTGGGAGGCCGAGGCAGGGGGATCACGAGGTCAGGAGATCAAGACCATCCTGGCTAACACGGTGAAACCCCGTCTCTACTAAAAATACAAAAAATTAGCTGGGCGTGGTGGCCAGCGCCTGTAGTCCCAGCTACTCGGGAGGCTGAGCTAGGAGAATGGCGTGAACCCGGGAGGCGGAGCTTGCAGTGAGCTGAGATGGCGCCACTGCACTCCAGCCTGGGCGACAGAGCAAGACTCCGTCTCAAAAAAAACAACAACAAAAAACAAAGTCACTGAAAAGAAAAGCACTATACTCTCCCATTTTTTTTTCTTTTGAAACAAGATTTTCTTAGAAGAAAAACACATAATACATACAGTTTTACTATAGAAGGTTTACCTCTACTCTCTCTGCAACCCACTCAAAGTTTTTCTTTACCATTTGGAGCCCTTCAGGAGTTACTTCTTTGAGGTCCCGATAAGACTAGAAAATAAGATAGAAAGTTTAGAAAACAAGTATCTCTTGCTACCTGAAACTATTTGGTTTCTGAGTTTTGGGGAGGGATTATGAAGAGTTTGTATAGCAAGGGATACTTCTGAAAATGCATCTTTTCACTTCCTGAATTAAACTAACAAAGTTCCATAGTAAAGTATACTTTTATTTTCACTTAAGGTTAAGTGTTTTCTGTACTAGCAACTACAATTAACTGCCTTGAGAATTTTTATATATTAAGTATAGAAAGGGTCTTGCTCTAATTTTGTTTTCTGTTATTTTTTATTTTAAATACATGTGCAGAATGTGCAGGTTTGTTACATAGGTATACATGTGCCATGGTAGTTTGCTGCACCCATCAACCTGTCATCTAGGTTTTAAGCCCCATATGCATTAGGTATTTCTCCTAATGCTCTCCCTCCCCTTGCTCCCCACCCTGCAACAGGCCCCGGTGTGTGTTGTTCCCCTCCCTGTGTCCATGTGTTTTCAGTGTTCAACTCCCACTTATGAGTGAGAACATGTGGTGTTTGGTTTTCCGTTCCTGTGTTAGTTTGCTGAGGATGATGGCTTCTAGCTGAATCCATTTCCCTGCAAAGGACATGATCTCATTCTTTTTCTTTCTTTTTTTTTTTTTGGAGACAGAGTCTCGCTCTGTCAACCAGGTTGGAGTGCAGTGGCACAATCTCGGCTCACTGCAACCTCCACCTCCCGGGTTCAAACAATTCTCTGCCTCAGCCTTCCGAGAAGCTGGGATTACAGGTGCCCACCACCATGCCTGGCTAATTTTTTTTTTTTTTTTTTTTTGAGACAAGGTTTCACTATCTTGGCCTGGTCTTGAACTCCTGACCTTGTCATCCACCTGCCTTGGCCTCCCAAAGTGCTGGGATTATAGGTGTGAGCCACCGCGCCTGGCCAATCTCATTCTTTTTTATGGCTGCATAGTATTCCATGGTGTGTGTATATCACATTTTCTTTATCCAGTCTAACACTGATGGGCATTTGGGTTGGTTCCATGTCTTTGCTATTGTAAATAGTGCTGCTCCTGTGCACGTGTCTTTACAGTAGAATGATTTATATTCCTTTGGGTATATACCCAGTAATGGGATTGCTGGGTCAAATGGTATTTCTGGTTCTAGATCCTTGAGGAATCACCACACTGTCTTCCACAATGGCTGAACTAATTTGCATTCCCACCAACAGTGTAAAAGCGTTCCTATTTCTTCATAGCCTCTCCAGCATCTGTTGTTTCCTGACTTTTTTAAAACAGCCATTCTGACTGGTGTGAGATGGTATCTCATTGTGGTTTAGGTTTGCATTTCTCTAATGATCAGTGATGATGAGCTTTTTTTCATGTTTGTTGGCTGCATAAATGTCTTCTTTTGAGAAGTGTCTGTTGTTTTATATAGGAGCAGAAATGTGGCCTGGTAACATGCAGGAGACTTGGAATAGAGTCCCAGATCTGTCCCTGACTCTAGTAATTGTGAAGATACCCATCCTCTTAAGACCCTTAGTTTTCATTTAGCCAAACAAAGATAATACTTGCTGTTACTGTTGTGACAATGTTATTAAGATAACAGATGAGAAATTTGCTTTATAAATGTAAAGTATTATTCCTATTATTCTTCTATTAGGATACCAGAGACATTTATCTTTAAAAATAAACAGCAATCCACAAAACAGGTTCATATCATTAGGAACAATAATTTGCTTTTTCCCCTCATCTCTCCTTTCTCCTCTATCTCAGCTTGATCTCAAAAAGGATAAAAAAACCTGAAGCATTATCTACCTGTTTGTCTTTCTGTTGGCTTCGATCTCCTGATGGCCAGAGTCTCCAGGAATCATTGTCAATAACATCAGCAAGAACAATTTCTTTGGTGGTTACATCAACACCAAATTCAATCTGGAAACAGCATGTCAACAAAGTTTTCAAAAACTATTTTATGAAAGCATCTCTCAACTATAACCTTTACTTTCAAATCCTGTTGTTTTATCTGTACTTGTTTTATCTGTACCTTCATATCAACCAGTGTACAATTCTGGGGCAACCAGGATTTCTCCAGTATTTCAAATATAGCCTGTGTAGCATGACTCATGATATCCACTTCAGTCTGGCCTATAAGAAGTCCAGCAAAGCAAAATTTTGCAGCAATCAGCTGTTCCTCAGACCACTGTGGGTCATTATTGGCATCATCCTGTGAATAAAGTATAGTAGTACAATTAACTTCAATCTAAAATTTTTAAACTTTTCAGAAAAACCAACATCCTTTTCACCTTGAGCATGAACTCCTTAGAAATTTTTAGCCACAGCCGGGCATGGTGGCTCATGCCTGTAATCCCAGCACTTTAGGGGGCTGAGGTGGGCGGATCACAAGATCAGGAGTTCGAGACCAGCCTGGCCAACACAGTGAAACCCTGTCTACTAAAATTACAAAAAATTAGCTGGGTGTGGTGGTGTGCACCTGTAATCCCAGCTACTTGGGAGGCTGAGGCAGGAGAATCATTTAAACCCGGGAGGTGGAGGTTGCAGTGAGCTGAGAGAGCGCCACTGCACTCTAGCCTAAGCAACAGAGGGAGACTCCATCTCAAAAAAAAAAAAAAAAAAGAAAAGAAATTTTGATCCAGGTGCAGTGGCTCACACTGTAGTCCCAGTAATTTAGGAGGCTGAAGCAGGAGGATCGCTTGAGCCTAGGAGTTCAAGAGCAGCCTGGGCAACAAAATGAGACATCTAAAGAAATTTTTTGTTTACGATACTCCTTAATTCAAAGCAATTATTACTCCTCTTTTTTTTCCTAGTTAGCTCCTGCAAGCAGAAAAAACTATTACTCTTAATTTGTTTACTCTCAATAGCACTTTAAAATTCAAAGTATTTAGGTGAGTAACTTATTCTAGGTCACAAAGTATTTCAAAGAATTTAACCTCTATAAACCAATTTAAACAGAATTTAAGTTTGTGATTTTTGTTTTTCCTTAATAACAGTCATCAGACATGACAGGAAGGCCAAAGCACATTTTAATCAATCAAATCTTTCCAAAACCACCGTTCTCATAACCTCCCAACCTCACTTTTTATTAGAATTTATACAGCACTATAATTTTTTAGGGACATTATTTGATAATTCAAGAGACCTCAGACAAAGAGGTAAGTGAAAAAAATGAAATAATTTCATTTTATTCTCAGCAGTGTCCCAACTTTACATGACAATATCTTTATAAATTCTTGATCTATATAATCATAATACACACAAGTTACATAACTCATTGATTAAAAAGCAAGACTGATATTGCTTCCCAAGCAGATCTATGCTTAACAGCATAAATCAAGATGGTTAAAAGCAGTAAAGCCTACAAAATTCATAACCACTGATTCTTACAACCTTTATTTATATATTTTCACTTACAAGAGACATTGTTAGTATAGTTTTCCTGTATTAGAATATAAAAAGATTTCAACTAAATTTTAAAAAAATTAACTAAATGTTACTTTTCTCTTCTTCCTGTTAGTCATCTTGGTTCAAAGGTAAGATTTTCAGATGCTTTCTTTTTAAAATTTGATTTATCATTGTTAATGGAAGTGTACATTATTGACATTGGCAACTAGATAAGACAAATTTTGGAATGACATTTGCAATATCAAAATATCAAAAACTTTGCTTGAATATTTAAACCTTTAGAGTTTCTAATTATAAATTTATTGCCGTGTTACAGTAAGACATAAAACAGAGGCATAAGATAATTACCTTGAAAAACAACTCCACTTTAGGTGGGTAAAACTTATATCCTTCCTTGACACCAGGATTTCTTTTGAGAAAAGAACCAGTTGCTATTCTTCTGCAAACCCATTCAATTGGAATCATTTCACACTGCGGTGCAATGAAAGCTGTCTCCCCACATTTTCTGGTGAAGGCAGTTTTAATACCTACATATTGATAACCAAAGTTAAAAAAGGTATTGAAATGATATGTAAAAAGGTAGATCTGAGGCACAATAAAACTCTACCCTTTACAAGCAACAAAGAACCTCTATCAAAAATAAGTGTAATTTTTCTCTTTATTTAATGTAGATGCGGTCAGTTGTTGACTCAAACAGTAAGCAGCACATGACTATACATACAATGTATTGTTCAGCCATAAAAAGGAACGAAATTCCTGATACATCCATGCTATATAATATGGATGAAGCTTAAAAACACTAGGCTAAATGAAAAACACAAAATGCAAAAGAACAAATACTTACGATTTGACTTATATGAGGTAACTAGAATAGGCAAATTCAGACAGAAAAGAGAATGGAAGTTACCAAGGGCTGAGGAGTGGGAGGAATAGTTATTGTTTAATGCTACACAGTTTGTTTGGGATGATGAAAAAGTTCTGGAAATGGATAATGGGATGAATGTACAACATTGTGAATGCACATAATGCCACTGAATTGGACACTTAAAAATGGTCAAACTGGTAAATTTTATGTATTTATCACAATTTTCTTTTAAAAAATATCAGGAGCCTATTTTATGGCAGATATTGTTCCAACCATTTTAAATACATCTTTTTTGTTTAATCCTCATAACATTTGATAAGATACTATTAAGATCAACAAAACAGGTAAGGACACTAAGACACAGTAGTAATGTCAGCTAGTATTAGGTATAGCAGGATTTCCAACCTACCCTGTCTCTAGGAGCCGCCCACTTAACCACTTTGCTGTATTGCCTCTCCTGGAAGTGTTATTACATCACAGTACAAAGTAATGCTACAGCATTAACATGATTTAAAATATCTCCTGGAAACCTACATGGGTTTGAGATAATGCTTATTTTCAGCCTGCATTACTATTTCCAATCCCAACCTAATCCTCTAGTCTAACTTTTATTATCAGGAAAGAATTGGGGATCTTTGCTGTTATATGTGTATCTGTACATGAAGGGAGCTTCTATTTATGGAAATCCTCCACTGTGCTAAGTGTCTTATATATGTTGTCTCATTTAACTGTGCATAAAATTTTGAGGTAGGTTTTTTTGTTTTTTTGGTTTTTTTTTGAGACAAAGTGTCACACAGGCTGGAGTGCAGTGGCGTGATCTTGGCTCACTGCAACCTCCGCCGCCTGGGTTCAAGAGATTCTCCTGCCTCAGCCTCCTGAGTAGCTGGGATTACAGGTGTGCACCACCACGCCTGGCTAATTTTTGTATTTTTAGTAGAGACAGGGTTTCATCATGTTGGTCAGGAACTCCTGATCTCGTGATCTGCCCACCTTAGTCTCCCAAGGTGCTGGGATTACAGGTGTGAGCCACCGCGCCTGGCCTTGAAGTAGGTATTATTATTTATACATTTTACAGTGAAAAAAACAGAGGCTCAAAGAAGTAATTTCACACACTAGGTCATGTAGCCATTTGGTAATGGAGCCTGGACTTGAAACGCACTGTCCAAACCCTACACTATTTCCTCTGCCCTCTCTTTGAATCTGACTCGTAAGACTCAAATGAAAAAAAGAAAGAATTGTGGTATGTTGCATGAACAGAAACCCTAAGGAAAAAATGAAAAGAGGGGAAGTAAAACTGTCATTTTAACCTTTAAAAAAAAATTAGATGCAATCTGTTGTTTAACTTTTAATGAATGATCAGGCTCATGGATAGACAGGTGACTTCAATCAATTCTCAACTTGGGGTGGTAACTACATCCTTGGTTTCAAGAGCTCTTCTCTCTTAGATCTGTTAATCATTAGTCACATATTTGCTCATTTGTCTACCAAGCTGGACACAGTAGTATCCAATTTTATTGTTTTTAATATAAAGATAACTTCGTCTTAGAGAGATCCCCCCGCCAATCCCAAGGAGAACCAAAAGCACATAATGAAGCTACAGTAATCATCTCTGCACAAAAAATCCCTAAAAGTTTCTAAAACAGACTCAGTTTAGATGACATAATGATGGCTTCTAATACTGCTAAATATGAAAGCAAATTCCATGACTGTGCATGGTGAGAAAAAAATTCCCATTGTTTATCTTAGTTGTCTACAAAGCTCAAAACTCTCATTCAGGTTACTAAAAAATGTTTATGTCACTGACACACTCTGGATTACAATGAACATATATTAGCTAGAATAGTAATTCTAGCTAATACATATGTCCCCGTGGCCATCCCTCTTTTAGATTGGTCCAGATGCCCATCTGTGGTTTAGCAACTGTAGTACCGTTCTTCATATACTAGTATTACACTTAATGTAATTATAGTGAGTTTCTGTGAGGAAATTGGGATTTCATCATCACTAAGAAGGCCAGATTTTAATTTTTAAGTAATAAAACCAAATCCACAAATTGTATAACACAGTTATAACACAGTTATACTATTTCCACGGAAAAAGATTACTTCTTATTTATATAGTCCTTTACAGTTTGTTCCTGAGTGACAATGAGAAAAGTAGAATCCTGATTTTCTGATTCTCATTCCAATGCTCTTTCCTCTCTACTTTCTACCTTAATTTGGAACACAACCCAGGTTGTAAAGAAAACAGTTTTAAATAGACCACTGATGGCCAACTAGATAAGGCATTTATTTGACTAAGCAAGTAAAAATTACATAAGGTTTAATGGAATTCCTAATATGTACCCTAAAACTAGTCTGTTTAGAAATTTTAAAAAATTCAGGTTTACTTAGTTTCATAGTACTAGACATAAAATCTGGAAAATATCTTTCAACATTTCCTGTGAACCAGTTAAGTTTTAGCTATGTTAAGTGCCAAATAAAGTAGTTTAAAGATAATTATTGGAGTATTTCATTTAGGTAACCATCCTTCCCTGTTCCCCTGATCACAGGACTCTTCAGAATTAAAGCAGAAAGTCCTGGACAAACATAACACAACTGAGTCACTCTAATTTACTTGTTATAAAGTTCTGGAAATGGATAATGGGATGAGTGTAAATACACTCAGAAAATACACTAAATAAGCAAATAAAAAGTCAGGCTTTATCTTCCATTACTTAATATAATCCTGTAGCTATGTGAAACTACCAAGGGTACACAGAAAGTAATCTTCTGACTGCTAACATTTTAAAGAGTTAAGCACTTTAAAAAATGTTTAAGTGAATGGGGAGAGTTAAAACTTGGGAAGAAAAAAAAAAATCGATGGAACAGGCCGGGTGTGGTGGCTTACGCCTGTAATCCCAGCACTTTGGGAGGCCAATGCGGGTGGATCACTTAAGGCCAGCAGTTCGAAACCAGCCTGGCCAATATGGCAAAACCTCGTCTCTACTAAAAATACAAAAATTAGCCGGGTATGGTGGCGTGCACCTATAACTGTAATCCCAGCTACTGGGGAGGCTGAGGCATGAGAATCGCTTGAACCCAGGAGATGGAGGTTGCAGTAATCCGAGATTGTGCCACTGCACTCCAGCCTGGGCAACAAAGCAAGATTCTGACTTAAAATAAATAAAAAAATAAAATAAATAAATAGATGGAACACTTATCGGTATTGCAAAAGGAACCCAAAATTAATTTGATGCTCTCTTTAGAAATTACCTCAGTCATTGGGAAGCTACCAATCAAGAAACCTTGAAATAAAAATCTTAGATTCTGTGACTTAGGAACTCTGGAAGATCCTTTAAATTTACAGCAATACACTCACTTTCACAGCATAGAGGAATTTATGATGTAGATGACAATCCAGGTTTGCAATTAAATCTTTTTCACATTAATCAAAATTGTGAAATAGGATACTTTGGAAGAGACAAAACTACGCCAAGAATGCACTGACAATGTATTTAAATTACATTACCTTGTTATTTTGTGGAAGGCACGTACATCTAACTTAACTGAAAACAAAAGCATTAAATCCCCTGTTGAATTTAAGAAAGATTAGTGCTACCAGAAACTCTAAGAAATGAAAGGGCAACTGGGAATATTGGAATTAAAAGTAAGGAAAGTTATTAAATTATAAAATTAGAATTGGCAAGAATGATAAAGAAAAAGCTTTTATTTCATAGGTAAGGTTTCGTAGGTTGAATGATCCAAAGCAATGAGGCTATTTACACTGTGTGGCAAGAGTTCAAATCTTTTCCTAGCTGAAATTTCATATACTACAGACCAACCAGCAACTGACTGAATCCCTGCAGAAAACCCCTTTATCCTAATTTCCTTCCCTTTGCTTCAAATACCCACCACACAATGTTCTGATCTTCATTTGGTCTTTTGAATCTATTTCTCTATTGAAAATAGAGCCTTCATTCAGTTTTTGAACAGGAGGGCGCTCTGGGGTTTTAGTTCAAATATCTCACTTGGGGAATGGCAGGAGGAGAAGGTTTGGTTGCTGTCTTCAACTACTTTTCAGGGCTTTCAAGTGGAAGAGGAATTTGAAATTCTGTATTATCTCCCAGAGGCAGAACAAAGACCATTTGTATAGAATTACAGGGAGTAAATTTCAGTTCTTCATGTTAGAACTGCTTAACATTAAAATGGGTTTCCTTCATAGTTAAATTCCTTAAAGTGAAGATGGCCTTGGAGAGGTAAGCTGCACAGAGAGTGCATGTGCCAGATAAAGATTACAGCAAACTTGTTAAGATTCCTTTTAATTCAATGATACTAATAATCCCAAACCAAATAAGGTGTTATAGTGAAGTTTAAGGGTTCTTGGTTTGATTTAAATTCACTTAGCTTTTGAGACATCTGCAAACAAGTTGTTCATATTAATGCCAACTTCACATGAAAGACATCGACATGCTTACCAGAGAAGGTGAGAGAAGAGACTTTGAGGGAGCTGCTTACCTGCTTCCTGTAATAACTGAAAAATACAACTGGTGATTTTATTTGAGATTGCAGCTTTTCCTTCCAGGTGGTTTTTTCTAGCTGCATTTCCTGCTGTAATCTGGTCCTTGGACTGCAGGAGGACTTTTCCTGGACTGTCTAACAATTCGTAGACTTCTTTTGTTTTACCCTCATATAATTTTTTACCAATGTTCAGTACTGTGGAAATAAAATGGAAATAGACCAAAATTCAGAAACTTCCTGAATGCTGAAGACTAAATCACCTAGAACAATTAATCTGTAAATATACAGTGATTAAGTAATATTAATAAAAATTAAATCATCTGTATAAAACCATATACTCTACAATGTATTTCTCATACCATCACATTTGATTCACATGATCTTGTGAAGAATTTTAATTACATAAATAATTGTAGAAATTAGTAAAGCAGAAATCAAAAGGGTTGAGGGTCATGCAGTTAGGAAATATAAGAGGTAGATAAAATCCTAACTCCTCTGACATCAAATCCTGTGCTCTTTCCACTATTAACCTGCCTCTCATAGCAGAACTGAACTAGAATTAAAATTAATTAAGACCCACTTAAAGTAATGTAACTATACTAGTATTTTCACAGACACACTCACAGTATAGTATCTAAACTATCTTGCAGGAAAAAATATGCGATTTTTGCTGATATTTGCTTTTTTGTAGGCAAAATGGGAACATTCAGCCAGATGAGTTTCTTGATTTCAAGTTAATATTCAAGAGGAGGCATGCCATCCCATTGAAGTTAGCACATTTGGAAGCATCCCTCTCTATTTCTTAATCCTGTCCCTGCCCCCATTAATCCTTTCTCTTCACTAACAGTTGTAAGAAATTGTGAGGAAGTGAGCACAAAGGAATCCAATTTTGATGCTGGTCACAAAACCTAAGAAGTACACAAAAGGATGATTTAGAGAAAGAGTAAAGATAACAGATGTTTAGGAACTTAAAATTTCGAAAGAGAGAAATCAACCCTCATACTTCCACAACACTCTCAGTATCAACATTTTCCCGGTGTATCCATGTGCCAAGGGATGTACCAGTAAATAATAATTCCTGCTCTCAAGAGACCTGAGTCTGAGGGGAGCTGATATTAAATAAGACATCATAATAATAGAATGCAATAAATACAGACTATGGGACTAGTCTAGACATTAGAAAAAGAAGTCTACAAGAAAGTGACAGGTTGAAATCTGAAGAATCATCGAAATTTAGCCAAAGGAGAGAAAGGGGTAGGTAGTGTTGATGAATAAATACAAGGTGGTCAAAGTGGATTGCAGAACTTCAGTCTGGTTGGAGCTGGAGCTCTGGGTATATGTACATTGCTGTTGGGCAGGGGAAGGGGTGGGGGCTGCAGCTAAAGAATGGCAGGAGACAAGACTTAAGAGTTGGACAGGGGCCACATCACCAGCTAGTGGAGGTAACCATTAAACAAAGTAGTTGTAATTTAGTTAACAGTTGCCACTGTAGGGCACCTAATTTAGAGGATGAATCTCTACCCTCCCTAATGTAATGTCTAGACTCATTAACATGGTTTAAAAGTCCCTTTAAGATACAGCCCTGGCTTACTGCTCCAAACTCTTATTTGTCTATTTCCTATCTAGAACTCCAACATCTTTAATTCTTATACAATCTTCCCCTAGCTTCTGACAATCTCTTCTTTCCTAGGCCTGGAAAACTTCCCTTCCATTTTGCTACACATCCTTCTTGTTTCACAAGCCATGCTGATTGAGTTTAGACTTTAACCCAAGAAGAGCTATAAGGCTTTTAAGTGCTAAAGCAAAACGCTATTTGGAAAGATCATTACGGCTTCTGTATGGACAATGAAGGGAGGAAGGGGTGAGTGAACAAAAACTAGAGCTTGGAAGACCAGTTAGGATGCTGTTGCAGTAACTTGAACAAGAAACGTCTGGCCAGGTGCAGTGGCTCACATCTGTAATCTCAGCACTTTAGGAAGACAAGGAGGGCAGATTGCTTTAGCTCAGGAGTTCAAGACCAGCCTGGGCAACAGGGCAAAATCCCATCTCTACCAAAAAAACAAAAATTAGCCCAGCATGGTGGTGCATGCCTGTAGTCTCAGCTACTTGGGGAGGTCGAGGCCGCAGTGGGCCAAGATTTGCACTATTTCACTCAAGCCTGGGTGATAGAGTGAGACCCTGTCTCAATAAAAAAAAAGGAAAAGAAAAAGAAATGTCTTGGTCTAAGGAAAGAGTAGTGGGCAAAGATGCAAGATATTTAAGATAGTAGCTTTGAGAATTCATCATGGAGGATAAAAGAGAGGGAAGGGTAAAGAACAGTGGGCCGGGAACAGTGGCTCATGCCTGTAATCCCAGCACTTTGGGAGGCCGAGGCGGGCGGATCACTTGAGGTTAGGAGTTCAAGACCAGGCTGACCAACATGGTAAAATCCTGTCTCTACTAAAATTACAAAAATTAGCCGGATGTGTTGGTGCACGCCTGTAATCCTTGCTACTTGGGAGGCTGAGGCAGGAAAATCGCTTGAACCTGAAAGGCGGAGGTTGCAGTGAGCTGAGATGGCGCCACTGCACTCCAGCCTGGGCAAGAGAGGGAGACTCCGTCTCAAGAAAAAACAAAAACAAAAAAAACAGTGCCCAGATCAGATAAAGAAATTAACATTTATATATATTAATATGCAGTAAGCCCGGGCAAAGTTTGTATCTAATGCCCCTCCCCTTAATTTAGTTGAATCTGTATTACTTAGTCATTAAAGAGGGAAGGAATTTGAATTAATGGGTAGAAACAACATAAGAAACAACCATACGTGACATACCCTGCAAGTACCAAAATGGTTGCTACAAATTTGTAGATGAATTCTGGAAAGATTGATGAGGACTGAAAATGATTCATGGAATTGAAATTTAAGAGTCTGGGAAAGCACAGAATTTACACAAAGGATAAGAAAATTCTAGGACTCTGCTGTCCAATAAGGCAGCCACTAGAAATGTGGCTATTACAAGTTGAAATGTCATTTGTTAAAATATATACTGCATTCGATATAAAAAATTGTAAAATATCTAAAGAATTTTTCATCTTGACTCCATGTTGAAATGTATTTTGTGTATATAGGGTTAAATAAAATATATTAAAATGGGCTCACGCCTGTAATCCCAGCACTTTGGGAGGCTGAGACAGGCAGATCACTTGAGGTCAGGAGTTTGAGACCAGCTTGGCCAACATGGCAAAACCCTGACTCTACTAAAAAATACAAAAAAAAATTAGCCGGGTGTGGTGGAGTGTGCCTGTAATCCCAGCTACTTGGGGGGCTGAGGCAGGAGAATCACTTGAACCTGGAAAGTGGAGGGTGCAGTGAGCTGAGATCTTGCCACTGCACTCCAGCCTGGGCCACACAGAGCGAGACTCCATTTCAAAAACAAAGCAAAACAAACAAAAAACAACAACAAAAAAAACCTTTTATATATATATATATATATATATATATATATAAACACATTGCACCAGTTTTTTTTATTATTTTACTTTTTAAAATGTGGCTTATAGAAGACAAATTTACATTATATTTCCATTAGCCAGCAATGTTCTGGGAAAAATAATATAAATAAAATGTATATAATGAAAAACAAACTTTGGTGAATTAACCTGACTGGAACATAGCTAAGGATTCACAGGAGAGAAAAATCAAAGTTAGGGCTGAAGAGGTAGAAGGGATAGCAGTATTCAGGATTTGAATGAAAAGGGATTTCAGACTGGACAGACTGGATTTAACATCTCTAGAGATGCCATTTTTGCCTTTGTTGCCACTTTTGCCTTTTAGAGACCATAAAAGTGACATTTAAGAAAAATCAACCTGCCAACGGTACACAAATGGAAAGAAGTGGAAGAGCAAAGATTTTAGAGATTTGCCATTTTAGAGGTACAGGTACCATGATTGCAAGAAAAATTCTGGTCCTTGCCTTGATTCTAGGGAGTTGATACTCAATATCATCTGAATCTTTTTTGCTGAGTCTACAGCTTTTTTTTTTTTTTTTTTTTTTTTTTGAGACAGAGTCTCTCTCTGTCGCCAGGCTGGAGTGCAGTGGCGCGATCCCGGCTCACTGCAGCCTCTGACTCCCCGGTTCAAGTGATTCTCCTGCCTCAGGTTCCCGAGTAGCTAGGATTACAGGCATACGCCACCACGTCCAGCAAATTTTTGCATTTTTAGTAGAGCCGGGGTTTCACCATGTTGGTCAGGATGATCTCGATCTCCTGACCTCGTGATCCGCCCGCCTGGGACTCCCAAAGTGCTGGGGATTACAGGCGTGAGCCACAGCGCCCGGCCTGAGTCTACAGCTTTTTAAAATCTGAATTCAGTTACTTTCTATGTGGAAAAGAATGTACCCAGCAGCCACAAAAGCAATTTGCCTCACTATACATATAGCAACTGGGTGTGTGGAAAAAACCAGCATTTGTTTTTTTCCAGCATAAATAGCAAGAACAATCTTTCCTGATAGTGCAACTTTTTTGCCTAAAGGTTTTGGAGTTCTTCAAAGCCATCGTGGCATCAAAGACTACTGGAACGAACACACACACACACACACACACACACACACACACACACACACCATCATGGCATCAAAGACTACCTAAAAACAGCCCCCCTCCCCAGCCATCATGGAATCAGACTACTTCAACACGCGCGCGCACACACATACACACCCATGACATCAAAGACTACTTAAACACGCACACGCACGTACACACACCCCAAGCTATCGTGGCATCAAAGACTACTTCACGCGCGCGTGCACACACACACACACACCATGGCATCAAAGACTACTTACACACACGCCCCCTAGACAGGTTTTTCTTTTTCTTTTTTGAGACGGAGTCTCGCTTTGTCGCCCAGGCTGGAGTGCAATGGCGCGATCTCGGCTCACTGCAACCTCCGCCTCCGGGTTCAAGCGATTCTCCTACCTCAGCCTCCTGAGTAGCTGGGGATTACAGGCGCGCGCCACCACGTCCAGCTAATTTTTTGTATTTTTAGTAAGAGACGGGGTTTCGCCATGTTGGCCAGGCTGGTCTCGTACTACTGACCTCAGGTGATCCGCCCGCCTTGGCCTCCCAAAGTGCTGGGATTACAGGCGTGAGCCACCAGGCCCGGCCTCTAGACAGGTCTTTCAAAAGTTTCAATTATTAACCTTCTTAGAAAGGTCATTAACCTAACGGGCAAAGCAAGACTCAGGTTTTGACGAATCAAGACTGATTTGCTTGTATTTTGCAATAGCTATTGATTATAAATAATACTTCCAGGCACCTTTCCACCCCTTGGCCATTTCTCGTTCTCCTCTACTTTGCTCCTTCTCCCCATCCCCGAGGCAGTAAAGTTCGGGGAGGCCCGGGAGCGCCTGGGCCACGTGTGCGCCCGCGCGGCTGCCTAGAGGCGCTGCTGCAGGGAGGCGGGACAGAGTTTCGCGGCTCGCACGTGGCCGCGAGCTCACGGCCTGGGGGTCAGGGAGACCGTGAAGGGCCCGGATCCCTGTTACTCACCCTCAGCTGTCGCCATTATCCTAAGTGGGCTGAGGGCTGCGACCGCGCCGGGAAGCGAGGCAGAACTCTAGAAAAGAGGGGTGGTCAGAGAGCTTCGCTGGGCGGGGAAGGAGGCGGGGCCGCGCGACCCTGCGCCACTCTTTTCGAGCTCCGCTACAGCCGCCTAACCCGGAGGGGTATGGGCGGAGACTGAAACGCGGATATCGGACGAAACAACGCCCCACTGGCTTCCCGCCGCGCAGGCGCAGAGACGCGACCCCGCCTCCGGGCCGCCCCGCGCTGGCGCAGTGCCCGGACAGGCGAAAAGTGGCGCGCACTGGCGGCCCCTCCCCACTCTGCGGAAGCTCGCATACCCCGGCCCCTTCTCGGCTGCGGGAGCGACTCAGAAGTTGGAGCGTACCAAGTCTTGACGGCCTGGGGGAAGCATGCAGGGAAGGGCATATGAAGGCTAAATGCTCTGAAAGAGAAATGAGGTTAAGTCCGTTACTCCCATTACGCTACTGTTGGGTGCTGGAAAATAACGGAGATTTCCACGTGCAGCAAATACAGCTTTCCAGGCAGCTCTTAGGGGAAGGCTAGCTCCACCCTACAGCATCCGTGACCCCGCCCCTCAGCCGCGGGACCGCCCCTCCGCCCTCGCTCGTTGGTGGACTCGGAGGGGGAGGAGCAGGGCTGAGCTGGCCACGCCACCTAGGGACAGCGCGCGCCGCCGCAGTAGCTGGGGCCACCCTCGGGAAGGAAGAGCCTGTCGCGAGCGCGAGCTTCTGAGCTCGACGGGCCGAGCTGGCAGCTGGTTGGTGCTTACACCTTGGCCGCAGCGGCAGGTCCTTCCACGTGCTTTCGGCGGCGACATGGAGCTGGAGGAGTTGGGGATCCGAGAGGAATGTGGCGTGTTCGGGTGCATCGCCTCAGGAGAGTGGCCCACGCAGCTGGATGTACCGCATGTGATCACTCTGGGACTCGTGGGGCTGCAGCACCGGTGAGCAACAGGGTGGGGGTGGCGGGGGCGTGCGTCTCCATCTCTCGGAGCCGCTTCCCGCAGTCGGCGTTCTCATGAGCGCCCGAGGGCCCGGGAGGACCGACCTCTCCGACCTAAGCCAGTACCTGCCTGTGGCGTCGACCGGGTTGCCTAGGCGTGCACGAGGGGCACCTCGCTTCCATGAACTTTAGCCTGTCCTGCCCACCCTCCCAGCCACTTATGCCTTTTAGGGGCTCTCTCCCTCCCCGCCCCCCGGTGTGTGCACCCATCCAGAGGCTGGCCAGCTTGTAAACCGCCGGTTTGCTTGGTCTAGCTGGGTCAGGGCTCCTCCCCGACTGCAGGCGGGTTCTAGTCTCCCGGAGCCTGTGGCTGCTCCTGTAATAGGCTAGTGTGGCGTGGCGGCCAGTCCAGGTCCTTCAACACCTAAAGGTTTTCGCGCGGGGCCTCCAACCACCACAAGCTTTTGTTTGCAAGGGCAGAGCTATTGAGCAGATTATGGGTTTGAAAGTAGTTATCGCTATGGGAACTTGAGGATGCTAGACTTCAGACCCAGGGAAAGATGACTAGTTGATGTTGAGAATGACTACTGGTAGTAGATCTCACATAAATTAAATGGAAATAAGCCAACCATAGGGAACAGTGCATCTGGAAAAGATTCATTGGTAGACGTCTTGCCTAATGAATGAAAACGTTGGTAATAACATGACAAAAATTAACTCCCTTCTTCAAAAGGGGGACAGGGGAGTAGTGTCTCTATGCCAAGATCCATACACTTGATTTTGAAAAATTGGGAGATCCTTTCGAGTTAAAAAAAATTACTTTGCTTCGGTGATCTTTCCTTTTCTTACTACCTGACTTAACTGGAAGTTGATATAAATTATTACACTAGGATAAGAAAAACAAACCTGGGTTTGATATTCTTACTGAAAGTATTACAGTTTCCATAAGGCAATACAGTGGTAACAACTTACACTACAGTTAAGGAACTTGGCAATAACACGTAACAGCAAAATGGGTGCAACACGTATAAACGCATTCCAAAAGATTAGCTTTTCCTCCACCAAACTTAAATTAGAAGTATTTTTTGCTGTTTTCATTGTCCCAGGTACTTCAATTTCAGTTTCACATTTTGTGTGTTCCTTGTTTACTAAAGAGCTGAGAATGTGGGAAGCATCAAAAAGAATATTTTTAACTTGCGTAGCTCCAATCTTGGATAATTGTGGGTTGACCATAATAGATTTCTTGTTTTTTTTAAAAAAAGTTTATTGAGAAAATTAGTTACGTAATCCAAGGAGAAAGTAAACTCTTGATTATGTGGTAGTTGTGAGCAACATTAGTTTGTAACATTCTTAGAAACTATGGCCAGGCGCGGTGGCTCACGCCTGTAATCCCAGCACTTTGGGAGGCCGAGGCGGGCGGATCACGAGGTTAAGAGATCGAGACCATCCTGGCCAACATGGTGAAACCCCATCTCTGCTAAAAATACAATTAGCTGGGTGTGGTGATGCGCTCCTGTAGTCCTAGCTACTCCGGAGGCTGAGGCAGGAGAATCGCTTGAACCCGGGAGGCTTAGGTTCCAGAGAGCAGAGATCACGCCACTGCACTCCAGCCTGGGCGACAGAGCGAGACTCCGTCTCAAAAAAAAAAAAACAGTTGTTATTTTGGATACTCTGTCATGGGGGTGAGGGAGAATCTAGAGGTCTTTAGGGTTGCCTGGTGGTCTGTAGAAAATATGTATGAACTGTACTTCACTATATTTACTTTTTTTGCCAAAGTTATTCAAGAAATTTTCATCCCCCTTTCTCCTTCCCTTTAAATGTGTGCCTGAAGAAAAAGAGGCTTTTTTTTTTTTTTAACTTACATGTTAGCACTGGTTGGAGTTTTAGTACCCAGTTTAGGAAAATACTTGGTATTCATGGTTATAGGTTTTTTTTTTCTTTTTTTTTTTTTTTAATGAATACCATTTGATTCCTGGTTACATATATCTGTTTTCTATAGTTGCTTTTCTGTGAAAGAATTGTAAGATTAAATAATACCAGATAAGGGCAATAATGATGTGATTATGTGGTTTTGAGGAACAAATGTATTACTGAAAAACAATTTAACATTTCTCTTGTGTAGGCATAGAATCATTAAGGTGCACAAAGAGGGCTGGTTCTCACCCATAATCAATTCAAAATTTTACATGAGCTAAAGTGCTCATCCTTTGGGAGGACTGATTCTGCTTGGAAGAACAATGACACTCCCTTATGTCTTGGAAATACAATTATCTGCTGCTCGAAACTGATAGATAAGGGCCAGAATAAAACTAAGAACTTTTTCTTTTAGTTTAGTTTTATATATATATATATAAAATACGTGTGTGTATGTATATATGTATATATATATCGTACTCTGAGAAGTGGTGGTCTGTTGCAGAAAGCTCTGTTTTCACTTTCTCACCCTCATTCACTCACTGGTTAGTTTTAAAACAACTGCAAAAAGGTTTGATTGTGTTTTTTTCCTTTTTGATGAAGGAATTTATTTCTTATATATTATCTTCTTGATTTTTTTTTTTTTTTTGAGACAGAGTCTCGCTGTCTCCCAGGCTGGGGTGGAGTTCAGTGGCGCAGTCTCCCCTCACTGCAAGCTCCGCCTCCCGGGTTCACGCCATTCTCCTGCCTCAGCCTCCCGAGTAGCTGGGACTACAGGCGCCCCCCACCACGCCCGGCTAATTTTTTGTATTTTTAGTAGAAACGGGGTTTCACTGTGTTAGCCAGGATGGTCTCGATCTCCTGACCTCGTGATCTGCCCGCCTTGGCCTCCCTTTTTTTTTTTTTTTTTTGAGACAGGGTCTCACTCTGTCACCTAGGCTGGAGTGGAGTGGTATGATCTGGGCTCATTGCAACCTCCGTTTCCCAAGTTCAAGTGATTCTCGTACCTGTCTCCCGAGTAGCTGGGATTACAGGCGCCCGCCACCACACTCAGGTAATTTTTGTATTTTTAGCAGAGACGGGGTTTCACCATGTTGACCAGGCTGGTCTTGAACTCCTGGCCTCAAGTGATCCACCCTCTTCGGTCTCCCAAAGTGCTGAGATTACAGGCGTGAGCCACCATGCCTGGCCAACCTTATCTTTAAGAAGATGGAATCTAGAAGGTGAGATTTCTATCACTTTTGTTTTGTATTTGGTCCAGTTTTTTGTCTTGGGTATAATCTAATCTGAAACATTTAGTCCTGGGGTTAACAGAATACCTGGAAGGTATATTAGCCATTTCATATAAAAATAAATAGAGTATCAATTAGTTAAGCCAGTCATGCACTGGATATTTAACCCAGATGGGTTCATCCAGATGTACTCCCCGTTTTTAGTAGTTCTGGCTGTCTTCAGATTTATTCCGTAGCTCTGCTTTCTGTAGGGGAATTTTCACATGTCCTCTTAGCTGTAAACTGTGCATGCATGTGTGTGGGTATGTTCATGCCTGATTTATATAATCACCAAATGCTGTTTTGGTCCTGAAAACATCATTTCAGTAGTTTGCGGAGTTCTGAACAAACCAGACACCCCTTCTTAGAATAAACATTTTCATCTTTAAAACACAGTCACATTTTATGGAGACTAGAATGGCCTGGACATATTTGAAGATTCCATAAAAGGAATTAGTAAATGTCTGTAGATTTATGCCATGAATCAGCTAATTAGCCTTTCCTTGATTAGGAGATAACCATGCCCTTCCATTCAATGAATTATCACTTCTCCTGGTTAGGAATTGAACCTTACAATGACAAACATTTTCATACTTCTAAAAATTTATAAGATTTACCTGATGAAGTTGGGTTTTCTGTCTGCAGAAACATTCTGTAGAATCTTTTGGTTCTGTTATTACGCTTTGAGGAAACTGATTTGTAATGATCTCAGGAGCACTTTTCTTAAGAGATTTAGACACTGGTTCTGCAAACAGAGTACAGAACATTACCACTGGAAAGGCACTTGTGAGAATGAGAGATGCACTCAGTCAGACTTATATGGATCTAGTTCCCAGTTAATCTTCATTTAGTTTTGTGGAGAACACAGGATTTGATTGTCAGAGAACTTACTTTGGGCTGCCAAATTAAGGCAGGGAATATCTTACTTAATTTTGATTTTCATATTTGACTGAAAATGATCAAATATGTAACATTCCTATAGTGTTTAACTTTTATACTCCCATAATCTATAACCTTTATCTGAGTCAAGTAAATTTTGGTTTGAGGGAGTGACTTATTTTAAGTGTCCTTGCAAATTGTTCCAGTCTTTGATTTTAGTTATTTTATAATTCAGTGATTCTTGCTTTAAAATAAGTGTTTTCAATCCTTCCATTTATAACTTTTTTTTTTAGAACTTAGCTTTTTGCATTAGTCTGAAGCAGAATTTACCTGCCCCCAAAAGTCTCCAAGTACCACTGCTTGGTCATTCTGGTCAATATTGGGAAGAGCTCCTTAACATACAAACTGAAATCTAGCCCCAGGTTTTCCAGTAACATCAGTTTAATCTTGGGCAAGTCTTCTAACTTCTGAGTCTGTTTCCTCATCTGTTGGCCTAGACTTATATATTGTAAGGTCTAATGTTCAAATTCAGTGGGTTCAGAATGATACTCTTGTGCGGTTAACCCTTAGCAGTTTAACCTGAAAGGAGAAACTGCTAAGGGTTAACCGCACAAGAGTTTTATCTGACTTGCATTTATATCCAGACATAGAAAAATACACTTTTCAGTTCACTTGAGATAAAAGGTTATAAGGGGAAAAGGAATTCTTGCTATTTGCTAATACTTTATTCAAAATGTATTTGTTGAGCAGAAGCTCAACAAATAGGAATAATGTACATCTAAGTATATTACTAAGGCACTGTGGTAGACACTGGGAATACTTTACCATACAGGGCAGATGTGGTCCCTGCCCTCGCAGAGACCTTATTGGTTCAGGAGCGTAGACTTCTCTATGCCTCAGTTTCCTCATCTGTACATTGGGTATAATAATAGCACCTACCTTATAGGATTGTGATTGGGACTAAATATGTTAATATATGTAAAGTGCTTAGAACAGTGCTTGGATATATGCATGCCCTATGACCCTGCCTTCCACTTCTGGGTATGTATTCAACAGAAATGCATACATATGTCCATTGAGAGACATGCAATTTTTCAAAAAAGCCCCAATCTGGAAACAGCTGAAATGTCCAACAGTGAAATAGATTTTAAAAAGTAATGGGATATACGTTTATTTATTAAGTAAATATTGAGATGGGGGGTTTCACTATGTTGCCCAGACTGGTCTTGAACTCCTGAGTTCAAGTGATCCTCCTGCCTTGGCCTCCAAGGCAGTGCTGGAATTATAGACCTGAGCCACTGCACCTGGCTGGGATGTATATTTTTACAATGGACTATTCTACAGTAATAAAAAATAACAGACTACTGTTGTGAGTAAAGTCATGGGTGAATCTCATAAACAATGTTGAATGAAAGAAAAGTACATATAGTATGAATCCCAAACTAATCTATGGTGATAGAAGTGAGAATAGTGATAATGTTTATGGGGGCGGAAGGATGATTAATGACTGGGAGGCTTTTAGGGTGCTAGTAAGTTTTATGTCCTGAATGGTGGATTTGGTGTGTCTACTTTGTAAAATTTTGTTTTACTCTTCAATTTTTTGTGTTAACTAAAAAACAATCTCATAAATTATAAATCTATAAGGCATTAAAGCTGGATTATTTTAGAGATCCAGAGAGATGCAGTGATTTGCTCTGTGTTTAGGAATTAGGGTCAAAGAGAGACTGGAGCTCAGGTTTTCTTATTAGTCTTATGTGCATTTTCTTTCTTCTACATGCTATATTGCATTATATTATCTTTTCTGATGTCTGTGATGGGTCATTTTGGAATTACAGCTCCCATTATTAGGTTGGCTTCTGAGTTTGACTTTCAGACTTATTAAAATGTTATATTGATTATTGACTACCTTTGAAGAACTGTGGATTTTTTTCTTTTTACATCTGATAACAATAATTGCAACAATCACTGTAAAGTACAATTTAAAGGACCATGATAACCAAACAGTTACCTAACTCCGGGCAAGTTTTCATTTACTTTCAGTGTTACTCTCACTCTTTTTTCTTTCTTCTTCTTTTAAAATATAAACTCTAGCTCCTGCAGGAACTTTCACTCAGTGAGCTATGAAATAAATTATTTCTCAGCATTCTCTGCTCTAATACAGTTCATAAACAATATATTTAGTCTAATTTATCAAGGACAGGAATAAATATCTCTGTTATCAGGAAAAAGCAACAAGTTGTTTCCACTGTGTGGAAGAACTTGTTATTTCTCTGGCTCTTACCATCTTCATGTGCTTTTCTCTTGAAGCTCAAAGTTCCTTGGCTTTTGTTGTGACCTTCAAATAATTCTTAAATAAAAACACAGGAAAAGAATCATTATGTGACATCATTTGAAACACATTAATGGTTTTCAAGCATTCAGGTATACTAAAATAAGAAAACTTAAGCAGATGGACAAATAAAGAATGAGTTAAGAATTAGGAATATTTTGGTACAAGGTTTAGAAAAAAGTTGAAACTCTTGGCTTAAATTAGGTACCTATTTTTAATGATTTTTAAGGGTCATTTGAGCATACAATAGTGTAAGGATTTCATTTTTAAAGAGTTTTTCTCTTGCTAAATGAAAATGCAAAGAGGAATGTCTAGAATTTTTTTTGTTAATGTCAATTCCAAAGTTACCATGTCTCCATTTGGCAGTTCTGAGAGTTGGTTTTCTTAGGATGCAGTCAACTTCTTCATAAAATCTCATTTTTCTTGGAGGGTTGCCATTTTTTCTTTGTAAAATGCTATATTCATATTTTACATTTTTATATTTCGTATGACATTGTTTCCGGTCTCTGTCTATCCCAAACTGCATTAATTAATCTTCTGGCAATTTCCTCAAATATTTTCTTGTTTCTTGTGGCCCCTTCAAGCATTCGCTTAATTTTTTCATCAGACCATATCAATGCTCTGACCTCACTGTCACACCAGTATTTTCCGGCCTCTGTGTTACTCACTGTTATAATCTGTAAATGACTTTTAGCATCTTCTAAAGGATTACCTACAAATCAACATGATTTATAATTATTCAAACATAGATAAATCTTGTATTTGATTATCATTCACTTAAAGCAACTGTGATGGCATAAAGTACCAAGAATACAATAATAACTTCAATATGAGTCAAAAGAAATTTTGTGTCCATATTCAAACAGTATATTCTAAAAATTATAAGACAGACTGTTCTCATTATTAGTGAGAAAATTTAGCTGCTTTTCATCATAGGTGATCTTCACTGGATATTTGTGAATATGGAAAGTCCCAGTGTTTACTAAATTTCTTTTAGTGAGAAGTGGGCATAGACATTTTCCTTCTTTCTCTACTGTATTCTCTACCAACTCAGGTATAAGGAAGCATTTTAGGTAATACACAATAGAGATCTTCTCTGTTAGACTTCATATATCAAAATGACATTTAAAATTTACCAATTTAGACCCTGCAGTGGACCCAGTATTATTTTGGGGTGATGATGTGCAGCAGGGGGTGACAGGGGGAAGGCATACTCCACAATGCTTTCTAACAGTGAGTTCCTCTCATCTTAAATTCTCCTAGGTTTTAATTCTGAATAATTTTTCAGCCTTATGAATTTTTTTTTTTTTTTTTTAAGAGACAGGGTCTCACTATGTTGCCGAGGCTGGCGTGGACCTCCTGAGCTCAAGCGATCCTCCTGCCTCAGCCTCCCAAGTAGCTGGCACTACAGGTGCCTACCACCATGCCTAGTGCCTCATGGAAATTTGAAAATGTGTTTAAATCACTCTTGTTGGATATAATTTTTAAAAGATGGTGATAGAAATGTAAAATGGTGAAGTCATGGTGGAAAACAGGTAGTTCCTCAGAAACTTTCAGCATATGCCATATGACCAAGCAATTCCACTCCTACATATAAACCCAGAAGAACTGAAAACATGTTCACATAAAAACATATACATGCTGTGGAAAAACAGTACTGCAGGTCCTAAAAAAATTAAACACAAATTACCATATGATCAACAATTTCGCTTCTGGGTATATACCCAAAAGAATTGAAAGCAGGGACTCAAGCAGATATTTATACATCCACATTCATAGCAGAGTTATTGATAATAGCCGAAAGGCAGAAACAACCCAGATAACCATCGATGGATGAATAAACAAAATGGTGTATCCATACAATGGAATATTAAAATGAAGGAAATTCTGATAAATGCTACAACATGGAGGAGCCCTAAAGATATTATAAGTGAAATAAGCCAGGCACAAATGGACGAATATTGTATGATTCCACTTATATGAGGTACCTAGAATAGTCAAATTCACAAAGATGGAAAGGAGAATAGTGGTCACCACAGGCTAAGGAGAGTTGGGATGGAGGAGTTATTGTTTAATGGCTACAGAAGTTTCAGTTTGGAATGATGAAAAAGCTCTGGAGATGGAGAGTGGTGATGTTTGCACAACAACGTGAACGTACTTATGGGTATAATGGTAAATATTTTATGTATATTTTACCAAAATGGGAAAAAAATTGTACCAGAATGTTCATAGCAACAGTATTCATAGGAGCCAGAAAATGGCAGTGACCCAAATGTCTGTCAGTTGATAAGTGGGAAAACAAAATATGGTATATCTGTAAATTGGAATATTATTCAGCCATAAAAAGGAATGAAATACTGATATATGCTACAACGTGGATGAACCGTGAAACAAAAGAAGCCAGACACAAAAATGTATATTGGAGGGTACCACTCATGTCCAGAATAGGCAAATTCTTAGAAACAGAAAGTTGGTTAGTGGTTGTCAGGGGTTACAGAGGTGTGGTCAAGCAGTTAAACTACTGATGGATATGGGGTTTCTTTCTTTTTTTTTTTTGAGACAGAGTCTTGCTCAGTCGCCCAGGCTGGAGTGCAGTGGTGTGACCACGGCTCACTGCAACCTCCGCCTCCTGGGTTCAAGTGATTCTCCTGCCTCAGCCTCCCGAGTAGCTGAGACCACAGGTGCGCGGCCACCACGCCCAGCTAATTTTTGTATTTTTAGTAGAGATGGGGTTTCACCATGTTGGCCAGGATGGTCTTGATCTCTTGACCTCGTGTTCTGCCTGCCTTGGCCTCCCACAGTGTTGGGATTACAGGCGTTAGCCACCGTGCCTGGCAGATACGGGATTTCTTTGTGGGGTGATCAAAATGTTCTAAAATGGGATACTGGTGATTATTGTATAACTGTGGATATACTAAAAACCACAGTTATACGCTTTAGTTGGGTGAATTTGATTGTATGTAAATCACATCTCAGAAAAGTTGCTGAGGTTTGAGAATAGAAAAGTAAAGACAAGTCAAGTGTAGAGGTTAATGCAGTGATGTCTGTGGGAAGTTATAAAGGAACTAAGGAAACATGAACTGCATTGTACGGAGCTTCCAAATCTTCCTCTAAGCCAGAGTTTTTATGATGTGATTGATTAAGTCATTGGCTGCAAGATGGAACTCAACCTCCAGCCCCACTCTCCTTCATGGAGGTCACACTGGCACAAAGCTCCAACCCTCATCACATGGTCGGTCTTTTTCGGTGACTACCCCCTATCCTGAAGCTATCTGGGAACCCACCTAGAGTAGCCTCATTAACACAACAAAGATGCCTCTGTCTCTGGAAGTTCCAAAGGTTGTTGATGCTTTGTGCCAGGAACAGGAGACCAAAACTAGATATATTCTTTATTATGCCACAGCTTCTTAAAAGTTTATTAAAATATTACCAACAGTACAAATTAGAAAAATCATGACTTCATAATAAACAAGTTGCCTGTATTTAAGATTAGCAGCATACCTATGTCTGAGCTTTCTTTTTTCACATTTGTAAGTCTTCGGTTTTCTGAAGTTTTAGTAATAAGTTCTTCTCTATCTGGATGTACTATTGGATTAAAATGAAAAGTTCTCAGTATTGTGTTTCATATGACTAAAGTGCATTAATTTATGTAATAATTTTACTGCTAAGATTATACAAATTATAATGCATGTAAAATATACAAAAGTGTTTAAATATTCCAGGTTTAAGGAAAATTACTTCCAATTTCTTTCTTTTGGAAGAGATAAATGAATTAGAAGAAAACATAATTCTTAGCGTACCCTTTGAGATGGTAACAGTAGATTCCTTAATGCCCCCTGCTGGCCATCTCATTGTGAACTTTTTGAATTTTGGAAATATGTTTTGCTACAACCAAAAGAAAAATGGGCATTTCTAGGGTTATTCTTAGATGAACATTGAGGTATTTCACTTGTGATTTTTAGGCTGAAGATCAGCGTGACCTCCTCTAATAGGATATATTTTACTACCATGAAACTTCTATGCTTATTTAAGTATGCTTGACTCCACCCCTCTGACCTAAAATAGGTTTAACTGTGACTGTCCTATACCAGAAAGCAGTGGCTTGCGGGAATACATAGATAATAAGGCATACCAGCTCATATAAATGGCAGCTGATATTGGAGCGGAATTAAGTCAATTTTGTTTCTCCTACTCAGAAGAGACAGGTAGGTGATAAGATTGTCAAACACAAATTTTCTCTTTTGGCAGAGTCCTTTCTCCTTTGATAACTTCTTGATTCCTTTTATCCTCTCTCGCTTATGCTTCAGACCAGGGAGAAAAATAAAATATGTTTTAGATCCAAAGATCTAGTTTATTCAATTTTCATGGGCCACTTCTTTTTACTTAACATAATAGGAATAGCCTGAGCAGTCTATGATTCTTCTCCGTGATTGATTTCCTTCATATTCCATTAGTCATTAATTTTTAAGTGATAATCTATCGGCATTAGCAAATTTTTCTTCCCTGAATGGAATCAAATTGAAACTTCTGTGTGAATCAGTCCTCTGCTGGTCTGAGCATGATAACCTAGCTACGGTTTCCAGTGCTGGCTATGCTTGAGAACCGTCTAAAAATACGGGTGCCTGAACTGACTCCAACCTGCTAGATCAAAACCTTCAGAAGTTCCAAATTGGGAACCACTCTAGATACTCAGAATCCAAGGGGTCTACAGCTGTAGCTGGATTTTCATTTGAAGTAAAGAAAAGCTTATGGCTTATAGCATACATTTAAGATAGGAAAGAGAATACTTTTGGGGGACTGGTTTTTTGGCCAGATATCAAAGTTAACAATATGGAGCTATTATTAATAATAGCAACTCCAATTTCAAAAATTCATCAGTGAAATACAAAAAATAAAAATGAAGTGACCTCTGTTTTTACATGTAAATACCCATCACTTTGTTGTTGTTTTAAAGAAAGACTATTTCATGTGAATTTTTTTCCCTGAAGATAAATAATTCATATTTTTATACCTCAATACTACGTTCTATTACATTCTTCCTAAGAGCGGAGTGGCAATTTGTGAATCAGTAGGTATATATTGCAGGTGTACCTAAAATCCTTGCCTGTTTAAGTTTTTTTCTTACGTATTTAGCTGCTGAGATCCTTGTGGGTTTATATCTTTGCTTTGAATTTTCATGTGACAGTTTAAAATAATATAATCTCTAGGATGACTATGCATTTGTCCTGTTTCACATTTTCTAAATATATTCCAAATATTTCATATTTGGCATGCAAACATGCCAAACAAAAAAAAAAACTTGTACTTTTGACTTAATCTTTTTCTTCTACATGTAAAAAATTATCTTGAGGTTGTACTTAAGTAAGTTTTCCAGAGGACTAACAAGCTAAAATCTTCTGAATACTAAAGCTCTTAACTTTTTAGATGGAAATCTTTTTTCCTTATTAAACAATGCAGTAATCTGATTTTCTTATTTTTTAAAATTTTATTTTTTATTTTTAGAGATGGGTTCTTGCTGTGTTGCCCAGGCTGGATTCAAACTCCTGGGCTTAAGTCATGCTTCAATCTTAGCATCCCAAGAAGCTGGGATTATAGGCATGTGCCAACTGCACCTGGCATAATTTGATTTTTAACTCTTAATGACAAAGGCCATAGCTGTGATGCCTATGGAAACCTAAGAATCTGTCCTGTCTGATAAACCAGAGAAATAAGTTTGCCAGGAGTATAGGAAATTTGATTAACTAGTTTGTTAAATTAACATTGAGCTTTACACTTTGTGAAGTTATATGAAGCTTTGGACTGACAGACTAGGTACAAGGTCTTTTTAACAGATATACTTCAGCTTGGGGGCTTGGTGATCTCCTCCTCCCCAGTTTTGGTTTGTGTAGAAGAGGCAAACTATCAGGTAGCAAGCACAAAATCTCACCTCCAAACCCTTAGTGCCCTATACCAGAGGGTAATGATTCTCAAACTTGCTTGCATCATTATAACCTGGAAGACTTGTTAAAACAGATTGCTAGGCCCCAACACCAGAGTTTCTGATTCTGGATGGGGCCCAAGAATTTGCATTTTGAGTAAGTTCTCAGTTAATGCTGATGCTGCTACACTTGGAGAAAAACAGCGATGGGGAACATTGCTTCCATTAATTATTTCCACCTTTCATTTATGTGTTTTGAGTTATGATCCAACAGTACTTCATATAATGTTATAACATAATTTCTTAGGTATGGTAGCGTCTATTAATATATAGATATAAAATCTAAAACCCATTATGAGGGCACCACTCTCATGACCTCATCTAAAGCTAGTTATCATTCAAAGGCCCTGTCTCCAAATACATCACATTGGGGGTTAAGGCTTCAATATATGAATATTGGTGGGAGGAACACAGTTCAGGCCATAGCAGTGTCTTATAATAGCATTTTATGTATATACTTTGTCACACACACACACACACACACACACACACACACACGTACAAAAAAAAAAAACCAGAATATTATTTTATGTGTGTCAAGACCTTGTTTTTTATCTGTATCTCCTATGTCTTCTGACTTATTACTGACTGAATCATCTTCAGCTACATCTCCAGCAATGACTGTATGAACATAAGGGGATATATATTGGCTTTTTAAATTTACTTCAGGATCGTGTTTTATTTATTTAGATTATTTATTTGTTTTTGAGGCAGAGTCTCACTCTGTTGCTCAGGCTGTGGTTCAGTGGTACGATTTTGGCTTACTGCAACCTCTGCCTCCCAGGTTCCAAGGATTCTCATTCCTCAGCCTCCCGAGTAGCTGGGATTACAGGCATGTGCCACCACACCTAGCTAATTTTTTGTGTATTTTTTAGTAGAGATGGGGTTTCACCATGTTGGCCAGGCTGGTCTCAAACTCCTGCCTCAAGTGATCCACCCACCTTGGCTTCCCAAAGTGCTGGGATTAGAGGCATGAGCCACAACGCCTGGCCCAGAATTGTGTTTTAAACTCTAATGCAGTATTTTCCTTTTTAAAGGGACCCTAATATTAAATATGATTAGTTAGATTCCCTACCCTTAAGCATCTTTTTGTCACTATAGATATTGGGTATGTATCTGAGTCTCTAACTAAGTCTTCTGACATAACTAATGGAATCATCTTTAGCTGCATCTCCAGCAATGACTGTATGAAGATATCATGCCACTGCTGTTGGGCTGCTTTATCTGTAGTCATCTAACTGGGGGAGATGTATAGTTCTCTAGCATACCAGTTTCTTTCTTGTCCACCAGCGAAATATTTTGAGATTTCTCACCAACATTTCCAGTCTTAACTGTCTGTGGTTCCCCTCTCTTCCCTAGACGCAGACTGTCTTACAATTGGGACTCATCATTTAAGCCAGATAATAAAATCCGGAGACACTGTGGTTAGTAGAGGTCTTTAAGACCATCTTGTCCACACCCCCCAATTTTGGAGTTAGGTCTACAGCAGCGGTCTCCAACCTTTTGGCACCAGGGACTGGTTTCACGGAAGACAATTTTTCCATGGACCAGGGGGTGAGGGGGCCATGGTTTTGGGAGGATTCAAGTGCATTACATTTATTGTGCACTTTATTTCTGTTATTATTACGTTGTAATATATAATGAAATAATTAAACAACTCACCATAATCTAGAATCAGTGGGAGCCCGGAGCTTGTTTTCCTGCAACTACATGGTCCCATCTGGGAGTGATGGGAGACAATGACAGATCATCAGGCATTAGATTCTCATAAGGAGCACACAACCTAGATCCCTTGCCTGCACAGTTCACAACAGTCTTCGTGCTCCAGTGTTCTAATCTAATGTGAGAATCTAATGTTGCCGTTGATCTGACAGGAGTCGCGGAGCTCAGGTCATAATGTGCATGATGGGGAGTGTCTGTAAATACAGATGAAGCTTGGCTCGCCCACCACTCACCTCCTGCTGTGCAACCCAGTTCGTAACAGGCCACGGACCAGTAAGGGTCCAGGTGTTGGGGACCCCTGGTCTAGAGAAGACACTTGGTTACTTCAAGCTTCCACAGAGCCTTACAACTTTGATTTCCTGAATCCTGGTCTAGAACTCATTCAGTTTATTTCATGCTATCATGTCTTAGTGTGTATGTACTGTATCTCAATCCTTTGGTTTAAATATACTTTAAAGACATTTATGATGGGTCTCAGAGAAATGTACTACTTCTAAGAAAGTCTCATGTATTTTATATTTTTCTAAGTTCTTCAATGCCCTTTTTCTATTTTACTCAATTTTACCACAATTAGTATGAAAATTTACTTTAACTTCTGCCATCTGGGGTTGCATATTTGCTTTATTAAAATTGATCTATTTTAAACTTTATTCTGGGAATCCAGTTTTATTTCCTCCTTTTTGTATAACTGTACTGTTTCTATTCTGGGGAAGATCAAATGTATACTAAATCTGTTTCATAATAAATTCAGCTAGCTTGTCAAATAGCATGTAATGAAACCTATTTAACTTACATATATAATATTCCTCTTATGGTACTGAACATTCTCAATACAGGTTGAGCATCCCTAATATGAAATCTGAAATGCTACAAAATTTGAAACTTTTTGAGCACCAACATGATGCTACATGTGGAAAATTATACACTTGACCTCATGTGATGGGTATAGTCAAAACTTTGTTTCATGCACAAAATTATTAAGAATATTGCATAAAATTAGCTTTAAGCTATATATATGAAACACATATGAATTTCATGTTTGGACTTGGCTCCCCTTTCTAAGATACCTCACTATGTATATGCAAATACTCTAAAATCTGAAAAAGTATCTAAATCTGAAACACTTCTGATCCCAGGCATTTTGGAAAAGGGATCCTTGAACCTGTGTGATGTAACATGATGTTAAGATTATTTTTCTTCACCTTCCTACCTGTCTGGTCCTCTCCCATTTTTACGTTGGCACATTCTGTGACATGTTCTCCATCTTGGGATTCCTGGTCTCGTGATTTTTCTGTTTTATTGGGTCCCAGAATAGCATCCAACTCAGTAAAAAATTTCATACTCTTAGTCATGCCTAGATCTTGAGCTGTTCTTACGATCTTGTATTCGTGTTTTAGGTTTTTGTATTTTGTTCTGCACTGTTTCCAGTCTCTGTCTATTCCAAATTTCTGAAGCTTGGCTGCAATTTGTTGAAATATCCTCTTATTTCTCACTGTTCCCTCTAGTTGTCGTTGTATGCTTTTATCAGACCAGATGTCTATTAGAGCCCTGACTTCTGGCACAGTCCAGTGCTTTCCTCCTTCATTTGCTACAGTTGGGATAAAAGTTGTATTATTAGAGGGTTCCAATACTGACGTAGAGATACCTGCATTAGGTAGAGAGGTAAAAGATATATGCATTATATACATCAGACAAGGTAAATAATTGGATGCAACATTATTAAAGAAAGCAGTTTCCTCCATAGGAGATGGAGTAACAAATCATAGCTTAGCTTTTCTCTTAAACAGTGGGGAAACAAAATACAGAACCTAAATCTGTCCATTATTATGCCGGTTACTGGCTTTAATAAAGTTGTGTTTTTTTAGTCATATTTTGATCATCTTTCCTGTATACCTTTTTTTTCTCTTCCATACCACTCCTTTAGTATGTAGGGTGTATGTCAGTGTATAGTGGAAGTTCAATATATAAATGTGTAGCATTTACTATAGAAAACAGTAATTACTTAAGAAAATGGCTCATTGTAGATAATTTGTTTTGAAATAGGATAGGTACAAACAATTTAACTCCTTTCTTTTTTCTTTATCTTACGATTTCCTTTGGCTATATATCAGTCTACTGGGAAGCATTTAAAAACCACCACTCTGGTACCTGCCTCATCCCTCATCCCCAGACTGTGAATCTAATGTGTAGTCAGGGTTGAGAACTGAGGCTACTCATGAGCTGAGGGCTTGGAAGAGTCACACAGAACAATCAGTGCTTACGCCTTGCGAAAATTACAGAAAGACTAAAGCCATTTTAAATGAAGTATTTTCTTTTAATGGTAGGGAAATGTGTCAGAAATTTCATAATGCCTTGTTCCTAGGCAGTATGTCTCCACTTAGTTATAAATCCTTTAATATGCCATGGTGTGTATTAGGTCTCTAGAACAGTTTTATACTTCATTTACATTACTGACAGTACTTGACTTTATATTGGTTATTTTGACAACCAATCTTGTGTTTTTCTCAGATTTCATTTTCATAAAAGAAGTAGGTTCATTTTCTGAATTATAAACTTACAAGCACATTAACTTTGGTCTTTGTGTTTTTTTTGAGACAGGGTTTCAAATTGGATGTAATATTATTAAAGAAAGGAATTTTTGGCTGGGCATGGTGGCTCAGGCCTGTAATCCCAGTACTTTGGGGTGCCAAGGCAGGTGGATTGCCTGAGCTCAGGAGTTGGAGACCAGCCTCCCAACAGGGCAAAACCTGTATCTACAAAAAAATGCAAAAATTAGCCAGGCTTGGTGGCATGTGCCTGTGGTCTCAGGTATTTGGGAGGCTGAGGTGGGAGGATTGCTTGAGTCGGGGAGGTGGAGGTTGCAATGGGCTGAGAATACACCACTGCACTCCAGCTTGGGCAAAAGAGTGAGACCCTGTCTCAAAATAAGATAAAATAAAATAAAATAAGTTTTTTAAAAAAGAAAGTAATTTTCTTTCACCAAGCTAGAGTGTAGTGGAGAGACCACTGCTCATTGCAGCCTGAACCTCCCAGGTTCAAGTGAACCTCCAGAGTAGCTGGGACCACAGGCACACGCTACCATGCATGACATTAACATTTTGTTTGCATTAAAAATAATCTTCAGCCAGGTGCGGTGGCTCACGCCTGTAATCCCAGCACTTTGGGTGGCCAAGGTAGGAGGATCACGAGGTCAGGAGATCAAGACCATCCTGGCCAACATGGTGAAACCCTGTATTTACTGAAAATACAAAAATTAGTTGGGTGTGTGGTGCACACCTGTAATCCCAGCTACTCAGGAGGCTGAGGCAGGAGAATCGCTTGAACCTGGGAGGCAGGATTGCAGTGAGCCGAGATTGCACCACTGCACTCTAGCCTGGCAACAGAGCAATACTCTGTCTCAAAAAAAAAAAAAAAAACAAAAAACCAAATCTTCAAATTATACCGAAGATTAATCATAATTTATTTTGTTTCTTTTTCTTTTCGTAGACTCTGTTGCACAGGCTGGAGTGTGTAGCACAGTCATGGCTCACTGCAGCCTTGAACCCCTGGGCTCAAGTGAGCCTTCCTGCCTCAGCCTCACAAGTAGCTGGGACTACAGGCATGAGCCACTGACTGCACCTGGACTATTTTTAATAATTTTTTTAGGCATGGGGTCTCACTGTGTTGCCCAGGCTAGTCTCGAACTCCTGGTCTCAAGTGATCCCGCACCTTGGCCTCCCAAAATACTGGGGTTACAGGTGTGAGTCACTGTGCCTGGCCATAATTTAAAATTAAATATTACAATTAATGGTTCAGTAATAATTGAGTTTAGGTTTTGGCCCCTATCATACAAATGATATTACAATTAATAACTTTTGTCAGGTTCATGAGTTTTAAGTCATTAAAAAAACTTTATAGCATTTGTTTGAGATATTTTATGGTGTATTTAATGTCTTTGCTTTGAAATGCTTTTCAGAATTTTTTTTCTTATTTAGGTTACAAATATTTAATGTCTTTGCTTTGTAATGCTTTTTCAGAATTTTTTTTCTTATTTGGGTTACAAATAAGTTTTTCTATTATGTAAGTTAGAAGTAAGGTTTTTGCTTCTAGCTTCAATAAGAAATTAGAAGCGGCCGGGTGCAGTGGCTCACGCCTGTAATCCCAGCAATTTGGGAGGCCGAGGCGGGTGGATCACCAGAGGTCGAGAGTTCTAGATCAGCCTGGCTAACATGGTGAAACCCTGTCTCTACTAAATATACAAAATTAGCTGGGCGTGATGGTGCGCTCCTGTAATCCCAGCTAGTCAGGAGGCTGAGGCAGGAGAATTGCTTGAACCCCGGAGGCAGAGGTTACAGTGAGCTGGGATCATGACACTGCACTCCAGCCTGGGCAACAGAGTGAGACTAGAAAAGAAAAGAAAAATAGAAGCAAAGAAGGATTTACACTGAATTTAATTCATTGGGTGATTCAAATTATCCTTGACCTGGTTGTGGCTCTGATGTTTACTTTCAGATGTAAAATTCTGTTTGTCTTAATTCCTTGCCTCAACACTAAAGTGATCATGTTCATTACTATGAGTAAGTTTAGCCATCAGATTTCTTATAATATTTAAAGAGTAAAGTTCGGAAATTAGAGAACCAATATTTCTAGGAAACTTAAATTTCGTAAGGAAATCATTTGCTTTAGAAATAATTTTTTTCAGTGTGGGTTGGCAAAAAGGGAAACATAAATCAATTCTGAGTGTTTCTTCCAGGAAAAATTGTCAATTTTCTCAGATTAGGAACCAGTCTTTCCGTTTGAAATTAGATCAGTTTCATTCTGTCCCATCCATTATACTATACCTAGTTCCATTGGTCTGACATGAGAAACCAGAAGTAAAGGATTTCCTGAGACATCTTCCTTATCTACTGATGCAATTGACATTTTACCTGTAAATATAACAGAATTCCTTTTAGAAACAACATGACTGATAATTCTAATAGCTTTAGCTAAATGTGGTCATATTCTTGAAAACAGATTTGTGATAGACATTTTGTAATAAAGTTGTATAATATAGTTTAAATATTTGTATATTTAAAGAGAAATCTAATTTTTTCCATCCCATTGACATGGTCCATTTTGAAGTTCTGCTAGAATTGTTTGATAATTTTTTAAGTTTTTAGAAATGGTTGTAGTTAGTTTTCAAGTTAAATTACTTTTTTTTTTTTTTTGAGACAGAGTCTTACTCTGTCGCCCAGGCTGGAGTGCAGTGGTGTGATCTCGGCTCACTGCAACCTCCGCCTCCCGGGTTCAAGCAATTCTCCTGCCTCAGCCTTATGAGTAGCTGGGATTACAGGCATCTGCCACCACGCCCGGCTAATTTTTGGATTTTTAGTAGACACGAGGTTTCACCATGTTGGCCAGGCTGGTCTCGAGCTCCTAACCTCAGGTGATCCTCGGCCTCCCAAAGTGCTGGGATTACAGGTGTGAGCCACTGTGCCCAGCCTTACAATTTTTAAATGTGGTGTTTTATTTATAATTGTATCTTGGGTGCTCTAACAGAGTAGGCATTTGCTAAATAATACCAGTAATGTAAAAGAGTAGGTCCTGCAATGAGATAGATAATTAGAAAATGCTGTTTTTTTGGCATGTATGATCAAATAGCTTAGAGTTTTTAAGTATCTTATATAATTTATTGATTGATACATATTAAAGTTTCCAGAAGTTAAATTATGTTTAAATGGACTAAGGAATATGTCATTTAAAAGAAACATGCCAACCATAAAAATTGAATTCCTCCTTTGATTTCCTTGTTTTATGGTTTGGATGCTTTTATATAGGCTTTCATAAAATGAGGCATAGGCTACTTTTTAAAGTGATCAAATGAGGAGGATGAAGTACATCTTAGAAAGGAATGCAGTTTACATGATTTTTAACTCAATTGACACATGAAGATGAATTATAATTACATGAAATTGCAGACTAATTGGGAGGCGGATAAGTATCTTTTGATTGCTCTTTGTAATGTCTCAATTAAAAATTTACTCATCTCATTAATCATTTCATTGCCAAATGTTTTTCCACTTCTATTTTATTGAGTAACAAAAGTAGCATTGTATTTTACATTAATATATCAACTTTTAGGTGTGATTTTAATGGCATAAATATTCATTTTAAATCATGATTCACCATTATGTTTACAGGCATTCCCATTGAAGAAAAAGAAAAGATATGCTCTTTATCATCTTAAAAACTCTATTAGGGTTTCTATGTTAAAATAGGAAAACAAATGAAAAATAAACATAAGTACAAAAGCACATCACTGCTTTCAGATGGCACAGTTGTATTTTTATAAACTCTCAAGGTAAAAATTGTCAAAAATTTTAAATCAGGTTTTATAATTGCTTTAGGCTAAAATGTTGTCGAGGAATGTTTTAGATTTGGTTGAAAACAGGGAAAATAAAAATCTGGAGTTATGTAAGAATTACCTTTAGAGAAACAGGGCCCAGGTTATTTAACACCTGAGCTTGAGTATGAGAGCAGTAAATAAAGGCAGGGTTTCTATTCTATTACCTGGTTTAGAGTCCAGATTTACGTCCATAGAAAAGAGTCTGGACCAAACATACAGATGGTAGTGAAACAGAAAAGCTCTCTCTCCAACCTCTTCAGATAATTTTTTCTTAAGTTGCTCATTCCACAGCATGAATCCTAAAACTGTAGGCAGAGGCTCTGGAGATTTTAAAGTGAAAGTCTTAAATCATTACTTGCGATACATTTGTATAAAATAAGAGGAGTGAAATAGAGGGGAAATTGACCACTGAAGGAATGTGGTTTGGCAGCCATAGGCCAAAGGAATTCTGAGGCTGAGGATGATGAGATTTAGCAGAAGATGAAGCCTCTTAGAGTTGGTCAAAAGTGTATTTGGGTCTTTTGCCATGGCTCTGGTCCTGGCTACTTGCTGCCTAACAAGTGGCCTATCCTTACCACTTGCATGAGGTTGATCCCAACAGTGGAAAAGGCACTTTCGTTTTCTTCCCTTCTTCCGTGTATCACACACCAATAAAAATTCTGCTGGTTCCGCCATAGGAAAAACCAGAAAACATTACATAATGAATCAAACCTGGTGCAAGGAGGGCTTCCTAAGCCCTAGGGAGAAAACTTTGATTACCTTAAAAATTTTTGGATTCTGCAGATCAAATAAATCATAAGGCAAGAAAATCATGCAAATTTCTAAGACCCCAATTGACATGAATGGTCAGTTTGTAAAATTGTATAGAAAAGTGTTCTACCTTACTGGTAATTAAACAAATGCAAATTAAAAGTTACCAATTTGTATATCATTATAGGCCATTGTTTCTTAAATTAGCCTAAGTCGTTAATTATTTATTTAATTTATTTATTTTGAGATAGAGTTTTACTCTTGTCGCCCAGGCTGGAGTGCAGTGGTGTGATCTTGGCTCACTGCAACTTTTGCTTCCTGGGTTCAAGCGATTCTCCTGTCTCAGCCTCCCAAGTAGCTGGGATTACAGGTGCCCACCACCAAGCCCAGCAAATTTTTTGTATTTTTAGTAGAGACGGGGTTTCACCATGTTGGTCAGGCTGGTCTTGAACTCCTGACCTCAGGTGATCCACCTGCCTCAACCTCCCAAAGTGCTGGGATTACAGGCATGAGCCACCATGCCTGGCCTAAATCATTATTTACTTATCAAATTTGGAAAGTCCCTTCTTCCCATCAATACTCCATAATTTTGCATGACAGTGATTCTACAGAAGGGACGCTATCATGGCTAGTGAAGTACAGTTATTTTGGAAAGCAGTTGTTTTAGAAATAATGTTTCAAAGTAATGGCCAGACATGGTGCCTCAGGCCTGTAATGCCAGCACTTTGGGAGGCCAAGGTGGGCAGATCACTTGAGGACAGGACTTCGAGACCAGCCTGGTCAACATGATGAAACCCTGTCTCTCCTAAAAATACAAAAACTAGCTGGGCATGGTGGCGTTGCGCCTCTAATCCCAGCTCAGGAGGCTGAGGCAGGAGAATCGCTTGAACCTGGGAAGCAGAGGTTGTGAGCTGAGATTGCACCACTGCACTCCAGCCTGGGTGACAGAGTGAGACTCTGTCTTAAAACAAAACAAAACAAAACCAAAAACCAAAAACAAGACAAAAACAACAACAACAAAAAACCAAAGTAATTATATCCTCCTGAATCAGTACTTTGTGTCTTAAAGTAATAATACTAAAAATGGACAAAAGGTATTAATTGCAGTATCATTTGCATGGGGGTGGAAGACCCACACTCAGTTAAATATTATGGAACCATTAATTGTAATATTTAATTTTAGACCATGATTAATCTTGGGTATAATTTAAAGATTATTTTTAATGCAACCAAAATGTTAATGTGCTTATAATTTTATAATTTAAAAATGTAAAGAACAACTAGTGGTATTGTGGAAAGTATATGGGAAGAGGGTGAAAACTAGGGAGCCCGGTAAAGAGGTTACATTAATATTCCATATGAGACATGATGAAGTTCTGGTTAGTCATAATGAGAATAGAGCAGAGAGAAAATTTTATGCAGTATGTCAGCAGATTTTTTAAAGACTTAGTGACTGACCAAAAATCAAGGATATCTCAAATGTTTCTGTATAAGTGATTGGAAATATAGTGATGCTAAGGTGGAAGCAATTTGTAGGAGGATCAAATTCAGGCTAGATGTGGTGGATCGTGCCTCACTTCGGGAAGCCGAAGCAGGAGAATCTCTTGAACCCAGGAGTTCAAGACCAGCCAGGGCAACATGGTGGGAAACCCATCCCACAAAAAATTAGCCAGGCATGGTGGCTCACACCCCATAGTCCCAGCTATTCAGGAGGCTGAGTTGGGAGGATCATTTGAGTCCTGGAAGTTGAGGCAGCAATGAGCCAAGATCACACCACTGCACTTCAGCTTGGGTGACAGGAGTGAAACCCTCTCTCTAAAAAAAAAAAAAAAGGTGATGGGAGAATAGAGAGTTTGATTTTGGAATTGGGAGTTTGAGGTAACTAAACGTGCATAGTTATGTTGTAAGGATAGTCCCTCTGTTTATGAGTGAAAACGAAGGAGTTTGGAGCCAAGGGAGTACCTGAAAGCGCTGAAGATCCCTTTAAGAAGTTGAGATATTGGCACCCACATCTTCATCAGACCAACTCCTGGTTAAAATCGGGGACTTTCAGAAGCTAAGTGATTTACTTATTTATTAATCAATATTTAAAGCACTTAAATAATGAAGAGTCGAAGGTGTTTAATTGAATAAAATAATGCGATTGCTGTTTAATATGGTAATAACTGCAAAGCTTTCTCAGAATTTGGTGTCATCTCAGAAATGGAAAGAATGTAGGCAGGGTGGATTCTTCTTTTAATGAAATGATTTGTTACTGAGCTGTAAACATGAAAAATAGCTAACTTAAGTTAACCAGTTGTAATCTTTGTCCTCTTAACCCCATTCACATTTGGTACTTTTATTATACTATTTACTGTTTTCTCTCAGGTGTTAAATTTATTTGCAGTTCTGTCCTTTTTGAGGTTTCGCATTACTAAACGCATATAACTTAGTGCTTTGCCCATGGTACACACAGATAGTGGGTATTACAGATTTTTGAATAATTCTGCTCTTGAAATAGCATCTATAAGATTTAGACTATGGTAGACATCTCATTACTGTCATTGATTTCCCTCCCTTTGCCTACTAATGCTTCCACAGACAATGAGTAGATTCTATGTAAATAGTGTTGGGTTTAACAACACAGCACGTCAAGAAACCCCTGTAAATCACTTAGTCTCAGATCATTTCATGTACTAAATCTTCATTATACTTCATTGTTAAAATGGAGCTGTTCTTCTTCATTGTTAAAATGGAGCTGTTCTTGTAAACAAGTAATGAAATAGTGTAGAACAGTTATTTTAAATGTGCTTTTATTTATAAATTTAGGAAAACGCAAATTAAATAAAGGAGAAAGTTCTTGTTTGGAGCTGTGGAAAAACATCAGTTGAGCAATGTTTTTGATATTTTTCCCCTTATTTACCACTCTTATAAAATTAAAACTTAAACTATTTTTAGAACTCAATCCATATTTCAAAAACATATCACATGCAGTTGGCACTAGCAGTCAGTGCCATTGTAATGTGCTTTTTCTGTATTTTACAGATTTTTTTAAAGTGGTAATATTTAACCTCTTTTTAAAAAAATTCTTAACCTTGTGCAAAATAGCATAATAAATTGGTTATTTTTCCACAGTCTTGATATTTCAGTCTATATTTATCATATGGCCACAGAAGTCCTGAACTTTTACAGTTCATAAAACTGTAAAACAAAAGAAAAACAAGAGTACTTTTCTTTTTTTTTTTTTTTTTTTTTTTTTTTTTACCTTCAGTGGTCTCTGGGGCTGTACTTGGGCTGAGCGTTTCCAGGTACCTGCCATTTGCATCTTCCTCTGTAAATTGTGTGGCAGGTTCATACTGCAGGATTACATCCAAATCATGGAAGAACTTCATAGTTTTAGAGCTGTCTCCAGAGTTATGGGCATATTTAACTGTTCTATATTCATATTTGAGATTTTTGTACTTAGCCCAGCACTGTTTCCAGTCTCTGTATACTCCTAATGATTGCAGCCTTTTAGCAATGTAAATAAATATTCCTTTATTTCTTAGTGTTCCATAAAGTTGTTTTCGTATATTTTTTTCTGCCCAGACACTTAGCAAAGCTTTAACCTCCTCCTCAGTCCAGTGCTTTCCTGCTCCACTCTCCATGTTGAAAGTGACCTGGAAATGATTCACTATTTCCAGCCAAGGTTTTGTTTCCTAGGAAACCACATGGCTGGTTGTCAATAAGCTCCGAAGAGCTGAAAGGATGTAGTTTAACTGGTTCAAGCTGCCTGAGGGAGTAACTTGAGAAACTGCCAAATAAGCAGGCTTTGTGATTAAAGAAGCCTGGATCTAAATGATTCTTAACTATATCATTTCAGCCTGAAGGAAAAACTTCCCTTGAGACAAAAGGGAAAGAAAACCGTTTTTTGTGTATTTCTTTTCTTACATAATTTACTGTTTTACCAAATGATTGTTGATTTTTAAAAATTGTTTTGAAAATGGTTGGCAGAGGCTTTTTCCAAGAGGTCTATAGCCAATGTTAATAATATATTTCCTCTGACATGAATCACCTAGTCCTCTAACATTGGTTAACTTACAGACCCCACAGCATTTCACTAAATAAAAGAAATCATAAGTCAATTTATTTAGTCCCATATGGTATATAGTATTATGCATATCTATTTTCAGTATTTAATGCATTTAATAAAATCATTTCTTGAGGCTGCTGTGAGCTGTGATCATGCCAAGTTTTTTTAGAGTTTTACTTGGCAACATATTTAATGTTGTCATTTTTCTCGTTAATAAAACACTGCAACAATTGCAATATATAATTTTGAAAAAGGTTCCTTTTTACCAAATAAATCAATGTATTAACAGCTACTAAAGTCTACAGGCACATATGGAAGAGGTTTACTTTTTGTTTCTATCCTGATATATATTCTTTGGAACAAAAATTGGTCAATAAACATCTACTATTTATAGCACTTGTTCAGAACTATTAAAAATGGCAAAGCAGTTGGAACCTTTATGAGAGTTTATACTGCACAGTGGTATGGATGCTCTTAGTCTTTACTATGTCTTGCCCTACCTTCAGTCTAGATTTTGGCTTTTTTCTCTGTATCACCACTTAATCAACACTAATGCAGGAAATGAGACACAGACATGGGAAAGGGTGCCTGGTCAGCAGAGGGTTTTCAGAAACAAAATTTTTTTTTCTAATAGCAAAAGTGCTATTTATTGGAGAACATTTGGAAAATGCAGAAAGGCATAAAAAATGGTTACCAACTATGCATTTTGCCTCTATTATATTTGGAGATTTTAATTTACATCTACATACTCATCCTGTTGAAACCCTATTTAGGGGTTATAAAGAGTAGAGGTTAGAAGCATAAATTCTGCAGTTGGATTGTCTGCATTGGAATCCTGGCTACCACCTGCTGTCTGTGTGACAATGGGAAAGTAACTTCCTTTCTATTGCTTTAGTGTGTTTATCTGTAAAATGGGCATGGTAATCATAGTACCTACTTCATAGGATTGTTGTGAAAACCAAATTATATCACGCATGCTATCGACCTAAATAATTAAAAGGATCAGAATCTAATTTAGAGAGAGTTTATTCAAGCACCAAGTTTGAGGATGTCTCACCCAGAAACACCAACTCCAAGGAATGGAGTCAGCATTGCAAAGTAGGAAAGTTAAGGTTTCATTTCTATAGGCAGACAGAGGAGTTTTTAGCAGAATCACAACATTTTTTATACAAGGTTAGCGCGCCCAGTTACAGCAGTTTGATTGTTATAGGTGGTGGTTCTTCTGGGGAAGGGTACATTTAACATTTTTTTACAGAGGATGTTAATGGGTTTTCTTTCATTTGGTCTAGCAAAGCAGGACAACAAAACAAAAGCTAACTTTTTTTTTTTTTTTTTTTGAAACGGAATCTCGCTCTGTCGCCCAGGCCGGAGTGCAGTGGCGCGATCTCAGCTCACTGCAAGCTCCGCCTCCTGGGTTCACGCCGTTCTCCTGCCTCAGCCTCCGGAGTAGCTGGGACGACAGGCGCCCGCCACCACGCCCGGCTCATTTTTTGTATTTTTAGTAGAGACGGGGATTCACCGTGTTAGCCAGGATGGTCTCGATCTCCTGACCTCGTGGTCCACCCGCCTCCACCTAGGAGTTAATCTTTAACAAAGCTCATCACTTGAGAAGGCAGGAGGTTATTGTTTCTGATGTCTTTTTTTTTTTTTTTTTTTGAGACGGAGTCTCCGCTCTGTCGCCCAGGCTGGAGTGCAGTGGTGCGATCTTGGTTCACTGCAACTCCGCCTCCCGGGTTCAAGCAATTCTCCTGCCTCAGCCTCCTGAGTAGCTGGGACTACAAGCGTGTGCTACTATGGCCAGCTAATTTTTGTATTTTTAGTAGAGACAGGGTTTCACCATGTTGGCCAGGATGGTCTCCAGCCTTGACCTTGTAATCCGCCCACGTCAGCCTCCCAAAGTGCTGGGATTACAGGCGTGAGCCACCGTACCCGGCTGTCTCTGATGTCTTTTAATTCTCTCTAGTCATTGTATAGAACAAGAAAAATAAGAAAGTGAGTTAATCTATAATCTGAGAAACAGAAGTTGTAACCATATGTGACTTGGATCACAGTCATATCTCTCTCAAGGCCTAAAGTATATTTGGGGTTCCAATAGCTTTTAAATTATTTATTTTTACAACGTAAAATGCTAGGACAGACTGCCTGGCATGTTAGTTAATATTAGATGAGATATCTAATTGTTACATTGTCATCTGCTGTGATTGCTAATCATCAGCATCAGCATCATCAATAGAAGTAGTGCTAGTACAAGTAGCATTTAATGTGTTGTCACACTAAGTTCATGGATGCTTGTTGAGAAAGTATGCTTGATAAAGTTCTTCAAGAAGCTAATCAATTGGCAGATTTAACAGCTAATATCTTTTTATATTCACAGGGGTCAGGAGAGTGCTGGTATTGTGACTAGTGATGGGAGTTCGGTGCCAACATTCAAATCACACAAGGTAAATTTGAACTTTAAGAAATGTTGATGACAGACCAAGTGCGGTGGTTCATGCCTGTAATCCCAGGACTTTGGCAGGCCAAGGCAGGAGGATCACCTGAGGTCGGGAGTTCAAGACCAGCCTGACCAACATGGAGAAACCCTGTCTCTACTAAAAATACAAAATTAGCCAGGCGTGGTGGCGCATGCCTGTAATCCCAGCTACTTGGGAGGCTGAGGTAAGAGAATCGTTTGAACCTGGGAGGCGGAGGTTGTGGTGAGCTGATATTGCGCCATTGTACTCCAGCCTGGGCAACAAGAGTGAAACTCCATCTCAAAAAAAAAAAAGAAAGAAAAAAGAAATGGGATGACAAAGATAACAAAGACAGATGATCATTAATATGGGGAGGGGGATTTGAATAAATAATTTGCAATCAAAAGTAATATTCTTTGGATCAGCCACTTTCAACTTTATATCCTAACATTTGTCAAATTAGGATGTATTTCTTCCCCAGTTATACTTTTTTGCCTAAGACCAACTCAAATAGGGGGTCATTTATTTAAATGCTTTAAGATGCTTTGATTTTTTTAATGCAAATTTTAGTTTTTATACTTGACAAATTTTATTGCTTACTACATCTGTTCTTAAATGTTTTAGTGAATAGTATCTTATGAAACACAAGTGCTTCAACATTGTGAAGGTATTAAATGCCACTAAATTGTTCTTTTTAGAATGGTTAATTTTATGGTATGTGACTTTTGCCTCAGTAAATTTTTTTAAGTAAGTGCTTCACAGTTCTTACAATTAGGTTATTTGTTTTTGACTTTTTTTTAGATTAGAATTCTGAAACACAGAGATATTAAATGTACTTCTTTGTCTTATTTGGATTGGCTGGGCAGAGAAGAGAGGCGTTTATTACTAGCAGTACTAGTCTGTTTTTTTCTAAGTTGCACTTTTTGATTTCTCAAGGGAATGGGTCTTGTAAATCACGTCTTTACTGAAGACAATTTGAAAAAATTATATGTTTCAAATCTTGGAATTGGACACACCAGGTATGCCACCACAGGAAAATGTGAACTAGAAAATTGTCAGCCCTTCGTTGTTGAAACACTTCATGGGAAGATAGCTGTGGCACATAATGGCGAATTGGTAAATGCTGCTCGATTAAGGAAAAAGGTACGTTTGTTTGTTTGTTTTCCCTAGGCCTTTTTAAATGATTAGGATGGGTTAATGAATAAAAGTTAAGGATCTTTGTAAAGGGCATTTTCTAATTGTTGCTACCTGTTACCTAACTGCAACAAACAATTGCATCAGAATGATCTGGAGTACTTGTTACAATTCCAGATTGTAAGCTATCCCCTAGAGTTCGAGACAAGGGTGAGAATATGCATTTTAGACTCACTTTTTGAATGCACTGCTTTAGAGATTTGGGAGAGTTGATTTATGGATGGAAGCATAGAGAAATTAGAGTTTATGGACTTGCTATCTCTTTAACTCTGTTGCTATGTTCAAAGCTTGTATGAGATAAGAAAAATCAAGCCATTTTTCCTATTCTCAGACTCAGCACACTTCTGTCACCAAATAGGGGGGTTTCTTATACCAGCAGTTTTCCAGAGGACACCAAATGGGTATCCTATAATTCAATTGTATTCTGATAGTACCTGGAGGTAAAGTCAGGTTCCAGAAGTTAAGGGCTCAGTCCCAGAAGTTAAGGGCTCAGTCCCACAAGATTGTCCCGCACTTCAGATGCCAGTTGCAAGTCCAGGCCTTTGGTACATCTGACAACCAGTTATAAATTGGGAGTTCCTGCAACAGCCCTAGCACTACCTTTGGTTTCAAACATCACAAAACTCAAGAAAGTGCTTTGTATACATTTACCAGTTTATTATAAAGGATATTACAAAGGCTACAGAAGAACAGTCTGGTGAAAAGATGGAAAAGGCAGGGTATGTGGGAACGAGTGTGGAGCTTCCATGCCCTTTCCAGGGGCACCACCCTCCAGGCATCTCCAAGTGTTCAGCTATCCAGAAGCTCTCTGAACCTAGTCATTGTGGATTTTTATGGAGGCTTCATGAAGTAGGCACGAATGATTAAATCATCAGCCACTGGTGATCAGCTCAACCTTTAGCCTTTGTCCCCTTCCCTGGGGGTCCAGGGATGAAGCTGGAAGCTCCAACCCTCTGGTTGATTCCCCTGGCAACTAGCCCTCATACTGATGCTGTGCAGGAGCCCCTAGCTACCAGTCATCTCAACAGCATACAAAAGGACACCTATCATTTTGGCAATTCTAAGGGTTTTAGGAGCTGTGTACCAGGAAAGACCAGGATAAAAATAACATATATAAATCTTCTTACATATCACAAAAGCATAAAAATAAAATGGAGTATAAACTTGAAGATGACATGAAAAAATGAATTGGAAACAATGACAGGAAACTAGAATATGGGAAAAGGGACGGAGACTGTTTACTTAAACTCTTGGTTCACAGCATGTTGTTTGGAGCTTTCTGTGCTAATGATGTCAAATTTGTGCCTATGCTTTCATTCATCATTTCATCTTTCTTTTTTTTTTTTTTTAACTGCCTGTCTTTATATTCATTCCTAGTAGCTTCCTTTTATCCATTCAGGCATTCATTAATTAATGTTGAGTTTCTTCAGTTTATTAGCTCCCAATAACCTTGACTTGGTAACTTCAGAACCTGGTGATATTTAGTAATAGATGGTTACATGCACACCCCATCCTATAAGCATTCTAGAGCTGGGCAATTCACATATGATGAACAGTTACAGAAGCTTAATAATAATGAACTGCTGGGTCAAAAATATCTAGAACCCAGGCTTTTGTACCACTCACTGTCATTCCATTTTTTAGTTCTGTCTTTAGACATTTCCTAGAGCTTTGTCCAGCCCTGTTCATAGGCATTATAATGACCTTATTGTGCTTTTCTGTCCCCAAATGAAAAAATACATAGTTCATTTAAAAATTCAGACAATCATGAAAGTATAAATATGGAGTAAAAATTTCTTAAAAATTCACCACTTAGAGATAACCACTAACTCACTGTTTCCTGACATAATGACTTACCTAGATGCTAAACTTTATCTTTACCTTTAGCTCCCTACTGAAAATGTTCTGTAGTGCCCATTCAGACTCAATCTGTGCATGTCCATGGGGCTGCCCTTGTCTTGGTCAGTCCTGCTCAGAACTTTGTAATTATCATAGAGTACACTCAAGCGATATTTATTACATCTGCTACATTTCATTGTTCAATACAGTTGATTACTTTCTTCTATCAGTAATAATCAATGAGGATGGGTAGCCACCATTATGATCACTAACAAACCCAGCTTGAAAGTTATCACTGTAGTGTACTACTTTTATAGGAATATACCCAGTTCATCAAGAGTGTTGAGGGTAGAAAATGTCAGACCCACAAATCAAATTTTTGGGAACCCCTACCCACTTTCAGGTCTGCTTGCCTTCAGATTTAGTATTCAAAAGCTTTTCTGTACATCTCATAAAGCACATTTTTCCTGCTTGAAAATCTTCTAGATTTCCTATTGCCTCCAGCCATGGTCATCCGTTATTAGTATATACATACTATTAGCGCAGGAGTCCCCAACCCCTGTGCTAGGGACTAGTACCAGTCTGTGGCTTGTTAGGAACCAGGCCACACAGCAGGAGGTGAGTGGTAAGTGAAACTTCATCTGTATTTATAGGTGCTCCCCATCGCTCACTATTACCACCTGAGCTCTGTCTCCTGTCCAGATCAGCAGCAGCATTAGATTCTCCTAGGAGCATGAACCCTGTTGTGAGCTGTGCATGCAAGGGATCCAGGTTGTGCTCTCCTTATGAGAAGCTAATGTATAATGCCTGATGATCTGTTACTGTCTCCCATCACCCCCAGATGGGACTGTCTAGTTGCAGGAAAACAAGCTCAGGGCTCCCACTGATTCTAGATTATGGTGAGTTGTATAATTATTTCATTATATATTACAGTATAGTAATAATAGAAATAAAGTGCACAATAAATGTAATTCGCTTGAATCATCCCCAAATCATCCCCTGTCCCTGGTCCATGGAAAAATTGTCTTCCACCAAACTGGTCCCTGGTGCCAAAAAGGTTGGGGACTGCTGCATTAGTGGGATGCAGGATTTTTGTAACTGGACATCCACAGAATGCCTTATTTTCATTATGGTTGGCTACTGGGTTTGGGGTGGGGTGGAGCTTCCCCTCTGATGATTAAACTTCTCTTTTTTTCTATATAGCTTCTGCGTCATGGTATTGGTCTGTCTACAAGTTCTGATAGTGAAATGATTACCCAGTTACTGGCGTATACCCCTCCTCAGGAACAAGATGACACCCCAGACTGGGTAGCCAGGTAAGCAGAGAACTGGACTAAACTTAGAGCTCTAGTAAGGAGAGTTTTGCCTTGCATATGTTTATAACTGAAGTTATTCATTCAATTATTTAATTAATTCCAGGATTAAAAACTTGATGAAGGAAGCACCCACAGCATACTCCCTGCTTATAATGCACAGAGATGTTATTTATGCAGTACGAGATCCTTATGGAAATCGTCCCTTATGCATTGGTCGTCTTATTCCAGTGTCTGATATAAATGACAAAGGTAATAAACTTTAGAAGGAATATCATTTCATAGTGTTTTTCCATTATTGTCCTACTGCTATCAAGCCCTGAAATCTTTAGGTATAGAAAGTTGATGGGTGGGAGGGAGCTAGGTAAGAAAAATAAAAATAAATGTATTCTTCCTTTTTAAAGTACGTTTCTTTGAGTACTCCTGAGGATGAGTCCCCCCCCTTTTTTTTTTTTTTTTTTTTTTTTTTTTGGAGACCGAGTTTCACTCTTGTTGCCCAGGCTGCTGGAGTGCAGTGGTGCGATCTCAGCTCACTGCAACCTCCACCTCCCAGGTTCAAGTGATTCTCCTACCTCAGCCTCCCGAGTAGCTGGGATTACAGGCGCACACCACCATACCCAGCTAATTTTGTATTTTTAGTAGAGACAGGGTTTCTCCATGTTGGTCAGGCTGGTCTCAAACTCCTGACCTCAGGTGATCTGCCCACCTTAGCCTCCCAAAGTGCTGGGATTACAGGCGTGAGCCACCACGCCTGGCTGGATGAATCCCTTTTAATGTTTTTAATAGAGATTCCTATTTTTTCCTGTCTTAATTGGCTATTCATGTCCTTTGCCTAGCTTTTTCATTTCTGCAGTATGATTTTAGTGGTTTCTTTTCACTTTTATCAAGATATCTTTTTCTAGCCATGAAATCATAATGTTAGAAGGAATCTTAGAAGATCATTTATTTTATCTTTGGCTCAAGTCAAATGAGGATCCATGTGCTCTTAAAGTCATAGAAATGGCTATTCTATGAGTTTTATTTACTTATTTATTTAGTGTTAGCTGTTCCATTGAAATAGCCTCTTAAAATTTCTGGAATCCATTAATTGAATTGATTTGTGATTTACAGAGAAAAAAACATCAGAAACAGAAGGATGGGTGGTGTCTTCAGAATCTTGTAGCTTCTTATCTATTGGTGCAAGGTAAGTTTTACCTTGTTTGACATATTTTATTTTCCCATGTTGAAAAGAATTTTTTTTAGACAGTTTCTTATTTATGTGAAAGTTTGAAAGTTTTCTTTTTGATGTCTGCAAGAAAATATTTATAAATGGTTTTTCTTATGCATGTTATGCTCAGCAGTTGCACTGAGTTTAATGTTCTAGTAATAGCTTCTAATTCTGAAGCTGGCATTCTTTCAAGATACTATGAAACTTATTTTCTTTATTTTGTATATTTTTCTCTTTTTACAGTACAATATGAAAATAGAGACTTATTTTAGAAAGGAAGAACTTCCTCAATGAGAGATAGTTATGACAGAAAAATGTAAGCCAGGAGAAAATGTTTTCTTTATACTTTATTCTTTTAAAATTCAATACAACTTAGGGCCCTTAATTTTTTAATTCTATACTAGAACTTAGTGTTTACAGAGAGATTATAAAGAAATCATTGCAGGAGACATACCACTTTAAAAAGTCACTTCTAGATTTTATATTGAATGAATCAATTGTTTCTCTAAGGGAAGGTACTCTGTGTGCTTTATAATTAATATTTTCATCAGCCTTAAGGACTAGTTTATTAAAAGTCTTCTTTCTTTAACATTGTTTCCCAAGATATTACCGTGAAGTCTTGCCTGGAGAAATTGTGGAAATATCCAGACACAATGTCCAAACTCTTGATATTATATCAAGGTCTGAAGGAAACCCAGTGGCTTTTTGTATCTTTGAATATGTTTATTTTGCAAGACCAGACAGTATGTTCGAAGGTAAGTAGATTTCTTTTCTTTGAACATTCATATAAATGTTTTAGCTATCTCCTTGAAACATGGCAATTCTTGCCTCAAAGGCTTACCTGGCTCTTTGAAGGCATATAGTTATATGTTGTGGATATAGGACTGAGCCCACAAGTCATAAGATCACTATTTTTCACTTCCTTTTGACTCTTGGATTTTGTTTTTTGTTAGGAGTAAGGATTATGATTTTCTAGATCTATATGAAGGTCGATTTTTTTTTTAAAACCACACAGTTGAGTTCCCCAGTTTGTGTATTTTCACATTCATATTTTTGTATATATTGCATTTCTTTTTATACTCAATCTGTAGAATTCTAGCACTAGTTTTTTAGAATAACACTGTTATATCATGCTAAGTAAAAATACTCTCTCTCCTTTTCCAAACACACCAGACCAAATGGTTTATACAGTAAGATACCGTTGTGGCCAGCAGCTAGCGATTGAAGCACCTGTGGATGCAGATTTGGTTAGCACTGTTCCAGAATCTGCTACGCCTGCTGCTCTTGCTTACGCAGGAAAGGTATTTTCTCTTAATTAACATGCAGTGAATTGCTCTCCCAGCTGTGGAATAAGAAACCCTTGCCTATAAAGAGAAACTCATCAACATTTCTAAGGAGAAAGGAAGCTTTGGTGGTTAATGTTGGTTTGTTTACAAGCGTTTTTTATTTTCCAGGCTTTTTATCCAATGGCACTATTTTAGTGAAAACCACTAAAAGGTTCACTGAAAAGAAAAAAACGTTCACTAAAGCGTTCAGAAATTGGCACCCTTCTTTTTAAAAAGATAACATCATGAATATACAGTTGACCCTTGAACAATTTGGGAGTTAAAGGTGCCAACCCTCTGCACAGTCAAATCTGTGTATGCATTTTAATGCCCCCAAACTTAAATACTGATAACCTACTGTTGACTGGAAGCCTGACCAATAACATAAACAGTTGATTAACATATTTTGTATATGTATTATATGCTGTATTCTTGCAATAACGTAAGCTAGAGAAAAGTAAATGCTTTGAAGAAAATCATAAGGAGGAGAAAATATATTTACTATTCCTTATGTGAAAGTGGATCTTCATAAAGGTCTTCATCCTCATTGTTGTCTTCACGTTGAGTAGGCTGAGGAGGGAAGAGGAAAAGGGGCTGGACTTGCTGTCCCAGGGGTGGCAGAGATGGAAGAAAACCCACCTATAAGTAGACTCATGTACTTCAAACCCATGGTGTTCATCAACTATATATTCAGTGGAAAAATTTACTTAATATTAAAATAAACGTCTTGAATTATCTTCACAAGTCACTGGAATATTTGCTTGCTACTAAGTATGGGTAATAATAAAGCTGTTTATGTTCATTTAGCATGATGTTGTCAGTGTTACGCTTTATTTTCATAACCAGGTAGATGGTGTAACTGTAGTAATCCTGGGGTATAACATCCAATATTCACTACCTTGGATACTTTATTAACTTCTAAAAGAATTAATATGCATACATTTTAGAAAAGATTACCTTGATAAATGGGTTAATTACTTCCTATCCCTAAAAAGTATCTCATTGGTCTACTGGTTTTTATTTATTTATTTTAATTCATTTCTTTAAAAATTATCATTTTGATAATGAATTTTTCTGACAGTGATTTAATCTTTGTCATGTCTTCATATGCTTACTGTTATCTTTCAAAACAGAGGAATAATGTTTAAGACAAAAACATTATGAGTCCTCACAAAATGAATTGGTTTTTCCACCAAGTATATTTTGTTTAGTGGTTTTTCTTTTTGCCTTTTTTCCAAATAATAAAGGAAAATTATTTTGAAATTTTACTTGAATATTGTGGCGGCAACACAACCTAGAGAAAATATTTGCCTATTCTGTATATTACTCCTCATTATCCTTTCATTTCTTCTCTATCAGTGTGGACTTCCATATGTGGAGGTGCTGTGTAAAAACCGGTATGTAGGGAGAACCTTCATTCAGCCAAACATGAGGTTAAGACAACTTGGTGTTGCAAAAAAATTTGGAGTATTGTCAGACAACTTTAAAGGCAAAAGAATTGTTCTTGTAGATGATTCAATTGTCAGAGGCAATACCATCTCACCTATAATAAAACTGCTCAAAGAATCTGGTGCAAAAGAGGTAAGTAATATTAAAACATATCCTAAAGCATAAGTTAACAATAAGATACTGGCATAAAATTGCAATTCAGGGTAGTGAATCAAAATGGATGTTCAATATAATAAATTAACTTTTTTTATCAGTTTGGTTTAGGAATAACTGTGTAGCAACTTGAAGAACATGTCACAGCCACACTTACATTAAATGTAATCCTTAATAGATTAAAAAAGCTCAATATAAAAGCTTAAGGCTGGGCGAGGTAGCTCATGCCTGTAATCCCAGTACTTTGGGAGCCTGAGGTAGGAGGTTGCTTGAGCCCAGGAGTTCGAGAACAGCCTGGGCAATATAGTGAGACCCTGTCTCTACAAAAATAAAAGATAATAATAAAATTAAATTTTAAAAAACCTAAAATTTTTACAAAATTTATTCAAAGACTAACTACACAAAATAGGCTGGGCACAGTGACTCATGCCTATAATTCCAGCACTTTGGGAGGCTGAGGTGGGCAGATTGCTTGCATCCAGGAGTTCAAGACCAGCCTGGACGACATAGTGAAACTCACCTCTCCTAAAATTACAAAAAATGGGTGGGGCGTGGTGGCACACACCTGTAATTCCAGCTACTTAGGAGGCTGAGGTGGGAGGATGGCTTGAGCCCAGGAGGTAGAGATTGCAGTGAGCCGAAGTGATCTCAAAAAAAAAAAAGTCAAAAACACACAATAGAATGCTTTTTAAAATCAATGGAGTATTGATTGCTTTCTCTACTTGAAGACATGCAGCCAATCCCAGTGTAATACCTTTGACTTATTATTTTTTAAAATGTATTTGTTAAAGACAGTGTCTGGCTCTGTTGCCCAGGCTGGAGTGCTATGGCACCATCTCAACTCACTGCAACCTCTGCTTCTGGGGCTCAAGCAATCCTCCCACCTCAGCCTTCTGAATAGCTGCAACTATAGGCATGTGCCATTGCAGCCAGGCTAATTTTTGTATTTTTAGCAGAGACGGGGTTTCACCATGTTGCCCAGGTTGGTCTTGAGCTCCTGGACTCAGGTGATCCACCTGCCTCGGCCTCTCAAAGTGTTAGGATTACAGACGTGAGCCATCGTGCCCGGCCAAGTTATATTTTAATATCACTTTATGCCTTTTTTTCTTTTTTCCTTGATACTGGGACTCACTGTGTCACCTGGTTGGAATGCAGTGGTTCGATCTCAGCTTACTGCAACCTCCACCTCCTGGGCTCAAGAGATCCTCCCACTTCAGCCTCCCAAATAGCTGGGACCATAGGCACACACCACCATGCCCGGCTGATTTTTCGTATTTTTAGTAGAGGCAGGGTTTCACCATGTTGCCCATGCTGATCTCAAACTCCTGAGCTCAGGCCATCTGCCTGCCTCAGCCTCCCAAAGTGCTTGATTACAGGTGTGAGCCACCATACCCGGCCTCACTTTATGTCTTGAAAAAAATTTTTTTTTAATTTTTATTTTTTAAATTGACAAATGTATATATTTATTGTGTACATGTTTTTATATAGATATATTAAGTTATTTTAAGATTTCAAAGCTTATTCTATTTCAGTAGCTCATACTACAGAAGTGAGATGCCATTTACAACTAATAGTTATGTAAATTTAAAAATAAAGTCTCAGCCTGGGCAACATATACCCCATCTCTGAAAAATCAAAAATAAAATCTCACTGTAGAAGAAAGTGGGATGAAAAGCAGCATGCCAGTTTATTTAGAAAGTTTCCAAGATAATTGGGATTATGATTTTCCAGCCTTTTTTATACCTGTGTTTAGGATTATGATCATCTTACTCTGGAATTCTGTGGAAATTATGTAATAGATACAAGAGTTTAACATAATTTCATCATTTATTGCAATAGTGAAAAAGAATAAAGTCAAAGAACCTGGAAATGGCATATCTCCCTGTTGGTGAATATAATTTAGTAAATTGATATATCAGTGTGATGAAATATGATGCAGCCATTAAATACTAAGAAGACTGCGTAGCAAAAATGGGAAAATCTATTCTAATAAAGTTTAAAAAGGAAATGTGGACACTGAGTATAGCCATGTAAACGTACCTGATGAAAGGCAAAAAAAACAATAACAGACAAAAACAACTCTGTTGTAGTAGTAAGGTTTTTGTTATAACCTGGTAAATTGTATTTTTCTTTTTAAAATGGTAAGATAAGGGATAAGCAGAAGTACCTGGTATTACAAGAGAAAAGTGGCTCTAGGAATGTAAAGACATCAAATGAGAAGTAGGATATCTAGACAAAGAAACTTCCTCATGATTAGGTGAAAGAAAAAAAAAACCAAGAAGCAGCTTTGTAGAAAGAATAATTTATTACCCATATGTTGTTACTGAATATTCTGCAAAACAATTTTGTATTGTATTTGCACAATGAAAGAATTTTGCATAGTCTTAAAAACCTTGTGTGCAATGATTTCTTTCCAAGGTACACATTCGAGTAGCTTCACCACCAATTAAATATCCATGCTTCATGGGAATAAACATTCCTACAAAAGAAGAGCTCATTGCCAATAAACCAGAATTTGATCACCTTGCAGAATATCTAGGTAAGTATTAAAATTTCTATAAACTTTGATTATTAACAGAGAAAATCCAAAGCTTGACAGTCTTTACACCTTTAGTAAAAAGGAGTATTCAGTGTTTGTTAAAAGTAGTTATATATGTTAAACAGATATTGAATACTATTCTCAACAGTGAGAGTAGTGGGCATGGGCAGACACCACAGAGTCTTGTGTTGGAGAGCTAAGCCAAGGTGAGATCAGAGAAGGAAGAGGTGGTTTCCAGGTGGAGGGAAGTGCAATCATAATCACTTAAAGCCTCCCAAAAGTCAGATCCCAAGAAAAACAAAAATAATTTAATCAGATTCTAACAGAGTAATTTGGATGTGGATACAAATCACAAGGTAAAAAGTTTGTGTAGGTTCATATTCAATAATGAGATAAGGAGACTTCGAGATCTAAGTTATCCTGGGTAAGACATCTTCCTTTCAAAATCAGGTGATGTATAAACTGTGGAAATAACACATGATATTTAGTCATTGTGCCTTGGTACCTCCACACCATCTGTTTGTGGCTGGTGTTTCTTTTAACCTGTCATGCATATGCCTCACTGGTTAAATATTTTTAAATATCACCCTGATGGGTGTCATACATGTTATAAGCACTCACACTTTGCCAGAAACTATGCTGCCTATATTATCTATATTATCATAAAAACTCTACATTTAGGCAATGTTTCCACCATCTTATATAGATGAAAAAATAGACTTAGGAAAACTGAGTGAACTTGAGCTTAACTTTGAGCCTAGATCTTCCTGACTTTAAATTCCATTTTTTCAATTAAGAAAATTACTCCCAAAGCCCTCTAATTCCATTCTAGACTTGAAGCCTCCTCTGCTGTTTTAAATTATGTTATCCCCTAGATTCCAATTAAAATTTTTAAAAATAAAGGAACTGAGTTTTATTGATTTTTTTTCCTTTTTTTTTTTTTTAAAGAAAGGCTAAAGGAGAAATTTATCCTAGCTTAAATTATTCTGTTTGTAACTATTCTCTGTTGACGCGTTTCTTCCTTTCTAAAGGAATTCTTATTACATTTTTATTTTTCCCTCTTTCTTTAGGAGCAAACAGTGTTGTGTATCTGTCAGTAGAAGGACTGGTTTCATCTGTACAAGAAGGGATAAAGTTTAAAAAACAGAAAGAGAAAAAGCACGATATTATGATCCAAGAAAATGGAAATGGTCTGGAATGTTTTGAAAAGAGTGGTCATTGTACAGCTTGTCTCACTGGAAAATATCCTGTAGAATTAGAATGGTAGCTGGTAGGGTTGGATGTGTGTAGTTTCAAGATAGAAAGTTGGTCAAGAAGTTATAGTGGTCACACCTCATCTATTTACTGTTACTCAGTTGGTACAATGTAAAATGCCATGCTTATGTTTATAAGTTTTGAGATTTTTTTTTTTTCTGAAAAGGATACCAAAGTGCGATAACTGAACATTTCCAATTGCATATAATACAACAATATGTGGTGTTCTTTTTTTTACACAAGCATTGGCTAGCCTTTTTAACCTGGTCAGAGAAGGCAGGTGGTCACTGACATTTCCCAAGTCCATGCTTTAAAGGGTTTGCAAGAAGTTAGGGTTAAGGAGAGGTGATGCCAACAAGACAGGTGAGTTAAATATACCATTTCACACAAAGTTTGAATAGAATACATTATACCTCATAGGTGTCTAGCCTCTACAGTTCTGGCTGTAGTTATGACCTTGGCTTCCCTGTCTAACTGTAGACAAATCTTTAAAAAAAAATAATAATAATCTGGTGCCTCAGTTTCCCCACATGTGCAATGGGATACTTATTAAATAATTAATAAGAATGTGAATAAGTGTCATACTTTTGTGATTTGAGCCATCATTTCACTTCTGATTTTAAGACAACTCATGATTGTTAGCTTTCAGAAAGCTAATGATTGTTAACTTTTTGAAATTAGTTTACAATTAATTAAGATTTCATTATGATGGAAGGAGACATAATTGGCAGATCTTTGCCATCTCTCTTTGAGATGTCCTAAAAAGGGTTGTAAAAATCTGTGAAAAAGTTTTTCCTACATTTGACTAGAAAATGTGATCCATAGTATTTAGTGCCCTGATACTATAAGCTCAGCAAGTAACCTGGTACATTTGAAATAAAAACCAAATTTTTAGATTCAAACAATCCCTTTATCCTTAATTTAATTAATTATCATATGCTTTTTTTAATGAAGTGCTTGATCACTTGCAAACATATATACATGTAGATGTACATATACATGTACACATACACATAAATATTATTGCAATTAAGTGATCAAGTACAGACACAATAGGGGCCAGTTTTGTTTAAGGATCAAAGAGACAACCACTTTGGGGAATTAGTATCAACTTACAATCCAAGTCCAAGTATCATCTTATAATCACTTTTTTCTACTATATTAAGATCTAATGAATTTGATTTCTTTTTTGAAGTTTTTTCTTGTAACATCTGAGATTAGAAGTTTAAGATGACTTGACCCCAAACCTTTGTTTATGTAAGAATTTTTAAACATAAAAGTGTTTGTTTCTGTTATGTTACCATAATTTGATGTATATAGTGTCCAGATCCATTTAGAAATTTAATATTTATTAATAACTGAAACTGTTTGTCTTCCTTTGGTATATAGTCTCGCATATTATATTATAGCAGGCCAAGATAAAATTTTGACAGCTCTTTAAGCCCACATGCAGCAGTGGGTCAGATAACCCTGTGGCAGTGACACGGGCAAATTGGCATTTGAATAAAGCCCTGGGACCACCTCAACATGCGTAGCCTCTTGTCTTAAATGTACTCCCCATGGCAGCATGGAGGAGGCAAGACCTGTGGGTCAATTTTGAACTGGCCTTACTTTGATTTTTAAAACAAGAGACTCAGGGAAAGTACTAAACCAAAATCTCTGATTTTACTTTGCGTTTTCTGTAGTTTTTGTTTTACTGAGATGCTTTTGTAAAGGAAAATAATACTGTGACAGTTTAGTAATTCTACAGATTCTTAATATTTCTCCATCATGGCCTTTTACTTCACAATTTTCTGAAGTCTGAATTCAATTACAATTTTTTTTTACCAATTTAATCTCAAATGTTGTTTAACTGCTTTAAATTCATATACGTAGAGTATTATAAACTGCAGAGATGAAAAATGTGTTTTCACGGGATTTATATTGTGAACTAAACTAAGCCTACTTTTTGTGACTTATTTGTGATGCCTTGTTGATAAATATGTGTAATAAGTATGTTTAAATATGTGTGTCCTTTTTTTTTTTTTTTTAAATAGTGACTTTAGTTAGTGCTTTATGGTAAACAGCATGGAGACAACTTCCAGGCTCCATTCTTGGCACCAGCTAGTCATATCTTATTTCTCTGATCCAGGCATTTCAATAAATAGGCCATCTCTTATGAACCAGGCAAAACTGCTGGTTGACTATGAGGGACAAATTAAGTAATTAGAAAAGCAGTACTAAGTAAGCACTACATCGTGGCAAGTTCCTAGGAAGCACTATGGGGAAAGAGGGAGTGTCATGGAAGAGCAGGATTAGATTCAAAGTGTCAGGGTGGGTAGGTAAATGAATAGATAAACTGTAGTACATTCAGACAATAGAATATTATTCAGTGCTTAAAAGAAATGAGCAATCAAGCCATTAAATGACAGAAGGAACATAAATGCATATTAACTAAGTGAAAGGCACCACTCTGAAAATACCACTCTGAAAATATTGAAGGTATCCAAAGAAAAAGTCTCCCATGTTAAGGATAAACTGGTCACAGACAAGAAAGATTACTAGTAGGGCACCTGCCAGTGTTAAGAAAATTTCTGTGCAACTAGGTAAACCTTGGTCGCTGGACTGGATCTTTAATTCTTCTAGGTTCCTCCAATCCAACTTTCTTCCATAGAATTACTAAAAACGAGACTTGCTATGTTCTTAAAGCCCAAGCTCAAACTTAACTGAATTTTAAGGGAGAAATCTCATGCCCAAAGGTTCACAAAACTGCCCAATGCTATAACCAGAGACATTAAAACTGTAAACCAGAATGAAAAGCTAACATCTCCATACTGTGGGCAGCTTTTCCCAAGATGATGGAACATAACTCCCCATCCTAATGACACTCTTGCCCCTCTTAATTCTTCCTTGTTTATGCCTACCTCTTTGATTTGGCAGGATAATTTCACAATCGGTAGATATTGTGGGTGACTTGACAGAATCTGACTTCATAAATCCTTTAGTCCACCCAGGGGGTAATACTGGCAACATCCTCAGTAAACTTTTTGTTCAAATTGTACTAATGGTCTTTTTTAAAACAGAGTTAGCTCTCTCTGCTTTAATTCAAGCCAGTCATGGAATGCTAAGTAATAGGATTGCTGTGTACCAGCTAAACAAAGAGATGTCTGTGCTTTTGCTCATACTACATGCTGTACCTGGATACATTCCTTTGGGGAATTTATATACACAAAATAAGAAAATAGCCCACATGGTATAATAAGTCTCACCTAATTCTTCATGATCATTTGATTTATTCAACTGGTTGTCTTTAAGCCTAGGTTCACGGCTGAAAACTATTATGCTGAGATTGTTACTTTGTATTTTCTTTTTTTTTTTTTTAAGAACTTTATACCTGTTTCTTGTCAAATTTGCATAGAAATGCAACTCCTAAGAGAATAATGCTCTCCCAGCACTTTGAGATGATAGACAGTGCCTATGGAACAGACAGAATTGAACTTAACAGTGGACTCCAGGTAGACTTAGCCTGAGATCCACTCCCTCCAAACCTCTTTTGTTGTTCAAATGTGGCTAAAGGGTTTTGATGCTAATTCCTAGTTACCAGTGACTCCCTTCAACATGAGGGCAGACTGGCACCAAGAGATATCAAAACCTAAATACAGGATGATTGATCAGTGATGCTTTTGAGAAAGACCTTGATCAAAAGGGGAAATGTGAAAGTTGTCAGATTCAAAATGGAGTCACTCGTATTAAAACCCTGGCAAACGGAGCCAGGAAACGCCATGAAGGGGAAGGGTTCTCATGTACATATGGTTGATAACAAGAACTATCAAAAGACTACAAAAATTTACAACCTGCACAAAGGCCACCACAACCTTAAACACAACACACACACACACACACATACTTCTGCAACGACATCTGCCTAGCAACTGCCTATCTAACTTATGGACTGACACCACCCTTACCACGCTTGTTATTGTTAAAACAAACAGTGAGGTTTATTTTTATTTATTTATTTATTTTTTGAGATGGAGTCTCACTTCGTCACCAGGCTGGAGTGCAGTGGCGCAATCTCGGTTCACTGCAACCTCCACCTCCTGGGTTCAAGTGATTCTCCTGCCTCAGCCTCCAGAGTAGCTGGGACTACAGGCGTGTGTCACCATGCCAAATTAATTTTTATATTTTTCAAAGAGACGGTTTCACTGTATTGGCCAGGATGGTCTTGATTTCTTGACCTCGTGATCCACCTGCCTCGGCCTCCCAAAGTGCTGGGATTACAGGTGTGAGCCACCACCACTCCTGGCCTTCCAGTGTACTTCCATAGTTACATATTCTTTCCTCGTGCCCTGTGAAGAGGTGCCTTCCACCATGATTTTAAGTTTCCTGAGGGCTCCCCAGCCATGTGGAACCGAGTCAATTAAACCTCTTTTCTTTATAAATTACCCAGTCTCAGATATTTACTTAAAGCAATGTGAGAACAGACTAATACACCTGTCAAAACACCAAGCCTGAAAAACTCAACCACTAATTTGCTCTCTGCCTTCTCCTGAGCAGCTGAACACTTAGAGTAACTCACACAATGCCTTATTATCCCAACTGTGATATGTGGTACAACAGCACATAACAGGAGGACCTAACCTTGTTTCAGGTAGGGTCAAGGATTTTCCAAATTATTTTTGAACTTTTTAAGGAAACAATGACATTGACAACTGAGAGATAAGCCTTAAAATAAGTAGAGTGTGCCAGTCAAGGTACAAAATATCAGCAGGGTACAGGGTGGGCATTTGATATTTCCCTGCAACTGGAACAGTGTAAGTGGATGGAGCTGAGTAAAAAAAAAAATAGTTTGGGAAACAAGCGCCTAAGACATGAATCCCTGCTATAAGGGTGCTATTTAGTATAGGAGGTCAGATTTGGAAATAATGCAGCAACAGTAACAACTGATGCTGTAAGAAATATATGTCGCTGTCTGGGAAGGGTCTGGTATTGAAACCTATTTTAAAGTTAGTAAGATAGCCTGTTAACTGTTTTATGGCAGTAAACTTGGATTCCTGGGTGACAAAGAACTTTGTAATTTATGGCAAAAGCAGAAGCCAGAACTTCATGTTTATGCATTTTCCATGTCCCCCAAGTCCCACCAGGATGGTGAAGATGGGCTTCCATGGATGTCTGCACATGCAGTCAGTGGGTTACATTATAGGAGAGGAATACTGAGTTTGGGGGATTCCATACTTTTGTAGTTAAGTGGAAGCAAGCCTACTCTTTGGGAAGAATACTTCAGCTATGAAACTGATCATCCCAAACAACCCTGAAAAATGATCTAGGTAAAGAGCAGTTAGGACCTTACATTCTTGGCAAACCCAGAATTTGCAGGTCCCATGACAAATGACCCCTCCCAAGAGTATGATGGGTTCGTGGGATGGAGTTTGGAGGAGTCTGGATAAATTATTCTTTAGGGCTTGAAGAAAGGCATCACTGAGGAAGTCATGTTTAAGCTGTATTTTCATCAAGCAGGCATGGAGAAAGAAGGGTATTTCAGCCTGAGCCCAGCCAAAACAGGTGTGGAAACATGATAAGGACTTTGTATTCTCAGAACTCTTACTAGCCTTTCATTATGACTAGAGTTTACAGTATCAGGTGTGGGGAATGTGGAAGATGGGTGGGGGAGCAGTGGCCTGCTGTGAGATATCAGGTTGGAAAGAAAATGAACTCTCTTGTTTACCTTGCTGAAGAGTCTGAATGTTATGCAGGCAACGAGGGATCATTGAAGCTTCTTATTCTCATAGAAGAATGCTATGACTGATCTGGTATATGTTTTAGAATGATCACCTTGGATTATCAGGTAAAAATGCTGTCTTAAACATAGTGTTCTACATTTGCTCCCTAAGACTCCCTGAAAATGACAGTAACAGGATTTTTAAAGTCATACACCCTTAAGGATTAAAGAAAAGGAATAATGGAAATGAAATTCTGGAATCAATAGCAAAGGGCTCAGTTGACTTGAAAAACCTGAATTCTAAACCCCCAGTGAGCAAAACCAACAAGCAATTCTATTTGTATCACAGAACCCCCTAAAAAACTAAGAAACTGGCTTCAGGAAGTAGAAGTGAAGAGGGTACCTAAAAGGACTGGAAGTTCATTTAGGAGAGTGTTATATCCTTTATGCCACCCCCGGCCCCCGCCTTATTCTGAAGCCTTTTTTTATTGCTCAGGAGTAAAACGGGGTCTCTGTAATGGAGGACATCAGGCACCTAAAACAAAGAGAATTAAGTGAAAATTGTACTAAATTCTGAGACATACCGCAGCCTCCATACCCCTCCTCTCCCACTTGATTTTCAACAAACGTCCCATGGGCTCAACAGCTTCCAATCAACTTTTAAATATACCCCCACTTACATATGAGCAGATAAGGACCACCAGACATCCTAGGAAAGCCTCTAATGTGAAAGATAGAGCACAAAATCAACAGAAGAAAAAAAAAGGAAACTTGAGGGAAATAGATACTGCAAGGGAAGAAAAACTTTAAAAAAGGTATCATTAATATCAGAGAGTTGGATGATGATACTGGAATAATAAAACATCATTTTGGCAGCAATTCAGAGTCAATCAGAGGCAAACAAAACTGAAAACGTTTTAGGAAAAAGCTGACCAAGAAGACCTGAACTAAAGTAGCAGTAATGGCGATGAACATGACACTTAAAAAACGCAGGTTCTAGGCCCCTCACTAGAAAACTAGGGGATGAACCTCCGGGGATGGAGTCCAGGAATTTGGAATCTTCTAAAACATCACCACCGGCAATTCTGATGTAGCCAGCTGGGTGCTGGTCTCAAGACTGAGAACTAGAGGACATAGGGTCTAATCGGATGTAAGAGGTTAAGAAAGTGGGAAGGTTGATAACTGTCTGGCTGGGTGGATGATGGTGTCATCCCAACGTAGAAACATAGAAACATAGACAAGATACACTTTTGCCCACTTCCAACCTAAATACATAAATAAGGCTGTGTTAGTTTGAGTAGTCCATGGTACATCTTGGAAAAGTATAGTTGGCATGTGGAGATATTTTTTGCTTAGATTAGAAGCACAGTTTCTTGTCACCAACAACTACGGCTGCGAGAGCGTCCTATGCTTTTTTCTCACGTACTGTTTTGATGCAGAGCTGTCTTCGCAGTCCCTCCCCCGGCTAAAACCCCCCAAACAAAAAAATCCCGATTATTCTGCCACCAGACAGTAGCTTTAAAACACCTCTGTTATTGCCCTTGACGCTTATTGTAATAATTGACATGTCTCCAACTGTAACAATTCCCTTGGAAACAGAAAGTTCTATTCAGGCATATAGTTTACAAAACTCCACCTCGGACCTGCTTTAATTTCTTTACAGGTCCTACTAAATGCTCCTGTCAAATTCCTTAGTTATCGTTTCAATCTGCTTCCCAATTAAAATGTCAGCATCATGATGACAGGAACGTCGTTTGCAGGCGTCACTGCTGCAGCCATATCTCCAGCACGTTTCCAGAAAATGTCATTGGTTGAAAGCAATAACTCTCCTATTTCACAATGATTTCATCTCTCTTCACATCAACCCTAGGTGATGTTTTTATTCTCACCTTATGAACGAGAATACTGCGGCTCAAAATTCAAGAGTCTTGCCCAGAGTTTTTTGGCAAGTACGAAAGGGTTATGGCTCCAAACTGGTTAGCTCCGAAGTCCTTGCAAACCCTGTCCGAGACCATGCGCGACCCCAAGGAGCGCCTGAGCAGATAACCAAAAGTGAAAAAGCCTATAGACCTCTTCACTCAAGTTAGCGCCTCGGCTTCAGGAGAGGCAGCGCCAGCTCCACGCAGCCGGCCCGGGGTCGCTCGCACTGACGTCACGTAGCGACGCGGAAGATTTACGTATGGTGCCTCGCTCTGGGATAGCTTTACGGCTTCTGGGAGCTGCTGCTTCGCTGTGAGAAGTATCCGCGACGAGCTATCCGGGAAAGGGCCGAATGCGATCAAACCTAATCCGCGAGACTTGCTAAGTGAGTCGCGGCAGGGCGCGGTGTCCGGCGGGGGTCTGTGTGAAGGAGGCGAAGTGCCGCTAGGCCTGAGCCTGCTTCCACATACATTTGCTCAGCTTCAGGACCACTGCCTGACCTCGGATTTGATACATCGGGGTCTGGCGTGCTGGTGTGGTGCAGACTAACCCTGACCTGTGTGTACACTCCTGCGTCACTAGCCTCCGCCCCTCCATTCAAATGGAAATAAGTGTGCTCCGCGCTCAGCTACCCCCTAGAGTGGTTTCGAAGAGCAATGAAGAAATGTTTAGGAAGCTGTAAATTGCATTGTTACTCGTTGCATACCGTAAATTTAGAAGCCGGGGAATTGGGAAAATAAAGTTTCTAGATTATTTATCCATTTTTAAAACAGCCAGTGGCCTAGAGAGAGGCCCCATAGCAATTGAATTTGCTGACACTCTTAAGATCTTTGTTGACTAAATAGCAGCTTCTACAGTTGTAGCAAGTAAATTTATTCCTTTTACATGTAAAATCTGCTTACCAGAGTTTGCTTTTTTTTTTCCTTTTTTTTTTTTTTTTTTTTTTTGAGACGGAGTCTCGCTCTGTCGCCCAGGCCGGACTGCGGACTGCAGTGGCGCAATCTCGGCTCACTGCAAGCTCCGCTTCCCGGGTTGACGCCATTCTCCTGCCTCAGCCTCCCGAGTAGCTGGGACTACAGGCGCCCGCCACCGCGCCCGGCTAATTTTTTGTATTTTTAGTAGAGACGGGGTTTCACCTTGTTAGCCAGGATGGTCTCGATCTCCTGACCTCATGATCCACCCGCCTCGGCCTCCCAAAGTGCTGGGATTACAGGCGTGAGCCACCGCGCCCGGCCTTTTTTTCCTTTTTAAGGTCTCAAACATTTGGGCATTAATAAGTTTAGTATTCTCTACTGCAGAGAATGTTATTTGTGATTCAATGAATGAAAATGAAAACCTGAGACAAGAAGAATGGATTTTACCTTAAATGTCTGTAGCAACCATTGGGAAAATGGAAAGAAACATCTTAATTATCGTATAGATGTGTAGGTACCCTTCTGCGCTACCTGTATGTTGCGAAATGAACTCATTCCTCATAATTTAAGCGCCTGCTGCAGAAAGCCTCCCTTATATTTACATAATGATCATTGTATGTCTGAGGAAAGCTTAAAATTGTATCTTGTGCATTAAAAAGAGCTAATATTTATAGAAATGCCTACTAAAAATAAATAATGTAAGTACTAAAGTTGCCTTATATGTTTAAACTGTATATTTAGAAATCACAGCATTTTCAAACTTATGGGTCTTGGCAGTTATTGGTTCATTTTACTCTCTTTAGGATTTCTTTTTCCTAATTGATGTTAATTAGTTGATATAAATGAAAATTTTGAGTCAGGAAATCAATTCAAATAGGTGTGAATAAATTAAAAAAAAAAAAAGAAAGAAAAGAAAACTTGACTCGGCCGGGCGCGGTGGCTCCGCCTGTAATCCTAACATTTTGGGAGGCCAAGGTAGGTGGATCACTTAGGTCAGGAGTTCAAAACCAACCTGGCCAACATGGAGAAACCCTGTGTCTACTTAAAAAAAAATAACAAAAACAAAAATTAGTTGGACATGGTAGCGCGCACTTGTAATCCCAGCTACTCGGGAGCTTGAGGTGGGAGAATCGCTTGAATCTGGGAGGCAGAGGTTGCAGTGAGCCGAGATCACGCCATTGCATTCCAGCCTGGGGAACAGAGCGAGACTGTCACAAAAACAAACAAAAACTTTACTGAAGCAGGCTACTTGGTAAGTCTTAATTGCTTTAAAATATGGAAAACAGAGTTCAGAGAGGGAAAAAAATAACTTTCACCTTTAAGGAAACACTGTGAATTTTTTTTACCGTTGATCCCGAGTGTTTCTTTCTTGAAATACTGTTTCGAATCTTTTAATATAATCTGCATTAAGAAACCCAGAGAACATTGCATTGATATACTGCTTTATTGAGTTGTAATATTATATTTTCAGTCTAAGTGAACTTATTGGCAATTTAAAAATAAACTATACAGTATGAAGAGTTTACTTCTTGACAATTATACAAGTATGACTTCTGTAAAATATTAATAGTATAGTAATAAACACTGTTTTTATATATAGTTGTCTAGAACTGAATGAATAGGAATAGGGTTTTTTGCTTTCTTCTGTCAAAGATTGATTTTGCTTTCATCTGAGTTTAGCTCCTACTGGAATTTAAAAGCAAAGTTTATTTACATTAGTCATTTTATTTTATCTTTATTTCATTTACTTATTTATTTTGAGATGGGGTCTTGCCCTGTCACCCAGGCTGGAGTGCAGTGGTGCCGTCTTGGCTCACTGCAACCTCTGCCTCCTGGGTTCAAGTGATTCGCCTGCCTCACCCTCCAGAGTAGCTGGGATTACAGGTGTATGCCACCTTGCCCGGCTAATTTTTGTATTTTTAGTAGAGACAGGGTTTCACCATGTTGGCCAGGCTGATCTTGAACTCCTGACCTCAAGTGATCCACCCACCTCGGCCTCCCGAAGTGCTGGGATTACAGGTGTGAGCCACCGCACCCGGCCACATTAGTAATTTTAAAGTCACCATACAAGATTTTGACTACTCTATCTTAACAAATCTGTAACAGTTACTGAAGGAAAGTAAAAAAAAATTAAGTGTGGGGTCCTTTAAATTTGATTTTATTGATTAATTTTTTATATATTTCATATTTACATTGTGGTCCGTTGAGAGAGAAGTCTCCATTTTTACCTGCTTCATTTTCATCTGTGTATACCACTGCCCTCCCAAATTTTTTTGATGCTCTGACCCAGCATAGGTTGATGTATCAAGTTAATTTTCAACCTCATTGTCCTCAGTAAAGTTACCATAATTTCATAAGTTCAGAGATTCTTCATTTATATATCTTTGATATAATTATTTTTGTGAGATATTATTGTAGAGAAGTTTTTCCCTGTCCCTCCACCGAGCTCTCTAAAACTCCCTCTCCCCCTAACACTTCTGTATATACACAGGGTTCTGTGCTACAAATTGATGTTTAGATAAACTTCAGTGAAATGACTCTTCAGGAATTGGTGCATAAGGCTGCCTCCTGTTATATGGACAGAGTAGCTGTATGTTTTGATGAATGCAACAACCAGCTTCCAGTTTACTACACCTACAAGACTGTGGTTAATGCTGCTTCTGAATTATCAAATTTTCTGCTGTTACACTGTGACTTTCAAGGAATTCGGGAAATTGGTCTCTACTGCCAACCTGGGATAGACTTACCCTCTTGGATTTTAGGGTAATATTTTTTAGAACTGTAAATTTGATGTTACTCCAAGCTAATGTAAATTTTTAATAGAGTATATTGCAAGTTATTGTTCTGTTTACTATTGGACTTTTCTATATTGTTTGGTCAATTGTAGAGAGACTAAAGAAGTTTGCATTTCCCCAGTATTATTTTTATATTATTTAAATTAATTATTCTGAGCTTATTTAGGAAAGACTAGAAGCTTTCACTAATAGAACGTATAAGTATCTCCAAAATGTAAGGGCTTCATTAATCTGTTAAAGGAAAACAATTATAACAATTTATAACACTTTGTTGTTAGATAAAAGAAAACAGGATTTCACAGATAACATGACTATGTTTTTTGTCCGCAACTGAAATTTGAGGCACTAAGGTATTCAATAAATCAGTAAATTAGAGTTTTGGATAATAGTTGATATAGATTGAAATATGAACCCATTAGAAGACACTATTCCAACAAATATTTGCAAAATGTTCAATCATTTAAATTGTTCTAGAATGTTATCCTCATATAGTGATTTCTATTCTAGAACTCTGCAGTAAGTATAAACTGCCAAAGAAATAGTTTATTCATTCTATAATATGTGTCTTAGTAAATTAATTATATAAATATAAAGCAAAAGATGTTCAAAAATTTACTTTTGGCCAGGCACAGTGGCTCACACCTGTAAATCCCAGCACTTTGAGAGGCTGAGGCTGGAGTATTATTTAAGGCCAGGAGTTCGAGACCACCCTGGTGACTTCACAAGACCCCATCTCTATAAAACAAATAAAAACAACAACAAAAATTTACTTTCACTCAATTATTGACGAAATTTATTGAGAATTTACTATGTGCAAAGATCTAGTGTCCTTAAAGTATACCTGAAACTACTTAAAATGCTTAACTTTAAAAAAATCTTGTATTTCTCTATATTAAGTGATAAGAATTTAACATAGTAAATACTCAGGATTTTCATTAAGAAAAGATAAAATGACAGTGTTTATGTATTTATTTATTTTTGAGATGAAGTTTCACTCTTATTGCCCAGGCTGGAGTGCAACGGCGTGATCTCGGCTCACCGCAACCTCCGCCTCCCGGGTTCAAGCAATTCTCCTGCTTCAACCTCCCAAGTAGCTGGGATTGCAGACGCCCGGCTGATTTTGTATTTTTAGTAGAGACAGGGTTTCTCCATGTTGGTCAGGCTGGTCTCCAACTCCCGACCTCAGGTGATTCGCTCGCCTCAACCTCCCAAAGTGCTGGGATTACAGGCGTGAGCCACCGTGCCCGGCTAAAATGACAGCGTTTATTACCAACTATGTGTCAGTGAAAACATTGGAAATTTCTGATCAGCAATAAAGTGCTCCGGAAACCATTTTTATGCTGCTACAAAAAATAAATAAAGTGCATAGAGAAATAGAAATGCTTAAACAAATACTAAATCAACAGACATTCTATGCTGACTGTGTACTTTTTTCTTTAGAATTCTCCAAGTCCCGGCTGCTTATGTACCTATCGAGCCAGATTCACCACCGTCATTATCAACTCATTTTATGAAAAAATGTAATCTAAAGTATATCCTTGTTGAAAAAAAACAAATTAATGTAAGTCTGGATGTTTCAATTGTTTTTTGCCTGTATTACATTTATTTCAATTGAAACATTCCTTCCTTCTCCCATCTGGATTCCTAAGTCTGCTAAATGTGGCAAGGTTTCTCAGTCTTTGCACTATGACATTTTTAGGGTTGAGTAATTGTTGTGAGGAGTGTTCCGTATATTATAGGATATTTAGCAATATATTTGACCTCCACTCGCTAGACCTCAGTAGCACCTCCCAGTCATAACAACCAAAAATCTCCAGACATTGCCAATTGTCCCCCAGAGGGGCTCTCCACCCCTCACACTCCATTGTGAGCCACTATTCTGTAGTATGAACAGATCTGTTAGCCTTATAATAATATATTATGCATTGTTTTGAATTTCTCTTTCCAAAGTATTTCCTATACTGCAAAATTTTATAATACTTGGAACTTTCATATTTATGGCAATTACATTGGTCAGCAACACTGAAGAATTATAACTAAGCTTGCATTTTGAAAAAGAGACTGGTACTTAGAGGAGATCTTTCCAGAAAAGTAAATTTATTGTTTTTTTATTTTTAAATGATTGCCAACCAAAGATATAACCAAGAAACTCTGTTTTTGGGGCAAGAATTGGTGTTATATCTTCAGCAAGATGCAGCCCATGCTTCATTGTTTATTTATTATTTATAAAATATTGTTTTACTAAAGGGGAAGAACATTATAAAAATATATTCAATTTAGCCTGTTTTTGCCCATTTTCTATATGAGCCAGTTTGTATTGGGGTAACTTAAATGCATTCCCTGCTTTCACCCCCCCCAACTGTGTGTGTGTGTGTGTGTGTGTGTGTGAGAAGTGTCAAGAACTTGAGGTATATGGGGGACTTTCTAGAGACTCAAAGGGTTTTTTTTTTTTTGAGCCAGAGTCTCACTCTGTTACCCAGGCTGAAGTGCAATGGGCAGTGGTGCGATCTCAGCTCACTGCAACCTCCGCCTCCCAGGTTCAAGCGGTTCTTGTGCCTCAGCTGCCCAAGTAGCTGGAATTACAGGTGCATGCCACCACACCCGGCTAATTTTTGTATATATATTTTTAAGTAGAGACAAGGTTTCACCATGTTGGCCAGGCTGGTCTTGAACTTCTGACCTCAAGTGTTCTGCCTGCCCCGACCTCCCAAAGTGCTGGGATTACAGGCATGAGCCACCACACCTGGTCTGGTTAATAAATATTTTTAAAATAATTACTTATTAGTGTGTAGCCGAAATTTCCTCTACTCCTCAAATTGGTTATTGCATTGTTCATAAGTAAGCAAAACTGAAATGGGGATGTGATGTTTATTTTTCTTAGCAATCTTAGTGAAAATTTTATAAAAGGTAGCTGAGTATCAGTATTAATTGTCAATGTCAAGGTATTCTTTATGACCAGTAGGAGTTGGACATAGCAAAACCCAAAAAGGAGTTGGGCGCAGCAAAACCTTGCTTCCTATCCCATGATTTTGATGATGGTGTAAGTGTTCTTCCTTCATTTAACACAGGAACGATCAGTAAGTATTTTTAAGCATCTACTGTATGTATGCCCAGCATCCACTAAAGCAGTAGTTCTCAACTGGGGACAATTGGCAATGTCTAGACATATTTTTTATTGTAATGATGGAAGTGGGGTGCTACTGGCATCTGGTGGGTAGAGGCCAGCGATACTGCTAAAAATCCTACAGTGTATAAGACAGCACTCCACTAAGAATTTTCTGGTCCAAAATATCAGTAGTGTTGAAGTTGAGAAACCTTGCACTACGGACAGGATGATTGGGAGGGCATTAGCATATAAGCCTTCCAGCTTTTTATAATGTAGTTGGAGAGAAAAGTTAATACTTCTGAACCTATAACATCTACATAGTGTGATAATTGTCCTAAGTGAAGTAAACATAACCTAGTAGATATAGTAGAATTTTAATGGGGAGGGATGGTTTTGAGCTAGATCTGAAGCGTATGTAGTTCTTTAATTTTTCAAATATTACAGGCCACACCACATCCCCTACCCAATACATACACACATTAAACACACAAAGAAAACACTGTAGGCTTCTGGGTTGTGACCTTTTTCTCATTATTTATGTTGATTTATTTAATGTGAAAACTTAGGTTATATTTCATTAAGCTGTTGTTGTCAACCTAAAAAGATATATTCAAAGAAACCTTACTTTCAACATGTACAAATTCAGTTTAGCATCTCTTCATCCAAACTCACTTCTGGATTAATTCTTCTCCATCCACCAAATCACCTGGGCCAGAAACCCAACAATTTTCTTAGACTCACTCTATATCCAGAAAGTCACCATGTCTTATTTATTCTTTGCTCATAGACCCTTTCTAACCACTCCTCTTGTAACAGAATAGTAGTTCAGGACCATATAGTATATCCGAATTACTGCAAAAGACTCATTAAATGGTTCTCACTTAGCAGAATCTCATTTATTATTCTGTCCTTGATAGAGTCTAATCTATGCTATTGCCACCTTCAATTGGATCCTGTCACTTACAGGTTAAGATCTAAACTCCTTAGTGCTGAGTGTACACGGTTATTAAGGATTTGCATCTCATCTCCTATCAACAACGCACCTCACCTTTTCCCTCTCCCCCACCCCGTTCTTTACCTTAATTGGAAGGCTTAATGTTCACATACCAGCTTTCCCAGGTCAGATCCTCAATGTTGGCTGTTTGCCTGAAGTGCCCATTTTTATTATTTGGAGAATAGCTACTTATAACAAATATTACCCATGAAGCAATCTCTGACCTTCTAGGCAGAGTTCGGCATTCTCTGTTCCCATTAACATTTCAAGCCTGCTTTATTATCATACGCATTGCATTATAATTGCTTGTATATGTCTGGTGTTTTTGAAAATAAGTTAGTAAGGACAGCACTTTGCTCTTGGAGATTTATTTATCTTTTTACCCCCGGGTATACAGCAAGTACTTCCCCCCACTCCCCAAAAACGTCATGTTGAATGAGTAAATGAATACAGTTGGCCCTCTGTATCCAGAGGTTTCCTATCCGAGGATTCATCCAACTGCAGACTGAAAATATTTGGGGCCCACGCCTATAATCCCAGCACTTTAGGAGACTGAGGCAGGAGATCATTTGAGGCCAGGAGTTTGAGACCAGATTGGGTAACATAGTGAGACATCGTCTCTGCTAAAAATAAAAAGCTAGCTGGGTGTTTTGGTGCACACCTGTAGTTCCAGCTACTCAAGAGGCTGAGGTGGGAAGATCGCTTGAGCCCAGCTGTTCGAGGTTGCAGTCAGTTAAGATTACACTGCTGTGGTCAGGCGTGGTGGCTCATGCCTGTAATCCCAGCACTTTGGGAGGCTGAAGCTGGCGGATCATGAGGTCAAGAGATCAAGACCATCCTGGCTAACACGGTGAAACCCCGTCTCTGCTAAAAAAAATACAAAAACATTAGCCGGGCGTGGTGGCAGGTGCCTGTAGTCCCAGCTACTCGGGAGGCTGAGGCAGGAGAATGGTGTGAACCTGGGAGGCGGAATTTGCAGTGAGCTGAGATTGCGCCACTGCACTCCAGCCTGGATGACAGAGTGAGACTCCGTCTCAAAAAAAAAAAATAAATAAAAAAATAAAGATTATACCACTGCACTCCAGCCTGGGCAACAGAGTGAGACCCTGTCTCAAGAAAAAAAAAAAGAAAATATTCAGAAAAAAAAAAAAACCCAGTGCAACAGTAAAAACTAATACAGATTTAAAAATATAGCAACTATTTACATAGCATTAATTAGCATAGTTTTGTATTAGTTATAAGTAATCTAGAGATCATTTAAAGTATATGGGAGGATGTGCATGGTTTATATGCAAATACAGCACCATTTTATATAAGGGACTTGAGCATCTTCAGATTTTGGTATCTGAGATGATCCTAGAACCAATTCCCCCAAGGATACTGAGGGATGACTGTATTTCATATTACTTCTATATAAAGAAGAATATCTTTTAACATACTAATACTGTAAACTTTGTCCCCCATTTCACACAGAAATTTAAATCTTTTCATGAAACATTATTGAACTATGATACATTTACAGTGGAACATAATGACCTAGTGCTCTTCAGACTTCACTGGAAAAATACTGAGGTGAACTTGATGCTAAATGATGGAAAAGAGAAATATGAAAAAGAAAAAATAAAAAGCATAAGTTCTGAGCATGTCAATGAAGAAAAAGCAGAAGAACACATGGATCTGAGGCTAAAGCATTGCTTAGCCTATGTTCTACATACATCAGGGACTACAGGGATACCGAAGATTGTCAGAGTGCCTCATAAGTGTATAGTACCAAATATCCAGCATTTTCGGTAAGTTCTAGTCTTTGACTCTTTCTCAGAATCTATATTTTAGGCCAGGTGTGGTGGCTTATGCCTGTAATCCCAGCACTTTGGGAGGCTGAGGCGGGTGGATCACTTGAGGTCAGGAGTTCAAGATCAGCCTGGCCAACATGGTGAAAGCTGTCTCTACTGAAAAAATACAAAAATCAGCCAGGCGTGTTGGTGGGTGCCTGTAATACCAGGTACTGGAGAGGCTGAGGCAGGAGAATTGCTTGAACCCAGGAGGTGGAGGTTGCAGTGAGCTGAGACTATGCCACTGCACTCCAGCCTGAGTGACAGAGTGAGACTGTCTCAAAAACAAAACAAAACAAAAAACCTTGTATTTTAAAGGGAAAAAAATAATTTTAAAACGTTTGGTTTTATAACTCTTGTTCCTAAATTAATAGTCCTAAGAAGTAAATTGAGTCTTTTTTGTTTCAGCTGTATCTGAACTTTAGTTCTCTGCAGACTAGGCCCTTCACCTGTTTCATCCAAGCCTAGGGCCAGACACGGAACAAACAAATGATATGATTAGAAGCTTTGCATCTTAATTATTAATAAAAAGGGAGAAAGGATTTTCCTAGCAGAGGTACTAGCAGAGTTATATGAGAATGAAGGAGTTTGTCCTACTAGAATGTCAGAGCAGGGCTGAGGAAACAGTGAAAGATCAGGAGCCTGGTATGCCCTGTTGAAGGCTGAACTTAATCCAGTAGATGATGGGGAACCATTAAAAGATTCTCATTTTGTTAAGTTCACTCTTGTAGTAGTATTGTGGAGTTTGACTTGCTGATGTGGTCAAGAGATTAGAAATCTCCAAAGTTGACATTCTTAATTTGCCAAGAAAGAGAGGAAGAAGTGAACCTTAGGGGTGTAGTCCTAGAAAATCAAAGGAGGAAACAGAAATAGAAACCTCATGAAACATGTACGTAATTTTATGTCATTTTAAGTTTTATGTAATTTTAAATGCTTAAGTAATATTCAAAAGTAAAATGGAATGAATGAAAAGGGAAGAAAAAAGAATCAAGTGAAGTTAATTTTATTTTATTTTATTTATTTATTTTTTTTTTTTTTTGAGACGGAGTCTCGCTCTGTCGCCCAGGCTGGAGTGCAGTGGCGGGATCTCGGCTCACTGCAAGCTCCGCCTCCCGGGTTCACGCCATTCTCCTGCCTCAGCCTCCCAAGTAGCTGGGACTACAGGCGCCCGCCACTACGCCCGGCTAATTTTTTGTATTTTTAGTAGAGACGGGGTTTCACTGTTTTAGCCGGGATGGTCTCGATCTCCTGACCTCGTGATCCGCCCGCCTCGGCCTCCCAAAGTGCTGGGATTACAGGCGTGAGCCACCGTGCCCGGCAAAGTTAATTTTAACAATATATTTTATTTAATTTAGTATACTCCAAAACATTACTTCAATATGTAATCAATATAAAAATTACTAGTAAGATATTTTGCATTTTTTATGCTAATCATCTTCAAAATCTGGCATATATTTTATACTTACACATCTCAACGTGGACTAGCCATATTCTTAGTGCTCAGTGGACCTATGGTATTGGATGGCACATGCAGGCCTGGAAAGAAGAAATGGTTAAATGCTGGTAGAGAAAGATGTCTGTTGTAATCGACAATATAGTCTTTAGTGACTTCTTAATCCCCAAGATTGGAGATAGATTACATTAGGCTGGAGATAAGAGAATAGGAGATAACGAAATAGAGGTAACAAAAGTCAAATGTTATTTTCTAGAAACTGGTTTTAATGGAAAAGAAGGAATTCTGGGATGGACACAGGTGTTTTGTCTTTAAGATGGGAGAGGTTGGCTGGGTGCAGTGGCTCATGCCTGTAATCCCACACTTTAGGAGGCTAAGGCAGGAGGATCGCTTGAGCCCAGGAGTTCAAAACCAGCCTGGGTAACATAGTGGGACTCTGTCTTTAAGAAACATTAAAAATAATTAGCTGGGCCTGGTGGTCTGTGCCTATAATCCTAGCAACTCGGGAGGTTGAAGCGGAAGGATTGATTTAGCCCAGGAGGTCAAGGCTGCAGTGATCCGTTATTGCACCACTGCATTCCAGCCTGGGTGACAGAGCGAGACTCAATCTTAAAAAAAAAAAAAAAAAAAAAAGATGAGCGGTTTAGAGGCTGAGGGTGGGGAATTGGTAGAAGGGGTTGGTTTAAATAATGAATTAGTAGTAGGAGTATTAACAAAGGAGTAAGATACATTTAGATGGGAGGAAGATACATTTAGATGGGAGGGAATGGCATTATTTAAAATACTGAGTGGAATACCTCTTTTTTTGATAGCCTCAAAAAGATTAGGATAGTAAAGTAAATACATTTCTTGGTGTTAGAGGAAGCCAGTAGGTTTTAACTTTTGTATGAAGCAGAAGGCCAAGTCATACCTAAGAGTGTGGGAGGTGAGGTGGGGATGGGGATGTAGGGAACTTGAAGAAAATGAAGCAGATAAGGAATCTGGGGGAGGTGGAGAGACAGCCGACTAAGAGGCACTGGCCCAGCAGTGGTAAGAATGGTCCGTGAAATGGGAGCAAACATTTGCTTAATGAGGGGTGAAGGGTTGATTTATGACTAAATTATACAAATTTCTTGATACCTATTTTGTGCTTCAACTTCATTCAATTGATTTGCCTGTTAGAAATCTTTTTTTGGTTTGCTTTTAGGTTCTTAAGTGAGGTGGTAAATAATTAGATTCTAAAGAGATGAAATGTTAAAGTAGTCAATTTAAAAATTAAAACAGTAATGTTAAATTTTCTATTTTAGACTTAGATCACTAAGCTAGGGAGTATTAAATTTCAGACACATATTAGAACAATCTTATCTCTGTTGCTGGCTCCCCAAATATTACCAGAATAACCTATTAATAAGATAGTGCTAGCTGGGCATGGTGGCACAAGTCTGTAGTCTTAGCTACTCCAGTGGCCAAAGCAGGAAGATTGCTGAGCCTAGGAGTTTGAGGCTGCAGTGAACTGTGATTGAACTTGGGCAGCTGCAAGACCCTGCACTCCAGCTTGGGTGACAGAGCGAGACTCTGTCTTAAAAAAAAAAAAGACAAAGCTGAGTTTTCTTGCATATGTTGGTAAAAGGCAGCACTACCTCCAGAGAGAATGATAGCTCCAGAAAGGGAAGGACTAGGTTTCCTTTATTGAAATTTTGAAATCTAATTTAGATAGATCTTTCAAATCAGGGGATTAATTTAAAGGCTTGGATAAGGATAACAATTTTTTAAACAGTTAAAAATTAGTTGATTTGTTTGACTTTGCATAAGGTACTTAACCTCCATGAACTTCAGTTTTCTCCATTTTAAAATGGGGGTGGAGAGCTTTTCCTCTACCATCTGTGACGCAGTATCTAGGGGACTGAGAATTAAACTGACAAAAGACAGATTAAGAAAAAAAGTTTATTCCTGTGCATATAGCAGTTTACAAAAGAAACGGAATTGCATTTTATTAAGTTCATTTAAATGTATTTGTAAATTTATTTGTTCATAGGAAGAACAAATAAATTGTTTTGGAAAGAGAAATGGGTTTTCAGGAAAATAAACAGGAGATAAGAAAGTTTGTGATAACACTTGGGTATGCAGGTGCAGTGGTCTTTCTGTCTTCTTCATGGCCTTCCTGGGAGTAAAACCACTCTGAAGAAGAAGTTTATGGCAGCCTCATTTCCCTGAAGTTTCTGCTTTCAGTCAGATAAGGGAAGCTCCAAGAAGGTTTCTGCATTTGTTGAATCTCAAATGTCCTTTTTTTTTTTTTTTTTTTTTCTGAGACAGAGTCTCACTCTGTCACCCAGGCTGGAATGCAGCAGTGCAGTCTCTGCTCACTGCAACTTCTGCCTCCCAGGTTCAAGCTATTCTTCTGCCTCAGCCTCCCACTATAGGTGCACGCCACTATGCCTGGCTAATTTTTGTAGTTTTAGTAGAGACAGGGTTTCACCATCTTGGCCAGGCTGGTCTCAAACTCCTGACCTCAAGTATCTGCCCACCTTGGCCTCCCAAAGTGCTGGGATTACAAGCGTGAGCCACCGCGCCCAGCCTCAAATGTCTTTACCTTAAAATAATCTTCATACCAACTTGGTTTCTGAGTTAGGTTCTCACATAATCATACCTGCCTCATATGGTGGTTGGGAAAATGAGGAACAGTATATTAGATACCCAGCCTAAGCTTCACAAGTAATATGTTTAAATGTTTGTTGCATTCCACTTTTTTTCTTCCTTTAAAATCTGTCTCTTCTTTTTTTTCAACTTTTCTTATATTGAATGCATCTTAAGCTGCTTTCGTGAAATGAACTACATGGAACTACATGAACTGTATGCATGCATAACCTTGCCCATTTTTGTTCATAGAATTGAAAACTAAAAATATTCTCAGAATTTAAGCTTTGTTGGAAGCCTGTTAGAAAGTTTGCTCTCCCCTGAATACCTAAGTAGGAAGCTAGACAATATATGTGAAGAATACTTCCTCTAAAACTTGAAGTTTGAGGGTAGCCTTTGTTGGGCTCAGAAAATGATACCCCAACGTATGGCACTTTGGCATGCTGAGTACTTTGAACTGAAGGACATTGGAAGGACTTCAGAAGTAAAGTCTCTTTCTGACCTTTTCCTGCCCTTCTTTCTCTTGCTTCTCTTTCTCCCCAAGGCAGGCCATAGTAACTGAACCCCTCTCCCTCAAAGACAGTCATAAAACCTAGAGGCCAGGCGCGGTGGCTCACACCTGTAATCCCAGCACTTTGGGAGGCTGAGGTGGGTGGATCATTTGAGGTCAGGAGTTCGAGACCGGCCTGATCAACATGGTTGAAACCCAGTCTCTACTAAAAACTCAAAAAAATTAGCCAGGTTTGGTGGTGCATGCCTGTAATCCCAGCTACTCGGGAAGCTGAGGCAGGAGAATCGCTCGAACTTGGGAGGCAGAGGTTGCAGTGAGCCGAGATCATGCCACTGCACTCCACCTTGTGTGACAGAGCAAGACTTTTCTCAAAAAACAAAAACAAAAAAACTAGAAATATAGAAATATTACTCTAACCTTAATATGTAAGAGCTGGCTGTAAAGAAATTGCTCTTACTTACCTTGTCTGAAAGTAGAACATAAGACTCATTCCAGAAAGGGTCCTGCCCTATACGTGGGAGGAAGAAATGCCACACAGAGAGGCCAGGAATTTAAAAGGACAGGCCTTGCTGGATTTTCCCACTCAGTTTATTACTCATTCCCTTTTTGTTGAATCACATTTCTACACAGCTGTCCACTCTATTGAATCTAAGCATTAAAATGGACACTTTTCCCTTGGGTCTTTGGGTCTTCATTCTGAAGCCTCCCATGTTTCATAAAACTTTGATTAAATAAATTTGTCATGCTTTTCTGTTGTTAAACTGTCTTTTGTTTATAAGAGTGTGGGCTGTGAGCCTTATGATGGGGAGGAAAGGTATCACAGCCTTTCGGCCCCTACACCTTTAACACACAATGAGTTTTTATTTTACCTGAGACACCATATACATAGTTATAATTTTTAAAATGTTTATACCATATTTGAAGCTTTTTTGAAATTAAGATGCTTTTAGATGTAGTGGTGTCTGTGTGTTCAAATTAAAATAGTGTCATAGGCTCCACAATGACTATCCATGCTGTATAAGAGCCTAACCACATATATTCTTATTCTGCTTTTTGTTCAGATACTGAAAGAAAATGCTAAATAGAAAGGGGAGTCGGAAGTCTCTATTAAACATCATTGAATAAGTATGACAGAATAAGGATTCTGCCAGAGGAGCAGAACCAGGAGTTAGATCAGGGATTGATTATAAGAAATTGGTTTACACAATTGTGGGGCCTGGCTAAGCAAGTCTAAAGTCCATAGGGATCAGTTAGGAAGGGGTGATCACAAGCAGGCTGGAATCCCGTGGCCATGAGACTGTCCCAGGTGAAATCAGATTGGGAAGAAGGGAGATTAATTGCAGACCCAGCTGCTGTTTGGGCCTCTTCATCAGAGAAGGCCTAAAACTTCTTCTAAAGGCCTTCCAAGTAAATCCAGCCAACCCTGGATAATCTCCCTTTTGATTAAGTAAATCAGCTGATTAGGGACTACAGGGTTTGATTGAATAACTGCTTGAAGAAGGCGTGTGTGCTGCTAAGCAGCAGCCTCCCTTCTGTTCTTCAGCTCTCAAGAGAATATCCCTTGTCTCCTTCCCTAACAGGAAACATACTAGAGAGGAAATTCCGGGGACAGTAGTTCAATCAAACCAAGTTGACACATCAAAAGTCATCACAGATGATAAAATATGTCTGGTAAAACGTGGATATTGCTTTAAATAGCTGTTAATTCTTTTATAAAGAAGATTTCCTGAATTTTGATAGCACCATTTTGGCTAATTTAAGAGAGAAGAATAAAATCTGGCCAACATTCAGAAACTTGATCATCATAAACACATGAACACTCTTTTAGGATATGTGCTTACTGAATGTTTGACGTTTCTCATAACTGCATTCTGTTTTGCCTTAGGGTACTTTTTGACATCACACAAGAAGATGTTTTGTTTCTGGCTTCACCTCTGACCTTCGATCCTTCTGTTGTGGAAATATTTCTTGCTCTATCAAGTGGTGCCTCTCTGCTTATTGTACCAACTTCCGTCAAGTTGCTCCCATCAAAATTAGCCAGCGTTCTCTTTTCCCATCATAGAGTGACTGTTTTGCAGGTACATTTTAGTAGCAATGAACGTTTTGTTTATCATTTTTCAATATTTTAAGTGTTTTAGAGAATATTTTGTATTCCTGTAGTTCTTTACAATGGATTAATATAATCTGGTTAGATTATCAAGGGCCGTCTCCTCAGGATGTGACTTTTTTTGTTGTTTATTTGAAAATGAAAAAAGATAAATGAATTCTGCCTAGAAAATTCTTTTATTATGTATTTTGTGCATACTATAATAATTAGAGGACCTTGACTTTGACTCAGATTTGTTGGATTTGAGAAGGATAGGCTGCCTCTTCTGTCTTAAAATCTATGTATGTTGTGTTTCTCATGAAAAACTAGTATAAGTCAATTAAATTATAATCGAGTTAGGAATATAGATTTTCTTATTTTTACATCAGTGTACTTTACATTAACCTACAGAAACAAGTATTTTTGAAATTTGGCCTTTTAAAATGTTATTTAAATGTGTATCTGACTGGTGATTAGGTCATGCAGGTACACAAGTATATGACTGGTACACAAGCCTTGAGTTACTACATTGTAAGTAGCTAACAGTACTAGAGAATTAGCAATATTATATGCATATCATAATATGTAGATATCTTAGTTAAATGTTTAACTGCTGTGAGCCTCAGGTTTTATCTGTAAATGGAAATAATACCCATCTCAAATAGAATTAAATGAGACAGTGTAGCATAGTTCCTGATTGTGTGTGTGAGTCCATTCAGGCTGCTGTAACAAAATACCATAAACTGGGTAGCTTATAAACAACAGACATTTATTTCTTATAGTTCTGGAGGTGGGAAGTCCAAGATTAAGTCATCAGGAGATTTGATCTCTCACGAGGGGCCCACTCGCTGATTCATTAGACTGCGGTCTTTTCATTGGGTCCTCACTTGATGGAAAGGGTTTTATAAGGGCACTAATCTCATTCATGAGGTCTCTGCCTGCATGACCTAATCACTTCACAAAGGCCCTACCTCCTAATACCATTGCCTTGAGAGTTAGAATTTCTTTTCTTTTCTTTTGTTTTTTCTTTTCTTTTCTTTCTTTCTTTCTCTCTCTCTCTCTGTCCCTCTCTCTCTCTCTCTTTCTTTTGACAGAGTCTTGCTGTGTTGCCCAGGCTGCAGTGAAGTGGCGTGATCTTGGCTCACTCTGCCTCCTGGGTTCCGGCGATTCTTGTGCCTCAGTCTCCTGAGTAGCTGGGATTACAGGCACCCGCCACCACACCAGGCTAATTTTTGTATTTTTGGTAGAGACAGGGTTTCACCATGTTGGCTAGGCCAGTCTCACTCCTGGCCTCAAGGGATCCTTCTGCCTCAGCCTCCAAAGTTCTGGGATTACAGGCGTGAACCACTGTACCTGGCCTGAGAGTTAGGATTTCAACATACAAATTTGAGGGGGAGACACAAACATTCAGACCATAGTGTGTTATATTCGTATACCTGTGTGCATATGTGCATCTTAATTATTAGTTTCCATTGTCTGTTTTTTTTTTTTTTTTTTTAATTGAGACAGAGTCTCACTCTTCTCGCCCAGCCTGGAGTACAGTGGTATGACCTCGGCTCACTGCAATGTCTGTCTCCCGGGCTCAAGAGATTCTTGTGCCTTGGCCTCCTGAGTAGCTGGGATTACAGGCGTGTACCACCACGCCCAGCTAATTTTTGTATTTTTAATAGAGACAGCATTTTGTGATGATGGCCAGGCTGGTCTTGAACTCCTGGCCTCCTGGTCTCAAACTCCTCAATCTGCCCGCCTTGGACTCCCAAAGTCCTGGGATTTCAGGTGTGAGCCACCACGCCCACCTTCCACTTTCTATTTTGATAAACTAAAATTATCAGATTTTTATCCAGGGTAACGAGAATTGAGAGGATATTAAACTTCTGCTATAAAAACAAAATTTGATACTTTGAACTTCTTTAAGGCAATGTGTTTTTCATCCTAATTCATGTATATATATGAACCGAGTGTAGCAGTGTGGCTTGTTGGGTGTGAGGGGATATAAATTCTCATCTGTTAGAGAGTCATTCCATGAATTCTGTGGATCTAGATAAGATTTTACTATAACTGTTTTATTTACCTGTAAAATTCAAAGAGCATATTTCTCACGGAATGTTTGCAAAGTTCCTTGATAGATTTGATTCATAGTTACTAAAAGGGAAGGAGACTTTCCTTCTATGTCAGGTCAATGAATTCTACCTCTTTAAATCTCATCCCCTTGTTTGATGTTTTAGCACAATCTCAGATAAATTTACTTTAGCAGTTGTTTTTAACCTTTTTGGGATCAAATTTTTCTGAGAAACTGATAGAAACTTACTCTTTTCCAAGAACATGACAAATATTGCATATAGTTTCATGGTGATTTTATTTATCTCACAATAGTTATTGGGAATGTCATCAGCAGATCACATTTGACTTGGTTTGAGTAAGGAGGAGAGGTATAGAAGCTGACAGGCTGTCCTTTCCTTTGTGTGAGGCACGTGCCTTTTCTTATTCTGAATTTTAGCTGTGTTGTCAGGGTTCATCTTTTCTTTTTCTTTTTTTTTTGGGAGGGAGTTTATATTTACATTTGTTTTTTTTTTTAATTTAAGTTTTAGGGTACATGTGTACAACGTGCAGGTTTGTTACATATGTATACATGTGCCATCCATGTTGGTGTGCTGCACCCATCAACTCATCATTTAGCATTAGGTATCTCTCCTAATGCTATCCCTCCCCCCTCCCCCCACCCCACAAAAGTCCCCAGTGTGTGGTGTTCCCCTTCCTGTGTCCATGTGTTCTCACTGTTCAATTCCCACCCATGAGTGAGAACATGCGGTGTTTGGTTTTTTGTCCTTGCAATAGTTTGCTGAGAATGATGGTTTCCAGCTTCATCCATGTCCCTACAAAGGACATGAACTCATCATTTTTTATGGCTGCATAGTATTCCATGGTGTATATGTGCCACATTTTCTTAATCCAGTCTATCATTGTTGGACATTTGGGTTGCTTCCAAGTCTTTGCTATTGTGAATAGTGCCGCAATAAACATATGTGCGCATGTGTCTTTATAGCAGCATGATTTATAATCCTTTGGGTATATACCCAGTAATGGGATGGCTGGGTCAAATGGAATTTCTAGTTCTAGATCCCTGAGGAATCGCCACACTGACTTCCACAATGGTTAAACTAGTTTACAGTCCCACCAACAGTGTAAAAGTGTTCCTATTTCTCCACATCCTCTCCAGCACCTGTTGTTTCCTGACTTTTTAATGATCGCCATTCTAACTAGTGAGAGATGGTATCTCATTGTGGTTTTGATTTGCATTTCTCTGATGGCCAGTGATGATGAGCATTTTTTCATGTGTTTTTTGGCTGCATAAATGTCTTCTTTTGAGAAGTGTCTGTTCATATCCTTCGCCCACTTGTTGATGGGGTTTTTTGTTTTTTTCTTGTAAATTTGTTTGAGTTCATTGTAGATTCTGGATATTAGCCCTTTGTCAGATGAGTAGGTTGCAGAAATCTTCTCCCATTCTGTAGGTTGCCTGTTCACTCTGATGGTAGTTTCTTTTGCTGTGCAGAAGCTCTTTAGTTTAATGAGATCCCATTTGTCAATTTTGGCTTTTGTTGTCATTGCTTTTGGTGTTTTAGACATGAAGTCCTTGCCCATGCCTATGTGCTGAATGGTATTGCCTAGGTTTTCTTCTAGGGTTTTTATGGTTTTAGGTCTAACATGTAAGTCTTTAATCCATCTTGAATTAATTTTTGTATAAGGTGTAAGGAAGGGATCCAGTTTCAGCTTTCTACATATGGCTAGCCAGTCTTCCCAGCACCATTTATTAAATAGGGAATCCTTTCCCCATTGCTTGTTTTTCTCAGGTTTGTCAAAGATCAGATAGTTGTAGATATGTGGCATTATTTCTGAGGGCTCTGTTCTGTTCCATTGATCTATATCTCTGTTTTGGTACCAGTACCATGCTGTTTTGGTTACTGTAGCCTTGTCATATAGTTTGAAGTCAGGTAGCATGATGCCTCCAGCTTTGTTCTTTTGGCTTAGGATTGACTTGGCAATGCAGGCTCTTTTTTGGTTCCATATGAACTTTAAAGTAGTTTTTTCCAATTCTGTGAAGAAAGTCATTGGTAGCTTGATGGGGATGGCATTGAATCTATAAATTACCTTGGGCAGTATGGCCATTGTCACGATATTGATTCTTCCTACCCATGAGCATGGAATGTTCTTCCATTTGTTTGTATCCTCTTTTATTTCATTGAGCAGTGGTTTGTAGTTCTCCTTGAAGAGTTCCTTCACGTCCCTTGTAAGTTGGATTCTTAGGTATTTTATTCTCTTTGAAGCAATTGTGAATGGGAGTTCACTCATGATTTGGCTGTTTGTCTGTTATTGGTGTATAAGAATGCTTGTGATTTTTGTACATTGATTTTGTATCCTGAGACTTTGCTGAAGTTGCTTATCAGCTTAAGGAGATTTTGGGCTGAGACGATGGGGTTTTCTGGATATACAATCATGTCATCTGCAAACAGGGACAATTTGACTTCCTCTTTTCCTAATTGAATACCCTTTATTTCCTTCTCCTGCCTAATTGCCCTGGCCAGAACTTCCAACACTATGTTGAATAGGAGTGGTGAGAGAGGGCATCCCTGTCTTGTGCCAGTTTTCAAAGGGAATGCTTCCAGTTTTTGTCCATTCAGTATGATATTGGCTGTGGGTTTGTCATAGATAGCTCTTATTATTTTGAGATACGTCCCATCAATACCTAATTTATTGAGAGTTTTTAGCATGAAGGGTTGTTGAATTTTGTCAAAGGCCTTTTCTGCATCTATTGAGATAATCATGTGGTTTTTGTCTTTGGTTCTGTTTATATGCTGGATTATGTTTATTGATTTGCATATATTGAACCAGGCTTGCATCCTAGGGATGAAGCCCACTTGATCATGGTGGATAAGCTTTTTGATGTGCTGCTGGATTCGGTTTGCCAGTATTTTATTGAGGATTTTTGCATCAATGTTCATCAAGGATATTGGTCTAAAATTCTCTTTTTTGGTTGTGTCTCTGCCAGGCTTTGCTATCAGGATGATGCTGGCCTCATAAAATGAATTAGGGAGGATTCCCTCTTTTTCTGTTGATTGGAATAGTTTGAGAAGGAATGGTACCAGCTCCTCCTTGTACCTCTGGTAGAATTCGGCTGTGAATCAACCTGGTCCTGGACTTTTTTTGGTTCGTAGGCTATTAATTATTGCCTCAATTTCAGAGCCTGTTATTGGTCTATACAGAGATTCAACTTCTTCCTGGTTTAGTCTTGGGAGGGTGTATGTGTTGAGGAACTTATCCATTTCTTCCAGATTTTCTAGTTTATTTGCATAGAGGTGTTTATAGTATTCTGTGATGGTAGTTTGTATTTCTGTGGGATCGGTGGTGATATCCCCTTTGTCATTTTTTATTGCATCTATTTGATTCTTCTCTCTTTTCTTCTTTATTAGTCTTGCTAGCAGTCTATCAATTTTGTTGATCTTTTCAAAAAACCAGCTCCTGGATTCATTGATTTTTTGAAGGGATTTTTGTGTCTCTATTTCCTTCAGTTCTGCTCTGATCTTAGTTATTTCTTGCCTTCTGCTAGCTTTTGAATGTGTTTGCTCTTGCTTCTCTAGTTCTTTTAATTAAGATGTTAGGTTGTCAATTTTAGATCTTTCCTGCTTTCTCTTGTGGGCATTTAGTGCTATAAATTTCCCTCTACACACTGCTTTGAATGCGTCCCAGAGATTCTGGTATGTTGTGTCTTTGTTCTCGTTGGTTTCAAAGAACATCTTGATTTCTGCCTTCATTTCATTATGTACCCAGTAGTCATTCAGGAGCAGGTTGTTCAGTTTCCATGTAGTTGAGCGGTTTTGAGTGAGTTTCTTAATCCTGAGTTCTAGTTTGATTGCACTGTGGTCTGAGAGACAGTTTGTTATAATTTCTGTTCTTTTACATTTGCTGAGGAGTGCTTTACTTCCAACTATTTGGTCAGTTTTGGAATAGGTGTGGTGTGGTGCTGAGAAGAATGTATATTCTGTTGATTTGGGGTAGAGAGTTCTGTAGATGTCTGTTAGGTCCGCTTGGTGCAGAGCTGAGTTCAATTCCTGGATATCCTTGTTAACTTTCTGTCTCGGTGATCTGTCTAATGTTGGCAGTGGGGTGTGAAAGTCTCCCATTATTATTGTGTGGGAGTCTAAGTCTCTTTGTAGGTCTCTAAGGACTTGCTTTATGAATCTGGGTGCTCCTGTATTGGGTGCATATATATTTAGGATAGTTAGCTCTTCTTGTTGAATTGATCCCTTTAGCATTATGTAATGGCCTTCTTTGTCTCTTTTGATCTTTGTTGGTTTAAAGTCTATTTTATCCGAGACTAGGATTGCAACCCCTGCCTTTTTTTGTTTTCCATTTGCTTGGTAGATCTTCCTCCATCCTTTTATTTTGAGCCTATGTGTGTCTCTGCACGTGAGATGAGTTTCCTGAATACAGCACACTGATGGGTCTTGACTCTTTATCCAATTTGCCAGTCTGTGTCTTTTAACTGGAGCATTTAGCCCATTTACATTTCAGGTTAATATTGTTATGTGTGAATTTGATCCTGTCATTATGATGTTAGCTGGTTATTTTGCTCATTAGTTGATGCAGTTTCTTCCTAGGCTTGATGGTCTTTACAATTTGGCATGATTTTGCAGTGGCTGGTACTGGTTGTTCCTTTCCATGTTTAGTGATTCCTTCAAGAGCTCTTTTAGGGCAGGCCTGGTGGTGACAAAATCTCTCAGCATTTGCTTATCTGTAAAGTATTTTATTTCTCCTTCACTTATGAAGCTTAGTTTGGCTGGATATGAAATTCTGGGTTGAAAATTCTTTTCTTTAAGAATGTTGAATATTGGCTCCCACTCTCTTCTGGCTTGTAGAGTTTCTGCCGAGTGATCAGCTGTTAGTCTGATGGGCTTCCCTTTGTGGGTAACCCGACCTTTCTCTCTGGCTGCCCTTAACATTTTTTCCTTAATTTCAACTTCGGTGAATCTGACAATTTTGTGTCTTGGAGTTGCTCTTCTTGAAGAGTATCTTTGTGGTGTTCTCTGTATTTCCTGAATGTGAATGTTGGCCTGCCTTACTAGATTGGGGAAGTTCTCCTTGATAATATCCTGCAGAGTGTTTTCCAACTTGGTTCCATTCTCCCTGTCACTTTCAGGTACACCAATCAGACGTAGATTTGGTCTTGTCACATAGTCGCATATTTCTTGGAGGCTTTGTTCATTTCTTTTTATTCTTTTCTCTCTAAACTTCCCTTCTCACTTCATTTCATTCATTTCGTCTTCCATCACTGATACCCTTTCTTCCAGTTGATCCCATTGGCTACTGAGGCTTGTGCATTCATCATGTAGTTCTCGTGCCATGGTTTTCAGCTCAGATCCTTTAAGGACTTCTCTGCATTGGTTATTCTAGTTAGCCATTTGTCTAATTTTTTTTCAAGGTTTTTAACTTCTTTGCCATTGGTTCGAACTTCCTCCTTTAGCTCAGAGTAGTTTGATCTTCTGGAGCCTTCTTCTCTCAACTTGTCAAAGTCATTCTCTGTCCAGCTTTGTTCCATTGCTGGTGAGGAGCTGCGTTCCTTTGGAGGAGGAGAGGAGCTCTGATTTTTAGAGTTTCCCGTTTTTCTGCTCTGTTTTTTTCCCATCTTTGTGGTTTTATCTACCTTTGGTCTTTGATGATGGTGACGTACAGATGGGTTTCTGGTGTGGATGTCCTTTCTGTTTGTTAGTTTTCCTTCCAACAGTCAGGACCCCCAGCTGCAGGTCTGTTAGAGTTTGCTGGAGGTCCACTCCAGACCCTGTTTGCCTGGGTATCAGCAGCGGTGGCTGCAGAACAGCGGATATTGGTGAACTGCAAATGCTGCTGCCTGATCGTTCTTCTGGAAGTTTTGTCTCAGAGGAGTACCCAGCCGTGTGAAGTGTCAGTCCGCCCCTACTGGGGGTGCCTCCCAGTTAGGCTACCCGGGGTTCAGGGACCCACTTGAGGAGGCAGTCTGCCCGTTCTCATATCTGAAGCTGCATGCTGGGAGAACCACTACTCTCTTCAAAGCTGTCAGACAGGGACATTTAAGTTTGCAGAGGTTGCTGTTGCCTTTTGTTTGTCTGTGCCCTGCCCCCAGAGGTGGAGCCTACAGAGGCAGGCAGGCCTCCTTGAGCTGTGCTGGGCTCCACCCAGTTTGAGCTTCCTGGCTGCTTTGTTTACCTACTCAAGCCTCGGCGATGGTGGGCGCCCCTCCCCCAGCCTCGCTGCCGCCTTGCGGTTTGATCTCAGACTGCTGTGCTAGCAATGAGCCAGGCTCCGTGGGCATAGGACCCTCCGAGCCAGGTGTAGGATATAATCTCCTGGTGTGCCGTTTGTTAAGCCCATTGGAAAAGCGCAGTATTAGTGTGGGAGTGACCCGATTTTCCAGGTGCCGTCTGTCACCCCTTTCTTTGACTAGGAAAGGGAATTCCCTGACCCCTTGGCGCTTCCCAGGTGAGGCGATGCCTTGCCCTGCTTTGGCTTACACACGGTGCACTGCACCCACTGTCCGGCACTCCCCAGTGAGATGAACCTGGTACCTCAGTTGGAAATGCAGAAATCACCCGTCTTCTGCGTCGCTCACGCTGGGAGCTGTAGACTGGAGCTGCTCCTATTCGGCCATCTTGGCTCCACCCCCAGGGTTCATCTTTTCTCTCCTAAGTCCAGTTTCTTTCAAATGATATATAAGTCATCAAGGATTTTTGCTTTGATATAATATACACTTTTTTATTTACTAAAGCGCTCCTTATATAGATTTTATTTACAAATAAAAACCTTACCCAGACCTAATTGGACATGAAGCAGGGCTCTTAAATGCTGTCAAGGCCAGGCACGGTGGCTCACGCCTGTAATCCCAGCACTTTGAGAGGCCAAAGTGGGTGGATCACCTGAGGTCAGGAGTTCAAGACCAGCCTGGCTAACATGGCAAAACCCCGTCTCTACTAAAAATACAAAAATTAGCCAGGCATGGTGGTGCACACCTGTAATCCCAGCTACTCAGGAGGCTGAGGCAGGGGAATCTCTTGAATCCAGGAGGTGGAGGTTGCAGTGAGCCAAGATTACACCACTGTACTCCAGCCTGGACAACAGAGTGAGACTTAGTCTAAAACAAACAAACAAACAAAGAAAAAAAAAGCTGTCAAAACACATACTACTAAAGCTTTGGAAATTGAAAAGAATAGAATATCTTGAGTTACTGTGGGGGGAAAAAGGCCTCCAAAGTGAAATGGACTAAGCTTTGGAGGAAATTAAAGACCTCTTTTATTTGTTTCAGGAATAAGGAGTTTCTTGGGAAATAAAGGATTGATTTTTGGTTTATCACAAACCTAAAATATATTTGGACATTTTTTATTTACATACTCTTGGTAACAAAGTTATATTATTTAAACTTGATGCCCTTTAAAACTTTTTTGTTTTGAGACAGGGTCTTGCTTTGTTACCCAGGCTGGAGCACAGTGGCGCCCTCACAGCTCACTGCAGCCTTGACTTCTGGGGCTCAAGTGATCCTCCCACCTCAGCCTCCTGAGTAGCTGGGACCACAGGTGCATGCCATCATGCCTGGCTAATTTTTAAAATCTTTTGTAGAGACAGGGTCTCCCTGTGTTGCCCAGGCTGGTCTTGAACTCCTGGGCTCAAGCAATTCATCCCACCTCAGCCTCCTGAAGTGCTAGGATTACAGGCATGAGCCACCATGCATGGTCTAAAAGTAAAACATTTTAGAGTAAAATATTAGGTTGATACCTAGGAATGTGTCAGCATAATAATGTTTTCCATTTTTCCTGAGTTTTTCCTTAAAAAACTCGGAAGAAATTTTAACATTCCCTATTTTTTCTATTATCTACTAAGTCTCATTTTTGTATGTCTAGAATGATTTACTAGCAAAGGATGCTGACTTGTATTCTGCCCCTCAATTTAGCATTTCAGTTTATGAGTATCTGAAAAGTATTTCAATTTTTTTATTTTTCATTTTTTATTTTTTTGAGATGGAATCTTACTCTGTCACGCAGGCTGGAGTGCAGTGGTGTGATCTCAGCTCACCGCAACCTCCACCTCCTGGGTTCAAGTGATTCTCATGCCTCAGCCTCCCAAGTAGCTGGGAATACAGGTGTGTGCCACCACACCCTGCTAATTTTTGTATTTTTAGTAGAGACAGAGTTTCACCCTGGCTAGGCTGGTCTCGAACTCCTGACCTTAAGTGATCTGCCCGCCTTGGCTTTCCAAAGTGTTGGGATTACAGGCGTGAGTCACCACACTCGGCCTCCATTTTTTTTATTTTGCTGAGTATTCATAGATGTGTGTTTATTTATTGAGTTCAAAGTTGATATTATACTTAACACCAGAAGTTAGGCCACAACATTGAAATTCGGCTTAGTGAAAATGAAGAGCCAGGACCATTTTAGCCCCTATTTTGACAAGAGATTTTCATTATGATAAACTTCTTGGCATAACAGGTAAGAGCATGGTTTAGGATGCCTTATAGTGTTGCCATCATAATTTATTACTAAAAACCAGAATCTTAACTGGGACATAAGTACCTATGAGGGTGTAGAGTCATTCTACTATGTAAATGTTTTGACAAGCCATGATCTTAAATCATTTTTCTGAATTAAAATTCAGGTTGTCTGTTACAACTCCGTATGGATTTTATTGAGAGAAACAATTTAAAAATCTTTATTCCCATGTGACTTTTGGCTCTGGCCAAGTGAAGAGATTAACAGATTATCTTCCCCAAAAAAGCAACTATAAAGCTGGACAAAATGGAAAAAAAAACAATCATTTCAACATTTGGAAATCAACCAAAGACATATAGCAATCTTAGAAATGTTTATGTTTTTTAAAACTGCTGAATTTTGTGTAAAAATAGTGGAACTTCGTGGCATTCTGGTATGGGTCTGCTCCTATCATCCCCACCCCAATTCAGTCAACACACAGATTCTGTCTGTTTGAAGGGGCTCACTTAATTTGTAATAGTCAGTAATGCCCATGACCAGCTGCAGCATCTGTGGAAATGATGATCTTGAAGTAGGCCAGTAGGGAGCCCTACAGCTCCCTAGCCTGAGAGGTCAACAGCTCTTCTAGCCTGAGATTGCAGTGGTGGTGGGATAAGCATATTCCTGGCTGAGGTTGCACTCATGTGAATCAGAGACCAAAGGACTGATGCAACTCCTGACTGAACCTGAGGCTGTGTTCATGCACATAAGAGACAGAAAAGGGCCCATAGAAAATAAAAGATGGATCAGGCTTGAAAATGACCTGAACTTTGAATGAGCTCCCCTATCCACATACAGATTTGGGACAGTAAGTACCTACTGGGATGTAGAGTCATTCTACTTTATAAATATTTTATAAGCTGTGACCTTAAATCATTTTTCTGAATTAAACTTCAAGTTGTCTGTCCAACCATTCACTTGACAGACTTTCCACATTTGGACAGTCCACACTTGGACAGTCTGTCTAGTGATCATTGATTGATCACTTGCTTTCTACACATGGGATGACTCATAAGAACTCAGACTTAAAAAGGAGAACATCGGCCGGGCACGGTGGCTCACACCTGTAATCCTAGCACTTTGGGAGGCCGAGGCGGGTGGATCATGAGGTCAGGAGTTCAAGACTAGCCTGGCCAAGATGGTGAAACCCTGTCTCTACTAAAAATACAAAAATTAGCTGGGCACGGTGGTGCATGCCTGTAATCCCAGCTACTGAGGAGGCTGAGGCAGGAGAATCGCTTGAACCTGGGGGGTGGCGATTGCAGTGAGCCAAGATTGTGCCACTGCACTCCAGGCTGGGAGACAGAGTGAGACTCTGTCTCAAAAAAAAAGAACATAAGGCCGGGCACGGTGAGGTGACTCACGCCTATACTCCCAGCACTCTGGGGGGCCGAGGTGGGAGTATCATCTGAGGTTAGGAGTTCGAGACAAGCCTGGCCACACCTCGTCTCTACTAAAAAAATGCAAAAAAATTAGCCACACATGGTGGCAGGTGCCTGTAATCCCAGCTACTCAGGAGGCTGAGGCAGGAGAATCACTTGAACTCGGGAGGCGGGAGGCAGGAGGCAGGAGGCGGATGTTGTGGTGAGCCGAGATTGCGCCACTGCACTTCAGCCTGGGCAACAAGAGCGAAACTCTGTCTCACAAAAAATAAAAAGAAGAACATATATTTTTTAATAAACAACTAAGCAGCAACATCAGTGGCCACATATATGAGGGGAGACAGACTTCATGGATTTAGTCCAGGCAGGTTACTAGCAAAGAAATGCACTAGCAAAAAAAAAAACCAAAAACAACAACAACAAAAAAAAGCAAGCAACAATAACAATTTTATAAGGATAAGATTGTCAGTATATCAATAAGTACTTTGTTATATCAATAAGATGTAACAGTTATACATGTATATCCACCTAAAACTTGCTTCCAAATACATGAAACAAAAATGGACAAAATTGAAAACATAAGTAGACAACTCAATGGTTGGAGATTGTAATACCCCACTTTCAATAATTGATTGAAAAACTAGACAGAAATCAGCTAGTATCGAAGACTTGAACAACATTATCAACCAAATGCCATATATGGAACACTCCATCCAATGATTGCAGAATTCTTTTTAAGCACATTGGCACATTTCATAGGATAAGTCATATGCTAAGCCACAAAACAAGTCTCAGTAAATTTAAAGGTGACCATGTGGGATTTATCCCAGGAATGCATGTTTGGTTTAACATCCAAAAATCTATTGATGATGTATACTACGTAAAGAATAATGAACAAAAAGCACATACCTATCTTAATGGATGCAGAGAAAGGATTTGGCAAAATCTAACACCCATTTATGATTTTTTAAAAAGCTCCTAACAAGCTAGGAATAGAAGGGAACTTTCCCAATATGAAGAAGGGCACCTACAATAGAACTACAGGTAATATGACGCCATACTTGATAAAAGACTGAATGCTTTGACCCTAAGATTGGGAACAAGGCAAGCAAGTTTGCCTTTGCCACTTCAACATTCTGGTGGTTCTTGCCAGTACAATAAGGTAAGAAGGAAAAAAACTAAAGATACTTACATTGGACAGGAGGAAGTACAACTCTTTATATGCAGTTGATGTGATCCTGTATATAGAAAATATTGTAGAGGGGTGGGGCTGGTGAGGAGGACTACTAGAAATAATAAAGTTTAGTCAGGTTGGAGGATAGAAGATCAATATACAAAAATCAATTGTATTTCTATATATATATTTGTACATATATATGTATATGTATTAAAGAAAAATCTAAAAATGAAATTAAGATAATATTTACACTAGCATCAAAAAACAATAAAATAGGAATAAAGCTAAAGAGCAAGATTTGTACACTGAAAACTATAAAGCATTGTTGATAGAAATTAGAGACCTAAATAACATTTTGTCTTTATAGATTAGAAGTTTTAATATTGTTGAGATTGCATTTCTCCCCAAATTGATCTGTAAATTAAACACACTTCCCAGCAAAATCCAGTAGGCTTTTTTGTTAGAAATGAATAAGTTGATCCTAAATGTTATATGGAACAGTGAAACCCAGTCCTGATCCATACTATAGAATACCACTTAGCAATAAAAAGGAATGAAACTGTTGATACACTTAGCAGCATAGATGAATTGTATCTATTATGTTGAGTGAAAGAAGGCAGGCCAAAACAGGCTACTTATTTTATGATTCCATTTATATAAATGGAATATATAATTTCTATTCATAATTATATATAATTATATATATAATTTATATTAATGGAATTATACAAGATTATTCTGATCTGTAGCGACAGAAAATAGATCAGTGGTTGTCTGGATAAGGGGTCCAGTTGGAGAGGAGACTAACAGTGGTACACAGGTAGTTTTGGGAGTGATAAATATTGCTGTCATCTGAATGTTTGTGTCTCTCCAGAATTCATATGTTGAAATCTAATCCCCAATCTGTTGGTATTAAGATGTGGGGCCTTCAGGAGATCACTATGTCATGAGGGTGGGAACCTCATGAATGAGATTAGTGCTCTTATAAAAGAAGCCTGAGGTTGCTTTTTGGTTCCTTCTACCATGCGAGAACACAGCAAGAAGGTACCATCTATGAAGTAGAGTACTCACCAGACACTAAGTCTGCCCATACCTTGATCTTGGACTTCCCCATCTCCAGAACCGTCAGCACTACATTTCTTACCTAGTCTACAGTATTTTGGTTATAGTAAGCCAAATCAACTAAGACAGTTATGTTCATTATTTTGATTGTGGTGATGGTTTTACTAGTATATACATAAAACATATTAAATTGTATACTTAAAATAGTTTATTATATGTCAGTTATATCTCAATAAAGCTTTTGTTATAAATCTTTATTCATTATTGTTTTACTTAGGCACATTTTTAAAGGAAAATTTCTATTATTTTAATTATTTTTATTTACAGAAAACTCAGCAGTGTACATTTAACCCAGTTTAGTGGCAGGTTCTTTAGCGTTTGCCTTTTCGAGCTTGGCGATGCGAGCCACAGACTTGGGAGCCAGGACATTGCCGCCCCAGTGACGGTGGATCTCATCGTATCTGTCATTGTAATTGGTCCTAATAGCTTCCACTAGCTTAGCCAAAACGCCTTTGTCTTCCAAGTTAACCTGTGTGAAGGCGACAGTGGTACAGGTCTTCCTGTGGACTAGACATCCCAGTCTTCCCTTCCCCTTGATAATGCAATAAGGGACCCCCATTTTATGACACAGGGCAGGCAAGAAGACAACCAACTCGATGGGAGCCACGTGTGCAGTCACCACCAGCTGAGCTTTCTTTGTTCTCCACCAAGGTGTTGATGGTGTTAACTCCTGCTCGAAGGACAGGTGGTCTCTTACTGGGGACATCCCCTTTGCCAGCAGCTTTCTTCTCAGCCCAGGTCAACAGCCTCTGCTTCTTCTCTTGCTTTGTCTCTGGTCTGTACTTGTGGGCCAGCTTAAGCAGCTGAGTAGCTGTTTGGCGGTCCAGGGCCTGGGTGAACTGGTTAATCGCAGGAGGCACTTTCAGCCGCTTATTGAGGGATGGCTCTCTGCCGCTGCAACCTGATAGAGCAGGGCTATTTCACAAAGCTGGTGAGGTCTCTTTTGGGCTGGATGTCTTGCTCAGTGCCAAAATTCTTAGGCCTTTTCTCAAACAGGGGATTCACCACTTTCTTGTCCTCCTGCTTCTTCACAACAGCAGGGGCCAGAGCCACCTTCTTTCCCTTGGCCTTTCCTTTTGGCATCTTGGACGGCGGGAGGAGAGAGCTACTTAGGCACATTTTTAAACCCTTTTGTATACTTTTTATACAGAGTAAGAAAGGAAAGGTAAATTGATTTTATAGATTTTGTCCTTTTTATCCTAAACCTTTTTGTGTAATCAGTATGATGAAATATAAGTAATATTTTTGCTTGAGTTTTTTTCTAAAGCATAAGTGATACCCACATTAGGAAGATAATGTTGGGCCAGGCATGGTGGCTCATGCCTGTAATCCTAGAGCTTTGGGAGGCCAAAGTGGGAGGATTGCTTGAGCCCAGGAGTCCAAGACCAGCCTAGGCAACACAGGCCCCATTTGTACAAAAAATTTTAAAAATTAGCTAGGTGTGGTGGTACGTGCCTGTAGTCCCAAGCTGTTCAGGAGGCTGAGGTGGGATGATGACTTGGGCCTGGGAGGTTGAGGCTGCAGTGAGCCATGGTCATGCTATTGCACTGCAGCCTGATCAACAGAGTGAGACCCTGTCTCAAAAAACAAACAAACAAAACCAAAAAAAAAAAAAAAAAAAAAACAAGAAGATAATGTTGCACCAGTAGTTTTCCAAATGGGATTTCCCATTTGATAAACACAGCCTTCATTTCCATGTGGGCTCCAAATGTTAACTTTGAAATAATAACTACAGTGCTTACCTTTTTAAAGAAGTGAAGGAAAATAAATAAATTATTTTTAATGTATCTACAGGCAACACCAACATTGCTTAGAAGATTTGGATCTCAGCTTATCAAGTCAACTGTTTTGTCAGCCACTACTTCTCTTCGAGTATTAGCCCTTGGTGGTGAAGCGTTTCCATCATTGACAGTTCTCAGAAGCTGGAGAGGAGAAGGCAATAAAACACAAATATTTAATGTTTATGGTATCACAGAGGTATCAAGTTGGGCGACCATTTATAGGATTCCAGAGAAGACTCTTAACTCTACTCTCAAGTAAGGGTTTTCATTGTACTATATAGAGAAGAGAGACTGTATATTTCTAGGATCTTAACACTGACAGTGTTTTTGATAGGTGCTGGGGTAATAATTTTAGAAACACGATTGTATCTGATATTTTAAGTTGGGAATCCAGAACCTTCCTTACTATAGCTGGTGCCAAGATACTGCTGCAACTTTTTGTACTAAATAGTAATGAATAACATATATGGTTACCTTTCCACCTAACCTTTTCCTCTTGTCAGTCTTTGAATTAGAGCGTAACAAACTTTTTTTTCTTTATTTGGTACAGTATGATTTAAATATATTGGAAAATATTCTATTCAAATGAAAAATTTTAAATCTGCTCTGTATCTTATTTTCATAGATGTGAATTGCCTGTACAACTGGGATTTCCACTTCTTGGAACAGTAGTTGAAGTCAGAGATACTAATGGCTTCACAATTCAGGAAGGCAGTGGCCAAGTATTTTTAGGTTGTTTTATATTTGTTGATTGGGAATTTTTTTTTCAAGAAAAATGATCTGATGTGTTAATTTTATTCCTTTCGTCTTTTTCTTTTGTCTATCTCATGCTTTTCAGTGATAATTTTTATTCTCATTCATATAGTCATGAAATACCAAATGTTACAATAATTATTTCAGATAATAATGTCTAACACATTAATAAAAGTAATTTAGAGACTGTAACTTGGACCTTCATATTTATATTTATAGCCAAAATTATATTTAATCAGTAGTCTAAGAATTTTTTTAATTCCATAAATTTTAAGAAATAAATTTCATTTTATCTCTGCTTATTTACTGAACTTATTGTGTCTGATTTTATCAGATAACATTTTAAAATGAGCCCATCTTTTAATATTTAAATTTTGAAGTTTAGTCACTGAACTTTTGGAGATGTTGATTTTATGGTTTTTAATATATTTCCCTTGGATTTTTATGACATTGGTGTTTATATCTTGGGAAGGTGGCAGAAACAGAGTGTGTTTTCTTGATGATGAAGTGACAGTACCACTTGGCACAATGCGAGCTACAGGAGACTTTGTGACTGTGAAAGATGGAGAGATTTTTTTTTTGGGACGAAAAGACAGTCAGATCAAACGTCATGGCAAACGTCTTAACATTGAACTTGTGCAACAGGTAGAACTATTTAAATATTGAATATCTATTAATATATGTAAGTAGTAGAAGCAGCCACCACCAATTTTCTGTGCTGGGGTCTCTATTATTTACACCTGACATTTTTGTGTTAGTGATGAATTACAATAAAGGGTATGAATAATTCAGGGTGCCCCTTATCCCCAGCATGAAGAGATGGTTATTCTTTAAATAAGTGACAAATTAGATTTTGATATTTGTGAAATTTAACTGGCTTATTTTGCTTTAGGATCTATTATTTTGAAAAATATTATGAACCCTATGTGCAAGTAATAGTAACAGTAGCAAAGCAATTTTTTAAAAATCTCCAGTATATTCCAAAATTTAATTCAGCTGTTTTGATTTCAGACATTAAAAAAATAAGCTTTTAGGAAGCTTGTTTGTAAATATCCTCATTGGCAAATTAGGATAATCTCTCTTATAGGTTGCTGAAGAGCTTCAGCAAGTGGAGTCTTGTGCAGTTACATGGTATAATCAGGAAAAATTAATTCTCTTCATGGTGTCTAAAGATGCTTCAGTAAAAGAATACATCTTTAAAGAACTGCAGAAATATCTTCCAAGTCATGCAGTCCCGGATGAGCTTGTATTGATCGACTCTCTACCATTTACATCCCACGGTAAAGTAATTTAAAGCAGATATGTTTCAGTGCCAAATAATACTAATTGTATTCATAACTAGCTTAATGATAACATAAATCTTTATTTTTATAAATGGTACTAGCATTTATTGTGATAGACCCTCTTTTGACTGCTTTGTCTAATTAATTCATTTTATCTTCAGAAAATCCTGTGGATAGGTGGTATTATTCCTATTTACAGATGAAGAAAATAAGGCTTAAAGAGGTTAAGTAGTTAGGTGAGGCATGGTGGTCAGCGCCTGTAGTTTCAGCCACTCAGGGAAGCTAAAGTGGAGGATGCTTGAGGCCGAGAGTTTGAGGGCACAGTGTGCTATGTTTGTGCCTGTAAATAACCACTATACTCCAGCCTTGGCAACATCTAAAAAAAAAAAAAGAGGTTAGGTAATTTTCCAAAAATCATTTTGCTAGTTAGTGGTTATATTAGTATAGTAGTCATGGTTCTCCAGAAACAGAACCAATATATAGATAGATAAAATATTTATTGTCAGGAATTTGCCCATGCAATTATGGAAGCTAAGAAGTCTAATATCTCCCTTTGGCAAGCTGGAGACTCAGGAAAGTCGGTGCTGTATCCAGTCTGTGTCCTAAGGCCTGAGAATCAGGGGAGCTGATGATATAAATCCCTGTTTGAGGACAGGAGGAGATGAGATGTCCTAGCTTAAGCAGTGATGCAAGAAAAAGGGTGCAGGCCAGGGGCGGCAACTCGCGCCTATAATCCCAGCACTTTGGGATGCCAAGGCAGGTGGATCACTTGAGGTTGGGAGTTTGAGACTGGCCTGGCCAAAATGGTGAAACCCTGTCTTTACTAAAAATACAAAAAAATTAGCTGATTGCAGTGGTGCACGCCTGTAGTCCCAGCTACTTGGAAGGCTGAGGTGGGAGGATCGCTTGAACCCAGGAGGCAGAGGTTGCAGTAAGCCGAGGTTGCGCCACTGCACTCCAGCCTAGGCAACAGAGTGAGACTCCATCTCAAAAAAGAGAAAGAAAAAGCATGCAAATTCTTCCTTTCTCTGCCTTTTTTCTATTTTGGCCCTCAACAGTTTGGATGATGCCCAATCTACTTTACTGAGTCCTTAATTAGTTTCATCTACTAATCTCATCCAGAAGCACCCTCACAGACCCAGTCAGAAAAATGGTTAATCTGGGCACCCTGTGGCCCACCCACATTGACACATACAATTAACCTATCACAGTGATAGAATTGATATTCTGTCTAGGACTGTTTTTTATTTTAATTTTATTTTTATTATTGTTTGTTTTGTCTGTCTAGGACTGTTTGACTTCAAAATATATAATCTTAATCACCATATTATATTGCCTTCCCAATTTCATTTTTATTTAATATATACTTCAACATGCAGTAATTGCTCAGGTAATGGAACTATTTCCTTAACTCTTGAAATTGAGATAAATTGGATAAATATTAGCTCCTTTTTTCCTTTTTCTTTCTTTTTTTTTTTTTTTTGGAGATAGGGTCTCACTTCTTCACCCAAGCTGGAATGCAGTGGTGCAGTCAGGGCTCACTACTGCAGCCTCAACTTCCTGGGTTCAAGTGATCCTCCCATCTAAGCCTCCCGAGTAGCTAGAACTACAGGCCAATTTTTTAATTTTTCTGTAGAGACAGGGTCTTGCTGTGTTGCCCAGGCTGGTCTTGAACACCTAGCCTCAAGCGATCCTCCCACCTCAGCCTCCCAAAGTGTTGGGGTTACAGGACTGAGCCACTATGCCTGACCTGTTTCTCATCTATTTCTCTGTATATTCTTGGTAGTATCAGACAACTTTTTAGAATTGATTGTTGACAACAAACTCTTTATATGATTTCTGTGTTGTACAAAGAAAAATGTATATGGCTAATGAATATATAAAGGCTTTGAGTGAAATTTTAAAATGTTTTAAAACATTTGTTATTTCTCTTTTATATTAAGGCAAAATTGATGTTTCTGAGTTAAACAAGATATATTTAAACTACATAAACTTGAAGTCTGAGAATAAGCTCAGTGGGAAAGAGGACCTTTGGGAAAAATTACAGTATTTGTGGAAGGTACAATTTTTAAGTTATAAAATTATTATTATAAAGAGGTCGTTTTATATCTTTAGGGACTGCTATTATCCTAACAAGTTGGATAAAATTTTCTGAGAATGTTATTGCTACCCAGATGTTAGGTAGTATATCTTCATTTATCCAATTTGTATTAAAATGAAGGTTAGATTCTCTACTATAAGACTAGATTAAGTTTCCGACAAAGAAATTTATTGAAAGTGAAGTAGTCATAAAAGGCACAAGTAGACAAAGCCTGTTTTGACATAACTTTTCTCTAAGAGGATCGGTGGAATGTAGTAACACTCTTGTCAGAGCTGAGAAAATAGCCAAATCTTGCTATAGCACAGTGCGTTGTCTGTTATACTTAGGGCTTACATCATTATTCTAAAAGAACTTTCAGTAACAATATTTATTTCTACTTGAGAGAGTTTGTTTAAAAATATATCTCAGTAAGTTAATAATTTTTCTTAAATAAAATGTAGATTTTTCTTTTTTAAAGGGTTCTGAAAAGAGGATGTAATTGTGTAGCCTTGTCTAAAAATAGAGGGTATCTAAGATAAAAGTCTCTTCTACTTCATTTTTAGATTCTTGGAAAGTAATTTTGCTTTATATGAAGCAGCCAAAGACAAATTATTCCCATATTATAGAAATATTGGCTATTGGTATCTTGTGGGCTTTATAATTAATAAATCAGATGTTTTTGTCCCAATTTTATGGGTAAGAAAACTGCTCTAAAGGGAAGTATATTTTGTACTTTTAGAGTGAATTTGTGACAAAATTGGTAGTACAGTGATCTCCTTTAACATAAATAAAATAATTTAAAACTTTATTTTTATTATTAAAAGTATTTATTTTATATTTCTAATTGTTATTATTATTATTATTTTTGAGATGGAGATTCACTCTGTTGCCCAGGCGGGAGTGCAGTGGCGCAATCTTGGCTCACTGCAACCTCCACCCCCTGGGTTCAAGCGATTCTCTTGCCTCAGCCTCCGAGTAGCTGAGATTACAGGTGGCTACCACCGCACCCAGCTAATTTTCGTGGTTTTAGTGGAGGTGGGGTTTCACTGTGTTGGCCAGGATGGTCTCGAACTCCTGACCTCATGTGATCTGCCCGCCTTGGCCTCCCAGAGTACTGGGATTACAGGCGTGAGCCACTGTACCCGACCTATATTTCTAATTATTAATGTAGGTACTCTCATCTCTATATATTACCTGTAAATGTTGAAGTCTTTTGCTTTTAGACCTTTACGTCACATATTTCTCTATTCTCTCATCTGTAGTCTACTCTGAATCTCCCAGAAGATCTTTTGAGGGTTCCTGATGAGTCACTCTTCTTAAATAGTGGTGGAGATTCCTTAAAGTCCATCCGGCTCCTCAGTGAGATTGAAAAACTTGTTGGTACATCAGTACCTGGGCTTCTGGAAATTATTCTCAGCAGTTCCATTTTAGAGATTTATAATCACATCCTTCAAACAGTGGTTCCAGATGAAGATGTGACATTCAGGAAGAGTTGTGCCACAAAAAGGAAACTCAGCGACATTAATCAAGAGGAAGCCAGTGGAACATCTTTACATCAGAAAGCCATCATGACTTTCACTTGCCACAATGAGATTAATGCTTTTGTTGTACTGAGCAGAGGGAGTCAAATTTTGTCTCTGAATTCCACTAGGTTTTTAACAAAGTTAGGACATTGCTCTTCAGCCTGTCCTTCTGACTCAGTTTCACAGACCAACATTCAAAATTTGAAAGGCTTAAATTCTCCAGTTCTTATTGGGAAGTCAAAAGATCCATCCTGTGTTGCAAAAGTTTCTGAAGAGGGGAAACCTGCGATAGGGACTCAGAAAATGGAGTTACATGTGAGGTGGAGGTCAGACACAGGCAAATGTGTAGATGCTTCACCGCTGGTTGTAATACCCACTTTTGATAAGTCATCTACAACTGTGTACATTGGTTCCCATTCTCATAGAATGAAGGCAGTTGACTTTTACTCTGGGAAGGTAAAATGGGAACAGATTTTGGGAGATCGAATTGAATCCTCAGCATGTGTATCTAAGTGTGGAAACTTTATTGTGGTGGGTAAGTTTTTGAATTTGAGGTTTGTGGAGTTAAATTGAATTACCATACAATAATCTTCATAGGCCCAAGTTAAATTTTTTAAAAATCTAAATATGATGGGTTTGGTTGCTGTCCAAAAATTATAGTTAACCCTGTGCTGATTAATATTGTGGGCCTTGGGGTCAAGAGTCCCTGGATTTGAACCTACCTGTATAGCTATTATGAACTCTGTGACCTTTGGCAAGTTACTGAACCTCTTAGAATTTCACTTTCCTTGTGGGTAAAATGGGAATAATAATAAAATGTGTTGCTGTATCACAAATACCCCAAAACTCAACAACCTAGAACAACACAAATTTATTGTCTCATAGTTTCTATGGGTCAGCAATTCAGGAGCAGCTTAGCTGGCAGTTCTGGCTCAGGGCTTTCACGTGGCTATAGCCATCTGAAAGCTTGACTTGGGTTGGAAAATCTGCCAAGGTAGCTCATTTACATCACTATTAGCAGAAAGCCTCAGTTCTTTGCTGATTCTGGCAGGAAGCTTCAATTCTTGCCACATACGCCTCTCTCTAGGCTGCTTGACTGCCCTTACAACATGGCAGCTAACATTCCTCAGAGTGATCCAGGAGACAGCAAGTAAAGAGGAACAGAGTACCTTTTATGACCTAGCGTTCCAAGTTCCATACCATCATTTTTTGTTTTCTTCTGTTAATTAGAAGGGCATAACTCAGCCAGGCGCGGTGGCTCACAGCTGTAATATCAGCACTTTGAGAGGCCAAGGTGGACAGATCGCTTGTGCCCAGGAGTTCGAGACCAGCCTGGGTAACATGCAGAAACTCTGTCACTACAAAAAATACAAACATTAGCTAGGCATGGTAGTACATGCCTGTAGTCCCAGCTACTTGGATGGCTGAGATGGGAGGATCACTAGAGCCCAGTAGGTTGAGGCTGCTGTGAGTGGTGATTGTGCCACTGTACTCTGGTCTGAGCAAGCAGAGCAGGACTCTGTCTCAAAAAAAAAAAAAGTGCATAACTCAGTTCAGGCCACATTCAAGGGGAAGAGAATTAGGCTCCACCTCTTGAAAGGAAGTACATCAAAGAATTCATGTACTTTTTTTTTTTTTCTTTTTTTTGAGATGGAGTCTGGCTCTGTTTCCCAGGCTGGAGTGCAGTGGCGCGATCTTGGTTCACTACAACCTCCACCTCCCGGGTTCAAGTGATTCTCCTGCCTCAGCCCCCTGAGTAGCTGGTATTACAGGCACATACCACCACACCCAGCTAATTTTTGTATTTTTTGTAGAGATGGGGTTTCACCATGTTGGTCAGGCTGGTATTGAACTCCTGACCTTGTGATCCACCTGCCTCGGTGTCCCAAAGTGCTGGGATTACAGGTGTGAGCCACTGCACCCGGCCTCCTGGACATATTTTAAAACACTAGAATCTTTTATCAAGCTTTTGGGAGGATTAAATGAGATAACTGTTTATGAATCAATTGGTGCATTGCTAGGGACGTGCCACCACACCTGGCTAATGTTTGTAATTTTTGTAGAGACAGAGCTTCTGCGTGTTGTCCAGGCTGGTCTCAAACTCCCGGGCTCAAGCGATCTGCCCACCTCAGCCTCCCAAAGTGCTGAGATTACAGGCGTGAGCCACCATGTCTGGCCTGGTGAGCATTTTTTCATAAGTGCTCATTAAGGGTTAGCTACTAACTGCTGCTTAGTTTCATTAAGGTATAGGTGACTTTTACTCTATTAGGAATATGGGGGTCCTGGGTATAATATCTCCCCCTGACTACAACTCTCTTTTTACTCTCCCAAGTATGTTAGGTTTCATTTTATACGCTCATGGAATCTTCATCAAAGCTTTTCAAACTAAAGGCTTAGGAATAGCTTTCCCTACTTGTGCTATCCTAGCAGCAATCTACTTGAATCTGAATGTGATTCTTCCCTTCTTCCCCTTTAAACAACGGCATTTTGAAAATTATACTACAGAACACTTTCAGTAATACACCTGAATGATAAGAAACTGCTGAATTGTTTCCCAAAGTGATAAAGTGTTTTGCATTTCCACCATCAATGTGTGAAAAGTCCAGTTGCACCACATTTTTGCTAGTACTTGGTATTGTCAGCTTTAACTTTTTTTTTGTTATAGCCGTTGAAATAATCATGAGTGGAATTTTATTGTGGTTTTAATTTGCCTTTCCCTAGTGACCAGTGATGTTGAGCATCTTTTTTTTTTTTTTTAAGACAGCGTCTTGCTCTGTCACCCAGGCTGGAGTGCAGTGGCGTCATCATGGCTTACTACACCCTCGAACTCCTGGGCTCAGGTGATGCTCCCACCTCAGCTTCTGGAGTAGCTGGGACTACAGATACACCACCACACCTGGCTAATGTTTGTAATTTTTGTAGAGACAGAGCTTCTGTGTGTTGTCCACGCTGGTCTCAAACTCCTGGGCTCAAGCGATCTGCCCACCTCAGCCTCCCAAAGTGCTGGGATTACAGACGTGAGCCACCATGTCTGACGAGCACCTTTTCAAAACCTCATTTGCTCTCTGTGTATCTTTTGTGAAGTGTCTATTGAAATCTTTTTCCCATTTTTAAGTTTTTTAAATTGAGTTTTAAGAATTGTTTTATGTATTCTGAATATAAATCATTTATCAGATATATGTTTTGCATGTTTTCTCTCAGTCTGGGGCTTGTGTTTTATTCTTTTAGCGTAGTGACATAGTGTCTTTTGAAGAGGAGTCCTTTATTTTGATGAAGTCCAATTTAATTTTTTTAATGGGTCATGCTTTTGGTGTCATCTTAGCAATCTTTGCCTAACCCAAGGTCAAAAAGATTTTCTTTTGTATTGTCTTTTGGAATTAAACTGAATTGACAGAAATCTTTACCCAGGTGAGTTCTGGGGTGCTCTACTATGTAGGACATTTCTCTTTGTCATCTCTGAGCTGGCCACTACTCTCTTGCTACTAAATAATAACTGCCAGGGGAAAAAAAAGCATAAAAAGTACATTGGGAATTGGGCCTCAAATGAGTGGCAGCGGCCATAGGCAGAGCTGTCTAGAGAGTGGGCATCAATGAAATTGCCCTAAATAGCTGTCCCCAAATTCTACTTCTCCTGATTTTCATGATCTCCAGGGAATTTGAGTGACCTTCACTTTGTACATTTGAACCATCTCTACTTCCAGTTAGGTTATTTTGGCTACACCAAGGTCAAGGACTCCTGCCCTGTCTTCTCATCCATAGCAGCAATTTGGGAAAAGCAGTTTAGTTGTTAAGAGCATAGGCTCTGGAGATTGACTTCTTAGATTCAAATCTTGGTTTGCCACATATGAGCTGTGTAATTTTTCCCCAGTAATTTAGTCTCTCTGTGCTTCAATTTTGTTATCTATAAAATGTGGTTATAATAGTACTTACTTCACTGTGGGGATTAAATGAATTAATAGATGTAACATACTTAGAATAACGCCTGACACATAGTAAATGCTCAATGAACATTGACTATTAACGTTAGCACTTCTTAAACACCTTCTATGCACTGGGCATTTGTTCACATTATCTGAATTGTTGCAATAACCCTGGAAGTAGATGACTCCACATTCTGCAGATGAATAATTTGGGGCTTAGCAACACTGGGTGATTTAAATGCCCAGTGACAGTCGTGATGAAATCTGAATCCAGATGTGTCAAAAATCTCTCTCCACCACAGTGTACTTTATTATTTTTTCAGTAGTGAAGCGCTTCTTAAAAATAAGTATGTAAAAAAATTAGTGAAGTACTTTTAAAAGATAAGATACACCTACTAAATAGATATTTTACATAAGTGATTACTAATTCAGTTTCTGCTTTACATTGCTAAAATGTAAGCCAGATGAGCTTATCATAGAGCCTATGTATAAGAGGAGGACTGAATATAAATTGCATGCTGTAGGCTAAAGAATTATTTTCCAGTAATATATCTATATCAAATCTTTTGTGCTTTGTTTCTTGGTAGGCTGTTATAATGGATTAGTTTATGTTCTGAAAAGTAATAGTGGAGAAAAATACTGGATGTTTACTACTGAAGATGCTGTCAAAAGCTCGGCAACCATGGATCCAACCACAGGACTCATTTACATTGGATCTCATGACCAGCACGCATATGCTTTAGATATTTATGTAAGGATTGACCTCAAATTAGCTGGGCATGGTGGCGCATGCCTGTAATGGTAGTTACTCCAGAGGCTGAGGTGGGAGGATTGCGTGAACCTGGGAGGTGGAGGTTGCAGTGAGCCAAGATTGTGACAGTGTATTCCACCCTGGGTGACAGAGTGAGACTCTATCTCAAAAAAAAAAAAAAAAAAAGAAAGAAAATTCACCTCATTAGTCTAATACCATAAGCATAGAAGCATTAAATTTCAATACTTAGAAGAAGAGTGAGTAACTGTCAGGTGTAGTTGAGCCTTGGAACAGGTATTAACTATTTCCCAAGCTTGTGTGGTCTGGGAAGAATAAAGCATTAATTAAGTCTTAATATCTTAAGACCTTTTTAACTTCATTACCAAATTTACCACAAATAAGTGTGCTACTCAGAGTTTTGGAATTAAAGAATTTAGGATTATCATCTTGACAGTAGAAAAAAATGACGAAGATATCAATAAGATGTTTTAAGACCTGATTACATAAAAATTAAAATGTTATGTAAGAATTATGAAATTAAGCTGGGAAAATTTTTGAAATAAATGTAAAAAAAGTGGAAATTCATTTATATTTATAAGTATTAATGAAAATAAAGATCAAATACAAATTAATAAGACAAATGTAGAGCAGATAGAAAAATAAACAAGGGACATAAATACACAGGACCCCAAAGAAGAGACGGCTAGTAAATGTATATAAATAGTTCATGAATTTAATAATCAAAGGAATGAAAATTAAAAACTCTTGAGATAAACAAATGGTGTTAGATTAGAAGACATATTCATCATAACATTAAATGCTGATGAGAGTGGTAAGAGGTTGTAACTAGTGAGGCCTCTAATGAAAACGATTTGACCATAGGTAACAATATCATATCCTTGATCCAATAAAATTCGTTTTTTAGAAATCCTGGCAAAAATAATCAGAAACATAGTCAAATATATGCATTAAGATGCCTATTTCTAAGTTGTTTATAATACCTAGAAATTCCAAAAAACGTTCAATGATAAGGTAGAGAGAGAAATTATTTATGTTCATATGGGATATTATGGATTAAAATTATATTTAAATCATTTTACAAAATCAGTGAGCAAAATATGATACCAAGTTATATATTCAGAATGATCTCAGCTATATTAGATCGTGTGTGTGTATATACACATATTCTCAGATGTGTGCGCCCAGACACACACACCCATACCCCAAAAAGATCAAATGAGAAAATGCTAAAATGTTAACACTGGTTGTCTCTGGGTAGTGTCCTTTGTCTTTATACTAATCTGATTCTCCACAGTAGGCATGTACTTTATACTAAAGATAAAAACTTATATTAACTAAACAGACATAATATCATGAAGGGTAGGTTATATGGATTTGTTAACCATCAACAAGAACAAATTAATTTGTTTTCTTATTTGCAGAGAAAGAAGTGTGTTTGGAAGTCAAAATGTGGAGGAACTGTCTTTTCCTCTCCGTGTTTGAACCTGATTCCACATCATTTGTATTTTGCTACATTGGGAGGACTTTTACTGGCTGTAAATCCTGTAGGCATAAAATAATACATATTGATTTTATTACTTTTCTTTAAATTTGTAAAATTTTTGCTTTGAGCTTTGAAAGTTTGAGTAGTTTTCAGTTAATTGTAGTAGTCCACATACACCAAACTGGAATTCATTAAAAATGATTGACATGAGATCTAGAAAGATAAGAAAATTTAAATTCCTGTATATATATATATATGTATTTTTTTGTTTGTTTGTTTGTTTTTTGACAGAGTCTCCCTCTGTCACCCAGGCTGGAGTGCAGTGGCGCAATCTCAGCTTACTGCAACCTCTGCCTCCCAGGTTCAAATTGACAAAATTTTTTTCATCATATTAAGAACTTTATGTCCATCACAGGGATAACTCTTAGGTGCTAGTTTTTTCTTTGCTGCTTTTATTGCAAGCCTTTTTCCTAGTTCTCATAAATAGCACTGATTAATTTTATATATGTATACCAGCTTCATTTATGTCTGCATACCACTACAGCATTTTCTGCTATTTTAGTTCTAACCCTAGGAGATGTATGAGTTTGTTTTTTAAAGGGTAACTGATTAGTAGGATGACATAAAATGCTGTGAATTGCTTTTTCCTGTGACAGGCTACTGGGAACGTTATTTGGAAACATTCCTGTGGAAAACCACTCTTCTCTTCCCCACAATGTTGCTCACAGTATATTTGTATTGGCTGTGTAGATGGGAATTTACTCTGCTTTACTCACTTTGGAGAACAGGTAATAGAACTAGAAATTTTTTATATATACATTTTTATATATATATAAATGTATATATAAAAAATAGAACTAGAAATTTTATATATCTATAGTTCTATTTATATTTTTTAAATTTACTTTTCTTAAAGGCAAAGCAGATGGTGACAACTGAAGTAACATTTTAAACATCATTATTCAACTCACGGTGTTGAGAAGTAGTTCTATTTTAATTGTGAAGCCATGGATTTCTTAATTTTTTAAAGAAGACATAGTAGATTTAAAAGATTTCTACCCAAACATTGTTACACTTCTTTTGTCATCTCCCCCAATTTTTAAAATATTACCAGTTTTTAGCCTGTTTTATTATAACTTCTATTGAGATTATGAAAGTTTAAATAAAACCCCTGGATTCTTTTAATTGATACAGACATTTGTACCTATTTATGGGGTATGTATGTGATATTTTGTTACAATCATAGACTGTGTAATGATTAAGTCAGGGTGTTTGTGGTGTCCATCACCTTGAGTACTTATTATTTCTATGTGTTGGGATCATTTCATGTCTTCTCTTTTAGCTGTTCTGAAATATACAACATATTGTTGTTGGCTGTAGTCATCCTACTCTGCTACTGAACATTATAACTTATTTTTTCTTACTATATGTTTTTACCTATTAACTAACCTGTTTTTATTTTTTTATTAGCCAACCCACCCCAACTTCTTTTTTTTTTTTTTTTTTTTTTTTGAGACAGAATCTTGCTCTGTTACCAGGCTGGAGTACATTGGTGTGATCTTGGCTCACTGCAACCTCCGCCTCACGGGTTCAAGCAATTCTCCTGCTTCAGCCTCCCGAGTAGCTGGGACTACAGGCGCATGCTGCCATGCCTGGCTAATTTTTGTATTTTTAGTAGAGACGGGGTTTCACCATGTTGCCCAGGCTAGTCTCGAACTCCTGACCTCAAGTGATCCACCTGCCTCAGCCTCCCAAAGTATTGAGATTACAGGCATGAGCCACCACGCCCGGCCCCCAACTTCTAATATTCCATTTTCTTCCTCCCTGAGATCAACTTTTTTAGCTCTCACATATGAGTGAGAACATGCAATATTTGTCTTTTTGGGCCTGGCTTAATTTCACTTAAGATAAAAATCTCCAATGGCTGGGCATCATGGCTCACGCCTGTAATCCCAGCACTTTGGGAGGCCGAGGTGGGAGGATCACAGAGTCAGGAGATCGAGACCATCCTGGCCAACATGGTGAAACCCCGTCTCTACTAAAATACAAAAAAAAAAAAAAAATTAGCTGGGTGTGGTGGCACATGCCTGTAGTCCCAGCTACTTGGGAGGCTGAGGCAGGGGAATCGCTGGAACCCGGGAGGTGGAGGTTGCAGTGAGCCAAGATTGTGCCACTGCACTCCAGCCTGGTGACAGAGCGAGACTCTGTCTCCAAAAAAAAAAAAAAAAAAAAAGATAAAAGTCTCCAGTTCCATCCATGTTGCTGCAAATGACATGATTTCCTTGGTTTTTATGGCCTGATAGTATTTCACTGCATCTATATATACTACATTTTCTTTATCCACTCATCCATTGGTGGACACTTAAGTGCATTCCATATCTTTGCTCTTGTGAATTGTGCTGCAGTAAACATGGGAGATGGGAGTGCAGGTTGTCTCTTTGATATACTGATTTTTTGTCTTTGGGTAAATAGTAGTAGGACTGTTGGATATGATAGTTCTCTTCTTAGTTTTTTGAGAAATCTCCATACTGTTTTCCACAATGACTACCCTAATTTACATTCCCACCAGCAGTGTAAGTTCCTTTTTCTCCACATCCTTGCCAGCATTTGTTATGTTCTTTTAGTAATAGCCATTTTAACTTGGTAAGATGATATCTCATTGTGGTTTTGATTTGCATTTCCCTGATCATTAGTGATGTTGAGTGTTTTTTTCATATACCTGTTAGCCATTTGTATGTCTTCTTTTGAGATATGTCTATTCATCTCCCTTGCCCACTTTTTAATAGGATTTGTTTACTGTTGTGTTGTTTGAGTTCCTCATATTCTATATATTAGTCCCTTGTTGGATGAATAGTTTGCAAGTATTTTCTCCCATTCAACAGGCTGTCTCTTCACTCTGTTGTTTCCTTTGCTGTGCAGAAGCTTTTTAGCTTAATATAGTCCCACTTAACTATTTTTGTTTTTGTTGCCTATACTTTTTAGGCCTTAGCTATAAAAGCTTTGCTTAGACCAGTGTCCTGAAGTGATTCCCTTATGTTTTCTTCTAGTAGTTTTAACTAGTTTTAGGTCTTAAATTTAAGTCTTTAATCCATCTCGAGTTTATTTTTATATGCAGTGAGAGAGAGGGGTCTGGTTTATTCTTCTGCATGTAGAGAGAGCTCCAATTTTCCCAGCACCATTCATTGAAGAGGGGTGTCCATTCCCCATTGTGTATTTTTGACATCTTTCTCAAAACTCCATTGGCTGTAACTACGTGGATTTATTTCTAGGTTCTCCATTCTATTACATTGATCTATTTTTATACCAATACAGTGCCATTTTGGCTAAATTAGCCTTATTTTGAAGTCAGTTACTGTGATGCCTCCAGCTTTGTTCTTTTTACCCAATATTGCTTTGGCTATTCTGGGTCTTTTTTGGTTCCATATGAATTTTATTTTCTTTAATTTTATTTTTTGAGATGGAATCTTGTTCTGTTGCCCAGGCTGGAGTGCACTGGCACAATTTTGGCTCACTGAAACCTCTGCCTCCCGGGTTCAAGCCATTCTCCTGCCTCAGCCTCCTGAATAGCTAGGATTACAGGTGTGTACCACCACACCCAGCTAATTTTTGTATTTTTAGTAGAGATGGGGTTTCACCATGTTGGCCAGGCTGGTCTCGAACTCCTGACCTCAGGTGATCCACCTGCCTTGGCCTCCCAAAGTGTTGGGATTACAGGTGTGAGCCACCATGCCTGGCCACAACTTATAACTGTTTATCATTGCCCATAAACTCTTCCTTTCAGCACAATTAACTTTTTTCCTACATTTGGAAAAGAAGATACATAGTTTGTAAGAAGATATATTGAAAACTGGTCTCAATTTTTTTTTTTTTTTTTGAAACAAGGTCTCACTATCGCCCAGGGTGGAGTGCAGTAGTGTGATCTTGGCTCACTGCAACCTCTGCCTCCCAGGTTCAAGTGGTTCTCCCACCTCAGCCTCCCCAGTAGCTGGGACTGTAGGTGTGTGCCACCACACCTGGCTAATTTTTGTATTTTTAATAGAGATGGGGTTTCACCATGTTGGCCAAGCTGGTCTTGAACTCCTGACTGCAGGTGATCTGCCTGCCTTGGCCTCCCAAAATGCTGGGATTATAGGCATGAAACACCACGCCTGGCCCAGTTTTTAATAAGATACACTGAAGGCTGGATGTGGTGGCTCACACCTGTAATCTCTGCACTTTGGGAGGCCGAGGTGGGCGGATCACGAGGTCAGGAGATCGAGACCATCCTGGCTAACATGGTGAAACCTCATCTCTACTAAAAATACAAAAAATTACCTGGGTGTGGTGGCACGCGCCTAGCTACTCGGGAGGCTGAGGCGGGAGAAGCGCTTCAACCTGGCAAGCAGAGGATGCAGTGAGCTGAGATCATGCCACTGCACTCCAGCCTGGGCGACAGAGCAAGACTCCATCTCAAAAAAAAATAATAATAATAAATAAAAATTAAAAAAAGATAATATTGAAAACTCAATGTAGTTTTACCTTTGAACTCAGTGTCTCTGAATAATACTAACTCTTGAATGGAGTTCAAAATTAATTTTACTTATTATGCACGGCAGTGAATCACATAGTAACAACACTCCAGTATATTTTGTCTTAGATTTTACATTTTACCACTGGGACAGAGGTCTAGTATGATAGTGCTACTTTTCAGAAAAAGCCATTTTGTCTGTGTATAGTTACCATTCAAATAGCCTATATCTCTTAGATTTGCATTAAGAACCTCATAGAGCTTTAAGGGAGAATTGGAGCAATTAGATGAATGAATTATATTTATTTTTATTACTTGTTATAGGTTTGGCAGTTCTCTACCAGTGGACCAATCTTTTCATCCCCGTGTACCTCACCATCAGAGCAAAAAATATTTTTTGGTTCCCATGATTGCTTTATCTACTGTTGTAACATGAAAGGTCACCTGCAGTGGAAATTTGAAACTACTTCAAGGGTCTATGCAACACCGTTTGCTTTCCATAACTACAATGGCAGCAATGAAATGTTGCTGGCAGCAGCATCTACTGATGGGAAAGTGTGGATCTTGGAATCTCAGAGTGGACAATTGCAAAGTGTTTATGAACTTCCTGGAGAAGTCTTCTCTTCTCCTGTGGTCCTGGAATCAATGCTCATTATTGGGTGTAGAGATAATTATGTTTATTGTCTGGATTTATTGGGTGGCAATCAAAAATAATCAAATACAGTCCTTATTTGTATAACAAATGTGAGATATTTGAAAATATTTTACCATTATACATCATGTGGACTTATTTTATATTAAAGAAGATTATATTTTGGCTAAGAAACGGAAACTTGTCTACACTTGATTAGAGAACAACTATATTTTACTTCCCATAGGAACGACAGAAGCTTTTACAAGGAGTTAGAGAACAAAACACATCAATATAATTAGTAGCACTTTTGTTTAATTAGGTGTGATGGTTAACTTTATTTATATGTCAGCTTGACTGGCTAAGGGATGCTCAGATGATTGATAGCTGGTAAAACATTATTTCTGGGTTTGTCTGTGAGGCTGTTTCTGGAAAAGATGATTAGCATTTGAATTTGAATCAGTAGACTGAGTAAAGAAGGTCCTCCCTCACCAGTGTGCCAATGTGGGTGGCATCGTTCAATCTGATGAGGGCCTGAATAGAATGAAAAGGTAGAGGAGGGGCAAATGCTGTCTTCTTGCTGAGATGTATCCATCTGCTCCTGCCCTTGGACATCAGGGCTCCTGGTTCTGAAGCCTTTAGACCACTCTCCTGGGTCTCCAGCGTGCAAATGGCAGATGGTGGTACTTCTCAGCCTCCATCATAATCACTTAAGCCAATTTTCATAATACATCATCTCTCCTAATCGCTAGGTTTCTATGGAGAACCCTAATACATTAGGCTAATTTTATGTTTTTTTCTTTAAAAAAGCAAGATCCCAGCTGGGGGGCCGGGGGGAGAAACAGAATATACTTACTTGGTGGGTTAAAAACAGTCTTTATTACATGAATTTGTCATTCATGGCAAAAGGTTTTCTAAGGCAGGATCTAGTTATTGAATTATGTTCCTTAGTTATTTTTAAATGAAGTACTAATGTAGAATAAAATAAACACACATATATCACACCCCCCACATAGTACAATTTCATGGTTATACATGGTGATTTCAGGCATTCATTGTTCCTAGCAATGCCCTTTCCTTAAAATTTTGATCTTTTGCGGGCAGCCAAGATGGCCGAATAGGAACAGCTCCGGTCTACAGCTCCCAGCGTGAGTGACGCAGAAGACAGGTGATTTCTGCATTTCCATCTGAGGTACCGGGTTCATCTCACTAGGGAGTGCCAGAGAGTGGGCGCAGGACAGTGGGTGCAGCACACTGCGTGAGCCGAAGAGGGTGAGGCATTGCCTCACTCGGGAAGCGCAAGGGTTCAGGGAGTTCCCTTTCCTAGTCAAAGAAAGGGGTGACAGACGGCACCTGGAAAATCGGGTCACTTCCACACTAATACTGCGCTTTTGCAACGGGCTTAAAAAAAACGGCGCACCAGGAGATTATATCCCACACCTGCCTCGGAGGGTACTACGCCCACGGAGTCTCGCTGATTGCTAGCACAGCAGTTTGAAATCAAACTGCAAGGCGGCAGTGAGGCTGGGGGAGGGGCACCTGCCATTGCCCAGGCTTGCTTAGGTAAACAAAGCAGCCGGGAAGCTTGAACTGGGTGGAGCCCACCACAGCTCAAGGAGGCCTGCCTGCCTGCCTCTGTAGGCGCCACCTCTGGGGGCAGGGCACAGACAAACAAAAAGACAGCAGTAACCTCTGCAGACTTAAATGTCCCTGACAGCTTGGAAGAGAGCAGTGGTTCTCCCAGCATGCAGCTAGAGATGATCTGAGAACAGGCAGACTGCCTCAAGTGGGTCCCTGATCCCTGACCCCCGAGCAGCCTAACTGGGAGGCACCCCCCATTAGGGGCAGACTGACACCTCACACGGCCAGGTACTCCTCTGAGACAAAACTTCCAGAGGAACGATCAGACAGCAGCATTCGTGGTTCACGAAAATCCGCTGTTCTGCAGCCACTGCTGCTGATACCCAGACAAACGGTCTGGAGTGGACCTCTAGCAAACTCCAACAGACCTGCAGCTGAGGGCCCTATCTGTTAGAAGGAAAACTAACAAACAGAAAGGACATCCACACCAAAAACTCATCTGTACATCACCATCATCAAAGACCAAAAGTAGATAAAACCACAAAGATGGGGAAAAAACAGAGCAGAAAAACTGGAAACTCTAAAAAGCAGAGCGCCTCTCCTCCTCCAAAGGAACACAGTTCCTCACCAGCAACAGAACAAAGCTGGACGGAGAATGACTTTGACGAGTTGAGAGAAGGCTTCAGACGATCAAACTACTCCGAGCTACAGGAGGAAATTCAAACCAAAGGCAAAGAAGTTAAAAACTTTGAAAAAAATTTAGACAAATGTATAACTAGAATAACCAATACAGAGAAGTGCTTAAAGGAGCTGATGGAGCTGAAAGCCAAGGCTGGAGAACTACGTGAAGAATGCAGAAGCCTCAGGAGCCGATGCAATCAAATGGAAGAAAGGGTATCAGCCATGGAAGATGAAATGAATGAAATGAAGCGAGAAGGGAAGTTTAGAGAAAACAGAATGAAATGAACAAAGCCTCCAAGAAATATGGGACTATGTGAAAAGACAAAATCTACGTCTGATTGGTGTACCTGAAAGTGACAGGGAGAATGGAACCAAGTTGGAAAACACTCTGCAGGATATTATCCAGGAGAACTTCCCCAATCTAGCAAGGTAGGCCAACATTCAGATTCAGGAAATACAGAGAACACCACAAAGATACTCCTCGAGAGGAACAACTCCAAGACACATAATTGTCAGATTCACCAAAGTTGAAATGAAGGAAAAAATGTTAAGGGCAGCCTGAGAGAATGGTCGGGTTACCCACAAAGGGAAGCCCATCAGACTAACAGCGGATCTCTCGGCAGAAACTCTACAAGCCAGGAGAGAGTGGGGGCCAATATTCAACATTCTTAAAGAAAAGAATTTTCAACCCAGAATTTCATATCCAGCCAAACTAAGCTTCATAAGTGAAGGAGAAATAAAATACTTTACAGACAAGCAAATGCTGAGAAATTCTGTCACCACCAGGTCTGCCCTAAAAGAGCTTCTGAAGGAAGCACTCAACATGGAAAGGAACAACCGGTACCAGCCACTGCAAAATCATGCCAAATTGTAAAGACCATCAAGCCTAGGAAGAAACTGCATCAACTAATGAGCAAAATAACCAGCTAACATCATAATGACAGGATCAAATTCACACATAACAATATTAACTTTAAATGTAAATGGACCAAATGCTCCAATTAAAAGACACAGACTGGCAAATTGGATAAAGAGTCAAGACCCACCAGTGTGCTATATCCAGGAAACTCATCTCACGTGCAGAGACACACATAGGCTCAAAATAAAAGGATGGAGGAAGATCTACCAAGCAAATGGAAAACAAAAAAAGGCAGGGGTTGCAATCCTAGTCTCGGATAAAACAGACTTTAATCCAACAAAGATCAAAAGAGACAAAGAAGGCCATTACATAATGGTAAAGGGATCAATTCAACAAGAAGAGCTAACTATCCTAAATATATATGCACCCAATACAGGAGCACCCAGATTCATAAAGCAAGTCCTGAGTGACCTACAAAGAGACTTAGACTCCCACACAATAATAATGGCAGACTTTAACACCCCACTGTCAACCTTAGACAGATCGAGACAGAAAGTTAACAAGGATACCCAGGAATTGAACTCAGCGCTGCACCAAGCGGACCTAATAGACATCTACAGAACTCTCCACCCCAAATCAACAGAATATACATTTTTTTCAGCACCACACCACACCTATTCCAAAATTGACCACATAGTTGGAAGTAAAGCACTCCTCAGCAAATGTAAAAGAACAGAAATTATAACAAACTGTCTCTCAGACCACAGTGCAATCAAACTAGAACTCAGGATTAAGAAACTCACTCAAAACTGCTCAACTACATGGAAACTGAACAACCTGATCCTGAATGACTACTGGGTACATAATGAAATGAAGGCAGAAATCAAGATGTTCTTTGAAACCAACGAGAACAAAGACACAACATACCAGAATCTCTGGGACACATTCAAAGCAGTGTGTAGAGGGCAATTTATAGCACTAAATGCCCACAAGAGAAAGCAGGAAAGATCCAAAATTGACACCCTAACATCACAATTAAAAGAACTAGAAAAGCAAGAGCAAACACATTCAAAAGCTAGCAGAAGGCAAGAAATAACTCAAATCAGAGCAGAACTGAAGGAAATAGAGACACAAAAAACCCTTCAAAAAATTAATGAATCCAGGAGCTGGTTTTCTGAAAGGATCAACAAAATTGATAGACCGCTAGCAAGACTAATAAAGAAGAAAAGAGAGAAGAATCAAATAGACGCAATAAAAAATGATAAAGGGGATATCACTACCGATCCCACAGAAATACAAACTACCATCAGAGAATACTACAAACACCTCTACGCAAATAAACTAGAAAATCTAGAAGAAATGGATAAATTCCTCGACACATACACCCTCCCAAGACTAAACCAGGAAGAAGTTGAATCGCTGAATAGACCAATAACAGGCTCTGAAATTGTGGCAATAATCAATAGCTTACCAACCAAAAAGAGTCCAGGACCAGATGGATTCACAGCCGAATTCTACCAGAGGTACAAGGAGGAACTGGTACCATTCCTTCTGAAACTATTCTAATCAATAGAAAAAGAGGGAATCCTCCCTAACTCATTTTATGAGGCCAGCATCATCCTGATAGCAAAGCCTGGCAGAGACACAACCAAAAAAGAGAATTTTAGACCAATATCCTTGATGAACATTGATGCAAAAATCCTCAGTAAAATACTGGCAAACTGAATCCAGCAGCACATCAACAAGCTTATCCACCATGAACAAGTGGGCTTCATCCCTGGGATGCAAGGCTGGTTCAATATACGCAAATCAATAAACATAATCCAGCATATAAACAGAACCAAAGACAAAAACCACATGATTATCTCAATAGATGCAGAAAAGGCCTTTGACAAAATTCAACAACCCTTCATGCTAAAAACTCTCAATAAATTAGGTATTGATGGGACATATCTCAAAATAATAAGAGCTATCTATGACAAACCCACAGCCAATATCATACTGAATGGACAAAAACTGGAAGCATTCCCTTTGAAAACTGGCACAAGACAGGGATGCCCTCTCTCACCACTCCTATTCAACATAGTGTTGGAAGTTCTGGTCAGGGCAATTAGGCAGGAGAAGGAAATAAAGGGTATTCAATTAGGAAAAGAGGAAGTCAAATTGCCCCTGTTTGCAGATGACATGATTGTATGTCTAGAAAACCCTATTGTCTCAGCCCAAAATCTCCTTAAGCTGATAAGCAACTTCAGCAAAGTCTCAGGATACAAAATCGATGTACAAAAATCACAAGCATTCTTATACACCAATAACAGACAGCCAAATCATGAGTGAACTCCCACTCACAATTGCTTCAAAGAGAATAAAATACCTAGGAATCCAACTTACAAGGGAGGTGAAGGACCTCTTCAAGGAGAACTACAAACCACTGCTCAATGAAATAAAAGAGGATACAAACAAATGGAAGAACATTCCATGCTCATGGGTAGGAAGAATCAATATCGTGAAAATGGCCATACTGCCCAAGGTAATTTATAGATTCAATGCCATCCCCATCAAGCTACCAATGACTTCTTCACAGAATTGGAAAAAACTACTTTAAAGTTCATATGGAACCAAAAAAGAGCCCGCATCACCAAGTCAATCCTAAGCCAAAAGAACAAAGCTGGAGGCATCACGCTACCTGACTTCAAACTATACTACAAGGCTACAGTAACCAAAGCAGCATGGTACTGGTACCAAAACAGAGATATAGATCAATGGAACAGAACAGAGCCCTCAGAAATAATGCCACATATCTACAACTATCTGATCTTTGACAAACCTGAGAAAAACAAGCAATGGGGAAAGGATTCCCTATTTAATAAATGGTGCTGGGAAGACTGGCTAGCCATATGTAGAAAGCTGAAACTGGATCCCTTCCTTACACCTTATACAAAAATTAATTCAAGATGGATTAAAGACTTAAACGTTAGACCTAAAACCATAAAAACCCTAGAAGAAAACCTAGGCATTACCATTCAGGACATAGGCATGGGCAAGGACTTCATGTCTAAAACACCAAAAGCCATGGCAACAAAAGCCAAAATTGACAAATGGGATCTAATCAAACTAAAGAGCTTCTGCACAGCAAAAGAAACTACCATCAGAGTGAACAGGCAACTTACAAAATGGGAGAAAATTTTCACAACCTACTTATCTGACAAAGGGCTAATATCCAGAATCTACAATGAACTCAAACAAATTTACAAGAAAAAAACAAACAACCTCATCAAAAAGTGGGCAAAGGACATGAACAGACACCTCTCAAAAGAAGACATTTATGCAGCCAAAAAACACATGAAAAAATGCTCACCATCACTGGCCATCAGAGAAATGCAAATCAAAACCACAATGAGATACCATCTCACACGAGTTAGAATGGCAATCATTAAAAAGTCAGGAAACAACAGGTGCTGGAGAGGATGTGGAGAAATAGGAACACTTTTACACTGTTGGTGGGACTGTAAACTAGTTCAACCATTGTGGAAGTCAGTGTGGCGATTCCTCAGGGATCTAGAACTAGAAATACCATTTGACCCAGCCATCCCATTACTGGGTATATACCCAAAGGCCTATAAATCATGCTGCTATAAAGACACATGCACACGTATGTTTATTGCGGCACTATTCGCAATAGTAAAGACTTGGAAGCAACCCAAATGTCCAACAATGATAGACTAGATTAAGAAAATGTGGCACATATACACCATGGAATACTATGCAGCCATACAAAATGATGAGTTCATGTCCTTTGTAGGGACACGGATGAAATTGGAAATCATCATTCTCAGTAAACTGTCGGAAGGACAAAAAACCAAACACTGCATGTTCTCACTCATAGGTGAGAATTGAACAATGAGAACACAAGGACACAGGAAGGGGAACATCACACTCTGGGGACTGTTGTGGGGTGGGGGGAGGGGGGAGGGATAGCATTAGGAGATATACCTAATGCTAAATGACGAGTTAATGGGTGCAGCACACCAGCATGGCACATGTATACATATGTAACTAACCTGCACACTGTGCACATGTACCCTAAAACTTAAAGTATAATAATAATAAAATTAAATTAAAAAAAAAAAAAGCTAAGTAGGGTCAAGCCTGGTTAGTACTTAGATGGGAGACCTCCTTGGAATACTAAGTGCCGTAGGTTTAAGAAAAATATGCAAAATATTTTAAAAATAAATAAAATTAAATCAAGTTATACATACTAAAAAAAATTTGATCTTTTGCTCATCTTGCAATGGGTTTTTTTTTTTGCATTAATTTTGATTTTTTTAAAATACTGCATCAAAATAGTATTTCTCTTGATTACTTAGTTTTCTGGAAGCCAAGGCAAGTGCTCACATGCCTAACTCACTTTTCATTTCACCAGGGTCTGGCCCTTTAAGTCAGTATGTCTGATGTGTGGCCATAAGCTGCAATTCTCACGTGCTCTCAGCTGCTGCTTCTGCTGCTGCTGCTGGTGAGTAGCCCATGCTGTGAGGTGGCTGTACAATCCTTTTGTCTGAGACCCAGACCATTCAATTCCAATTTAGGATTGAGACAAACATTTTATTTGCCCCCGTTCATTATTTTTCTCTAAAAATACCTAGGAAAAAAATGTAATAAAACAGTTTAAAGTTGTTCTTGTTCAACAAAAGTTATGTAAATATAATGAGATTGTTTTGCAGTTGGTCATCGAAATCAAATTCCATCAGTGCCGAAGATCTCGTGGGTATTTTTTATTGAAAGATCTTTTCCCTTCAATAATGGACATTTTACATTAAAACTTTATACAACTAAAATATGCAAATTATATTAAAATCACACTAAGGTATTTTCATTAAGTCTCTACTTTACTGTTGGTAAAAATATTGTAAGACACTTGTAACTAATGTTTCTGCTTTAAAATAAGCAATTAAACTAAACGTCACAAGAAGAGACAATACATACTATATATTTGCAGATAACTGGCTAAATGATAATTTAATAGTAATAATGTCTGTGTAAGAAACAATTGCACTTGAAAAATTAAAAAAGTAAACAAAAAACCCTCTAGTTTTATATATAAGTCTATGAACAGAGGTTAATCATCTATAACCTTGCCAGGAGAAGTGTATGTTTGTTTAAATAAAAAAAAAAAAAAGTTTGCATTTAACATAGTGATCATTCATTTAAAAAAAAAGTCTTGAACTTTTTATATGTTTTTACAGAATTCCCCATAGTTTGTTGCTCAGAAGACTACTAAAGCAAAATAACACTTCATTGGTATTTAGTGCAAATTTGGGGTGATTTTGAAATGAAATGTTAAACATGTACCCTTTAGAAGCTGTTAGAAGTAAGTATTGTGACTGCCCTTTCTTCAGTATACTCTTCTTTTAAAGACTTTGATGGAAAAATTTTAACTGAGGTATTTCGCCTGTTTTGTTTGGGCACAGTGATATCCCAGCCAATACAAAGTTGACACATCTACAACTTTTTGTAACTGATCTTAGTTCCCCACCTGTTCCCTGCCATAATTGGGATATTGTCCAAAGCTGACAGGATGAAAGAAAAAGTCAATTCAGAAGAATTACTGTAGCATTATCATTCCAGGGCTGTAGGTGGAAAGATTCCCATTAAAAAGTGTTATATTAGTGAGGAAATCATTGGAACTAACAAATGCCTACATATAAGATTTAGAAATGAACATTAGTATGGAAGACGTGCAGTGAAATACTAATTGCTTGCCATAGCAATAAAAAAAGGTTACATTGATTTTTAACAGTCTGAAGGTCCAGTATATATGATATTAAATCCAACTTGCAAGAGTACAACTATCCACTTGACCACACATGCCAGCTGCTACAGTGAGGCTGAGCTATTGTTTCTAGAAAGAAAATGGTTTCTACATGGTAAATAACTTTGCCATCATCCTTTATTTAAGGTACATGGTAGAATAACAGCACATTGCATATTGAGCGAGCATAAAGGAAAGTAATGATGGATACTTAATAAAGCATGTTTTTGTAGGAGAGGAAAAAGGATGTAATTCCCTCTGCACAGAGCAAAGGATGTGTACCTATATTTCGGAGTAAGAATCTAAGAAAAGGGGAATATGCCAACACTATGAAATATAAGGTTAGCACCAGCAATATGTGAGTTTGCCAGTATGTCTGTTTCATGTAAATTTAGGGCAATAAAAGTGAATATATGTGGCTTTTAAACTGCCAAGTCCCTTCTTTGTATGCACATGTGTATGATGATAAAAAGGCCACTTAAAACTCAGATGTTTTTTAAAGGTAGCAAGGTGAATGCTCAAAATTAGAAATGCTACTGGACATGTGACTCTAAATATGAATTACTCAATTATAGTAAAGAAAAGACTTTCTGCAGGAAGTCCTTATTACAAAGGCTCCAAATCTTGGCTTCCTGTTTATTTTCCCTAAAGACCAAAGGGAATTTTCAAACATGTAATGTCAATAACCTGTTGCTTCTTGTAATAAATGGCTGGCTTGGGGGGTTGTTTTATTATTTTTCCTGTCTCACTGTTGCTTTTTGAGTGAATGAGCCTCCCCTTCGAAGTCTGAAAAATTAGATTGCATTAGGATCAGTGTTTCTCACAGTTCTTAACCTTTGGGATCTATCAGAACTGACCTGAAGAGTTTTTGCCAGAATACATATTCCTGGCCCAGTCCCCACAGGCTCTGATTGAGTAGGCCCTAGGAGGGAGCCTACACATCATAAGAACTACTGCCCTAGATGGAGATTCTCAGAGACAGAAAGTGAACTTGTAGCTCTGATCTAGAATTGTCTTTCTTCACTACATTAAATTAAAATGTTCCCTGGGAGCCAACTGGGCCAAATGCTTCACATGTCCTTAAGGAGGGTATTGGAATAACAGGGCCCCACACTATGAATCCACAGTGCGGTAAAAATGTGAATGGATGTGCCTTCTGGGTTACAGCTTCAGAGTGGGGAAAACTCATGAAAACTAAGATGGGCACAGTTGGGTGCCAGAATGTTCCTTGTGATTCCCAATTACTCACTGCATTCAGGAGAATGGGTGTTCTTGCTTTTAGCTAGATATGATCCTTTCACCATTACTGTAGAAAGGATAAACATTCCCAGACATATGGTAGAGTAAATGTTTTGGACAAAGAAAATTAGTGCATAGAATCAAAAAACCATTACCAAAGGTTGGCAAAAGTACATGTTCTGAATGGTGTGTGGGTGGGTGTGTGTGCAAGGCCATGAAATGGGCATGGCAGGCTCTCACGAGTTCTTAGCTTAGAGATTTTGCTTCATGTGGTCCTGTGGACGGAATTTTCTCTTGAGAACTAGGAGGAGCTCGAGGCACCAGGACCTAGGGTTGTGCAAATCCACTCTTTACAATGAACACCACCAGTTCAGTTTCTAAACATTATTTTGGAGCCTATAAAACATGCTTCTTTTCCCTAGCTTGATTTCTTTACCCCATATAAAAAATAAATAAATAAAAAGGGCAAGAGAGGAGCCAATAACTGGCAGTAGGGATGGGTGAGAGTCACTCTTTACTTAATAATCTGTGGACAGTCGCTCCAAGCCTTTGCTTTCCTTTTGGCCAAAGCCAGCCAGGCTGGTTCTGTTGACACGGGGGCAGCATCCGGGGTGGAAAACCTCTTGGTGACTTCTTTTACCAGCGGCGCTGGGGGAGCCGAGTCGGAGATCTCCACTGGATTTTGTTTTGAAGGAAAAGGAAAAAGTAAGTTCACAGCCACACTACAAATTTTCTTTTTAATTAACAGATGATAAACTATGTATTTATCATGACAAACTGTATTTGTCATGTACAACATTGTTTTGAAATATGTATACATTGTGAAATAGCTAAATCTAACTAATTAAAATATACAAAACCTCACAGTTATCATTTTTATGGTGAGAGCATTTAAAATCTACTCTCTTAGGTCTCTTGAACTTATTCCTCTTATCTAACTGAAATTTTGTATCCTTTGATGAACATCTCTCCAACACCCCCCACCCCAGCCATATTTTGATTTATCAGAAGTGTGAGACTGAAAAAAGAAAACCCAGTGAAACACAGAGAGGCAAATTCCTGGACTCCCTCAGTGAGGAGAATGAAGGAAAGCAAGCTATGTGTTTATATCTCTTGCACACAGAATTACAACAACCAAAGTAGTCAGTTCTAATTTCAAAGAATTTCCAGAAGCCTAATCTATATAAAGAAGCTATGCCTGCATGATAACCAGTCAATTCCATGAAGAAAAAGATCAACCCAGCCGACTGGATCTGGTGAGGTTAAAAGCTACCTTCCTGGCCAGGCGTGGTGGATCACGCCTGTAATCTCAGCACTTTGGGAGGTCAAGGAGGGAGGATCACTTGAGGTCAGGAGTTCGAGACCAGCCTGGCCAACATGGTGAAACCCTGTCTCTACTAAAAATACAAAAAGTAGCCAGGCTTGTTGGCAGGTGTCTGTAATCCCAGCAACTTGGGAGGTTGAGGCAGGAGAATCACTTGAACCCTGCAGGCAGAGGTTGCAGTGAATCGACATCGCACCACTGCACTCCAGCATGGGTGACAGAGAGAGACTCTGCTTCAAAAAAAAAAAAAAAAGCTACCGTCCCCACAAAAGCATCCACTGGGTGCCTCTACCTCTGAGTCTCACAGATCCTGCCAGCTCCCATGACTTTCATCCTTGTCTCACAGTTCTTTGCACCGTATCACTTTATCAGAGTGTATAGGCTTCTTAATGTGAGAGGGTGCTTGTCTTATCTTTGAGTCATAAATAGTGCCTATGGCAATGGCTTACACATATGCTTCTAGAACTCAGGAAATACTGACTGAGAAGACAAATACTTCAGAACAAAGACTTGCTTTATTAAGCTAGAGCCACTCTTGAGTTGCATTAATCCTTTAGTACTTCTGAGAAATCAGGCAGAGAAAGATTTGACCTCTTTGACTTTGGGGCTTTCACTTTATTTTGAAAGAAACTCATTCTCTCTCTTTTTCTCACTCTTTCTCTTTCTGGTTCTAACAGGTAGAACCCTTAATTCCTATAAGTAAAATCAAATGACATAATGCCTGCCTGCGGTTCTTAAGAAATTACACAGCATTCTAAAGTGGTTTTCAAATATAAAGCTTTGGGCCAGGCATGGTGGCTCACGCCTTTAATCCCAGCACTTTGGGAGGCCGAGGTGGGCGGATCACTTGAGGTCAGGAGTTCGAGATTAGCCTGGCCAACATGGTGAAACCCTGTCTCTGCTAAAAATACAAAAATTAGCTGGGTGTGGTGGCGTGTGCCTGTACTCCCAGCTACTTGGGAGACTGAGGCAGAAGAATTGCTTGAACCCAGGAGGCGGAGGCTGCAGTGAGCCGAGATGGCGCCATCGCACTCCAGCATGGGCAACAGAGCAAGATTCTGTCTCTCCCTCAAAATGCCAAACAAAACTAAAAAACAAATATAAAGCTTCCCTCCGTGTCACCAGTAGTAAATATATCTTTAATAGTAAGACCTCTTAATATCTCTTGACCTCAGGTAGCCAAGGCAGAGAAAAGCCTGGGTCTAGAGATTAGACGCCCTTTGGGGAATAGTGGAGCCTAGTGGGGAAAAGAGATGCCCTATTAATCACTGGTAGGGAGCCTGTTCAGAGTCATCCATCCTTCAAGTGATTGGTAATAAGGAGATAGTTGGATACATTACATCGTTTTACCTTTTAACCAAATAAAGAATATTTTCTAAATGTGTACATCTCTTACATGTTATGAACATATAAAAACTGCTGTTGTTAATTAACATCAAAGACACTGTGCTGAGAAACTTTACTCTGTAAAGCCACAGACTATCAGAAACCCGCTGCGTGAAATCACATCAGTGAGAACAGACCATCTCACTTTTGCCTGGAGCTTCTGAGCCACGTGTCACCATCACAGAGATGCAGTTTCCATTTCCAACCCGGGTGCGGAGCTCCTGGTAGTGGTTTTCAGATACAACATTTTACACATTTATCTTTTCTGTTTTTGTTGTTTTTGAGACAGTCTGTCGCTCAGGCTGGAGTGCAGTGGCACGATCTCGGCTCACTGCAACCTCCACTTCCTGGGCTCAAGCAATCTTCCCACCTCAGCCTCCCAAGTAGGTGGGACTACAGGCATGCACCACCACACCTGGCTAATTTTTGTATTTTTAGTAGAGACGGGGTTTCGCCATGTTGCCCAGGCTAATATCGAACTCCTGGGCTCAAGCAATCTGCCTGCCTTGGCCTCCCAAAGTGCTGGGATTACAGGCATGAGCCACCATACCTGGCCCACATTTATCTTTCTTTTCTGTATTTTTAAAATTGATATATATATACACCATACTTGTATATATTTTGGGGGTACATGTGGCATTTTAATACATACAAATAATGTATAATGATCAATCAGGGTAAGTTGGATATCCATGACCTCAAACATTTCAAACATTTAACTTAACTTTGTAGTTTTGAAGGAAACAGGAGCCTGAGCAAACGTTTCAGCTCAGTCTTGATATTATCTCCTTTATGGACACCATGGCTTTGATTTGACTTATTAAAATGCTACTCCATTTAAATTTTACCTAAACTTCACCCTTTACCCCAAGTCCTGCTATAATTTTGTCTTTTCTCTTGTTTAGAAGGTTCTTCTGTAAGTTAATAAACCCAACTTTGTCAGAATATAGGCAGAGGGTGCTGGAGATGGCTCATACTGCCGTGCTAAACGTTCACAAATGTAGTGAGCCAGCTGACATCATATTGGTATAATAGCTTTGAACAGGCCATGGTGGGAGTATTTACACTGAGAAATTGAAGATGCTCCAAACAGAGGTCTCTCTACCCCCTCAAGAGCTAACTGTTAAATATTCACCAACACACCACTGATAGTGGGTGAGCTCCTGGTGGTCTTTATCAAATGAGCTTAATCAGTGTCAACGTTTATGAATGAGGTTATCAGATAGCCTGTGCTTTGAAATGCCTGAGGTGCTCTGCTAGTCATTACACTGTAGGATATAAAGCACGCTCTACAAAGAGAAACCTGGAACTACAGTTACAAAGCAATGGACCTGCTCTCTACCTGTCACAGACGTAGGAAGAGTATTGGCCTTTTTCAGCTGTTCTCTGCGCTCAAGCCTGGACACTGCAGTCTCGGGCCTCTTCTCTTCTGGCAGAGCAGTGGACTTGTGCAGGGAACCTGCTCTGCTGACACTGCTGCTTCCAGGCTGCACGCTGACACTGACCTGCGTGGGCAGAGACAGTCATGGGAAACATGTTTTCAACCTAAGACATGGAAAGACTGACCCTGCAGGCCTTCGGGGCCTCTGCCTGCCAGCCCCTGACCTCTGCTTCCAACGGTGGGCTGGATTACATGTATGAGCCATGTACGCTCAACCACGGCTTCCGGTGAGGGGGCAGCTCAGAGCCAGTGTGCCTAACAGGGAAAGTTACTTTCCCAGAAGAGCCTCATCAAACTGACTATAACATCTGGCCACAGTTTCCTTGCAAAATGTTTGTGTTTCTCATGTAACTTGTATATCACTGTTGTAAGCGTATCGTGGATTATGGCAAATCAGGTTAACCTAAGAGCATAAACAAACCAAACCCAGTTTCACACTGAAAACGCTTCCCTGGTTTAATGGTGGTCAGTTTATTTACTGCTTGGCCCTCTCTAAGTACTTTCCACCAGCCCAGCTAGCCTTTTGTTTTGTATCCTTGTGACTGAAAAGAGAACCAAGCTCAGGAAAGCAAAATCACAGCTGAAGCCCAGGCTACTCACATTTTCTTTGGAGAGCTTTTCTGCCTGTTTGGCCTCTCTGGCTTGCTTTCTCTCCTCCCGCGTCGCCTGCTGCTCCCGAAACCCCTTTTGCTTTTGCAGTGCTAACGTTATCCACAGCGGCTGAGCAGTTTCCACTTTCTCTGTAAGTTTGGAGCCATCTAAGGAGTGTCTGCTCTGAAGCATCGGCTTCTCTGTGGGGAATAAGACAAAGAACGGTTTGCAATGAACTTAACTGCGGACTTACCTCAGTTCCTCACCCCCTAAAACTTGTGACATATTAATAACCCTATGGCATATTCAGCTGGCCCCTTCCTAGCACAACCTCTGTGCTGATGCCTGAGTGGCTCCACTGGGTGGGAAGGTAACATGTTTGATCACCAGAAAAACAAGGGTATTTGTCTTCCCTAGAAATGGAAGAAGTTACTCTGTTAGAAAAAAACTCAAATAAATCTCCAGGGTCATAACATCTCAGGCCTCCAGGGCATCCAGATAGGTATTTGGTTCGTTGTTCTTTTTTAAATTCATTCCTTTTTGTTGTTGTTTGACAGAGTTTTGAACTGTCACCCAGGCTGGAGCAGTGGTGCAATCTCGGCACATTGCAACCTCTGCCTCCTGGGTTCAGGCAATTCTCCTGTTTCAGCCTCGCGAGTAGCTAGGACTACAGGCGCCTGCAACCACACCTGGCAAATTGTTGTATTTTTAGTAGAGATGGGTTTTTACCATGTTGGCCAGGCTGGTCTCGAACTCCTGACCTTAAGTGATCCACCTGCCTTGGCCTCCCAAGGTGCTATGATTAGAGGCGTGAGCCATTGCACCCGGCCCTAATTCATTGCTTTAAATGAAATTTATTTTTAGCCATGGAACCATTTTTTCCCCTCAAAGAACATACTACGTGGAACTCCAATGTTGGAAAGATGAAAAAGGAGCACTACTCTGCCTAATGGGGAAGCTGAAGAACACTGTGGGAAGCCCATGATTTTGGTCCACTGCACTCATTTAATAGATGTGAGTACTCCAGCCACCAAGTGCCATGCCCATGGTCACTCAGCAGTTAGTACACAGGCTTCTGAAGCTAGAACATAGGCCTTCTGACTTCCGTCTCTGTTTTTCTTGTGGTTGACTGTCTCACCTATGTAATTGGGGGTAAATACCTCACAGGAGGTTCATGTGACAGGTTGAGTACTAGGCTCTAAAATTGAGCAGACCTGGATTTGATCTTTGATGATCTTACAAAAACTACTTAACTTCTCTAAGCTTTAGTTTTCTAATCTAGAAAGTGGAGATGATAATGTCTTATTGGGTTGCCATGAAAATTAAAAGAGATCCTGGGAACCAGAACATTTACAACAGTTCTTGGCAAATCCTGGTCACTCTACAAAAGTGAGCTGTTCTTATATGCCTATGAGACAAGAATCTCCTTTTCCCTCAAGTAAAAATTATGCATGTTCAGAGATAATCAGTTATTGAATCTCTTATTATCTCAAAGGAAAGGAGCTCACTATAGTATTGTTTTTGAAATCCAATAGAAGTTTACACTTTGGTAGTCCAGAACCTTACTTCCAGGGCTCTCAGTCAACTGGATTTTATATCGTATTCCAGGATGAAAAGAAAGAGCAGTGATGAGAAAATAAATTCAAATTAGAAATTCAAGCAAAAAGGGCAGGGGGCAGATTCTGCTTATTTTTCTATATTCTTTAGATCTACAATGCTGTACAAAGAGAATTCATATTTATAATGAGCCTGGGGCACTGCAATATCCCTAAATCATCAAATAACGATTCAGTTATGATCTAACAGAGAAAATAAGACTGACATCTCTTAGAAGTATTTTAAAACAAAACTGAATTTGAAAGAGTTTTTGTTTCATCTTTAGTTAACCAGAAAATCAAAAAGAATTCATCACCTCAAACATTCTGCTTTACACTGAAACTTAACAAGTTTCTGTATTTTACTCCAGGTCCCTGTAACACTTCTTTAGAAAACTTCTAAAAACCAAGTTGCCAAGATCTAAATGATTTCTATAGAAAGCTATTATACCAAAGGGAATTCTGATTCTGGCTAAACACTACATCTGAACTTGCTTGGGAAGGTCACTAAAACAACCAGCCAGTTTCCTGCCAACAACTTAGACTATTATTTACTGGAAGGGTCAAAATGCCTTTAAGTATTAGTAATGAAATTTATAATTGACTAATTTGAAAAAAGAAATCTCTGGGTAGGAGGAGGAGGGAAGATAGTGGTTGCAGTACTGGAACAGCTGGGTGCAATGTGGACGCAGTGGCCTTGGCAGGTCTCCTTCATCTCAGCATTTTACCCCAATCCCAGGTCCACACAAGTGCTTCTCTTGACACTTCTCAAAAATGGGAGAAGAAGAATAAAACCGTTTATCCTCCACAACTGCCTGCAGAACCTCAGAGACCAGCAGAAATCTACCAATACCAAAGAAAACTAAAAGACAGCAAAGACAAGATGTTGTATTTGGCAAAATTGGTAGGAGAAATGTCCACTGACCAGGCTTAGCTCAACTGGGATTCAGCGACAAAAAGGGACCCAAATCATTAAAGATGTTCTCTTAGAAGCACAAGACGTGGCAGTGAAAGACCACAATGTGGAATTCAGATCTGGTTTATATATAAACTGAGTCCACCTCAGGGGGAGGCCAGTGCCTGACAGGCTTCTGCTACCAAAGTAGAGGTTGCTTTGGGATCATGAAGGTTACTGCCATTATTTTATGAAGCTGGTGGAAGGGCCTCCCCACCTCCACGTGAGGCACCCAAGATGGCGAAGTCACCCATACCAAAGAGTATATATTCAGAAGCTTCAACACTGGACCATCACTCACACTATGATGGGGCTGTGATAACGGAAGATCACTTAGTCTAGGAAAGAACTCCTCCATGTGCCATCATAACCACTGTAGGGAGCAGGCAAGTCACTCAACTTTTCAGATACTGCTGTCCATGTCTGTAAGATGGAGCCAAGACTACCTACCTATCCGTGTGCTGTGAGCACCGAAGGAGACGATGCAAATAACTTTGTAAATGATGTCGCACAAAGGATGACTAGTGTTGAAATCATCCAAACACAGTAAAATCTCTTATTACAGTCAAGGTTTTGAAAGATAGTCAATTGCATCACCTATTTGAGGAGTTCAAAATTCCTAATTAAAAATGTATTTTGCTCCAATATAAACCCATTCTCTCTCATTCTAAACTCAGTGGACAGGCGTATCATAGTCCACCTGAGTTGCCTCCTCAAGTTCTGAGGAGATGAGCAAGGATCACAGGGTTCTAGTCACTACTCCCAAAGGGCATTCCTTGGAGAAAGGGATACTAAGCTATTTTTCTGTTTTATCCACCCTAAGTACGTTAGAATTTCAGAATGAGATGCTAGGTGTAATGAAAGGTTTGTTTTTTTTTTTTGAGGCTGGAGTCAGTGCACAATCTCTGCTCACTGCAACCTCTGCATCCTGGGTTCAAGCAATCCTCCTGCCTCAGCCTCTGAGTAGCTGGGATTACAGGTGCCCACCACCACACCTGGCTAATTTTTGTATTTTTAGTAGAGACAGGGTTTCACCATGTTGGCCAGGCTGGTCTTGAACTCCTTGCCTCAAGTGATCTGCCCGCCTTGGCTTCCCAAACTGTGGGATTATAGGTGTGAGCCACCGTGCCTGGCCTGAAAGTGTTTATAGTACAAGCACATGGGGATTATCATTGCTGTTTTAATCTCACCAGGTAGATTCAGAGTCAACACCCTACAAGTCTACATATTTGTCCTCACTGGCCCCAGCCTTGGCAATGCAGGCCTCTTTATAAAGCACTGGTCTCCAAAAATGGTTGCGTACGTCACAGGAAATGTGAGAGGCAATTCACTGGAGTTAAGAAAGAAAGATTAGAATTTCTATTTCTCTATTTTTAAATGTAAGGATAAAAACAAAATCAAGCTTTTTTTTTTTCCTTTTTTTGAGACAGGGTCTCACTCTGTCACCCAGGTTGGAGTGCAGTGGTGAGATCGCAGCTCACTGTAGCCTCGACCTACTAGGCTCAAGCAATCCTCCCACCTCAGCCTCCCAAGTAGATGGGACCACAGGTGTGTATCATGCCCAGCTAATTTTTGAATTTTTTGTAGAGACAGGGTTTTGCCACATTGCCAGGCTGGTCCTGAACTCCTGGTAGGCTCAAGCAATCTGCCCACCTCAGCCTCCCAAAGTGCTGGGATTACAGGTGTAAGCCACCACGTCTGGCCAAAATCAAGCTTTTCTAATACTTAGTACCCTGACTGGCAGTGACCCCATAGCCCATATATTCAAAGGCCATGTAATAACAAATGGTATGTTTAAAGAATCTCCAGGGAAGCTGGGAAGGCTATGTGGGGCTGCATGTGGTGGGTGCTTTTTGTTCTCAGTGGTTCTTGAATTTAGCATATGGGAGGTTCTGCAGTTTGGCGAGTTTATATCTCCTTTTAACTAAATGATCCCTTCCACAATAGACAAATGGCATATGGCATAGAGAAAGTCCTGCAGACAATATACTACTAATAATACGAGTAAGAGAAAATAACAGAGCTGAGGAACTCTTTGCCTGCTACTTCCGAAGAAATCATATCCAAGAAGAAGTTGGCCAAAGAGAATAAAAAATAGCACCATGACTTGCAATTGCAGATTTAGATCCACTGTTGTTAAGTGTAAGTATAGCTGGTGCTCCAGGGGTTTTAGTTAACAATGATACTACATGTATACAATCAACAAATAAATTGCAGGTCCTTGCCTAACATTTTTATCCTGATGGGGTGTTCAGTCAGACAAATTTGGCCAGTCCTGGCCTACAGCAGCAAGTTGCATAACAAAACCCCAGTGAATGGAGAGAGTGATCCTTGCTTTCAGGCTATTTCTGTATCGAATCAGGAAAAATTCAAATAGCAGAGTGTGACAGCCCAGAATCTGTCCTCACTGGCTCCACTGGGAAAGAAAACAGGGACAGTGATAGATTTGGGGAGAAAATTATAATAATCAAGGGGACAGCCCTAAGAGAAGGAAGTGAGCAGAAGCATGACTTCTTTGGAGAAGGCAAGTGACATAGCAGACGAGGCTGTGAGAGAGACTTTGCAGATACTATGAAAGCCAGTGCCACAAACACTAGTGGCAAAACCAAAAACGGGCCCCTCATCCAGCAGGACAAACAGAAATCATTAGGGAGAAATGGTCTAGAAACTGCTGATGAACATGTCTGTCCAGAAAACCAGGCCAAGCAAGTGGACTATTTAAAAAAGGACAAGCTGGGTGCGGTGGCTCACACCTGTAGTCCCACCTACGAGGAGGCTTAGGCAGGAGGGATGCATGATCCCAGGAGTTCAAGACCAGCCTGGGCAACATAGCAAGACCCTGTCTCTAGATACTAACAATAATAAACAATAAAATAAAATAAGGATATATGGGGTCTTCTGTAAAGGCAAGTAACCAGACCAACACTCCTCAGGAAACAAATCATTCCTCTGCAAAAACTGCCCCAAATCTAAATACTTGAACAAAGGAGAAAACAATCCCTCCTAAGAAAACCTCAGGGGACAATTTCTCTGGGAAATGTGAGTAACTTTTGGCTTTGACCCATACTTTACCTCCTATACTCTGCATAATAGAAAAGAAAAAGTATTAGATGAAGGTTCTCTGGGGGCACAAAAGCTAATCCAACTGACAGCTTTGTTGGCCCAAACATTTAATCTGAAGAAACATCAGGGTCAGCCAGAGGTAAGGCTTGCTCCAAAATTTCTTTGTAGGAGGGCTCTGCAGTGGTGAGCTGGGTGAGGGTAGGGGGTGGGTGGGGGGATGGAGGGACCCAAGCTGCATTTGCAGAGCATTTTACATAAAATGGAGACAGTCAATTATCCCATAGAGAGGATCCATAGGTCTGATGGAGACACCTAAAGTCCCCTAAACTGCCATCATGGTGCCACTACTGCCCAGAGATACAGTGAAGACACTGGTAGGGGACACTCCAGTTTTATCATCACTGCGAGGCCCCCTCAAAATGGTTAATGACATCTTCAGTCGTTGGGATTATTATTTCAATTTCTATTGCCAACCGAAAAGGCATTCATCTAACTGTTGGCACCTTTTATCGCTTGTGTAAATAAGTATCATTATCAAGAGTGAACTGCAGACACACTGCAGAGTTGGTCAGCATTTCCCAAATTTGAAAGAATGAGAAGTAACAAGGCTTACTATGAATCACGAGTGAGTGTCTTTCGGGAATCCCACACCAGCCTCTAATTAATGAAGGTGTGCCCAACACCAGCTCCACTGGCTGCCTCTGGCGTTGGGCACTTCTGGTTCTAGCAGTGACGTAGTCAATGAGCTGGACAGAGGCAGACAAGGAGCGCAAGGACCACCTGGTGACCATCAAACAGACCATCCAGAGGCAAAACTCCTTATCTGGGGAATTCAGAATTAAACTTCCCTAGTATCTAACATAGGCATCTGGTTCCAGGCTTTTCAACTTTTATAACTAGAATTTCTAGACATCTCTGGAATGTCATGGCAAAACTCATTTTGCAACCCTTGCTGACATTAAGGCACCAAAATGTCCACAAATGTAATCATTTATCACGACCTACGTGGCTAATGTGGCCCAAATTACCCTTCCAATTACCCTTAAGCTCTCGACTTAAGGTCCATAAATGCTCCTAAGGAAAATCCACCAGGGCACTCAGTCCTCTCACTGAGGCGCCCCACGGTTTTGTTCTGCAGCGTTCTAATAAAACTTTCCTTTTTCAAATCTGTATTGTTGGTAAATTATTCTCATGAACCTGCGTGTGGATCTCTTCTTGATGCCCTGGCTCTGACACCTCGGCTGGCAGCAGTTACCCACCCTGCAGCTACCTACCTTTCCTCCCGGCCTCGGGTGTTTGAGAAGGTTTCTCTTGCTGAGTGGCAGGCAGAGGTGGGGAAGCAGGTTTCCTCTCTGTCGCCTCTTCCTCCTCGTCCCTCTTCTGTCCCTTCCTTTCCTCGGGGCCTGGGGGCGAGGGTGGCCGGCGGTCACTGCTCTCCTGGTCCTCCTTGGACGGCTCACTTGGCTCTGGGTCCGGCCTCCCCGCTCGGCGAGACAGCAGCTCTACCAAGTAGGGCCTGCTCAGTTTGGAAAGTGGGGATGCTGGTGGGGTCTGACTGGTGGGCTTGGGAGCCAGTGCTGGCTTTTGTGCCAGTGGCATTTTGTTTGCTGCCTTGTCGTGCTCCGGAGCCGGGGTCTGGCTGCTGGCCGGTGGAGGCCCAGGGTGGGCCACAGGAACAGAGCGGCTGCTGGAAGGTTCAGCGGAGTCCCTCCGGGTGGAAGGGGCTTGCTTCCGCTCTTGGGGGAGGGATGGACCATGCTTGAGGGCCACACCCTCCATCTCTTTCTCTCCACGAGCGCTCCCCGCTGCAGGCGGCCCTGCATCCGCGCTGTCTCCGGTGCTGCTGTGCCTCTTCTTCTTCTTCTGTTCTGCCTGTTGGTCGCAGTTGAAGCGCAAGGAATAGTTGGTCCTTCTCAATTTTATTCCAAACGGTGAGGCTTTTTCCTCTCCACCTGGCATCACAGGGTCTGGCTTTGCTATCCCGTTTGCAGTCTCGCTGTCCGACGAGGTCGTGAACTCTGTGTGGGCCACCACTTTCTGCGGAGGGTAAGGAAGGCTTGGGACAAGGAAAGACGGGAGGTCTTTGGCAAATTTGCATCCCTCGGTGGTGTCTGCGGGCTCCCGGTGCATCTCCGACTTCTCCGGACCCTTCCCGAGCTCGCGAACACCAGCAGGAGGAGGCTGGGGGGCTGTCTCTTCGCTGGGTCCCAGCATGGGTCTTTTTCGTATGCTTTCAGCTTCCGTGCTCTGTTTGGAGGTCTCCGTGCCACCATCGGAAAATTTCTGCCAGGCAGGCATAATAGAGAACTTTGCATTGACTGGCGGAGTCTTCCGTTGGTTCCCGCGGGAATCACACCGGCCCCTGGGAGTGGACTCATCACCGGGCCTCAACTGGTCCCTCTCGCTGCTGCGCGGGTCACTCTCTGCGTTCTTCAGGATTCTGGACCGAATGGAAGCCCATTCTGCGAGTGCGGACGCGCTGCTGGGAGACTCCTGGCGGGGCTTAGCCTTCCCGCTGCCCGCCCTCGCGTCGCCGGGGCCTCGGGGAGGGTTCTCCCCAGCTGGGGCTTCCGCGTGCTTCTTCTCCTCCAAGCCCAGGAGGGACTTGCACGCGGTGTCCTTGATCTGGCTCAGGTTGACTGCCGGGCCACAGAGCTGCGCGCCCGTGACCAGAATGGCGGTGTGGGGAACGCTCAGGGACGACGGTAGGGCGTGCTGGACTGGGCTGGCTTTGGGGGCCTTTGGTTCCTGGGGAGCAGCGGTGAGCCCCGTGTCCTTTGCGGGCGTCACGGGGCTCAGGTTGACTTTGGGAAAGAGAATCTGCTTCCCTCCGGAGGACACCTGGAACGTGTAGGGCCGGGGCATGGTCTGTCTCTCGTCCACCTCCTGCCACCGCAGCTCCTCCACCTTGCGGCCTTGTTCAAGGGCGGCGGCTTCTTTCCTCTCCACCGGAGGCTGCGCGGCTTCCACCGGCCCCTCTTGTTTCAGGAGAGGCTCCGTGTCCCCTTCTTCTCTCTTTTCCTCGGGCCCAGGACGATCGGCCCCCTGGAAATCCCCGCTCCTTCCCTGCTGCTCTCTTCGCCGCTCGGCCTCTGGGTTCTGCTCCTCGCAAATACCTGGCTCCTCGGAGTGTTCTCTTTGTCCTTCGGGTTTCAGGCGTTCCTGGTCTTCGAGCCTCTCCTCAAAGTCGTTCAGAAGCTCACTGAGCTGCCCCCTCCAGTCCTCCAGGTGCGCCTGGCCCTCCTCCTCCTCTTCCCCCAGATCCTCCTCCTCCGCGCCCCGCCGGCCCTCCCCAGTCTCCTCCAACGCCTCGGGCGGCCCCTGCACCTCCGCCTCCTGCTGTTCCAGCTCTTCCCATCCCTCAGCCTCCTCCTCCTCCTGCCTTTTGAGCTCCTCCGCGCATCTTCCTTCCTCCTCCTCCTGCCGCCTCCGCTCCTCCAGCCTGGCGTCCTCCTCCAGCCGCCGCCTCTCCTCCGCTTGGGCCTGGGCCTGCAGACGCCTTCGCTCCTCCTCCGCCTCCAGGCGCTCGCGCTCCTCACGCTCCCTCCGCTCCGCGTCCTCCCAACCTGGCGCTTCCAGGCTCCGCTGCTGCTCTTCCCGCGGCGCCCTTTCCGCCTCTAGAGGCGGCTCCTGCCCCTCGCCCTCCTCCTCCAAGAGCTCCTGCCTTCTGTTCTCTTCCCAAAGCCTCCTCTCCAGCGCCTGCAGCCTCTGCTCCTCTAGGCGTCTCTTCTCGGCTGCTTCCGCCTTTTGCCGCTTGCACTTGGCCTCCAGTTCTCGCCAGTAGTCTTCTTGGCGTCTTCTCTCTTCCTCGGAATCCAGCGGATTGGGTTCCTCTTCGTGCCACGTTGGCTTGTCCTCGCCTGGGTGTCCGTTCTGGTCCAGGCAGGGCCGACTCTCAAGGCCGCCTTGCTCATGTTGTGGATCCTAACATTGGAAAGGAAAACACAATTAGCCTTTTGCTTTCTCCACCCACAGTCGTTCCTTTTCCTATTCACAGTGCCAGCGACCCTCTTAATTTCTCAAGAACACCTGGAAGCAGGTATTCTCAAGTTCAGGGATAGCTAAACTCAGGCATCGGTCACCCCACGCAAGACTCTGTCGTGCGAATGGAGAAAAGGACGTGTATTCTGTTTCCGCGCCCCCCTCCCCACCAGCTCCTTTATTTGTCATTCCCTAATTCCTTTCCTTAATATGAACAAACGAGGAAAACCAATATTCAAGCATTAGATGAGCAAAAAGAGACTTGGACTTCATTAATGTCCCCTGGAGCTTGTGACTTGGAAGCCTATCCTAGTCAAACTGAGGGAGCATTGGCTAAACCACTTTTCCACTGCAAAGCAAACACAACGGGTCTGGAGCCCCTCAAAAGGCAACCGCTCCCTCTGAGGTCCACCAGCCTCATGCCAGAAAGGGCGAGGAAAGTAAACAGGCCTGTGTATTCCCCAACACCGCCACACACTCAAGTTCCCGATGGGGAGACTCTCAGGTCTTTACATGGCTCCACCCCAATGCCAACCCACTTGTAGAATTAGTGCCCAGTAGGCAAGGGCACCTGCCTGGTCAGCCCGTGCAGGCTCTACACACCTGGGCAAGGCGCCTGTGCTTCTTTGACACCCTCTGTTTTTTTGGCTTAACAGCCAGCTTGTGCTTGGCGGCACTGTTGTCCAGGCGAGCGATGGCCAGGGGGATGGCATCTAAGTTGACACTTTCGATGGTGCCAGCAGAAGAGAAGTGCCTTTTTGGCCGAGACGGTTTAACGGGAGCAACCTGTAGGGGAGATTAAAATAGAAAGTCAGTTGGGATCAGAAGACAACCTGCAGGGAATCGCAGAACGGTGGCACTCGTTCCAGTGTGCGCCTCGCCCAGCCTGGCCCAGGGAATGCAGGTGAGCAGAGGGAACTCCTCAGAAAATGAAATGAACACCCGTTTTGGAACCAAAGGACATTGACTATTTGTTCTGCCAGCGTCCACTGGTATTAACTTGTAAAAGTCATATAACTTTTAGGAACTAATTTTCCTACTTTGACTAATATGAGGTTCAGAGTAGCTCCAAGATTAGCAAAACATAGCCAGGAGGCCAAATCCTGCCCACAGCCTGTTTTGGAGAATCAGAGTTTTACCGGGCCACAGCTACACCCATTGTCTTTGGTTGCTTTTTGTGCTATGAAGGAAGAGTGGCACAAAGGAGAGTACTTGTAGCTTCATGTCACAAAGCCTAAAATAATGAGTAGTTTGCTGACCCCTGGCCTAGATCACCTCTGTGCTAAGAACTGTTAAACTCTCAGACACTGCATATATGCCTCAGCTCCTACACAGGACTTAGTCCCTTTGAGGCTGGGAGTGTGTCTTTTTTCATCTTTGTATGGGTACCCTTTACACCCACGTAGCAAACCTCATTTGGTCAGTGCTCAATAAATATCTGTTGAAGGAATAAAGGAAAATAAAGTATAGCATCTATACCTGGAACACGAAATTCCTGATCGACAAAAATGTTTTGGTATGGCTGGGTGCGATGGCTCACACCTGTAATCCCAGCACTCTGGGAGGCTGAAGCGGGCAGATCACTTGAGGCCAGGAGTTCGAGACCAGTCTGGCCAACATGGCAAAACCCCATCTCTACTAAATACTTTAAAAATAAATTAGCCGGGTGTGGTGGTGCACACCTGTAATCCCAGCTGGGGAAGCTGATGCATGAGAATTGCTTGAACCCAGGATGCGGAGGTTGCAGTGAGCTGAGATCGCTAGGCTGCACTCTAGCCTAGCCCACAAAGCAAGACTCTGTCACACACACACAAAAGTTTTGGTACAATCGCTCCAAAGAAGTCTCAGGGTACTGACTGCACTGAGAAGATAAAAGGAAGAGGGACCTGATGAGAAAAATGAGCGGCAAAAATCTGCCACCGGGACAAGTGCGGTCCTTCAAAGGATGAATTGTGGAATGGCCTGCAGCTCTAGAATACAGATGCAATCACTAAAAAAAAACACAACCTCAGATGAAGGGTAGATTTGGAAAGATCAGAGAGATCGTGACACAGCCCGAACCCACAGGCCACACTGAATTAGAAGGTAGGACACCACGCCTGTACCTACAGAGAATTCACAGGCTGGCAGCAAGCAAAGGGCTCCTGCTAGAGTGTGGCAGGGGGTGCGGCACTATGCCAGCAGCTCCGATGTGGCCAGGGTTTATTTGTTTGTTTCTGCTGTAGGCATGGAGTGGTGAGGTTTAGCAGATGGGCTTGCTTTTTGCAATTATCTTCTATATGCACAAAAGATGAAAGACCAAGCAGCTAGCTCTAAAAGCAAAATGGATGCTCAGTATATATTAATTTATGACAAGAAGCACAGAAAAATCAAGTTTTGGCCTTCTAGCTTTCATTTATTTATGGTTATCTTTATAATGGGCATGAGATTCTAAGCTATTGCTGAATGAAACATTTGTTTCCATCCCCTAATAGATGCATGAGAAAAAGGAGTCGGAGCCAAATGTGACAGATTGAAGACATAGATAAGCACTTGATGCTGAGATTTAAGTGCTGTGCTTTGTTTCTAGCTATCCCAGCTGGCTTCCTCATTGTCTGGGCGGCAGCACTGTCTTGAGCCATCCCCTTCTTCAGGAGCAGATCCTGCTTCCTATACTGTCTGCCAGGCCTTGGGAGAATGCCTGGCCCCTTGTGCAGATGAAAGGTCCTCAATGGGGCAGATCGGCTCCTACAGAAGAGGTGCCCGGGGAGAAGAGTCCACAGGGTTCTTACACTCCTGCAGGTAAAGTCCCAGGTTTAAAAAAAAGGACACAGAAAAGTTTAAAAAACAACATAAAAGTAGAGAAATGCTAAAGTGCTTTTTTGTTTTGTTTTTGTTTTGCCTCTCTAAATATAAGAGGACTCGTTTCCTTACAGACTGGATATTCTGGAATGCCTTTTTCAATCAATTAACAGGATCTTGAAGTACATGATCCTTTGAGGAAAGCTACCAACTTCTAGGACCCCAAACACAGGCATGCTGGGAGTATGGCTAGTTTTCAGAGCAGAGTTCAGTTCCAGCAGTTGCCTTGCCATGGAAACAGATGCTCCAACATCTGTCACTAGTGGCATTCTGAAGGAATTTAAATATATGAAGGCAACATTTATGAATGGAAAATGAGGCAGCAGGTCGCAAAAAAAAAAAAGGGGGGGGGAAGATGAAAGTTAAGTAAGGAAAGAAGCCAAATAAATAAGTTCAAATCATATTACCTTCTCTTCCATCTCACTTCCAGCTCCAGGGAGATTCAGAGGACTTAGAGAACTTGGCGTATCACTGGACTGGAACAGTAAGAGAGCATTCAAGTCAAAGGCCTGAACAGGAAGTTCTGGGCAAATAACCAGACACTGTCTGTGCCTGGGTAGGGTCACCCCCTCCTCTACACAGGGGTGCAGCTGGCCTCAGAGAGCCAGCAGGTGTCCCAGTGGAGACTATGCTAATATCCAAACTCCACCAGCACTACCTGAGACACAGAGGGTGCACCAGCCTCTCCCCGAGTTCAATGTGTTTCCCACCTGGGTAGTCCCCAGTCTCGGTCATTTGTGTTTTTCTCCACTGCCTGACAGAATGTGAGTAGCTCAACAGCCACTTTCCCTGGGGTGCAGGGCTGTGTCTCATACATGGCCTCCAACCTCAATGCTTTTGGCCTTGCTGGCTGCCTCTCCCCTTCTCCAGCCACACCTCCCCCATCTAAGCAATGAGTGAGAAGAAAGAAGGCCTACCAACTCCACATGCAAAGAGCTGGGCTGAGAAGGTGAAAGACCAGGGAGGGGCCAAGAAAACAGCAGAAAGGGAGAAGAAAAAGGCTAAAGATTCACACCCCCATGTCCTAGGCATGCCCAGGAGACCCCCAGAGGTCATTTGTACCTTTCATATGGCCCACTATGCCTCCTATAGTGGTATCTTCTTTTTCTTTTTTTTTTTTTTTGAGACAGGGTCTCACTTTGTCTCCCAGGCTGGAGTACAGCTGTACAGTCACAGCTCACTGTAGCCTAGAACTCCTGGGCTCAAGCCTCAGCCACTCAGGTAGCTGGGACTAGAGGCATGTGCCACGTCTGGCTAACTTTTTACTTTATATATATATATTTTTTTTGAGACAAAGTCTTGCTCTGTCGCCCAGTCTGGAGTACAGTGCCGTGATCTCAGCTCACTGCAACCTCTGCCTCCTGGCTTCAAGCTATTCTGCAGCCTCAACCTCCCGAGTAGCTGGGATTACAGGCATGCGCCACCGCATCCGGCTAATTTTTGTATTTTTAGTAGAGATGGGGTTTCACCATATTGGCCAGGCTGATCTCGAACTCCTGAGTTCAGGTGACCCGCCCACCTCGGCCTCCCAAAGTGCTGGGATTACAGGCATGAGCCACCACGCCCAGCCTATTTTATAATTTTTGTAGAGATGAGGTCTCTACAAAATGTTGCCCAGGTTGTTCTCAAACTCCTGGCATCAAGTGATCCTCCCACCTCAGCCTCACAAAGTGCTGGCATTATAGGTATGAGCCATACTGCCTGGCCCCTGCGACACCATCTATCCTGTATTGCCATTTCTTACAAAAGAGTCTTTTCTTCCCTTCCAGAGCAACCATGTCAGCTTGCCCTACCTCCGTCTGTTCTCCACACCACACTTAGAAGAATCTTCAGAAAATACAAATCAGATTATGTCACTGCTCTGCTTAAAATTACTCAGAGGCTTCCTATTATCTTCCAAATAGAATTTACCCTTTTCCCATGGTCTATACAATCCGGCTTGGCACCTCTCTCTACCCTCCCCTTGCTCCCACTAGGGTCCTGCTACACTCCTCACCCAAATAAGAGACCTCTCCACCACCAAGTTACTCACTTTTCCATTACCCTGTTTTATTTTCTGTGCAGCCAGCATTTTTCTTGATCTGAAATGATTCTATTTATATACTGGTTGACTTGTTTGTTGTTTGTTACACCCTCTCATTAGGGTGTAAACTACAGAGATGGGGGGCCCCTTGTAGAATCTTGCTCACCTCTGTAATACCCATATCTGAGACAGAGCCTGCTGAACAAACAATCCCCCAGGCCACAGTGCCCAGCACTTATGAGCTCATCAATAACTGTGAGGACATTTGCTTCAGATCTCAGGATACCCCTGCACCAAGGCGATGGCTGTTGCTTCTGCCTAGCACTGGAGAGGTTGGGAAGAGCAATTTTAGAGCTGCCGGGAGAGATGGGCCCATCCCTGCTTGACCTACCACACAAAGGGTGTCAATGCGTGGGTGCCAGGTGTCACAATGGGCAACAGGGGAGGAATGTCCTTTTTCACATCCCTTCCTCACTTGCCTCTGCAAATCACTCGTCTTTCTCACTACTCTCATGACACATCAGTTGATAATGCATGATTTCTTCTGAGACATGCCCATTTTAATAACACCCAACAAAATTCCAGGGGTCTTGATAGGCAGAGCCTAGAGAATGGGTTTTTTTTTTGTTTGTTTTTTCATTTTTTTTTTTAAAGTGAAACCCCAGTGCCTCACCTAGAGAATTCCTGACTCGCTACTGGTTGGACTTTGCTCCTTTTTCCCTAAGAGGTCTAAGGGCATCTTTTCTGCTGCTTTGGAAGAACTCTCATTTCAGGATATGCTCAAAGTGTCAAGAGATCAAATTTAGACAGGATGGTGCTGGAATGTGACTTTCTTTCCAGACTAGGTACTCTTCAAGTTGGCCTGTTTGATGTCTTCTATCTCATGGAGCCCCTACGCATTTCTTTTTTCATTTCCCTTTAAATTAGTCCACTTGGACAAATAATTAGGCAGTACTGCAAAGCAGGCAGTGGCTCAGTCCTAGGGAGACAAAGATGTGTCAGACCCAGTTTGTTCTCAAGGAATCCCATGTTTAGAGATGGAGAGAAAACAGTTACATGGACATAGATAGGGAGAACAGACGTGTGAAAAATGGTAAAGACACACAGCAAAGGCACAAGAAGACAGTACAGCTTGGGGTGAGGCCAGGTACGGCTTCCCAGAAGAGGTAGGCATAAGCCTTGAAGGGTAAGTGAAAGACACTGGGAAGACCGCCTGCAAAGGGCTTGTCTCCTCTTCCTCCCTGTCCTCTTCACTGGCTACAGGTCAGGACACCTACCAGGAAGTGCCCTCAAGCCCTGAGCTACTCATGAGAAAAGCTCCTCCCTCTAATTCCCCTGCTGCAGACCCCAGGGTTACTGGAGGCCCAATGTCCTGCCCTGGTTTATGAGCCATCAAGTCATTCCCTGGAGGAGACTTACCTTGTTCTCTGCGTCTGAGAGGACGATGTCCTGCTGAGTCACAATTTCCATGGGACTGGTCAGGAACAGATCCTCTTCTAAGCTAGCCTCTCCACTGTTTGCCTTATTCATGGGAATGGCATTGGGTGACCGCTGCCCAAACTTGATATTCTTGCCCAACTGTTGCTGGAGAGAAACAGAAGAAAGACATTCTGAAGCAGTGAAGCAGTTCACAACCACCACAACCAGGTTCTCCAGCATGTCTAGTGAGCACTGAGGCATACCTTGTGCACAACTGATTTCTAGACTCAACACCATGCCAGGAAACCATGATGCCATCCTGTAATAAGTTAATTTGTTTTCCACTTTCTTCTCTTTTCTTTTTTTTTCTTTCCCACCTTCAAGCCATGAGCTTTTTCATCCAGCCACCTCTTTCATGGAGATCCCAACATTTCCCAGTGGGCATGGTGGCCACATTTTCTGAACCAAAAGTTGGGATATATGTTATGACAAAAATTTTTCATTAACCTATAAATTCATTTACATAAAAAGTCTCTTAAAAGTGCAAAAAAAATTATAGAAAACAGTTACATGAAATGTAGGAACCACTGAGGGAAATCAAGACCCTAAAGGTTGGTGCAACTCTCCAGCCCCTTTGGGACATATTCACTTTGAAGATTTATACTTCCGCAGCCTTCCTCACCAGCCCTTAGCTTGAGACCCCAAACCAGAACATTGCATTCTGCCACACTGGGTCGCTGCCAAGGCAAAGAAGGCCCCAGGGCCAGCAAGTCTTTCCATGATCAATACTAAAACCCTATAAAGGATAGGAACAATCTGGACGTCCTCTTTGCCTTGCTGTGGCCACCTAACCGTGACAAAGGAGACAGAGGAACCAAATGGGGAAAAGCCAGGGAGGGACTGACTACTGGTGAGTGGTGGCTAGAAGGACAGGGAAAAGGGAGGGGAAAATGGGGTAGAAATTCGGAAGATTAAATAGTATTTGCAAGTAGAGGAAGGCCAGATTAGAAAAGCAAAAATGTCTCCAGAAGTTGCCCAAAGTCCCCTGGGGGGTAAAATTGCCCCCAGCTGAGAACCACTGCTCTAGACCTAGGTCCTTGGGTTACATAGTCATTATATTCCTCAAAGAATATATTTTCTGAAATGTTCATCTTTCTCTGTTTGTTTGTTTGTTTGTTTGTTTGTTTGAGACACGGTCTCGCTCTGTTGCCCAGGCTGGAGTGCAGTGGCCCAATTTTGGCTCATTGCAACCTTGAATTCCCAGGTTCAGATGATTCTCCCATGCTCAGGTGATCCTCCCACCTCAGCCTTCCAAGTAGCTGGGATTACAGGCATGCACCACCACAGCCAGCTAACTTTTGTATTTTTTGTAGAGATGGGGTTTCAACAAGTTGCCCAGGCTGGTCTCAAACTCCTGGTCTCAAGCAATCCGCCCACCTCGGCCTCCCAAAGTGCTGGGATTACAGGCATGAGCCACCACACCTGGCCTGATATTTATCTCTAATCTGGCTAATATTTAACCCCACAGAGCTGCAAAAAGCCATAGCAATCACCTACTCCAAACCCCTCACTTTGCAAAAAATGTCTGAGGCCCAGTGGAGAGAGGTGACTGGCCCAAGCTTACGGAAAGAATGAGTGGCTCAAAAGGAATCTGAACTCAGGTCTTTTAAAAATAACATTCAGTGTTGTTTTCATTGTACTCCACTGGTGCTCATAAATTTGACTTTGTACTTCTTTCTTCCAGGGGCAGAAATAAAGAGGCAGAGTATTTCTAATACTTCAATGATGTTCCCTGGCGCAAGAATCCCTTGAGGGAAATGTCTTCTCTCCCTTTGAACTCAGCGGTACCAAAACCACCCACCTTTGCCCAGCTCCCCCTCAGCCTTGCACAGTGGGCAGTGAGACTGCAGAGATATAATAGAGATAAGCCCAAGGGTCCCCTCCACATGCCCCCTGGGGACCCCAGCATGCCAAGTCAGGAGCACAGCCAGGCAAGGGCTTGTATGCCTGGCTCTCCCAGCCTCACAGGACAGGAGCACACATGAAAAGCCAAGTTCAGCAAGGGAAGTACAGCGTCAGCAGCCTGGAAGGGTTGTGGGGAGGAGAAGGCTGAAAAGGGTGTCTTCTAAAAACAAGTCCAACAGGAAGTGGCAGGTAGTATCTATCTACTCTAAGCAAATCAATAAGCAGGCATGGTTAGAACAGCCAATGGATGGAGTTAGACAAGAGGACATGGAATAACAAGGTAACAGGCCCATTTCACCCTGCAGCCTTGGGAGAGGGGGTGGGGACCTGTGCAGAAGAATGGTTCCTGTGTCCGCCCAGCCCAGCCTTCTCTAGGAGTGTTGGCCAAGAACTGGAAACTGTTCTAAATCCCCTTAGATTGAGACATGTCCTGGTGGGAGGGTCTGCTTTTTACCAATGCTGAGATGAGGACATTTCTTGTGCTTACAGTGGAAAGGATAATTCCTTTTTTTCTGAGACAGGGTCTCTTTCTGTCGCACAGGCTAGAGTGCAGTGGCATGATCATAGCTCACTGCAGCCTGGATGTCCTGGGCTCAAGTGATCCTCCTGCCTTAGCCTCCCAAGTAGCTAGGACCACATGCATCGACCACCACACCTGGCTAATTTTCAGATTTTCTTGTAGTGACGGGGTCTCACCATGATGCCCAGGCTCGTCTCAAACTCCTGGGCTCCACTGATCCTCCTGCATTAGGCTCCCAAGGTGCTGGGATTACAGGTATGAACCACTGCACCCCGCTGGAAAGGATAATTCTTTAATGAATTTCCAAGGAGGACCTGGCCTAACACTCTAATACCATTTAATTAGGATTTTTGCCATCATCACACACACAAAAATTGAATATACTTAAACTTTACTTCATTTTAAATTTTTTAAATTAAATTTTATTTTTTTAGAGTTGGGGTCTCCTTCTGTTGCCCAGGCTAAAGTGCAGTAGTGCCATCATAGCTCACTGCAGCCTCAAACTCCTGGGCTCAAGGAATTCTCCCACCTCAGCCTCCTAAATAGGTGGGACTACAGATGCACACCACCATGCCCAACTAATTTTTAAAATTTTTGTAGAGGTGGGTGGGGTCTTGCTATGTTGCTCAGGCTGGTCGGGAACTCCTAGACTCAAGCAGTCCTCCTGCCTCCGCCTCCCGAAGTGCTGGCATTACAGGCATGAGCCATCACACCTGGCCTGTTTTACTTCATTAGAGCCCTTGTTATAATACTCATGTTGGTCCATCCTGATGCTTAAGAGACAAAAAAAGAATAAGGCAAAATGTAATCACAGTCTGAATTGAAATAATGTCCAAAGATGGAATGACTATTATATCTACAAACAGAAAAGAGAACATGGAAAGAAAAAAAAAAAAAAAAAAGGAATAAGAACAGGAAAAAGAAGGTGCCTGGTGCAAAGCAGAGAAATGAAAAGAGTAATGTTAGGAAGTGAAGTTGAGAATTAAAGAGGCAATTCGAGAGGAAGGGACAGGGAACAGAGAAAATGCATAGGCAAGAAGAGGGAGCAGGGCCCAGGAAGAGCAGACCAGCTGCAGTTACAACAGCTGGGGGATGTTGGCAGGGGAGGGCAGAGGGAGAAGAGGCAGAGGGAGGGAGGGAAGCAGAATGTATCTATCACGTATGTCACAGATATGTTCATCCTGGCAAAATCAGCATCATGCTGTTGCCTTTTAGAATGAAAGTGTGCATCTTAGTAAAGAAATTGACTTGAAATCCCCCCAGAGAAAACAAACTCAGGCTGGTGGCTGGGGAACTTAGGAAGAGAAACTGCGATGAAAGAGGAGAATGGTGGCTGTGACGAAGAGGAGGGCTACAGTTTCTATGTCCAGACGAAGCACTGTCCTCGAAGACATGCCCTACAGCCATCTGGGATGAGACAGTGGACCCAGGCCAGGGCAGGACTCAGGGTCCGACGCATGGTGCTCAGTCCTCAGGTACCCAAGGCCAAGGCCAAGGCCTCGCCCCTACAGGCTCTCCCTGTGGTACCTCCTCCGAATGCTTCCTTCAGCCAACTCAGAGGAGACTGGTTGTTAGGACATTTTGTGTGATTTATTGTATCAACAATTAAGTTTACTGCTCACACCTGTTTGACAATCTCAGGTGTCATGTGAATTGACTATGTGGATAAATGTGTCTTTTTTGTTACTTTAATTCTGCCCACTACTCAGGCATTGTCATGAGAGGAACTATGAAATAAACAATCACTGAAAACCAGACTGTTAAGATAAGCCAGACTTTAAGTTTTCAGAGAGATAAACTACTACTCCTCCCATCTTTAAAAAAAATATATATCCCTAGGTTCCTTCTTTCTTTTTTTTTTTTTTTCCTACAAAGGAGTCTCGCTCTGTCACCGAGTCTGGAGTGCCAATGGCACGATCTCGGCTCACTGCAGCCTCCGCCTCTGGGGTTCAAGCGATTCTCCTGCCTCAGCCTCCCGAGTAGCTGGGATTACAGGCACATGCCTGCACGTCCTGCTAATTTTTGTATTTTTAGTAGAGATGGGGTTTCACCATGCTGGCCAGGCTGGTCTTGAACTCCTGGCCTCAAGTGATCCACCCACCTCGACCTCCCAGAGTGCTCGAATTATAGGCATGAGCCACCACACCCAGCCTCCAGACTCCTTCTTTATACACATGGGAAGTATAAACAGAAGGGAGAGTGGAAATCTGTGCCTCAACTGACACTCCATGTTGCTGGTGGCCATGAATGGAGTTACTGTTGAGACTGGAATGTGAGCTACAAGGAACTATATTTTATTCATTCAAATTGGACCATTTTGTTGTAATGTGGAATGCTGGAGAATGACATTACAGGAATGCATATCCATATTTATAAGGCTTATTCCTACAATGTGGAAATGCCGAGCACACCATATTCTGCAGCTCTCTGCCAGTGTCTAGATTTTCCTATCCTTCAGACTATGTCTAAAGAGCAAAGCAGAAAAAAATAAATAAGTAAAGTTGCTGTCTTTTTGAGCAAACTACAGGTATCTCCATAGTTAAAATGAATAATAATAAAAAAAAAGAAAAAGCATACAGAATTAAAGACATCCTGCTCTAGGAAGAAGTGGCTAAGAGCGGGTGTTTATTCTTTGTGTCCTTGACAGCTGCAGTAAGGTGTCAAAATCCCCGAATGTATGACTTTGGTATTTGTAAGTGAAATCCAGCTCGGTGGGAGATACAAGCCACTCAGGATGGCGGTGTTCCCTCCTACACCAGATAATCCGTGGTACAAACAGACTAAGCATTTCCTGACAAAGGTGTGGTATAATCCTAACAATTACCTGCAGCCTCAGACTGTGGTACCCCTGAGTTTTATCACCAGTTGGTACATACCTCACAGCCCGGTCTGATCTTACACAAACAGGCACCCTCCCTGATCCATGCTGGTGGGCAGCTGTAGGGAATGTCAAGGTCATTGTAGCTGAAATGCAACGAAGTGCGAAGCTTCTGAAGCCGCTCCATGCTACAGCAGTTCAATAGTGATTGTATAGAGATCGCAGATCTTAAGAGCAGGAGGGGCCCTGAGATCACCCCTTGTGTGCATGCCCCTTAGTTTTCAGGAGGAGAAAGTGCCAGAGAGGTTGAACGACTTCACCCAAAGCCATACAGCCAGGTGGGGCTGGCTTTATATTCCACTGCATTCTGTCACTCATTCAAATGGTATTCACACTACTGGCCACAGAGCGACTCTGTTATGTACAGAGTCCTCACAAAGGACACCACTGTTGGTTTTGTCCCTATAACTGCCCCATATATTAAAATTTGTTTTCACTCTGCACGTGCACTATTTTTATCTTTAGAAAAAAAATGGTGATTTTTCTTTTAAATAGTGATTTTTTTCTTTTAAATCTGCCACAGAAATTGTGGCAGATGGTAGATTCACATTACTCAGGAAAGGGGAGGCTGGTTTTTGCTGTATTGAGTTCTTCTGTACTCCGTGGAGAGATACCAACCTGCAAACTAAGACAGTTCTCGGTGAGCCCACCATGTGCAGGCACTAGAGGGCAGCCTTTCCAAAGGCAGGCATTACAGACAGACACCCTTCCGTGGGTCTCTAGGAACTCGAAGGGCTGGGAAGTTTCTTAAGCCACAGAGAAAAAAGGCACTCCAGTAGACATCTCATCTCAGAAGAATGTCTTAATAATGGTGGCTAATCAGCTTGCCAGGACATACACTGTCAAATAGGTGTTTTCCATTACTTCTCTCTTTTTAAAAATAAACATACACACATACACAAAGACAATTCCAGACATAAAAACATACATGCCTCAGACACAACTAAATTCTCTCATTCCATGCTGGCATCTACAAGGGGGCGGTCTCTTAGGCTGCTTACTAAGCATCAATACCAGCATCACGTTGTCATGGAAAAATGCAAAGCATTCATGCAAGTTAATAAAGTTACTATCACTTCTACGACTTACCAGGAACATACTGCTTAGTCGACTGAAAAATAAAGCACAGTCTTTTTGGGGATGATTCAGTTATATCTCAAGTCACGCCAAAAAAAAAATCACATTTTCTATGATAATGGTCCCCATTTCCCTCCTCAAAGAATGAACAAAGCCTTTTATGTTTTCAAAAGTATAACTACAGAGCTGAAAGGAAGCTTGTGAATCCATGCAGCGGAAGCAAAACTAGGCAGACTTCATCTGAATAGATATTGTCAAAATGAGCGCACACAAATTAAACAGTTATTCTGCTTTACTCACATTTTTCTTCCTGTGTTTATGCAATTGTCACTTCGGGGAAGTTAGTCATTTTACATTTTATTAATTATGACATCAGGTTATTTAAAATCACGCCTTACTGTTAACAGAAATATTTTTATTGGGTTTCTATCTTTCCAATACTGCAGAATTATATAGTATACTTTTTTACAACACTAAATCCACTTCTTGGCGTGGCAGTGGCATGTGGTATGATGTGACAGAGCAGGTATCATTGAAGACAAGAGATTTTTATCTGATTTTTTAAAAACTCCTAAAAAGCTCTCATAAAATACAGCTGTTTTGTGAACTGAAATCTGTAAGTCATTCCTCTTAGAAAGGGGATCCAATGAACCAGAAGTTCACAACTTCTTAGGAATAATATTGCAAGAATCAAAAGACTTGAAGAAGGAAAGGTAAGGAGGAGGGGGGTCAAGGTTTTCTTTGGCCATCACCATACTTCCCTCTTCTTCAACCTATAAGAAGTCACAGCTTGCTTTTTCTATAAAAAGTGTTAGAGCACGGCCAGCTAGAACCAAGAATGGAAGCCAGTTAGGAAATGCTAAGATTTGAAGGACATGTCTGGGGGTTGGCCCTGAGGGCAGGACTATGGCTTTGGGCAGCGGTGGCAGCAGGCATCAAGACCTAGGCAAGTTGGGTGTCGTTCCAAGGTCTCTTGGCTACTTCCCTGTCTGCCACATGCTACATTTAGCTGGGTGTTATGTGGAATATGTGACCAGACACAATTTCCACAAAATATCACAAAATACACAGCCTACGCTCCATAGAAACAAGAACACCTCACAAATAATTTTCTTTTTTTTTTGAGAGGAAATCTCTCTCTGTCGCCAGGCTGGAGTGCAGTGGTGCAATCCTGGCTCACTGCAACCTCCACCTCCCGGGTTCAAGTGATTCTCCTGCCTCAGCCTCCTGAGTAGCTGGGACTACAGGCGCCTGCCACCACGCCCAGCTAATTTTTTGTATTTTTAGTAGAGACGGGGTTTCACTGTGTTAGCCAGGATGGTCTCGATCTCCTGCTGATCTCTACTGAGTACAGTGCTTCAGCATATCAGTAGCTACTGAGGGCAGTTGTTCTCTTTTCCTTTTTTTTTTTTTGCTCGTTTATTGATTCATTCATTTAATCCATTGTTGTAGACTTACAGACAGGTGGAAGCCAGCAGACCAGAGCCCTCTGTTCATAACCTGGAGACCCTCCAAGCAGCTAGCTGGAGAGCCTCAGAGAAGTGCTTGCTTGGGCATTTCTCTTGGGTAAGCGAATTTTTTTTTTTTTTTTGGACAAGCTCTCACTCTATCACCCAGGAAGGCATGCAGTGGTGCAATCTCAGTTCACTGCAACCTCTGCTTCCTGGGCTCAAGCCATCCTCCCACCTCAGCCTCCTGAGAAGCTGGGACTACAGGCATGCACAACCATGCCCGGCTAACTTTTGTATTTTTGGTAGAGATGGGGTTTCACCATGTTGCCCAGGTTAGTCTCAAACTCCTGAGTTCAAGCAGTCCACCCACCTCGGCCTCCCAAAGTGCTGGAATTATAGGAGTGAGCCACTGTGCCTGGCCAGATGAGAGAATTCTATCTGCCAAGCAGCTAGGCAGACCTCATAGTCAGGCTCTAAGTGCCTCTGCTCTTCTTGCTTTTCCTGTATTATCTGTCATTTCAATCATATGTAGTGAATAATTATTTATTATATTTTCATTGTTAGGGAGGTACCACCCGAGTAGATTTTAGGTAGGAAAACTGCCCCACTCTGCAGAGTGAACTGGAAGTGGCTTAAGAGCTTTGTGATTTTCTTCTGAGACAAGGTGGCTTAGGGTGGCGAGATTTACAAATACAACAGAAAAATAGAGTCGTATCATTCACTGTCCAATTACAGAGACTCGGAAAGTGGATATGTGTTGTGCACACGCTCAGTCAACAGTCAGCCCTGATTCAGGGATTATGGGCAATGCTTAACGGTTAGGAACTCTTCCTCTCATCCAAGTCCTATAGCTTTTTGTTGTTGTTGTTGTTGTTGGGGAGAGAGCCTTGCTCTGTCACCCAGGCTGGAGTGCAGTGGCATGATCTCGGCTCACTGCAACCTCTGCCTCCCGGATTCAAGTGATTCTCCTGCCTCAGCCTCCCTTGTAGCTGGGATTACAGGTGTGTGCCACCACATCCAGCTAATTTTTGCATTTTTAGTAGAGACAGTGTTTCGCCATGTTGCCCAGGCTGCTTTTGAATTCCTGGCCTCAAGTGATCCACCCGCCTCGGCCTCCCAAAGTGCTGGGATTACAGGCCTGAGCCACCGCGCCTGGCCCCAAGTCCTGCAGCTTCTCTTGGGTACTTGTTTTCATGTCCAGTAAAATATGAGGGAACAATTTGAAAGAAAAGGAGAGGGTGTGTCATGCAGATGGCTGCAGTGGTGATAGTGTAGCTCTTGCAGGTAGGCAGGAGGTTTCCAGAGAATACAGTTGAATTCAAGAAAGCAATAATTCTCACCAGGAGTGACCTCTGGACCTCCCAATCCATTACTCAAGGCCAAGCTCGGGACTTTTCCCACTTCCCTTCATAACTGGGCCCCTCCTATGGCTCGTAATTCCACTCTCAAGCTGTCTTACCTGAAGAGTTTTGACTTTGCCCAGGATGTTGTCCTGTGACATTGCTTGAACTGTCTGCTCACTTTCTGCTCCCCCATCAGGGATAAAAATACTGTCATGGGAAAATGCCCGGGTTCCCATAGAATAGTTGAAGGACCTGGAAGGTAAATCATGTGCTTCATTTTATTAGGATAAAATTTCTTTTGGCAATTCAGTTTTCCATTATTCCTGATTGGAGGGACTCCACCCACATTCCCAGTCTCATTCGGCAAGCACTTTCAGCATTGTGTCCCTGTCTGCTGGGGGTCAGCCAAGGAGCTGGGTAGACAAAAGGGTCCCCATCTCTTACATAGCCCTGGTTCAGAGCCATTCACCGTGAGAACACAAAGACAGTTACTTATTTGTATAGGATCCAAGACAGAAGGCACTGCAGAACTTTTAATTGGAAGAGCCTTTCTCCAGCTGAGCTGTCACTATCAGTTTTGTCCCAGTAAGTCTTGCCAACCAGAATTTATTAAGTAACATGCAAATCTAGAAGTAAGAGGCAAGGATTTCTTTCTTTCAGATGACAACCAAACTGGAAGAAAGATGTACACATCCCAAACAAAGACTTTGGAAGAGGACTAGAGAATTGTTGATAGAGACAATAAATGCTTTAGCAATTTCGGGAAAATGGGAGACATTTGTGTTAGGGCCATTCTGACAGGCTTTGCATATATGGAACACCTTATAGGTGGCTGGTATCCAACAAAAACTTTTTAAATTTTTATTTTTATTTATTTATATTTTTTAGAGACAAGGTTTTATTCTGTTGCCCAGGCTGGAGTGCAGTGGTGTGATCATGGCCCAATGTAGCCTCAAACTCCTGGGCTCAAGTGATCCTGCAGAGTAGCTAGGAATACAGACATCTGCTCCCACATCCAGCTAATTTATATTATTTTTTGTAGGGCTGGGGTCTTGCTATGTTACCCAGGCTGGTTTTGAACTCCTGGCTTCCTCACAAAGCACTGGCATTACAGGCATGAGCCACTAAGCCCAGCTAAAACACTTTTTAGTTGAAAGTCTGGACTTGGAGGAAGTCTGGACTTCTACCAGACAATGAGGTATAAGCCGTGTGAAATGCACAAAGACAGCCAGGCACGGTGGCTCATGCCAAGCCCAGCACTTTGGGAGGCAGAGGCAGGCAGATCACCTGAGGTCTGGAGTTCGAGACCAGCCTGGGCAATATGGTGAAACCCCGTCTCTACTAAAAATACCAAAAAAACAAAAACAAAAACAAAAAAATTAGCCGGGCATGATGGCTGGCGCCTATAATCCCAGCTACTTGGGAGACTCAGATGGGAGAATCGCTTGAACCCGGGAGGCGGGGATTGCAGTGAGCCAAGATTGCGCCACTGCACTCCAGCCTAGGTGAGACAGAGCGAGACTCAGTCTCAAAAAAAAAAAAAAACAAACAAAAAAAAAGAAATGCACAAAGAGGAAGCAGCAGAAGTAAGCGAGTAAGATAGCAGTAAGGAAGCAAACTGTTCCCTACTTGATCTTGGAAACTAACTTATCTCTGGGAAAGAGTACACACTGAGGCTGCCAGCTCCTCACAGGGGCAGGAAGAGCAGCAAGGCATGCACATTGCCACAATGCCAGGCAACACAGGCAGCACTTGGAGGGGAGAGAGAGCACAACCTCCTCCTTCCCCTCCCCAGAAAGGGGCCCCTACTGGGGTTTTCTCAGTGACCAAGTGCATGAAAGAATAGCCAGCGTTGGGGGCAGGTGTTCCCAGGCAGTGCCTCCGAACTGAATTACAGAATGCAGTGGGCAAGGTCCTGGGGCAGCTGTACTTGTTATCTGCCCAAGTCTAGACCCAGTTGGGAAGACTAATTACCAAATTTTATCATCTAGTTTGCTAAATTACAGGCAGCACGGTGTAAAAGTGTGCGAGGTTTACAAATGAAAGACTTGGATGTGAGCCTCCTGGCTATGTGATCTTAGGCAATAATAATAATTATTATAAACATCAACCCTTACTTTGATTTAAAAAAAAAACTGTGTGGAGTTTTACTTTCATTATCTCATTTAATCCCCATCATCACCATCTTGTGACAGATGAAACTCAGAGAGTAAATAACTTATATAAAGACATCCAAATTGAAGGAGTAGAGTGAGAAACTGAACTCAGATCTGCTGAGAATAATCTCATGCCAGCCAGCTGCCATATTTTAAAGTGGTAGAAGGTCATATAGTATTGCCATCATGAGTGACACAGGGTATGGGAGAGGAAGACGGTGCAGATGCCATGGGGCCTGGACTGTGAGAGGGTTGAAGACACTAAATAGCTAGAATAAGGCATACGTCTTCAGCTAAATAACCCAGGGCACCATATAGCAGCAATTCCCTTTATGAAATATGAGGCACTCTTTTAGGAAACATGCAGGGAGATTAATATGTTATGATCTCCCTGTCCTCAAAGAACCTGGGACCTATGTCACAAACTGAGCTTCCAAGTTCACCTAAAAATGTTATGAAATAAACTTTTCATTTGAAGTTGTGGAATCGCACTTCTGAATATTCTCTGTCTAAACTTCTTTTTCAGATCCCTGGTTATGACTCAGTTGAGAGAAGGGGTAAATGACTTCATTTCTACATTGTATTTTTGCAAAGGGCATATATATATATATATATATATATATATATATATATATATATATATATATATGTTTACTAATTTCTCACAGTTGTGTGTACAGAATACACCAGTGCTAGGCTAAGTTCCATTCCAGTTTCTAAGTCAACCTTGACTGCGTCATGAAGTCTATCCCCCTGATTTATTTTTCCACATAGGCTAAGAATTGGCACTCTCCTGCTCTTTGGTGTTGAACTCCAAACATTCCTGTTGCCGGCAAAGATCTGATGTCCATTCATTACTCACTTCCAGATGATCATATTGAAAAATAGAGAAAATGAAAAGTAATAATAGCAGTAGTAGTAATTATAATAGTGGTGGTCACAGTGGTAACATTTATCCTAGCTAAATTTTATTGGACACTTGTGATGTATCTTGCATATATGCTAACCTCTTTAACATAATATCAGAATCTTTTTGATATATAATATTTAAAACTTATGTGGTAGGCACTGTTAGTAAGGCTGTTTTATGGACAAGGAAACTAAGGTTTGAAGACAATGAGCAATTTGCTATAAATTAAGTAACTGTCTATATTATAATTTTTTCTGGCCTCTGTTCCACTGGTCTACTTGTCTGTTTTTTGTTGTTGTTGTTTTGTTTTTACTTTTTTTACTTACCTGTTTTTATACCAATAACACACTATCTTAATTGCTGTAGCTTTTTAAGGAGTCTTGATATCTAGTAGTTTAAGTTTTTCAGCTCTGGTTTTCTGGGTTTTTTTCTTTCTTTCTTTTCTTTTCTTTTTTTTCTTTTTACTTTTTTTTTTTTTTTTTTTTTGAGACAAGGTCTTGCTCTGCTACCCAGGCTGGAGTGCAGTGGCATGATCTCGGCTTAGTGTAACCTCCACCTTCTGGGTTCAAGCAATTCTCCTGCCTCAGCCTCCCAAGTAGCTCAGATTACAGGTGCCCACCACCACGCCTGGTTAATTTTTGTATTTTTGGTAGAGATGGGGTTTTGCCATGTTGGCCAGGCTGGTATAGAACTCCTGGCCTCAAGTGATCAGCCCACCTTGGCCTCCCAAAGTACTGGGATTATAGGCGTGAGCCGCCACACCTGGCTTCTACATAAATTTATACATATACACATACATGAATATACTATTGAGATTGCTTTTAGATGGCATTAAATCTATAACTTTTTAAACTGATGTTTTTACAATATTGAATCTTTTAATCCATGAACATGGGCTGACTCCTCATGTATTTATATCATCTTTAATTTCTCTTAACAAATGTGTTGAAGTTTTCTGTATAGAGGTCTTGTACATATTTTGATAGGTTTATTCTTATATATTTGGTGTTTCTGAATTTATTGTAAATGGTATAGACTAAAATTTCTATTTTCTAATTTTTTAATTAGTGGATATAAAATGTAACTTATTTTTATATATTGATCTTATAACCAGAGACTTTGCTAAGTTTATTTATCAATTATAATAACATGACTGCTGATTCTTTTTTTTTTTTTTAAGACAGGGTCTCAGTCACCAAGGCTGGAGTGCAGTGGCTAAATCATAGCTGCTGGGCAACCTTGAACTCCTGGATTCAGGGGATCCTCCTGCCTCAGTCTCCCAAGTAGCTGGGACTACAGGCTCATGCCAGCATACCTGGCTACTTTTAAAATTTTTTGTAGAGATGAGTTCTTGCCATCTTCCCTAGTCTGGTCTGGAACTCCTGCCTCAAGCAATCCTCCCACCTTAGCCTCCCAAAGTGCTGGAATTACAGGCATAAGCCACCACACCTGAACACCTGAACACCTGAAGCATAGAATTTTTGTAGATAAGCTTGTATTACTGCATCTTTGAAAAGACACATGATCTACTGATATGGTTTGGATCTGTGTCCCCGACAAATCTCATGTCAAATTGTAGTCTCCAATGGTGGGAGGTGGCTGGATCATGGGGATGGATTTCTCATGAACGGTTCAGCATAATCCCCTTGGTGCTATTTTCATGGTAGTGAGTGAGTTCTTGCAAGATCCTGTTGTTTAAAAGCATGCAGCACCTCCTGCCTTGCTCTCTCTTGCTCCTGCTCCTGCCATGTGAAACACCTCACTCCCTCTTTGCCTTCTGCCATGATTGGAAGCTTCTTGAGGCCTCCTTAGAAGTGGAAGCCACTATGCTTCCTGTACAGCATGCAGGATCACGGCCAATTAAACCTCTTTTCTTTATAAATTACCCAGTCTCAGGTATTTCTTCAGAGCAGTGCAAGAGCACACTAATACAGCTATCTTTCATTTATAGCTGATTTTAAAGTTAGCCTCTTTATCTTTGTTTTTTAGCAGTTTTACTCTGGTGTAGCAGGGTGTGAGCTTCTTTTAATTTATTCAGCTTGGGTTACACAATGCTTCTAAAATCTGTAGCTTGATGTCTTTCATCAGCTTTGGAAAATTCTCAGCCTTTATCTCTTAAATACTGTTGTGCCCCATTTTTCCTCTAATCTCTCTCTGATCCTCCCATGTTAAACCCTTTTAACTACAAGCCACATAACTTTTATTCTCATTATTATAGCTACCATTCTTTTTACTCAATATGATTCAGACTGGATATTTCTATGGACCTGCTTCCAGTTCACTAATTTTCTCTTTAAGTCCAATCTGCTGAGTTCTTAATTTCAGAAGTATATTTTAGATCTCAAATTTCCACTTAATTGTTTAATAAATTTAAGTTCTCTGCTGAAATTCTCCATCCTGTAAACTATATTCTTGAATATATTAATCACAATTATTTGAAAGTCTATCTGAAACTCCAACATCTAGGTCACCTTTAGGTCTCTGTCTATTATCTTGTTTTTCTTGTGGTCTGTTTCTTAGATGCTTGGTAATTTTTAATTAGACTTCACACATCATGCCTCAAAAATTTTAGAGGTGGCCAGTCGCGGTGGCTCACGCCTGTAATCCCAGCACTTTGGGAGGCCGAGGCAGGTGGATCACGAGGTCAAGAGATGGAGACCATCCTGGTTGACACGGTGAAACCCTGTCTCTACTAAAAATACAAAAAATTAGCTGGGCGTGGTGGCAGGCGCCTGTAGTCCCAGCTACTCGGGAGGCTGAGGCAGGAGAATGGTGTGAACCCGGGAGGTGGAGGTTGCAGTGAGCCGAGACTGTGCCACTGCACTCCAGCCTGGGCGACAGAGCAAGACTCTGTCTCAAAAAAAAAAAAAATTTAGAGGCTGGGTTCTCTCCTTCCAGAGAGGACTCACCTGATCTTCTTGAAGGCTTCAAACAGCAAAGAAGCACATCACTTCAATCCAATCAAAGACTGAGCTAATTCATGGCTGGTTAGAAATCTTTGTAAGGCTCAGACTACTTCTGTTTTGCCTCCACTTCTAGGGTGTGGTCCTCCCAGAGCCTCAACTGAGAGCCTGGGTTATTTCCTAAGGTCCCCCTCCTTGGCATATCTGCGTGTAAACTGTTAGAAGCAGCCAGGCCACATCTTAAATGCTTTGCTGCTTAAAAATTCCTTTCAACAGATACCCTAAGTCACCACTCTTGAGTTCAAACTACCACAGATCCCTAGGGAATGAACACAATGCAGCCAATTTATTTGCTACAGTACAACAAAGGAGACCTTGGCTCCAGTTCTCAGTAAGTTCCTTATTTCCATCTGAGACCGCATCAGCCTGGCCTTCACTGTCCATATAACTATCAGCATTTTTAGTCACAAGTATTTAACCAGTCTCTAAGAAATTCCAAACTTTCCCTCATCTTTTCTTCTCCTGAGCCCTCCAAACTCTTCCAACCTTTGCCTGTTACCCAGTTCCAAGGCTGCTTTGACATTTTCAGGTATCTTTATAGCAATGCCCCATTCTTTGGTACCAGTTTTCTATATTAGGTCATTTTTGTGTTACTGCATAGAAATATCTGAGGCTGGGTAATTTATAAAGAAAAGAGGTTTAACTGGCTTATGGTTCTGCAGGCTATATAAGCATGGCACCAATTATCTCCTTGGCTTCTGGTGAGGGTTTCAAGAAGCTTACAATCATGGTAGAAGGCAAAATGGGGGCAGGTATGTCAGTCATGTGGTGAGAGCAGGAGAAAGAGGGCAGCATTTGTATAATATTAAATCTAATATTAAATCTTTGGTGAGCATGGTTACCAGTTCCAGCTCCAAACAACTCTACAATGTAGATTATTTCCTGTTCTCTGAAGGGGAAGCTGAGGTGGGTAAAAATATTGCCCAAAGTTCCAAAATTTGAGGCAGGGTTGGAATTGAAACTGAATAGCCTTTGCGTGGAGATCTCAGCTTGAAACCATGTTCTAATGAACACAGAGCTTGGTGGAACCATGGTCCTTAACCATCTGGGAAGTGCAAATTACATGATTGGGAGGTGGAGAGGCAATTTACCACAAATTGTACCTTAGCAGAGTTCGTCCGGACTTCTTTATTCTTGACATTTAAAGACCTTTCGCAGTTGATTGTGAAGCAGGCCAACTCCACCTCTCCCTGCTTCCTTTTAAGAGGGAACCAAGAGAGAGGGGCCTTTCAGCTTCAATGCTGCAACTTTCCCTCACTCTCTCTCTGCTCAAATGATAGAAAATGGACTTGCCAGGTGGGAACCTTCTCTTCTGCTACTGAGAACCAGAGCAGCCTCTTGCTTGTGAGAAGAGCTGTATAAAGACCTCTAAAATCCCACAGATTTTAAACCTTCAACTGGAGGATTGTCAATATAGTCATTTAACAATCATTTTAATTTAAACAAGATTTGAAGTCAAATGCAAAGCACGCATGGTAAAAGCCAACTCTACAAAGACAGGAAGAAAGGCCCACTTGGGAAGTTCAGAACAGCACTGGTATCTGAGCAACAGTTTTCACAGTTTTCATAAGCCTAGAAAAGAATCACAGCCCCGACTTACAGAGGCCAGAAAAATGGTCCCTTTGGATTGGAGGTCCCAAGAGCAGAAGTTCCTGGGGCTTTAGAAGGCAGTCAGCTCTCCTATGTACATGTACAAAGGAGCATGGCTGAGATGTTTTAACTGTCATTTCTACATTTCTGTCCTGATTTGCTGTTGTCATTGATATTATTTTTATTGACAGACAGGTTGGGCTTTGAAACATTTCATCAGGCATTTCTAATCAGCCCAAAGATACCAGCTTTTGGACTTGCCCCTCTACTTTTCACTGCCTCCTGCAGTTATCTTTCCAAAGACATTGATGGGAGAACAGCCTGAGGTTGCTCTTCTGGCTTTACCTTTAATAACTGCCTCACTCCAATACTCTCTTCTTCTCCTCATGTGTCTCCAGCTACAGTGGAGTGACTTTCCCACTGTTTCTGCATACTTAACATGAATTCATCAATCTTCCCACAGAACTCCTATCTTTTCTATTTCTTTGTTACTCTCATCCCCCGGGCTCTGTGCTATATTATTTTGTAAGTGAGGTAAAGTCCAGATTAGGAGGAAGATAAAATGCAAAAACCTTAACAGATAACATCGCCTGTGCTTTCACTTTCAGAAATCCTTCAAAGACAATGTAAAAACTCATGCAGAAGACTGGAAATCCTGAGCTCGCAGACCTATTCTGAGCCTGCATTCCACTCTGCCTGCCAATATTTCTCTGCACCTATGCCTGGAGGCCTGGAGCGCTGCTCTTCACATCTCTAGTGAGTCTCTACGAGTAAACTGGAAGCAGCAAAAGGCAGTGTACTGTATCAGCGATGACAGGGACAGCCCTCACACAGCCAACAGCCACTGCAGAAAGGGCCCCTCTGTGCTCATGGAGTCCAAGACCCAAGTCTTTATGGATGGAGAAGCTGAGGCCCAGCAAAGTGAAGAGAGAGACTCAATCAAAACAGAAACCAGAGCTCAAGCTCCTGGCTCCTATTGACACGGCTTAATACAGTGTTTACAGATGTTTGGATTTCTTAGAGAAAATGACATTATATGAATGGTGGCTGCTAGATCACGACAAGAAAGGAGCATTAAGAGGGTTCCAGTTCACCCACGATTGCAAATGTTATACAAAAGAGGATATACCAGTTTTACTTTGTTTTTTTTTTTTTTTTGAGACAGAGTCTCATTCTGTTGCCCAGGCATTCTGTTGCCCAGGCATTCTGCTGCAGTGGTCTCTCTGCTCACTGCAGCTTCGAACTCTCCAGGCTCAAGGGATCCTCCCACCTCAGCCTCCCAAGTAGCTGGAAATACAGGCGTGCACCACCGTGCCTGGCTAAGTTTTTATTTTTTTCATAAAGATGGGATCTTGCCATGTTGCCCAGGCTGGTCTCAAACTCCTGGGCTCAAGCGATCCTCCTGCTTTGGCCTCCCAAAGTGCTGGGATTACAGGTGTGAACCGCCATGCCCAGCCCAGTTTTAATTCTTAAACACAAAATCTGTCATTACCAAGTGGGATCCCAGCAGCCATAAATTTTTTCATATTTGTATAATATTGATCAAGATTTTATTACGATAAAATGTATGTAACATAAAATTTAGTATTTTAACATTTTTTAAGTACACAGTTCAGTGGCATTAAATACACTCATATTACAATGAAACCATCAGCACTATCAACTTTTAGAACCTTATCATCATCCTAAACTTCATATCCATGCAACAATAACTCCCCATTCTCCCCTCTCCGCAGTCCCTGGTAACTACTATTGTACTTTCTGTCTCTTTGAATTTTACTATTTCAGGTACTTCCTTTAAATGGAATAATATAATATCTGTCCTTTTGTGCCTGGCTTATTTCACTTAGCATAATGTTTTGAAAGTTCATCCACATTGTAGCATGTGTCAGAATTTCCTTCCTTTTTAAGAATGAATAATTCCATTGTATGTACATATCACGTTTATACATTCATCCATCAATGGGCATTTGGGTTGTTTCTCCTTTTTGGCTATTGTAAGTAGCACTGCAATGAACATGGGTGTGCTGATGAAGATTTTAAAAATACAGGAATGCAGCCTTATGACTCATATCTATGTGTAGACACGGCTGAAAAAGTAAATAGGTGTGCCGTAAGTCCCCATTCCACATAGAAGATCTACATCATCTTGATCTCCTCCACCCAAATTAAACAGTCAATATCTGTAAAGATCAGTAGCGATCTCATAAGACCAAAGAAGTGAAAGAAAGGGGAGAAGGAAGAGGAAGAGGAAGAGTAGGAGCACTTCAGCAGCACATACACTACAACTGGAACGATATGGAGATTATCATGGTCCCTGTGCGAGGATGACATGCAATTAAGTGAATTAATGCAGAAACAGAAAACTAAATATCGTATGTTCTCACTTATAAGTGGGAACCAAGTCTTGGGAACACACAGACATTAGGGACTCCAATAGGAGAGAGGGAGGGAGCGGGGGGCAAGAGCTGATACATTTCCTATTGGGTACTTTCGTCACTATCTGGGTGACTGGATTAAACGAAGCTCAAACCTCAGCATCACGTAATATACCCTTGTAACAAACCTATACATGTACTCTCTGAATCTGAAATAAAAATGGAATTTTTTAAAAAAAGAAGAGCAGGAGGAGGAAGGTAAGAAGAAGAGGAGGAAATTAAGAAAAGAGGAAGAAAAAAGGAGAAGAAGAGGAAAAATCCTTGACATTTGCCTAAAATCATGGGAAATTTTGAGGTCAGTTCTCGAAAACCTGATCCTGGTACCTGATGCACAGAACAATAGCCCATAGGGTTCCATCCATGCCACTCCTACCCAAGAAGGTTCAAATACCATGAACCCACTCCAGGAACCATTAGCTACAGACTAGAGGCTTTGAATAGGCTTAGTCAATTCTAAGGGAAGATGCGTTTAGCACTAAGAAAAACTCACAGAGGTTTACAGGGTCCTGTTCTACCTACATCTTAAAACATTTAAGCCCTTTGATCTAACTCATTATGGGTTTAGAAAGACAGCAGGAAACACACATTGGTATTTCTCCTTTACTCCACCTCCTCTTTCCTTTCCTTTACCCAGAGTCAGATGAATTAAACTCCAAGATTTTACCCAGAGGCTCCAAACAACGACTTTAGGGCCAGGCATGGTGGCTAATGGCTATAATCCCAACGCTTTGAGCAGGGAGAATAGTTTGAACCCAGGAGTTCAAGATCAGCCTGGGAACCATAGCAAGAGCCCATCTCTACAAAAAATAATAAAAAATTAGCCAGGTTCGCCGGGCACAGTGGCTCTTGCCTGTAATCCCAGCACTGTGGGAGGCCGAGGTGGGCAGATCGCCTGAGGTCAGGAGTTCAACACCAGCCTGGCCAACGTGGTGAAACCCCCTCTACTAAAAATATAAAAATTAGCCAAGCATGGTGGTTCACGCCTGTAATCCCAGCTACTCAGGAGGCTGAGACAGAAGAATTGCTTGAACCTGGGAGACAGAGGTTGCAGTGAGCCAAAATCATGCCACTGCACTCCAGCCTGGGTGACAGAGACTCTGTATCAAAAAAAAAAAAATTAGCCAAGTATAGTGCTGCACATTTGCAGTCCCTGCTACTCAGGAGGCTGAAGCGGGCAGATTGCTTGAGCTCAGGAATTCGAGGCTGCAGTGAGTTATGATCACGTCACCATACTCCAGCCTAGGTGACAGAGGCCTTGCCTCTAAAAATAAAAGGGAATAAAAGACTGTTATAGAATAAAAACATAGTACTGTCAGGCTCACTTTGGCAGCAAATACATCAAAATACAGGGCGTTTTGAAGGGCTTGTTTCTGTGCTTAAAGTTGTCAAGAGCTTAGGAAACTCAGCGGAGGCCTGGATGAGTCATTGCAATTTGCTGGAATACTATATGGATAGGATGATTATGCTAATAAGCATGCCAGCAGCAATGGTTAGGGCTCACACACTGTAACCTTTGCTCAGGTGAAGCTTTTATTTTTATTATTACTTTTTATGTTGAAGCCGTTGCAGACTTTGTTTTCCCGGACCTTTTGAGAGGAAGTCACTGGCATGATGCTCATCACCCTGACCACGGCAGCAGTGGGAGCCAGAGGACTTGCTCTTGAACACACAGTAAGATGTTAACGGGAATCTGCAGAAATAAATGCAGGAACCCCGAGAGCAGTCGAAAAATCAATGAGTGTATAATTGTTACTGTTGCCCTGGTTTTACCTCCACTCTATTGCAATATAATTGACATCTGTAAATGATCTCCAAGTTGCATCTTTTCCAATTCAGCTTTCTCTGAAACCCTACGGTAATCTTTTTTTTTTTTTTTTTTTTTTGAGACGGAGTCTCGCTCTGTCGCCCAGGCTGTAGTGCAGTGGCGCGATCTCGGCTCACTGTAAGCTCTGCCTCCCGGGTTCATGCCATTCTCCTGCCTCGGCCTCCCGAGTTTTTTGTGTTTTTTTTTTTTCGGAGACAGAATCTCACGCTGTTGCCCAGGCTGCAATACAGTGGCACAATCTCAGCTCACTGCAACTCCCACCTCTGGGGTTCCAGAGATTCTCACGCCTCAGCCTCCCAAGCAGCTGGGATTACAGGCGCGTGCCACCACACTCGTCTAATTTTGGTATTTTTAGTAGAGATGGGGTTTTGCCATGTTGGCCAGGCTGGTCTCAAACTCTTGGCCTCAAGTGATCTGCCCACCTCAGCCTCCCAAAGTGCTGGGATTACGGTCATGAGCCACTGTACCTAGCCCCCTATATTAATCTTAAAGGAGTTAATTTGCCAGCTCAGAAACCACTGGTGTTTTCCCATGCCAAAATCCTCCCAGATAAAGCTGCAGTGGTTGCTTGGCATTTAAGGCTCTTCATGCCAGAGCCCTAAAGTACTCTGGCTCTATGAAACAGAGGTTGTGTAGTGTAGGGATTACCTCTTACCTCTTAGGGATTAGTTCTTACCTCTGAAACCTAGTTCTACCATTTACCAGCTGTGTGGCTTTCAGCAAGTCTCTAAACCTCCAGGTGCCTCAGTTTCCTTAACTGTTAAATGGGGATAATAATAGGACCTACCTCACAGGGCTTTCATTAGAATTAAATTTATGATATGTAAAACACTAAGAATGGTGTAAGCAGTGCTGGGCACCTATAATCCTAGTGCTTTGGGAGACCAAAGCGGGAGGATGGCTTGAGGTCAGGAGTCTGAGACCAGCCTAGGCAACAACACTACAAGACCCTGTCTCTAAAAATAAAAAATAAAAAATTCATGGGGCGTGGTGGCCCGTGCCTGTTGTCCCAGCTACTCAGGAGGCTCAGGTGGGAGGATTGCTTGAATTCAGGAGTTTGAGGCTGCAGTGAGCTGTGATCCCACCACTGCACTCCGGCCTTTGTGACAGAGCAAGACATTGTCTCTTAAAAAAAAAAAGTTATTATCTAATGTCACCCTACTTCAAGCACCCATGAGGCAAACCTGACCTGTAAGTTCCTCAAATACCATCACTGGGTTCTATTACCGCATAGGGTCTTCTGCTGCATGGACTGCCCAGTGCCAGTCTCGAAATTCGGTTCTTACCCATTGATGAGGTTTGGATTTGTGTCCCCACCCAAATCTCACGTTGAATTGGAGGGGCGGCCTGGTGGGAGGTGATTGGATCATGGGGGTGGATTTCCCTCATGCTGTTCTTGTGATAGTGAGTGAGTTCTCACAAGATCTGATGGTTAAAAGTGTGTGGCACTTCCCCCTTTGTTCTTTGTCTCTCCTGCTCCACCATGGTAAGACATGCTTGCTTCCCTTTCACCTTCCACCATGACTGTAAGTTTCCTGAGGCCTCCCAACCATGGTTCCTGTTAAGCTTGTGGAACCGTGAGTCAATTAAACCTCTTTTCTTTATAAATTACACAGTCTCTTTATAGCAGTGTGAAAACAGACTAATACACCATCTTTTGAGATCCAGCTCAAACCTTATCAGCCCCACAAACCTTTTCTTGCTCCCTTTTGTCCCTCAGGAATCTCTTTGTATGAATCTCATGCTGTTTGACCTTACGGTTACTGTAATCAAGCCTTTAATGAGAGAGAAAATAAAAGTGCTTTGCATGTTGTAAAGTACGACACAGATGTGATTCTTTTTTTTTGTTTTTTGTTTTCGAGACGGAGTCTCACTCTGTAGCCCAGGCTGGGGTGCAGTGGCACCATCTCGGCTCACTGCAACCTCCATCTTCTGGGTTCAAGCAATTCTCCTACTTCAGCCTCCCAAGTAGCTGGGATTACAGGTACCCACCACCACGCCTGGCTAATTTTTGTATTTTTAGTAGAGATGGGGTTTCACCATGTTGGCCAGGCTAGTCTTGAACTCCTAACCTCAGGTGATCCACCTGCCTCAGCCTCCCAAAGTGTTGGGATTACAGGCGTGAGCCACCATGCCTGGCCAATGTGATTTTACTGACAATAGTGATACCATCTTATCTCCACCCCAGTACTATGTTAGGTCAGGGATCACATCTATTATCTTTGTTTTTCCCATAGTGCTTTCTATTATCAAATTTGTCAGCAATTTTTTTTTTTTTTTTTTTTTTTTTTACTTTAGGATGGGTTCTTACTATGTTGACCAGGCTGGTCTGAAACTCCTGGGCTCAAGGAATCCTCCCACCTCAGCCTCCCAAAGTGCTGGTATTACAGGTATGAGCCGCTGTGCCCCACCAAACATTTTCAAAGGATAAGAAAATGATTACTACTGTAGGGTGAGTTGGTTTACCAGGTGGGTTTTCTGTAGAGAGATCACAATGGAAAGCGTGAGGCAGATGTGTTATGGGAAAACGCAGAATATGTTCAGATCATGGCTGTTTTCCAGGAGGTCACTGCAGAAAGCTCCAAGAAGCCAACGGGTGGCAAGTCAGGAGGCTGTTCAGCCTCTCTCAAGGTTTCTTTTGAGACTTCTTTTCAACTTAAACCAGGGAGCTGCTCCAGGCTTTGCTTCCCACTTTCTATTTCAAACCTTCTCTCTCACACCTAGTTTTCCTGGTGTCTACATGTGTCAGTTACCAGTCTGATCTGTAGGCAACAGAAACTTTGTTTCACTCTACCTAAAGAAAATGTACTAGAAGTACAGTTGAGGCTCACAGAACAAAAGAAACCAGACTGCAGGCTTGGAAAAACACTGGAGTTAGGTAGGAGAGCTCTAGAGCCTAGGCATCAGGAGCCACAGCCGCCATTAGGCCGCACAGTGAGCCAGTAACTGCTCCTCCTAGAAGCTGTGTTCCCTACATCTTTGACTCACCTGCCAAGTCAAAGTCCTAGGGGAGAACATGTGATTGGCCAGGCTGGGTTGCAGGCTTACACCAGGCTGCAGTGGGAGGGGAAGGGGAAGATCTGATCCTTTTGATTTCTGCCCTAGGAAGCAGGCACTATGTCCTACCAGAGCTACACACAGCAAGGTAAAGACAACTCCCTAAAAGGGAAGGAGCTTTCAGGGAGTCACCTTGACTTGAGAAGGGGAACTGGATGCTAATGGCTAAGTGACCAAAAAAACAGCTACCACACTATGCTTCTAGGTCTGCGTCTGGATTCTCTCTTCTAGTCTAGCCCACCTGGATGGATGACTCACTTGCACAACTCCCTGTATTGTGATTCTACTTCTCCCCAGGAGGCTGCCCTTCTTTCTTGGTGGCATGTGCTGCTGCCTGAGAGCAAAGGTTGTCACACCCCATGGTCCTGGGATGCTGAAACCCAGGCCCAGTGCTCTATGCTCATACCTATCTGGAGGAATGGGAGAGATGAGACAGAGGTGTATGCTGGGTCTGTGACCTGGAGCTCAGCACACTTGAAGGTCAGAGCAAAGAGAGAGGTTGCAAAGGAAAGCAAAACAAACTAAGTTAGCCCTGCAGCCACACTACTCCATCTCTCACACACTAGGCACTTAGAGCTAAGGAGAGCGGAGAGGCGTCAGGAAGAGCTATCTCTATTTTAAGCTCTGTCGTCTGGTGCCACTATCTGCGAAAGATAGCATCTATGCGAAAGGAACAATGAAAAGCAAGAGGCAGTTTGGTAGGCAGAGGCCTTTCTGAGAAAGTTCTCCTCATTCACAATCATACAAGACAGGGACTGCCTTCTTTCTGTCTGTGGTCTTTGTCATCCGCCTATGACACCTGGAACTGTGACAGCCATCTTGTGATGACTATGAGGGAACAAACCTGAGGACAAAAGGCCACTCCCTGAGGATGCCAGAGAAAAAGGGACTCAGATTGGATCCTGGTGATGTTGCTGGGCCATTTCGTCAACCAACCTTGGAACTTGGAAAGTCTTCCAGACTTTCTGGTCCATCAGACAATATACTTCATTCCTGTTGAAGATGCTAGTAGTTCTGATTTCTGTTAAAACTGCAATCATCCTACCTGATACAGCTTTCTAGCCACTCTTCTAAGCACTGGGCACAATCTAAGACCTGCTGACATCATCCAACTGTGGAGTGTGAGCCTACAGAGGGAAATTCTTCCCATCCAAAAAAGGAGAAGGCTTTCTGCAGCTGCACAGTGAATGCATGCCTCAGGCCAGCCCTCCTATTCCTTATCCTTTGTCTTTTTTGGACAAGAATCATGTAATTTGGGACCATAGATATTGGGTAATTACTATGGCAATGATTAGGGATTCACTTCAGGAATAAGGAAATATAATTATAGTCCCATTTCAGCTTGTTTCCATGACAACAGGGGCAATTGCAATTGATCAGCAGTTTTCTTCCTAAACAGATCCGTGAGTCTCATTCAAATGAAATGTTAAAGAGCAATTAAATATCCTCATCAAACAAACTAGAGTTGCTGGAAGAGACTGGAGTCAGATTATCTGACTTAGAGGCTCATCCTGAACTTCCGTATTCTATCAAAATATACGCTATTTGATAGGCTATAGTGTACCAAATTACCTGTTAATTACAAAAGAAACAGGGTACGTCATACAAATTCAAGGAAGAGGAGGAAAGTTTGGAATCTCAAATGGAGAATCTTAGAATTGAAGTCAGAGGGTCATCTACTCCGGTCTGTAAGCTCAGTCCTAAGACACCACCTAAGACAAACGATCTTCTAACTTGCCTCTAAAGCCCACTTCACAGGCTTCCATGCTATTTATTCCACTCCTACGTTTCCCCATGTGGAGAAAGATCTTTCCATAAACCTCTGTAGCTGTCATTTGAATCAATTTTCCTCTGGTTCATGCTCTGGAAATAGTAGTCATCAATATCCTCTTTATCTCAATACTAATATTAACCTGCTTTTTAAAGTGCTTTATTGCAGATAGCGCAATGTCATATGCATTTTTGTCCTCCTAATAATCCTGGGAGACGAAGGCGCTAGCTAGGTGAGGGTCACACAGCTCTCGAGTGAGACACCTGGCTTCCTGAGAGGTCCCTAGCTCCTGTTCTGCTGCATTTACCACATATTGTATCTCTAAGAATCGCTATACCTCAGCAGTCCCCAACCTTTTCAGCACCAGGAACCGGTTTTGTGGAAGATAATTTTTTCATGGACGGGGCTGGGAAGATGGTTTCAGGATGAAACTGTTCCACCTCAGATTATCAGGCATTAGATTCTCAGAAAAAGCACGCCACCTAGATCCCTCGCATGCACAGTTCACAATAGGGTTCATGCTCCCATGAGAATCTAATGCAGCTGCTGATCTGATAGGAGGTGGAGCTCAGGCAGTAATGCTCCCTTGCCTGCCACTTACCCCCTGCTGTGCGGCCTGGTTCCTAACAGGCCACACACCGGTACTGGTTCACCACCTGGGGGTTGGGGACCCCTGCTATAACTGATTCATCAACCTTCTTTTTCTCTAGACATATTCAGCTCAGCTCTGTTGATTTTCCTGCTTAGTACCTAATTTTTATTTAATGGGTTTTGCACCTCTTCACCATTCCCTATTCAATTTCAGCACATCCCAGCTTCCTAAGGATAGAGGATAAACAGTCAAGTAAAACAGGTCCTTTCTGACTTCATCCTCTGAAACGCAGCAAGGTCAGGTGAATCAATGCAAACAACGGTAAGCAGGGAGCCTGCACTTCAGTATAACTTCATTGGTAACATGAAGTCTCATGGCACCAACTGTGGATTCTTCCTTTTCCAGCAGGTCTGAGGGACAGTGATACTCTTTACCAAGGTGGGAAACTGGAGGCCAAATTAGATGAATATTGACTTGTCCAGTGGGAAAAGTCAGTATGGGGAAGAGCAGTAATCAATGCATTCATTCATTGAATAAATGCTTACTGAATACCTGCTATGTGCCGGGCCCAGCGTTAGAGGCGGGAAATACAACGAATGGCAAGTCACAAAGCTTACTTTTAGGGAAAGGTCAAGGAAGTTGTGAGAACAATGTCAGGGGAAGGGGCCTGATCTAGGCTGAGGGAATCAAAGAAAGCTTGCTCTCCTAAGGAAGGCACATTTGTGCAGAAAACTCAAGGATGGAGAGGAATTAGACAAAGGAAGGAGGTGGAGATGGGGGATGGGGCTATTCAAGAAACAAGCACTACCATGTGCAAAATGGGCAGGCTTGGAGTGTAGTCACATTTCTTTTCTTTTTTTTTTTCTTTTTATTATACTTTAAGTTTTAGGGTACATGTGCACAACGTGCACGTTTGTTACATGTGTATACATGTGCCATGTTGGTGTGCTGCACCCATTAACTCGTCATTTAACATTAGGTATATGTCCTAATGCTATCCCTCCCCCCTCCCCCCACCCCACAACAGGCCCCAGTGTGTGATGTTCCCCTTCCTGTGTCCATGTGTTCTCACTGTTCAATTCCCACCTATGAGTGAGAACATGCGGTGTTTGGTTTTTTGTCCTTGCGATAGTTTGCTGAGAATGATGGTTTCCAGCTTCATCCATGTCCCTACAAAGGACATGAACTCATCATTTTTTATGGCTGCATAGTATTCCATGGTGTATATGTGCCACATTTTCTTAATCCAGTCTATCATTGTTGGACATTTGGCTTGGTTCCAAGTCTTTGCTATTGGGAATAGTGCCGCAATAAACATACGTGTGCATGTGTCTTTAGAGCCGCATGATTTATAGTCCTTTGGGTATATACCCAGTAATGGGATGGCTGGGTCAAATGGTATTCTAGTTCTAAATCCCTGAGGAATCGCCACACTGACTTCCACAATGGTTGAACTAGTTTACAGTCCCACCAACAGTGTACAAGTGTTCCTATTTCTCCACATCCTCTCCAGCACCTGTTGTTTCCTGACTTTTTAATGATCGCCATTCTAACTGGTGTGAGATGGTATCTCATTGTGGTTTTGATTTGCATTTCTCTGATGGCCAGTGATGATGAGCATTTTTTCATGTGTCTTTCGGCTGCATAAATGTCTTCTTTTGAGAAGTGTCTGTTCATATCCTTCGCCCACTTGTTGATGGGGTTGTTTTTTTCTTGTAAATTTGTTTGAGTTCATTGTAGATTCTGGATATCAGCCCTTTGTCAGATAAGCAGATTGCAAAAATTTTCTCCCATGTTGTAGGTTGCCTGTTCACTCCGATGGTAGTTTCTTTTGCTGTGCAGAAGCTCTTTAGTTTACCCAAGATGGCCGAATAGGAACAGCTCCAGTCTACAGCTCCCGGCATGAGCGACGCAGAAGATGAATGATTTCTGCATTTCCATCTGAGGTACCAGGTGCATCTCACTGGGGATTGTCGGACATTGGGTGCAGGACAGTGGGTGTAGTCACATTTCTAACACTAATAGCACTGTCACCTCTTTGAGCCTGTTTCCCCATTTATAAAGTGAAGGTATGGGATCAGAACTAAACATTACCCTAAACCATTAATATTTTATATTCCCACCAGCAATGTGTGAGGGTTCCAATCCCTATATATCTTCATCAACACTTGTTACTGTCTATCTTTTTTGCCTGTAGCCTTCCTAATGGGTGTGAAATAATATCTCATTTGTGGTTTTGATTTGTACTTCCCTGATGGCTAATGATGTTGAGCAAGTATGGTTTATGTGTTAATTGATATTTTTATATCTTTTGTGGAGCGATGTCTATTAGAATCCTTTGCCCAATAAAAAAAAATTTGGGGAGGGGGTCATTTTATTATTGAGTTGTGGGAGTTTTGTTTTTTATTTTTACTTATTCCAAATATGACTTACAAATATTTCCATCCATTCTGTGGATTGTTTTATAACTTTCTTGATGATATCATTTGTAACACAAAATTTAATTTTGATGTAGTCCAACTTTTCTGTTTTTCCTTTTGTCACTTGTGCTTTTGGTACCTAAGAAACCACTGCCTAATTCAAGGTCATGGAAATTTACTTTTTCTTTTAAGAGTTTTATAATTTTAATTCTTACATTTAGGTCTGTGATCCATTTTGAGTTAATTTTTGTATATGATGTAAAAAAGGGTCCAATTTCATTCTTTTGCATGTGGCTATCCAATTGTCCCAGAAATATTTGTTGAAAAACTCTTCTTTGCCCATTGAATTGTCTTAGCACTCTTATTGAAAATCAATTGACCACAAACGTAAGAGTTTATTTCTGAACTCTCAATTCAATTCCATTATCTTTATATCTATCCTTATACCAGTACTTCACTGTTTAGATTACTGCAGCTTTGTAGTAAGTGTTTTAAATGGAAAGTGTGAGTCTTCCATCTTTGTTCTCCTTTTTCAATAATGTTTTGGCTATTCTGGGTCCCCTGCAATTCCATATGAATTTTAGGATCCACTTCTAATTTCTGGGGGAAAAAAGACAGCTAGGATTTTGATGGGGACCACATTGAATCTGTAGCTCAATCTGGGGAGTACTGTCATCTTAACAATATTATGTTTTCCAATAGATGAACATGAGATGTCTTTCCATCATTTCAATCTTCTTTAATTTCTTTCAATGATATTTTGTCATTTTTGGTGTACAAGTCTTGCACTTCTTGGTTAAACTTATTCCTAAGTCGTTTATTCTTTTTGATGCTATGTAAATGGAATTGTTTTCCTAGGGTCATCTTTAGATTATAAATTGCTAGAGTACAGAAATACAATTGATATACAAAAACTCCAATCTTGTATCCTATAACTTTGCTCAATCTTGTTTATTAGTCTAATAGCTTTCTGTGTGTGTATTCCTTAGGACTTTCTATATATACAATCATGGCATCTGCAAGTACAGTTTTACTTCTTCCTAAGATTAATGCCTCTTATTTCTTTTTCTTTTCTAAATGTCCCAGCTATAGCCAACAGTATAGTACTGTAGAATACAGTGTTGAATAGAAGGAATGAGATAAGAAACCCTTGTTTTGTTCCTGATCTTAAGGGGATCACATTCATTTTTCATCATTAAATATGATATTAGCTGTGGATTTTTCAGATGCTCTTTATCAAGTTGAAGGAGTTTCCTTCTATTTCCAGTGTTGTCTATTTTTTTTTTTTTATAAATCATGAAAGGATGTTGGATCTTGTCAAATAGTTTTTCTGCATTTATTGAGATGATCATGTGGTTTTTATCCTTTATTTTATTAATATGGTATATTACATTGATTGGCTTTTTTATGTTAAACCAACCTTGCACTCCTGGGATAAATCCCATTTGGTCATGTTACTTAAGCCTTCTTACATGTTGTTGGATTCAGGCTACTAGTTTTTTCTTAAGGATTTTTGTGTCTATTGTCATAAAGGATATTGGTCTGTGGAGTTTTTTTCTTGTGATATCTTTGCCTGATTTTAATATGAGGATAACACTGGCCTCACAGAGTTGGAAAGTTCCCTCCTATTCTATTTGTCATCTTCCTTCTTCCATGAAAATTTCTGCTTATGCCATTATCTGACAGGTTCATGCCTTCCCTCTCAGCTACTCCATGTCCTGCCCATCATTTGGAATCAGCTCAAGGCCCCCTCATTCCTGAACCCTTTCCCGACTGTTCCAGTCCAAGTGAGCTCATATTCTCCAGAACTCCTTCACATCTCACTGTGCTTACATCTGGCACTTAATATAAAGTGTTGTACTTATGCATGATGTAACAAACACTGGGTGTTCAGTAGAAACTGGAAGCAGGACAAGTAGAGTCCCAGTAAGTATCAGAGCCTCAATCAGGCAGCTGGAGGCAGGCAGACATCTGAGCCTAGTGACTCAGGACCAGTATGATGATTCAGGGCCATATGAGTAGCTCCCTAGTGAGGCTGCAGCCTCCTTGAGAGGCACAGTAGTGGATGTTTAAGAATGCACTCTTTATTGCTTGAATAGTGGCTCAGGGATTTATAAGCTATATGACCTTAGGCAAATTACCTGCTAGCCTTAGTTTTCTCATCTTTGAACTGTTGATAATAATATCAATCTTAAATAGTTGTGGTAAATATTATATGAGTTCACCTATGCAAAAGTGAATACACTGTAATAACTTCAATTAGTGGTACCTTTAATACATGCCATTGGATATTCTCAGTGGAAAAAGGGTCTACGGTCAAAGGAATATTGAAATACTGCATACTACATCCTTCTTCCTAGGGATTCACAGGACACATTCGCATAGTAAAAGTTCTGTCGAGTCCCACATAAAGAATCCTATTTAATTTGTTTTTGTTCAGAATTCCCCAAACCTATTTACCAAGATGACCCTCTCCCTCTTTTAAAATTTAACAACTGTTTTAACACGCCTTTGGGAACATAATATTAGTTGTGTTTAATTAAGAAAAGAAATCACATTAGATTCTTAAAAATGGATCATGTTTTATTGCTTTGCTTTTCCCAAGGAATGTATAATTTACAAGCAGCAGCCTAGGAGAGATAAAGGCTTCTAACCTAGAGAAAGAAAAGAATGCTTTAAAAACCCAAAGGAAATGGAAATTTTCAGGCAGAAGGAGCAGATCAATAAGGAGCTATTCTCAGTCATGGGAACATTTCTAGAATTTCAGATTCTTGGGAGTTTGACAGGATGTTAAAGTTCAGCTCCCTTCAATTCCCACCCAGTGCCGAAATCCCACCTTCACTGGCCTCAACCTTTGTGGGCACATGCCAAGCCTCCCATTTTCAGGCAGTTCTAATTAGGAAATTCTCCCTCACATTGGGCTGAAATCTACCTTCTTGTAACCTCTACCCAAAATCACGTTAATGGAGCTTTGAGTTTTGTGCTTTTGTGAGAACTGTCCATTTTGGAGATAGCAAATAAAATGTACAGAAAATTTTTTGAATCATTACACAATGTAAAGTAACAGTCTGTTAATTGAACCATGAACTAAAAATAAGAATTTCTGAAAAGAACATTTTTCATTTTCTCCATCTGTAAATAAGGCAAATAATTAGAAGCTCAGTTATACCATAATCAACATATGTAGTATTTACTTTGTAGGTGAAATTACTTTGCAATTGTCAATTCCCTAGAAAAGAGAAATATGTATTTTTTAATTACTTCTATTTTCCTGTGCTTCTAACTTTTTTTTTCTGTGTTGTCCAGGCTAGAGTGCAGTAGCTATTCATAGACATGATCATAGCGCACTATAGCCTTGAACTCCTGGCTCAAATGATCTTCCCGCCTCAGCCTCCCGAGCAGCAGGGATTAAAGGCACTTGCTGCCACACCTTGCTGTGTTTCTATCCTAATTTTTTTTTAACTTTTATTTTACGTTCAGGGGTACACGTGAAGGTTTGTTACGTAGGTAAACTCAAGTCACAGGGGTTTGCTGTACAGATTATTTCATCACCCAGGTATTAAGCCCAGTAAATTATCTTTTCTGCTCCTTTCCCCCCACTCACCCTCCACACTCAAGTAGATTCCAGTGTCTGTTGTTACCGTCTTTGTGTCATGAGTTCTCATCATTTAGCTCCCACTTATAAGTGAGAACATGCAGTATTTGGTTTTCTGTTCCTGCATTAGTTTGCTAAGAATAATAGCCTCCAGCTCCATCCATGTTCCTGCAAAACACATGATCTTGTTCTTTTTTGTGGCTGCAAAGTATTCCATGGTGCATATGCACTACATTTCTTTATCCAATCTGTCACTGATGGGTATTTAGGTTGACTCTATGTCTTTGCTATTGTGAACAGTGCTGCAATGAACATTTGCATGCGTGTGGCTTTATGGTAAAATGCTTTATACTCCTCTGGGCATATACCCACTAATTTTTTAAATATTTAAAGTGACATTTTAAAAATTAATAGTCCAAAGCTTATCCTTTTATATCCTTACTTAAGAGATGTGTTTATTATAAAAAGGTTTAATTAAAATATAGTACACGTCTCATAAATGCAGGTTTGTGGACAAGAGTCAATAACGAGGACAGGTGACATTATTAGAAATGCAGCTATTTGATCCAAAGTGGAATTTCCCAAGGCTTTGTAAAACCTGAAACCTTAAGGAAAACCCCAAGAAGTTAACAGAATATAAGACTTAAATGGGAAGAGAACCTCCAGGGTCCACATTCCTGTAAGAGTCCAACATGGCTCAATATGAAATCAGACTTGGCAAAACTATGCTATACCTACTATACTACAAAAAGGATGGGTTGTGTTTCCATAGAACTGTCCCTCTAAGGGAGAACTTTCCAGACTTGACCTCATTTTGTATTAAACTGCCACTTACTCTCATTTTACTATCTGTTCCTCATCCTGATACCGTGAGGCCAAAAAGTTCACGCTCTTATTTTACAATTGAAAACCTGAAGTAAAATCAAAATGGATTCAAACTGCACACTCCTTGACTATCCACTGGGACAACATTCCAACAGCTGAGTGAGTTAGCACTAGCTGTGCTCTCCTTTCAGTTACATCTTTCCCTGCGTCAAATTAAATCATTTTCTTACCCTACAGAGTAAAGACAACAGAAAATAAACACAGGGCTGTCAAGGAAAAGAGTCAGTATCAGGACTAACAAATGCTGTTGGTGAATATTTGCTGTAAAATTAATGTGTACCACTGGTCTGAGGGTTTTGTAATTTAGACACAACAGCAGTGTTCATTAGAATTTACTTACTGACACACACCACAGAGGATATTTTTGTCTCTGTCCTTGAAGCACGGTGAGAATATCACATATGATACCATCTATTCCTTCCGCTTAGCTTATGCAGTGTCAGGCATTCATGGAAAACATTTTTTTGAGCACGTAATACAAGGCTGAATGAAACCTAGTCCCTGACTTCATGAAACTGACAGTCAAGTGAAGAAGACAGAAGCAAATCAATAATTTCCATAGAAAGTGACAAGTTCTCTGCTGAAACCAGGCACACAATGCTACAAGAACACAGGCAAGGGCAAACAAATCAGATGGGGTTGTCGGAAAAGGTTTCTCAGAGGAGCTGGTTTCTAAGCTGTCAGTATCAGAGTTTAACCAGCTCTGATACTGACTTCAATTCCAAGCACTCAGGTAAGAAAGTACTTCCTGACCCTACTTTTCTGAGTTCCTGACACTGTCACACCCAGATTTAGTGCCTGTGTTCTAAGAGGCGGGGAAAGAAAGAAGGAAGGAAGGAAGGGAAGAAAGGGAGAAGTGGGGGAGAGAGAGGGAAGAAAGGAGGGAGGGAAGGAAGAAACGAGGGAGGGAGGGAGGGACGTAGGGAGGGAGGAAGGAAGGAAGGAAGGAAGGAAGAAAGGAAGGAAGGCAGGCAGGCAGGCAGGCAAAAGCTCCATCATAAACAGGCTCCAGAAGTTGCTAGAGATGGCCAGGGGTATGAAGGGTGACCACCTGTGCCTGAGCAACCTGCATCCTCAACAAGGGTGTAAAGTCTAGCCCATGACAACCTTTCTATTTGTAAAGCAATGGCATAAGGAAACACAGTCTTCTTCAATCTGAGGAACCCTGGTGAGCCAAGCCAGTGAAATGTTGCCTCCTTCCACAAACAAGAGCAGCGAAATGAATGCCCAATTCCTGTGCACTCCCAGAAAATGAGGTCAGACTCATTTGATAACTCCCCAAGGTGACTTCTCCATGCAGAATACACCAAGTCTTACACGTTCCCAGAGATGGAACCCATTTGTGATCCTTTTTTTTTTTTTTTTGAGGCAGAGTCTCACTCTGTCACCCAGGCTGGAGTGCAGTGGCATGATCTCAGCTCACTGCAACCTCCACCTCCTGGGTTCAAGCAAGTGATTCTTGTGCCTCATCCTCCTCAGTACCTGGGATTACAGGTGTACACCACCATACCTGGCTAATTTTTTTGTACTTTTTTAGTAGAAACGGGGTTTCCCCATGTCGCCTAGGCTGGTCTTGAACTCCTGACCTCAAGTGATCTGCCCGCCTCGGCCTCCCAAAGCGTTGGGATTACAGGAGTGATCCCAACACCCTGCCCCGTTTGGGATTCTGTTCTTGTCTCCTGGAACCAAAAACAGCACCTACTTCCTTTGGGATCCCATTCCCCACCCTGGGACTCCACCAAAGATCTGAAAGGAAAGTGCAAGTTATTACCTTAGATTGTCTTCCAGGGTCTCCTCATCCGAAGAGAAGGTCCCATTGCTGACACTCTGGTGAGAGTAACTCTTCTTCCCCAACGACGGCACCCGGAACAACGAAGGGTCTTTCTTTTTCCTTTTGCCAAACAACTTTTTAAAAGGCTGGAATTTGCCTCCCTTCTTCTTGTCTGTGGATTGTAAAACAAACACATGCTGCAGTGTGGCAGGGCTGCACTTCCAAGCCTAAGGAGCAAATTATAACCCAGCTGCCTCCGGCCAAAGGAGACAGGGCAAAGGGCGGCCATCAGCCTGAATGAGCGACCAAGCCCTGTGCCAGGAATGTCGGCGCCAGCCCCAGCGCGATCCATGCACAGGGAGGCAGAGCACGAGCCAAAGGCATGGTGAATCGTCTGTCCCCCAGGCTCCCAAGAAACATCTGGGGAGAACAAGAAGAGGTTCCAAGTGGCCAGGGCATGGTGGCTCATGCCTGTAATCCCAACACTTTGGGAGGCTGAGGTGGGAGGAGCATTTGAGCCCAGGAGTTTGAGACCAGCCTGGGCAACACAGTGAGATCCCATCTCTATAAAATATAAGAAAATTAGTCGGGTTGGTGGTGCACGCCTTTAGTCTTGGCTACTTAGGAAGCTGAGGCTGGAGGATTGATTGAGCCTGGGAAGTTGAGGCTGAGTGAGCTGTGATCACACCACCGCACTCCAGTCTGAGCAACAGAGTGAGACCCTGTCTCAAAAAATAAATAAATAAATAAAATAAAAAAGAAAAAGAAAAGATTTCAAGCTTCATGGTGGCCAGCACAGCACCTCTTTGCACATGCAATAAGGCAGTGCCTGCTTTCTTTAACAAAGCAGATAGCCAAATGCCCTTCTCCACTGAAGAGGCTGAGAAAAACACTTAAGTCAGATAGTTTTGTTTTTTTTTTAATATTTTTATCTCTATCTATACATATCTCCAGTTTGAGGGTCATTCTGTTTTGGCCTTTATTAGATACAGAAGATAACTGCCAACTCCTGACATAAGCTTTGCCCCCTAATTCCCTCTATCCCCATATATTTCCAGTTTATTTCCCTTGTCTCTTTTTAAAATCTACTATGAAGAGCCCCAAAGGAGTTGCTATGAACATCTTCCCATATATTACTTCATTAGTCAGGAACTAGGCTTGCTGCCAACATTTGTTGGAGGTATTTTAGGTAATACCTTTCAGTCCTCCGCCTTTGGATACAAATTCCTTCATGTTATTCCACTCTTTCCTTGGAAAAGAAAGTGTAAGTCACCCTCTACCAGAAGCAGCATCTTCCTGGATGTTTCGTTTTTCTTTAAGAAGCTTAAAGAGCCACCTTTCTAGTGGTCTGACAACTATTTTTAAAAACTTTTTTTTTTTTTTTTTTGAGATGGAGTTTCACTCTTATCGCCCAAGCTGGAGTGCAATGGCACGATCTTGGCTCCCTGCAACCTCTGCCTCCCGGGTTCAAGTGATTCTCCTGTCTCAGCCTCCCGAGTAGCTGGGATCACAGGCGCCTGCCACCACGCCTGGCTAACTTTGTGTGTGTGTGTGTGTGTGTGTGTGTGTGTTTAGTAGAGACGGTGCTTCACCATGTTGGCCAGGCTGGTTTTGAACTCCTGACCTCAAATGATCCGTCCGCCTTGGCCTCCCAAAGTGCTGTGATTACAGGCGTGAACCACTGGGCCTGGCCTAAAAACATGTTTTAACCCTTACTATGTACCACGGCTCTAAGAACTTTATAAATATTAACTCAGTCAATCCTCACAACAATCCTATTACATTGACACTATTAACATGCCCATTTTACAGATGAGGAACCTGAGACACGAAGAGATAAAATAGCATGCCTACATCACAGGAAACATATCTTTGAACAGGGAGTAAGAAGTTTTGAGAGAGAAGTAAAGATAGAGGCTCGCAACAAGAAGTGAAAAACACCTGCACAAAACGCACAGATACAACTCCCCCACCTTCCACCCAGCTGACTATCAGAGGCCCCAGAGCTCTGCTGGCCAGATCCATAGAGGAATCCAGGCACACAAATGAGGTCAGTGAGGAAACAAGCCAGACGTCTCATTTCCTCTGTGATCTTCAATTCTGGCCTTACTGAGATGTCACAGAAAATTTGAAGTGCTGCCAGATGTGGTGGCTCACGCCTGTAATCTCAGTTACTCGGGAGGCTGAGGTGGGAGGATCATTTGAGCCCAGGAGTTCAAAACCACCCTGGGCAATATGAGACCCCATCTCTAAAAAATAAAAAAAAAAAAGAAAAAGAAAATTTGAAGAGAAGAAGTGGTTCAAACTATTTCATCCTAAGCAGCGGCATAAGGTGCTGAGGACGCAGACAGAATAATAACCAATTACAAAAAGACAATCATCTGGGAACATTAGTACAGGTGCAAACAGAGCCTCCAACATCAGTGGTCCCCTGAAACGACGTTGTGTCAGATCACATTTAAAGGAAAGGATATTTAAAACATATCAGATGCCTGCTATACATACGCATTGTGCTAGGTACAAAAAAGAGTTAAATTATTTTTACTGTGTATTATTTGAAAGACAGGAAAGTGTGTGATATAGTTTGGATGTTGTTCCCTCTACATCTCATGTTGAATTGTAATCCCCAATGTTGGAAGTGGGGCTTGGTGGGAGGTGACTGGATCATGGGGGCGGATCCCTCATGGCCTGGTGCTGTCCTCGTGATATTGAATGAGTTATTGTGAGATCTGGTTGCTTAAAAGTGTGGAACTTACAAAATTAGCCAGGTGTGGTGGCGTGTGCCTGTAGTCCCAGCTACTCAGGAGGCTGAGGCAGGAGAATCACTCAAACCTGGGAGGCGAAGGCTGTAGTGAGCAGAGATCATGCCACTGTACTCCAGCCTGGGTGACAGAGGGAGACTCTGTCTCAAAAAAAAAAAAAAAAAAAAAGTGTGGCACCTCCCCCGACCTTGCTCCTGCTTTTGCCATGTGTCATGCCTGCTCCTACTTTGCCTTTCAGCCCTGTAGAGCTCTCTGAAGCCTCCCCAGAAGGCAAACAGATGCTGGCGCCATGCTTCCTGTACAGTCTGTAGAACTGTGGACCAATTAAATTTTTTTTTTTTTTACTTTGCGAGAGGGTCTCACTCTGTCGCCCAGGTTGGAGTGCAGTGGCGCGATCTTGGCTCACTGTAACCTCCACCTCCCGGGTTCAAGCAATTCTCATGCCTCAGCCTCCTGAGTAGCTGGGATTACAGGCGTGGGCCACCACCCCTGGCTAATTTTTATATTTTTAGTAGAGACGGGGTATCACTGTGTTGGCCAGGCCGATCTCCAACTCCTGACCTCAATTAATCTGCCCACTTCAGCCTCCCAAAGTGCTGGGATTACAGGCATGAGCCACCATGCCCGGCCACCTCTTTTCTTCATAAATTACCCAGTTTCAGGAATTTCTTTATAACAATGCAAGAATGGCCTAACACATCATGTAATACAATTGAGATATCATTTAAAAATGGTTTACAAAAAATAGAGGGTTTGATTTCAGAATGTTTGTATCTTTTCATTGGTTATTTATTCAGAAGTGAATATAGGCCAGTGATTTTCATGACACCTACTTTAGGTTCTTATCAATAAAATCTCCAATGAATAATATTTAAGAACTATAATCAGTAGTTTCTGAAGATCATCCAAGAGCACTAGGCATGTGTTAAAAGAATGTCCTTACAAAGGTTGATTTTTTAAAATTTAAATGTAAAAACATTCTGTAAGGCACCACAGGTATCATTATTGCACTATTCTATAACTGATCTTTGGCAATGACTGCTGTATTAATTGAAAACTTTCTCTACGACTGTCCAAGGCTGAAAATATGTAAACAGTGCCTGATTTCTAGTTTGGCAGCATCACAGTAAGTGGTCAAATGGCTATTTATATTATATTCCACTTATTTCCAAGGTAAAATTATTTTTTCCTTTTATATCAGTTGCCTTTTCCCCACTAAATATCAAACCCCCAAATTTCTATCTTTTTAAAAATAATTTTTTTTACAGTTGCTTTTTTTACCCAACACTGCTCCTTGACTATAACCCCAAAATTTCTAATCAGAAACATTCCAAAATACAATAGCAACATTATAAGAATATCAATTATGACATCATTATCCCAGCCTGGGTCCACAGATTTAGCTTTCGAGATAAGCAGAGAATTGTAGATTATGTTAGAATTTATTGATTAGAAAAAAAGTTCATCACTGCCATAAAGTCAGGGGAATTTAATAATGTTCAGTTGAAGTTTAATTTGAGTTAACTCTAAATAAAGATATTAAATTATAGTTTTCTAAACAGGTTACTCATCTATTTAACCAACAGGTAATCTCTGCACGTCAGCTAAGAGGGTTGATGAGGTCCTCTGTGTCACCTCACTGTTGTGAATGGTGACATCTACTATATAAATTATTTGCTGCACTGGTCACATTGTTGGGGGAAACAGCAAGTGAACAGGCTCTGGAAGGAGCTGAATACACACAAGGATGAGAAAAAGGCTGGGAGAGGGTGCCATCATTTGGAAGCCTTAGTTCTGAGAACTGGGAGGGTTTTGGCAGCAGAGAATGGCCTCCTTCAGGTGGCCCATTTATAGAGCTAGCCTACTTGAAGACTGTTTATCAAAAAGGTACCCTATCATTCTTTGCCACACTTAATATGGGCAATAACTTGACACAAGTACACACGCATCACCCTGGAAAATGGAACAAAGTCCAAGTGTCAGACAGTGCACTTATAATGACATGGGAACGCTGTTTCAGCAATGCCTTAGTTATTATCAGGACGGTGAAAGAACAGTAAAACCTAACTGGATTCTCCACCCAACAACCAATTCTTCTTACCGTAAGAAAAAAAGAGGTCCTAAGTCCTACAAACACCAATTTCCCTTCAAAGGAGGACTCAGAACATAGATGCTATCATTAAAAGTCTGCTCCAAAGTCTTATTAGTGTATGGTGACATCTCATTTATGAAAACTAATTTCCCCTTCCTCATTTCCAAAATCAGTAATACACTTTCCACCAGAAATATCTTTAAATCTTAAATAAATTGGCCAGGCGTGGTGGCTCACGCCTGTAATCCCGGCACTTTGCGGGGCTGAGGCAGGCGGATCACGAGGTCAGGAGTTTGAGACCAGCCTGGCCAACATCGTGAAACACCGTCTCTACTAAAAATACAAAAAAAATTAGCTGGGCGTGGTGGCTGGTGCCTATAATTCCAGCTACTTGGGAGGCTGAGGCAGGAGAATTGCTTGAACCCGGGAGGCAGAGGTTGTAGTGAGCCGAGATCGCACCACTGCAATCCAGCCCGAGCGACAGTGCGAGACTCCGTCTCAAAAAAAAAAAAAACTTAAATAAATTTAAAAGTGTATTTAATGGTTATTTTATTATTGACTGTGGTACTTGATCAATTTTCTAGCATTGACTTCCTGAAAAGACTCAGAAATTACATTTTAGCCCATCCTACATTCAGGAAGGCAAACTTAAGTGACATTAGTAGGAAATAAAATTTTATAAACTAGGTAAGGAGTTATACTCTTATTTGATTCCCCAATTGATAATCTCAAATATAAGATCTCTCATGTCAAAAAAGCAAGTTCTCAAAGCTTTACAATCCTATGTTGCATGACCATTATGAAAACCTGAGCATATGTCTATTAGCAACCACTAGATAAACTATTTTATGGTCAGTTTATGATGCTGGGGCAGTATTAGCAGTTTATCTCCACAGAATCAACTGGATTAAGTACATGGTCATCAGTAGCAGCTATTTTCTTGATAAATAACAACTGCTGATGTGAATGTTTTTGTGGTACACAGATGGGGCCTAAAAGATAGAAGCAATTTTAACAATGTAGTGAAACAGAGCACGTCTGCAATGCTAATGGGAAATATTCCGGAACAACTGCCATATAGAAGTATAATTTAGCAAAGTGTTCTCCAACACTGTACTATTTAAGATGGCATTTTAGACTTTTACAACACAAAATTTACTTTTGCTGGGTGGTTGGGCAGTGGGAAGAAGGGGACAGGAGGGAAGAAATGTTACTATCAATTTATTTTTCCTCACTGCAGCTCTAGTTAAGGGTTAAATATGTGGGCCCCAGAGACAAGAGGACTTGCCTCAAATCCTGATCCCATCTTTTACTAGCTATGAAACATCTGCTTACCAGCCTCTCTAGAAATTTGCCATCTTAAGCTGTAAGACTGAATTTATAGGAAAAAAGGCAGTGTTTGCCACATTTTCTTAATATTTCAGCATTTTTCTGTTGTAATTTTCCTTATGAAAGAACTTACATATGCATCTATACTGCTTCAGGGATCATAGTAATTTTCATTTTTTAAGTACTGAATTGAATTAATTTATTTTCATCATCCAATAATTACTTCAGGTTTTTTTTTTCATTTAAAAAAGTGCTCATTATCCATTATTTCAAGGGTATGATTACATACCATTTGATGGCTGCATCATCATAATTACTAGTTTATATAGAAGATTCTAAAAATTAAAAATCACTAGGGAAGTCAAGCAAATCTGATTCATTTTCCATTTGTCATAAGGATGCAATTCCTACATTTTCATTTCTAAACCTACAATAATAAAAGCATCCAATTCCTCTGCATTGGATTTCTAGGATATGCTTCCGAGTGAAGAACAGAAATGTGCTATGATAGTCCCTTTTAAGCATCATAAATGTCTTACTCCAGGATTTATCAGAATGTGCCCTATGGGTTGGTACCAGCACATTTTTGAGAATCCAGGCAAAATAAAATTAAATCTGTTTGTTTACTATGGGACCTTTCAGAGTCTTTAATATGCTGTTATCGCATTTGCTCTCCAAAAGAGCAGAGGATATGCAGGGCTTCCTAAACTTGTTTGGAATTTCAGCCTCAGATGCCTTGTTTGGCCTTGGAAACTTGACTTTCTCAACAACCAGTGAGACTAGGGTTCCTGTGAACACACTTTGGGAAACAGCCTTCATTATTTCTTTAAAACATGTTTTCTTTTCTTTGGTACCATATATTTCATACACACACACACACACACACACACACACACACACACACACCCCTCCTCTATACCCCTGAGTACACTGCTCAGTAAAGATGAGTGAGTTGACAAGCATTTTGGGCTACTTTGGTTAAATAATGTTTATTTCAACTTCTGATTTCAAACATGTATACAACAATGGCCTGAATCCCATAATTTTACTAAGTTAAGGAGAATTTTGTGATCCTTTTCTTAGCTTTGGAATATCTGAATATTTCTGAGAAGAAACTGCTAAGAAAAATGACTAGACACACACTGGCATGCACAAGTCCTCTGTGGCTGTCAGAGTTTTGCTGGGACCCATAATCCCAGCACATTTCCATTATGACAGAGGAGCTGGCCACATGTCAGATAGGCTGTGCTCCCCAGGGCCATGCTATGACAAGGCTGAGGACTGAGACTTTACTTCCAGGAGGCATGAGGTAAGGTGAGCATGGCAGCTTGTCCAGTGACAAGAGGAAAGAAGAAACGGTTTTCTCTTTTTCTGGGGGAAGCGTGGAGGAAAGAAGATATTTGTTGCGGGAAGTCAGGGACCCCGAACAGAGGGACCTGCTGAAGCCATGTAGAAGAACATAAATTGTGAAGATTTCATGGACATTTGTTAGTTCTCCAAATTAATACTTTTATAATTTCTTATGCCTGTCTTTACTGCAGTCTCTGAACATAAATTGTGAAGATTTCATGGACATTTATCACTTCCCCAATCAATACTCTTATAATTTCCTATGCTTGTCTTTACTTTAATCTCTTAATCCTGTCATCTTTGTAAGCTCAGGATGTATGTTGCCTCAGGACCCTGTGATGATTGTGTTAACTGCACAAATTGTTTGTAAAGCATGTGTGTTTGTTCAGATCCCTGAACAGATGGTGAGAGGCCCAGGGGTCAGAGGCAGAGAACATGGGGACCAGCCCCTTTCAGGGAATACCAGGTCCTGGACATTTAGGTACATAGGCTATGGCATATGTGGCATATGTGGTATATGTGGTATATGTGGTTAGGCTTCTAATGCAGGCCTAAAACTTGGATTTGCTTCCTTCTCAATGTGATGAAATTCTCTCTCTCTTTTTTTTAAGGATTATAAGGTAGACTTTATTCAGGGGGACTACTATAATGGGGTTTTGAAGTAGGGGAGTGATATGATTTAGCTCTGTCCCCATTCAAATCTCATGTTGAATTGTGATCCCGAGTGTTGGAGGCGGGGCCTGGTGGGAGATGACTGAATCATGAGGGCAGATTTCTCCCTTGCTGTTCTCATGATAGTGAGTGAGTTCTCATAAGATCTGGTTGTTTAAAAGTGTGTAGCATTTTCCCCTTCGCTCTCTCTCTCCTGCCGCCATGTGAAGATGTGCCTGCTTCCCCTTTGCCTTCCACCATGATTGTAAGTTTCATGAGGCCTCCCCAGCCATGCCTTCTGTACATCCTGCAAAACTGTGAGTCAATTAAACCTCTTTTCTCCATAAATTACCCAGTCTCAGGTATGTCTTTATAGCAGTGTGAGAACAGACTAATACAGAGAGAGAGATCGGGCACAACTCAACGTGATGAAATTCTACTCATTCTTCAAGACCTATGTCCTTAAAATTTTCCCAAGCCCCCAACTCCAGTGATAATTCATCACACCTTCCTCCAGCTTCTGTGTGCTTTGCTCATGTTTCTCTTGTGCCAGCCCATGTGTGAATTGATCTTTAAAAAATATTTTTTAAATATTCTCTCCAAATTTCATATTTTAAGGTCCTAACTCCCAGTACCTCTGAATGCGAATATTTGGAGATAGAGTCTTTAAAAGGTAATTAGGTTAAATAAGCTAAGTAGGGTGGGCCACAATCCAATACAACAGGTTCTCTCATAAGAGGAGGAGATTAGGACACAGACATACACTGAGGGAAGGCAATATGAAGACATAGGATAAGATGGCCATCTACAAACCAAGGAAAGTGGCCTCAGAAGGAATCATTGCTGCCAACACCTTGATCTTGAACTTTTGCCTCCAGAACTACAAATATATAAATTTGTATTGTTTAAGCCACCTAGTCTGTGGTACTTTGTTATGGCAGCCCTCACAAACTAATACACCATGTTATAGTTGTGTGACATTTAAGAGATCACCTTGGACCTGCTGTTTTGTAACTGTGCCTTCACACCTTTACACATTTTCTTCTACCTGGAATGACTTTCTCCTTTGCCTAGAGAACTCCTAACCACTCCCCGCAAACACAATCCAGGTGTCACATTCTCTAGAAAGCCTGCCTTGAACACTTTGGCTAGAAAGAATGACTCCTTCTTCTGTTCTCTGCTTGTGCATAGTACAGACATCTACTACAACAGCACAAAGAGTGTGGTAGCCCCTTCTAGACTTCAAGTTCCCTGGGTCTCCCAGGGACTGTGCCTTGTGTGTCTCTGCATCTGCAACACCCATCGTGATGCCTGACACAAACCAGATGCTCAACAACATAGACCTACCATTCCCTCTTCCCTTAGGGCCAGCTGTGTTTTGGAAATCAGAATTTTTACAACTCTATACAGGTATATTCAGACCCTCATGGGGTCTGTGACAGCACTTTAATAATCGAAGTGCAATATTTTAGGAAAACATCAGTATTCACATTAAGCTTTGCTAACAAATGAATTTGTGCTAAACTTACAAAGAACTTTTGGGATTTTGAAAGTACAGATAAAGGACAGTGATCTCTTAATGCTCTACAGTCAGTCCTGCAATCACCCTTGTTCTGAAAGTGCAAATTTGTTTCAACGTGATTGGTATATGTTATCTCACCCTGTGAGAAACAGTAGGTCAGGAGTGTCCAATCTTTTGGTTTCCCTGGGCCACACTGGAAGAAGAACTGCCTTGGGCCACACATAAAATACACTTACACTAATGATAGCTGATAAGCTATAAAAAAAAATCACAAAAAAATCTCATAATGTTTTAAGAAAGTTTATGAATTTGTGTGGGGCTGGCTGCACTCAAAGCCATTCTGGGCTGCATGTGGCCTCTAGGCCACAGGTTGAACAAGCTTACACTAGGAGAATGTAGAACACCGCACCCAGCTGAACCGAAGTGTGTAGAAATAAGACAAAACACATACATACATAACCCCAAAGACCTTCTGGATACTTCAGATCGCTGAGGTATCCAGTGACTATGAAATATGCCTATGCCCATCAACACGCAGTGTTACAGGTTTCCGTCCAATTTCAGATGACTCTCCTTCCATCACCTCACAATATTGCACAAGCTGCAACCCCTCCGACATCCAAGTCCACAGGCAAATTTTTTCAGGACTTTTTCAAGGCAAAGTGTCATATTTATTGTATTGATGTATTTCTTAACCATCTGACGTGTACAAAACTGAGCTACATTTTTCATTAGGTTTCTATCCTTTTTAGTATGTGACTCTTTTTAGTACGGTGACTCTTTTGGGTATAATGCTATATTCCCCATTTCCCCATAATCCCTGTGGTTTTCATTTCATGATTTTGCAAAGTATGTGGATTTTTAGCAATGCATATATGGCTTTATAGCAGAGCTGACTATATGCACCTAAATAGAATCTCCTGAAATAGGTTTCTACTTAACCTAGGTCTAGGCAAGGACTTATCAATAAAAATCACAACTCTTTGGCTGTTTCTTATCCTCTCCTCCCCCACCTCTCAAAACCATATCAATTTTTAGTTTTTCTAGTTTTTTTCCACTGGTCTGTTACAACCTCCTTTTATATATGTTTCACAGTTCACAGGAGAAATAAAATAATATTGAGAAACAGTAACAGAGGGCCAGGTGTGGTGGCTCATGCCTGTAATTCTAGCACTTTGGGAGGCTGAGGTAGGCAGATCACTTGAGGTGAGGAGATCAAGACCAGCCTGGCCAACATAGTAAAACCCCATTTCTATAAAAACACAAAAATTAGCTGGGCGTGGTGGTGGGCACCTGTAATCCAAGCTACTGGGGAGGCTGAGGCAGGAGAGTCACTTGAACCCAGGAGGCAGAGGTTGCTGAGATTGCACCATTGCACTCCAGCCTGGGTGACAGAGAGTGACTCTGTCTCAAAAAAAAAAAAAAGAAGAAGAAGAAGCAGTAACAGAGGCGGAGATATTTTTAATGTGAAGCCTCAGTGTTTGGCCACATTTCTCCCACATGCTAGAAGATGTGTGGGTTGTGTTTCCTTCCACTGCCGGTTTCCGCCACCGCTTGAGTTTCAGAGGGTGCCGTGAATCAATGACTGACTTTGGGTGGAAAATACTGGCAGGGGAGCTGCCTGCTACTTCGCCTTGCAGCATCAGTGTGGTACCTAACTACCTCAGCAAAGGATACCCCTACACAAAGGCTGAACACATTAAAATCATGTCAGTTCTACACATAGTATTGAACACCCAACACCTGTAGGATCAGTGCTGGACCCTGCTGGCTACACTGATGGACAAAACTTTCAAGGACATCTGAGGGGTTTCAGAGAAACAGAACCAGCAGGAAGTAGAGAGGGAGAGAGGGATGGATGGACGGATGGATGGATGGATGGATGGATGGATGGATGGATGGATACACAGACAGACAGATAGACAGAAAGACAGACAGACAGATGATATATTGCAAGGAGTTGGCTCATACCAAGGCCAGGCTAGGCAAGTCTGACATCCATAGGGCAAAATTATCAGGAAGAATAGGCTGGATTCACAGCCATGGACTGAAGCTGCTGTCCAAAGGCGGAATGTATTCTCTCAGGAAAGCCTCTGCTCTGCTTTTAAAATCTTTCAATGTATTGAATCAGGCCCACCCAGATTATCTCAAGTAATCTCCCTTACTTAAAGTCAACTGACTGTGGACTTTCATTACACCTATAAAATACATTCACAAGAGCTCAATTAAACAACATTACAGTTTCATTAAATAACTGGGGACTATATCCTAGCCAAGTTGACACATCGAAAAGATCATCACACTCCACCCTTTGTCAACTTGGCATCTATACACATGTCCTTAAACGATACTTAATCTCCAAGTTTTTAATAAAGTCAATAAGAAAGTCATCCTTTCACTAACAAGATACAAGTATCCCACCTACATCTGAAATCACACTAACCCGTTCCCCCAGAAGAGGATGCAAAGTCCCTGGGTGGCGTTCACACTTCTCTGATATTCTGCAACTTAAATACGGAGAGAGAAAGTTAACTATCATTATCGTATCTTATGTTAGATGATAAGTGGATAACAAAGGGAAGAAAACAAAAATGTTGGGTTAATATATATGCAAACACATTCATAACAAAATAAGGAAGAAACACTCATAACTATCAGAGTCCTTGCTTCTGCAACCAGTCATGTGGTCATGGCAGATCCTTATAGCTATCTTCCTCTGCTAACCATTCTATATTCCCTATCCTTCCACAAAAACCTCGGTTGCTTGTGATTCTTTGCTTGGTGGGAAGACTGAAACCTGCATCTCTGAGGAATCTGGGCCATTAGTCATCCTCAATTGGGTTCTGATTGTTATGGTTTTCCATTGCATTTTATCACAGGACTTAGGAGTGCTAAAAGGCCCTGAGGGATCTCCTGTATTCTAGACATGCTCTACCTCACTTCCATTGTACAGCAGCAGCTTACCCTTAGTAATCAGGACCAATCACCCCAGCCAGTCCAGCAACCCCCTGCTTTGCCTGTTGATTGAGAGGCAGGAGCCACAGGGGTCGGATGACTGTCTCAGCTTCCAATTCAATGGAATCACTGTCCCTCCCTTTGGAACTAAGTCTCTAAGGATGGAAAACAACAATTTTCACAGTGGATCACTGGAGTGATAGTAAAGGGAGCCACTCTTATTTCTACCCCTTGATTCCTGGACCTGTAACCAAGTACTCCATTTTTCTAAGAGAAAGAGAATGAGTTATGTTTTTAAATAACTTCTTTTCTTTTTCCTCCTTTCCCCCTGTTCCCCACCTCCTACTTAGTGCTTTAGAAATGAGTTATAACCTTTACCTTCCCCTCACCAGGCACTCCCTACAGGGCAAGCTTATCTATGCGCTTACTTAGAAACTCCAGAATTGGAACTCTCCCACCAGGAGATGGCCTCAAGAGACAACCGTCAATTTACAACCTGAAGTGTGCCCTCAACAGAATTCTCTCCCACCTAGAGAGGATCTCAAGGCAACAGCCCCCTTACAACCTAGCTCTGCCCACAATGGTGCCAGCTTGACCATCCGGTAGATGAAGTGAGTCATGCAGACCTCACATCTGCTTGCTCCCTCCCCTGCATGCCATTCATGCCAAGTCCCACTTTAAAAGCCCCTGCTTTTTGCCCCAAAAGTGAAGCAGTACCCTTAAAGGCAGGAGCTTGTGTCTCTTCCCCTAAGCTAAGCTTTGGAATAAAGTCACTTTCTTTATACCAGACTCGCTCTTGTTAATTGAACAAGAGTGTGAGCGACTGAATCTGCATTTTAGTTACAGACCCATGAATCCTGACTATGAGAGAAAGAGTGCCATATACTGGATTCAGACTTTAGAGCATATATGGTTGGGTAATATTTTGGTGAACATTATATGGGACACAAATATCTTAAAATTCTTTGCCCATTCAGAGAGATCTATCCACATACCTCTTCCCAAAGACCTTTCTGTCACAATTTTCCAATTGTATTCCTTCCAAATCTCTGACTACCCAGTCTATGAATTGGTATAGACTTGACCTCTGGTCATTTTTCCTTCCAAGCAAAATGAACAATCAGATACACTGCTCAAAGCTCTACCCACTGGGGGGATTTCCCTTCACCACTGTCCTTCAGGGCTGTCTCAGAATGGGGCTACAGCATTATTGCTTTTGGGTGGTGCCTGCATTATTGTGCAGAACCAACTTTAAACAGGCCTGAGTTTTCTCTCCCTCAGTCAACTAGACATAGGGAACTCCCCACAAGGCCTGCAAACCAAAAAGTATCTGAGACAAGTCTCAATCAATTTAGAAGTTTATTTTGCCAAGGTTAAGAACATGCTCATGACAAAGCCTCAGGAGGTGCTGAGAACATGTGGCCAAGCTGGTTGGGTTACAGCTTGATTTTATACATTTTAGAAGTTACAAGCAGACATCAATCAATACATTAAAAGTGCACATTGGTTTGGTCTGGAAAGGCAGACAACTCAAAGTGGGGAGGTGCCTTCAGGTCATAGGTGGATTCAAAGATTTTCTGACTGGCAATTAGTTGAAAGAGTTAAGTTATTATCTAAAGTCTTGGAATCAATAGAAAGGAATGTCTGAGTTAAGATAAGGAGTTGTAGAGGCCAAGTTTCTTCTTATGCAGATGAAACCTCCTCATAGACTAAATGGTAAATGTTTCTTTTCTTTTTTCTTTTTTTTTTTTGTTTTTTTTTCTGAGATGGAGTCTCACTCTGTCGCCAGGCTGGAGTGCAGTGGTGCGATCTAGGCTCACTGCCACCTCTGCCTCCCGGGTTCAAGCGATTCTCATGCCTCAGCCTCCCAAGTAGCTAGGACTACAGGCACGCGCCACCATGCCCGGCTAATTTTTGTATTTTAAGTAGAGACGGGGTTTCACCATGTTGGCCAGGATGGTCTCAATCTCTTGACCTTGTGATCTGCCTGCCTTGGCCTTCCAAAGTGGTGGGATTACAGGCGTGAGCCACCATGGCCGGCCAATGTTTCTTATCAGACTTAAAAAGGTACCAGACTCTTAGTTAATCTCTCCAGAATCAGAAAAAGACCTGGAAGATCTACTATGTTGCCCCCACAAGAGACAGTTTTGCAGGGCTTTACACTTTATGAATGTGGCAGCACAATCACAGCTTACTGCAACCTTGACCTCCTGAGCTCAAGCAATTCTCTCACCTCAGCCTCTGGAGTAGCTGGGACTAGAGGTGTGTGCCACCAAGCCCAGCTAATTTTTTTTTTTTTTTTTTTCTGTAGAGACAAGTTCTCATTATGCTGCCCAGGCTGGTCTCAAACTCTTGGGTGCAAGCAATCCTCCTGCCTCAGCCTCACAAAGTACTGACTACAGGTGTTAGCCACTGCACCCAGCCCACAGGGCCATTAAAAAATGCATCAAGGCCAGGCACGGTGGCTCACGCCTGTAATCCCAGCACTTTAGGAGGCCAAGGCAGGTGGATCACCTGAGGTCAGGAATTTGAGACCAGCCTGGCCAGTATGGCAAAACCTCATTTCTACTAAAAATATAAGAATTAGCCAGGCATGGTGGTGGGCACCTGTAATCCCAGCTACTTGGGAGGCTGAAACATGAGAATTGCTTTAACCCAGGAGGTGGAGGTTGCAGTGAGCCGAGATCGCACCACTGCACTCCAGACTGGGTGACATAGTGAGACTTCATCTCAAAAAAAAAAAAAAAAAAAAGAACATCAAAATATACTGCAGGGTAAAATACTTCCATTTCTTTCAGAGCCTGCTACCTGTTATTTTGTAATGTATCTTATTGCCTCAAAGAGTCTGTTCCATCAGTCTTAAGATCTCTGTTTTAATGTTAACGCTGGTCAGTTGTGCCTGAATTCCAAAGGGAGAAAGGTATAATGAGGTATGACTGACCCCCACTCCCTTCCCATAATGGCCTGAACTAGTTTTTCAGGTTTACTTTGGAATGCCCTTGGCCAAGTAGGGGTCCATTCAATCTGTTGGGGGACTTAGAATTTTATTTTTGGTTTACATTCCACAGATATGGGCTGAGAGAAAGAAGATAATGTAGCAAGAATGAGGACCATGGGCATTTGGGCCACTTCCTATTCAGCTTAAATGTGCCCTCGGGGCCTGCTCAAGCCAGATCTCATGTATACACCACTTCCATTTGATGATGGAGTACTGCTGTACCTTCCTAACTTCATGGTGTAGTGGCTCAGACAATGCCCAGTTCACAGTAGGCAGCTCAGGCTTCATGGAAACTTGGTGGCCCATGGTTAAGCATTCAGTTTCTATTAATATTCATAACTAGGCCAAAGTTGTTTCTTAAAAGGAGAGTAGTTGTATTAGTTCGTTTTCATGTTGCTGATAAAGACATACACAAGACTGGGCAATTTACAAAAGAAAGAGGTTTAATGGACTACAGTTCCATGGGGCTGGGGAGGCCTCACAATCATGGCAGAAGGTGAAAGGCAGATCTCACATGGTGGCCGACAAGAGAAGAGAGCTTGTGCAGGGAAACTCCCTTTTATAAAACCATCTGACCTCTTGAGACTTATTTACTATCACAAGAACAGCATGGGAAAGACCCACCTCCATGATTCAATTATCTTCCAATGGGTCCCTCCCACAACATGTCGGAATTATGGGTGCTACAATTCAAGATGAGATTTGGGTAGGGACATAGCCAAACCATATCAGTAGTTCTCTACAGAGGATGGCAGAGTTTTGCTCCAAAATTCTAAGTGTGTGAGCTGTGAATCACCTATAGGGGCCAGCCAAGTACTCCAAACAGCATCCCTATCAGCCAGGACCCTTCAAGCAACATTGGATTTGCTGGGTCATATGGCCCAAATGGCAGAGCAACTTGAACAGCAGTCTGGACCTGTTGCAGAACATTCTCTTGTCCTGGGCCCTATTCAAAATGAGCAGCTTTTTGGTTACAAGGTAAATGGGCCAAAGTAACACACACAAATGAGAAATACGTTGCCTCCAAAATCCAAAGAAAAGCCACCAGACATGATGCTTTTTTTCTGGTTAAAAGGAGAGGTCAGATGCAACAACTTATCTTTCACCTTAGAAGGGACATCTCAACATGCCTCACAGCCCTAGACCCCTAGAAATTTCACTGACATGGATGGCCCGTAAAATTTAGTGGGATTTATTTCTCATCTTTTGGCCAGTACAGGTCTTACCAATATGTAATTGTTACTTTCTTCTCAGCAGGTCCAGGAGTCATGTTTGCAAGTTTGTGGCCTCTGTGATGTTATTGCAGTGACACTGATTTCTTTTAAAAACAAGCTAACTGATTTTTTTTTTTTAAAGAGTCAGTGTCTCCATTTGGTACTCTTTGAACCATGAACTGTTAAAAATTTCAAGGTTTCTATGTCTTTACATTAGTGCCTTCATTAAATTGAGAGCAGAATGGTGCTGATAAACCAGAAATGAGCCCTGAAGAAAAGAGTGTTTATTGAGGATTGTTGAGGAGAGGACATTTAGTAACTTTTGTGGCTACCACTGGTTTAACTGCAAATGGGCTAATCAGTTAGACAGCTAGAAATCATGAGAAAAATTGTAGTAATTATTGATAACACAGAGACTCAATACAGGTTAATTAAATAACTGTTTAGTTATAGATTTCAAAATGATTTCATTGGCCAATTTTTAGTTTTTTTTTTTTTTTTTTTTTGAGATGGAGTCTCACTCTGTCACTTAGGCTGGAGTGCAGTGGCACAATCTTGGCTCACTGCAACTTCTGCCTCCTGGGTTCAAGTGATTTGCCTGCCTCAGTCTCCCGAGTAGCTGGGACTATAGGTGCCTGCCACTACTCCTAGTTATTATTATTATTTTTTTGTATTTTTAGTAGAGATGGGGTTTCACCATGTTGGCCAGGCTGGTCTCAAAAATCCTGACCTCATGATCCGCCCACCTCAGCCTCCCAAAGTGCTGGGATTACAGGCGTGAGCCACCGCGGCCAGCTGATCTTTTTTTTTTTAAAGCTAGGGGCAGGTTCAGTAATAGTTCCTGCTGGATAAAAGGTGAGTTTAAAGTCAAATTCTCAAACCATGCTGGAGTATGTAAAAGCTCTTAGAGATGTAGGGCAGAAGTCACTAGTTTTACTATGTGAGTATCAGTTCTTGACAAGTTTAGCAGGGGTTCTAGATGGTGCCAGTGGGAAGTGGGCCAGGGTCAAAGTGACACTAACCTTCCCTGGACCCATTGCAAAGTGCTTGATTGCTTATTGAATAGATGAGATCCATGAAGTACAAACCCAAGAGGTAGCAGAATGAAAACCTTAGTGTTCACATGGTTGAGGAAAATAATAAGAAGTCGCCTTGTCCTTTGTGCCGATCTGTGAATAGTGCTACACTGATATGATACCTGAGAACAGAAAAAAAAAAAAACCCCCACAAAACTCTGCTTTAAAAGATTTTTAATGAAATTCTATAGTCTGTCTCAGGATTCCAGACTGGGTGGGACAGTCCTGTCTGGCTATTCTTCCTTGATCTTAGACTTACTCCGTTGCACTGACACAGTTTATGTCTTTTGGCTTCTTATTCTGCTCTCATTGGAGAGCACTACATGTAGATGAAACAGCCCTGTGACAGTCACTGTCCTCTAACCACATTCCTCTTTCCCAGACTAAATCTTAGACAATAGCTCAGACCAGTAATAGATTCCCGCTGGCATGGTCCTATTCTGGGGAGACAAAAGAGATAACAATTGCTACATGTTCTGCAGAATCTTTCAATTAACTCATGCACCAGATACTGGTGGAACAGATGACCTTCCAATTCTGAGATTCGAAGGGTCAATGATTGAAGTTTCCACCCATATCTTGATGTATTGCCTCTTTGAATAGTGACCACTGACTCATGTGATGTAGGAGTAAAGGAAAAAAACCCAGAGCTGTCCTCTGTCCTTTTATGGTTGGAAACTGCTTTTGTGATATAATTTGGGCTCTATGGTGACAGGTGACTTAGAAATGCACGTGTTAGCTATGCAACCCTTCACTGTCCAAAGTCCTCAAAGACAGCCACAGGAGCCCCACAGCTGGCATCAAGAAATCTCAGGAAATCTGAAGCACACATATTATGGTTCAAATTTCTATGACCTAAATGCAGCCCCTTTGGGAAACTATTGCTGTGTTTTTTGGTTTTGCTTTGTTGTTTTGTTTTTTGCTTTTAACATGGCTGAGTCCATGAACAGTGGCTCAAACGATGACATTTTTGTGTACTATTTCTTAGCAATGAGGAGAAATCCTTTTTACTTGAAGAGACTATGAGGCGTGGGGAAACAAACCCTGGAGTCTTAAAGATCTGGGCTTGGCCACCTCTGCCATTTTCTAGCTTCTTAGGACCTCAGTTCCCACATCTGCAAAATGAGGTGACTGAACTATCGAGGGTCCCTCCTAGATATAAATTCTACGAACTGTTTCTTTGAAAAACTAAGGAAGTTTAGAACATATCTGGCTCATAAAACTTATAACGTTATCAATTACCTATTAATTATATGCATTATATTTTCTCCATTCCTGGTCTGTTTGCCAAATTTTGCTAGTGGTGTTATTACTGTGGCTTATTTTGCAAAATAAATGACCTTCAGGGCCTGGGAGAGGCCAGAGTATGGTCTGTAAGTTGCTAAAAGAGAGCCAAGTCGTTTCATGTCTCCTCTTTACATCAGGATGCAGGTCTCTACTCCTAGGGAAGAACATGCTCATGGAGAATGAATAGGTCACAGTCCTATAACCCGAATCCCCAACCCCTGTCATCCCACTGCTACCCTGGGGTCAGGCCCAGTGAGGTTTTCTGAGAAGAGTGACTAACATGTGAACCTCAAAGCTGCACAAAATATGTGAACCTGCCTTCAGACACACTTCTAAGACATCAGGGAATTACACGAACCGCTCAGGGTTCCTTTTAAGTCCTGAGGTTCTACTCTTAGGGGCAAAGTCATGCCTCAGACAGCCTTGGACTTATGAGCCAATGATGCAAAGAGACAGCTTCAGTCACTGACCAATTCTGCCCCAGTATATCCAGACTGTGCTAACCTGTGTTTGTCTGTTTGCTTTTCTTGGTGTTGTGTGTATTGAGGAATATGCACTCTGCCTGGACTCCTGCTTCAATAATCCTGTAACTTTATATCCTGCATGCTAAACTCAGCCTATCTATGGATCACCAGTGCTATTCAATGCTACCTTCACAAGATCCCTGTTTCCACTCTATTCAGTACAGATCTGGGACTATGGCTAGCCAATGAGTATTTACTGCAGTCCTACAGTCAATACTATAGCCTTGAGCTGGCACTGGCACAGCACAGAAATTCTTGAGTTCCTGATGCCAGTGAACCCACAGAAAGTTAGGAGGAGAGTATGCTGCTTTTCACAATTCACAGTTTTCCTAATTCTGGCCTCATGTAAGAAGATGGAGCCTGTTAGGGGAAAAAAAAATCCCTGGTAGCAGCCGATGGAGTTATGTGTACCTAGGCGTTCAAAGAGTTTGGTGGTGTTAGAGATGGTTGTGATGGTGGTATGTGTGTGTAGTGGGAGTGAACTGGAAGAGTGTGTGAAGTTTTTCCTTGAGGGTATGTAAAGCCCAGATAAGTAAAGCAGTTTTTTGGACTAAGAGGAATCTTAAGGCCGGTGTTCTTCAAATAGTGGGTGATAGCCCATTTAGTGAACCTTGCAATCAATTTAGTGGGTCATGACCAAAATTGCTTAGTAACACTAAGTATAATAGAAAAGAAGATAATAGAGTAAAATATAACATAATGTTGGCACTACTTCTTGATAATTCTGTTTGCAGTTTATATGCGTATATATACACAACTTTATGCATACATATGTTCTGATATAAAACATATTTCTTGCTCTGGATGAAGTAAAAAATATTTGAGAAATACTGATCAAGAAAAATGGCCACATTTCCCAGTAAGTTAGGCATTTAGATGCAAGAGTCAACAATGATTTATCTACACTCCATTGCATATGTGGCAGTCACTCTGCCTAAATGAAGCAAAAGCATTGTATGCAAAAACAAGCTGAGAGCTGCCAGAGCGATTAAATAAGCTCTCTGACATTGCCAAAGCCAGAGCCGATGTTCATACTGCTGAGATCTCAACTTTGGCTTTGATCATTTTGCTTCTCAAGTACCAAAATTCTACCAGAGTTTCACAAAATCTTCCACTTCTCAATTAAGGAAAAAAGAACGCTTCATTAAACATGAGCCTTAGTGGCCACTGAACTTGGTTTTGAGTATAACCTAAATACTCATAATTTGGGGTAGAACTTTAAGAAAGTATTATGCTTTACTTTTCATATATGCTTCACTTTCAATATAAAATTCTGGCCTGGGCTAAAGGAAATAAAATCTGCACACACCAGACACGTCTCTGCTGAATCGCATCACCTGATATTTTTTGAGTGCCTTTCAAATATCAATTTCAAGGAGCTGGAAGTGACAGTGAAGCCACTATTTGATTTCTACGTGAGACCAGAAAAGTTAAGCTAACTGAACAAGGTTAGATGCCAAATGAGTGAAGAAACCAGGCCTCTCGACTCTCAGCCTGATGTCTACACACTTGACCAGGCAGGCGCTGAGACCAGAAGACTCAGGCGGTCAAGGCATACTCTATTCCTCTCTATCAGTTTTTCAGGGCTTCCCTTCCTAGACCAAATATCCAAAGTATTTATATGCCATCAGGGTATTAAGTAAAAGATGGAAGAAGACTATTCTGGAACCATTAAATGGAAGCACTATATTGCGCTCCTTCATACATCACATGGGAAATTCCAGAACTTGTTACTAACTGCCAGCAGCTGTGTAGGATAAAGACATGAATGGATTCAAGGAATCTTTAGATCAAGGAAAAATTCCCAGTGGTTACTGAGAACAGTTATTTCGAAATATGCTTGTAATTAAATGAAGTTGGTTGCAAGGGGAACAAATACTATTTTTTCCATAGATAGTAATATTAGTATACTGTATTAAACTTAGGCCATGTGCCAGGCTTAAAGTTTTACATGTAATACCTCACGACCACTCTGTGAGGTATTATTTTCCACGTTTTACAGATAGAAAATGGAAGCTCAGAGAGCTGAGATGATTTGCCCGTTGTTACACAGTTAATCCCTGGCAGTGCTGAGATTCAAACCAAGTCTGTCTAATTCCAAGTACCATGCTCTTAACCATTTTGCTGCATTTCAAAAGTGTGTCTTGGGAACACTACTAGATTGAGAGCTCATTCTTTGCAAGGCATTTGAGCTCTGGAGGTAGACATTTGTCCTAAGTCTCAATTCTCTTACTAGCTAGGAGACTTTGGGCAAGTTCCATAATCTGTTAAGTTTCTGCTCTCTTGTTTGTAAAATAGGAGTGATAATAATACACAGCTTATTGACTTGTAAGGAATAAATTAGATATGGTATATAAAGCACCTAGTAGAATGTCCAGCAAAAACATTAGTTATTATATTGCCAGCTAGTATTAAGAAATGTTTTATTAGATACCAGTGATGGAACAAGAGAAAAAAAGAAATTTTTAAAATTAATGAATGGGTATGTTTTGACCATTATATGGCATTTCTTACTTATTATCAAAAAAGAGAAAAGAAATTAGGAACAAGAAAAGAAGGGAAAGGAGAATAGTGGAATATAGAGAATCAAAACGTGAGAAAGAAAAAAATAAAGAGGAAAAAGAATATTAGGAAGTACATAATGAGAAGGAAAGTTAAAGACCTTTAGATATTTTACAGGGCAATTCAGATTTACTTCGAAGATGGAATAAGTTTCTTTATCTTGTTTTACCCAAATCCCAGGACTTATTAGATCTCACTGGCAGATGGCAGTATTCTGGGTAGTGAGAAAACAATGTTAACTCTCCCACAGGTTGCCTACAATTCTGGACAAACACATAAACTAGTAATGTTGGAAATAAATCAGATACAAAGGCAGTAACAGGCACACATACAATTTTAAACTACAGTTCAAAGAACCATGAGACAAGGAATTTTCCTTTTTTCTAAGATGGCCAGAAACCAAACTATTTCCTAATAATGACACAAAACTCGGCAGGTGGGTGCAAGGCTCTGGTGTAAAGAGCTAATAGATAGGCTCAGGGAGGCATCTCCCTTTCTCCAAAATACTCCAAGGGGTCTCTGTGGAGATGGAGGCTTTCATAGTCTTTGAAAGATAACTGCCAAGGCAGGTGCCTCGTATTCTGGTAAGATTTATTGCCTGTAAATAATGCATTGAAAAAGAAACTACCATCAGAGTGAACAGGCAACCTACAAAATGGGAGAAAATTTTCGCAACCTACTCATCTGACAAAGGGCTAATATCCAGAATCTACAATGAACTCAAACAAATTTACAAGAAAAAAACAAACAACCCCATCAAAAAGTGGGCGAAGGACATGAACAGACACTTCTCAAAAGAAGACATTTATGCAGCCAAAAAACACATGAAAAAATGCTCATCATCACTGGCCATCAGAGAAATGCAAATCAAAACCACAATGAGATACCATCTCACACCAGTTAGAATGGCAATCATTAAAAAGCCAGGAAACAACAGGTGCTGGAGAGGATGTGGAGAAATAGGAACACTTTTACACTGTTGGTGGGACTGTAAACTAGTTCAACCGTTGTGGAAGTCAGTGTGGCGATTCCTCAGGGATCTACAACTAGAAATACCATTTGACCCAGCCATCCCATTACTGGGTATATACCCAAAGGACTATAAATCATGCCGCTATAAAGACACATGCACATGTATGTTTATTGCGGTATTATTCACAATAGCAAAGACTTGGAACCAACCCAAATGTCCAACAATGATAGACTGGATTAAGAAAATGTGGCACATATACACCATGGAATACTATGCAGCCATAAAAATGATGAGTTCATGTCCTTTGTAGGGACATGGATGAAATTGGAAATCATCATTCTCAGTAAACTATCACAAGAACAAAAAACCAAACACCGCATATTCTCACTCATAGGTGGGAATTGAACAATGAGATCACATGGACACAGGAAGGGGAATATCACACTCTGGGGACTGTTGTGGGGTGGGGGGAGGGGGGAGGGATAGCTTTGGGAGATATACCTAATGCTAGATGACGAGTTAGTGGGTGCAGCGCACCAGCATGGCACATGTATACATATGTAACTAACCTGCACAATGTGCACATGTACCCTAAAACTTAAAGTATAATTAAAAAAAAAACACATAGGTAAGGTTAATATAGAGATAATTCACAACTATTTCATAAATAAATAAGAAAATGTGCATTCAAAAAAAAAAATAATGCATTGAGCCTTGATGGCATCTTAATTTTTAAAAATATATGCCTATGACCTACCTAATTATGATGGGAGCAAAATAGGCACTTAATAAATACTTAGCTGGCTGAGTTCTAGTTCTAGCTCACCAAAAGTGAGCAGATTAATTACTAAAAGTTTAAAACACAGAGTCTTCCAGGTATGAGCGGCACCAGGTCCCTCAAATGCGCATTTTTCCATAGTAAGATGTCAGCTCTGACTCAGGACAAATTATTTTGAGAAATATTTTCTAACCACTTGAATGAAGGAAACTCTCTGAAGACAAATTGCACTGTGCTGTTCTCTGTAACACTCCTGATTCTTCAGTGGGAAACAAATAATGCTGCTAGTTTGTAAGAAGAGCCTGTATTGGAATGATAAGCTGAGTATTCTCTAGTGGGATCCCACAGTCCCACCACTGGAAAGATTCATTCCACATTCTGGTGCTGCTGTGATGTTTTATTCATTTCCTTGGGTATACCATACAGAATCTTCAGCCTCGTAGAATTCACTCTCCCATGTTATTTATCGTGATAAAATACTGTGGAGTACTGTAAGTATGACGCATCCCATGCAAAGTCCACTCCCAGGCTTCACAATAGGATTCTCTCTCTCTCTCTTTTTTTTTTTTTCTGTAAGATGGAGTCTCACTCTGTTGCCCAGGCTAGAGTGCAGTGGTGCAATCCTGGCTCGCTGCAACGTCCCCCTCCTGGATTCATGTGATTCTCCTGCCTCAGCCTCCTGAGTAGCTGGGATTATAGGCATACATGAACACGCCTAGCTAATTTTTGTATTTTTTGTAGAGACGGGGTTTTGCCCTGCTGGCCAGGCTGGTCTTGAACTCCTGACCTCAGGTGATCCACCTGCCTCAATCTCCCAAAGTGCTGGGATTACAGGCATGAGCCACCGTGCCCAGCTCACAACAGGATTCTCTAGGTGAGTTTTCTCTCCTATTTATTAATTGGAAGGCTGCCAACTACTGGAAGAGAGGAAGGCAGAGATCCTTTATGTAACTCTGAAAGCCAAAGTGGACTTTTCTTTAGATTCCTGAGTTACTATCAGCTGCCAGTCAACCACTGCCAAATCACACATCTGGAAAAGTAGCTAATATATCATCAATTACTCCTAACAGAAGAAATAAAGCCACGGCAAGAAAAGACTATCATAAGAATACTGCTTCACTGTATTCACTGTAAGACTGATCTACTAAGACAGACTCAAGAGCTTCAAAAGATACAGTCTACACCTGGGCCCCAACTCTTAGCTTATATGGCAGAAGGAGAGGCTGTAGTGTGCAAAGGGTCTCATGCCACAGTGGGTTTTAGCCTTGCTTCTCCCACAACCCCATGACAGAGGATGATCACAGAGCTCAAAGCTTGGATTATTTGCAACTCCCTTGTCCTAGTAATACCACAACTCTTTGTCTCACACTCAACAAAGCTTATAAAAGTGCAGGAGAGAATGACTTACAGAGGGCCAACTATGAATGTACTCGAACTTTTTTCAGTATCTAAATATTAACAGCAGTACCCAAGTACTGATTCTTAGCACTAGCCATACCAGTACTAGCACTAATACCAGTGCCTAAGTACTACTAATAATAACAATGTTGGGGGATTCACTGTCTTAGAAAACTGCTGCCATGAAGGCAGGAAGCTGCAAGCTATATTCTGATGTCATTAGGGTGACAACAGATGCCTGTTTCTTCCCCCATTTCCCAATTTCAGAGGGAAGTACAGGGCCTTTTTCTTTACATTCCATACACTTACCTTCTGGGCTGCCTGAAGCCTACAGTTTCCCGATCAAACATGAGATTCTTCCACCTGGTAAATTATCCCCCCTCAGAAACACCATGCCATGGGAGTGTGCATGCCCCATGTAGAAGCTCAGTAGGGCACTTGGTATGTTATGACAAAAAGCTCCTACAGTATGAGTCAGGTGAGTGCAGGTACTGTTAGATTGGCTTTGGACATAGTTCTAATTCCAGTAAGGAGAAAACAGCCAGTGGGGGATCCAACCCAGGATTCTGCCCTGACAGTTGCTCTGAGAACCCCTGTGTGAAGGAGCTCAACTGCCCGCCCTGTGACTGTGCATGCATCCCTCCCGACCCTGCAGTTACAGACACAGCAAGTAACCTCACTTGTAATCACCTTCCACCTAAGGCCCCACGTGAAGATATATAATCTTTTCACTAGGAGATATCAATTAAAAAGGAGGGAGATGAGAGGGCAGAGATGAGAAGCTTTAGTTCCATTCAGCACTTTCTACTTTCAGAGGATAGAAAAATGGCAACTCAAGGAAGTGTCTCTTCCCTCACATCTGACAAAGATTCACTGAGAACCACACTGCATATCATGAGAGCTGGCTGAGAGCACAGGCCAGTAGGTTGGGGCTCAAAATCACAGCCTTAGGTACCCTTCAGGCTGTGGCCAATGCCTCCTGCCCATCCTCCTCCCCATCAGTATCTACCTAGGACAAATGCCAGACAATCCTTCTTTATAAAACAGATGAGGCACACGGTACATAACATAGTCTACATTTTGCTTGAATCTTATGTAAAAGAAGAGACAGAAAAAGCAATTCAGTGTTGCAAGGAGAATAAAATCTGTTTACATGCCAGTGACCTTGAGTGCAAATTATTTGCTATCTCAACCAAACATTGGAAGTTCGATTTTTCCTTTACTTCAATGAAGGGCAATAGGGGACTGAGTGTTTGAGACAGAATATAGGTACTAAGGTACCATTAGGTATTCTGCTCTTGTATCTGACTTCAGGAAACAGTTTGTCCCAGCCAAAGCAATGATTCATCCTATGCCACCAGTGTTACAATAGGAGCTTGATTTGCTGCAGTAGAACAAATAGTGCAACACTCCTTAGAAAAGCTCTGCTCCAGCATTTCTGGAAGATTAATTAAAGTCAGTGCAGGAAATGGAAAATCACTTTTACCATTTTACATTAAAGAGAGATGACCAAAACACAACTGAACGTACCAAAGGCTTTAGTTCAGAAAACCAGTAAACATTTCTGCATTTGTTTGCTTTCGGTTATTGTTGTTTAGTTTTGTTTTTTTGGCATGTGACAAAAGATACCATAGGTATCACAGCCAGGGAGATTTTCAGGGATTCTGAGATTAGACATTCTAAAGAAGTGATAAAATTGCTAGCAACCACAGACCAATGGTAACTGGTAGAGAGTCTTTTGATTTAGATTCATACTTGAATTCATTCAACAATTATTTATTACCTATCCACTATGAGAAAGACTTCATAGAAAATACTAAGATAATGTAATATATTCCTAATGTATTAAATAAGATAGGAAGTGATACACTCCATGAGAAGGGGGTGGTTATTTCAAGGATGGAATTAACATTTCTAGATGAAGGCAGCTTTCTTGTAGAAGGGAAAATGAATTGGCCTTGAAAGATGAATAAAACACAGAATATTTGGAAATCAGAGAAAATTTTGAGAAATGAGCACAAAGAAATGAAGGTGAGAAAATGCAGGGAGTCAGGGAGCAGTGGGTAATTAATGCTGCCTGCAGCAGAGGGGACTTAGGAGAGATATCAATTAGACTGGAAGGGCAGCTTAGGATGGGATTTGTGGAAGATTGTGAAACAGACTAAGCACATGGCTATGTGGGAAATGTGTTCCACCTTCATGATTTGTGAGCAGGAGTTATATTCAAAACTTTTAACAAACAGAGCAGACAGGACAGCCACAGGGCTGGGCAGGGTCCTGGAGGCCCACTTCTGGGCCAGGTATTAACCCTTTCATCATGGACTGTAGGGTGGTATGGGGGTATCCCAAGAAGGGTTAGAACAGCTGGTGTGTGGGAAATGGGACGCACGTGGGAGTCTGAAGGAAATGACCATTTATCAATGAGTCCAGAGCATTTCAGAATTTTACCAACTGATACAGCCACCCTGACATATACTAGCTGAATTTTAGCAATAAAGTAAAAAATACATCTATATCAAAAGCCAATATAAGCTTTGGATCTGTAGCCTGGACCTCTACTTGGATGTCCGTAGGTACCTCCGTATGTCTAAAACTGAACCCATCATGTTCTTTCCTAAATGTGTAACACTTTATGATTACTTCACAAAATGGTAGCATAAGTCATCCAGGTGCTCACACCAAAATTCTGGGGATCACTATCAGGCCCATAACATCATTGCCAGCATATGAACCCCCTTCCAGGCCCCCTCATTATCAGGCCCATAACATCATTGCCAGCATATGAACCCTGGTTTTAGGGAAACTCCATTATGTAAATTTTGATGGGAGCCAGGGCTACTCCCTGTTTCACACTCTATACTTCTGCCTTCAGAATCTTCTCAAGTTCCCAGAACGTTAGACTAGAAACCAATATAAGGTGGTCCTGAATCTCAGGTAGTCTCCCATTTTCCCAGTAAGACAATCCTCCTGTCTCCCAGCAAAAGAGAAAAAGAAAAGTCTTTGGAAGACTTTTGGATCAATTTAAATATACACTATCTTTGAACTCACGGACATAGAGAGTAGAAGCATGGTTCCAGAGGCCAGGAAGGGTAGTAAGGGGCTTTGAGGGAGAGGGGGATGGTTAATTGGTACAAAAAAATAGTTAGAAGGAATGAATAAGACCTACTATTTGAAAGTACAATAGGGTGACTATAGTCAATAACATTAATTGTACATTCTTAAATAACTTAAAGAGTGTAATTGGATTGTTTGTAACTCGAAGGATAAATGCTTCAGGGGATGGGTACCCCATTCTCCATGATGCTTATTTCACATTGCACACCCATGTCAAAACATCTTATGTACCCCAAAAATATATACACCTACTATGTATCCACAAAAATTAAAAATAAAAAAAGAAAGCCATTTAAAAAAATCCAATGCTATTTTACACTGGATAATATGCTATTTTGGAGAAAATTATAATGCAGTATTTGAGCAAAAAGCCAGGTGTTTTGTTTTTTAATATAGTGTATTTGTTTATAGACTAAGTTGCTACAAAAAAGAGGCTCCAAAATACAGTGACTCAAACAAGTTAGGAGTTCATTTCTCTCTCTTCTAACATTCCTTACATTGATGAGTGGCACAGGACAAGTAGATGCTGCAACTCTTTCTATTCTTCCTATTTTGTTGTTCCACCATCCCCTAAGGCCTTGATCTTTGGTTGATCACTATCTCCTAACGCCTGATCTTGATCTATGTTTGAGGCTCCCTCACAGGCACCACATCCACAGCCTACTCTTGAAGAGAGCGAGAGAAAGACAAGGACAAACAGATTTCTTTTAAGAGAATGAAGCAGAAACTGCTCACACCACTGTTAAGAATTTAGCTGGTGGACACAGCCCACTGTAGGGGAATCTGGAAGAGGCAGACTCTACCCAGTCATCCATGTTCTTTGCCAAAACTTGGGGAAGTTCTATTAGTAAAAAGGATAAAGGGAAAATAGACAGTGGGGGACATCAGGAGCTTCTCCAAATTCGGGACTCTCAAATGACAGTATCTACAGGATTTTCTCTGGGGCGGCTCATGCGCTCTAGGGGTGCATCCCTCTAACCTTTACCTGGTGCGCCAGGCTGCTCGTAGTCACCGTGAAGTGTACAAACTTCCACGTACTCCCTTGTTTTCACATAGGGTCCTCGTTCCTACCCTCCCTCGCCTGCTATCTCAGAGCCTGGTGGTCCTCTGGTTTTGTTTTTCCAGGGGATAAACTTCTGGTTTTATGCAGTGGCAGAGGAGGCTTAGTTCCCTATTAATCTGGAATGGGAGTAGGAAAATGGGGTTCAAGTGCTCCATGGACAGGTTTTCTCCTAAAATCCCTGTCCTTGACCTCCCATCGCCTCTGCCTCCTGTGGCCCCCGACGTCTTTTTCTGAGCTTTTCAGGGGTTCTTGGGGTGCTCATCCTTGCAGGAACGCAGATTTGACCTTACCACTTTCTCGCCATTCCTGCACCACTGTTCAGTCTTCATAAATCCTAGTTCAGGGCTACACGCCTCCTAGTGTCACCAAAGCTTGCATGTCTATATCTTGTTCTCTTTATTATGTAGGGGATTTGGAAGAGCAGAAGGAAGTGAAAATAGCTTTACTCTATTATCGTGAAACTGGAAACATTTTTTTCATCTGTATATGATGCTATTACTGGAAATTTTATCTCAAGCCACAAATATCCATTTGCTTAAAATAAGGATGGTTTTATTTTTCCGTTCATCCTGTGGCTGTATACTCATGATCTCCACAAAGTAAACACTAATTCTATTTCATTTTCAAGTGATTTTTAGAAGGTTTATTGGCAACGATATTCAAGACTTGCGATTGTGAAGTCATCCCCCACCCCAATACTTAACTAAATCTGTACAGAATTTCTTTGCTTCCTTTTAGGGTGACCTCCATAGGCATACAAACTAGCAGTGACAGAGGTAGTTTCAGGCTTCTTACTTTGTCATTCAAAATAAAGTAAATCAGAGAGTAGCCTGTAATATAAAAAATTTTTAACAATCTATAAGGCCTCTCTTTATTCTGAGATATTTTTAGGGAACAAAACTTACTTTATATTTTGACATGAAAGAACCAGACTTTCTTACAGCCTCCTAGTTTTGCTCACGTGAGGCCATGTACATAGAACACGCCCTTCAGTTTCTCCCTCTGGCTCACTCCTACTCATCCTTCCAAACTCATTTCAGGTGCTGTCTCCTACAAGGCGCCTTCCTTGATCGCCTGATCACCTCCAAGAGCTCTTAAAAAGGCTGAGCAGGTACTGCACCTGTGTGTTTCCACGGCACCCAATGTTACCCTTAAACTGCATTTCCTGTACTGTCATCTCTGGTTTATTTGTCAGTCTCCCCCACTAAACCATGAACTCCTGGAGGGCAAGGTCCATGTCCTCCTTATCTTTACATTCCTAGCATCTATTAACCATGCCTGGAACATAGCAGTCTCTAGTTATGTATTCACTTATTAAATGAATAAGAGAAATGCCGGTTTCCAAAGAGAAACAGAAGTCCCTTGACGAAATTAGAGGCAGAGGAATTGGGAGGGGTAATTCACCCTAGTTGCTTTTATTCACTCATTCTCTCGGTGACTTTATTAATTGAGCAAGCATAGAAAACTTCCACAAGACTCAATGAAACAGAATTTCAGAAATTAAAGTTTATCTTGGAGAACTGAACCACTGATTGATGGTCAGATAAAAAGATGTATAAACTTGTGCTTTCAGTATTTCTTTTACTCAAGACCCTTTGGTTGCAATAAACAGAAATCCACTCAAGTTAGAAATGAGGACTAATGGATCCAGAAAGCACACAAGCCCTGTACTGAATAACCACACTGCAGTGAAGAGCTAAGGAAAATTTCATGAGCACTTTATAGTCTGCCCTTTTCCATATGTCAACCAGAAACTCAAAAGAAAATGGCAATTACTGTAACACGGACTTTGCAGGCTGGACAGCTGATAACGCTCTGAGCTCCTTTCCTGCTTTCCCTCACTGCAGCCACTGTAATGCAGGCCCATCCATCATGCTGACAGCGTGGCAGGGCATCTGCAAACCTGGTGGGTGTGCGGATGGACTTAATCATAGCTGCACAGTGGAACTCTTGGGGGTGCAGCACAGCTCACCAGACACATAAGAATAAGTTTCTGAAATAAGTTTAAGGAATGGCCTGAAGTCACAGAAGACAAACCTAAGAATCTTCTTTTTGAAGATCAAGTAGGTGTGGCGGCTTATGCCTGTAATCCTAGTGCTTTGGGAGGACTGCTTGAAGTAGAGTTTGAGACCAGCCTGGGCAATACAGCAAGATCCTGTTTCTACAGAAAAAATTAGCCAAGTGTGATGGCGCATGCTTGTAGTCCCAGCTACTAGGGAGGTTGAGGCAGAAGGATCACTTGAACTCAGGAGTTTGAGGCTGCAGTGAGTTGTGATCACGCTACTGCACTGTTGCCTGCGTGACAAAGTGAGGCCTTGAATTTAAGAAAAAGAAAAGGATCAGGCATGCAAGTTGGCTAAACAGAAGAGCAACTGTGTCTGAGCTCTGCTTAAAATTGTGATGCCCTCCTAATGCCAGAAAAAAAGGCAAACAGGAAAAAATGTACAATACAGAAAACAGCGTTGATGAGTTTTGTGTAATTTGTTCCTCCAAGGAATTTCTCTGTGGTACCCTACTCCCCCTCCCCAGTCTGTGTTAGGAATCCCCCTACCTAACCTCCACATGCTACAGGGCAATCCTTTGGCATATCTCTATCACGGTGTTTTTTGTCCACGTCCTCCTTGATCTTCCCCATTTCCTGAGGTGGGAAATAATGCCATTTATTATAACCCATTTCATATGCCTTTTGGGACAAGGAAAAGTATACATACATATTTAATAAATGAATACTATGTCTTATAGCTCTGTATTATCAGTGTCTAGTATGTGTCTGGAGCATATGAGATGGACGAATAAAAAAAAGAATAATTGAAATGAAAATATCTGGAATTTAATGTCCTTTTAAAAGTCCTGTTAAAAAAAACCTGTCATAGGCTTAATCATTCCTCCTGACTCTCATCTCATTCATTTCACACACAAACATCAGCAGAACAGATGTTCATCTGTACTGTCTAAAGTGTGCATATTCTAGAAGTCTGTAATTTTGAGGTAATTATAAGATAAAGCTTTTTGTGTTAGTCTGGTGGTGTTAACACATAAGAGTCTGGGGCAGGGGGTGGGAGCGGGGGTCCCAGGACACGGGGAAGCTGAATGCTCACTGACTCTGAAGATGGCTAACTTTGTTATCACAAAGGTTTATTTAACTTGACAATATCTATCCTATTTCTAGATTTAGACACTTGTTTTTAAGGTGCAAAGACAACCTGAATTTGCTCCAGGTTCAGTCCTGCTTATTAAATGCAATGAGATGACATCTAGGTCATCTCATTTCAGCTAAACTTAGGGGAGAGGGAGGTTTTGATGGCTCTCTGTATCATTCTTGGATAAAAACATTCTTGGATAAAACATGTCAACATGTACTCTGACATTAAAGGCCAGTCACCATGCCTGCGAATGGGGCATGATGACACCCACTTCACAAGGCCATGCTAATCTCTTTCTTGTTTCCCCAAGGAAATAAAAATAACCTCTAAAATTATCTTCCCATAGACATCTCATAAAATGAAAGTTTCTAAGTTCTATAATATTATTATTAAATAATAATATTTATTATTATCATTTTTTGAGCCTGTCATGCAGGCGGGAGTGCAGTGGCACCATCTTGACTCACTGCAACCTCCGCCTCCCAGGTTCAAGCGATTCTCCTGCCTCAGCCTCCTGAGTAGCTGAGATTACAGGCACGTACCACCATACCCAGCTAATTTTTGTAGTTTTAGTAGAGACGCAGTTTCACCATGTTGTCCAGGCTGGTCTCGAATTCCTGACCTCAAGTGACCTGCCCGCCTCGGCCTCCCAAAGTGCTGGGATTATAGGCATGAGCCATTGCACCCCGCCTGAAGTGCCGATGTAATCTTTACATAAGTTTAGAAAACTCTGAACTTGGGGCTTTTGGTGACTCCATTTCCTAATCAGTGAAAGGAGGGATTTTGAACTAACTGATCTTTAAAACTCTAACTACAAATTTCAGGAAGGATGTAAACAGGCAGCTCACAAAAGAAATCAAAATGGCCAGTACACAGGTACAGATATTTTCAACATCAGTAGCAACCAAAAAAGTAAATTTACAAAATGAAATACCATCTTTTAAAAAAAATCTGATTGGCAAAGACAGAAAAAGAGTAATAACATCCTTCTTTAGCAGTTTCAGGAAGAATTATTTTCATCACTGTACAGTATCTGGAGTGGCTATTTGGCAATATGTATCAAAAGTCCTAAAATGACGTGGCAGATTGTATTTTCCAAAAATGGCTGCACCGCTATATCCATCCTCTCCATGTTCCTACAATGAGTTGTTGATGCTGTTCCATTGACAGGTGGGAGTCTATGTGTCTTGCTCCACCTGGGTGGGCCTGTGACTGTGGTGGAAGGGATGCTGCATGGTTTCCAAGGCTAAGTTAGAAAAGGCGACAATGCTTCCACCTGCAGCTCTATTGGGACACAAGGCTTTGAAGCCCTAAGTGGCCATGTAAGAAGTCCAGCTATCCTGAAGCCAACATGTAGAGAGACCACATATAGAGAAAGATGCCAGAGGGATGCCAGCTGTCCTAGCTGTTCTAGCTCCCTGCTATTCAACTCTTCCCAGCACTGGCAACACACATGTGAGTGAAAGAGCCTTCAGAAGATTCCAGCCTGCAGCCTTCAAGCCTCCCCAGCCAATGTCAATTGGAGTAGACATAAGTCGTGTTGACTGAGCCCTATCTGGACTACAGATTCATGAGTAAATTAAATGTGGTTGTTGTTTTAAGTACTCAGTTTTGGAACAGTTTGTTATGTAGCACTGGGTAACTAGAAAATTATATAGGCTGCTGGGTTAAAAGATATTTATATATCTGGATGGATAGATAAACAATTAGTTCAGAGGTAGTTTGTTATATAGCACTAGATAACTAGATTATACAATACATATAACACATATATTTTCATGTTATAAATATAATATTTATAATATATGAAAGTATATATTGCTGGGTTATATCTATACATATCTCCTATATCTATACATACTACACATGCATGCCTATATTTATATCTACTGACTGATTCATCCATCGCTCTATCTACATATGTGTATGTGTATGTGTTTGTGTGTGTGTGTGTGTGTGTGTGTGTGTGTGTGTGTGTGTATGTAATATCTTTTAACCTAGAAATTTCAGTTCTAGGAATTACTGTTAGGAAAACACCTAGAGAGTTTACAAAAATATGGTTACATGGCATTCTTTCTAAAACTAAATATTGTGAAACCATTTAAAATGTTCAGCAACAGGCAAATGATTAAATATTTTATATGCACATAATCAATAATAGGTAGTCAAAAAAAGTGATAGCATGAAGCTGCATTTACTGACAAGCTAGTGAGTCATGAATCAAAATTTATAATCAGCCCAATTCTTTGAACCTAAGGTCCATCTTTCTTACTAATTTTTTATAGGACTTAAATGCATACAAGTGGATTTAATCTATAAAAAGCTAGATTAATCATACTCATCATGGCTCATGCCTGGGTCTCTTTAAATTATGTATTTATTTACATGAATATATTAATGCATATTGGTTTCATTTTAATAAAAAGGAATTATAATCTATAACTCATTCTATAATTTGTTTTCTTCATTTTATTATATATATCATAGATATCCCTCCAGGCCACATACTTAAATTTAACTCATTCTTCCAACCTTTCCCCCTATTAATGGACATTTCAGCTATTCCAGGTTTTTTCTTTTATATCACTATAAGCAATGTTAAAATAAATAAAGATGTTCATACATCTTAGGCACTGATGCTTTTATTTCTATAGCATAAATTCCAAAGGATGGGATTGCTGGGTCGGTGTGAATTGAAATGTTAATATACATGGCTAAATTACATTCCAAAGGGGTTATAGCAATTCATACTCCAAAAAGTGATGCATGAGATTTCTCTGAATCTTCACCAACAACACATGCCTCTCCATCTCTGATTGGTGGAAAATGGTCTGAAGTTATGCATTTTTAACATATTTAAAATATAAACATTTGTAATACGTTGCAAATATATTTTTTTCTGTTGGCTTTTTAACTTTTCTCATGGCATATTTTGCAGCACAAAAGTTTTGTTTTTTTTTTTTAGTCTTTGAAAATATTTTTATTGGTTGCATCTAAATTAATCTTTCTTTTGCTGCCCATTTTCAAGGTATTGAGCATTCTTTAGTTTCCTTCCCTCCACCCTGTTTTCTCATGTCATTGAGCCATCGTCCTATGTGACTCCTGGTTTCCATACATCATCTCTGTGCCCCACAGTGGCCCACCTGTGTGAGTAGTTCAAAGCTGTCATCTCTTCTGACTGGTTAGTGCCTAGTCCTGCCAATATCCAGTGCTGAATTTTGAATATTGTCTCTGATTGAAATTAGTTTCCTTAGCCACTGTGTTTGCTCAGGCTGCCACAATAAAGTACCACAACATGGGAGGCTTAAACAAAAGATGCTGATTCTCCCACAGTTCTTAGAGGGGAAGTCTGAGATCAAGGCCGTGTTCCCTCTGAAGGCCCTAGGGGAAGATCTTTCCTTTCCTCTTCCAGCTTCAGGTGGTGGCTGACGATTTTTGGTGTTCTTTGGCTTGCAGACACATCACTCCAGTCTCTTCACGTGGCCTTCACATCCTCTTCCTTGAGCATGTTTTTCTCTCCAAAGTCCCCCTTTTAAGGACATCAGTCATGCTGGATTAGGGCCCACCCTAATGACCTTACTGTAACTGCAACACCTCTGTAAAGACCCTGTTTTTAATAAGTAAGGTCACATTCTGAGGTCCTGGGGATTAAGATTCCAACATAGCATTTTTCAAGGATACAATTCAGTTCTTAATAGCCACCAGCTACCCAGCGCAGATAACTCAGGCTGTGGTGGAGGCCCAGATTCATGCACGGATGGTGGGCAGGGCACACCCACAGTAGGTAAACATGTTCTTGTCTTAAAACTCTGGCCAGAGAAAGCATGCCCTCTTGAACTCCTCCTTCCCAACCCTTGTCTTGTATGTGCATCTACGCAGATATAGATACATGTAGTTTTCTCTTTTCCTGTGTGAATGGTATCATAAAAGTTTTAAATTTTCTATAGCCAAACCAATCCATTTTTCCCTGTACGGTTGCTTAGACCTTTGTTTCAAAAGCTGAATCTACTGTCAACAATGAGGATTTGTGGATGTGGGAGCAGTTAACACACTAATCTGGACATGATCATACTTTCTACTCTGAGCATGTAGCGTATGACTTTCAATTAGTACTTTGCTGCCACTGTCCTGAGAGACTGTACACTTGTGCAACTGTGAGTTTTAGAAAAATGGTTTGTCTGATACCTTTGTTCAAAGAGAGCAATTCAACTACTCAAAAAACTTAGCTTTTACTGATAGAGATGTGAGCTGGTATTTAATGACTCTGTAGCACAACAGAACATGCTAATCTCTTTCTTGTTTCCCCAAGGAAATAAAAATAACCTCTAAAATTATCTTCCCGTAGACATCTCACAAAATGAAAGTTTCTAAGTTCTGTAATATTTCATTGTTCCTAAACAGAATCCTTAAATGGTTTGGATGTCTTTAGATGTCTTATCTGTTTTTGATGAAAGCTCTGACTTGACAAACACCCCCAAGATATATTGCTTTATGGCATTTGGCCAGATAAGACTTAACAGGTGTTTTTACAATTTTTTCCCCTACTCCCACTGTATCTTTAAGGATACAATCATGTGAATATAGGGTAAGGCATTTTATTTCTTTTAAAATCCATAGTTTGTAGACACGTTAAAGTCTACTATATCGCAATATGCATACAAATGCAATGAACTGTTGAAAACATGCCCTTAAACACAACAGGACTCTACCCTATGAATTAGATTGGAGGTGGAACAGAAGGTGTATCTTGCTTAAATTCCTGTTTGTGCTTAGCAGAAAATCAGTTCCCTTGGCTTTATAGCACCACTATACTAATTTCTAAGCCTATGTTTTCAGCTTTAGTCTTCTACTTATGTTCCAGTTGTCTACTGAAACATTTTCACTTGAAGTCCCATCATATATAATTGTCATATGAAAAGGAATTAATCAATACCACCACCGTTTCCCAATTTCTAGTACCACTAAGGCTTTAAACCTTGTGGTTACCTTTGTCCTACTCCCTGCCTTTCCTTTACCCTATCAAATCCTGGCTCTTTAACCATTCTTGGTTGACTCTTTAATCATTCTTCTCTAAGCTTTGTTTCACTATTTTCTCTTTTTACAAAAATAATATTTTTATTATAACAAACAGAGTTTAAAAATTGATGGAATCACCACACAATGTTCACAGCAGTGTTATCTATCATTGTTAATAAGTGGGAACAACCTAAATACATATCCATCAACTGATAAATAAATAAACAAGATGTTATATAGATCCACACAATGGAAAATATTATTCAGTCATAAAGAGGAATTAAGTACTCATTCATGCTAGAATATGGATGAACCTTCACATTATGCTATGTGAAAGAAGCCAGAGTAATTCCATTTATTCTGATATTCTGATAAGGCAAAACCAGGGGACAGAAAACAGGTCAGTGATTGCCAGGGGCTATTGGAGGGGAGGAATGGGGAGTGATTGCTACTGAGTATCAGTTTGTTTCAAGGGTGATGAAAACTCTAAAATTGGATAATGGGATGGTTGCACGACACTGTGAATATAGTAAAAAACACTGAGTTGTATACTTTAAAAGGGTGAATTTTTTGGTATGTGAATTATATCTCAATAAAGCTATTATTAAAAATGATGGAGTCTACTAGATCTAGTGAGTCCAGAAAGATTGCAGGATACATCAATATATAAAAATCAACTTCTTTCTATGTAACAGAGACAAACAACTGAAAACTGAAATTATAAAAATGATATCATTTGTAAAATAGAACATACTTAGGGATAAATCTGACAAAAGATGTGAAAGATCTGTACACTGAAAACTACAAAACAATTATAAGAGAAATAAAAAATAACTTAATAATTGAAGAGATATACCATATACATGGGTTGGAAGACTCAATATTGTTATTAATGCTACCCAAATTGACTTATAGATTCAACACAATCCCAATCAAATTCTCATCAGGCAGTTTTGCTGAAGTTGACTGATTCTCAAATTCATATGAAACTGCGAAGTATCTAAAGTTGCCAAAACAGGTTTTTAAAAGATGAACAAAACTGGAGAAATAACACTATCTGACTTTAAGTGTTATAAAGGTGCAGAATCAAGTAATACAGTGTGGTATTGGCATAAAAATAACCAGATAAAAAATAAATCAGAAGACAAGAAAGATAAACAGTACAGAGTCCAGCTCATGTATATACTGACAACTGATTTTTGACCAAAGATGTAAAGGCAATTTAGTGAGGAAATGTTAGACTTTTCAACAAATGATGGTTAAAAAAAAAACTGTATATTCCTATGCACAGTGATGCATGCCTATAGCCCCAGCTACTCGGGAGACTGAGGCAGGTGGATCTCTTGAGCCCAGGTGTTCAGCCTGGGAAATATAGCAAGGCCCTGTCTCTAAAACTAAAATGAAATAAAAATTTAAAAATCTGCCCTTCCAAAGATACTTTTAAGAGACTGAAATTATAAGTTATAGACTTGGAGAAGATATTGATAAATTCTATACCTAACACAGCATTTGAGTCCAAAATATATTTTAAAACTAACGCAACTTAATATAAGTAAATAATCTAATTAAAAACTGAGAAAAGAAATGAACATTTCACAAAGTAGATATACAAATGGTAAATAAGCACACAAAAAAATGTTCTGCAAAACTAGTTATTAAGAAAGATGCATGTTTTAAGCCTGTAATCCCAGCACTTAGGGATGCTGAGGCAGGTGGGTCACTTGAGGTCAGGAGTTCAAGACCAGCCTGTTCGATATGGTGAAACCCCGTCTGTACTAAAAATACAAAAAAAAATTAGCTGGGCCTGGTGGCGGGCACCTGTAATCCCAACTACTTGGGAGGCTGAGGCAGGAGAATCTCTTGAACCCAGGAGGCAGAGTTTGCAGTGAGCCGAGATCGCGCCACTGCACTCCAGCCTGGGTGACAGAGTGAGACTCCATCTCAAAAAATAAATAAATAAATAAATAAATAAATAAATAAATAAAGATACATGTTTTAAACTATAGTGCTAAGCACCTATTGCATTAGCTAAAACTACAAAGACACTATATGCTAACTGTTGGCAAGGATGTGGCAAAAGGGGACCTTATATACTGCTGACGGGAATGCAACTTTAGAAAACACTTGGGTAATTGCTTAAAAAGTTAAGCATACATCTACCTTAGGATCTAGCCATTTCACTCCTAGGTATTTACCCAAGAGAAATGAAAACATGCCCAACAAAAATGAAAGACATCTAGAATATTCACAGAAGCTCCACATAGGAAACAATCCAAATATCCATCAAGAGGGGATAAACAAATTGTGGTATATCCAAACAATGGAATACTACTTGGCGATAAAAAGGAATTAACTTGGCAATAAAAAGGAATGTTAGAGCATTTGTACATGCTATAACATAGAGGAATCTGAGTTAATCAGAATAATTATGTTGAGTTAAAAAAGGCAGATAAAAAAGAGAATACACTGTATGATACCATTATATAAAATTCTAGAAAATGTAAACTAATCTATAGTGACAGGAAGCAGATTAGTGGTTGCCTGGCAATGAATAGGGGAGCAGAAACACGAAGCGATAAGGAGCAGGAAGGCGGAATTACTGTACATATGCTCCTACTGTGGGAGAGTTGAGTTGGCTTGCATTTTTCTCCATGTTTGGAACTTATTATAACTGCAATAAACACCATTACTCACTAATATTTTTTGTACATCCTTAGGTATTTCTTCATGGTGCATAGCATATACACAACACATGTTCTTTAGTGACTTAATCATTGGAAGGTCCATTTTATAGCTGCTTGTATATAAAGTCTGAATACCTAAATTGCTGGGTCAAAGAACAGCCACATTTTAACACTTGATGAGTTTTTGAAAAATGGACACAACCAAGTAAACCAGCATCCAGATCAAGAAATCCAACAGCAGCATCTAGAATTCTTCTCATGCTCCCTATCCTGACTTGGTTTTTCCTGTACTTTATGTAAATGGAAGCACGTAGCATGCACTCTTTTGTATCTGGCTTGTGGACTGCTCATTACCATTGCTACTTTGCATTCCTTGTGTGAATCCGCTTATTTATCTCAACTTAGGTTGATAGGCATTTGGGTAGCTTCTCGTTCTTCCTATTATTAGTATTGGTCCTATAACACTCTACAGCATGTCTCAGTGAATAAATGCATGCATTTCTGCTGAGTATTCACAGGAGTGGAGCTGCTGGGTTACACAAGCCTACAGTCAGCTTTAGAAGATAAGCAACAGAAGCTTTTAATATTAGAGAACAGTCAGAAACATACATTTTTATATTTGCATGATATTTATTTAACAAGTAATTTCATTAGTGAATATTCATTGAGCACCTACCATTGTCCAGGCATCGAGCAATGTGTTGGATACATATTGCTGGACAATAGATACTGCCTCTTCTCTTGGGACACTTAGAAAAAAATCTATATTCTAGGGTTAAACAGAAAGCCAGGATAAACCCAGTGTGTGTGTGTATTTCAAAACTATGTTAAAATATCATGATGTACAAGAACATAGCCTAGAAGGAAAATAAATCAGAAGAAGTGTAAGAGTGATTCTCTTTAGGTAAAGTGTTTGTTAACAATTTTTTTGTTTGTTTGTTTTGTTTTGTTTTTTACTTTTCTATATTTTCCAGGACAACCAACCATATTAAATTCCACATATATATGGTGATCCAAGTCCATAAGCTACCTACCTGAAGACAGCTATGATGTTCAGAGGCGATGACATTCTCCAATCGACAAGGAATTTAGTCAGTACTTGTTGAACAACTGATACTGAATTCTATGTCACAATACCTTGCACAAACTTATTTATGTTGTTATATTTTGTTGTAGTTGTAGGCTCACAGAAAATGAGAATTGAAAGAAATGCTGGAACCCATTTAGTCCACTTGCTTGCAAATACTTTCAGCTCTGAAGACCTTTATTTGAAAGTTTATATGGAAACCTAATATATACAAGAGAGAGACTTGCAGCACTTTGAAGACCTTAGGAGCCTAAGCTCAGCCCTCTGTGACAGGTCCTAAGTGCCAAGAATCTTTCAGAAACACTGCTCGAAAACCATTGTTCAGGTTCAATCCCTTCATTTTCTAGAAAAAGAAGCTAAAGCAAGGCTATGAGGCAAGTTAGCGCAGAACTAGACCTTCTGACTCAATTTCATCTTTTCTAACACATCACTACTTTTTGAGTAGGAACAATGCCCTGTGTCTCTTGTGTCCTCCACCGGGGCCACCACAGACAGATAGCAGTGCTCAGTACATGTTGTTTAATAGAACAATTGATGTATACCTGCTTTTCAACTTGAAAAGGCCAAATCACCACCCAAGATTCATTATGTGCAGAAAAAGCCTGCATGCTTTTTATCAAAGGAGCTAAGGGTCACCTCAGTCACCATACCTAACCTGCTTAGCTGTCACCAAGGACGTACCCCAAAACCAATAAGAAGATTAAGATGTCAAACAGTAAAGCAGCTGGGGCATGTAATGGACTTAAAACCACAAAGAGGAAGAAGACCTATACTGAAGAAAGTTCTTCCTGCCCAGGGCAATTAATGTGGTGAACAGATGGGGAGAGATATGAACTATTTTCATGCTTTAATGGGAAGATAAAAGACACAAGGAAATAATAAGCAGAAAATCCATAGTGCAGGGGCAAACATAAAGACATGCTTTTCTTTTTCCAAGCAATATTTAATTCTAAGCAGTAATATTTGCTCAAAGTTTTACCCTGTTAGTTGTTTTTCCATCATTAAGAAGGAACTGAGTACTGGAGAGCTATAATAAGACATTCAGAGATAAATCACAGAGTTGTGCAGGGGTAGCAATGGAAGCAATGAAGATGAAAATGAGCTCCTGCATTCTGCTATACACCTTATCCCTGGCTGAGTTTGCAAAAAGGCAAGCTTCCCTTTATTCAGAAGGTACCATACAGTACATTTAGAAAGGATGTTTACAATGATGATCATGAGGTGGTATTTGTAACAGCTAAGAAGCATCAGGATATATGTTCAATACAGTTTTACTGTGGATTTCTTATTGTGCTTGAGTTATTCCTCAGTTGGTAATCCATACATAGCATGGTAGAGGCCCTTTTCCGTTCATTCACACGTATCTTAGTCCATTCAGGCTGCTAAAACAAAATACCTTAGATTTTGTAATTTATAAACAATAAACATTTATTTCTTATGGTCCTAGAGGCTGGGAAGTCCAAGATCAAGGTGCCAGAATATTCAGTGTCTGGCGAAAGCCCTGTTCCTCACAAATGACCCATTCTTGCTGCCTTCTCATATGGCAGAAGGGCAAAGAAGGGACAAACATGGTGTCCTCGAAGAGCGGAAGAGATGGAAGGGCAAAAGGGGCTCCAGGCAAAAAGGGCATGAATCCCATTCATAAGGGCAGAGCCACCTCCGAAAGGCCCCACCTTCTAATATCATCACCTTGGGGATTAGGTTCCAACATAATGAATTTTGGAGAAACACATACATTCAAACCACCCCACTGTGCTACTGAAACGAGCTGTCTCTGCTGTTTAACTTCCCCCATTACAATTCATTTTGTTTATGCCTGCAAGCATAATCTTCCTGCATCACCACTGTTATAATATCATTGCAATTTCTTACATTTGTGGAGAACCTTATGTATGACTTTCAAAACATTTTTCACAACTATTTTCTCACTTTATCCTCATGACATCTCTGTGATATGTACTTGTCGTTTGTCAAATACATAGGCTCAAGGATTTTATATGATGACTCCAAGGTCTCCTAGTTAATAAATGGCAGGATTGAAACAGGAACCTTTAACTTCTGGGTTTTAGCCCATCATTCTTCTATCACAATATACTTTTCACTAACCTACATAAAGTATCATCAGATGTTCTCTGCTGTCCTCTTGATAAAACTCCACAACCTCAGTGTGGCTTTTCAGGTCCTCCTCAATCTGGTGCCTTCATCTGTCTGACCTTCTCTCCGATTTCTCCGCAACCCACACTAGCTGCTTCCCTCATAACAACAGTAACACCCTCACCTGGAATTCTTTTTTTTTTTTTTTTTTTTGGTAGAGATGGTGTCTCGTTATGTTAACCAGGCTGGTCTTGAACTCCTGGGCTCCAGCGATCCTCCCACCTTGGCCTCCCAAAGTGCTGCGATTATGGGATTACAGGCATGAGCTACCATCCTGGCCGACTTAGGCAAATTCTGTATAACCTTCAAGGCTCAGCACATGTGTCTGGTAGATGTAACCTTCCACCTAAGCAATTAATGACTGAACTATATATTTTAACATTTAATTGTACTCAATATAATTTACAGTAAATCATAGTTGTTAAGTTTAACGTACTGAAGTCTTGTTTCTGTTAGAAGACCAAATTTTTTTCTCATAAAGAGTGTTATAATATACTTTTATCCATGCACATACACCATTGTCCAGTACAGATTAAGTACACAGTAACAAAAGTCAGGTATATTTTTGTTTCTATACACTGCCTAGCATCATATGAGGACACGGTCCCTGAAATGACCGGGGTTAGGGGGAAAGGCAGAATTTCAGTCTTGGAGTAACGGGGGTACCAGGAAGGCTCCAAGGCAGGGACAGGGTAGGGGCCTAGGACCTGAAATTGGGTATACACTGAAAGGAGAACACGCAGCATGACTGACCTGATGCTCCTTACATATATCCTGCTTTGTAAAGAATTAGCCTCAATACTGAGCCAGGTCTAAACTACAGGTAGAGGTTAAGCGCTTCCTAAGAGGCAGGGAGAGGGAAAGAAAAAAAGAAAGAGAATACGACCAGGTAGACCACTGGTGGATTGTGTCCTAGAACACAGTTACCTTCTGTAAGGCAGTGTGTATTGCCAGATATAACACACTTGTTGCTGATCATGAGAAAGAGCACTCATTTCAAAAACCCAGGTGATTCTCTAAATCAAAGTGTGGCCCATATTTGTTTTCGTAAATAGAGTTTTGTTGGAATACCCATTTGTTTAAGCCCTGCCTGTGGCTATCTGTGCACTGCGAAGATGGAGTTGAACAGCTGCAGCCGGTCTATGTGGCCCGTAAAGCCTAAAATATTTACTATCTGGCCCTTTATAAAAGTTGGTCGATCTCTGCTCTAAAATCTAGTTCTGCCTTTTATAAGGGGATCGTAAAGTAATTTTTGGCAAGGGAGACCCAGAAGCTGCCAGTAGATTCAGAAAGACCAGGAAGTTTCCTTGTTACTGATGATATGTTGTTGTATGACTTTATCACTTAACATTCTAACTTAGTGTATCTATCAGTGAAGGTGAGATTCTTTTTACCCACCTTTGTGTCCCACACCTGAAATTTTCCAGCACTTTTGTACTGTGTCTGGCTATGATTATTCCATAATGTTCATGTTCAGAAGAAATGTTACAAGCAGAAAAAGAAAATGAGTTCTTTATATAATAGTCACAGTATTTACAGCAACAACTTGCTTATCTGACTGCAGGAAGTAGCAGATTTTGAGTTAACAAAAGTACATCTCTCACATTATGTTGACCACTTTTACTGGAATCCTGTTTTAGTCCATTTGTGTTGCTATAAAGGAACATCCAAGGTTGAGTAATTTATAAAGAGAGGAGCTTTATTTGGCTCACAGATCTGCAGGCTGTGTAAGAAGTATGGTGCCAGTATCTGCTTGGCTTCTGGTGAGGTGTCGGGCTACTTCCACTTATGGTGTAAGGCAAAGGGACGCTGGTAAGTGTGGTGATCACATGGCAAAGGAGAAGAAGCCACAGGGAGGAAGGAAGGGAGAGAGAGAGAGAGAGACAGAGAGAGAGAGAGAGAAAGAGACACACACAGAGAGAGAGAGGTGTGAAGGAGAGGGAAAGAAAGAGGGAAGGAAGGCAGGTGCCAGGCTCTTTTTAACAACCAGCTCCTGGGAACAAATAGCGAACTCACTCACCTTCCCTTGCCCCACAGGGAGGGCATTCATCTATTCATGAGGGATTCACCCCCTACCATGACCCAAACACCTCACATTAGGCCCCACCTCCAATGCTGGGGATCAAATTTCAACATGAGGTTTGGGGGACAAACATCAAAACTATAGCACTATCTTAAATGGATTTCTCAAATTTTCTCTTAGCAACAGAGCATACACAACATAATTTTACCCTTTTTTGCTGACTCTGAATCATCATAATGAAATTTATTGCACTATAGTCCTCTGGAGTCCCTAAGGAATGGAGGTTAATTGAGCCAACGCAAAAGGGCCAAGAAAACTCACTTCATAGTTCTTGTATCTGCGTTTCTCCTCTCTCATTCTCAGCAGCTGATCTGCAGCGCAATATACCAGGACTGAAAGGTGATCTAAATCAACCACCAATCTCACAACACAATTCCTAGATCCCAAACAATGTGCCCATCTAATGAGATGGTTTGGTCTAGTTTAGTTCACCAAATCATCAAATATTTATAACGTGCCTCCTCTGGGATAGTCAGAGTCCTACATTCAATGATGATTAAGGCATGATTCCTGCCCTTAATGAATATGACTCCAACCTTGGTAGAAAACCCAACGTGACCCAATGGTATGTGGATAAGAAGGCCCCACTTCTTACGACTTCACTTTTGCTATTTTGCTCATTCAGGCCCAATATTTCACTTTCAGGGTTCCATTCACACATTCATTGCATTTTCTGGTGACACTGAATAATATCTAAATGGATAAGGAGAAAGTTGAAGAGCAGGATAGAAAGCAAATTTAGGATTCTGCCTTACAGCAACAGCTTGAAGATGTGACTTCCAAGAATGGGTTCTACCTAAAAATGGAGACTTCCTTGTATTATACAGTAATATCTCAAAAATTATTTCACAGCTAATGTTATGATCTTGAATTACTTCCTAAAGGTCCAGGAAGACATTAGATAGACTGGGCATGATAATCCCGCTTCACTAACTGGTCATTCCTGTCTCACTTTCACAATGATGAACAAAAGGGAAGTCCTAAATATTTCTACCTAATCAAGCCTAGTAATTAAGCTGTATGATTTTTTCCCTTTATAATAAGATTTTAGGCACCCCTAAGACTCAAAATCAAATATTATACAAAGAATAAGGGGTACTTGGGGAAAGAGAAATATGGAAGAGAAATAGAAGATGAGAGAAATAAATGGAAGGCAGATAAGAAGAAACGGGTTCAGGGAGGCAGAAGAGATGGAGGAAAGAGAACAGATAAAGATCAAGATGAGAAAGACATAGAAGAGGAATATTCAATCAAAATGTCTTTATTCAAAAAATAACCATGTTGAGGCTGGCATGGTGGCTCACGCCTGTAATCCCAGCACTTTGGGAGGCCTAGGTGGGTTGATCACCTGAGGTCAGGAGTTTGAGACTAGCCTGGCCAACATGGTGAAACCCTGTCTCTACTAAAACTACAAAAAAATTAGCCAGGCATGGTGGTACGTACTATAATCCCAGCTACTCCGGGAGGCTGAGGCAGGAGAATTGCTTGAACCCGAGAGGGAGAGGTTTTTGCAGTAAGCCAAGATCGTGCCACTGCACTCCAGCCTGGGCAAGAGAGCAAGACACCATCTCAAAATAATAAATAAATAAATAACCATGTTGAGAGAAGATCACAAATGAAGAGCTAATCTCCTTGCAAGAATAAGTGTGTGGAGACCAAAGAGTGAAGACTTCAGGTGGACACTGAAGGGCACATGGGCTAAGGCTTGTATCCTCTGACACTCAACCCTCTCCAGATCTTTTACCAATTGAGGACAGTTGGCTCCCAACTTCAGGGTAAAGGGTTGGCTCCCAGCTTCAAGGTAAGGGAGATAGTGAGGTCACCTGCTTCCAGGAGCAGTCTTGTGCTGGAAGAGCTGGCTTTAAGCCAAAAGACACTATGTGGTAAACTAGAACTAGCAACTGAAGAAAAAACATGTTTGAAGCAGGATTAAGTATGTACATGGTTAAGCCAAAGAAACAGAAAGAAATTAGGTCAATATAAGACTATACAATATAGAGGTTGTACTGATTTACATTCCCACCCGCCATGTGTAAGCATTCCCTTTTCACCACATCCATGCCAACATCTATTGTTTTTTGACTTTTTAATAATAGCCATTCTGGCTGGGGCAAGGTGGTAGGTACCTCCCTGTGGTTTTAATTTGCATTTTCCTAATTAACTAGATTAAACCATCACTATGTACAGATGATATGATGAAAAACTCAAGATAATCACCTGAAAAACTATTAAAACACAAGAAAATTTAGTAAGCCTGATCAATGTGAAGCAATGGCTTCCACCAGTAACAAACAGAAGATATAATGGATGAAAAGACCTCAAGTATAGCAGCCAACACAACAAAAGACCTAGATGTAAACTTAATAGAAATGTGAAGGTGATACATGAACAAAATTTCAAGTCATTTTTAAAGGACAGACAAGTGACCAAATGGAAAAGCATAGTGTGGCCTCAGATAGGAAAAACTGACATCATAAAGATGTCATTCTTCTTAACTTGGAAATCAAATGCAATTCCAATAAAAAAAAATAGCGAAGAAAACTCTGAAAAAAAAAGAGTAATAAAAAGAAACTAGCTCTGTCAAATATTAAGATGTTTTACAGACCTCATCAATTAAAACAGGCCAGGCCTGGTGGTGCACACCTGTAATCCCAACACTGGGAAACCAAGGAGGGAGGATTGCTTGAGGCCAGGAATCCAAGACCAGCTTGGGCAATGTAGCAAGACCCTGTCTCCACAAAAAATTAAAAAATTAGCCAGGCCTGGTGGCAAGTGCCTGTAGTCCCAGCTACTTGGAAGGCTGAGGTGGTAGAATCACTTGAGCCCATAAGTTCGAGGATGCAGTGAGCTGAGACTGCGTCACTGTACTTCAGCCTGGGCACAGAGTGAGACCCTGTCTAAAAAAATTTAAAAAGATAGTAACAGTAACAATTAAAACAGTGTGAAACTGTTGTATGAATAGACAGGTAAATCAATGGAATAGAACAGAAGGCCCAGAAAACAGACCAAATACATTTGAGAATTTCATATATGATAAAAATGGCATTTTAAGTCAGTGGAGAAAGACCATTCAATAAGTGTTGCTGGGACAGCTGGACAGCCAACTGGAAAAGAAAAAGTTGGAACCACACTCACACCAGACACCAGGATAGACTCCAAGTGGAACAAAGACTAAAATATTAAAAATGAAACCATAAAAGTACTAGAAGACCCACAAAAATGAGGCAACCTGACATGATCTGTCCCTGATGGAAGAACACACCACATATGAAATAGTCTTGAAAAGGGAAAATTAATCTAAATCTGAAAGCACCTCAATCCCTACCAATTTACATAAAATAAAGAGGACAGAGGAACATTTATAAAGTACACCACAGGGATGCAACTAGCAAAACCCAGACTGTGGGAGACTCAAGAGAACAAACTCAAGGTGTTATTAGGAAAAAAAAAAAAGAGAAAAGAATCAAGAAAAACGAAAAAGAGATGAACCTGTGGTTTAAAAAGAGATTAAAGCCACACTGCCTTAGTTCAGGTGCTCATTATCTCTTGCCTACTGTCAACATCTTCAAGAACTTCTACTCAGGAGATTTTACCATGGCCATTATAAGGTGAAGATCTGCTGCTTTTTTTTTTTTTTAAGTTTACTGGTTTCTTAACTTTTATTTCTTTAATTTAATTAATTAATTTTTTTGTTTGTTTGTTTGAGACGGAGTCTTGTTCTGTCACCCAGGCTGGAGTGCAATGGCGTGATTTCGGCCCACTGCAACCTCAGCCTCCCAAGTTCAAGTGATTCTCCTGCCTCAGCCTCCCAAGTAGCCGGATTACAGGCGCACACCACCCACATGCCCAGCTAATTTTTGCGGTGCTTTTTTGTTTTTGTTTTTGTTTTTGTTTTTCAGTAGAGATGGGGTTTCACCATGTTGGCTAGGTTCTCGAACTCCTGAACTCAAGTGATTCACCAGCTTCGGCCTCCCAAAGTGCTGGGATTACAGGGATGACTCACCACGCCTGGCCCTTTAATTTAATTTTTAAACAGGTAAGATATTCCCAGAGGTGAAAAAATTCAAAGTTAAAAAAGGCATAAAGTGAATTCTTTTAAATTTATTTTTATTTACCTTATATGTCTACATATATTTATTTCAATTGTTGTTGGGGTACAAGTGGTTTTTGGTTACATGGATGTATTATATAGTGGTGAATTCTGAGATTTCAGTGCACCTCTTACCCAAGTAGCATACACCGTACCCAATACGTAGTTTTTAATCTTCACTTCCCTCCCACTCTCCCCACTTCAGAGTCTCCAAAGTGCATTATACCACTCTGTATGTCTTTGCATACCCATAGCTTAGTTCCCACTTGTGAGAACATACATTATTTGACTTTCCATTCCTGTGTTATTTCAATTAAAATAACAGCCTCCAGCTTCATCCAAGTCATTGCAAAAGACATTATTTCATTTCTTTTTATGGCTGAGTAGTATTCTGTGATATGTATATATACCACAGTTTCTTTATCCATTCATTGGTTGATGGGAACTCAGATTGGCTCCATATCTTTGCAACTGTGAATTGTGCTGCAAAAAACATATGCGTGCAGGCATCATTTTGATATAATGACTTCTTTTTCTTTGGGTAGATAGCCAGTAGTGGGATTGCTGGGTTGAATGGTATATCTACTTTTAGTTCTTTAAACAATCTCCATACTGTTTTCTATGGAGGGTGTACTAATTTACATTCCCACCAGCAGTGTAAAAGTGTTCTGTATTCACCACATCTATGCCAACATCTACTGTTTTTTGACTTTTTAATAATAGCCATTCTGGCTCGGGTAAGGTAGTAGGTGGTGAACTGTGGTTTTAATTTGCATTTTCCTAATAATTAGTAATAGTGGGCCTTTTTTCACATGTTTCTTGGCCATTTGTACATCCTCTTTTGAGAAATGTCTGTTCATGTCATTTGCCCACTTTTTCATGGGATTATTTGGGTTTTGGAGTTTTTTTATTTTATTTTTTAATTTTTTTTGCTGATTTGTTTGAGTTCCTTGCAGATTCTGAATATGAGTCCTTTCTTAGATGTATAGTTTACAAATATTTTCTCCCATTCTGTGGGTTGTCTGTTTACTCTGATGATTATTTCTTTTGCTGTGCAGAAAATCTTCAGTTTAATTATGTCCCATTTATTTATTTTGGTTTTTGCTGCATTTGCTTTTGGAGTATTAGTAATAAATTCTTCTTCCTACCCCATTCCTCAAGCCAATTTCCCCTTCCTCAAAATACTGCTGTTTTATGTGAACCTCTCAATATATTTGTATGCATTTACAAGAAAATCTTAACTTATATTCTTTTTTCCCCTTAATAACAAATATGTACACCAAACATACTGTTGTGGCTTTTCTTCCGTGAAGTATTTCAATAGCTTCCAAATTCATTTTCCTGACTGCAATTTTGTACTTTCCAATCCATTCTTCATGTGGCTGTCGGGTTGATCATTCTAAAATGCGGATCTGATCATGCTTCAAAATTTACAGTGTCTCCCTCTTAACTACAGGATCAAGTTCAACTCCCTAGCTTGGCACAATATTCAACATCTTTCATAATCTAGCCCTAACCTACCCTCTTTCCAGGGGTTTGGCTTACCACTCCTCACTACAAATCCCAAACCCCAAGGACGCTGGATTCTGAATACACCAAATGCTTTCTTTGTACATGATTCTCTCTCTACCTGGACCTTCTTTTCACTTCTCCATCTGGTGAGTTTTTACTTTCTATCTATCTTTCAAGATCCAGCTAAATGATATATCCTTTTGGAAGCCTGCCCTCACTTGTCACAAGCAGAACTACCAGGGACTGTGCTCCCCTATTAGGACTAATCAATTTTGCTATCCACTATGCCCACAGTCCTTTGTTCAAGGCTATAATACACTGCATGTCACAGTGTACCATATTATTATTTGTACTAGTCAGTAGTGAATAAATGAAAGATCATGCCTTATGGTCAACCCAACCCCTTCCCCAAAGAATTCTAACTTCAAAGAATGGAATTCCAAAAAAAAAAAATCAAAAGCCGGGCTTGCAAAGAATTTTACCAGTCCGCTAAAATGAATTTATTGGTTTGCCTCCATTCCAGATGGTCCTTGAAATCAACATCTTGTATTAGTCACACAGCACACCAACAGCTGCAGGGAGGCTTGTACCGTTCTTCCAGCAGGCCCCAGCAGGCTATCTGACTCCTTCAAAGAACTCCAACTTATCCTTGGGCATACACCAATGAAAATCCCACTGTCTCATATCCTAGTGAGCAGAGTGAAGTTCCACAAGCTTATTTAGGGAGAGGCAACAGTTGGTTACAAGAGCAGAGACTGGAAATCACAAGTTCCCCTAATTAGATCCCTGTGCTAATCTCCCAGAAAACAAAGGACTTCAGTCTAATCTTTTTTTCTTCTGTGTTTAGGAGTATTTCAGCTTATGGTGAAAGTAAGAATTTGGCTGCAGAAAAACACTTGATCAGTAATAAGAATACAGGTATGGTTGCTGATCAAAGCTGCAGTGAAGGAGCTAGTGTAACTGGCCCTCCAGACCACTGCCCTGCCTACGTTACCAAAGGTAAGTTTCTGAGTGATTTTATTCCTTTTTTCCTCTTTCAATCAAATATAATCTTATTTCCTTTCTTGTATTTCTTTCAACCAAATACTCCCAATTAGTTTCTTCATATTATCTGCCTGCAGTATTATACTGTAAGCCTGAATGCACCAAATGGTCATTTATGTTTTCATAGATTATATTAAATATCTTACCCAACACCTTTTACAACTTCTTACTAAACACACACATTTAAGCATTGACCTAAATCATTACTGTCTAACTGTCCCTGAAATCATGGGACTTTAAGCTAGAAGGTATCTGAGAAATCACCTAGTGACCCAATGCTCACAATGAACACTTACTAAACAAAAGGTGAATATACTTCTCCAAGATCACATGAGTTGCATAACCTTGACCAGGATGTTTTCCTAATATTGATTTCAGCAGGGCATGGTACCTCACCCCTGTAATCACAGCACTTTGGGAGGCTGAAATAACAATTTGACTGTTCTCTCCAGGCCAGGAGTTCAAGACCAGCCTGGCCAACGTAGCAAAACCCCATCTCTACTAAAAGTACAAAAGTTAGTTGGGTGTGGTGGCATGCACCTGTAATCTCCAGCTACTCGGGAGGCTGAGGCACAAGAATCGCTTCAATCCAGGAGGCAGAGGTTGCAGTGAGCTGAGATCACACCACTGCACTCCAGCCTGGGCGAAAGAGCAAGACTCTGTCTCAAAAACAAACAAACAAACAAACGAACAAAACCTAATATTCATTTCACTGTTATTTCTATCACATTGAGTTATCTCCATTCCATTTCCTTAATCTTACTGTTCTCAAATTTGCTTCATAACCTACTGTGGTCTAGCCCACCAGAATCCTCAAATGAAGGAATTTCCTGTTACTAGGAGCATCTTCTTGAATTATATTCAAACTCCCTCTTGCAACAGGGAGTAAAAGTAAGGTAAGAAGAGAACTGGGGGTTGGGGAAGAGGCAAGTTATTCATCTTCAATTAGATGAGTCCATCTTCAATTCATCTACCAGTTAGAAAGTTCTGAGGTCCCCCATTATAGATTCTTTCATAACATCTCACATTCTGTAAGCTATATTCAGGGCATTGAAGGTCAAAAGGCACAACAGGCTACTCTGCAACTACCTGGCCAAATAGCAAGAAAGATGGTAAATGTATTGCTCTATGTTATAGCCCAAAATAAATGAGAAGAACAATATCATTATGAAATAAATAATTCTTGTGAGATTCTTCCTGCAATCATCTAAAAGCCTTTGGGACTGAAATTATTTGCAGTCATAGGAAGAAAATTTCTAGGCTGGGCATGGTGGCTTATGACTGTAATCCTAACACTTTGTGGGGCTGAAGCGAGAGAATTGCTTGAGGCCAGGTGTTTGAGGTTACAATGAGCTATGATCATGCCACTGCACTCCAGCCAGGGTGACAGAGAGAGAGCCTGTTGAAAGAAAAGAAAGAAAAGAGGGAAGGGAAGGGGAAGGGAGGGGAGGGGAAGGAGGGGAGAAGTGAAGAGAAGGCAAGGGAAGCGGGGAGAAGGGAAGGAAATGAGGGAGGGGAGGGGAGGGGAAGATAAGGGAGGGGAAGGAAAGGGAGGGGAAGGAAAGGCAGGGGAAGGAAAGGGAGGGGATGGAAAGGGAGGGGAAGGGAGGGAAAGAAAGCAGACCAGGTGAGGTGGTTACTCCTGTAATCCCAGCACTTGAGGAGGCCAAAGCAGGAGGACTGCTTGAGCCCAGGAGTTTGAGAGCAGCCTGGATAACATAGTGAGACCCTGTCTCTACTTGAAAAAAAAGAAAAGAAGAAAATTCCTTCATATTCAAGCAGACATTTGACAGGGATTAAATTGTGTCCCCCACCAAAAGGTATCTTGAAGTCCTCACCCCTACTATCTCAGAATGTAACATTATTTGAAGACAGTGTCTTTTTAGAAGTAATCAAGTTAAAATGGGGTCAGTAGGGTGGCCCTAATCCAATAAGGCTGATGTCCTTGTAAAAAGGGGAAATTGGGAGACAAAGACACACCTAGAGAAAGACAACGTAAAGACACAGGGACAACATCATGTACAAGCCGAGGAACACCTAAGGCTACCAGAAGCCAGGACAGAGGCAAGAAGAAGATTCTCCCTCACAGCCCTCAGAAGGAGCCAACCCTGCCAACACTTTGGTTTTGGATTTCTAGCCTCCATAGCTGTGACACAATTGTAAAACAAAAAATAAAATCCTAAGCTCCCACAACCAACTGAATGAACCCTTCCTCTTGGCCGAGGGCATTCCAAAGTTAATCTGAAAAACTAATTCAGGCCTCGAGGGAAAGTGGTGGTCAAATATGCCTCATTATTTATACCTTCCTCCCTTTGCAATTCAGGCACAGCTTACCAGCATTAACATTAAAACAGAGACTTTAATACTGACAGAACGGACTCTTTAAGTCTGATAAGAAACATTTACAATCTATTCTCTCTGAAGCCTGCTATCTGGAGGCTCCATCTGCATAAGAAGAACTTTGGTCTCCACAGCCCCTTATCTTAACCCAGACACTCCCTTCTATTGATTCCAGGTCTTTAATAAACTCTTTCAACCAAATGCCAACCAGAAAATCTTTGAATCCACCTAGGACCTGGAATCCCTCCCCCTCCCACCCCACCTCCCCCTTTCTGGACTGAACCAATGTACTTTTACATGTATTGATTGATATCTTATGTCTCTCTAAAATGTATAAAACCAAGCTGAAGCCCAACCACCTTGGGCAAATGTTGTCAGGACCTTCTGAGGCTGTGTCATGAGTATGTCCTTAACCTTGGCAAAATAAACTTCTAAATTGATTGAGACTTGCCTCAGATACTTCTTGGTTTACATAATCAGTATGTCTGTTGTTGAAGCCATCTAGTTTTTGGTACTTTGTTAGGGCATCCCTAGGAAACTCGGACATCTGATGAGCAATGACCCCCAGCCAGTGCTACCAGGAATCAATTCCAGGTTTACAGAGGGACCCCTCTGAATGTTAATCAAAAATATTCAGCTTAGCTTTCTGCAAAAAGTAAACCTGAGACATTTTCTTTTTTTTTTTTTTCTTTTTTTTTTTTTTTTGAGACGGAGTCTCGCTCTGTCGCCCAGGCCGGACTGCGGACTGCAGTGGCGCAATCTCGGCTCACTGCAAGCTCCGCTTCCCGGGTTCACGCCATTCTCCTGCCTCAGCCTCCCGAGTAGCTGGGACTACAGGTGCCCGCCACCGCGCCCGGCTAATTTTTTGTATTTTTAGTAGAGACGGGGTTTCACCTTGTTAGCCAGGATGGTCTCGATCTCCTGACCTCATGATCCACCCGCCTCGGCCTCCCAAAGTGCTGGGATTACAGGCGTGAGCCACCGCGCCCGGCCTGACATTTTCTACTTCAGAATAATTTTCATATTTTTGCAAAGGCCGATTTTAAATGCCGCTTCTCTCCAAATACTACATTACCACTTTTGCCAAACCAGGATATGGAACACAGTCACACACACACACACCCCACAGAGAGTGTATCCCTCTATTTGGTCTTGAATAGATCGGAAGTTCCTACAGTTACTGGGACTATGATTCCAACCGATGCCTGTCAGTTTAGCAGATGAGATTGGAACAGCTGTATCTTCAATACACATCATTGTCTTAAATAGATGCTCAGAATGAATTACAATTAAATTACAGAGCTGTCAAAAAGGGTTATAATTATAGCATTTATTCACCATATTTACAAGGCCAGACATACACAAAAGGAACAGAAGGCTGAAGAAAAAGAACAAAAAACCCACTCCACATTACTTACCTCAGCAGGAAATCTGGTTGGGGGAGAGAGGAAGATGAGTTAGTTATCATGCAAAGAGCCCATTTCCTGCAACCACACAGCTCTGTGTTTCCAGAGGGTCTTCCATTCCAGAAGTTGGAGGCGCTTTAAGACATCATCTGGTGGCAACGCATTTCTCTTTTACAATTGGAAAAGGGAGGGCCAGCAAGGTTGCCATGACTCACCCACAGCTACAGACAAGCAAGGGAGGAGCTGGGACCTGAACCAAGAGCAAGGGCTACTCCCGTCAGTGGGCTGAACAAGGAAAGCAAAATCAGGACAGCCAGACCTGGTCCCTTGTTTTGTTCTCATCTATAAGAGCATATTAATTTATCCAGCAGTTATTTATCATGCAGCTTAGGAGGCTTGGAAATCGTCCTTCACTTTCTGCTAAAATGACACAAGATAAAAGAGAGGAAGAAAATCCTCAACTGCCATTTATGCTAGTCAATTCTGTTACTAATCAATAATGCATTTAGAACCACCGGAAGAATGGTACAATTCTCTTAGTCACCTTCAACCTCAGCATCCAAAAGATAAATTGAGGATAGTAATACTACTCAGTGAGCAAACATCAGGCAATCAACAAATATCTATTATGCTGTCTCTATGTGTAACATTGTGCTAGAGACTGTCAGGGGCATAAACAGGTGACAGACTTAGACTCGTTTCTCAAGAGCTCATAGTCCAGTTGAAGAGACAAGATACAAAGAAAGATAAAGTAAAACAAGGCAGTAAATATGCATTATGATAAACTGCCAATTCAATCATATGCACAAGTGCAATGGATTAAATATTTATGTTGCCCCAGCATTAATATGCTGAAATTCTAACTGCCAAGGTGACGGTATTAGGAGGTGTGGCCTCCAGGAAATGATTAGGTCATTAGGGCAGTGCTCTCATGGATGGGATTAGTGTCCTTATAAAGACATATGAGCCAGGCACAGTGATTCACGTTTGTAATCCCAATGCTTTGGAAGGCTGAGGTGAGAGGATCACTTGAGCTCAGGAGTTCAAGATCAGCCTGGGCAACATAGTGAGACCCCCATCTCTACAAAAACATTTAAAAATTAAAAAAATTAGCTGAGTGTGGTGGTATGTGCTTGTGGTCCTAGCTACTTGGGAGGCTGAGGTGGGAAGAATGCTTGAGCCCAGGAGTTTGAAGTTAGAGTAAGCTATGACTGCGCCACTGCACTCCAGCTTGGGTGAAAGAGCAGTATGCTGTCTCTTTTTTTGTTTGTTTGTTTTTTCTCTTTGAGATGGAGTCTTGCACTGTTGCCCAGGCTGGAGTGCAATGGTGCGATCTCGGCTCACTCCAACCTCCACCTCCCGGGTTCACATGATTCTCCTGCCTCAGCCGGGATTATAGGCGCACACCACCACACCCAACCAATTTTTTATGTTTTCAGTAGAGACGGAGTTTCACTATGTTGGCCAGACTTGTCTCGAACTCCTGACCTCATGATTTGCCTACCTTGGCCTCCCAAAGTGCTGGGATTATAGGCGTGAGCCACTGTGCCTGGCCAGTACACTGTCTCTTAAAAAAAAATAACTGTTTGATATATATATATATAGAGAGAGAGAGAGAGAGAGAGAGAGAGAGTGTCTAGCTCTGTCGCCAGGCTGGAGGGCAGTGGTGCGATATGTCTCTTTTTTTTTTCTCCTTGAGACAGTCTCACACTGTTGCCCGGGCTGGAGTGCAACGGTGCAATCTCAGCTGACTGCAACCTCCGCCTCCCGGGTTCACGTGATTCTCCTGCCGCGGCTTCCCAAGTAGCTGGGATTACAGGCAAGTGCCGCCACACCCAGCTAATTTTTGTATTTTAGTAGAGATGAGTTTTCACCATGTTGGCCAGGATGGTCTTGATCTCCTGACCTCATGATCTGCCCACCTTGGCCTCCCAAAGTGCTGGAATTATAGGCGTAAGCCATCGCACCCGGCCTATATTTTTTAAATAAAAAAATACATGTGCAGGTTTGTTATTTTTTTTTAATTACAAAAAAAATCTGAGAGAGCCCTCTCACCCCTTTCATTATGTGGAGTGACAGTGAGAAGATGGCCATCTACAAGGAAGCAGGCCCTCACCAGACACCAAATCTGACAGTGCCTTGATCTTGGATTTTCCAGCCTTTAGAACTGTGAGAAATCAATTTCTGTTGTTTATAAGCCACCCAGGATGGTATTTTGTTAAAACAGCTGAATGGACTAAGACAAGAAATTCACAGCAAGGAGAAAATTACCTGAGTCTTACCAATCTGTTTCTCACCCTTTCTACCCTGAATGAGACCATTCAGGCTTTCTTATTATCTTCAGGTTTACTGGATGTTCTCCTAAAAACGTATTTCAGTTGGTCATTCAGTTGTTAAATTAGGTTTAGCCTAAAGCTGCCTCCTTACATATTTTAAATTCAGCCAAAAGGTTTCTCCATAGTAAACTGTAACCTAACTATATGTGTAAACAGAGCATAACCTACTCTTCTGCTAATCACCAAGTATTGGCCAATCAAAGGTGACCAACTATTCAAATCGTGTTCAAATAAGGCAAATGCCAAACTGTAACCAATCCAGAAATAAGGCAAACACCAAACTGTAACCAATCCAGCTGTTTCCGCACCTCATTTCCATTTACTAATGTCACTTTCCTTTTTCTGTCCATAAATCTTCCAACATGTGGCTGTACTGGAGTCTCTCTGAATGTACTCTGGCCTGGGGATTGGGGGTGTAGGGGCTGTGGAAGTGGAGGTGATCCCAGATTCAAGACTCATTCTTTGCTCAATTAAACTCTTTTATTTTATTTTATTTTATTTTTGAGGTGGAGTTTCACTCTTGTTGCCCAGGCTGGAGTGCAATGGCGTGATCTTGGCTCACTGAAACCTCTGCCTCCCGGGTTCAAGCGATTCTCCTGCCTCAGCCTCCTGAGTGGCTGGGATTACAGGCATACGCCACTACGACTGGCTAATTTTGTATTTTTAGTAAAGATGGGATTTCTCCATGTTGGTGAGGCTGGTCTTGAACTCCCAACCTCAGGTGATCCACCTGCCTCGGCCTCCCAAAGTGCTGGGATTATAGGTGTGACCTATTGTGCCCGGCCTCAATTAAACTCTTTAATTTGTCTAAGGTTTGTCTTTTAACAGATGGCATCTGAAGTGAGATCCAAAGTGGAGCTTACAGAGACCTCCAGGAGCACTGAATGGCCAAGACAGGCTACCTGCTAGGCCCATGGTGTCCACTGCTTTTGTGCAGCAACTGGGGCACGGTAAGCTCTCTCTTGGATTCCAAAACTCCACAGATTTGTGTTGTGAGTTCTCTGAGTTTGTTTGAGCAAACTTCTGATGCAAACTGGGTTTGGAAGTCATGACAGAAACTGGACTAAGTCCAGGATCAGATTGGATCCAATAATTAACTGGCTTGGATCCATTTATAGGCCTTAGATATCTAACTGGGTCAGACAGAAACTGGTAGTAAATGGCAATATTGCAGGGGTGGCAAACTTAGGCTTTGGAAATCTGCAGGTATTTTTGTGTTCTCCCCCCTTTGTTTCTTTTTTTGTGTGTACTTTGGTAGGGAAAAATCATTGGCTAAGTTGATCAAGGGGATCTGAGAGCCCAAGCCAAGATTCAAGGTAAAAATGAGATCCATAATTTCAAAAGAATTAACTACTCCACTGTCCAGCTATGCCTACATTTACATGTGGAAGTGTTACTGGAAAGGGGTCCTGATACAGACCCCAAGAGAAGGTGCTTGCCTCTTGCACAAGAAAGAACTCAGGGCACGTCCACAGAGTAAAGTGAAAGTAAGTTTATTAAGAAAGTAAAGGAGTAAATGAATGGCTACTTCATAGACAGAACAGCCCCAAGGGCTGCTGGTTGGCTATTTTTACGGTTATTTCTTGATTATATGCTAACCAATGGGTACATTATTCATGTGTTTTCCAGGAAAGGGGTGGGAAATCCCTGGAGCTGCAGGTTCCTCCCTGTTTTAGACTATATAAGGTAACTTCCAGATGTTGCTATTGCATTTGTAAACTATAATGGTGCTGATGGGAATGTCTTTTGGCATACTAATGTATTATAATTAGCATATAATGAGCAGTGAGGATGACCAGAAGTGACTCTCATCGCCATCTTGGTTCTGGCAGGTTTTGGCTGGCTTCTTTACTGCATCCCATTTCATCAGCAGGGTCTTTGTGACCTGTATATTGTGCCAACCTCCTAGCTCATCCTGTGACTAAAAATGAATAGCCTCCTGGGGATACAGCCCAGCAGGTCTTGATAGTGGCAGGAGGCACTCAAATACCTAGGCAGATTGGGGCAGGTCCCCAGTGAAACCCCACCTCCAGGCCAAAGACAGTTTAAAGCCTGAAAGCCAAGCTACAAGTCAAATCCATGGACCAGATTGAGAGCCTGTCTTCCCATTTGTCATGCTTTCCTCTAATTAATCCCCATCCTTCCCCTGTTTTACACATACCTATCCTTCCCTAATTGGTGTTTTATACTGTCATGCCCACATTTAGTTGTGCCTTTGTTTTAACCTTTCTTGCATACTCACAAACCAATCAGCACGCGCTCCCCAATTGTGAGCCCATAAAAGCCCCGGACTCAGCTGCACTGGGGGAGAAACCACCCGACCATGGGTGGCTGACCCCTGCACATCCCCTCTCCGCTGAGAGCTGTTTCCTTGCTCAATAAAATTCTTCTCTACCTTCCTAACTCTTCAATTGTCAGCGTATACTCATTCTTCTTGGATGTGGGACAAGAACTCAGGAACTGCCAAAGCTGGGTACAGGCTATAACAAAGGCAGGCTGGGGCACACCTGGAACAGCCATGGGCTGAGCTGGTGCACAAGCCAGGCATGGCCTGGGCAGGCGGAGTGGGCAGGCCTCCTCCTGCAGGAGGCAGTATGGCCAAGCTAGGCCTGGGCAGGGGCATTGCTGGCCAGAGGTTCCCAGCTTGCAAAGTGACTGGGAAAAATCCTTTGTCAGTCTCAGCCTCATTTTACTCAGCCCCTATTCAAGATGGAGTTGCTCTGGTCCAAATGCCTCTGACATAAGTATTATAGTAGGCCCTGGAAGCAGTAATTGCTTTAGAAATGGCAAAATCTTACTAAAGGTCATTTAAAATTACAATGGAATGTTACAAATGCACAACATTGAACTTGAAGAAATGCATTTGAAAACGAGGGCTCCCAAATTAGTCTCATCTAGGGATGCCTACTGATATGCAGAAGTGTCTAAAAAGATTTCAATATTTTTAATATTTTTTAAAGACTCTTCAAGAAAGGCAAATAAAATGCTTTATTCTAGATAAAGTGTTCATAAAAGGTAGCCCTTAGGGTAAAGTGAGCTTGCTTCTTTTTCAGATCTATACATGCAGAGACCAGGCATGGAGAACTCTTCCTTTGCTCTGTTCCTTAATGGGCACCACCCTAAACTCAGTAATTACAGCTAAGTTAAAGAGACCACCTATAGAACTCAAATACACCTTTAACTCATCTAACTGGCAATCTTCAAATCGTTTTGTAAAAGAAATTTACATCTATAAAGGAAATCTTCATTTGTAAGGGTATCTCTGTCTCTAAACCTAAACTACTAGGAACTTTAGTTATGGGGAAGACAATGGATTAATGTTTACCTAACAAACCTTGCCTTTGTTTAAATCTAAGTTCTGTGCTTTGAGATGTAAACTTTTACCTTGTTTTGCCTGTGTCCTCTCTTTAAAGCTGCAAACTTAGAGTTGCCTCCCTAACAATTGTTTTAAGCATAAAAGAGGTAATCAAGAGATTGACAGTGGGAAGAAACTTTGAAAAGTGGCAAATGAGGAATCTTACAAATCTGTAAGATCTGCTTCTGTCTATGTGTCTGTTATGTCTATACATGTTATGCATATGTGATTATATGTGGTAAATATAGCTAGTTTTTAAATTGTTGCTAAAACAGGAATGGATCTGTACACAAACCCCCAAGTCACGAGTTTACCTATATAACAAACCTGCACATATATCCCTGAACCTAAAATAAAGGTTAAGGTATTTTTAAAAATAGGAATGGTTTCAAAATTATCTGTTAAACATAATTTTATACTTGCTTGATTTGACTGTGATCTTGTGTTTCTAGTTTTTAGCCTCTGAATTAAGAGTTCTGCATAGGTAGCCATGGTGAAGTCTGGAAACACGTTCTCAGTGCCTCAACCAGCAGCTACAAGTCAGAGTCAAGCCCATTATGACCCCTTCTTCCTGCCTGAGCTTTGGCCCCAGATATTCTGAGAGGGGTTGGATCCTCCAGGGCATCGACCTCACAGCTCTGTCTTCTGTCCTGAGCTCTTCTCCTGGCATGTAAATTCAGGACTCAGATAAGCCCTGCCCTTCATAGCCACCTTGGATGCTGCGTGACTACCTGTGAGTCAGGAGGACTGGAAAAGACATTAGGGAGGGTACCTGTGTCCTACTTTCAAAATGTTTTTCAGTAATTTTAAATCTTAAAGTGATGTTATGTTAAAGCATAATCATAAAATGGGAGTCATTTGTAAGTTAAAAAATATTAAAACATTAATTACCAAACCTAAGTTTAAGTTTATATAGTTTGGCATCTTATTTTTGTATGGTATAGAGAAGCTAAATATATTTACGTCTGTTAATAAAATATAGGAAGAAACATCTTTCTAAAATTTATAGAATAATTTAATAATTTTTATCTGCAAATACTGATATAAAACAGTTCAAAATTACTTCCTAGGGATTTCACTAAAAACTAGGGTTAAAGAGTTCATGTAGTTAATATATGTAATTAAAACAACTAGATGTAAGAAAAACAATTCTGTATAGTATATAAAAGCAAGATATGCTTTTGATGATGGAAGTTATAAAGGCATAAAATGTATGTTTGTTAAAAAAAAATTTGTCTAGGCGAAGTTACTAGAGTTGCCTAGTTTGAAGTTTGTCCAGTTTGAAGTTAGTTAAAGGTTACTTAAGTTACTTAAAGGTTGTTTCAAATTGAAGGAATAAAAGGAATGTAGATAAAATTAAAATATAAAAAGTTGAAAAAATTTTTAATTGTACGAGATTATAAAAGGGTTATGGGAATCTGGTGTGGTCAAAAGCTGACTGACATTGAATGAGTTTGTTTATAAGGTTTTATTAAAATTAGCTTTATTGATAATACACTAATGCAAAAGTAAAATTTGGTTTTCTCTTTTGAACAAAAATTTCTTATAGTGTTAATAGTGATAGCAAGATATTTTTGTTTACCTTTTGAGTAAACTGCAAAAAATAAAAAAAGAGAGAGAGAGACAGATTCTGCCTCACGCTGTCTTTCTCAGGTCTTTAGATTGTTTGGAAAACTGCGTCTCCTCTATCAGAGAGTAATGTTTTTGCTTTTTAAAATCTTTTCGTTATCACTTTACCTAAATAAATGACTACTATTTTATGATGACCTGTGACCCTATTTTGATCAAGTGTTTTAAACCTTTTATATTTGTTTGACAGGCTTCCCAAAATCAAATTTCCACTTCAAAATTAAGTCTCTTTTGACCTTGAATTTTAGAATACTACAGAGAGCCCCTGAAGCCTCCATAAGAGAGTTAACGGGATTGATATGTTAAATCATATGGAAAGCATTGCCAAATAATAAATGATGTTTAACCTTCTTTAAGGTGTATTTTAGTGAATACGTTGTTAATATATGTTGCAAAACTATATGAGATTCCTAAAATTCTGATATGTGTAGAAGGCCTGTGTACCTAATAATAGATTCTCCTGTACCTTCTGCTACTAAACTCTGACATAACAAAATGCTGGAATGCTTTAATGCATATGTCAAAGTGTATTTTCACCAGGTAAAGAAAGCTTTTTATGGTCCACTGACTGAGAACAATCGAATCCCTTCACAATCTAGAACCTGGAGATTGGGTCTTCTGAGAATGTCATCAGAGAAAGACTGCCCTTGCTACTCACACTGCAGCAAAACTCAGGACCTTGAACCTTGGGTTTGTAATCTCACAGCTCAGAAGGGCCCATCCAGACTCTAGGAACTGTATGTCCATTGGAGACCTTAAGGTAAAGTTAACCAGGGAAGCTTCTCCCCAGAAGCAGATGGCATCCCAGACATGAACAGCTTTTTCCAAAGATCATGAATCAAGACTTCTCTGCAGTCAGCATGATAGATCACGTCTGTAATTCCAGCACTTTGGGAGGCCGAGGCAGGAATATTGCTTGAGGCCAAGAGACCAGCCTGGGCAACATAGTGAGACCCTCATCTCTAAAAAAAAAAAAAATTAATTAACCAGGCATGGTGTGTCTGCAGTCCCAGTGACTTGGGAGACTGAGGCAGGAGGATCACTTGAGCCCAGGAGGTCAAGGCAGCAGTGAGCCAAGACAGTGTCACTCCAGTCTGGGTGACAGAGCAAGAAGACCCTATCTCAAAAAAATAAATAAATAAAATAAAATAAAATAAAATAAATGAAAAAATAAAATAAAATAAGCATATATATATATATATATATATATATATATATATGAGAAAACAAGTTTTAAAAATGTATCAACAAAAGACTTCTCTGCTATCATGAGAACTCTTATCTCTCAATTTTTTCCTTGCTTAGCCTCTATGAATAGACCTGAAAAAGGGGTCTCGTGTGTGTACTCATGGATTATACTTTTATTTGTGGAGGATTTTGCAGCCAGTTGTATACATGGACAACCTTATGCCTTGATAGATGGGAGATAAAGGGCCACTGTGGCCAAGAAACTTTAATGGTACCTTTATTGCTTCATAATCAGTAAGAATACTGGTCCACTCCCCTTAACCCACATCACAGGTTAAAGAGAACATTGCCAGGAGGCCTTCACTCTCCTGGATAGGCAGCACATGTTAGGTCTCTTTCTCCATGGTTTGGAGTAAATGAAGCAATGATTAGAAATTTACCTCTCATCATAGGCTCCATAACAGGTTCTACTGTAAAGGCTATAGTTTTAAATTCTTTTGCTAAAGTTGTGCTAAATAATAGAATTACTCTAGATTACTTACTGGCTAAACAGAGGTGTCTGTACAGTTGCTGATACTTATAGTTGCACATGGAGGAATATGTTGGGTGTTACAGAGATTCAGTTGTAAGGAATTGAACAGGCTGGTTTTTGTTTTTGTTTCTTAATGAGCAGACTCCTTATCTAGCTCATTCTTTGATCTATTTTATTTTAGTTGGTTTAGTTCAAGGGGACCCTGGCTAAGAAGCATACTCCAAACTCGTGGTATTATCCTCCAGACAGTCATAATAGTAGTCCCCCTGGTGCACTGTATTCTCTTACAAGTTTTAAATGTTTGCATGTAGCCATCTCCAGAATGTTAAATGGTGTCTCTTCAACTGGAAAAAGAAAAACAAAGAAATGTGCGACCATGAGGACACTGTAACTTATGAATGATGTGCTGAGACCGTAAACCCAAAATGATGATACATGAGAGTGGCAGTAAAGCCTTCAGTTTTGGTTACACTCTCACCTAAGGGACAACGTGACCAAAAGGGGAGAATTTTTAAACAAAAGTATGGGAGGCCACTGTTTTGGACTGAGCTTGTGCACTAGGCCCCGACAGACAAAACCAAACCAAAATGGACTCACGTTAAATGCAACATCATCTAACTGGAACTTTAAGGAAGCAAATAGGTCCAAAACAGACCAGGTTTTGTTTATCTCCTATAAAAAGTGATGTGATGAGCAGAACATATTGTCAAAGATAAGTGTAACAGAGATGGACGGCTGTCAATAATGTTAAACACCCATGATTTATAGCTGGGCACCTGGCTGTCTGCCATTACGTTTATGGCTAAGTTCCAATGACTGGGATACAGGCAATTTCCAGGATGTGTGCTTAAAGGAAGGCATATATTGTTTTTCCTCCCTTGCTTCATCCTGCTTCTCAGGGCACGCATGCAGTGGCAAGCCATTTTGGACCACATGAGTGAGGAACCTGGGTCCCAGATGTCCTTATGGAGTGAAGCCACCAGATTGTCCCTGAGCTGTTATAAGAGAGAGAAATAAATTATGTTATTTATGCTACTGTTATTTTCAGTCTCTGCTCTTCATGGTCAAGCTTACAGCCTAACAGGGAAAACGGGCACATATTAATTCATTCTAACCTAGAGAACTGGTTATTTTATCAGGAACAAAGCAATATGGAAGAGGAAAAGGATGCTTCCAAATAAAAATCAAAGAAAATATCTTTCTAGTCGGCTTTAAATACTTTTCATGGTGAAAGTCCCATATTTCTATAAATTCCAGATTGATCTAGAGAAAAGGGAAGCAAGCACACATACACACATATATCTTTTTATATCAATCTGTTCACACAGAATATCTCTAAGTCCATGGGTAGAATACTGAGCTACGGGATTACCAAAATCTGTTTCAAAATCATAGATTCTGAATTTTTAACATTAAAAATGACAAACAAATCTGAGGACTTAAGTAAATAAAATAAAGTAGTTTTTTCAGCTAGGCATGGTAGATCATGGCTGTAATCTCAGCACTTTGGGAGGCTGAAGCGAGAGGATCACTTGAGCCCAGCAGTTCAGGAACAGCCTGGGCAACATAGTGAGACCCTGTCTCTAAATAAACAAATAAATACTTTTTAAAAAATAAACAAGTACTTTTTTCTAAAATGGAGTACTGGTCTCAACTCTCAGCCTTCTCCCCAACACACACACACATATATGCATGTTTGTACTTACACACACACATACAAAAAAAAAACATTTAACCGGATTGTAAAATTGCTTAGAACAGTTTATCGGGGCACGCTTGGTATTCCATTTTGGACAACTGTGGCTCTTTTAAGGTATATCCCAGTGGTCTCTGTACCACCTCAACCCATTCTTTGGCTTTACTGCAGTCTGAATACCAGGCCAGATGGTCAAATAGTAACTCAGCATGACTCTCCTGCTACCCTAATATAATTTCACAGTAGGAACATATACAGGGTTTTAAAGGACCCATATGAACAGCATCCTAGCTCTCATAACTCTTTCTGGGTGTACGCATTACTTATTTGGCGGGGGGGGCATGGGAAAGCAAGGGAATCTGATGTCTTTTTAATTATTTATTTCTTTATTTTTGAGACAGGGTCTTACTCTGTTGCCAAGGCTAGAGTGCAGTGGTGTGATCATAGCTCATTGCAGCTTCAAATTCCCAGGCTTAAGCAATCTTCCCACCTCAGGCTCCCAAGTAGCTGGGACTACAGGCACATGCCACCACACCCGGTTAAGTTTTTATTTTTTGTAGAAATGAGGTCTTGCTATGTTGCCCAGGCTGGTCCCGAACTCAGTGCAAAGGATCCTCCCGCCTCGGCCTACCAAAGTGCTGAGATTACAGGCATGAGCCACTGTACCTGGGTGTCTTTTTAATTTTTAATGTCAGAATCCAGTTTTAAAAGCCTCTCAAGACCTGACTTTACTTCTTTTCTTCTCTTACCTCAATCCTCACCTTTCCCTGCTTACTCTCAAGTAAAGCTAGCCAGGAACTGCAAAAGATTAGAAAGATTATAATGATCCACTTTGCTCTTTTTATTTCTTTAAGTTCTTTTCTTTCTTGAAAAGTATATCATCCTAGGAGTGAAACCTAAAACCCCACTGGTATGATTTGAATGTTCCTTCCAAAACTCATGTTTAAATTGCCATTGTGATGGCATTAAGAGGTGGGATCTTTAAGAGGTGATCAGGTCATAAGTGCTAAGCCCTCATGAGTGGGCTAATGCCATTATCAAGAGAGTTCCTGATCAAAAGGATGAGTTCCACCCCTTCTGTCTTGCTCATGTGCTTTCTTGCCCACCTGCCTTCTACCATGGGATGATGCGGCAGGAAGGCCCTCATCAGATGCAGGCCCCTTGACCTCGAACTTCCCAGCCTCCAGAACTGTAAGAAATAAATTTCTTTTCTTTTCGAGTTAAAGTCTGTGGGTATTCTGTTATAGCAGCACAAGATGGACCAAGACACCCACCAACTTGGAATGGAAAAACAGAAGGAGAGTCTAATGGATCTCTACTAGCTCAGCAATCTGGCCACTCCATGGCAATGGACCAACCAGGTTGTTCCTTGCTCAAGGCGATTGTGTGGGATCATGTAGACTGTTCCCTGCATGAGGATGCCTAGCCAAGAATGCTGGAGGCAGGTAGAATCCAGCTTGCCTGCCATTCACCAAGTGCCAGCTACATGCCCCAGCACAGGGCTGTGTCCATCTGAAAGAAGGGCAGTCTTTTTTGAATATGCACAAGGCTTCAAGTCATGGGCCCAGGGGGCTGCATCTGTCTACAGAGGACACATTTCTTTCATTCTCAAACAGCAGTTTTGTCCCAGGGATTAGAAGGCCAGTGGCCTTGTATGGAGGCAGGTACTAGATGAACTCAGCAAAGAAAACGAGGATTGGAGGTACTAGCTATGTGCCTGTTCTTGGTGATAGGTTACTTCTGGTCAGGAGGTAAGGTTAAGGTGGGCAGAGCCAGCTTCATGGGCATGGAATCAATGCGGTCCCAAAGTGCTTGTTTCCACACTGTGCTTTCATTAAGTTCTTAGTTTTTGAACAAATGGCTCCACATTTTCATTTTGCACTGGACCCTGCAAATTATGTAGCCTTTCCTGGAGGTGAGGATGCCAGAGTAAAGTGCTGAGGAGTTAGAAACTACTCAATGCTGTAACCTCTGGAAGCACAGTTCAATATGCAACTCTGGACAGTGGAATGAAGGAAGGAAGGAACCTCAAGAAGCTACTGCCCAGACCTGCCTGTAATCTATGGACTGATGATGGCAGAGCACCCAGGGTCCATCATGAAAAGAGGAACACTGAAGTCATCCTGCAGCGTCAGAAGCTTTGGTTCTGGTGGTTAACTCTGTAATCCAACTGGTCCTCTTACAAGTATGAGTATATTGTGAGGAGTCACTCAAGAGAATTACTCTCCAGGTACAAAATAGCACAAGTGCTCCAGGTGGTCGGTGCTGGTCCCTTCCATACCTGGCCAGACCCTTGCTGATTATGGCTGGCTGCCAGTGCAAAAGAGCAGGAGAAAGAAACAAAGGGAAATTTCTTTACTTGCTGGCTAGATTACAGACATGTCTACTGTCTTCTTTAATAATGTGAAGTTTTAGAATCTGGTTGACATACTTGACTGCCTTCTTCTTTCCCTCTTTTTACCTTGCAGCATTTCTGTCCTAATTCTTATTGCAATATGCATTATCAAAGCTGATTTTTCTATAAGAATCATTCAGGAAATTTCATTAATATCATACATATCCCCTCAACTAATTCAGCAATTAGACAAACTGATTAGGGTGAAGCAAACTCTTGTAGTGAAAATAAAATCTTCTTAAATTTCAAATTGATACCATAAGTTAGTCTTAAGATTTAGCCTACTATTATCTCTAGGTGATAGAATCAGGTGATTTTTATTATAATCTTTATATTCCTATTTCTTTTCAAAATGTTTTATAGTGATCATAAAATACTTTTATTAGAAAAAATAAAAGTTATTTCAGAAGGTTTAATCTGAGTAAAAACTATTTCCATATACTTTAGAAACATCTTTTTCTATATAAGCTGCTGATATACTAATTAGAATTTTTTAAAACCTATTCATTAAAGTTTGTTCCTCAAAGACTTCTACTTGACAATACTTTGTTAGCCTAGCTCAAATTGCTGTAATCTTTCATCTTTGGAAAGCTTAAGAATGTTGCTGATGCTGGGCGCGGTGGCTCACACCTGTAATCCCAGCACTTTGGGAGGCCAAGGTGGGCAGATCACCTGAGGTGAGGTGTTCGAGACCAGCCTGGCCAACATGACAAAACTCCATCTCTATTAAAAATAGAAAAATTAGCCGGGTGTGATGGCAGGCTCCTGTAGTCCCAGCTACCTGGGAGGCCGAGGCAAGAGAATCACTTGAACCCGGGAGGTGGTGGTTGCCAGTGAGCCAAGATCACGCCACTGTACTCCAGCCTGGGTGACAGAGCGAGACTCCGTCTAAAAAAAAGGATGTCACTTGAAAAACAGGAAAAAGAAAACAAGTAAAAATCACTCATAGTCAATTTTTTTAAAACATAAAATAAAAAGTGAAATATTTTCCACCCCAGTTTCCCTACACATAAACAGCTTTAGCTACAAATGCACTTTTTGTAAATAAAAGGAAAATTGTAATTTCCACTCAATCACATAAAAATATATCATGCACATGTGCGCTAAGCAGTACACAGACAGGTACCACATACTTTTTAAGGGCCATCTGTATCTTGATTTATTTAGCGAGTTTTCCTAATGCTGAACAATAACTTGTCTCCAACTTCTTACTATTGCAAATATGGCTTCAATAAACAACTTGTACATGTGTTTTAATATATGCTCTTACCTCTGCAAAGTTCTTAAGAGTGGTATTCCTCAATTAAGAGACTAGAGATGTTGAATCTTAATACATGCTATTAAGCTTCTTAATAGGGTCAATGAATTACACTCTCATAGTTCATGGGTATCCACTTGCCAAAATCCTTCATTGCACTCAACATTATCAATTTTCAAAATTGTTTCTATGGACTTGAAAAACAATTTTCAAAACTGTTTCCATGGACTTGAAAAACTGTTTTCATCTACATCCCCCAAGCATCTTTTCAAGTATTTTTTTGGCCATCTGTGAAACTTCCGTAAATGCATTTCATACCCACCGTCTATTTTCCCATTGACTGTCTTTCTCTTGTTGTTCCCTCTTACATGCTCACTGCTCAGTCCTCCCATCAATGCTACTGGAAATCACTCCACAATGCCCAGTGCCAAGTTTGCCCTCAGTTTAAGGGAAGAGCATCATCTAAAGACATGCCAGTTTTATCAATTAATTTAAGCTTTTACTGTTTTCATGCCCTAGAATGCAGGAACAAAAGATATCTATCAACTACTAATGACCAAAAGTCTAAAGCTTTAACAGTGCTCTGGAAAGTTCAAGTATAAAGAGAGACGGTTTATTTTAGAAAGCATCACATCACCGCATACATAGCCATTAAGTTATTTTCTTCACTTTAATATTTTCATGTGTACACACAGCAGTAAAATCACAGCACACCTCAGCACACTCTGAGTAGCCTTAAAGAGACAGAGCCAAAGACGCTCATAAGAAATTTTAAAAATAATTAATTATCTCATTAGTCCATATAAAAATATCTGGATGTTAAGAAAAGCTGAAATAAAATGCACCAAAAAAGAACAAGAGTTTGGTTTGAATGGTGAGTTTTAGAAATCAGTATTTTTTCTCCTTCTCTTTAAACTTCCTCAATGATATTTTAATTTCATTTTTTAAAAGTAAATTTTAATTCTGAAATTAGTGGTGATGATTGGACAACTGCGTGAATATACTGGAACACACGGAATTACAAAACTTTAAAAGATGAATTTTATGGTATGTGCATTATGTTTCAATAAGGTTGTTTTACTTTTGAAAGTGAATTTTAAAAAGTAAAATACTACACTGTGCGGGCAGAGGGTTTAGGCGAACTTTCTACACTTTCTACTTAATTTTGCTGTGAGCCTAAAACTGATCTAAAAAATAAAGTCTATTAAAAAATACTACAGTGTATTCTTTGTTAATTTCTCAGTAATTTTATATTAAAAATTCTGGAAGGTAGTAGAATATATAAAAGCTATAGCAGGACAAGCCTCTTTCCAATTTCTTGTTCTTGGCAATATTTGAGGAGCATACAGTTGAAAGTGGCTTCTTAAAGCATCAGTGAAATGAGTGTCGCATATTAAAAAACTTCTGAAGGGTGACTCATATCCTATGGCAACTTACAGAGCCCCTGTGTAGAGTGATCAATGCTCCCATTATGCTTATTAGAACTAACAGTGTTAATATTGAGAGAGAAAGCATAGTTAGAGATGTCCATTCTTTTTCTTTCTAATCTGACTCAGGTTCTGGGTTCCCAACTGATGATTAGTGAAGATTTCATTGTGTTGAACTGTTTCATATAAAAAAATGAGGTTCTAGTTTAATTAAAAAGCCACAGAGGATAAATTAATTCCATTTATCAACAGCATAGTGTAACGGACAAGAGCTCTCTGGGGACTGGCATTTCTATTAGAACTTTCTATTTGACTAAGCCACAAAGAAAGGGAGAACTTACAACAAATACTGCATCTAGGATGCTCAAAGAGAAGCCAGTGTGATCACCAACATAAAGGTGAAACTGTTTTGCTATAATGAATTTGGTAAAAAATAATAGACTTCTGAATATTTGAAGTTTCTACTTTTTGAAAAAAAAATAAAAATGAAATCCATTTTTATTCCCAAACTAAATGGCAACAAAAGAATATTTCTATGTTATCGTCTAGTCTATGGAAAGAGACACTATTCCCAGCTTGGGATCCTAAAAGTCAGAAGTTTAACTTGCAGTAATGTGAAATCTGTCCTTGGAAGCTCAAAGAAGAGAAAATGTCTTTCTGGAAGGAAACTTGACAAGTTCTTAGGGAGTGAGGCATAAAGCAGAACAATATTGGTTAGATTTCAAACTAAGGGCATAAAGAAATATTAGGTTCTCTTTTTCTTTTTTTTTCTTTTCTTTTTTTTTTTTGAGACGGAGTTTCGCTCTGTTGCCTAGGCTGGAGTGCAGTGGCACCATCTTGGCTCACTGCAGCCTCTGACTCTCAGGTTCAAGCGATTCTCCTGTCTCAGCCTCTCAAGTAGCTGGGATTACAGGTGCACGCCTCAACACCCCGCTAATTTTTGTATTTTTAGTAGAGATGGGGTTTCACCATGTTGGTCAGGCTGGTCTTGAATTCCTGACCTCGTGATTCACCCGCCTCGGCCTCCCAAAGTGCTGGGATTACAGGCATGAGCCACTGCGCCCAGGCAGGTTCTCTTTAAGTCTGTTACTCACACCTAAATTAACTTGCTGATAAAAGCATGAAAAAGATGCTATTAGAGTGAAAATATCTATATAACCAAACATTTGCAAATTGGAGCTAGTGGCCTGCTTTATACAATATTTGCCACAACATTTCAGCACTTCTACTTTCAGTTTGCTACTTTGATAGTATTTTTGTGGGCAACATCTCATTTAAGTGGCTATTTTTCCCCTGATCATCCTTCCACGGCAGTGTAACTCAGGAGGAACACCTGTGACACATATGTATCAGGCAAGACCACTCCTAAAGAACTCGTGGGCTTGCCTACTGTATATGCACCAAGCTGTCAGGGTTGACTGCCCCCAAAATGCCACTCCATTCCAGAGGAGATGAAAAGGAGCCCACCAAAACATAAACAAAAACCCAGAAGCTGGTAAAAAAAAGTCAGGAAGTAAATAATGAAAGAAAAACAGGAAATTGACTACTGAACACTACATAATCGATGGCTCCTCAGATTTTATGAAATCTGAATCACGAGTCACCAAAACGAAAACTAGTCCCCCCTCTAACGTTAATACTTTGGTCTTATTTTTAAATATATTATTTTTTCTACACCGTTTATTTTCCCCTTCAACTTTAAGAGCACAAATTTATATTGTCTTTTTTTTGTTTACTTTCAGTCAGCGTGAGGAAGGGACACATTTTCTCTTTCCATCTTACAGACAATAAAGGGACATGGCCCTGACTCTTAAGAAAAATGGTACTTGTGAAATAACTCAGAGCATCGTACCTGGCACACAGTAGATAATAAAACTCTCATACATAGAGAATAAGACCTCTTCTCTGGGTTTTATGCTTCTACTTCTTCACAAGTACTAAGTAGTTCAGTGCATACTTTCTAATTGTTTTGTCTCCTCCTATTAATATTTCCATACTAAACACTAGCCTCCGCCCTACTCCAGGACCAGATGGGTAGAATATCTTGTTGTATTATACAAGGGTAAGAATGAGACTACTATGGGTCTGCTTCTTCACTGATGAATGCTAGAGCCAACTTCAAAGACCTATGATACCACAAATTCCCTCAGGACAAAGTGCACCTCCTCTCTTCTTTTTGAAGTTCATGGTCAATGGGCTGCACATTTTCTTATATTTCAAAGAAATGATAGCTTAAGACGTATGGTGGATGTACCGCCATTTTATATGTACGTTTTTGATTTCTGAAAATGGAATCTGATTTGGGATTTAAATAAGAGATCAACTCCTTTATGCTCCTAAATACCAACAAGTAACTGTGGAACTGTGCAGATGAATCACACAGCAAAGTAAATTAGTGATTTCTAATGAGGAAAGATAAGAAATAATGTAGTCGAAGAAGTCACAGAATCAAGAAAAATAGGATGCATTTCTTAAATTAAAAAAAAATCACCCGGCTGGGTGCAGGTGCTCACGCCTGTAATTCCAGCATTTTGGGAGGCCGAGGCGGGCGGATCAGAAGGTCAGGAGATCGAGACCATCCTGGCTAACACGGTGAAACCCCGTCTCTACTAAAAATACAAAAAATTAGCCGGGCGTGATGGCGGGTGCCTATAGTCCCAGCTACTTGGATGGCTGAGGCAGGAGAACGGCGTGAACCCGGGAGGAGGAGCTTGCAGTGAGCAGAGATCCCACCACTGCACTCCAGCGGGGCAACAGAGTGAGACTCCGTTTCAAAAAAAAAAAATCACCCTGCACAACAAGGAAATAGAGAGGTCTAATAGACTTTGTAACCTCCCTAGAGATGTGGTAAAAGCCTCATTGTCTGAGTCACAGAAAATTATGCTGGGCCAGGCTTTCACAAACACACTGTAAAATCATATATTGGCCAGAGGGTGTGTGTTGGTGATGTGGGGGAAAGAGGGAGGGAAGAAAGAGAAGTTTGGTGTTAGCATGTTGAGAATGTCTTCCTAGCTCTCCTGTTCCTAACTTTGATTTCTACTTTCCTAAAGAGAAAAGTGTGTAACATCTAAATAAGCTATTTTCAACCTACTATTTTTTTTAAAGGGAGAGAAACTCTGCTCTGAATTAACTAAAACAGAGCAAAAAATACCCCACAGAGGAAATTAACTGGCAAGAATGAATTAGCTACATTTTTTTTTTTAATCTCTGCCAAGAAAGTGTGATAAATCCAATCATCGACAGTTTCCCTGTAAGTTACTGGAAGGAATTTTGCAAGAAAAAAAATAAAATGGGAATATAAAATCAAAATGTTCTGATCACTACTAATAAAAACATATATTTTAGGACTTATTCAATGTAATATATTATGATAATTCTTATTTATCTGGTATTATTGAAGGATGATGTTAACTAAATCCCCTATCCCTATCAGTATCAACATTTTTGAAAATTAAAGCATTTTTGATGGGAATTTTTCTATAATAGATGATATACTGAATGGAATACTGGACGTTTCAGGGCCATTGCTATTAAGCTTTGATGCAATAAAATGATGTCTTGAGGAGAAACTGAAGTAAATATACAACAGTCTGTCCCTCTCGATGGCCCTCTATTTTAAAGTATTTTGGTGCCTATTTTAAAGTAAGTTTTCTGCCTCTTCCTTTCACATTTCAAGTGTCTTATTAGTTAGGTGAGTCTGATTTTCATAATTGCTTCTCCTTTCTAATTTATTGCTTCTTGTGCTTATGAGATAGAAAATTAGATAATCAAGCATGATAGAATTATAGTAAAGACAGAGTCACTAGATGTTGAGCAAGAGCCTAAAAGGAGTTTAGTGCAGAGGACGGATGGCATCTGTTTAAGCTGCTTTAGCTGTTGCTTTTGCTTATATCTAGGTGCTTTGATGTGTCCTAGACAGATGAGGTTATTGTACAATTTATCTATTGGTAAATCCAGGTATTTTTCTACACTAAAAAGAATATAGAATAGGGGGCTTCTGTCTCTTTAATTTGCAACTCAGAGTCACCACTTTGTACCATACCTGAAACATCAGCACTCACAGCCTCATTATGGACATTCTTTGTAAGTTTACTTTCCTCCATGGCCATGACTTTGTTAAACGTCACTGAAATAAAAAGTACAGCATGCAAATCTATGAGCACAAAGCTTATGAAATTGGCAGGGGGAGTGTCCCACTGTTATCAATTCTGTCCTGTATCCTCCATTTCTGTGAAAGAAAGTACATTACCTTTCATCATGGTCATCACATAATATGCAAAAAAATGGAAGAGATGGAGGAAACAAACTGATACCTGTAATAAAACACTGACATTATTATTGCTTTTCACACTCTCTAAAAACTGCACATTCACTGAATTACAGTCTCCATCAAATTCCTGACTCTTATCCTGATGGAGAAATTTACCTACCTGAAAAGGAAAGGTAGGGTTATTTCAGGGACGCTTTCCTTTTTAGTATTAACAGAGGCAATGTTTATACTGAATGAAACTACTTAATCCCTAAACTATGCGTAAGAAAAATATATCTTGCCAAATTTACAACCCTCTCACATTGCATCTATTCTATTTCAAAATGATCTCTAATACCCAAAGATTTGTATTGTGTTATTACAGTATAATTTCTCATCATATTCTTAGGATAAGAGAACAGGTTGATAAAACAAGATAATGATAATGTTTTCTATTGTTCCTGTGTTATTTTCCCAATAACGCAGAAGTTTTCACAGATACTCATTCTTACAGAGGTTGTTTATTAGAAAAATATATTCTGGATTCACGACCAAAGGCAAAAATAATTTCTGAAACATTTACATTTATATAAAGTCAATTTTTGCCCTTCTGTATTGTCAGTTATGAAACATTTCCATTTTTAAGTTTTGTTTCCTTAGAAAAATTAAATTCCATGTGCTTTTCTAGCATATGCCCATAGGTTTCTCTGAGACCCACCTTCCTACTTGATATGAGTAATCACCTAAATTGTCTTAATACCTTCATGTCATTTTTTTTTAGTCTTTCTTACACTTTTTCTAGGATTAACCCCATTTTTGAAGCATTCATTTATCTGCATTTCCATAAACTTTAAACTTCTGACTTTTGGAATTTGTGTAGCTTTTACAGCTATTTCTTACAATATTTTGCCATGAAAATTGACGCATCTTTTCCCCGCATATTTATAGCCATGTTCTGACTGCCCTCCCCTCTAAGCCTGGAAACTCCCGTATTCTGGAATGCTGGTTGTTTGTATTAAGCGAGCCATGTGTCCTCCCACTTGCACATCACAGTATAAAGTATTTCCTTAAACTCAAAATATCCTTTTATTGACCTCTTCCATCCCAAAGTCTTAATCTGTTAAAGACTCACATTATCCATGAAGAACCTCAAGTAGAAAAGATCAAACTCAATACTTTCTATTAACATTACAAAAAGTATCTCACTTTTAAAAGTCCTAAATGTATTACTTCCATCCCTCTCTTAATATTACTGAACTTATTGCTGTGACAACACAGTCTCCACATAAATGTCATGTCTCCATTTGGACTTGGCCAGATCTATCCCAGAGGTTCAAACTACTGGAGAGGGTCAAGCCACTTCCAGAGAACTATCTCTATGTCCCAGGTGTCCCTGTCCATTTGGGCTGCTATAACAAAATGCCATAAATTGGGTAGCTTATAAACAACAGAAATTTATGTATTTCTCATTGTTCTGGAGGCTGGAAATTCCAAGGCTCCAGATTTGGTGTCTGGTGAGGGTCCAATTTCTGGTTCTTAGATGGTGCCTTCTTGCTGTGTCTTCATGTGGCAGAAGGTATGAGGGAACTCTCTTGGGTCTCCTTCATAAAAACATTAATCCCATCTATAAGGGCTCTGCCCTCATGGCCTAATCACCCCCCAAAGGCTGTATATCCTAATACTATCACCTTAAGGGTTAGCATCTTAACATATGAATTTCAGGGGGGGATGCAAACATTCAGATCATGGTTTTACTTTTCATTTTGTTTGCCTCTGAAACATAAGCAATAACGTTAGTTGTTCCTTATTCAATTTTGATTCCTTTTATGTATCTCTTAGCTGCTTCCTTGGCTTAATTGCTCCATGTTGCTCACTTAAATCCCATCACCCTAGAGAATTGGGTATTTTGAAGCTTCACCACTTTTTTCTTTACCACTGTCATATTGCTGTGAATGGTACATTATTGCTTCTGATTGAAATTTCCTGGGCCTGGCTTACAAATGCCCGCTGTTGGATTGGTCTGAAATCAGTTACACATTTTCTTTTATAGAATCTTTTGCCACTGTATACTGCAAAGTCTTGCCTGTGACTTTGTCCTTTACAATCGGCCCATCTAATAATGGAATACTAGTAAAGAGATAGGAAAATATATCAAGATAGTTCACTATGTAAAAGAATGTATTCCTAAGCATTTTATGCCTACCTATGCTGACTTTTATAGTGCTCTTATTGCTATATTTTTCCATTTAATCCAAGTCATCAACTACTCACTGAGTGCCCACAAAGCCTATAATATCAAACTACACAAACAGAGGATAGAAAAAGAAGTCATAGGCTGTCCTCAGTGATTTTACAACCTCAACAAAAGCAGGATAGAGGATGCTCCAGTATTGGAATATAAAAAAAAAACAGAAACTTTTTTCCTGATCTTCTAAATAAAACATAATAGCCTATAAGCATTCTTTGACTGAGTATACACCAATTTGACTATTTGTAAGTGAGTCTCTGAGATTGATTATGTGTATGACACTGGGTATACAACAAGTAGCAATTTGCAATTTTGTTGAAGAATGATTCTCATAACTTAATATCAACATCTGAATCTCAATATACTTTTGTTATTCTCTACTCATACTGCATTTTTCTTTTAGGGAAAATTATATGCTGGAGTGAAAGGAACAATTTGGGAAGGAAGAAAATCTCTAGACATGTCCTCAGAAAATCTCAACAGTCTACAGTATACCATACTTTTTATTTTTCTTTTCTCACACACCCTTTCTTTTGCCAATTTCTTTTAAATAGTCTCCCCCAAATGAAGCAGTGCTATGATAACAAACTTTGATCATTTTATGTGGTGGGTGTATCCCGAGGCTGGTGACATGGTTTGGCTCTGTGTGCCCCCCTACAAATTTCACCTTGAATTGTAATAATCCCCACGTGTCATGCCATGGACCCAGTGGGAGGTAAGTGAGTCATGGGGGCAGGTTTTTCCCCTGCTGTTCTCATGATAATGAATAAGTCTCACGAGATCTGATGGTTTTATACAGGGGAGTGACTCTGCACAAGCTCTCTTGCCTGCCGCCATGTAAAACATCCCTTTGCTCTTCCTTTGTCTTCCACCATGATTGTGAGGCCTCCCCAGCCAAGTGGAACTGTGAGTCCATTATACCGCTTTTTCTTTATAAATTACCCAGTCTTGGGTATGTCTTTATTAGCAGCATGAGAATGGACTAATCAGCTGGGCACTCAAAGATGAATCAGACACTGTCCCTGCCATGGAGGAACTCATAGTCTTGTGTTAAGTGTTGTCTGTTTCGGGTGAAGAGAAGCTAATATTAATCAATCTTATCCCATTCCATTTAATTTCAGGTATCATGAATCTATGTGGAATTTCAAAGATCTTTCATGTCTGTGTTTTGCAGGGAAAAGTTCACTTTTTTTCAGATCAGGAAAAGGTCTTCTCATTCTACTTAAAATCCGGGGTCTTCCTTTGAGTACTTTGTTTTTTCTGCATGGGAAAATGTTTATGGTTTTTTTTCTTTCCCAAAGCTTATTTTTAAAACAAAATTTTCATGATATGGTATATATTAGACTTTAATCCTTTTTCTATCTCTTGGTCTGAGTTCTTTTCAACTCATTTCATTTCTCTACTGTTCCTCATCATGAACCTCTTCCCACAAGTCTTCACATTAGATTTCACATTTGTATCACGCCCTATTTAGTAACTACAGGATTAGATATATGTTGCTGAAATCTGTTGGGCACTGGATATGACATTGTTAAAAGTTAAAATTCCCAGCACAGTATACTTTCTTTTTTTTTTTTTGAGATGGAGTCTTGCTCTGTCGCCACTCAGGCTGGAGTGCATTGGCACGATCTTGGCTCACTGCAACTTCTGCCTCCCGGGTCCAAACAACTCTTCCACCTCAGCCTCTCTAGCAGCTGGGATTACAGGTGTGCACCACCATGCTCGGCTAATTTTTGTATTTTTAGGAGAGATGGGGTTTTGCCATGTTGGCCAGGCTGGTCTCGAACTCCTGACCGCAGGTGATCCTCCCGCCTCGGCCTCCCAAAGTGCTGGGATTACAGGTGTGAGCCAATGCGCCTGGCCAGTATACCTTCTTGAATAAAGAGTAAACTTATCACAAAATGATGAGTTTTGTTCTTACTTCAATATACAGTAGGTTCATATTTATATACAGTTTAAAAGGTCTTGATTTTGACAGAAAATAATTCTTCTGGGCAGTTCTAGCACACAATTTGTCTGATGTATTGTGAAAACAAGAGCTCTACATCTGGGACTGAGAGAAGGGAGTTTAAGCAGATTCATGTACAAGAAAGCCTTTACTGGTCTTTATTTGATTATCACTGCCAAGGTTACTATAAAAAGAGTTCACAGTTTATCCATGGCTGTGTATCACAGATGTTAATTTGTTTTGTTTCACAACTCAGAATTCACTTTCTCTTAGAAATAACGTCGTACATGGTGGTTGGGCGTTCCACACAGGTCTCAGAATGGAGGCAAACGCCCTGACTGCAGGCAGTGCTGCCGCAGAACACATGTCCTGGGGCAGGTAGAATAATGGCTCTCCAAAGACGTCCACTTTCCAATTCCCAGAACTGTGAACAGGGGATCAGATGTGCTGAAGTTAAGCATGTTGCAGTTGGAAGATGAGCCTGGATTATCTGGATGGGCCCAGTATATTCACAAGGGTCTTTATAAGAGGGAGGCAGAAATGTCAAAATCACAGGAGAGGATGTGATGGTAGAAGCAGAGGTCACAGAGAGAGAGGGAGGGAGACAGGGAGGAACAGAGGGAGGGAGGGAGGAAGGGAGGGAGGGAGAGAGGAAGACTGGAAGATGCTATGCAGCTGGTTTTGAAGAGGGAGGAAGGGGCCACAAGCCAAGGAAGGCAGGTGGCCTCTAGAAGCTGAAAAACACAAGGAAAGGGATTCTCCCCTAGAACCTCCAGAAGGAGCCAGGCCTGCTGACTCATTTGAGACTTCTGATCTCTAGAACTACAATTTGTGTTGTTTTAAGCCACTATGTTTATGATACTTTGTTACAGTGCCAATAGAAAATGAATACACATTCTAGGAAAATTATCAAGGTTTCTCTGGTCAAATAATTTTGGGATACATTATTCACTTTATCTCCTCAATGCCTACAATTTGAGAAGTCCCATGATATGGTTTGGCTGTGTCCCCATGAAAATCTCATCTTGAATTGTAATCCGCATAATCCTCATGTATCTAGTGAGAGATCTGGTAGGAGGTGATTGCATCATGGGGGTGGTTTCCCCCATGCTGTTCTCAGGATAGTGCATTTATTTATTTTTTATAGCCCTCACGGAGCACCTCTGCTAGAGCAATGTGGAAGGGAAATGTGGGGTTGGATTCCCCCCACACAGAATCCCCACTGGGGCACTGCCTAGTGGAGCTGTGAGAAGAGGGCCACGTCCTCCAGATCCCAGAATAGTAGATCCGCAGACAGCTTGCACCATGTGCCTGGAAAAGCTGCAGACGCTCAATGCCAGCCCGTGAAAGCAGCTAGGGAGGAGGCTGTACCCTTCAAAGCTACAGGGACAGAGCTGTCCAAGGCCATAGAAGCCCACCTCTTATATCAGCATGACCTAGATGTGAGAACAGACTAATACATCCTGCAAGAAAAAATCTTATTTAACTTTGTTTAATTCAGAATCGCCCAAAGTATTTAACCATAAACATTTTCAAGAAATACTTTTTATTTCTCCACATCTGGAGAAATAGGAACACTTTTACACTGTTGATGGGACTGTAAACTAGTTCAACCGTTGTGGAAGTCAGTGTGGCGATTCCTCAGGGATCTACAACTAGAAATAGCATTTGACCCAGCCATCCCATTACTGGGTATATACCCAAAGGACTATAAATCATGCAGCTATAAAGACACATGCACATGTATGTTTATTGAGGCACTATTCACAACAGCAAAGACTTGGAACCAACCCAAATGTCCAACAATGATAGACTGGATTAAGAAAATGTGGCACATATACACCATGGAATACTATGCAGCCATAAAAAATGATGAGTTCATGTCCTTTGTAGGGACATGGATGAAATTGGAAATCATCATTCTCAGCAAACTATCGCAAGAACAAAAAACCAAACACCACATATTCTCACTCATAGGTGGGAATTGAACAATGAGAACACATGGACACAGGAAGGGGAACATCACACTCTGGGGACTGTTGTGGGGTGGGGGGAGGGGGGAGGGTTAGCATTGGGAGATATACCTAATGCTAGATGATGAGTTAGTGGGTGCAGCGCACCAGCATGGCACATGTATACATATGTAACTAACCTGCACATTGTGCACATGTACCCTAAAACTTAAAGTATAATAATAATAATAATAGTAATAATAATAAATAAAATTTAAAAAAAGAAAAAAAGAAAATGTGGCACATATTCACCATGGAATACTATACAGCCATAAAAAATGATGAGTTCATGTCCTTTGTAGGGGCATGGATGAAGCTGGAAACCATCATTCTCAGTAAACTATTGCAAGGACAAAAAACCAAACACCGCATGTTCTCACTCATAGGTGGGAATTGAACAATGAGAACACATGGACGCAGGAAGGGGAACATCACACACCAGGGACTGTTGTGGGGTGGGGGGAGGGGGGAGGGATAGCATTAGGAGATATACCTAATGCTAAATGACGAGTTAATGGGTGCAGCACACCAACATGGTACATGTATACATATGTAACAAACCTGCAGGTTGTGCACATGTACCCTAAAACTTAAAGTATAATAATAATAAAATTTTTTTAAAAAAAGAAATACTTTTTAAATATTCCTTAGAATTACTGTTCCATGGAACTACTTTAGGAAATAATGTTTAAGGAGTTATGCTATGGATAATGGCAGTGGGAAGAGAGGCAGACATTCTTGCATATATTTATCTAGCCTGAAATCCCAATCACTGAAGTCACTGAATCACAGCTGAGTGTCCAATATGGTTTTTGGTTTTTTTTTTTTTGAGACAGTGGCTTACTCCCATTGTCTAGGCTACAGTGTAATGGCATTATCTTAGCTCACTGCAACCTCTCCCTCCCAGGTTCAAGCAATTCTCATGCCTCATCCTCCTCAGTAACTGGGACTACAGATGCATGCCACACATCTGGCTAATTTTTGTATTTTTAGTAGACATGGGGTTTCACCTTGTTGGCAAGGCTGGTCTCGAACTCCTTAGGTGATGCACATTCTTAAGTGATCCACCCGCTTCGGCCTTCCGAAGTACTGGGATTACAGGCGTGAGCTACCGCACCCAGCCCATTATGGTTTAGAGATAGGTATTCAGATGAGGGTGGAGGAAATGAGATATAAAGAAATGAAGGAAAATAGCACTGACTCCAAGGAGGTGGTCACTTAGTAGGGGATATGACATATTTACCAAAAATTATAAGCCAGGTGGAAAATGTTAACCCCTCTCTCTCTCTCTCTCTCTCTCTGTGTGTGTGTGTGTGTGTGTGTGTGAGAGAGAGAGAGAGAGAGAGAGAGAGAAATAGAGAGATAGAGAGAGAGAGAGAGAGAGAGAGAGGCTAGACAGATACAAATGAGCTGCTGTAGGAGTCTGGAGGGAAAAAATAAAACACTCATTTCCAGGAACGGGAGGTATCAGAGAATAAACTGGGTTGGTGTTGAATTTATCCTTTAAGGACAGCTAAGCTATTGACCAGAAGAGATGGAGAAGAGAAGATGGGCATTTGGAATTGGCAGCATCAGGGTGAGCAATCTCATCTATCATAGGCCCTCCCCAACTCAAGCACTAAGTAGTTCCTAGATGGGCCAAGCATGTCAAGCCTTGGTAAACTATGTCCTTGTCTCCTAATTCTTAAGTTCTATATTATTAGACCAATAATAAGAATTATTAGAAATTGGGGTTCCAGTTCTATGACAGTAAAACATCAAAATTCACCATAAAGAAATGAAAATAAAATGATATCGATTTTTGAAAATACATATACATATCCAAGTCCTTAATATAAAATTTAAGTTCTGTTTTAAATGCTCCTTTTGGGGGATGTTTTTCTGCATGGAATGAACTTTCTGAGGCTTCTTAAAATATGTGCCCAGTGAAGTTTAGACTAAGGATGCTTTTTCCTTTTCCTGGTAAATCTTCCAGTCATAGGATAGCCTTCTTCATCGTTCCTTGGACCTCTGAACTGCAGTTCAGAATTAGTCATTTATTTCAAGAAGCTTAACACTTAATCTGTGTGCATGTATGTAAACAATAGATTATGCTTTAACAGTAAACAGTAGTGGAGGACATTTTCCATGCTGACTTTAGCTTTCTGTTTGGTGTCAATTTTTGGTCTCCGTGGGAGCAGAAACTGTCTTGCTGTTTGTTCTTTGTCAGCCTAGAGTCCGGAGCAGTGCCTTATCCGTGGGAGGCATTCAGTGTGCGTCTGTTGAAATGATGAAAGGATCATGGGAACGAAATCTTGGCTTCACTTGGGCCAATTTAGAAGAAAAAAAAATTTATTTATTTTAATAAGGAAAAAGAAGATTAAAATGGACATTGTAGGGGTAATAAATTCAATAGCTTTTTTGTTGTTGTTTGTTTGTTTGGTTGGTTTGGGGTATTTTTTGGCTTTATCCCCTAGAAGTACTAAGATGATCGTTTGCTGGAAGAGAAGCCTGTACAGTCTATAGGCTTGATCCAAAGCTGCTGGTAAATCAAGCATTCATTTTTCTAAAGTTACATAAATGAAAGAAACGACAGGATTTAGAGGATCCAAGGGCCTCTCTTAAGAAACACGTTGACATAAATGTGACCTGCGGAGATTGTGTGCCCCCCTCGAGTGTCTGGCAAGCACCTTCTCATCTTTCAAGACAGCTCGAATGACACCTCTGGGAGGCCCGCAGGCTCCCTGTGGCAGTTGTTTATGCTGCCCTTTGTGTTCCCCAGCACTCTGTGCAAAACTCTCTCAAATATCACTAATCACACTTCACCCGGTTATCTGTTTACATATCTGAATTCAATTTGATAAAATTCAATTCCCATTGCAATGCCCTAAGTATTTGCTAGGGCAATGCTAGATTCAAAGGTTCAATGGCAAATTCAAAGCCTCTGGTTGTTTTTTTTTTTTCTTGGATAGGGTCTTGCTCTGTTGCCCAGGCTGGAGTGCAGTGGCATGATCATGGCTCACTGCAGGCTCAACCCTCTAAGCTCAAGCCATCCTCCCACTTCAGTCTCCCTGTGAGTAGCTGGGACCACAGGGGTGCGCCATCATGCCTGGCTAATTTTCTAAAAATTTGTGGTTAGAGATGAGGTCTCACTATGTTGCTCAGGCTAGTGTTGAACTCCTGGGCTCATGCAGTCTTCCCGCCATGGCCTACCAAAGTGCTGGGATTACAAGCATGGGCCACCGTGCCTGGCCCCCTGGCTTTTAGAAGCTACATCCTATCATGGAGGACAGACAAGATACAACTACTTACAGTTCTCTGTTAAGAGCAGGAGAACCTGAGGCAGCAGAGAGGTGACAGGAAGGAGGAAGTGACCATGAACTCCTGAACAGTATGCTTACTTCATATCCTCACCCCTCAGCACAATGTCTGGCATGTAAAAAGTTCCATGCATGTTAATGGAGGGAGGGAAGAGGAAAGGAATCAACAAAATGCCCCTACCCCATCCCCATCTCTCTGCTATTTCTTGTCAAACTAGTTACTCTAAAGTTGGTGTTTTCAAGCTCCTGGAAGAGATATCTTAGAGCATAGAGTTGATGATTCAGTCCTCCCTAGCATATAGTACAGTATACAACAATCACATTTGATGGAGACAAGTCATCGTTTGTCCTGTGTTTAACTGTGGTCCCATGGCACCTGTTCATAAACACTACACTCCCAGGAAGTCTACAGGAAAGAGACTTGCAGACAGGTTGCATTTGCTGAACCACTAGCACTACACCAACCTAATTCTTAAGTTCTGTATTATTAGACCAAGAGCTCTTCTACCATCACAAAAGGATTTAGCTAGAATTTTGCTTCCCTCAGAACCTCATTTGCCATCCAGTTTCCCATTTCTCTGCCAGCTTCATCTGTGCAACTCATCTTGGGTTACGTCTGGCAGATGGAGAGAGGAATCTCATTTCAAGTCGCTGCTGTCTGCATCCCAGAGCCCTCCCGGAGCAGCCTCTATTTCACCAAGGACAGAAGAAAGGAGGGATGGGTGTGATCAGCCTCCCCAAGAGATGACAGTGTAAAGTATTCCTCAAATTTTCATCTTCAACGGCTAGTATCATTTAACTCCCTTGGGAGAGACTGCTTTGTTGCCTAGGCTAGCAATATAATCTCCAGCTATCCCAATGCCAAAATATCAATTACAGGTTCATCTGGATGATGGGATAAACTGAAGTTCAGACCACTAGAACAATGACATAAGTCAGGGGTGGGGAGACAGGGTGCCCAAGGGGATTGAGCCCCATGGTAGAAGTGAAATAAGGTGAAGTCAAATTCTCCATATCCTTGCAGATTAAGTAACTAAATTCTAAACTGCTATCTGTCTCATGAAGAGAAGTCCACCAGCAACTAAAGCGAAGCAGGTGTTCTGAAGGGGTTTTCTTTTTGGAGGTCCTAATTAGAAAGATAATATTCCCATAGCACCCCAGCTCTCCCAGCAAAATGACAGGAGAAGATTGAAAAAATAAATGATTGGTAATAACAATTAAGCATTTTACCAGTCACAAAACATCACAGATTGTACAATTTGATTTATATAAAGTATCTAGAAACGGTAAATTCATAGAGACAGAAAGATTGGTGGCTGCCAGTGGCTGAGGGGAGGGGGAAATGGGGAGTAACTGCTTAATGGGTACAGTGTTTTATTTTGGGGTGATGAAAATGTTTTGGAAAGAGACAGAGGTGACGGGTGCAAAACAGTCTGAATATACTAAATGCCACTGAAGGCCGGGTGCGCTGGCTCACGCCTGTAATCCCAGCACTTTGGGAGGCCGAGGTGGGCAGATCACGAGGTCAGGAGATCGAGACCATCCTGGCTAACACAGTGAAACCCTGTCTCTACTAAAAATATAAAAAAATTAGCCGGGCGTGGTGGTGGGCGCCTGTGGTCGCAGCTACTCGGGAGGCTGAGGCAGGAGAATGGCGTGAACCCAGGAGGCGGAGCTTCCAGTGAGCTGAGATCGCGCCACTGCACTCCAGCCTGGGCGACTGAGCAAGACTCCGTCTCAAAAAATAAAAATAAAATAAATAAACTAAATGCCACTGAATTGTTCACTTTAAAATGTTTAATTTCATGCTATGTGAATTTCACCTGATTATTTTTAAAAGTGTTACAATTAAAGGACTAATTATTTCTCATTGCTCAACAATCTACCACTACTGGGGAAAAAGGAGGATCTTGTTTCCATTCCATAGTGATAAGAGGGATTAAATAAGTCTTTAAATTCTAGTATCAGTCATCTTTGGGGCTTTCCTGTGAAAAGCCGAGTACTTACCTGAATGTTGGTAGCAGAGAAGTAATTCAAACCAATGACCCCAGATTTGCCTGGCCCATGTAGTCTAACTTCACAATCAACAGCTGCAGGAGTAGCAAGAGCAGCAACTATTTATCTGCAGCTACGAAGTGCCAGCTAGATAACCAAAAGGCAATCGAGGAGACCTGTGTTAACTAGACTCTAGAACCCTAGCCAGACCTGTGTGATGGAGGTATGTCCCAGGGAGTCGCATTTGGTGGCAGTAACATCAGACAAAGACTAAGTGTCGTTTTAATTCACTAGAATATGATGACCTTGCTATTTCCACACACTTCCAGGACAAAGAAAATAAATGTTGGCCAGGCGTGGTGGCTCACGCCTATAAACCCAGCACTTTGGGAGGCTGAGGTGGGTGGATCACCTGAGGCCAGGAATTTGAGACCAATCTGGCCAACATGGTGAAACCCCATCTCTACTAAAAGTACAAAAATTAACTGGGCATGGTGGCACATGCCTGTAGTCCCAGCTACTCGGGAGGCTGAGGCATGAGAATCACTTGAACCTGGGAGGCGGGGGTTGCCGTGAGCTGAGATCGCGCCACTGCACTCCAGCCTGGGCGACAGATCAAGACTCTGTCTTGGGGGAAAAAAAAGAAAGAAATGTTAACAGAGAGCAGGAGGATCTTTAGATGAGAGGCAGCTTTTTTTCCCCTTCTTTATACTAAGATGAAGATCCAAAGCAATTTGCTGTTAAGCGCAAAGAGAAGCACAAAAGCTTAGAGGGAATAAAAACACATTTAGAACAGAGGTTAAAAAAAGGACCTTGAAAGGAAACTACAAGGCTATGTAAACAAAAACATGGTTGAATGCAAACTGAGGAAAAGCAGATGCGGGCTGCCCAGGCTCACATGACACCTTCCCCTTTCACTTCCACATGGCACAGTCAGAGCCAAAGACAAACAGGCCCCTGAAGCCCTCACCAACCAACCTCCGAACCACGCACCTTGCCTCATGCTCTAGTTCGTGAATCTTCCTGGTTTGAGGTCAGGTATGGTCTTCCTACTATGGCTTTGTCTCACCTCCCAGACTTAACACAACACTTAGCTTTGAGCACTTGCTTTCCTTGACCAGGATTTAGACATTTCTCTAGCATGACCGCCAGTGGTCGCTTCTTCTACCTTCAGCCTAACTCAGGATGTCCCTCTACACCACGTGCCTGTGCAGGCATGGAAAAGTGCTCAGCTCTGTTTTGGTGTAGCCTTCCTTTTCTCGCGTGCAGTCCTCAAGACCATGCCTAAAATAAGGTTCTAGAGTTGACTGCAGTGATGCAGCTGCAGGCCAAGGAACACAAATGGCTAGACGGCTGCACGTTTAGAGGGAATCTTTAAACATAATGAAAAGCCAAAATATATTCAAGGCTTTCAAAATCCCCTAATTCTTTTTATTTTATTTTATTTTATTTTATTTTATTTTATTTTATTTTATTTTATTTTTTGAGACGGAGTTTCACTCTTGTAGCCCAGGCTGGAGTGCAACGGCGCAATCTTGGCTCACCGCAACCTCCGCTTCCCAGGTTCAAGCAATTCTCCTGCCTCAGCCTCCGGAGTAGCTGGGATTACAGGCATGCGCCACCATGCCCGGCTAATTTTTGTATTTTTAGTAGAGACGGGGTTTCTCCATGTTCATCAGGCTGGTCTCAAACTCCCAACCTCAGGTGATCCACCCTCCTTGGCCTCCCAAAGTACTGAGATTACAGGCATGAGCCACCGCACCCAGCCAAAATCCCCTAATTCTATTGCAAGAAACCAACGGAATCAGGGAGCCATACACACACACACACACACACACACACACACACACACACATATCTTTTTTTTCTACGTTGTATGAGAAAAAATCATTTAATTCCATCACAAAATGTTCTACATATGTTTTTAAAATTACAGTATTACTTCCCTGGAAAACTTCCTAAAAGAGGAAAAAAGCATCTATTTCCTAAGTCTGTCATGCTAGAAGGAGGAATGGCTTCTGATAGGAAAGCTGAGGTAGAACATCAGTTGTGAGCTCTCTTGGAGTTAAGCAATTTGGACAGGGACTGCAACGTCGTATGTGTGCAACTCCTACCCTGTGTCAGGGCAGTGTCTTGTCAGCTCCAGCCTGATATCACGGCCCTAGTAGCACATAAGCAGCATGGTGAAATCACACTGACGATCCTCCCACCTCAGCCTCCCGAGTGGCTGGGACTGCAGATAGCTAGGACATGCCTGGCCTAGACCTGGCTGGTTTTTTTTTTTTGTTTCTTTGTTGTTGTGTGTTTTGGAGTTGTTGTTCTGCTTTTTTTGTTTGCTCGTTTTTGAGACAAACTGGGTCTCACTCTGTCACCCAGGCTGGGGTGCAGTGGTAAAATCTCAGCTCACTGCAGCTTCAACCTCCCCTGCTCCAGTGATCCTCCCACCTCAGCCTTTTGGGTAGCTGGGATCACAGGCACACAGCTAATTTTCTGTGATTTTTATAGAGACAGGATTTTGCCACGTTGCCCAGGCTGGTTTCGAACTCTTCGGCTCAAGTGATTCGCCTGCCTCAGCCTCCCAAAGTGCTGGGATTACAGGTGTGAGCCATCGTGTCAAGCCCACCTGGCTGTTTTGATTACTGACTCTGATCTTGGGCAAGTTATTTGAGTTTTCTGAGCCTGTTTCTCTACTTGTAAGATGGGAATAGTAATATCTATTACTTATTATTTAAGGTAGCTGTGATGGTTTGAATTGTATCCCCCAAAAAGTAAGCTGAAGTCCTGACCCTGCAGTACCACTGAATTTGACCTTATTTGGAAGTAGGGCTGTTGCAGATGTAATTAGTTTAAGATGAGGTCACATTGAAGTAGGGTGGGTCCTTAGTCCAATATATCTGGTGTCCTTATAAGAAGAGGGAAGACAGCCATGTGCAGACACAGACACACAGTGAGAATGACAGGTGATGACAGAGGCGGAGACTGGAGGGATGCAGCTGCAGCCCAGGAACGCCGAGGATTGCCAACAACCACCAGAAGCCAGGAAGAGCCAAGGAAGGTTTCCCTTTGATGTGTCTCACAGGGAGCATGGCCCTAACTTGATTTTGGACTTCTAGCCTACAGACCTGTGAAACAATACACTTCTGTTGTTTTAAGCTCTGTTTGCCTAATTTCTTATGGCAGTCCTAGCAAATTAATATGGTGCTAGAGGCCTAATGTATGTATTTTGTGTGTGTGCTGGGTGGAGGGAGTACGTGTTCTTTAACTGCAGAAGAAAATAAGGCAACCTATCTTATGCATCTAAACCAAGAAGTGTCATCATTTCCTGTGGATCAACCCTCCCACTCACTCTGCTCCAGCACTGACTGGCTCCTGGCTGTGGCTGGAACACCCCAGCTGCATTCCCTCCTTAGGGCCTTTACACCCACTGCTTCCTCTACCTGGAACAGGCCCAGGGCCAACTCCTGACTTCCTGCCTTTCCTCGATGAGGCCCCTTCTGCAATTTGCACTCCCACCCCACTAACCAACTTCTCTTGCTCTACTTTACTTTTTCTTTTCTCCATGTTCTCAGTGGATTCTAATATCCTAGTAACGTGTTTATTATATGCATTATTTATCATCTCCATCCATGCTACAACATTAAGCTCCATGCACTGATGTGAACAAACATCAAAAATAGTACCTAGTTCACTGTAGGTGCTTAAGAAAAAATTTTCTAAAAATCCATCATTCATTTTCAAATGACCACTTTAATTATTACAGAAGCCGTATGTGCTCACTGTAAAAAATTAGAAAAAAATTAAAAGCTTCAAACTCCCACCATCTAATAAAACCTCTCAAATTACAAGAAATCAGACTGACTTTTATCTTCTTTAAGTGACTCCCTAAGGGGTGCTGACAATCCAGGAGAACTCTCACGGTAGAGGTAACATGCATCTTACAAAGCTTGGTATGTGAATTTAATGAAATAAAGTAACCAAATAGTCAATACAATGCTTATCATAGCAACTAAGACAACTAATGAGTAGTTTTTATTAACAGGTAGTTATCGTAATAGGTCACTGTTGATAGGTAGTTGTTATTTTATTTCCTTTGATCTCATATTTAACTTCCATCTCTTCCCACAACTTACAAAAAGTAAGTGGCGGATATCTGCAGCCAAAATAATGATATGATGCTATCTATCTATTTATTTATTTATTTATTTATTTATTTATTTATTTATTTATTTTGAGATGGAGTCTTGCACTGTCACCCAGGCTGGAGTGCAGCAGTGAGATCTCGGCTCACTGCAACCTCTCCCTCCCGGGTTCAGGCGATTCTCCTGCCTCAGCCTCCCAAGTAGCTGGGATTACAGGCGCCCGCCATCACGCCCAGCTGTTTTTGTGTTTTTAGTAGAGATGGGGTTTCACCGTGTTGGCCAGGCTGGTCTTGAACTCCTGACCTTGTGATTCGCCCACCTCGGCCTCCCAAAGTGCTGGGATTACAGACGTGAGCCAACGTGCCCGGCTGATATGATGTTATTTTTACAGGGGAGGCAGATGAGGAATGCCTCCCACTCCCAGCATTCAGAAGACAAAGTTCCCCAAACTCACAGGACCAAGCTCTATGGCTCAAAAGCACCATGAGACACAAGGCCACTGTTTCCATTGAATTTTCTAATAGCAAGAAAACAATGAACAATGATAACCATTTTTTTTTTTTGAGACAGAGTCTCGCTCTATTGCCCGGGCTGGAGTGCAGTGGCACAATCTTGGCTCACTGCAACTTCTGCCTCCTGAGTTCAAGCGATTCTCCTGCCTCAGCCTCCTGAGTAGCTGGGACTACAGGTGCCCACCACCACACCTGACTGACTTTTGTATTTTTAGTAGAGATGGGTTTCAGCATGTCAGCCAGCCTGGTCTCGAACTCCTGACCTCAAGTGATCCGCCCGCCTCAGCTTCCTAAAGTGCTGGGATTACAGGTGCAAGCCACTGCACCCGGGTGATAACCACATTTTTGTATTACATGTCCTCTCCCATTTACAAAACCTTTTCCCATGAAACTTTCTTTTATAGATGAAATAACTGGGGTTCAGAGAATTTAAGTCACTTGTCCAAGTTGACTCAGCTGGTAAGTAGAAGAGTTGGGAATGCAATCTAGGATTAGATCACTGATGACAAGGATCACTTGTCCTGATATTCAGTGAAATACATACTAGTCCTAGAATCCCACTTACAACAAATGAAACATTCCTTAGCATTTTTTCCATAAGCTACTTCCCTCTCCATACTCTACATAAAAGACTTACCTATCTTAATAGCCACAGGTCTTTTTCTTGTTGGATAATTCTCCACCAAAATTTTCTCCTTGCAAAAGGGAAACTTCACCTTCAGCTGTAAATGTCAGGAAATGGGGTACATTGCTGAGAAAGCCTGGGAATCACTGCTCTTGTAAGCTGTTGAGAAAAAAAAAAAACATTAAGAACTTTATGTCTTCAATCCTCTCTTGGGGAGCCTTTAAAATGAATCTCTTTTCCAATCCTTGGCAGAAGTCAGCACAAAAGAGGTTTCTTCCCCCTCCATGAGTCTTCCAATTAGGTTTACCAACATTCGATTTGCACTGTTTAGCCAAAATTTACTATAGAGCTTTAAAAGCATTTATTATTAACTTTCCCCCTTTTGAGAGGACTAAAAGAATCACATCCCTGAATACTGAGACTTCCATATGCTTACACATAGGATTGCACACATATTCTTCATGTAGTTTAACTAAAATTCAAGAAGCTAGAAGACACAAATCCAATTTAGCAGACGTGAAGGCAGTAATCATTAGGTTATTTCCTAGTGAAGGCACCTTTTTACTCTAATACAAATCACAGAATTAACTAGGTTAATGAGCTTCCTGTGGGAAGAGAGTGCACAATCCCTTCTAAAGCTGCCTGAATGAAAACCAGGATGTAATGAATGTAGATTTTAGCTGGAATGGAGGTAGAAAATGTCCAAGAAACAACCTCAGATTAACACAGGCCCTTTGCAAAGCTCTGTGAAACAAGACAACATTCTGGGGCAACAATACAAGATGAAGTCACTCCAAATCTCAGGATGGACAAGGGTGTCAAGCCCTGATGGGGGTTGGCTTGTATGGGCTTAGAGAAGAATTCTCAGTTCTGGCTATGAGGGACTAGCTTCTAGCAGACCAATTTCTCATTGAATACAACTAGAACAGCTGGACAAAAGTTATTTTTAAAATCTGTTTAAAGGCTTCGGAGGACTACCAAGACAGCCAGGGCATGAAAGGCCACGATCTTAAGGGAGAAGGGAAATAAAATTGAGGCAAGTCAGACATTTTGTACCACTTTTCCTTTTGAGACACCCACTGGTTTTTTAGGAGGCACAGGGCAAAACTACTGAGAAACCTAGCAGAAAGTGGCTATTTAGAGGAACATAAAGTGAACGGACCTTTTGTCCAACTTACAGGCTGAGGCGATCCCAGAGAGAAGGGAAATGCAAAGAAATGAGCTCAACATTCTGCCTCGGTTTAACTTTGTAAGGAACTGTGAAACATTTTTCAGAAGCGGTTGTATCATTTTGCACTCCCATCAGTAATATATGAGAGTTCTAGTTTACACAATCTCATCAACATTTGGCATTGGCACCTTACAGAACTAGAAAAGCAAGAAAAAACCAAACCCAAAATTAGTAGATGGAGAGAAATAATAAAGATTAGAGCATAAACAAATAACATTGAGACAATAAACCACCAAAGATTAACAAAATAAAAAGTTGGCTTTTTTAAAAGATAAAAAAATTTGACAAATCTTTACCTAAGCTAAGAAACAAGGAGAGAAGACTCAAATAAATAAAATCAGAGACAGAAAAGAAGGCATTACAACAGGTACCATGGAAATAAAAAGGCTCATTAGAGACTATTATGAACAATTGTACAACAATAAATTAGAAAACCTAGATGAAATGGTTACTCTCCTACATCCATGCAACCTACCAAGATTGAACAAATAGAGAATCTGAACAGACAAATAAAAAGTAATAAGATTGAAGTAGCAATAAAAAGTCTCTCATTAGGGAAAGCCCAGAACCTGATGGCTTCACTGCTGAATTCTACCAAGCATTTAAAGAAAAACTAATACCAATTCTACTCAAACTGTTGCAACAAATTGGAAAGAAGGGAATACTTCCACACTTATTTTACAAGGGCATCATTACCCTCATACCAAAACCAAAGACATAAAAAAGATGCAAAAATCCTCAACAAAATACCATCAAACCACAGTCAACATCCCATTGAAATGATCATTTACCATGATCAGGTGGGATTCACCCCAGGAATGCAAAAATGGTTCAACATACACAAATCAACACATCACATTAACAGAATAAAAGACAAAAACTATATGATGATTTCAATAGATGCCTCCTAAAAAGCATTCAATGAAATTCAACATTGCTTTATGATAAAAATCCTCAAGAAACTGGGTATAAAAGGAACATACCTCAAGACAATAAAGTCCGTGTATGACAAAACCAAACCAAAAGACAGCATCACACTGAACAGGGGAAATTGAAAGCCTTTCTTCTAAGCTCTAGAACAAGACAGGGATGCCCAGTTTCACCACTTTTATTCAACATAGTACTGGAAGTCCTAGATAGAGCAATTAGACAAGAAAAGGAAATAAAGGGCGTCCAAATTGCAAAGAAAGAAGTCAAATTGTACTTGTTTGCAGATGACATTATCTTACATTTAGAAAAATCTAAAGGCTCTAAAAAAAACTGTTAGAACTGATAAATTCAGTAAGGTTGCAGAATACAAAATTAACATACAAAAATCAGTAGTATTTCTATATGCCAACAGTTAACAATCTGGAAAAGAAATCTAGAAAGTAATCTCATTTACAAAACCTACAAAAAGAATACCTAGGAATAAATTTAACCAAAGAATTAAAAGATCTCTACAATGAAAACTATAAAACACCAATGAAAGAAATTGCTCCAGGCTTGGTGGCTCATGCCTGTAATACCAGCACTTTGGGAGGCCAAGGCAGGTGGATCACAAGGTCAGGAGATCGAGACCATCCTGGCTAACACAGTGAAACCCCATCTCTACCAAAAATACAAAAACAAAAAAATTAGCCGGGCGTGGTAGTGGGTGCCTGTAGTCCCAGCTACTCGGGAGGCTGAGGCGGGAGAATGGTGTGAACCTGGGAGGTGGAGCTTGCAGTCAGCAGAGATTGCACCACTGCACTCCAGTCTGGACGACAGAGCAAGTCTCCATCTCAAAAAAAAAAAAAAAGAAATTGGAAGGATATTCCATGCTCATAGTTTGAAAGAATTAATATTGTTAAATGCCCATACTACTTAACGTGATCTATAGATTCAATGGAATCCCTATCAAAATGCCAATGACATTCTTCAGAGAAATAGAAAATGCAATGCTAAAATTCGCATGGAACCACAAAAGACCCTGAATAGCTAAAGAAAACTAAGCAAAAGGAACAAAGCTGGAGTCATCACACTACCTTATTTCAAAATATACTACAAAGCTATAATATCTAAAACAGCATGGTACTGGTTTAAAAATGGACACATAGACCAATGGAACAGAATAGACAACCCAGAAATGAATTCACACTTTTATAACCAAAATAATTTTCAACAAAGGCACCAAGAACACACACTGGGGAGAAAACAGTCTCTTCAATAAATGATGCTGGGAACACTGGATATCCATATACAGACTAAAACCAGACCTCTATATCTCACCATATACAAACATTAAATAAAAATGAATTAAAGATTAAATGTAAGACCTGAATCTATGAAACTACTACAAGAAAACACTGGGGAAATGCTTCAGGACATTGGCCTGGACAAAGTTATTGAGTAAGACCTCAAAGGCACAGGCAACCAAAGCAAAAATTAACAATTGGGATTACATTGAGCTAAAAAGCTTCTGCATAGCGAGGAAAACAACAAACGAAGAGAAAACCAACAGAATGTGAGAAAACATTTGCAAACTATCCATCTGACGAGGGATTAATAACCAGAATATATAAAGAACTCTAACAACTCAACAGCTAAAAACAAATAATTTGATTTAAAAATGGCAAAAGAGGATACCCTGTGTGTGTACCCTGATGTGATTATTATGTATTGCATGCCTGAAGCAAAATATCTCATGTAATTCATAACTACATACCCACAAAAATTTAAAAAATTTTAAAAAATTAAAAAACAGAACTTCTGCTAAAAAAACTGAATTAAAATGGCAAAAGACATCCAAGTGGCAAGTAGGTATATTAATCATTAGGGAAATGCAAATCAAAAACCACAATAAGATATTATCTCACACCAGTTAAAATTGCTATTAACAAAAAGATAGGAAGTAACATATGCTGGCAAGGATGCAGAGAAAGGAGAATGTTTGTACACTGTTGGTGGGAATGTAAATTAGTACAACCACTATGGACAACAGTATGGAGGTTCCTCAAAAAACTAAGAAGAGAACTACCATATGATCCAGCAATCTCACTGCTGCATATGTTAATATATCCAAAAGAACATCAGTGTATCAAACAGATATCTGTATGTTATGGTTTGGCTCTGTGTCCCCACCCAAATCTCATGTTAAATTGTAATCCCCACCTGTCAGGGGAGGGGCCTGGTGAGAGGTGACTGGATCATGGGGATGGATTTCCCCCATGCTGTTCTCGTGATAGTGAGTGAATTCTCACAAGATCTGATAGTTTAAAAGTGTGGCACTTTCCCGCCTCACTCTTTCTCTCTTGCCACCATGTAACACATGCCTTGCTTCCCCTTCACCTTCTGTCATGATTGTAAATTTTTTGAGGCCTCCCAATCATGCTTCCTGTTAAGCCTGTGAAACTGTGAGTCTATTAAACCTCTTTTCTTCATAAATTACCTAGTCTCAGGTAGTTCTTTATATCAGTGTGAAAACAGACTAATACACTGTACTCCCATGTTTATTGAAGCACTATTCACACAATAGCCAAGATACAGCATTAACCTAAGTGTCCATCAACAGATGAATGCATAAAGAATATGTGTTATATATACACACAATGGAATATTATTTAGCCATAAAAAATGAAATCCTGTCATTTGCAGCAACATGGATGGAACTAGACATTAGGTTAAGTGAAATATGCCAGAAACAGAGAGGCAAATATCACATTCTCACTTACATGTGGGATTTAAAAAATTGATCTCATGTTCCTACAGAGTAGAATGATAGTTACCAGAGGCTAAGAAGGGAAGCAGGGAGAGGGGGATGACGAGGAGTTGATTAATGGGTACAAAAATACAGTTAGATAGAATAAGTGTTCAGTAGCATAATAGGGCAACTTAGTTAACAATATTTATTGTATATATCAAAATAGCTGGAGGACAGGATTTGAAATGCTCCCAACACAAAGAACTGATAAAGGTCTGAGGTGATGGATGTGCCAGTTACCCTGATTTGATCATTACACATTATATGCTTGTATCAAAATATCCCATGTACCCCATAAATATGTACAACTATTATGTATCCATTAAAAATTTAAAAATCAAAAAAAGAAGCATGTATTTAAAAAAATGGTGTTGCCAGATTTTAGTTTGAACCATTCTAGTGTGACTCCTACAACTCAGTAACAAACAACCCAATTTATTTAATGGACAAAGGATTTGCATAAATATTTCTCCAAAGAAGATACATCAATTCCAAATTAGTGCATGACAAGTTGCTCAACCATTAGGGAAATACAAATCAAAAGTACGATGAGATACCACCTCACACCTACTAGGATGGCCATTATCAAAGATACAGAAAATAACAAGTGTTGGTGAGGATGCAGAAAAATTGAAGCCCTTCTTGTACCCTGTTGGTAGGAATGTAAAACGTACAGTGGACACAAAAAAACAGTATGGTGTCTCTAAAAACATTTAAAATAAAATGACCACATTATCTAGCAATTCCACTTCTGGGCATATATGCAAAAGAAGTGAAAGCAAATAAATTTTTACCAATTATTACAAATAAATTTTAACAAGTGGGCAAATTGACAAATATGGAATCCATAAATAATGAGCTTTGACTGTATGTCTATGTATGGTTTCAAGTCTGAAATCTGGTTTTCCTTTCTTCAGTTTCTTCTCATTTAGACAAAATAGGCCTGATGAAGCTCTAAACATATTTAATATAGCGAGGTGTCATCTAAAATGAAGTAGCTTCATGGAAACCCATTTGCTGATGAGAAAGCAATTTACAACTTGTTCTGTTGAACACTCATATTTGGAGTTCAACACCCATCTCTATTAATTTCCTTTCTCATATCCTCAGGGATAACTTTACAGAACACCTGAAATGTTAACAATTTGTAATTCAAGAATGAATGTATCTGGGCACTTTTTCAAATACAGGAACAAAATCAGCAAGAATGAGGCAATGCATGTTTTGAAGGAGAAGGAAGAGCAATGCGATCCTCAGTGAACTCAGAGCATGTATAGTCAAAGGTAAACTTCTTTGACTTTTTCCATTTGCTACAGTTGTGTACAGGATGTTTCACAGCTCCTGCGATCTGTGGGGTCACCCTAAAAAACAAGTGCTAAGAGAAAGTTGCCTGCATTTCAAATTTTCAGTCTAACAGTCAGAAAGGCTGGGTGTTGGCCGGGTGCGGTGGCTCACGCCTGTAATCCCAACACTTTGGGAGGCCGAGGCGGGCGGATCACCTGAGGTTGAGAGTTCGAGACCAGCCTGACCAACATGGAGAAACCTCGTCTCTACTAAAAATACAAAATTAGGCCAGGCACAGTGGCTCATGCCCGTAATCCAGCACTTTGGGAGGCTGAGGTGGGCAGATCATGAGGTCAGGAGATCGAGACCATCCTGGCCAACATGGTGAAAACCCGTCTCTACTAAAAATACAAAAATTAGCTGGGCATGGTGGCACGCAACTGTAGTCCCAGCTGCTCAGGAGGCTGAGGCAAGAGAATCGCTTGAACCCAGGAGGTGGACGTTGCAGTGAGCCGAGATCACGCCACTGCACTCCAGCCTGGTGACAGAGCAAGATGCTGTCTCAAAAAAAAAAAAATTAGCTGGGCGTGGTGGCACATGCCTGTAATCCCAGCTACTCAGGAGGCTGAGGCAGGAGAGTTGCTTGAACCCGGGAGGCAGGGGTTGCGGTGAGCCGAGATCATGCCATTGCACAGCAGCCTGGGCAACAAGAGCGAAACTCTGTCTCAAAAAAAGAAAGGTTGGGTGTTAGAACCACATCTCCAAGATTCGTTCACTTCTGCAAGTCATGATGCCTGTGACCTGGCACTTGAGAACAGATTGTAACAGAGAAAATACAGCTGAATTACTCAGAAGATTTCTGCCCAGCAGCGGTAACTGTGCTGCTTGCTGTTTCCCTCCATGCAGAATTAGGTTCCCATCAAGATGGCTTCAGTTTTTCAGGCAAATACAATGTGGTCACTTTGAGCAGTGTCTTCTCAGCCCATTCTCAATAGCAATTGGCAAAAGAAGCGGTTTTAGTGGACAGTGGGACCTAAATAGTGATACTATCTTCCTTTTATTCCTCTGCGACTCCCCAACTAACAGAAGGATACTGCAGGAATGATCTGAACTTTGGGACAGGAGACCCATTTCCAGCCTTGGCTAGATTTAAAGTTATACTGTAAAGTTGAAAAAAAAAAAAAAAGAGAAACCCTCAAAAGATACCTCCACGCACCAGCAGGAGTACAGAAATTCTGTTCCTCCATCTCCTGCCTTCCCCAGCCTCTTCCCCAACAGAACTTCTGGGAACATGCAGGTTCAACAGACCTCCTTAAAGCTGTGTGTTTGGAGCTATAAAGGTGGAAAATCTGAAACCATGAGCACATGGAAACATATTCACAGGTGCCTTACCCACAGGACGGAGGCAGGCATATGGTTGAAATTCCCCACCACCGCCCCTAGATCTTATAATTTTCTACTATTTGTCTGCACAGGGAACATTTCTTAGCTAAGCTACAATGTTGATAGTCTGTAAGCTTACCACTATTCATTATTATTTATCATCCTCCTTTTGTTGTGAAACTTCAGTGGCAAATTGTCCATACTTGTTATCTCCACCATCTCAGCATTGTTCACTCCTTTACCCCCCACCTTACCTTGATCTGATCATTCTACTCAAATTGCACTTTTCAAAGTCACCAATAACCTGTGAATCCCAAAATAAAAACTGTTGCTCAATTTGCTTTTGTCTTGACACCCACCAGTCTCTGATCTACAGCCCCCCTAATCTATGATGCTGCTAACTGGACAACACTACTTGAAACTGTTCCTTTAGTTTCTTCGATACTGTGTCTTCCTGGTTGTTTTTACATACTCTTTTGCTCCTCCACTGATAACTATTCACAGTAAGTATCTGTTCCTCGTCAGCTATAATGACCATAGTCTTTCTTTTTTTTTTTTTATTATACTTTAAGTTCTAGGGTAAATGTGCACAACGTGCAGGTTTGTTACATATTTATACATGTGCAGTGTTGGTGTGCTACACCCATTAACTCGTCATATAATGATCATGGTCTTTCTAAGACGATCTCTGTCATTCTGCTTTTTCATTCTCTGTCATTTTCCATGCCCGATTAGTTTTTTTAAAAATCTTATTTGTTTCTTTCTTTGAATGTCCCTTTAATCTGTTATTTCTGTCACCACCATGATGCAGAATCCCACCTACTCATGCATGACTTGCTGCAGCATCCTATTATTTAGTTTGTCTGCCTCTGTTGAACCCTAAACATTACTGCCAGATTAATTCAGCCAATTATCCTTGTGTTAAATTACTCCCTATTTACAAAACACATGATGACTCCCCATTATTCATGTAATAGTTTTTTAAGAGATAGGGTCTCATCCTGCTGCTCAGTCTGGAGTGCAGTGGCACAATCACAGATCACTGTAACCTCGAGCTCCTGGGCTCAAGCGATCCTCCCGCCTCAGCCTCAAGCTGGGACTACTACAGGCACACACCACCATGCCTGGCTAATTTTTAATTTTTTGTAGAGATAGGGTCTTGCTATGTTGTCAAGGCTAGTCTCAAACTCCTGGCCTCAAGCAACCCTCCTTTCTCTCCCTCCCTGAAGTGCTGAGATTACAGGTGCAAACCACTGCGCCCAGTCTATTCACAGAATAAATGTCTGAGTCTGCCATTCAAGTTCCCCCAAAATCCAGCCCCTCTTTACCTAGCCAAGATTTGCTATACCCAATACCAAAAGTATATAAAATGACTATACCAAAAGTATCCAAAATGATACCCAGATCTCTAAGCCTCCCTATTTTCAATGAGCAGCACAGAGAACTCTTGGTTTTTCCCTGGACCTTCCACTTAACATTGCCACTACCACTGTGATTCATGGTTCCCACTCCCAACAGAGCAACTGAACATGTATCATCCCCTCAAAGAACCTGCGCTCTTCAGAATACCCACTCTTCAGAGCTACGTGGATTCTACCAGGATTACTCCAGTCAAACCAGAAGGCATGTGACAGGCAGGGAGTGGCAAGCCAAGAAGTGAAGGGTCCTCTGTGTTTGTGATGTCGGCATTCGAATGTTATTCCATTACAGGGGATGGAGGAGGAAGAGGAGGAAGGAAAAAGGAGGGTTTTTTGTTGTGGTTGTTGTTGTTGTTGTTGTTGTTCTGCTACTCAGTGAAAGTACAAACAGAACCTAAGTATCATAAACTGAACTCATTCAATTCTTTTCAGTAAAGTAGCTCACCAGATAAATACCCCTGCTGGTTGTTTGAATTACATATGAGTAAACTGATCTGCTTCTTTATTTTCAACTTCTCAAAGGCAACTGTTCACAAGCACATCTTAGGAAACAAACTCATCTCCCTGATACTTGGCTGCAGAACAAATGGTTAAAGATTAACAATACTCTTAACGGGCCAGTCGTGGTGCCTGTAATCTCAGCACTTTGGGACGCCAAGGCAGGTGAATGGCTTGAGCTCAGGAGTTCGAGACGAGCCTGAGCAACATGGCAAAACCCCGTCTCTACAAAAAAATACAAAAATTAGCTGGGTGTGGTGGTGTGCACCTGTAGTCCCAGCTACTTGGGAGGCTGCGGTGGGAAGATTGCTTGAGCCTAGGAGGTAGAGGTGCCATCAGCGAAGATAGCACCACTGCACTCCAGCCTGGGTGACAGAGCCAGATCCTGTCTCAAAACAAAACCAATACACTTAAAGGAAACTCTAAAGTTCAGGCATGAAAAGATAGGCCTGGCAAGGGTTCATGAACCTGTTCTCTGGGCATGGGAGGTAAACGGACCACCAAGGAGCCTTTCCTTTTGAGAGTACTATTCCCTGAGCTAATGCTAGAAACTCAAAGCTCCTGATTAGATGATAAAAATTATTTATACTTTAGATATGATGCTTGTTCCCAAAACTGTAACCATATGGCCTTCCATATGGAACTGTCTTGAATTTCCATTCTCATATTTTCATTTCCTCTAAATCAGCTCATCCCTAGGCTCCTTTGTTGGGATTTCAGAATATAGTAGAGATTCTTCCTGATTTAGCTACGAAGAAACAACTTACTCCCTATTTGTTTGTTCTCTGGCAGTGGGAACAGATTTCCACTGATCCCTCCACACCTCAGCCCCTAATGAATCTTACCCACTTCAGGAATGCCTTTGTAGTGAGCCCCATCAACAAAGGTAGTCTGTAACCTTAAATAATTTGACTTGTTTAATATATTGGCTTGTGAAGTTTGTTGCTGAACTACTGATGACGTTTTTCTATGGAAGCCATGTGATAAACGGTCATTAGGTTCTCAGGCTAGCTCTCATGCCCATTCACCTACTCATCCATAGTATCACAGCAGTAGTATGATGGGGGAAAATCTTTCTGCATTCCTGAATCCCCTTGACCTAAAGGTAGGAAAGGAATGAATGGTTCCAATTTCTTTGTGTCTTTGTGTCTTTCTAGGGATCCTTTGCATATACAACTATAGTTTTATATATATAAATTTATATTATATATGTAGTTACATAGTTATATATAATTATATATATAGTTGAATATGCAGATAATATTATATATATCCATCAGTGGACAAAAAGATAAATAAAATGACATATATATGTGAATACTGTTAAGCCTTTATTCTTATTTTTTTCAATGAGACTCATTTTATGAGACCAGCATAATCCTAATACCAAAAACAAATACATGGTAAGAAAGCTAGAGAGCAATATTCCTTATGGACATAAATGCAAGCATTAAGTTAAAAATTGGTAATTTGAATTCTGCAATATGGTAAAAGGATAATATATTATGTCCAAGTGATGCTTATCCCAGGAATGCAAGGTCGGTTCACAATCAGTGTAATTTACAATATTAACAGACAAAAAGAAGAAAAATCTTAAAGAGTTTCAGAAAAAACATTTAACAAAAAACAACATCCTTTTCTAATAAAAATGATTTAAAAACTGGGAATACAAGACAGTTTCCTCACCCTGATAAAGAGCATCTATGAAAAACTTACAGCTAACATCCTACTTGATAAAAGGCTGAATGATCTCCTCCCAAGATTGGCAACATGGCAAAATTGTCTATACTCTCTACTTCTCTTTAACATTGTAGTAGAGGTCATAGTCAGTGAAACAGACAAGAAAGAGAAATAAAAGTGATACAGATTGGAAAGGAAGAAGTAAAACCATCTTTATACACAGACAACATGATAATCTATGTAGAAAATCCTGAGGAATCTATCAAAGGTAACCAGAAGTAATATGTGAGTTTCCCAGGGTTTTAGGATACTAGGTCAATAAATAAAATTAACTGACTTATTTCATTTAGCATAATTTCCTCAAGGTTCATCCATGTTGCATATTGCAGGATTTCCTTCTCTTTTAAGGCTGAATAATATTACTGTGTATACATATGTCACATTTTTTAAGTCCATTCATCTGTTGGTGAATATTTAGGTTGTTTCCACATATTGGTTTTGTGAATAGTCTATTCAGACTTTGAAAAGAGGGAAATCCTATCATTTGCGACAACTTGAATGAAATTAGAGGACCTTATGTTAAATGAAATAAGCTAGGCACAGAAAGACAAATACCACGTATTATTGCTTATATGTGGAATCTAACATGATCCAAATCATAGAAGCAGAGAGCAGAATGGTGGTTACCAGAAGCTGGGGAGGGGAGCTAACAGGCAGATGCTGGTCAAAGGGTACAAAGTTTCAGTTAGACAGGAAGAATAAATGGTATTTGAGATGATGATATGTTAATTAGCTTGATTCAATCATGCCACATTGTATACATATATCATAGCACCACTTTATAGCCCATACATATATACAATTATAATTTGGCAATATCCAGTTTAATAAGTTAGATACACATTGTCCTACACATTTCTGTTTTCTCTTAAAATAACTTGGAGATCTGTTGCATATCAGTACAATGTGGATCTGTCACGTGCTTTTTAATAGTTCTACAGATATAACACAGCTTTTTTGAAAAAAATGAAATAACTTATAAATCTATTGATAATTTCATAAATTGTATAATAAAGGTAAACTTAAAATTTCCTTTTCTCATTATAAAAGTAGTAAATAATCACAAAAGAAAAATCAAGAAGTGAAAAATATTACCCACAATCCCACTAAAACTTTGTCAGTGTAGTTTTTTCAAGACAGTGTTCTTAGAGTCTGATGGATGGACATTCACACCAGAATCACCTCAGGTGCCTGTCAGATGAGCAGATTTCAGAGCACTGTCCCATACTTATTAAGTCAGAATTTCTGAGTATGGTGCTTTATTTAGTATTGGAAGATTCACAGATGAAGTTTGAAAACTGTAGCTGAAGGCCCTTTTCTCTGCCTTAAAAAGTTTTCATTATATTTTACATGCAATGTTGCATTCTTCCTTTAAAAAAAATTTTTACAGCTAATGTTTTGTATTTTTCCATGCTACTAAATTGTCCTTGCTGCTACTATCATTGCAATTGCCTGTGTAATACTCCATTAAATGGTTTTTTTTTTTTTTTTTGAGACAGAGTGTCTCTCTGTCTCACCCAGGCTAGAGTGCAGTGGTGTGGCTCACTGCAACCTCCGCTTCCTAGGTTTAAGCGATTCTCCTGTCTCAGCCTCCCGAGTTGCTGGGATTATAGGCATGCACCACCACACCCAGCTAATTTTGTATTTTTAGTAGAGACGGGGTTTCACCATGTTGGGCAGGCTGGTCTTGAACTCCTGACCTCAGGTGATCCACCCACCTCAGCATCCCAAAATGCTGGAATTACAGGTTTAAGCCACCATACCCAGCCAAATGAGTATTTCTTAATTTACTTATCTGTTCATCTGTTGTTGGACACTTAGGATCTTCCCATTGTATTCATTTTTTAAAATAGCACTGCAACAAATATCTTTGCTGCACATAACTTTTTCCATATTTTGGACTACTTCCAAAAGATAAAATCATATAAGTGAAAAAATTGGGTTAAAAGAAATAAATATGGTTAAGGCTCAGAATGCAAACTGCCTTCCAAACTATATTAATTTATATTTCCAGCTGGGTACAGTGGCTCACACCTGTAATCTGGGAGGCTAAGAAGGGAGGATCGCTTGAGGCTGGGAGTTCAAGACCAGCCTGGGAAACATAGAAAAAAACCCATCTCTACAAAAAAACATTTTTTTATTAGTTAGGTGTAGTGTTGTGTGCCTATAATCCTATCTACTCTGGAGGTTGAGAAATGACGACTGCTTAAGCCCAAGAGTTCCAGGCTACAGTAAGCTATAATTGTGCTACTACACTGCAGGCTGGGCAACAGATTGAGACCCTGTGTCTTACAAAACAAATTCAATTTCCACTAGCAATGAATTAGTTTTTGCTCTCTCCATTTGAACTCTTTGCTTGCTAATTTAATAAGCAAAATATTATTTTTTAATTTCTTTGTAAGGTAAACATTTTTCTGTATGTATGTTGAGTAGCATTTCTTTCTTGGTAAATTATTAATGTTATTTGACTTTTTTCTCATGAGGTAACTCTTTCTACATAAATAGGATAGCTTTATTTAACCTTAAAGTTATTCCCTAATGCATGAAGTACTGAGATTCTGGGTCTCTTAAAGGTATAACCTTTTGGCTGACTGGCACACTGCTCAGAGAGCCAATGTAGCTAAAAGCATGGACTTAGCAGTAATCTGCTGCATACTAACTGTGTGTCCCTGGGTAAGTTACTTAAATCTTAGTGCTTCAGCTTCCTCACCTTTAAATGGCAATGGTGATAATCATTATTAATAATCAATGGTTTCCTGGATTGAATGAGTCAGTACACATAGCACCTGGCACACAGTAAGCACTTAATAAATGAGAGCTGTTAGCCATCCTGTAGATGTGAGCTCCAGAGGAGCAGGGATTTCTGTCTGTTGCTGCTACGTCAGTGCCCAGCTGAGAACAGACTCTCAGTGGATGTTCTTTAAACCACTAGGCTGAGAAACATCACTGAAGGCAGTAATGTGTCTGCTAAAGTGCCTGCAGTCTGCACCTTTCATTTTCCCAGGCAGTTGGAGGTAAAGATGCGGGTAGGTCAGACTGACGATGGCAGAAAGTGATAAAATTCACCTGAACTTCCTTAACACAGTGAAACAAGAGCTGCTCTGGAATCTGCAAAGAATGGCCAGAAACTGCCATCTGGGTCAGGACATTCCAACTGCCCAAGTTGTTTCTCTTTCCTCCCACTTGATTTCAGAGATCAGTCCTGCCCAGATGTTCTCACTAGGTCTGTCTTTGAAAGGAAACAAATGGAGGACTCTGAACCAAATTGCATTCAGAATTTAACCTGAAGAGCAATTTATTAGAACCTTTTAGGTCGATTCTCCATTTATCTTTGCCTGAGAAACTCTATAACAGTTTTGATCAGGCTTACTGAGGTATAACTTACCACCCTTCTTATGTATACAGCTCACATACATGCACAATAATGTCACCACACTGCAATCAAGGTATAAAACATTTCCACCACTCCAAAAAGTTCCCTCAGACTCCTTCTGTAGTCGATCCCATCCTCCGTCCCCAACCTCTGGTACCCACTGATCTGATTTCTGTCCCTATAGTTTTGCTCTCTCCCAAATGTCATATACATGAAATCATACAGTATGGCTCCCTTTTGTGCCCAGCTTCTTGCACTCCGCCTAATGCTATGGAGATTCTTCCATGTTGTTGCACGTATCAGTAGCTCACTTTTATTTCTGAATATATAGTTTTTTGAGCAATTAAAAAATTATCTCCTGGGCCAGGTGCGGTGGCTCACGCCTGTAATCCCAGCACTTTGGGAGGCCGAGGCAGGTGGATCACGAGGTCAGGAGATTGAGACCATCCTGGCTAACACGGTGAAACCTCATCTCTACTAAAAATACAACAAATTAGCTGGGCTTGGTGGCGGGCCCCTGTAGTCCCAGCTACTGGGGAGGCTGAGGCAGGACAATGGCGTGAACCTGGGAGGTGGAGCTTGCAGTGAGCCGAAATTGCGCCACTGCACTCCAGCCTGGGCGACAGAGCAAGACTCCGTCTCAAAAAAAAAAAAAAAATTATCTCCTGTACCAGCAAAAGTATATGTCTGAAACTTCCCGTCTATTTTTACAGAAGCTCTACAAGTGTCAGAATGCCCATTAGATACAAAGGTCAGGCACTGGCTCACACCTGTAATCCCAGCACTTTGGGAGGCTGAGGTGGCAGATCACTTGAGGCCAGGAGCTCCAGACCAGCCTGGGCAACATGGTGAAACCCCGTCTCTACTAAAAATACAAAAAAATTATCTGGGCATGGTGGCATGGGCCTGTAATCTCAGCTACTCTGGAAGCTGAGGCATGAGAATCATTTGAACCCAGGAGGCAGAGGTTGCAGTAAGCTGAGACTGTGCCATGGCACTGCAGTTTGGGAGACAGAGTGAGACTCTGTCTCAAAAAAAAAAAGATACACACAAAGAACTTGCATAACTCAGAAAATCAAAATAACAGGAAGATATCGTGGATTTGTAACTTGCTGAGTGCATACCACAGTGTTCCTGAATTATACAGATATTTTTTCTCATTGTATTAAGAAATAAAATTTTAAAAGCAATTTGGTCCCATTAGAAAATGTCATAAAACAAAAATTTTTAAAGTGCTTCATAAAAATAAAATGAAGCAATCAAACTAGATAAAAATTGTTACTTTTTTTAACATAAGGGGACTCTATATGAACAAAGGATAGATTGGTTTATTTACTCATTTCCTTTGAGATTGTTAAAGGACAAGCATCAATTTCACATTACAAATGATATTCAGCTGAGTAAATCAAAATATTTTACACAAACCATCTCATCAATCTGCACATCTGTGCTGTATGAGGAAAAATATTATGTATCAATATTTTTAGCTTTTTTTTTTGAAGACGGGACTCACTGTTGCCCAGGCTGAATATTTATAGCTTTAAAATTGAGTCATTGTCAGAGGTTAAATGTCTTACTCTATCTTTTTCTCTCCTTGGAACGTCTCGAAGGCAGAGACTCATTTTCCTCATCTACCTGGCACAGAGAAGATGCTCATGAGGCATCTCCTAAGGCTGAAAGAGGTCTCAGAATAGCGTGGAGGGTGAAGAGGCCATGCCCCAGAGCAGAGTTGGCAAATTACAGCCCATTGGTCACATGTAGCCCACAGTCTGTTTTTGCAAACAAGATTTTACTGACGACAGCCATGCCCATTCATTAAAGTAATGTCTACACTGCTTTTCCTCTGCAACAGCAGAATTGAGTACTTGTATCAGAGACCACTTGGCCCAAAAGCCTAAAACCTTTACCATCTGGCCCTTTACAGAAGAAGTTTGCCAATCCCTAAGGCAGAGCACTCTACCCCAACCAACAAATTAAACAACATTTTGCCTGATTATTTCTAAATTGTAAACTGTTACTAGAATTTGAACTCCTTGACAGGTGGGATGTTGAATGCCTCATCTCTGCTGTCCCCCACTGTGAAAAGCACAGTACAAAACCTTGGACAAGGCAGGCTTCAGTAATTATGTCCTATAATGGAAAGTGAAGTTGTACCAGGTGGGCTCCAAGTTAAGGATTTATCTGTATTAGCCTTGGCTCTTAACTACTTACTTGTTTCAAAGGATATTATGAAAAAGAAAGAATTGTGAAGGTTAAATCCAAATGATGCAATTTAAAAATTCAAGCCCAGCTAGGCATGGTGGCTCATGCTTATAATCCCAGTGCTTTGGCAGGCCAAGGTGGGAGGATCTTGAGACCAAGAGTTCAAGACCAGCCTGGACAACATAGCCAGACCCCTATTTCTTAAAACAAAAACAAAAAAACCACAAGAATTAGCAGGGGCATGGTGGTGCACATCTATAGTCCTAGCTACTTGGGAGGGTGAGGCGGGAGAATCCCTTGAGCCCAGGAGTTAGAGGTTACAGTGAGCTATGATTGTACCCCTGCACTCCAGCCTGGGCAACAAAGTGAGACCCTGTTTCTAAAAAAAAATAATAATAATTTTTAAAAATAAAAATTCGAGCCTAATAATAAAAATCTACCCATCTCTGATCCAAAATTGTGCTTTTCAACAAAGTGGTGCTTGTAGTCTCACCTGCCCTGGTTAGGCTGTGGTTAACATTAGCTAAAAGAATGTGCAAGCGGAATGGTGCCAAAGCACAATTCACTTTGGGAGGCCGAGGCGGGCAGATCACTTGAGGTCAGGAGTTCGTGACCAGCCTGGCCAACGAGGTGAAACCCCATTTCTACTAAAAATACAAAAATTAGCTGGGTATGGTGGCATGCACCTGTAATCCCAGCTAATCGGGAGGCTGAGACAGGAGAATCACTTAAACCCAGGAGGCAGAGGTTGCAGTGAGCCGAGATCATGCCACTGCACTCCAGCCTGCGCAACAGAGCGAGACTCCATCTCAAAAAAAAAAAAAATGCTCTTTGGCTAGGTGCAGTGGCTCATGCCTGTAATCCCAGCACTTTGGGAGGCTGAGGCAGGTGGATCATCTGAGGTCAGGAGTTCGAGACCAACCTGGCCAACATGGTGAAACTCTATCTTCACTAAAAACATAAAAATCAGCAGAGTGTAGGGTAGTTGTGGCAGGTGCCTTTAATTCCAGCTACTTGGGAGGCTGAGGCAGCAGAATCGCTTGAGCCCAGGAGGCGGAGGCTACAGTGAGCTGAAATTGTGCCACTGCACTCCAGCCTGGGTGACATAGTGAGACTCCATCTCAGGGAAAAAAAAAATTAAGAGTTTAAAAATGAAGAGATTTCATTTGCTAGTAATGTGAATAGTCTGGTGGGCATGTGTAAAAAAAATCATTCTCAAGCTCCAAATTACATCAATCTGGGTTGCTTTTTTTTTCCTTAACCTCAAACACCAGAATGAAACAGTTCTTTCTTTCCACAGGCCCTCCTAATTTTACACATTGCCTAAACATGTAAATTTATGCAAAAGCAAAATATTATTTTAGTCCTTTCTGATAGAATCACTTTCATTAAGTGATCTTCCTATAAAAACAAACATCTCGCTGAGTTACCCCTACAAATCCATAGACCGAGAACTAGTTATTACCATTACCAAGAATAATGAACACTTTTCAGTTAATTACTTTCTTTAAAGACATTAATGAGTTTTTTTAAAACTACAAATCTTATTTAGGATGAGGAATATTTCTGTAGTTTTCTTACTACATCCAGAACGCCCAGATAAAACCTTTGTGTGGAATGCTTTATCTTCTTCTGCATCTTCCTCCTGCATTGGTGAACAGGTTCAAGATAAAAGGTACTGAGGAAACACGCACAAGGTATTCCAGCCTATTAACAAAGTGCAGGAGGTTCAAATGGCAGGAGTCCAGGGGACAAGGAGCACTGAGCAGGAAGCTGCACCAGAGGCAGAGGTGAACAGGCTCAGAGTTTATCACGTAACAGGTGCGCATACGCACGTCAAATCATTTCATTTGTTTAATACCTGGGAAAGGTAGGCATGACTGTCCTCACTTTACTGATTAAGAAACTGGGACTCCCAAGGTTTAAGCAGCTTGCCCAAAGACAACATAGCTGATGGGGCAAAAGCCCAAGTCAAACCTGCATTCAGTGCCCTTTTATTTAGTGCCTTAATGATCCATCATGCAGCATCTGTCTTCTGCAGGCAGGAGGCGAGGGTCTGTTCATATTAATATAAACTTTATAAATAGCTTGATTTAAAAAGCAGGTAGTGGCCAGGCACGGTGGCTCACACCTGTAATCCCAGCATTTTGGGAGGCTGAGGCGGGCAGACTGTTTGAGCTCAGGAGTTTGAGACCAGCCTGGGCAACATGGCAAGACCCTGTCTCTACAAAAATATACAAAAATTAGCCAGATGTGGTGGCACATGCCTGTAATTCAAGCTATTCAGGAGGCTGAGGCAGGAGAATTGTTTGAACCCAGGAATTGGAGGTTGCGGTGAGTGGAGATCGCGCCACTGCACTCCAGCCTGGGCGACAGAATGAGACTTCTTCAAAAAAAAAAAAAAAAATCAAAATATGGGAGTGACTTAGCTAGGATTTTTCTGGTATAATTGCTTACATTAGACAAATATGCATTAAGTTTTAGAAAAAAAATTCCAATGAAAGTCATTTTTGGCCGGGTACAGTGGCTCACGGCTGTAATCCCAGCACTTTGGGAAGCCGAGGCGGGCGAATTACCTGAGGTTGGGAGTTCAAGACCAGCCTGACCAACATGGAGAAACCCCGTCTCTACTAAAAATACAAAATTAGCCGGGCGTGGTGGCGCATGCCTGTAATCCCAGCTACTCAGGAGGCTGAGGCAGGAGAATCGTTTGAACCCGGGAGGTGGAGGTTTCGGTGAGCCTAGATTGTGCCATTGCACTCCAGCCTGGGCAACAAGAGTGAAACTCCGTCTCAAAAAATAATAATAACAATAAAGTTATTTTTAATATTTTAATATTTTTTAACTCAAGGAGATGAGACTGTAGGTACTATGTAGGACCATGCCCAGCAGATTATAGGGGGGTCAGAAGAGACTATTGTTTTTTGTTTTGCTTTGTTTTGAGAAGGAGTCTCGCTCTGTCACCCAAGCTGGAGTGCAGTGGCACGATCTTGGCTCACTGCAAGCTCCATCTCCTGGGTTCATGCCATTCTCCCACCTCAGCCTCCCGAGTAGCTGGGACTACAGGCGCCCGCCACCACGCCCGTCTAATTTTGTTTTGTATTTTTAGTAGAATGGGGTTTCACCGTGTTAGCCAGGATGGTCTCAATCTCCTGACCTCGTGATCCACCCGCCTCGGCCTCCCAAAGTGCTGGGATTACAGGCGTGAGCCACCGCGTCCAGCTGAGACTATTGGTTTAGCACTGATGACCTCAGCATTTGGACAGTGCAATTATGCACAGAAAGGTTGTATATAGCTGACTACAGAGACCCGCTCTATAAATGTATAAATTTTTATTTATCAATCGATAAAAGAGACCTGTTCCCAAGAAACGGTAAAAATGTACTAGAGATATAGCAGTCAGTGCTAGAATGTTTTCCCCTGTGAATACTTTTCCTTTAAGTAACTTTTCCTTCCTTTCTATAACTTTATAACAGGACTTGAGTAGTGATTCCTCCCCAGAGGGGTGAGACGTCGTCACAACACTATAAAGTAATAACTGCCATCACATAACATACAACATGCAACCACTCTGGCATGGGACAGCTGGGAAATGCTCCACAGGGAAAATGATTTGAAGTTGGAGATGAAGAAAGAGTCCAATTCTTGCCACATGGGAAAGTGAAAAAGGAGAAAAGAGCATTCAAAGGCTCAGGGGAGAAAGCGTGCAGGCTTGTATTTCTCTGGAGTTCACAGGACAATGCTGAAAATGTTGTGCTCTAAGATCTGTGCTGAAATAGTTCTCTACCTTTCATCAATATGCAAATTCAGAATTCAGCCAGGATCCTTAAAGAGCTGATTGATGGCTGCGTCAGCTCTGTGACATCACCCTGACAGATGTGGTCGTTTGCTGTCACCTTGTGACACACATTCTCCTCTCTGTGTTGACATATCATCGCCCACATGACAGCCAGCCATAAAGGTAAGGCATTATTTTGCCCTAAAACAAATATCAGGCTGGCGGTCTTATGCTGAGATTTATCACCGTCTACAAAATACTCATAAAGTGACTGCCAATTGAGGTGCAATAATTACAACTCCTCAGAAATATGCTATTTTGAGATTAAGGGCAGAGCACAAACAAGGTCTACCTTGATGGAAGAAGGCAAGAACTTGCTGGATGATCTTTGTTCTTTCCTTTAGAGGAATTATTTTTAAAAAAAAATACCATAAATTTATTTACAGCATTTTCTGTAAGGGTCAAGAGATTTTCAGGCAAAAGCGCTATTTCAGCAAACTGAACATAAACCAGCCTTTCATTTTCAGAAAGCCACCCCTGCATGATCTGAACATTGTAAAGAACATATATACATCAGAACCACAGGCACAACATAGAGATACAGAACATTTGGTATTTCTACTTGATCTGTGGAAAAGGGATTCTTCCCACTGGTGTCAGCAACCAAATCTGGAGGCCTCAGTATGAGTAGTTGTTTTAGGATTGCAAGAATGCATCCATGCATATGTATTTATTTATAATTTGCCTCATTCTTCATGGATTTGACATAGCTTTCAGCAGGTACATATGTAACCAAATAACAGCAAAACATTGGTAGAAATTAAAAAATCCAGGCAGGGAAAATATTTTAAATGAGAGTAGAAATTCAAGACTACTAAAATGAAAGACACATACATGTATGCCATCACTGAACTTCAAGTTTGACTCTGGGGCCCCAGGCACTCAAAATGAAAAGAGAGACCCAGTTAGTCCCATCCTTCTCATCAGCAAAAAGGGAGAGGCATACAGTGCCTCAGGAAGGCAAAGTTATCCTGGCCCTGAATTTTAAAAGGAAGTTCTCAAACAGAGCATTCTTCGAACAACACTGAAATGGGACTCCCCTGAAAACTTCTGTAATAAATGCAGTAACGACTCCATATGGTTTTCTTTCATAGTATCATCCTTGACTTAAAAAAAATAGCATAGTGTAAGACGTAAAAGACCGACTCCATGAAGGTGATTCTTTAGGCAACCCACTGAGATCATTTTGCTCAGCGATGGTATTTGCTAGCTAACTGACAAGAAATTCAAAAAATAGTGGATGGATGACATTTCCTCCAGTCAATCTTCCAGAGTGTAGACCCTCATCCATTCATTCACTCATTTGTTCCTTCATTTCTTGATCTTCTACTAGATATTAGGAATCAAGTTAGGTGCTATGGATCCAAAATCATACGAAGACATAATCCCAATTCTTAACAACCTCATCGTTTAGTAAACTTTGATTTTCTTTTTAGTTTTAAATTTTTTGTAGAGATGGGATTTTGCTATGTTGCTCAGGCTGGTCTAGAACTCCTGGCCTCAAGTGATCCTCTCACCTTGGCCTCCCAAAGTGCTGGGATTACAGGCCCTTTGATTTTCAAAGATACTTTTTCCATCAGGAATCTTATCTCCATAAATTTTTACTGCAACCCTTCATGGCAACTTGAAAAGGATGATACAATATTTACCATACTTTAATAAAAGCATTCATTATATAATTTCATTCTTTGTCTTTTTAATTTTTTTCTCCACAAGGTTTATCATATTTACTAGTTTATTTGACAAATGTTTATTAAGTGCCCATTATTTCCAGGCACTGCTCTTGGCACTGAGTTACAGTCATGAAAAACAGCAACAAAAAATCTCTGCCCTTATACAGAACATACATTCTAGTGGTAATAGGTACAGGCAGAAGGTTCTAAAATAATTACATATATTAATTCATGTAACCCTCACAATAACCCAAAGGATAAGGTGCTATTACTGTTTCGATTTTACAGATCAGAAAGCTGAGGCAAAGTAAGCTTAAATACCAAAGTAATACGACTATTAAGTGTAGAACAGAGATTTAAACTCAGGCAGTTTGGTCCTAGAGTCCATGTACCTAAGCACTGCAGTGACTGTCCCTAACTGCTCAGGAAAAACCTGGTTGAATGAATGAAGAGAGGAGGACAGAAAGGCTAGAGAAGAAGTCAGGAAAAATGTTGTAAAGATTAATCAAATCTTACATTCTGCAGAAAACCCAAATGGTCACAAAGTACTTTCAAATGAAATGTTATTGAAGCTTCATTACCACTCTCTACAGCATGTATTCTGATTCTCATTATTCAGAGAAGAAAACTGAGCCCAGAGCCTGTCCTGGTCACACGGTTGGCGGGTGGTAAAGTCAGATCTCCTGTGCTCTTTCTAACACACCTGAGAAGCAGGCAGCAGCCAACTCAGCTGGAGGCGCCCAGCAAAGCCTCTCAGAGGAAGGGCCACTGAACTGCACCTTGAAGACAGTGAGTGGGACTTTTAAAGTGACAACATTCGGCCAGGTGCGGTGGCTCATGCCTGTAATCCCAGCACCTTGGGAGGCCAAGGCAAGCGGATCACTTGAAGTCAGGAGTTCAAGATCAGCCTGGCCAACATGGCAAAAACCCCATCTCTACTAAAAACACAAAAATTAGCTGGGCGTGGTAGCCTGCATGTACTCCCAGCTACTGGGAGTCTGAGGCATGAGAATCGCCTGAACCCAGGAGGTGGAGGTTGCAGTAAGCCAAGATCACACCACTGCACTCCAGCCTGGGTGACAGAGCAAAACTCTGTCTCAAAAAAAACTCAATAAATATTTGAACCAAAACACATTTTTTCCCATAGGTTCACAAATCAGAATGCTGATTCCAAAGGCAAATTTGAATGAAAAGACATTCTCAGGTCCTTAGAGATCAATGGATAGGCCCATCTAGTTATCACAATTAGTATCTCTTTAAAATTTTAGTTATTTGAAAATATGCTATTCCTACACAAACTGTATTCTATACAGTTTATTACTAATTCATATGCAGCACTGCTCTCCTCAGAAAGCATGCACACAAATGTTTCAACCGAAAACTTGTGCTCATTCTTGCATTTCCTTGAGTGAGGGCCCAGGAGCTAGACAGCGTAGGTTTGAAATCTGGCTTGGGCCTCAGTTTCCTCATCTGTAAAATGGGAGCAATAATAATCCTACCTGATAGGATAGTTATGGGGATTCAATCGACGTAGAAGGCTTAAAACAGTACCTGGCAAATAGTTGCATTTAGTAAATGTTTGCCAATGCAATGTTTTGTATTATTTTTTCCAAATACTCAGTCTCCTTCCTGGTTCCTCATGTATCCCCAGAATATCACCTGATATACCCACGGGTTCCATGTCATTTGCAGGATCCTACAAGAGAATTATTTACGTCCACCCATTGACAATGAGGTTGGCCATGTCACTTGCCTTGGCCAACAGCATGTAAGAAAACATGAAATACGCAATGTCAAAGCAGAAGTTTTAGGAGCCACTGTGTGTCCACTGACTCTCTCTTTTCCCTTAGACATGAGCATAGTATGTCCCAAATAGGGGCCCCTCCTTCAGCTTGGATCTTGAAATGAAAAGACTTGTGCCAATCTGCCACAGATGTACAATGTGGGCAAGAAACAAACCTCTGTTCTTGCAAGCCACTAAGATTTAAGGGCTATTTATTGCCACAAAATAGCTGACTAAAAGGGCTGCTATGATGATGATGATGATGATTGGACTGAATTGCAATTTTAACACAAAACATTTAGTTTTGAAAAACTTTTTAAAAATCAATAGGTAAAAAAGAATCCCAAGTTTTCACAACAGATTTCTTATGACAGATGTGAACTGGTCTAAAATATCTCTTAGATATTTGGTCAAATACCTCATAGAAAAGTGAGTAACTAGATTCCTATTCTTTATTGCTGCTTCTTTTTTCCTCTATCTAGCAACTGTATCCCCTAACAAAACCTTCTAAAAGACAATGATGAGCATCTCTGCTGACTCATTTTCCCACTCTACATTTCTGTCCTCCTTGGGAGCCATGATTTACAAGATGGAAAACAGAAGTCAGGAGACTGGCTTTCAAAGGACTCTTGTGAGCTAAATGTCCTTGTAAAAATAAGCTATTTTTTTATTTTAAAGATAAGGGAATTCATAATGCAGATTTCTTCATAGTTTATTAATAGATTCTCACAGATTCTGTTTTCCTGTCTCACCCCTTTGTATTTTTTAGAAAAAAAATAGCTTATAAAAATTATTTGATTCTCTTACATCAACAATCTTATTTATTTATTTATGACAGGATTTCACTCCTGTTGCCCAGGCTGGAGTGCAACGGCGTGATCTTGGCTCACTGCAGCCTCTGCCTCCTGGGCTTAAGGTATACTCCTGCGTTAGCCTCCCGAGTAGCTGGGACTACAGGTGCATATCACTGAGCCCTGCTAATTTTTGTATTTTTGGTAGACACGGGTTTCGCCATGTTACCCAGCCTGGTCTCAAACTCCTGGGGCTCAAGTGATCCACCTGCCTCAGCCTCCGAAAGTGCTGAGATTACAGGCATGCGCCACCATGCCCGGCCAACAATCATATTTAAATCTTCTTCTCCATACCTCAAAAAGGCTGCAGATCCTCCTTTAGGCAAATGCATCATGTTCACTTCTGGTGGTATTAAGCACTGAACCACAGTGACTCTCTTCTAATAGTCTGCTTGCACTCTGGCACAAGCTAGTCCAAGCTGCTATTCTAATAGAAAGTAAAATAAGCAAGTAAATAACCAAGTGCCTAGTTAAGTACTAGGAAGAAAAGAAACAGGATTTTGATAGTGAATAACGAGGTATGGGCTGAGATAAATGTAACTTGCATAATTGGGGAAGACCCATCTGAGTAGGGGGCAATTAAGATGAGTGTAGCTAGTAAAGGGCAAAAGGACACCTGTCCAGGTGAAGCCCTGAGGGAGAAAAGGGCTCAGAATGTCTAAGGAACCAAAAGAAGTTATGTTTCCCTTGCTGTCTACATTTCAGCAAGAGAAAGAGGAACATGAGATGTGGCTGAAGAACGAAATACAAGTCAGATCATGGGGGACTTTACATTTCATTTTGAGAGGAATTACAAGGCATTGCAGAGAATTTTAAGCAAGGACGTGACATGCTCTGATTTTCATGGATAAAAGTGCATGGACACGGACTAGATGAAGCGAGAGTGGTGAAAGCCATGAAGAGCCTACTGGGAGAAACAGGAGGAAGGAGGGCTCAGCCAAGAGGATTTGGAGAGAAGCGTGAAGACATACACCACATCTCGGAGGTAAAATACAGAATATTTACTGACAGAGTGAAGCTGGGGTTGGTGGAGAAGACCGCAAAGAATAAGGCCTGACATCAAGGTTTCTCGCCTGAAGAGGGTGATGATGCAGTTTACTGAGACGGAGATGACTAGAGGAGGAATCTAGTTAATAAATGAAGTCAGAAATTGCTTTTTTTCTTCCCCAAGATGAAGTCTCACTCTGTCGCCCAGGCTGGAGTGCAGTGGTGTGATCTCAGCTCACTGCAGCCTCCGCCTCCTAGGCTCAGGCGATTCTCCTGCCTCAGCCTCCCGAGTAGCTGGGATTACAGGCATGTGCCACCGTGCCCAGCTAATTTTGTATTTTTAGCAGAGATGGGGATTTCACCACATTGCCCAGGCTGGTCTCGAACTCCTGACCTTAGGTGATCCGCCCACCTCAGCCTCCCAAAGTGCTGGGATTATAGGCGTGAGCCACTGCACCTGGCCAGGAATTGTATTTTGAACAAAGAAAATTTAAGATTCCTATAAGATATCCAACTGGAAGTACTCAGGTGGGCAACAGAAAAGACAGGGAAGGAATTCAGAGGAGAGATCTGAGCAAGCAATAAATCTTCCCTCCTACAGGTGAAGAGGGCATTCCCATGGGAAGATGACTTAGCACAGGATGTCAGTGCCAGAAAGTAAAGACATTATACATGAAAAAGGGTGACATATCAAAAAGACAGAGCCAGCTTGAAGTGCCTCTCACTGGCCAAAAATACTTCACTTTATTTTATCTTTTTTGAGACAGGGTCTCACTCTGTCGCCCAGGCTGGAGTTGCAGAGGTGTAATCATAGCTCACTGCACCCTTGAACTCCTGGGTGCAAGAGAGCCTCTCTTTGGACAGATACTGCATTAATGCTTTTTTTAAAAAAAGAGAGAAAGAGAGATTCTCCCACCTCAGCCTCTGCAGTAGCTGGGACTACAGGTGTGCACCACCATGCCCAGCTAATGTTTTTTTTTTCTTTTTTTGTAGAGACAAGGCCTTGGTATGTTGTCCAGGCTGGTCTCAATCTCCTGGCCTCAAGTAATCCTCATGACTCAGCCTCCCAAAGTGCTAGGATTTCAGGAGTGAGCCACCACACATGGCCAAAAATATTTATTACAAAAAGAAAAAACTATTTGCAGCTGGGCACGGTGGCTCAGGCCTGTAATCCCAGCACTTTGGGAGGCCGAGCCGGGTGGATCACGAGGTCAGGAGATCGAGACCATCCTGGCTAACACAGTGAAACCCCGTCTCTACTAAAAAAAAAAAAATACAAAAAATTAGCTGGGCGTGGTGGCAGGCACCTGTAGTCCCAGCTACTCGGGAGGCTGAGGCAGGAGAATGGAGTGAACCCGGGAGGTGGAGCTGGCAGTGAGCCGAGACCGCACCACCGCACTCCAGCCTGGGTGACAGAGTGAAACTCCATCTCAAAAAAAAAAAAAAGAAAAAACTATTTGCTCAGTGCCAAAGCCCAGCAGTCACCCCCTTAATCAAGTGTTCAAAGTTAACATCATCAGTGACGGGATGACTCAAAATCAAGAGCCACCTGATAGGGTGCAATGAGAACACAGATCCTCTTCTGTGAGATTCCTGGGAAAATACCTAACTTGCATCTAATCATGAGAAAACAACAGCCAATCATAAACTGAGAGATATGCAACAAAATAAGTGGCAAATAATCTGCAAAAATGTGAAGGTCATCACAGTCAAAGAAGGGTTGAGGAATGGTTCCAGATTAGAGACCACAGAGACATGGCAACTAAATACAACATGCAACCTGAACTGAATCTTTTCGTTAGAAAGGTCATGATTCAGACAAGTAGCAAAACTTGTATGAGGTTTGTAGATTAAATGGTAGCAAACTAATAATGTTAATTCCTTGTTTTTTGTTGGCTGCATTATGAATGTATAGGAGAATATCCTCATTCATAGAAAACACAAACTATTCTAAGATATTAAAGTATCTAGTTGGCAACTTACTCTTAAACGGCTCAAGAAAAAACATTATTTGTATTGTATTTGCAACTTTTCTGTAAATTTGAGACTGTTAAAAAAAAAAGGCAATGCGTTATAATAATAAGCCTGTGCATCAGACTGGTAAACATTAGAGGTCTGACCAATACCAACTATTTGTGAGGATATGAAAACCCTCATACCCGCCAGGTGAGGTGGCTCACGCATGTAATCCAAGCACTTTGAGAGGCTGAGGCAGGCAGATCGCCTGAGGTCAGGAGTTCGAGACCAGCAGCCTGGCCATCATGGCAAAACCCCGTCTCTACAAAAATTACAAAAATTAGCTGGGCTTGGTGGCATGCGCCTTTTGTCCCAGCTACTCGGGAGGCTGAGGCAGGAGAATTGCTGGAACCCGGGAGGCAGAAGTTGCAGTGAGCCGAGATCATGTCATTGCAGTCCAGCCTGGACAACAGAGCGACACTTCGTCTCTAAAAATATATATACATATATAAAAAAGAAAACCCTCATACAGAGCTGTTGACAGTGAAAACTGGAAGAGCCATTTTAGACAACTGTTCGGCACTATCTAATAAAATTGAAGACACACATCCCCCATGACTCAACAATTGCACTCCTGGAGAATCTCTTGAATATCAGCACCAGGATGTTCATAGCAGCCCTGTTCGTAAGAATCAAAAACTGAAAATAACTTAAATATCCATCAATAGCAGACTAGGTCGATTGTTTATGTAGTGGACTACCATATAGTAATGCAAATGAATGAATTACAGCAACATTCACCAACAAGGATGGATGTCAAATGCAATGTTGAATGAAAGAAGCAAGATACAACCATTTAATAAAGTTCAAAACTATATTGTTTAGCTGGTAATACTTTAAGGTAATTATTATCACAAAAGTCAAGACAGTAGGTGGTGGGAAGGGAAGAAATTATGATTGGGAAGATGCATAGCGGGTAGGTGTTGTTTCCGGATGCTGGCAATGTTTCATTTCTTGCCACTAGAGTAGTGGCTCCATGAGGGCTCATTTTATCACTGTTTGTTAAAGAGTAAATACATGATCTGTGTGTTTTCTGGATATATATATTTCATAATTGTAAAGCTATTAAAAATGATTGCTTCTACTTCCCAGATGCTTACTACGTACCAGCTACTACACTGAGCACATGTACATGTTTTATCCTATTTAAACTTCTCAAACCTATGAGGCAGTACTATTACTATTTTCTCCCTTTTACATATGTACAAAGTGAAGCTTCATGACATCTAACATCATGGCACTAACAAATGGGGACATTAATCTATTTTAGGCTGACTTCAGAGCTTCCAAATGTAACCACTAAGTGGTTTGCAAGTATTACTTTGATTGATCTCTATGTTTCAATGTGTGCTTCAGAATTTGGGCTTCTTGAGGGTTTTCTCTGTAAGTTCCCATAGCATTTAATATAGTGCTTTATAAGTGAGGCTTGATAAACATTGTTGACTACTTGAACAATCTGTCATTTCTATAACAAATGTTATAGAAATATTTTTCAGTCCTCCAATCAATATGGAGAGACTGAGTTTTCAATTATAAGGCAAAAATCTTTAAAAAGTCATCAGAACTAGGAAAACACTCATGCTGAAACCGAAGTTAAGAAATTTACATGACTTTGACATCAAGAATGCACACAAGTACATTACAGCAATCTCCAGGAGACCAATGGGCTTGAGATAGCAACACATGCACAGCTCATCTGAAAGAATTATGTGTAGCCATAAAAATTCAAACTAGCTCTGAAAATCAGGGTTTTGTACTTGACAAAGTTCTATTGAGACTATTTCACTGTACTATACTTTGAACAAAAATCATCGCTTTTAATTTATTGGCTTTGAAATTATACAATGTGCTCTCCCCCCAAATCTCTACATTTTGTTTGGCTCAAACATTATTTCATTTATTTCCCATTTTTCAGGAGTTTTATGTGCAAATTTACAGATAAGCACATGTAGAATATTTAAAAGGAACTGAATAAGGAAATGTCACAAAAGAAATCTTCTTTTCTTTCCATTTCTATTACTAATCTCAAACTAGAATCTGAGGAGTGTGAGAATTTTATCTTTCTTCATGAAAGGCTAGATCTTTGTACTGATTTGTAGTATAATACAGCAATAGGCTTCATCTCCTATTTAACTCTAATCAGTTTTACAATGGGATAGAAACAGAGTTGAGATCAATTGGCAGCACTGGCCTAGCAGGAGGATGGGGGAGGGGAGAGTGGCAGTAGTGGTGCTAGAGAAAAGAGGAAAAAGACAGGGATCTCACTGTTTCATTCTTGCCATGGACAGAATATATATGTTTACATACATTTATTAAAATCCAAGGATAGGCCGGGCACGGTGGCTCACACCTGTAATCCCAGCACTTTGGGAGGCCAAGGCAGGCAGATCACCTGAGGTCAGGAGTTCAAGACCAGCCTGGCCAATATGGTGAAACCTCATCTCTACTAAAAATACAAAAACTAGCTGGGTGTGGTGGCAGGCGCCTGTAATCCCAGCTACTTGGGAGGTTGAGGCAGGAGAATTGCTTGAACCTGGGAGGCGGCAGTTGCAGCGAGCCGAGATCACGCCACTGCACTCCAGCCTGGGCAACAAGAGCGAAACTCCTCACCCTGCCCCGGAAAAAAAAAAAAAATCTAAGGATAAACATCACTACAGTTGAAATAGTAAATTTAACTTCAGAATCTGATCAATTCAGCAGAAGGTAGTAAAGAAAATAAACTGAACAATAAAGAAACAATTTGAAATCCTTATAAATGAAAAACATAAATGATGCAAGGGATAGTAACAAATATAAAAAGTTGTTCAACATCATTAGTCATTGGGGAAATACATACCAAAAGCACAATGAGCTCCAGGCACAATGGCTCATGCCTGTAATCTCAGCACATTGGGTGGTCAAGGCAGGGGACTGCTTAAGGCCAGGAGTTCAAGACCAGCCTAGGCAACATAGTGAGACCCCATCTCCACAAAAATTAAAAATAAAATTAGCCAGGCATGGCGATACACACCTGTAGTCCCAGCTCCTCAGGAGGCTGAGGTGGGAGGATCCCTTGAGCCCCACAAGTTTGAGGCTGCAGTGAGCAATGATCACACCACTGCACTCCAGCCTGAGTAACACAGGGAGACCCTGTCTCTGAAAAAATAAATTTTTTTTTTTTTAAAAAAAAAACAACAAAAGCACAATGAGGTACCACTTCATATCCACTAGGATAGTACACTAGCTGAGGCTGCCATAACAACCTTAGTACTGGATGCTAACCTCAGACAGACTGGATGTCTTAAACAACAGGAATTTATTTTCTCACAGTTTGGGAGATGGAAGTTCATGATCAAGGTGTTGGCAGGTTTGGTTTTTCCTGAGGCCTCCCTCCTTGGCTTGCAGACAGCCACCTTCTTGCTACGTCTTCACATGGCCTTTTCCCTGTGCCTGTGCATCCCTTGTGTCTCTGACCTTTCTCATTATAAGGACACAAGTCATATTGGGTTAGGGCCCAACCGACTACCTCATTTAACTCTAATTACTTCCATTATGGCCCCATCTCAAAATACAGTCATGTTAGCAATTAGGGCTTTATCATATGAATTTTGGGGGACACAAGCACATAACAGATGGCTATAATGAAAAAGACAGGCAATAACAAGAGTTGGTGAGAATGTGAAAAAATTATAACCCTCATATATTGCTGGTGGGACTGTAAAATGGTGCAACAAACTTTGGAAAACAGTCTGCCAATTTCTCAAAAGGTTAAACATAGAGCTACCACATGACTCAGCAATTCTACTCCTACACATACACTCAAAAGAAATGAAAACATATGTCCACCAAAAAACTTGCATACAAATACTCATGCTACAACACTGATAAACCTTGAAAACATTATGCTAAGTGAAAGAAGCCAGACACCAAAGGTCACATATTATATGATCCCATTTATATAAAATGTCCAGAACAGGCAAATCCATACAGACAGAATGTAGGTCAGTGGTTGCCTAGGGCTAGGTGTGGAAGGAGGTTGGAAAAAAAATGCAAGTGGACTGCTAATAGGTACAGGGTTTCTTTCCAGATGATGAAAATGTTCTAAAACTGATTGTGATGATATAACCGAGTATCCCAGTCTCAAAATGCATTTTAAAACTCTTTTTGCTCGTTTCTTGCTTTCAGCCTTGAAACATACTTTGAAACGCTTTGTTTCTCTTTTTCCCACCAGGCCCTTCCATGAACAGTGCTCGCTTATCTAATTATGTGCTTGCTTAGAAATTCCAGGGGCCAATTTTGAAACAAACCAGGCAGAGAGGGCCAGCTGCAGAATCCTCTTACTCAAGGGGAGTTGGGAACAGTTAGCCCACCGCTACTGGCCTAAGTCAGGATGATGCAAATTGGACCTCCGGATGGGCAATTACTCAAGATAACCATTGGAACAAGACGTGCCCACCTTGCCACCACTCCCGCATATTTCCCACACCTTTTCTTTCTTAAACCCCTTCGCTCAGCCCAGAAGGAGCAGGTGGTTCCTTTGAGTCTCCAGCCCAGCCATTCTCCCATCTGCTAGCATTTGACCAATAAAAGCTGCTTTTCTTTTACTACACCTTGCTTCTCATGCTTTGACTTCTGAGCAGTGAGCAGCACAACTGAGCCAGTTACAATGATAGTTGCAAAAGCCTGAATAGATTAAAAATCATTGAATTACACACTTTAAGGCAAATGCATAGTGTATAAATTCTATCTCAATAATGCTGTTATAAAAGAACAAATATATCATTGTCAAATATATGTAAATGAATTAAATTCCTATATTAAAAGAGCAGGGCCGTCAGGGTGAGATTTTTAAAAATCTTATATATTAATTAAAGAGATACATGGCGGTGGGGGGAGGGGGGAGGGATAGCATTAGGAGATATACCTAATGCTAAATGACGAGTTAATGGGTGCAGCACACCAGCATGGCACATGTATACATATGTAACTAACCTGCACATTGTGCACATGTACCCTAAAACTTAAAGTATAATAATAAAAATAAAATAAAATAAAATAAAATAAAAAAGAGATACATGGCAAAGAAAACTTGAAAACAAAATACCGGGCAAAAATACATATCAGACAAATACAAGAAAGAAAAGTTAAAAAGACTGTCAATATTACTAATAAATTAAATAGCTGATCATGTTTATAACAAAAGAATAATAAAACGAATGCCTTTATATCTAATCAACTGTAAATGAAAATGTTAAGCAAAGTCTAATGAATTGCTGGATATTAAAAGATACTCTTTTGAATAATTCTTGGATCAAAATAGAAATCAAAACTGAAATGACAGCTTGTTCAGAAATTAACAACAAATAGTCCATAATAATAAAATGTATAGGATGAAGTCAACGGTATATGCAGAGGAATATTAATAGCTTTAAAACATTCCTTAAAACAACCTTGAAGCTGCTGATGAATAAACTATGTATTTAACTCTCGGAAACTAGAAAAAGGACAACAAAATAAACCAAAAAAAAGTAAGAAAAAATAGGCCGGGTGCAGTGACTCACGCCTAGAATCCTAGCACTTTGGGAGGCCAAGGCGGGCAGATCACTTGAGCTCAGGAGTTCAAGACCAGCCTAGGCAACATGGCAAAATTCCATCTCAAATACAAAAAATACAAAAAAAAATTAGCTGGGTGTGGAGTCACACACTTCTAGTCCCAGCTACTTTGGGGGGCTGAGTGAGGCAGGAGGATCGCCTGAACCTGGGAGATGGAGGTTGCAGTGAGCTGAGATCACAACACCGCACTCCAGCCTGGGTGACAAAGTAAGACCCTGTTTCAAAGAAAAAAATGAAAAGAAAAAATAATATATGAAAATAAAAGCAGAAATTAATAAATTAGAAAACAAAGAGATTTATTAAATAAAACTAAGAGCTGATTCTTTGAAACCCTCAAACTGTGTTCCACTGAACACTCATTTCAGGAGATATTAACAGATGGTCTATGGGGAGAAAAAGGTTTTGAAAACTACATACTAAACCTTCTACTTAAGGACTCATAATGCATATTAGTTTATTAAAGACTCTAAAAAGTCCTAAAAGATATAACTGTTTTAAATTGTGTGATTCAGTCTCACAAACTTATTTGTGCATGAACACTTACTTATCAGCATTCTTTGGAATAGCATTCCGTGAAATACTCATTTGGGAAATGCTGACGTGAGTACATCTCTGGTGTGTAAAATCAAGAATCAATGAGAAAATATGAATATGGAGCACTTGGAATAAAAAATGGGATTTAACACAGATATGGATGAGCTTAAAATAAGAAAATTGGATGTAAGCTCTATACTTAAAATTTTTGAAAATATACAAAAAATGGTGGCCAGGCGCAGTGGCTCACACTTGTAATCTCAGCACTTTGGGAGGCTGGGGCGGGGGGATAACTTGAAGTCAAGAGTTCAGGACCAGCCTGGCCAACATGGCAAAACCCAATCTCTACTAAAAACACAAAATTAGCTGGGCATGGTGGTGCACACCTGTCATCCCAGCACTTTGGGAGGCTGAGGCAGGTGGATCACTTGAGCTCAGGAGTTCGAGACCAGCCTGGCCAACATAGCAAAACACCGTCTCTACTAAAAATATAAACATTAGCCAGGCATGGTGGCCAGTGCCTGTAATCCCAGCTACTGGGGGGCTGAGACAGGAAATCACCTGAACCCGGAAGGCGGAGTTTGCAGTGAGCTGAGATTGTGCCACTGCACTCCAGCCTGGGCAACAAAGCAAGACTCCATTTCAAAAAAAAAAAAAGAAGAAGAAAGAAAATATACACAAAATGGGTAATTTTTAAGAAAAATATGCCTTACCAAAATGTTTTCAGAAAGAGGTAGAAAAATAAAAAATAACCAGGAAAAATGCAAAAATTTATGATTCAACATCCCAGTTAGAAACCCTGGCCCAAGTATAGTCAAAATCTATTATTATTTCTTGGAACATGAGAGCTTCCGGTTATCCTCGTTCTCACCGCTGTCATCCTTCTGCAAGGATTTCCACAAACTAGTCTCCTAGCTCCAGTCTTGCCTCTCTTCCTATCCAATGAGTGAGATTCCATTAACAGAGAAATCTGATCATATCATTTCTCTGTTTAAAATCCTTTCATGGCTCCTCCTTAATTTTGGAAGAAAATCCAAACTCCACGACATGTTCTATAAGGTGCTGGAAGTTCTGGTCTCTGGGAAGCATTGGAGCCTCATCTCTCAACTCTCCCCCCTTCTCCACTTTTGCTCTAGTTCTACTTAACATTTTTCCTTTGCTCAGAAGCACCATGTGCTCCCTCACCTGTAGGTCTTCTCACAAGTTCTTCTGTCTCCCTCCCTTTCCTTTCCACTCCTGCCTGATTCTCAAATGGATATTCCTACTTAAATGGCAGTTTAAGGTGACTTCCTCCAGAAAGCATTTTCTGGTTTCTCCAACTCTGTAACAGAGACTCCTCTTATTTTTTCCCACACGCCATATATTTCCCTCATTGTAGCATTTACAACACTGTGCTTTAATTTCCTCTTTTCTTAACTCCATCCCTCTGTAAACTACACACTCCAAGAGAGCAGAGATCTCATAATCTTGCTCACCATTTAATCCCTAATATTTAACAGCATTCCAGCACAAAATATAAATTCTATATGTTTATTAAAATAATGAATGAAGTATAACATTGACAATAAAGATGAAAAACATAGCACCCACAATAAAACTGTAGGCAAAAATATTAGAAGTCAAAACCCACAGTCTAATAAAAGAATCATGGCCAATATGGGTTTACTTGAAGACTGCAAGGATGACACAAAATTAGGAAACCTAAGAAGAAAAAATATATAATTTTGATAAATGATCATGAACATTTCACGACCTCAAAATTCATCATAATCATCAAAAATGTAAAATAGATATTAATATTCAACTTTATATAAGATATTTATTGCAAGAGAACAAAAAATATCCTCCTTCATGAATCGACAGAAGGAAAACAAGGAATAAGACAGAAGACCTGTGAAAAATGCTATTATTGTTTTATATATTTTAGCTGAGATGCAGTAAGACAAAAAAGACACAGTAAAAGTATTGGAGAAAAAGACAAAAATTATCATTATTTCAGCTCACGATTATCTACCCTTAAACTAGGAGTAATAAGAATAAGTTTTCATTAAGTTTTTCAAGAAAACAACTTTCCCACTTTAACAAGTTAGAAAAGGGCAGGGGAAGACTATTCATGACAACAATAGAAATATAAAATTCCCAAGAATAAAGCTAACAAAAAAAAACAGAGATTACATGGGGAAAAATTCTCCAAATGAATCTCTGATTTAACTCAAGTCCAATCAAGCCAAACAATTTTTATGTCTAGAATTAGATATTATAGTTCTAAAATTTTTTCTAGCAAGGTAAATGATTGATAATATGTAAAAAAAAAAAATTTGAAAGAGAAAAATCAATGAAAAGGAGCTTGTCTTACCGAATGGTAAAATGGAATATAACACTGAAATTTAAATAATGTGGTACCAGAACAGTAATATCCAAAATAATCATAGAGGCATGTTAGGAAATACACAAATAGATCTAAAAATTATTGAGATTTAGTGTAGGAATTTTTGGACTTTTAAATCAGCATAGAAGAAATTATATTATTTAATAATTGCTGTTGTGACAATCAACTAAACATTTGGGAAAAATTAAGATAGATCACTACTTTTAATTCATACCTAACTATATCCCATGCAGATTAAAAGAGGAAATATTTTTTAAACTCATTAGAATACTAAAAGAAAATGTTATAAATAGCTGAAAGAAGTGACTTTTATAAGCATGAAAACAGAGCCAAGAACATGAAAGAAAAGACTGGTAGGTAGAATTACATAAACATTTCAAATTTCACATAGCCTATAACACCTAGCATAAAAGTAAAAAGAAAAAAGGATAAATCTTGAAAAGATAAATCATAATTCCCAGATTTCTCCAGGATATAGGGAAACAGGTATTTTTCTGACAAGGCGGACAGTACAAAAAGGCACAAACTTTCAGAAGGGCACTCTGCCAACATTTCCACAAAAAAATAAAGACAAAGAAATAAATCAACCTAAATGCCACCATTACAGAAGTGGCTAATTAAATTATGGCATAACCATGAAATACTATCTAGTCACTAGATAACATCATATAGATTTCTTGATGTGAAAGAACACCCATGGTATATTAGAAAGCAAAATGGTTTAAAAAATAATCAATGTAGGATAATCCCATTGGTGTTAAAACTTTACAAATGTATAAAAACAGAAAGTCAATAAAATATTAACAATGATTATTTCTGGGTATAAGAAACTGTGTGGTTTTTTAATTTTCTTTTTTAAAACTTCTTACATTCTATTTTTCTTCAATGAACACCTATTACTTTCACAATTTGGAGAAGGTAATAAAAGCAAATTCGGTTGGGTGCAGTGGCTCATGGCTATAATCCTAGCACTTTGGGAAGCCAAGGCAGGAGGATCACTTGAGGTCAAGAGATGGAGACCAGCCTGGGCAACACAGTGAGACTCCCATCTCTATAATTTTTTTTTAAACTAGCCAACATGGTGGCGCGTGCCTGCAGTCCCAGCTATTTGGGAGGCTAAGGAGGGAGGATCACTTGAGCCCAGGAGGTCAAGGCTGCAGTGAGCTGCGATCATGGCACTGCACCCCAGCGTGGGTGATAGAGTAAGACTCTGTTTCTAAAAAAAAAAAAAAAAAAAAAAAAAAAATAGTACTTCCTTAGTTTAGATACTTACTTTTACTTATGAGATATTCAGCATCTCTTGTTTTGAGTTTGCTTTTTTTGTTAAGTTTTGAGACAGAGTCTCACTCTGTCCTCCAGGCTGAAATGCAATGGTACGATCACAGCTCACTGCAGGCTCGACCTCCTGGGCTCAAGTGATTCTCCTACTTCAGCTTCCCAAAGCACTGGGCTTACAAGTGTGAGCCACCACACCCAGCCAAGAAAGATAATCTTTAAGGAACCTTTATTTCAAGTTCTGGAGTATATCTTGAAAGCAATGGTGACAGGCAAATCACTCTTAGATCACAGGTAACTGCAACAACATCCTTTCAACGGGGTTTCACGATCAGTCAGTCCTCTGTTTGGCATTTCAATCCTTCCCATCAGCTTGCCCCACTGCATCTTCCAGTCAGTCTCTGTTTCTTTAGTGGGAAACAGAAGGTCTGTTTGGTGTGTATCTCTGGTATGCAGGGTTTGAGCAATTTTGGTTTTGTTGTTAAATGTCTGGGTTTGTCTCTCATAACATGCCACTTGGTGGTAGTTACCAGAAGTAATGGCAGAACACTGAAGAGAAGCTAAGCCTCATGGCTTCTCCAGGTATTCCAATCCACAAGCCCTCCTCTTTCACTGACTCCTAGAAGTTATTCTGGGCCTCCATAATTTTTCATTTGTTCATAAACTGGAGAACAGTATGTTTCTCTGATTCTCTCATTCATTCATCCCTGGTTAGTTGACTCTTTCTAAATGAACCCAGCAGCCTGGAAACAGGCATGGAGAAAGCCAAGAGTTGGGATATACCCAGGGTTTAGTTTTTGCTGGGACTGCATTATGGAAGGACAAGAAAGCTCAGGATGTTGCCAAAAGAGTGGTTGTTAAAATAGATTATGGACTTTAACACAGGTGCAATGAAAGTGAGGATGAGAGACCTGATGGACAGGGCAAAAGCGGATGTTTCAAAGAACTGGCCCTGTGCAATGCTGACAACGCTGTTCAGGATTGTTTTTTGTTTGTCTTTCATGATCTGAGACTATGAATACACGTTTCCAGAGAATAGGTATGTCTGTGTGCACAAGTACTTATATAATATAGGAATATTTATGTCATTCTATCAGGAATAAGAAATAAAAATTCATAGTAGAAGGAATTTCAATCACACTTTTTAAAGAAAGATGTTTTCTCTTTATTGATGTGTGTATGCATGCTTCAGAGAATGAGAGAAAGAAGTTATTAAAATAGCAATACAAATGCAACCAGCAAAGGACAACTCTAATAGAAGGTGCATGGGACACGAAAAAGAGCTTGTTAATAACCAAGCAGTATGTATCAGCCAATGTGCCTTCCCCAAACTCATTCAGAATCATTTCCAGCCTCTGCTACAATCCAGAGCAAAGACTAGAGAACAGGAAGGTGCTGTTCCTGCACAGTGACTATGCCTGAGAGACGGGCAGGTCTTCAACATCTCAGTTGAAGTGAACCGTGGAGAGTCACTGTGGATGCAGGGATAAAGGGGAAGGGAGCTGAGGCATAAAATGTTAAAAGAAGTTAAAACATGCATTTCCAAAAAGAGAGAAGAAAATTGACTGTGTCCTCTGATGACTACACTTTTATAAATACATATAGTAAGACAAAACTAAACAAGTTTATAGTAATCCAGGAAAAAATTTGCGAAAACATACAAAATTTCTGTGAGGCTGTCTTTTGAAAAACCTAAATACCAAATTGTATCTATGTTACAATTTTAACTTCCAAATCATTGTGCAGGTAGGCAAGTATTGAAAGGGAACAGGAAAAAATGCAAAGCTTAAATATGTGGAGAATAGTTACGGATTTTTTTCCTTTTTATTTATATAAATGTAATTATATTTGTGCAAAAAAGAAAAAAATGCAAAAAAGGCATTTTTTTTCTCTTAAGTAAGAATTTTCAAATTCCTTGTACTCCCAGGGACATAAACCCATCTTCTCCCATCATGGTAGATGTTAATCATCTCAGCATATGGAAGCATTTCTCTTCCTCTCACACTGTCATTGCTTCATTTGCAAGCACGCCTTCTGAGGCAGGCTACAGATTCAGATGCCATGACACAAATGAAACTGAGCAGACATTGCCCCAGCATTCCCTTCAGAACCTCCTCTTTCTTTCACTATCTACTCAAAAACAGAAGAACCACTCTAAGCTTGCCAGTTGCAAGGTTTAATAACCTTTTCTCCTCCATATCCTTGCCTCTGGGGATGCAGTAGAAAGGAAAGAACAAGGCTGTTTCCCAAGTAGCAATGAAAAAGACAGAAGATTGAGAAAGTAAGGTGAAGAGAGAGGGGAAAGAAAGAGAGAGAGAAAGAGAGAGGAAGAGAGGAAGGGAGAGAGAACTATTTCCAGACTCAGAAAAGAAGAGAAAGAGGTAAACCAAGGTTTTTTCTTGCTCCTAAGCTTTAGAGGTATGACAGTAATATTATGACATATAATGATTATTAAATATTGAAGCAATCTCACAAATCAAGTAGCAGAAGAAAGATTTTATTGCTTAAAGATATTTGGAATTGAGTATATGGAAGCACCTTTTGATGAAAACAAACTTAAAAATAACTTTTCTGGTTGAATTTGAACCATATATAGACACCTTTGACAACTTCATTAGCATTTTTCTTCATGTCATCAGTAGGCCTTTCATAAGAAGAATTATGATACACACTGGCCCTAATTATGAAACCTACTAAAGTTATACTTATTGGAGGCTCTAATAATCAGAGCTTTTTAAAATCTGCTGAGAAAATAGAAGATCTCTTCTGGAAAAGATGGAAACCTTGAATCATCAAATGTGTTTTCTTTGTGGATTAAAAGAGGGACAGGTTATTTTCAGTTTTCTAGGTCAAAAGGTTTGAAACTAGAAGAGGCATTTCTTCTAGTCTTAGGTAGGGTCATAAAACCTTTTCACAAATCTCATGTTTCATCCTCTCCTGATGCGGGATGATAACCTGTCCTTTTACAAACAGGAGTTCCAGTACAGTCTCATAGTACAGGATAGTTAATAGATAAAGTCTGAATTTAGAATCAGAGAACTGAAGTGTTAGTGATTTTTTTTTGTAAGTTATATAAACAATTTTAATGGAAACATTCAATAGTGCATTTTTCCCATTGCTCCCAAGATTTGGTCTCTTTCTGCTGCTGTGTTAGTGATTTACTTTTTATTTTATTTTATTTTTCTTTTTGAGACAGAGTGTTGCTCTATCACCCAGGCTGGAGTTGCAGTGACACAATCTTGGCTCACTGCAACTTCCGCCTCCCAAGTTCAAGCAGTTTTCGTGCTTTAGCCTCCCAAGAAGCTGAGATTGCAGGCACACACCATTACACCCAGCTAATTTTTGTATTTTTAGTAGAGACAGGTTTTCACCATGTTGGCCAGGCTGGTCTTGAACTCCTGGCCTCAAGCAATCCATCCACCTCAGCCTCCCAAAGTGCTGGGATTACAGGTGTGAGCCAACACACCCAGCCAGATTTAATATTATCCCTTTTATCATCCCATCTATCTCCTGTTTCAATCATTTAAATCTCTGAATCACAATCTCAGAGAAAGTCACCAAGGTAGGAGAGTGGGTGGGGGGGTTGGTCAATGTCACTTTTACACTAGCATGTCTAAACCTCTAAAAGGTATAACCAAAGAAAAGGCTTTCAGGAGCTAAGGTGTATTAATGCAAAAGCTATCCAATAAAGTGAAGATAAGGGCCTTACCCACTTCCTTATCCTTACCCTTAAATCCAGAAAATCAGAGTATCTGAAATATAATAACAACATTCTCTTTTGTTTGTTTGCTTGTTTGTTTAGAGACAGGGTCTTGCTCTATTGCCTGAGCTGCAGTGCAGTGGTGCTGCCATAGCTCATTGCAACCTTGAACTCCTGGGCTCAGGTGATCCTCCTGCCTCAGCCTTCCGAGTAGCTGGGACTACAGGCGTGCACCACCATGCTGGTGAAATAACAACATGCTTTAAATCTACAATCTTGTTTCAACATTTTTCATTCTTTAAAAAGTTACCTGAGTTCTGGCCATAATGAAGTAAGAGAGATACCAGATTTGTCTTCTCAACTTAAACTTAAAAATTGGACAAAATATCTGAAGCAATGTTTTTAGGCACTAGACAACAGTGTGTAGGGCAGTGACCCCTGAGAGAAGAGAGATAAAGGAGGTGAGCCCTGGGAATGCCCCTCGTCCACTGTTGTCATACATTTTACTTCTAGAAGACTTTTGGTTATAAATCCTATAATTTATTGTTACTATTTTTGCTTTATACATTTATACTCATGAGCCGCATAACAATGTTTTGGTCAACAAGAGACTGCATATACGATGGTGGTCCCATAAGATAATGATGGAGCTGAAAATTTTCTTTTCTTTTTTTTTTTCTTTGAAGCAGGGTCTCCCTCTGTTGCCCAGCCTGGAGTGCAGTAGCATGATTCCAGCTCACCGCAACCTTGACCTTCTGGGGCTCAAGTCATCGAGATTACAGGCATGCACTACCACATGCCTGATGTGAGCTGAAAAATTTCTATTGCCTGGTGACATCATAGTCATTGTAACAGGTGTTGGTGTAAAGACAGACCTACAGATGAATGAAACAGAACAAAAAATCCCCAAATAGAACCATAAATGTATGCCAATTGATTTTTGACAATGGTGTGAGGGCAATTCATGGAAGATATGTATAAGAAAATAATTAAATAAACCTTGCTCAATCCATACATCACACAGCGCACAAAAGTTAATATGCAGTGGATCACAGATCTAAATGAAAGAACTCAAACTATAAAACTTCTAGAAAAAATGTAGAAGAAAGTCTTTGTTATCTTGAATTAGGCAAATATATCTTAATAGGACTTAAAAAGCACAAAACTTAAAGAAACAATCAATACAGTAGACTTCAAAATTAAAAGCTTTTTCTCTTCAAAAGATACAGTTAAGAACATGAAAAGGCAAGCCAGAAGGTGGGAGAAAATATTAATATTTGTAAAATATCTTTCCAATAAATGCTTGTATCTAGATTATGTAAAGAACTCTTAAAATTCAATAATAAAAAATCAAAGCACCCAGTAAGAAAATGGGCAAAAGACTTGACACTTTATCAAAGAAGATATACAACACACAAGTACACGAAAAGATGTTTAACATCATTAGCCATTAGGCAAATGCAAATTAAAATCACAAAAGATACCATGACACACCCACTAGAAGGGCTCAAATTTAAAAGACTGACAATACCAATTATTGGTGAGGATGTGGAGCAACCGGACCTCCATATACTGCTAGTGAGAATGTGTAATGGCACAGACACTATGGAAAACAGTTTATCAGTTTTTTAAAACCTTAAACATACACCTACCACACACACAGCCATTTCACTCCTACGTATTTATCCAAGAGAAATGAAAGCTTATTTCCAGACAAAGACTTGTACATGAATGTTTATGGCAACTTTATTTTAACAGCAAAACAGGAAACATTCTAAATTTCTATCAACAGAAGAATAAACAAAATGGTATAGCCATATAATAGAATATTACTCTAATTAAAAGGAACAAACTATTGATATACAAAACAACAGGGATTAATCTCAGAATCACCATGGTGAGTGAAAAAAAGCTCCACCAAAAAAAAAAAGAGTACATACTGTATAACTCCACTTACATAAAATTCTATAAAATGCAAAGTAATTTATAGTGACAGCATGTCAGTTGTTTTCTAGGGTGTGAGTAGAAGGCGGGATGAGTTTCAAATGAGCATGCACACACTTTGGAGAGTGAAATAGTCTTTCTATTAATTGTGGTGACGGTTTCCTTATTAGTTTCAAAAGAGCAAAGAGTACAGCTTAGGTCTATTCCTATGTCATATCTCATTAAATTGCACTTTTTAAATATGTGCAGTTCATTCTGTGTCAATTTTACCTCAAGGAAACTTCAAGTTACCTGCGCGTGGAACTGTTCACTATCCCTTCAACCACATTTCCTCATTCACAACCCACTCAACAACATCGTTTTAAAAGATGAGACGTCTGTCTTTGTAGTCTGGCATGCATCCATCAAATAAAGATACTCATTTTCTTCTAACAGAAAACACAGATGGATGTGAAGAGGTCAGGCAACAACAGAGCAGGTATTTGATAACACTAATTGGAGGACGCTGGGAGCACTGAAAATGGACATTTGACATTTCCTTGACATCTGACATTTCCTTGTTCTTTGTCATGCCACCTGGCCTAGTCCCTTACCTGGAATTGCTTTGGAAATCCCAAAGTCAACCTATCTTCATCAAATAATGCACTGTTCCAAGAAACTGCTTGAGTTGTCACATGGCTTTTAGCAAAAGCATATAACTCAGCTTGTTTTTTGGTTTATTTTTTTGAGACAGTGTCTCACTCTGTCACCCATGCTGAGTGCAGTGGCACAATCTCAGCTCACTGCAACCTCCACCTCCCAGGTTTAAGCAATTCTCTGCCTCAGCCTCCTGAGTAGCTGGGATTACAGGCGCATACCGCCAGGCCTGGTTGATTTTTGTTTGTATTTTTAGTAGAGATGGGGTTTCACCATCTTGGCCAGGCTGGTCTTGAACTCTTGACCTTGTAATCCACCCGCCTCGGGCTCCCAAAGAGCTGGGATTACAGGCGTGAGTCACCGCGCCCGGCCCAAAAGCATATAACTCAGCTTGTTTTCTATTGAGGCACTACCTGCTATTTAGGGGAAAAAAAAAAAGCCAGTATCAATCTGTTCTTTCCATCTGAATCATAGATACAGGTCAAGTTCTACTCTCTCCAGGCAATCAGCCTTCCTTGACCCCTCTAGAACCTGCTCATCTCCCTTCTTCCCTGACATCTGATCTATACAGAATTCTTAGTTTGTACCACACAATTTCTCATTATAATTGTTAATTTTCTTACCTACTATAGTGAGATTTCTTCTATTCTTCTCCCCAAATTCCTGGCTTTGCCTATAATAACCTCTGCCCACAGTCTACTCTCTTAGGGAAATACTGAGGAAGAAGCTTTCATGCTAATCATTACTCATATCTCCTCCTGTCCCTTTAAGAGATATAAACAATGCTTGGGGAGAAGATTGGTGTTGGTGCATGACCCAGACTCTGGCTAGTTCCTTCTCTCAGACAGAGCTGCTTGCCCAGAAGCAGAGCACATCCGTTCTGGAGCTCAGCATGCAGTTCTCCAGCTGTTCTGCCTCCAATGGTGTAGACACATGAAATTGCGGGGGAGGGCAGGAATGTTACAGGCCCCAGTTTGGTCTTGGGTCCAAGCCACATTCCTCAACCAGCTTGGTCAACAATACCACTGATAATACATTTTAATCTCCCATCAACAGGAAGGAATGGGGGGTATGATTAATTAGTGCCACTAACATCCAAAATGCTTTTCCTTCCTTTATTTGACTGTCCAAAATGTCTACCCTTCTGAGTCGATTTCTTTTTTTTTTTCTTTTTGAGACAGGGTCTCACTGCCACCCAGGCTAGAGTACAGTGGTGGGAATCTCGGCTCACTACAACCTTCACCTCCTGGGCTCAGGTGATCCTCCCACCTCAGCCTCTCGAGGAGCTGGGACTACAGGTGTGCACAACCACGTCCAGCTAATTTATGTATTTTTTGTGAAGATGGGGTTTTGCCATGTTGCCCAAGCTGGTCTCGAACTCCGGGGCTCATGCAATCACCCACCTCAGCCTCCCAAAGTTCTGGGATTACAGGTGTGAGCCACCCCGCCCCGCCAAGCTGATTTCTTATTCATGAAGTCTTTCACAATTCCTGAGGCCCTGATTAATCATTTTCTAGTCTTTGCCCCAAAGTATTTTTGTACCCCTTCCATGGTATTTATTCTACTTGTCATTCGAGTAAATATGTGTATGTATATATGTATCTTTTGACACTAAATTATTAAGTCCTTACGGGAAAGAACTAAATCATATCCTTGTTTCAACCAATTCAGCTTAATTTTTATGTACATTTAATCTGAATTGTCCTTGTAATTTCATGTTTAAGGTTTGTTTTCATGCAGATTGTAGGTTCGACAAGAAAGACATTCACTTCTTGTTAACTAGTGTATCTCTTCCACTAGCATGGGGCTTGACACAGAATAAATGCTCAGTAAATATTGTTGAACTGAGTAATACTTTCTCTTACACATTTAAATCCATGTTTATTAAATATTTGTTGGGTGACAATTGATAGCTTGATTGATTGATGGGAGACAGTGATATGCAGAAGACAACTCTAAAACCAAAGTGCCATCTTATTTATTGCAAAATAACCACAATCAAAACAACAACAGCAAATTCATGCTTCCTTTGAAGATAATGTTAAAAAGATAAAAATTATTGCCTTACCCACACTACACATTGCCCGTTGGAGTTTTCACATCTATATATTACTACTCTATTTAGTGCGTTCAGGACAAAGAATAAAATAAAACACAATTTGCATCATCACTGACTGCTCTTGTTTTAAAATAATAAATTTCTAATTTTATAAACAGGTTTTTCACATTGCAGACGTAAGAAAATCTGGGTGACAGGATCCAACCAATCTAAAAGAGTTCTGAAATAGTGACTCAGCGAGGGTGCAAACTACAAGGGCAATCAGACCTCTAACAGCTTCTGCTGTGTTGTCTGCTATTGCAAAAAAATAGGTCAGATATTGGAGTGCTCTGCTGTCCAGCACAACAGAAATTGGTGCCTCTTGGCCTCACAGAGGTCCTTTGAATTACCTCCAATAGCTAAGTAGCACTATATGATATATTTTTATTTTAGATGCTCAAATTTAGGCCTATTAGCTAATTGATGAGAACGGGAGGGGAGAAAAAGAAATCTCAGGAGAGCATCTAATAAAAATAAATATGTGTCTAGCAAGTTACCACGACTACTAATCATCCTGTCTTATGCTGCGTCCTTTGGAAATGATGTGTCTGCCCTCTAGAAGCTTACAGTATGGTCAATTTATACAGAAACCATTACCAAGCAAGATGAAGTGAAATATGAGGAAGTGTGGAGTTTGTGATATAGCCAATCAGAACAGAGAAGACAGATAACACTCTGGGAGGTCAAGGCAGGCAGATCACTTGAGCCCAAGAATTTGAGACCAGCCTGGGCAATATGGTGAAACCCTACAAAAAATACAAAAAAATTAACCAAATGTGGTGGTGCACCCCTGTAGCCCCAGCTACTGGCAAGGCTGAGAGTTGGGAGAACTGCTAGAGTCTGGAAGGTTGAGGCTGCAGTGAGCCGTGATCACACCACTGCACTCCAGACTGGGCAATAGAGTGAGACCCTGTCTTAAAAGAAAACAAAATTATTGGCTAGGCACGGTGGCTCATGTCTGTAATCCCAGCACTTTGAGAGGCCAAGGTGGGCGGGTCGCTTGACCCCAGAAGTTCGAGACCAGCTTGGGCAACATGGTGAAACCCCATCTCTACTAAAAATACCAAAAAAAATTAGCCAGGCACATGCCTGTGGTATCAGCTACTCGAGAGGCTGAGGTGGGAGGACTGCTTGAGCCTGGAAGGTAAAGGTTACAGGAGCTGTGGTTGCACCACTGCACTCTAGCCAAGGCAGAGCAAGGCCCTGTCTAAAAATAATAATAAAATATAATTGAATGTATAGCCATATTCTTCACTATTATCATGTAGAACTCCCTCAAAGTTGTTGAATGTTACAGAAGTTTTCTACGTATTTACATGGAAAAAGATCCAAAAATATAGTTACATCAGAAAAGCAAAGTATCAATATTTATAATATAACCCAAATTTTGTAAAATAAATGATGTATTTGTTATATATACTATTTTAACATATATAAATGCATTATGACATGTTCATTTAAAATCTAGAGAACTACAAACTGTATTAATAGTATTAACTTAGGGGGAAGGCTTTATAAGAATCTTTTCACTGCCCATATTATGTTTCTGCATTTATGATGAGACTGTATTACTTCTACAACATGAAAAAAATTAAATACTCTAAAAGAAAGCATTACTCAATAAAATAAGAGACCACAAAGGAAGGTTTGGAACAGTGTCTCCCCAGATCCATTATGTTCAGAATCCCCTGGGATTGCTGTTCACAAGAGCAGGCCCTATAGAAAGCTCCATACTACACAAGTACAAACCTGAGCTCATCAAACTGCATTTAAAGCTTTATTGTTCCACCTTCATGGGCAAAAGAAGATACCATTTGTGCCTGCCTATATACGATTTCAGCAACATCTTTAGATGACCTGACCAAAAAGCAATCTCTGGCTCTCACTGGAAAAAGGAAGGAAAGAAGGAAAAGATAATCTCTTAATCGTCTGTAATGTGGCATTCTGTGGCACATTAGGTCAACCCATTCAAACTCTACAACTTTGTAAAATGGATACTATAGCACTTAATCGAGATGAGGAAACAGAGTCTTAGAAACATTAAGTGACTTGGACCAATCTACCAGACTCCAGAGCCTAGGTTATACCACGTTGTAGCTCAACCGGGACTTAAGAACCTAAGAATTTAAATTAATAGCAGTATATTGATTTAAATTCATACTAGTGTACAGACAAAAGGCTATAATAATGCATTTAACATATGTTCTGCTTTATGATTCACAAAGCATTTTTCATCCAGGTTATGTTTTATTTTCTGCTTATAACAAGCAAGCTTATGAGCAGTCAGACAAGCATCACTGCCTCCATTTTACATATAAGGAAATGAACCACAAGAAGTGGCAAATGACTAATCTCTAACCCTTTTCTGAAAGCAGAGGAAAAAGGAGAGAGGGAGAGGGAGATGGAGAGGTGGAGAGGGGAAGTGGGAAGAGGAGAAGACAGGGAGAGAGAAGGAGACAGTGCCCAGGAAAAGGCAGCTTCATGGGGTGGAATAGAAGGAAAATGTAAATAAGGTTGGCAGAAAGCCAATTTTGTCCCATGAAAAGAAACAGGAAAAAAAACAACTATGACATTACTAAGCATTGTGTACTAACCAACTAGTAGATGAGCAAATCAAATAAAGTGGATAAGCTGGAATGCAAAGCCTTTTTTTAAAATTTCAACTTAGCTGGAAGTCCTTAATTCTGATAAATAAGAGAAATTATAGATGATAAACGGATAAATAAAATAGAAAGATAAGGAGTGATAGGGAAGGAAGGTTACACTGAGTTTTGATCTTAAAAGATTTAGGGTAATTTTAAGAGGGTTTTAAGCCAATATTGGAATAAGAATTGTTTGATAACAACTGAGGATTAATCAGAAGATAAATATATTAAAATATTTATATTCTTCTAAATCTTGCTCCAAGTTATTTTCCTATATACATTACATTAATTGTTATCGTTAGTAATTGGAGATTTAGGATTTTTAGATTTGTTGAGATTATGGTTACAGTTTTTAGGGGTTTTTTTTGAGACAGGGTTTTGCTCTGTCACCCAGGCTGAAGTACAGTTTACGGCTTGCTATAGCCTCAACCTCCTGGGCTCAAGCAATCCTCCCACCTCAGCCTCCCAAGTAGCTGGGACTACAGGTGGGTGCCACCATATCCAGCTAATTTTTGTATTTTTTGTAGAGACGGGGTCTCGCCATGTTGCCCAAGCTGGTCGCAAACTAAGCTCAAGTGGTCTGTCCGCTTCAGCCTCCCAAAGTGCCATGACTACACATATGAGCCATTGTGCCTGGCCTGGTTACTGCTTTATAGAAAAACATAGCTATATAGCATAAGTAAGTTATGTTCTGCTGAAATCCATTATCTTCAAGACTATTCTCACTTGAATCAAACTCACAGTCATCCCTCATGGTACAGCTCAGACAGAAGTTCCCTTCAGGACACATTCCATGGTCACATTTTTTCTTTGTGCTTCTGTAGCACTGTACGCATAATCCTATCACATCCCTGGGTTTTGTATCTGCCTCCCACTCTCTACTGTAAGCTTTTTCTGGGCCAGGATTCTGTCTTATCCATCTTTGTATCCCTAGTGCCGGGCACAGTGCCTGACGCATGGTCAGTTCCATAAAAGCGTGCTAAACTGCTGCATCATCGAGTGCCCTCCAGTGTGGACAGGTGACCATCACCTAGGCACCAGCATCCACCTGGTGGCAGCAGCCCCACGGTGCAGCACATCAAGGAGGAAGTTAACAGTTTCCAGGGAGTTGGTCTTAAAAGCCTGAATCTGTAAAGTCATTGCAAATCTGTGTACTGAAAATCTAAATCCAGACAACAAAGAAGCCAGTTCACACGAGGCCCTAAGGCTTTTTGCCTTTGTGTTCTCAGAATCAATCACTGATGAAAATTACAAGAAAAAATTTTGGCCGGTGTGGGGCTCATACCCGTAATCCCAGTACTTTGGGAGGCTGAGACAAGAGGATCACTTGAGCCCAGAAATTCAGGACCAGCCTGGGCAACCTAGGGAGCCCCCATCTCTACAAATAATTTAAAAATTAGCCAGGCATGCGCCTGTAGTCCCAGTTACTCAGGAGGCTGAGGGGGGAGGATTGCTTGAGCCCAGGAGGTTGAGGCTGCAGCAGGCCATGATTATGCTACCACACTCCAGCCCGGGTGACAGAGTGAGTCCTTGTCTCAAAGACATTTTTAAAATTAAATAATATAAAAATTAAATTAAAAAACAAAAGGTTTTATAAATAGGTAAAACATTTTCACAGTACGATTAGTTTTTTTAAAAATAGGTCCCAAAAATAACTGTTTATATATCTTCTTGGCTATTAAAGAATAAATACTTGCTGAAGAAATTTTACCCAGAAATATTTTTTCTTACTGACCCAAACAATATTAGTGAATATAGCTAAGTTTATTATTGATTTTAAACTATCTTTAGGGATTTTCCAGTTATCACAGAATATGGTCTTTGATTTTTTATTTTAATGTAGAAAAGAACATTTTATGCGGGAGGTTCAGAAAATTCCTTTTGTTGGTTTCTGAGGTGGGGGGTCTCCCTATCTTACCCAGGTTGGCGTCAAATTCCTGGGCTCAAAGCATCCTCTCTCCTCAGCCTCCTACGTACAGAAACTTCTTAAGCAGTATTTTCATTTACATCTTATTTGAACATCATTTATCCATCAATTTCATAAAAATAAAAATTGAGGCACCTTCCTAATTGTGTTTCCACTTTGAACAATCAAAATAATAGAAAAGGATCCAGTCACCCTTGTCAAGAAGCATTTACAACAATGGAATGAAAGCTCTGCCCAGCCACAAATTAACTATAACACAAGGCACCAGGCCAAAAAAATTTCAGAATTCGCAGTGACTAAGGATTACTGTTCATACAAAGAGAGAGAGAGGAACTCCATTTCATCCTCATAAGCTCTCAATCGTGTTCTCAGAAGTCTTTAAGTCATGCTTTGCAGACACTTTATGCTCTATGGAAAGCACTAAATTAAAGTCATGTATTATTTTATAGACTCTCTCCATCTAGGCAGTTTGGGTTAAAATCATTCCCAGGTTCAGTTACATTTAATAGAACTACATTTTCCCAGCTTTTTAAAACTTTCAGCCCCCTCCCTAGACCACACCCCCACACACATTCATTCAAGCACACATCAGGAAATATTGATATGATGGGGACATGGTGACGACTCCCATTTTATTTCGCTCAAATTCTAGTGCCTTCCTGTACTTCAATCAATGTCTTCCACTAAAAGAAAACTCTAGAGAGAAAACAGTCATATTTTCCCCTTCCACCCATTGTGATACTAAGGACAATGCAATAGGAGTGTCCCTTTGTGCAAGCAAAGCCTACAGACAGCTTCCATATGTGCTGCCTTGGAGCTGGCTCTGGCTTTCTGGAGCAAGGCCGAGATTTAATGAGGCTTTCCATATTGAAGGTCACAATGGTGTGCTGAATAACAGGGTCTCTGCAGGAAACCACACATCAATCCTAAAGAACTGCATATGGCTCAGTGACAACTGAGAATGACCTCTGACAGCATTTCACAACACCAGCCATGCACACCCAGACATCTATCTCATGAGACCCTAGGGAAATAGGTGCTATACAACAGAGGATGCTCTTGTTCACAGGTAGAAAATTCTATAATCTATTACCTTCCGAAAACATTATCTTTGGCCTCTGCCTCCAAAAGTATCAGCCACCTTTGAAGTTAAATATTAAGGCAGAAGAAGAGAGAAGAAGGAATTCTAGGAAACATAATTTCAGTAACAAAAAAATTTATCCTTTTTAAACTGGAAAACTCAGTTACCCTGCTTCTATGAACTCTTGTTCTTAAAAAAAGAAAAAATGCACTCCTCTCTTTCCTCTACAGGCTATTCTTTCTAATAAAGTTATTTTTCTCCCTAAATTCCAGAGCTTATGCAGAGATATAAATGAGGGTGTCTTAGTCCGTTTGTGCTGCTTTAACAGAATATCTGAGATAGAGTAATATATAAGAAACAAAAATTTATTTTCTCACAGATCTAGAGGCTGGGAAGTCCAAGATCAAGGCACTAGCATCTGACAAGGGCCCTCCTGCTGTGTCCTCCAGAGGGGAGAAACACCATGTCCTCATATGGCAGGAGGCAGAAGGGCAAGAGAGAGCTTATTCCCTCCATCAAGCCCTTTCATAAGAGCACCTAACCTACTCATGAGGGCTCCGCCTCCCAAGTTCCATAAACATCTCCCAAAAAGGCCCCATCTCCCAACACTGTCACATTGGGGATTAAGTTTTAACCTATAAATTTTGGAAGGGATACAAACATTCAAAGCATAGCAGGAGAGCAAACCAATTCTTTTTCATGAGAATAGAAAACAAACAAACAGTAACAAAAAACAAACCCAACCAGCCCTAGATGCTAGTCTTGTTTCTGCTAGTCACCCCAACTCTCATGGATCCCAAGCTTCCTTATATATAAAATAATAGGGTTAGAACACAAGTGGGATCATAATATTTTGATTTCATAGAGATAACTGGGCTTTAGAAGTCGAAGAACCCAATAAAATTGTATGTAAAAATTTTTGGTGTACAAGCATTTTTCTAGGTCTACAATCTACTTTCATCAGATTTTCAAAATGGGCTAAGACTCAAAATTAGTAAAGAACTACTGGTTAAAACAATTTCAAAGTACAAAGATATAAACTGGAGAGTCTACAGTTCTAAGATTCTTTAGCTAACAACAGTGCAGGTGAAATTCTAAGTCAATTAGAAGAGGAAAAAGCCTACAAATTGTTATCCTTAGAGAATGGAGAAACTAAAAATACAGTTCATTCAACCTTCAACAAGCCTAAATGATCTGTAAGAGATTAAGGGGTTGTCTAAGCAAAGTTGAAGGGCCTGATACGTGCATTCCACTCTCAGCTGGAGACTTAGGACCACATATAAACAGCCATAGAAGTAAGCGAAGAGTACACCTAGTGCCCAGATCTTGGTTTCTAAATACTGTTCCCCACTAAAAGGTGGAAATCCTTAAAGATATGGCTGAGTTTTGGTGTGGGGCAGGAAAGATACGAGGTAGCCTGGCATACGTTATTAGGCTAAAAAGTAAGGAAGTGCTCAAAGACAAAATGAAATCATGTTAAAAGTGGACAGGAATTGGCTTGAAGGGTTTCCCACTGGCCAAATTTGGGACAATACAAGCATCAAAAAGAATAAAGAGGCTGGGTGCAGTAGCTCATGCCACTCAGCATTTTGGGAGGCCGAGGTGAGCAGATCACCTGAGTTCAGGAGTTCGAGACCAGCCTGGCCAAGATGGTAAAACCCTGTCTCTACTAAAAATACAAAAATCAGCCAGGTGTGGTGGCACGCACCTGTAATCCCAGCTACTCGGGAGGCTGAGGCAGGAGAATCACTTGAACCTGGGAGGCGGAGGTTGCAGTGAGCCAAGATCGTGCCATTGCACTCCAGCCTGGGCAACAAGAGCGAAACTCCATCTCAAAAAAAAAAAAAAAAAAAAAAAAGAAGAAGAATGACAGTAATAGATTATAAACATTAAAAATTTTAAATCCAGTCAGGCGCAGTGGCTCACACCTGTAATCCCAACACTTTGGGAGGCCAAGGCAGGAGGATCACTTGAGGCTAAGAATGCAAGACAAACCTGGACAACACAGTAAGATCCCATCTCCACAAAAAAATAAAATAAGCCAGGCATAGTGGCACATGCCTGTAGTCTTAGCTACTCAGAAGGCTGAGGTGGGAGGACTGCTAGAGCCCAGGAGGTTGAGGATGCAGTGAGCCATGCACCATTTGCACCATCTGCACCATTGCAGCCTGGGTGACAGGGCAAGACCCTGTCTCTAAAAAAAAAATTGTTTTTAATAAAAAAATTTAAAATCCATGAGTATAAAATGATGAAAGAAAAAGAGGCAGGGTAATCAGAGGGCAAATAAAAGCAAGGGGAGAAAAATACCAAAGACTTTTCTTTACAGGAGAATACTAGCTAATAAATGTAGAAGAAACAATACAATTTAAAAAAATCAACATTTTGCAATCCTCAGGTCATAACTCATTTAGGCAAGAATCATCAGTGGATGCAAAAGTCACTGGGTGAAAGTGATTTTTACATGGGGACAAAGATAGTCACATGGTCCCAAAGTATCACACAACATCTTCTTTACTATGAAAGTATCCATTCCCCAAACCTAGCTTTTTAGAATGAACATAACGTTGGATATTTCTAATTAAATGATATTCTGGTTAAAGGAGATTAATTTTTTGAACACCTGTAAACTTATGTTTTCAAAAAATTAAAGCATATCATTAAATATACACTCAGCATCACAGAAAAAGGTCCTCACATAGTGCACTGGGATTCTCAAGCTGGTTTTTGTCTCTCTCTGCTTCCCAGTGGCCAGCGGCTCCACTTAGGGATATTAGAGCCCACAATTGTTCTACTATCCCCTCCTAGACTTTACAGGAATGAAAAGCAACTCTTCCTCTACCAAAAGTAGGGAAAGACAACATAAGAAATTCTACAGGACAAATAACCATGTTTCTTCAACAAATGTTAAGAAAAAAAAGAGAGGCAATGTTTATGGATTAAAAGAGAATTAAGAAATATCTCAACCAAATGCAATGTAAGAAACTTATTTGGACCGTGATTTAAACAAAGCAACTATAAAAAGACATCTATAAAATAGAAAAATTGGACTATAAAAGGACATTTGTGAAATAGGAAAATCTGAACACTGACTAGATATTAGATATTAAGGAATTATTATTATTTTTAGGTGTGATACCAGGACTGTGATTATATTTTAAAAGAGTCCTGTTCTGATAAGACACATAATGGAGAATTTACAGATAAAATGATATAATGTCTAGAATTTGCTTTAAAATACTCCAGCAGGGGTGGGATATACACGAAACAAGATTGGTCACATGCTGATAACTGTCAAATCTGGGTGATGGATTCACAAGGGTTTATTATACTATCTCTCTCTACCTTTGTGTATGTACAGACATTTCCATCATTAAAAAATTATTTTGGCCGGGCACAGTGGCTCACGCCTGTAATCCCAGCACTTTGGGAGGCTGAGGCAGGTGGATTACCTGAGGTCAGGAGTTCAAGACTAGCCTGGCCAACATGGTGAAACCCCATTTCTACTAAAAATTCAAAAATTAGCTGGGTGTGGTGGCAGGCACCTGTAATCCCAGCTACTTGGGAGGCTGAGGCGGGACAATGGCTTGAACCTGGGAGGCAGAGGTTGCAGTGAGCCAAGATCACGCCATTGCACTCCAGCCTGGGCAACTGAGCAAGACTCCGTATAAAAAAAAATGATTTTAAAATAAGGAAGCCCTATTAGTTACAGATATGGACAAGGTGTGGTTAGTCAGGAAACATGGTTGTTCAGATTCTGGACTTATAAATAAGTGTTTTATTTCAGAAACCATTTACTGAATACAGTCTAGGTTCCAGCATCTCTAGAACTTAGGAATATCCAAGGGTCCCTTTAAGCACCATGGACAGTGTAGGGGGGGTACTACTGTGGTCTCTGAAGATGGATGCCCAGACTGGAATCCCAGGCCTTTCACCTACTAGCTGAGTAATTTGGGGCAAATTGTTTGACCTCTCTATGCTTCTGTTTCCTCATCTATAAAACGAGATTAATAAGACTGCCTACCTTCTATGGACTAAATTGTGTCTCCTCTGAAATTGATTTGCTGAAGTCCCTAACCCTCAACGTGACTGTATTTGGAGATGGGGCTTTGGAAGGCAACTGGGATTAGATAAGATCATGGTCAAAGAGAGGGGAGCTTCATGATGGAATTGGTGGGCTTTACAAGAAGTGGAAGATAGATAATTCTCTCCCTGCCTTATAAGGATACAGAGAGAAGGCAGCCTTCTGCAAGCCAAGAAGAGATTACTCACTACAAACTAAATAGGTCAGCACCTTGATCTCAGACTTCCCAGCCTCTGGAACTATAAGAAATAAATGTCTGTTGTTTAAATCGCCCAGACTATGGTACTTTGTTATAGCAGCTAAGCCAACTAATCCACTCCCTCAGCAGATGCATGTGAAGTACTTAGAACAGTGCCTCACACACAGTAAGCTCTCAGCAAATGTCAGCTCTTATTAACATTTATCCGTTGATCATATTAAAGGGAAATCTGTAATTTACACTCTACTACCATTGAAAATTTCATTAAAAAGACTATCTTACTTCGATAACTATTAAACATTTTAATGCCATTCCAGATTTCCTAAAATTTAACGGATGTGGCATTTAGCTGTGACACATCTATGCTCATAACAGTTTGAGGAAACATTATGTTCCATCGTATTAATTGACAAAAAAGATACCAAGATGCAGAATAGCAAGAAGTCACCCCAGCTGCCCTTTAGTGAACCAATTTATTTGGAAATGCATTCTGTCCTCAAGCAATATTTCACTGATATTCATCCATGGATGTAAGGTCACACTACCATGAGTAGGGCTGGAAAATGCAAATCACACTTTCTACTATTGAATTTTTGAAATATAATAAAGCTAAAGCACAACAAACAAGGAGGCTCTCCTGCCTGTCTGAGAGTGAGGGTTTGGAAAAATTGCTGATGTTATTGAGGACTGGAAATGAAGACAGTGGTAGATGTTGGGGGCAGAAGGAGATAAGTGCATCCATGAAACAAGTCAGGATCCACCTAGTAACAGTGCATAATGCATGTTTATCAGTGTCAGTTAAAATAAATGAAACCATGAAGCAGAAATCAAAAAACAAGACTCGAATCAGTGGTGTATCAAGCCCAGGGCAGTGGAAGTATGCTGTCCAGGTACAGGCAGTAAGGGGATATAATGTCTATAGAGAATTTGGAGGTTTTAATTTTTGCAAATTTTTTGCTTCTTTTTCCCCTTCCCTGCTTTTCCTGACTTTTTTTTTCTTTTTTGAATTTAAAAATTCTTTTTTTTTTTTTTTGGTCTACAATTTGGAGGTTATATGCTTTATTTCTTCTCTTAGTGGCTGCACTTATATTTTAACTTGTTTAATAAATTTAGTATCGCTAATCTCCTCTTGCACAATACAAGGACATTTTTTTTTAAAGAGATGGAATCTCACTAAGTTGCCAGGCTAGAGTGCAGTGGATATTCACAGAAGTGATCATAACTCACTGCAGCCTGGAACTCCTGGGCTCAAGCAATCCTTCCACCTCAGTCTACCCAGTAGCTGGGACTACAGGTGCACACCACTGTGCCTGCCTATAGAGAATTTTAAAACATGAAAAGCTGACTAAAACCCAGTCTGCTTTTAATTATCATCATGCACTGGCAATAGAAAACAATGTCCATGATAAAATATTCCTCCCCCAAAAAACCTTTTGTTGGTCTAGGTTCTAAACAATTGCTGCAATCACTGTCAAGTATTAATCATATACATATAAGCTTCAAATGAGCATGTTTTTAATTTTATATCTCTAATAAACATTTATTCTACAGATAAGTTAGTTTGCAGAATGCCCACTGATACATCTGTGGAAGTGGATTCAGCTACATTGATTCATTTTAATCTAGTTTTAGACCTCTGTTCATGTAACCCATCATGCTACATAGTCCTGCATTTATTCAGCATATTCCTTTTTTTTTCAAGACAGAGTCTTGCTCTGTCGCCCAGGCTGGAGTGCAGTGGTGCAGTAGTGGCTCACTGCACTCTCCACCTCCCAGGTTCAAGCAATTCCCCTGCCTAAGCCTCTAGAGTAGCTGGGATTACAGGTGCACACCATCACTCCCGGCTAATTTTTGAATTTTTAGTAGAGATGGGGTTTCACCATGTTGGCCAGGCTGGTCTCAAACTCCTGACCTCGTAAACAGCATATCCAAATAAACAATGATGGCTCAGTATTGTGATAGGAAGAAATAAAATTTCAGTTACTTCATTCCTGCCATTTATGTGACCATTTGACATTTTTATTTGCATTTAAAACAGTGAAATATTGCAAAATGTAAGGCGCAGTATTTTTGCTTGAGAAGTGCAAATTTTATTTTGCACAGGAAATATTTTACTGAATATGAGTATCTTTACAATTGAAATTTATTGTTGTTTTAATTAAACTAAAACTAAAACTAAAATATCAAGACAATAATGATTAGTACTGATATTAAATGACTATTTGCAAAAATAGTAATGTTATATGAAGAGGGAGTGTTAAAGAATGATCCAGTCCAGGTTATATATTCTAGGTATACCACTGTCTTTGATACCCTTCTGTTCTGAGATTAATCAGCAGTAGTTTAAAAAAATCCAAGACCTTGATAAGTCTCAGAACTAGTAGCGCTGACTGATGCTGTGTTCTATATGTGAAATGCAAGAACTGACAAACCTCTGTTATTCCGTGATATCACATGCTTAAACCAATGTTTTTAAAAGGGCAGGACAACCCAAATCAAATAGATAATTATCTTTCACAAAAGAAATATGAAACAAGGCCCAAACTGCTAACTGTTGGCATTAATGTGATTGAATCATCATTTATACATGGATATTTAAAACCATTCTGCTAGTTACTATGGGATTCTATCTATCTTATTTTCACATTAGATTTAAATTTTTTCAGGTAAGAAATCATAGACCTAAGCTTTATAATCAGAGTTGAAAGGACACTTGATTATTAGGTAATGAGAAGTTGGTAAAGATATTTAAGCAGGGAAATCGTATATTCTGAGATTTAACAACTTGTGTGAATTGATGTGAAGAAGGCTAAGATTTTCTGAAATTATTTGGTTGGCTGCGTCATAATAGATAACTATTTGGTAATTTCTTAGAAAATTAAACCATGCTTTCTCAGCATATTTGTAGTTAATTTTTTTTATTTTAAAACTAAGGGAATCATTCCTTTAATCAACAAACATTAATAAATCTTTGTTCTGTGCCTGGCAGTGTGCTTGTCATTGTGGGGTGGGCTTCAAAGACATATAGGATCAGAGTCTCTGCTATTCAAAGGAATGACAAGCACAAACAAATAATTATGAAAACATGACCAGTGACATCACAGAGATATATAAAAAAGGCTACAGGAGCAAAAAGGAGCAGTTCAAAGTAAGCTCCCAACCTCCTTGTCTTGCAGAGTTCTGGCATGCATGTCAGAATTAAGTATGTAACCAGTGAACACTGATTTAGCATCCACTTTTTCTTCACATCCAAGCAGTCTGATCATTTTGACTAGTTTCACCTTCACACAACCTATTTAATTAATTTCATCACAAAATCCTGAAATCAGAATGGTTTAGATAAACGACAAGGGGTAGTGCAAATAGTAGATTAAAGTGGAGTCAGCTATGGGATGGTGGAAAAAAAGGAGGGGCAACAATGCTTGTGTTTTGGAGAAGAGCACAGAGAGCAATGTCATCAACAAAGTATGGAGCAGGGAGAATGAGCAGATATGGATGAGACTCTCAGATATTTCTCCTTAGACATATTATGTATGAAATGCCTCTGGGACAACTATCTGCAAGCGTCCAATTAAAGCTAGAAAAGCAGGTGTGGAGTCATAAGAGAGGTGTGGCTTGTGGATATCTTTCCAGAAGTCATCAACTGAGAGATGAGGATTAAAATTGTAAAACTAGATGAGATATATAAGTGGAAAAAACTGAGAATAGGGCTGGGTGCGGTGGCTCACAGCTGTAATCCCAGTACTTTGGGAGGCCAAGGAAGGCAGATCACTTGAGCCCAGGAGTTCAAGACCAGCCTGGAAAACATGACGAGACATCATCTCTACAAAAAAAAAATACAAAAATTAGCTGGGTGTGGTGGCATGCACCTGTAGTCCCAGCTACTTGGGAGTCTGAGGTGGGAGGATCGCTTGAGCCCAGTAGGTGGAGGCTACAGTGAGCCATGATGGCGCCACTGCACTCCAGCGTGGGCAACAGAGGAAGACTGTCTCAGAAAAAAAGAAAAAAAAAAAGACTGAGAATAGAACTCAATTACATATCACTTTGTAACATTCCTTGAAAATTTACCCCATTGTAAAAAGTCTAAAACTTTCTAAACTATAGATTCCTATCTTTCACTTCTTTTGTCCAGAGTAGTGGTTAAGAGCATGGTCTCTGGAGATAGTTCTAACTCTGCCGTGTTTTTTGGAGAATTATATGAGATGATGCATATAAAATGCTTAGTACAATGTCTGGCACAAGGAAAGCACTCAGGAAATGCTAGCTACTATGTTGATGACGATGAATCCTCCATAAAGTTTACTACAGTTCTGACCATATGGCAGGAACTTAATAAATACTGGCTGTATTGTTCTGTATGTTTTCATGTCTCAATGGATGGCCCATATAAGGAGTATTTTGTTGATGTAAGTAAAAAATTATCCACTGTAAAATATAGATGGAACACTTTCTCTGATTATATGTACATAGAATTGCCACTGTATAAAAGAACTTGATGGAGAAATTACTGCACAGAAGGAAAACTATACTCTTGTATTCTTCCCCCATTAAGAAAACTGCTGCCTCTGATACTTTTCCTACTTTATTTTTATTTTATTTTATATATATTTTAGACAAAGGGTCTTACTGTGTTGTCCAGGCTGAGTAAACTCCTGGGCTCAAGCAATCCCTCCACCTTAGCCTCCCTAGTAGCTGGGACTATAGGTAGAAACCACTGCACCTGGCTTCTTTTCCTACTTAAACATTCTAAACATCCATGAACAAAACCAAAGTGAAACTCTGCGCTTCCTAATCATCCATTGCAATGAAAGATGAAAATGTTTAGGCAGAATTAACAATGTGTCCTCAAAGCTCCTGTAGTTTGTGGCTCGACTGCCCCACTTACTCACTTGTATGTAGTTCGCAGTATGTCAGTCTGTTCCTTCTCATAGATTTGTAGGATTATTGAAATCAAAGAATGTGTCCTCAGGATCCAACCCAGCACTTAGCATGCAGTAAGTATAGTACCAGTAAGTGTTCCTAAGTGACTGAACAAACAAATGAAAGCGCTCAGAAGCATGTAGGTGGGGAAACGGAGCCTTTGGATATACAAAATGAGGAGAGTGGGCCATGTGATCTCTGAGGTCCCTTCTGGTTCGTAAGTGATTAGCCTAGGGCTGATGTGTATTATCTTAACCCATTACATTCGTCTCCTCTGTCATTAGTGATAAAAGTCCATCAGTTGAGTAGAAACAAATGATACAGAGGACAGGCTTTGTTTTAGCAGTTTTAATATTCATAAAGCAGCCGGGCGCAGTGGCTCATGCCTGTAATCCCAGCACTTTAGGAGGCAGAGGCGGGTGGATCACCTGAGGTCAGGAGTTCGAGACCAGCCTGGATAACATGGTGAAACCCCGTCTCTACTAAAAATACAAACATTAGCTGGGCATGGTGGCAGGCGCCTGTAATCCCAGGTAACTTGGAAGGCTGAGGCAGAAGAATCACTGGAATCTGGGAGGTGGAGGTTGCAGTGAGCCGAGATCACACCACTGCACTCCAGCCTGGGTAGCAGAGCGAGACTCTGTCTCGAAAACAAACAAAAAACATTCATAAAATATTTGACTTTTATGGAAAATAATTTTGCCCAATTTTTGTATTATGTTAAAATACCCTTAAAATAAAAGTTACCATCTTAACCATTTTCAAGGGTACAGTTCAGTGGTATTAAACACGTCCATGATGCTGTGTGACCATCACCATCATCCATCTCTGTAACTCTTTTCATCCTGCAAAACTGAAACCTGTATCCATTAAACAATAACTCCCCATTTTCCTCCCCCCACCCCCTCCTCTGGCAATCACCATTTCCCAACCTCCTTCCAGCCTCTGGCAATCAGACTTTCTGTCTCTATGATTTTGACCACTCTAAGTACCTCATAAGTGGAATCACACAGTATTTGTCTTTTTGTGACTGGCTTATTTCACTTAGCATAATATCCTCAAGTTTCATTATGGAAAAGTAATTTGAAAAATAAAAAATTCGGGCCGGGCACGGAGGCTCAAGCCTGTAATCCCAGCACTTTGGGAGGCCGAGACGGGCAGATCCCAAGGTCAGGAGATAGAGACCATCCTGGCTAACACGGTGAAACCCCGTCTCTACTAAAAATACAAAAAAATTAGCCAGGCGTGGTGGCGGGCACCTGTAGTCCCAGTTACTCAGGAGGCTAAGGTGGGAGAATGGCGTGAACCCAGGAGGCAGAGCTTGCAGTGAGCAGAGATCGTGCCACTGCACTCCAGCCTGGGTGACAGAGCAAGACTCCGTCTCAAAAAAAAAAAAAAAAAAAAATTAAAAATTCGGCTAGGTGTGGTGGCTCATGTCTGTAATCCCAGCATCTTGGTAAGCAGAGGTGGGCGGATCACCTGAGATCAAGAGTTCGAGACCAGCCGGGCCAACATGGCGAAACCCTGTCTCTACCAAAAATACAAAAATTAGTCAGGCGTGGTGCCGTGCGCCTGTAATCCCAGCTACTGGGGAGGCTGAGGCAGGAGAATCGCTTGAACCCAGGAGGCGGAGGCTGCACTGAGCCGAGATCGTGCCACGCACTCCAGCCTGGGAGACAGAGTGAGACTCCGTCTAAAAAATAAATAAATAAATGAAAAAATAAAAAATTCTGTCACTTGGAAAAAAACAAAAAGAAGATGCACTATGTCACTTACATTTAAAATGCGTAAGTTTACTTACAATAAGGAGGCTTTAAAAAGATAGAGCACAGATTTGACAAACTTGATGAGGGTTGAAATTGATGCACCAGGGCCTGTGAACATCCAGTCCTTTTAAGAAATCTACTATGAAGCACAGATCCCTCTATAATGTTCTATATAATCATCATGGTGCAGTACAGAGTGAAAGGAGAAGGATCTATCATTGAAGTGCATCTCCATTACTTACTCTGACCTTGTAAAATGAACAGAATAATATCTACCCCATAGAAATGAAGACAAACATGCCTACAGTGATTGTGTAGATTGTGTAAAGGGTCTATCCTGCCATGTCTAGGCTCTAGAAAAAATTCTTCCATTTATTTTTTTCCTCAGGAAAGTTCCCTTTCCCTTATGCCATTAGGAGACCAGAACATCAAGGCTACCCTTTCTGAGTCAGAGCAGGAGTCATGTCACTCACAAACCTGGATTAAATAAATAGACATATCCACATGAGAAAGAAGACTTACAATCTCTTACAGCTTAAGCCTGGTGCAATTTATTATCACCTTCTGCACTACGCAGAGAAGATGACTAGGCTTGTTAGTTAAAGCAATTATTTAAGAGCGCAGGCAGAGAAAAACAAGGAGCTGCAAACACCTAACACTAACTGGCAAGAAGACAAATGAGCTGATCTTTTTGATTCTGAAAATGGGTCACTGTATCTTCAGCAGTAACCTCAGAATTCTAATGACTGAAAAATCCAGTTTATAAACCAGATAATGCTGACCAGACTAACAGAGCAGTAGGGATGAAAACAATTAACACTGGTCGTTCTAGCTACATTTATGACAAATGATTTGCAAGGGCTGAAATAATTTTGTTTCTAGTAAGAAAGGAAGTTTCTAAAATAGCATTCTCCTGGGTCCTCACTTCCTCACTCTTCTTAAAATTACTAACTAGGGTAGTAAATAACAGCAATGGGCTGGGAAGTTGATGACCCAAGTTGGGTTTCTGGCATATGCTTCATTACTGTAACCTCTTTGAATCTCCATTTCCTCCGTATGATTAGGTGACATTGGACCACATGATCTCTGAAAAATCTTCCAATACTAAAACTCTGAGTCTAGGAGAATTTTGATTTTTAAATGAATTTCATTTTATTAGCAATGCCAATCTCACATTTCTATTAATATAATGGCTTTGCTTTTAGGAGCACCTATATGATTATATTTTTCTAATAAGACAAGGGCAGCAATTATTTCCATCTACAAAGGAGGAAACTGAAACCAAGAGGTAAAGATGATTTGTCCAAAAGCCACATTGATATTCTGGGATTTAGAAAATGCAGTCATTTTTAAAAGAGGCAAAATTAATAGGTCCATAGTGAAATAAAGGTACTCTTAAAATTGTATAGTTCTACAACAATTTGGTCGTGAGGTAACTTAGGGTTATGATATGGGTTTGAAAGCTTCAACACAACTGTGAACAATTTCCAGTCCCTTTATAGAGGTAGACAAAAAAGGAAGAATCTCTGATCCTTTGAGTCTCAGTTCAAATGTCACTGCTCACCCCATTTCCTATACCCATTGGAATTACTATAAGTCAATTCCAATGACCTCCCACAACATTTTATTGATATCTTTTATAGCATATACAGCTTTCTTCCTTATTATAAATATTTGTACATTTTATCTCCTCTATTATACATTTCCTGCATATCCCCCAAATTGCTTGGAATAATAAATACTCATGAAATGAATGATTCTCCAGAACAATGGCTTTCAGATTTTTTACTATAATGCACAGGCAAGAAATATTTTATATTGTGACACAGTATACTGCATATGTAAATATACTACATATATAAATATAAATATGTAAATGCAACAAGTGTTGCACAAAATACAAGTCCTAACCAAATGAGATGCACTCTGATATACTCTAGTCTTTTCTATTTTACTTTATTTCATTCTTTTAATAATGATAGCAACTGACTATATTGATTATGCACCTCTAATGAGTCCTGCCCTACAGTTTGAAATAGTGCCCCAGGAAAGTTATTTTAAAAGAAAAAAAAATTAAGAAAAGGTCTGTTTTCTGAAATTTATTTTATAGATAATCTATCCAAAGTCACTCACAATCTACTTTGTCCATGTCTTCCTATAGATGTTGAAAAGCTAAATATTTATCTTCCCCGACTCCCTCACAGCTATACACAGCCATGACCTATTTCTGGCCAATGAAATGTAAGCAGAAGTCATTGGAGTATCTTCTAGGAAAGTTTTTTTTAAAGGGGCCAGATTCTTCTGGCATGCCCTTCAACCCCTGTGCCTTTCTTTCCCTTTTTCTTGCATGAAAAGTGGAGGTGATGCCATTCCTCCTTGCAGGCCCGGTTCTTATGCTTGCCAATAGGTGCCTATATTACAATAGGTGTGTATATAGCACCTATTGACAAGCGTAAGAACCGGGCCTACAAGGAGCAATGAAGGAACAGAAAGAGCCTAAATCCATGGCAACATAATTGAGCCACCAGATCAGCCATGGGTTGCCTACTCTAGACACTTTACATGTGAGACAAATAAAGTCCTTACTTGTTCAAGTCACTGTTAAGTTTTTGGTTACTTATGATGAACATACTCCAAATTAATTCTATATATAATTAATATTTTTAAGTCAATTATCCTTCACAGGAAGTAAATTTTTTAAAAAGGAAGACTGCCTTTTCTGAGATTAACTGTGGAGGGCCTCAAATGCTTTTATGTATACAAGAAAGCTTTGGAGATCTCCAGTTTAAAAAAATGCTTCTAGTGATCAGTCCAAGGAAAAGAATTCTTTTTGTGCGAATTCTAATCATGTATTCATTTAATTTCATCCCTGGGCATAGTGCTAGTCACTGAGGACACCACTAAGTATAGAACCCAACTCCCATCTCTAAGAGGTTTGACAGTCTGGTGGGAGAAGCAAAAATATATCAGATTTGTCCAATACTCTGAGATAAACGCTATGATGAAGTGCTATCAGGCCACCAAGATGACATAGAGTGTCACAGGGAACAAAAACTAGCAGATTTTGCTCAATCGTCTTAGCTCCCTCATTTCCCCTCTAAAAATACATTTAAAATATCATTTTTCAAGTGGAACAATGTGGAGAAGTATCTTCCCATGGCCTCCAATGGAATCCTTTTATAATCACTAAAAATGTCCCATAGAAAAGAAGTTCATTTTTTTCAACTAAATTTCTGAACAGCTTTTTGCAAACTAGGAAAAAGACTTACTGCCTATCATTAGACATCACATTTATTTTGCATTTGTCAGTTAAACTGGTGCAATTGTGGGTGTTAACTGACTTCTATTTTAGCACTTTGAAAAGATCCACAAACAAATATAACTGATATTTTTAGTCAGCAACACACAATAGAACAATAAACAGCAGACTACAGCAATAAGACAGTAAACTGTGTCAAATTTTTAAAAGATAAAGACAGAAACTCAAAAGAACACAAACCAGAAACAAGAATTTTTATTCACACACTGACTAAGTTAATTGAATCAAGCTATTAGAGCAAAGTCCATATTAAGATGCCACTGACCTCAGTACAGTGGTTTAACATTACAACCAGACTTTTTGAACAGATAGACGGTTAGGCCTACTGAAGTCTATCTGGGAATTTTTTTTTTTTAAGTCTTAAAACACCTTTAGTTACAGCGATTATATTTTCAAACCAAAAATTAATGGAGCCTAATTGTTGAAATTGAAACTAACCTAAAATCCAATAATGTGATGCAGCAGGACCCCTTAGCGGCCCATGGGGCCCTCCAAGCATAGAAATAAAGGAAAATGTTGAATTCCCTGAAGAGAAATGCCAGGCACCTAGCTAGCCTTGAAAACTAAACGGGCAAGCTGACAAGCAAAAAGGTAATAGTAACTTAAAACAATAGCCAAGGAGAGTCAGGGGATGTTTTCTACCCCATAGAAACTAAAGATAACATCTTATTATAACATATGTCCTTGAGTTAATTTTCAGAAACCCAGGTGTGCTGGCAGTGGACCTCAGACAGGGGGAGCCGAGGGATGAACTGAATGGTGTTCTTTGTTCTAAATTCCTTCCTGAGGGGTCTGGAAGAGGTCCCCCCAACTAGCCAGAGCTAACATTCCTTTCCGCTGATCCCAAATCTTTAGACAAAGCCTCCTCAACCAATTGCAAATCCAAAAATCTTTGAATCCTTCTATGATCTGGGGGTTTCCACCTCTCTCCCGCTGCTTAGAGATGTCCCACCTTTCTGGGTCAGAACAACCTGATTTACGACTTTGCCTGTAACTGCTGCCTCCCCACCTTTAAAAATCCTTACCTGAAAGCCATCTGGGAGTTGGGGTCTTAAGCATGAGCTGCCCGATTCTCCTCACTTGGTTCCCTGCTATAAATGCCTCACTTTCTCTCGCTGCTATCTAGATGTCAGCATTTGGCTTCGTTGCACGAAGCAAGCAGAATTCAGCTTGATTCAACAAATAATAACCCAATACCAGCAACCACCATGCCTGACTCCCGCCTAGCAAGAAGAAATGGGTGAGAAAGAGTGAAGAACTGAATCAAAGATTTCAAGCAGTATTGTTTAGGTGCAATTTCTACTTCAGCTCATAAGTGTCTTTTATCTCAAAGAAAAAAGGTTTTTGAAAAGGTCTGATAACCAGGACAGCTGGCAAACTGTAATGTATGCATGGTCGTGCTTCCTCTACTATACATCCTTCTGTCACTTTTATACCCTTTTTCTCCCCTCTTAGGGTTACCATGTAAGAACCAAAATTAATTCACATCTTGGGGTGAATTTAATATTTCAAACTTTTCAGGCTGGGTGCGTTGGCTCACGCCTGTAATCCCAGCACTTTGGAAGGCTGAGGCGGGCAGATCACTTGGAGGTCAGTTCGAGACCAGCCTGGCCAACATGGAGAAACCCTATCTCTAATAAAAATACAAAAAAAAAATTAGCTGGGCTACTTAGGAGGCTGAGACAGGAGAATCACTTGAACCCAGAGGGCAGAGGCTGCAGTGAGCCAAGATTGCGCCACTGCACTCCAGTCTGGGTGACAGAGCGAGACTTCGTCTCAAAAATATATACATATAGTTTTTAAACTTTTCAAATGACTTACATTTGGGGGGTTCATTTTCACTTTTATTTACTTACTTTACTTTTTTATATGTATGTTTCCTTAACACCAAAGTCGTATAAACACACAGTTTAAAGAATCAAGTAGTTCTATATGGCTCATTACACAAAGAGCTGTGCCCTCCTCCATCCCTTTTTCCTACTTCCCAGAGGCAACCACGTTCACATCTTTTAGTTGTTTCTTTCAACACTGACTTCCATATCTTCGAATGCAGTGTTGTATTGCAACTCTCGATTTTTGAGTAATAAAGATGTATTATTTTTTGACTTTTTACTATGGAAGCTACCCCCACCCCCGTCCACATCCATACCTCCTACCCTCCTGCTAGTTGTTCCATCATTTTGTACGGTTCTATATTCAGTGTTTACATCATTACTATATAAATGCTGCTTACCACTGAGCCATGTGGTATACTATTTTCCTTTTTTAATTTTTCTTTTAATCCCCTACTCTGAAAAGCATATTTTCCTTTTCTTGAACAACTCATCTTTCCACCCAAACTGCACCCTGAGTGACTAATTGTTTCAGTTTTGTTTTTTATGTATGCAACACCGATTATCTTCAAAATTCTCCACAAATTGTTTAAATCTTCTACTGAATTAGGCTGGACGCAGCGGCTCACACCTGTAATCCCAGCACTTTGGGAGGCCAAGGCAGGTGGATCACTTGAGGTCAGAAGTTTGAGACCAGCCTGGCCTACATGGTGAAACCCCGTCTCTACTAAAAACACAAAAATCAGCAAGGCGTGATGGCGGGTGCCTGTAATCCCAGCTACTCGGGAGGCTGAGGCACAAGAATCATTTGAACGTGGGAAACGGAGGTACCAGTGAGCCAAGATTGCACCACTACACTCCAGCCTGGGCTACAGAATGAGACCCTGTCTCAAAAAAAAAAATCTTGTACTGAGTTAAACCAATAATTCTGTCAATTTCATCTTCTTGGTGATATGGCCCTTGAAGACTCCTAATATGCTCAAATATGGACTACCCTGCTCTAGTCTAAGCCTACTGCAAAGCTATCATCTTGAGATTCTCCTTCACCATCATCCTGGGGATGCCCTTCACCTCACTTTCATGGTAAATGCACTATTTCCTGGTTTCCATGTTTTCCTCTTCCTTTTGACATCTCTACTTTGATGAGGCATATCTTCCAGTAAGTTCCTAGGAAGTAAAATTTTTGAGGCCCTGAATATGTGAAAACATACTTCTTCCACCCTCAGACACATTTGCCTAAAGACAGAATTTTCGGTTGAAAACACTTCCCTCAGAATTTTGAAGGCACTGCTCCATTTTCTTACTATATTTTTTTACTGCCTTCTTATATCTATGTGTTTCAACAGTGTTGGCAAGAAGTTTGATGCTTTTGATTCTTAACTTTGGGTATGTAACCTGATTTGCCCCTTTTTTTCTGAAAGCTTTAACAATCTTCTCTTTATCCCAAATATTTTGCAATGTCACACCAGGAAGCTTCAGGATGGGTAGATCCTTCTGCATCTATTATGCTGAGCGTTCAATGGACCTTTTCAATATAAAATGCATGTCCTTGCAGTTTTCTGAAATTTTCTTGAATTATTTCCTTGATAACTTACTCTCTCCCATTTGTCCCTCTCTGTGGATTTTCCATTATTTGAATGTTGGGCCTCATGGACTGATACTCTAATTTTCTTATATTTTCCCTTTTATTTTCCATCTCGTGTCTTTTTTTTTCTCTACTTGGTAAGAGGTTTCCTCACTGTATCTTCCAAACTGTTGATTACTTTTTTTCATTTACTTATGGAATTTTAATGTTTTTATATTTAATTTTTAAATAATTTTAAATTTACAAAAAGTTTGCAGAAATTTTACAGAGTTCATGTATTCCTTCACTCAGCCTTTCCTAATATTAACCTATATAACCATAATACAATTAGCAAAACCAATAAATTAACATTGTTACAATACTATTAACTATGAACTATAGACCTATTCAGATTTCACCAGTTTTTCCCCTAATAACCCTTTTCTGCTCCAGAATCCAAGCCAGTATCCCACATTGCTTTTAGCTGCTCTGGCCCCTCAGTCTCCTCCAACCTGTGACAGTGTGGGCGAAGGATTACCTAGGTGCCGAGGCAAGAGAGTGAAGGCACAAACTGTTTCAGTATAATAAAGAAAATAGAATAAGAATAGTCATAATACAAATTAGATATAGAGATGATCATGGACAATTATCAACCATTAGTATAAACGTTAATAATCATTAGCTTTTAATATTACTCTTCGTTGCATTACTAATATAACCTAGGAATAACCGGCGGGTATAGGGTCAGGTGCTGAAGGGACATTGTGAGAAGTGACCTAGAAGGCAAGAGGTGAGCCCTCTGTCACGCCCGCATAAGGGCCGCTTGAGGGCTCCTTGGTCAAGCGGTAATGCCAGTGTCTGGGAAGGCACCCATTACTTAGCAGACCACGAAAGGGAGTCTCCTTTCCTTGGAGGAGTCAGAGAACACTCTGCTCCACCAGCTTCTTGTGGGAGGCTGGATATTATCCAGGCCTGCCTGCAGTCATCCGGAGGCCTAAACCCCTCCCTGTGGTGCTGTGCTTCAATGATCACGCTCCTTGTCCACTTTCATGTTCCTCTCGTACTCCTGGTTCCGCTTTGAAGTTCGTAGTAGATAGAAGTAGAAGAAATAGTGAAAGTCTTAAAGTCTTTGATCTTTTTTATTAGTGCAGCATAGAAGAAAACGCTGACATATGCTGACTTCCCTCTCTGCTTCAGCTACCTAAAAGGGAAGGGCCCCCTGTCCCATGATCACATGACTTGCTTGACCTTATCAATTACTTGGACTACTCACCCTCCTTACCCTGCCCCCCTTGTCTTGTATGCAATAAATATCAGCGCGCCCAGCCATTTGGGGCCACTACCGGTCTCCACGTCTTGGTGGTAGTGGTCCCTTGGGCCCAGTTGTTTTCTCTTTAACTCTTCGTCTTGTGTCTTTATTTTTTACAATCTCTCGTCTCCGCACACGGGGAGAACACCCGCTAAGCCCCGTAGGGCTTGTCCCTACATGACAGGGACCTCGAAACTTTGGATGAGTACTAGTCAATCATTGTATTTTATATTCTCCCAATTTGAATTTTTCTGGTGTTTTCTCATGCACAGACTGAGGTTTGTGCATTTTGGGGAAAATACCAGAGAAGTGATGTTGTGTCCTTCACAATGTATCATATCAGGGGTATTAATGATACAGGATTATACCGGTGGTGGTGCTAATCTTAATCATTTGTTTAAAGTGGTGTCTGCCATGTTTCTCAACTGTAAAAATAGTATTTTCCGTATTTTCTCCCTTTGTAATTGAGAAGAGACAGCAGGCAGGCAGGCAACTAACTAGCCACTCTGACCAAAAGTAACTGCTCTGGATTAACTAGTTACTGGTTTTCACGTATCCCATCTAAAACAACATTTCAAAAAGGGCTCTTTTCTCTCTGAAAGCTGCAAAAATGAGTAGTTCTCCAGGGCAACAGGATGCCCCACATGCTTAGATCTAACATAGTCTGGGATCTGCGTACACAGTGTTGATGTGCATGGCTCCTTTTGTTAAAGAGGAAATGAAAATGTTGTAAGCAACTAGCGATGGCCTAATGTGTGAATCCCAACTTGGACAGAAATGCAGGTACCTTTCTGTGGATTAAGGGATTGATACACAAATGTGTCAGCTCCACAACCTGTAGCATTTCCTCCATCTGAATCAGCACATTCCATCCTTGTACCCCAGCAGTAAATGCCCATCTCAGCCAGGACAACCAAGTGCACTCTCCTTCCCTAAGGTAAAATGAAGATTTGGGTTGGATGATCTGAAGAAGCAGCTCTACCTTCGAAACTTGAAAAGAAGGACAGCTCATTGCCACTCCATGGGGTAGCCCTGAAAAGACCAATGGGACTGCCAGTGGTGGCCGGCCCTGGAAAGTCCAAAGGCCAAAGAAATGACAAGACAGAAAACTTTTGAAGTAAAGAAGAGAGCAAGAGTATCAGGTTAGAAACAAGAGGAGAGAAAAAAAAAGGATTAATAGTAGCTAAAATTTACTAAGCATGTATGTGGCAGATACTGTTCTAAGTGCATCATAAACTTAATATCCCTTTAAAGTAGGTACTATCACTGCCTCCATTACACAGAGGGGGAACATGAAGGCACTAAGATTGCTGATAACCTGTTCAAGGTCACATAGAAAATGGCCAATCCAGGCTGGGCGCCGGTGGCTCACACCTGTAATCCCAAATCTTTGGGAGGTGGAGGCAGGAGGATCATTTGAGGCTAGGAGTTAAAGAGCACCCCGGGTAACACTACAAGACTCCATCTCTGAAAAAAAACCCAATGTTTTTAGATTAGCTGAATGTGGTGGCACATGCCCGTAGTCCCAGCTACTCAGTAGGCTAAAAGGGGGGAGGATCGCTTGGGTCAAGGAGTTTGAGGCTGCAGTGAGCTATGGCCACGTCACTGCACTCCTGCATGGGTGACCGAGCAAGATCCCATCTCTTAAAAATAAATAAATAAATATTATGTTCACTGCCTCTAACAGATGCTCATGTGCACAGCTGGCAAGTTTCATCAATTATCCTTGGTGCCACCTAAGGCACTATTATCAGAAGTTGTACAGCCTTAGCATGAAAACAGAGCTTGGCTTTCAGTACGCCGTGTGCTTTTCTAGTAAATATATTTGTGCTTTTCCACCATGACAATTATCACAGCTCAATGGTGTTCATTAAATAGCCTCACGTTCTTGTACAATCCAAATGAGATCTGATTATTAAAGACCAAACTATTACAGAGGAACCAAGGAAAAAGAATAATGATTTCCCTCACAGTGTTCAGATAAGCCGGTCTGCTATTTGCTTTAGGGAACTATGTGACCTGCTCTGACTATTAAACAGCTTTCTTATGGCTGATGAGAAAATTCCACATAGCTAACACTGAAAGGGATGGCAGATTGCAGAATAAATCAATCTTGCCAGCCTTGGAACTTTCCACATATACTATTTAGATTGACAGTGACAGAAGGCCAAGAGAAGTAAAAGTCTCCTTCAATAAGGATGAGTGCTTTTAAACACTAGCAGTCTCCAGAGTTTATTTTTATAACTCTTTAGCGTAGGATCAACACTGGAGACTTGAACTCTGTGTCTCCTCTTACTGTGCTCTTTCAGTTGTTTACGGTTTATAATTCAGAGTCTTCCTAGGGCCGTTTCTGCCTCATGCAGGGGAAGTCTAAAGGAGAGGATTTAGCTTGAAGAAGTGTGGCCTGGGGACAAATCAGATTATAAAGAGTTTTAAAAAGACAAGAAGTCTGGACTTGCAAGTACAGTTGCCTCATCCAGGCCCCTGAATGGGAACCAAGGAGAAGGACACTGCCCAGCAAAATGCTTTATGCACCCTTTCACCTGCGCCTGGAAGTTCTACAACAGGAGACTAAGCTACAGCATAGTTAACTTCGATACACACCCAGCCACTTTGCAGAAAGCAGGTTTTAACGGAGACAGAGCTTGGGGATGGAAGAAGGTCACAAAAGGGATTACTTAGAGAAACTAAAAAAAAAAAAAAAATCTATTTCTCAACTTTGCCAAAGGCCAGCTCCAACCAAAAGCTCAAAAAGAAGCAATTACATTTTACAGGAATGAATTTGCAGAACAGCAAGAGCAGGAAAAAAATGTAATAAACACACAACAAACATCACAGATATTTCAGTTAGAATCATATTCCAGCTAATCTGTGAACTCAATAAATTTTGATGGAAAACAAAGCTATTAAAGGTCAGAAAGGATGCTGTCTCCACCTGAAAAAGACAACTTAGGTTTGCTACATTGAAAGGCATCAGATAATAATAATAACAACATAAATAATAATAGCCAACGCTTAACCTTGGCTTATAATGTAGGAGAAAACAAATTCTAAACCTATAAACTCACTTATGAAACCTCATTAACCCTCATACAACCATAAGATACGTCCCTAAATTACAGATTAGTATATCTATATATATGTCTCATTCTGTTGCCCATGCTGGAGCACAGTGGCATGATCAGGGCTCACTGTAGCCTCAACCTCCTGGCCTCAAGCGATCCTTCCACCTCAACCTCCCAAGGAGCTGGGTCTACAAAGGTATGCTACCGCGCTCGGCTAATTTTTTCATTTTCTGTAGAGACGGAGTTTTGCCATGCTGCCGAGGCTGGTCCCAAACTCCTGGCCTCAAGTGATCCACCCGCCTTGGCCTCCCACAGTGCTGGGATTACAAGCGTCAGCCACTTTGCCCTGCCAGCAAACATTATTTCATTAAAAATGAGAACAGATTGAATTTATACTTTGCAGATTAAACAACTTAGCCTCATTGAATCTGTTATTTTTACTCAGAATTGGAAGTAACTGGACGCTTTTAATTACTGTAAAGAGTCATTTGAAAGATCAATAATATTCTACAGGCAAGTATTTTCTATTTTAATTTTATAGCAGAATAGTTTTACTTACTTGGGGGCAGGTAGTTTTATTAGCTTTTTTTTTTTTTTTTTTGAGACGGAGTCTTGCTCTGTCGCCCAGGCTGGAGTACAGTGGCGCCAACTCAGCTCATTGCAAGTTCCGCCTCCCAGGTTCACGCCATTCTCCTGCCTCAGCCTCCCGAGTAGCTGGGATTACAGGCACCCGCCACCATGCCCAGCTAATTTTTTGTATTTTTAGTAGAGACAGAGTTTCACCATGTTAGCCAGGATGGTCTCGATCTCCTGACCTCATGATCCGCCCGCCTCAGCCTCCCAAAGTGCTGGGATTACAGGCGTGAGCCACGGCGCCCGGCCTATTTAATTAGTTTTAAAGCTTCTGTCCAGCATCCCTGCTTTCAGGGAAAGCACAGAGCTCGTGGAGCACAACCCACTGGGAACGTGCAGTTCCCAAGGTGGTAAGCAAAGTGAAGACCTCGAAGTTCTGAACTCCCTGCCTAAGAAATAAATGTCAAAGCTAAACAGAAAATGTGACAACTCATTATCATCCCTCTTAAAAATGTGTATTTGCTCCCTGTTGCTAAGTGAACAATCCAGAGATAATTTGTCTCTTTTTGGTTTTGTTTGTTTTTTTGTGTTTGTTTTTTGAGACAGGGTCTCTCTCTCTGTCGCCCAGGCTAAAGTGCAGTGGTGCAATCATGGCTCACTGAAGGCTTGACCTCCTGGGCTCAAGCAATCCTCCCACCTCCACCCACCAAACAGCTGGGACTATAGGCGCATGCCATGTCCAGTTAATTTTTTTATTTTTTGTAGATGTGAGGTCTATCTATGTTGCTCAGGCTGGTCTCAAACTCCTGGGCCCAAGCGATGCTCCCACCTCGGCCTCCCAAAGCTCCGGGATCACCGGCATGAGCTACTGCGCGAAGACAATTTATTTTTTTCGATAGTGAATTAAGAATAATAACAACGGGCTGGGCACAGTGGCTCAAGCCTATAATCTCAGCACTTTGAGAGGCCAAGGCGGGTGGATCACCTGAGGTCAGGAGTTTGAGACCATCCTGATCAACATGGTGAAACCCCGTCTCTAGTAAATACAAAAAACTAGCCAGGCTTGGTGGCACATGCCTGTAATCCCAGACACTTGGAAGGCAGGAGAATCACTTGAACCCAGGAGGCGGAGATTGCAGTGAGCTGAGATTGTGCCATTGCACTCCAGCCTGAGCAACAGGAGCAAAACTCTGTCTCAAAAAAATAAATAACATCAACGAATTGTGGCTATTTTGTGTTTTAAGAATCACAGTTATGCACACAAAAAGGTAAAGATATCTCCTCTTTTCTCTCATTCTAGGTAATGCTGGAATTACAAAAGACACAGAGAATCTCACTGTGTGAACTCTGCCAATTCCCTTATCCTTTATGGAATAATGTAACAAAATAATTAGTCATAGATAGAATGCATGTTTGTCTTGTGCAAGTAAAAGTAATCACTTGAGGGAGGGAACGAAAACTGCTTCTTATTCTTATGTTGTACCCTCATTTTGAATTATTCAAACCAGAATCTTAGCAGAAAAGACCCAGCTAAGATCTATTCAGAGGTTTTCCCCTCTAAGTTAATAACAACCTATGTTTCTCAGGCTGGTGTCAAACCACTGGGTTCAAGTGATCCTCCTGCAATGGCATCCCAAAGTGCTGAGATTACAGGCACAAGCCACTGCACCCAGCCCTCTTTTTTATTCACTCCTCTCCTACCTATCCCTTTGCCATGTCTTTGAGCAATGAATATAAATCTTCAATACAGTCCATATGGTACTGTTCTTTTCCTGAAGAATATGTGTACGTCTAGGCTGAGAACCCTTTCACCTCCAAGGAATTACATAAAATGGGCTTTTTAAAAACTCTGACCATTTATTCATTCATTCATTCCACAAATATTTATTGAGTTCAGGCACACTACTAAAAGCGAGGGATAGGATGGTAAGCAAAAACAGACTCGGTTTCCGACTTTCTCAGACTCAAGGGCTAGTACAGAAGAGAGACCCTAATAAATAATGGTACACAACGTAAACTTGCAACTGTGATGAGTGCTAAGGCTTTATGAGCACAAAGTAGGGGAGTCCAGAAAGGCTTCACTGAGAAAGTGACAGCTGGAGCTGAGCACTCAAGAATGAGACAAAGAGGGAGAGCTCAGACAGAGAGAACGTCAGTGCCTGTTGAGAAAGGAGCTCTGCAATTATGAAGTCCCAAAAGCCAGTGTGGCTGGCAGAGAGGGATCAGCAGAGTGTGAAGAGCAGGAGGGGTCGAATCCAGCAGACGATGTTAAACAGCTTTCACTTACAGGCAACGGGAAACCCAGAAGGGTTTTAAACAAGGAGGTGATGATGTGGGTTTTCAGAAAGTTCAGATACAAGATCACATATGTAATTGGCACACACTCTCTAGTTAAACTCTTCTGGTCTGTCATTCTAGGCCTGGACCCTATCCTTAACAGCACCAAAAAGGTAATTCGTTCAAATGGATGATCTGACTATTTGGTATAAAAGGAAGACTAGAGGATTGGGAGTCAAGGCTCCTGGGTTTTTATCTGTTTGGGAACACTGATCTAGTCATACGTTTCTCTACCCCCATTTCCTCATTTGTAAAATGAAGAAGGTGAATGCTAGGACCACTCATCCATGCTGGCTCTGATTAGAACGGAAAAAAGACAAACTTTAAAAAACCCAAGTAGTTAATAAACATGAAAAGAAATGCTGATATTCATTCATAATCAGAAAAATGTAAATGCATTAAGATTGGCAAAAAATCATTGCTGGCAAGGATACAGAACACCAGGAACTCATTCTATGAAGTGGGAGTGTAAATGGGTATAATCACTTTGCAGCAGAATAATTTGGCAGTATCTGGAAAGGCTGAAAATGTACACGCTCCAACTTAGCAATTCCACCCACAAATGCATGCCCTAAATAACATATATACACAAGGAAACATACACAAAAATATTCACAGTAGCATCATTTTTAGTAGGAGCAAGCTAGAAACAGCCTAAATATCAGCAAGAGATTAAAGAAATGTAGTATATTCATAAAATGAAAAACTATATAACAATTGAAATGAATGAAATGGTGCAATATATTTAGCAACAAGGACAAATCCCTAAACAAATCTGAGTGGAATAAAAACAGGTTGAGAAGGATACATGTAACATATGTTTTATAAAATGTTTAATATATGCACAATCGTATCATACATTGTTTAGTAACACATTCTTTTTTTTTTTTTTTTTTTGAGACAGTCTTGCTCTGTCACCCAGGCTGAAGTGCAGTGGCGCAATCTCAGCTCACTGCAAACTCTACCTGCTGGGTTCAAGCGATTCTCCTGCCTCAGCCTCCCAAGTAGCTGGGATTACAGATGCCCACCACCACACCCAGCTAATTTTTGTATTTTTAGTAGAGATGGGGTTTCACCATGTTGGCCAGGCTGGTGTCAAACTCCTGACCTCAGGTGATCCACCTGCTTCAGCCTCCCAAAGTGCTGGGATTATAGGCGTGAGCCACTGCACCCGGCCAACACATTCATTTTTAATAAAAGTACAAAGATATACACAGACGCCAAGTGCCAAATTCAACACAGCAGTCTCCTCTAGGGGAAGGGAGAGAAATGTGACCAGGGAAAGGGCTTAATTTATAATATTTTAATAGCTTAAAGTAGGTGGGGGATACACAGATAATTATGTTTTTTTAATGTGGCTGTTTGTATCTGGAAAATATAACAGCAACAACAACAACAACAAGGACAGGAGGAAGGGGAGAAAATCAGGTTGTTTTCCTAAGTCAATTTTGCCAAAACAACAGAGCCTAATTATATATAAATATATACTTGGGAAGAAAAGGGGTTGGACCCTGCCTTTAACTAGAAAGCAAGAGGCTTCTCTATAAATAAGGAGACTGCAACAGATGATGCCTAAGATCCTTTCCAGATAGAAAATTCCACTTCCCTATTCTACTGCCTCCCCACCTCAACTGGGGGTCTGGCACTGGCAATAGAGGGACTAAGACATGGTTTTCCCCACAGAGATCACATTTAATCCAAGTTGAGGTTTTAAAACTTGCATTTACTTACTTCCCTCTAAAATCTTGTTTTCATTCTCTTGCTCACACTTGATATAGATATTCATTTGCTGGGGCTGCCATAACCAACTACCACAAACTGGGTGGCTTAAACAACAGAAATGTACTCTGTCAGAATTGTGGAGGCCAGAAGTCCAAGACCAAGGTGCCAACAGAGTTGGTTTCTTCTGAGGCCTCTCTCCTTGGCTTACAGAAGGCCATCTTCTCCTCTCTGTGTATGCTACATCCAAATTTCCTCTTCTTATGAGGATACCACTCATACTGGATTAGTGCCTACTCTTATAATCCCACTTTCACTTAATTACCTCTGTAAAGACCTTATCTCCAAATATGGCCACATTCTAAGGTACTGGTGGTTAAAACTTCAACATACCAATTTTGGTGGGGACCAAGATTCAGCCCCTAACAATAGGGTGGCCCTAAAATCTTCCTATTGACAGTTTTATGAAGGTTTGTGAAGGGAGGCAGTAAAGTTACTCTAATTCTGTAACTATTTGCTTCTTGTCACTAAAATGTCAACCTTTTTTGCAATTAACAAAGGCACAATTATTATATAGAGCTGCTCAGAATGAAGTAATTTATTAAATTTAGCTATGTATGCTATTCAAGCGAGATTAATTCTTTCTGATGTTGAAATTAAATAGTTGTCTTTCCACCCCTTCCCCCCCGTCCCCGCAAGATGGAGTCTTGCTCTGTCGCCAAGGCTGGAGTGCATTGGCATGCTCTCGGCTCACTGCAACCTCCGCTTCCCGAGTTCAAACAATTCTCCTGCCTCAGCCTCCCAAGTAGCTGGGATTACAGATGCCTGACACCATGCCTGGCTAATTTTTTTGTAGTTTCAGTAGAGACAGGGTTTCACCATGGTAGCCAGGCTGGTCTCAAACTCCTGACCTCGTGATCCGCCCGTCTCGGCCTCCCAAAGTGCTGGGATTACAGGCATGAGCCACCGTGCCTGGCCAGTTGTCTTTATTTTAACAGAAATTCATTCATTTTCTAGAAATAATCCTGTTGGAAAAACAACACACAACTGGTTTCAAGGACCAACATCTGGTGCCAAAAATGACACACATATGATTTCTCCAGGATATTATTTCAATGGTGTCTGCTAACAGAGAGATGTCGCAGTTTCAGAGTTAGTCCATAGCAACACATGCAGCATTGTATGATGCACAGTTGGCCAGCCTGTCCCACTTCCAGCATGGTGCTCACTTAATTTAGCCCAGTGAGTGACAAATTGAACTCTGTTGGCTTGGCCCACGAAAGTCTCAATGTCTGCTAACCCACACAGAGCCTCCTTTCTTGAGCCTGTAAGTCATGGGAATGGGAGCCAGGTCTCATTAGGGCAAAACCATCAAAGGACACTGGGAATCATGGAAACCAGCCATTTCGGAACAGTCAGTATGCCAAAAGCCTAAAATGCCCCAGTGTGAGCGGCTGAAGGATACTGTTCCTCCAAGCCACAGACATATCTATTTTTAGCTTGGGGAAATTGTGGTTTTGGCCAAGTCATACCTTACAACAAAGGCAAGTGAGTACATCATCAAAGCATGTCCCAAAAGAACAGGTATCTATTAGGTCCAACTTCATTTGAAAAAATAAAGGAGTCAGAGGAAACAGGGAACATCAAATACTCATGACAGATCCTGACCCCCAAAATTGTACCTGAATAAGGTAGTCACTGGTAGACAAATACAAGTCCAGTGTACCAACATCTTCCATGTGACTCTGAAGGTAGCTACAATACTCTTGAAAGACAAAGTTTTCAAAATAAACTTTGATTATTCAGAGGTCCACAGTCACCCATTCTTCAAGTGAAATCTAAACTGTCACCTGTTCCTCAATGAATGGTCACTGAATCTACACAAATGCTGTTTCTAATGTAATTAACAGGAATTCAGCAGAGAGTTCATGCTGTTTACCTTGGTAAAGAATAGATCCCGGGCTGGGCACCATGGCTCACACCTGTAATCCCAAGCCAAATTTTAGGAGGCCAAGGTGGGGAGATCACCTGAGGTCAGGAGTTCAAGACCAGCCTGGCCAATATGGTGAAACCACATCTCTACTAAAAATACAAAAATTAGCCGGGCGTGGTGGTGCACACCTGGAGGCTGAGGCACGAGAATTGCTTGAACCCGGGAGGCAGAGGTTGCACTGAGCCAAGATCATGCCAGTGCACTCCAGCCTGGGTGACAGAGCAAGCCTCTGTCTCAAAAAAAAGAATAGATTGCACCAAGTTTCAATGTGGAGGTCTCCTGGGAAACAAGGTGTTAACCCCTGGGAATTATCCTGTTGGCACTTTAAGTTCTTGTTATTAGTAAGTGGAAGAAGTAGAGTTTATACCAGTTTTTAAAAATGAATAATGCTTTAAATCTGTGACAACTAAAATTACTCTTACAGAGTACATCAGAAAAACCTTCAGTAATTAATTTGCTTTTTTAAAGTTATCACACTTTGTAGAATCACCCAAGACCATAATATTTATTTACATTTTCCCGAAGTAGTGTAAATGTATATATAGTTAACATTAGACTTACCTATCGCATATGAAAATAAAACCTTCAAAAAATTTCAAAATTTCATATATGAAAACACAAAAAATCAAGGCAGAATTTTCAACCTGTCCATACCAGAATCTATCACTCTACTGTACCAGAAAACCTTAAGTTCTTCCTGTTTTTCCTATTATGCTTTTGGTGCCAGCTAATTTGACTTCAATTTCAAAGTAAATTTACTAAGTCCCCTCAATGTCTACAGTAACACATTTGTCAAGTCAATGTGCTTAAAGCACAAGAATTTCAAACTGGAAAGTCTAAGTTCACTGGATTTCCCAAAGAGCATTTAGAAAAATATTTTACAGAAACAGCAAAAATCAAACCTATAAGCAAAGCATTTATAGTTTTAAAAACTTTTTGGAAAACTAAAAATACATACCAATTTTTTTTTCATTCTGGGTTTCCTTTAGTAAATTTAAGTGTTGATTTACAGAATATTAACAATTTCAGGAGAGGGATACACCAAAGAGATAATTCTTTAAAACAGTTGCCAACTAAAAACCAGACCATAAATGAAAATGCTACTTCTCTGAAATTATTAACGACAGCAATCATTCCATCCTGTTCTCTATCCCTTCCTTTTTTCCCTCCCACTCTCTCCATCTAACAATTCCTTGATCCCATTGGACCTACATGCCATTGACCCTTTCACCATTGTTCACTATTTTCTTGTCCTCAAATTTCTTAGCCAGCTTAGATCCATAGTCTATCATCACAATCATGTCCTTGCACACACCTTCACCTCCCTAGCCTCTCTTCTCATTCCATCTGGCTTACCTGTCTAAACACTAAACCTAGCCAAACCCAATCCCTACCTCTTCCACAACTGTACAAGTGCTTTTGAACATGGCTAGAAAAACACACTCAACTAGACTGACAGGTCACATTCTCCCATCCAAGTACTAACCAGGCCCGACCCTGCTTAGCTTCCGAGATCAGACGAGATCGGGCGCATTCACGGTGGTATGGCCGTAGAGGACAGGTCACATTCTCAACTCACAGTCACTAACTTCAAGCAGCAGAGCCCTTACTGCAGTTAAGCAATCCTAACACCCTTCCACACCATTCATCTTCCACTCTCCCAGAAAACTATTTTGTACCTCACCCTCTTGTTTCAAATCCCCAACAGGGCCTCCTCCATCCTCACTCTCAGCTGATGATAGAGCCAAAAGCCCTCACCACTACTTATACTAATCTGCCTGTAGCTGGGCCCATGGACAGTATTCTGCCTTCCCTCCTATCACTATGGATGGCACGTCTGTTTCCTTGTCTAAGGCCAACCTCCAACTTTGTGCACCAGGCCTCATCCATTATTATCCATTCAAGGGCACAGCTCCAGAAATTCTACCCAATTCTTCTACATCATTAATTTCCTTTCTCCACTTAAGCAACCACTAGCAAATGGGAACAAATAAACATGTTGTTTTCCATCTTTAAAAAAATAACTCTTGACCCTTGTTTCCCTTCTATGGCTTCTATTCCACTTCTCTGTTCCACATTACAGTAAAACTCAAAAAAGTTTTCTCTACTTATCTCCAATTCAACTCCTTCTATTATCACTTAAGCTAATTCCAGGCCATCTGTCACCACCACTGTTCCATCGAACTGCTCTTGTCACTGTCACCAGTGACCTTCATACCACTAAATCCAATGGTCACTTCTCAGTCCTCATCACACTCGACCTCTCAACAGCATCTGAAACAGAGGGTCATTTCTCTATTCTCTTTTTTTTTTTAAGACAAGGTCTCACTCTGTTGACCAGGCTGGATCTACTATAGGTGCACTCCACCACGTGCAGCTAATTTTTGCATTTTTTGGTAGAGATGGGGTTTCACCATGTCATCCAGGCTGGTCTTGAACTCCTGGGCTCAAGCAATCCACCTGCCTTGGCCTCCCCAAATGCTGTGAATACAGATGTGAGACACCACGCCCAACCCATATCCTCTATTCCTGAAACACTTCCATCTTTAGGCTCCAGAACTTCATCATCACTACTTCGCAGGCTTTTGCTCAGTCTAGGCTGATTCCTCTTCATATCCCAAGCCTGTAAACATTGAAGTGCTCCAGAACTTGGTCCTTGAACATCTTTGCAATTGATTCTTGCTCTCTGGGTAACTTCATCCAGTCTCATGGCTTTAAATATCAACTATATACTGATGCTTCTCCAATGTATGTTTCCAGCCCAGATCTCTCCCTAAGATTCCAGCTTTATATATTCCTCTGCCTTTTCTACATCTCTACTTAAATACCTACTATGTCCAAAACTGAACCTCTGATCCTCCCCTGCAAACCTGCTCCTTCTACAATCCTCCTCACCTCAATATATACCAAACCAACTCCACCCTTCTAATAGCTCAGACAGAAAACTCTGGCATCATCCTTGACTCTCCTCTTTTCTCTCATCTCCCACATCCAATCCTTCATCAAATCCTGTTGGTTCTATCTTTGAAAATATGAAATATATAAAAACCATATCTCACTACTCCACAACTAACACTATCCTATCTCAGCTGGATGAGCCTCAGCTGGATAAGCAAGAGCTTCCTACCTGGTCTCCCCACCCCACATTGTCACTCTCAACAGACATCAGAGTGACCTCGATAAGTTGGATTATATCACTCATCAGAATCCTCCAGTGACTTTCCATCTCTCTGACGCAAAAGCTAGTCTTTGCATAAGGCCTTACATGAGGGACCAGGTTACCTCATCTTCTACCACTCCTCCCCCAACTTACTCTGCCCTGGCCACACTGGTCTTACTGCTTCTTGACCAAGGTAGGCGCAGCCCACCTTGGAGCATTTCCACACACTGTGTCCTCAGCTTGGTTCACTCTTCCCGCTGATAGCCGCGTGCTACCACCTCGATTTCTTCAAGCCTTTGCTCAGATGTTACCTTCTGAATGAGGCCTCCCTAGCAACTCTGTTTATAATTGCCGTATTCCCTACTCCCTTTCCCCCACTTTGTCTCTACTGCCGTCGCTATTTCTCCACTGCGATAACAATAGTACTGATAAACTGCATGCTCTTGATTCCTAGTTTATTATCTGTCTTCCCCAACTAAAATGTTAGTTCAGAAGAGCCCCAACCACCCGGGCTCAAGCAAGTCTTCCACCTCAGCCTCCCAAGTAGCTGGGACTACAGGCAGGTGCCACCATGCCCAGCTAATTTTTTTATTTTTAGTAGAGACAAGGTCTCACTATGTTGCTCCAGCTGGTCTCAAACTCCTGGACTCAGGTGATCCTCTTACCCTGGCCTCCCAAAGTGCTAGGATTACAGGCGCGAGCACCCAGCCTAAAGTATTTTTTAAGAAATGAAAAGGATATAGCATTAAAATAGTGTTTACCAGTAGGGCGGAAGGGATGTAAATGTATTGCTGAGGAATACAAAAGGGATTTTAAATACATTCTAAATAATCTATATCTTGAAATAGCTGAAGTAAATATTGCAAAAATTAGCAATTGTTAAATCTAGGTGGTAAGTGTATGGATGACAATGTATCAATAAACCTGAAAATATTTTACAGTTTTTTAAAAACTAGAATTGACAAAATCAATAACATATCTTTGCTTTTATTACCAGAAATGTAGTTTATAAGATCTGTCAGATAATTCTGTTAACATATAAAAATGAATGTACATGAAATCCCAGCACTTTGGGAGGCCAAGGCAGGCAGATCACTTGAGGCCAGGAGTTCAAGCCCAGCCTGGCCAACATGGCGAAACCCAGTTTCTACTAAAAATGCAAAAATTAGCTGAGTGTGGTGGCGCATGCCTGTAGTCCCAGCTACTCGGGAGGCTAAAGTGAGAGAATTGCCTGAACCCAGGAAATGGAGGTTTCAGTGAACCCAAGAGATGGAGGTTTCAGTGAGCCGAGATCCCACCACTGCACTCCAGCCTAGGTGACAAAGTGAGTGAGACTCCGTCTCAAAAAAAAAAAAAAAAAAAAAGAATCTATATGAAACTATGGAATACATAAGTAAATATATAAAAATCATTTTATGAATTCTTTCTAGTTTTTCCTGTGCATATAATTCCAACTGAAAGACTGCAGTAGCCAATGGAGCAGACATCATAAACATTAAAATAATGACTACTTAGGGAAGAAAGCACATAAGCTCCTTGAGACAGCAAGGATTCAAAAGAAACAAGTAATTATTGCAAGAAAATATACATATCAACCAATGTAGTTTTCATTGCATCTTGAATAGTTTCCTTTCAACTACAATTTTTAAATCCCTCAGATATTTAATAAAACAGTAAAACATTTTTTCTAACATTGGACTCAATCAATATGACTTGAATTAAAATTGATGCGAACCTTTCCATCCAATGCATCTGACTTCTAGTGACTATCTAACAAGAACCCAAATGCAGTCATCCAAGTGATAACAATTTAAATTTTCCTTATTCAAGCCAATTATCAAAACTATGTCCCAATTTGAGGCCCAGAAACTGCCAGCCCTGGTGCATACATTACTGACAGGGAAACAGAGACCACCTGAGAAGGAAAGGCCTTTGCGTTTCTGCCAAAATAAAAGGCATCAGAGTTTTCTTCCAATGAATCACTATCTAAAATTGCCCTGGGCCAGAAGGGCCTCTGGTTACCTAATCTCTTGAAGCATAAGCAAGGTCTTCAGGATTCTGATATTGTCACTTTTGTAGAACAAGAGCATTGAAAACATTTAGAAGATAAGGCATCACATTGGCACTGAAGATCTCAAATGGAACCTGGCATCAGAATTCCTATTCAGGACTTTCAGTGGCAGGACTCGCCTACCTCGTGGAAGAAGATGACAGCCTTTAAAAGAAGGGAAGGTAGCTGGGTGCAGGAAACACAAGGCCAGGTTCCATGTGCCCAGGGAACTCTACAGGGCCACTTTGGCTATAATGACATCTCTATTTGTAAAACGGAAATAATTATATTCATCATCTAATAAAGACCTCCAAAACCTTAAGAGAAAAGAAGCAAAAATGCAAATGAATACGCGTCATGAACCTGCACAATGATTTCTCAACCTGGCTCTCTGAGTTCCAGACACATCCCCAAGTACCTACAGGAGGCAGGACTTAACATCGCATCAGGAAGTGGGGAAAGGAAACTAACATTTGTGAATTACAGGCTAGCATGACTCCTCAGTGCCTAGCACACAGTAAGGCACTCAACCAAATCTGATTTAATCCTCAAAATAACCCTACTAGGTAGCATTATGGGTCTCATTTAACAGATAAGAAAGGACTAAGGAGAACCAAATAAACTGCCAAAGAAAAACAAACAAGCACAGAAACTATGAAAAAACTCCAGTAAGTAGTGGATCTAGCACTCAAATCCACTTCAGTCTGATTCCAAAGCACCCGCACTAATTCATCTATATATTTAGTGATGTCCAACAGAAACACAGTATGAGCAACATATGTAATTTTAAATTTTCTAGTAGTCACATTAAAAAAGTTAAAAAGAGGCCGAGCGTGGTGGCTCATGCCTATAACCCCAACACTTTGCTCTCCTGCTGTAAGGCAGGAGGATTACTTGAGGCAGGAGTTCGAGACGAGCCTAGGAAACATCACAAGACTCTGACTCTACATAAAATAAAATTTAAAAATTAGCCGGGTGTGGTAGTGCCATTCTGTAGTCTCAGCTACCGGGAAGACTGAAGTGGGAGGATCACTTGAGCCCAAGAGTTTAAGGCTACAACGATGTATGATCACACACTGCACTCCAGCCTGGGCGACAGAGTGAGACCTTGTCTCAAAAAAAATTAAAAAATTAAAAAATAAATAAAATAAATTAAGCCAGTGAAATGTATTTTGATAATATATTTTATATAACCAATGTACCCAAAATACTATCAATTCATTGTGCAATCAATATAAAAGCTTTCCATTCTTTTTCTCATACTAAATCTTTGAAATTTACACTTACAGAATGCTTCAATTTGGACTAGCCACATTTAGTGCTCAACAGGCACTTCTGGCTAACAGCCACTGGTACTGGGACAGCACAGGTCTCTACCACACCGACTCCCATAAGCAAAAGGACTATTCCTCGGGGCCCAAGATGGATAGATATCCTCTGCCTCAGAGCTGGTAGAAAAGAGAAGCACATTCCTGGAAGCACCATGCACCTTCTTTCCTTGAGTCAAGTGCATGTCAGCTGAAAAGTTTCCTCCTCAGTGATGCCTTCCCTGGCACAAAGTCACTCATCACCCCAACCTGTCACCCTCCTCCACAGGTCCTCTTCTATTTTCTTCTTGACACTTATCACTAAACTATTTTGTTCATTTATTTGTTCACTGTTCATTGACAATCTTCCCCAACTCTGTGGCCCACTAAACTTTTTTTCTTTCTTTTTATAGAGACAAGGTCTTACTATGTTGCCTTGGCTGGTCTCAAACACCTGGCCTCAAGCGAGTCTCCCGTGTCAGCCTCTCAAAGTTTAAAATTTAAGCTCCATAACAGCAGATCCTTTTCTGTATCTTTCATTACTCTCTTTCCAACAGTGTTTGACACACAGAAGGTATTCAATAAATATTGGTTGCATTAATGAATTGTTATAGCAAAAAGGGTATAAATTTCCTCCCCCACAAACTAGGAAATGCATTTTCCATAGAACAATATCATATGGAAATTCGTTTCCCAGACTCGCCCACCAAAGTCTACTTAACCCATAATGTAACAAAACCTAGGAGGAGATAACAGAGCACATGACAATGGCAGCAAGTGGTTTAGTAAAGCAAAACCTCCTCAAACGCCCAGTGCAGGATCATCCCTTTCACTTTCCCACAGCCCCTGAAACATAGCAGGCTTTCAATATGAACAAATGAGTTGATTCTAAAGAGAAACTCCAGCTACACTATGAGTTAAATGATCATTTATGGGCTATCCTGGGAATCCAACCAACAATTACAGCACTGCTGTAAAAATATTTTGCAAGTGGTGTTCCCTGATTCCTTAATTTAGGTGAGGTCCCCCTGTTACATATGCCTGCGTTTAAAAAAAAAAAAAAAGAACTACTCTGGCCAGTCACAATGGCTTAGGTCTAAAATCCCAGGACACAGCACTCTGGGTGTCTGAAATGGGAGGATCACTTAAGCTCAGGACATTGAGACCAGCCTGGAAAAGATAGTGTCTCTATCTCGTCTCTACTAAAAATAAAAAATTAGCTTGGCATGGTGACACATGCCTATAGTCCTGAGGAGGCTGAGGCACAAAGATTGCTTGAGCCCAGGAGTTCAAGGCTGCAGTGAGCCCGGATTGCAATACTGCGCCCCACCCTGGGCAACAGAGATAGACCCCATCTCAAAATAAATAAATAAATAAAAAAGAAAGAAAAGAAAAAACTACTATTGTGTGAAGCAACAGAAATTCAACCCAAACTAGCTTAAATAAATAAGGGAAATTTATTGTAAAGATTCTGAGGAACCCAGTTGGATCTCAGAAAGAACTCTAACCAAAAACCCAAACACTGCCAGAACTTTCACTCCATCTCCAGGATCCAAACCTCTGCGTAACAGAGTCACGTCCTCCCATCCCCTAACTGTGGCTTCCTCCACTCCTTCAGGACTTATGGTTGGAACTATGGCCCCTAAAAGGACCAACACTTTCACACTGCTGTTTAGACACCCAGAAATTCCTTGGTCTTCTAGCCTCTGAGCCATTTCAAAAATCCCTGGCCCTGACTGGGCGCAGTGGCTTACACATATAACCCCAGCACTTCGGGAGACCAAGGCGGGCAGATCACCTGAGCTCAGGAGTTTAAGACCAGCCTGGGCAACATGGCAAAACCTTGTCTCTACAAAAAATACAAAAATTACCTGGGTGTGGTGGTACGCACCTGTAGTCCCAGCTACTCGGGAGGCTGAGGCAGAATTGCTTGAGCCTGGGAGGTCAAGGCTGCAGAGAGCCAAGATAGTGCCACTGCACTCCAGCCTGGGCGACAGAATGAGATCCTGTCTCAAAAAAATCCCTGGCCCAGCTTGGCAGGTGCTCATCCTCGGACCCAGCCTCGGGTCAAGCTGCACTAACAATAACCACAGGAACGCCTGGGTATAAGAGGAGATTCCTAGAAAAGGGGTGCCAGGCAGACGACCCCAGTGCAGTCCTTTCCAGCTCCCCTTAAATACTGTACTTCACGTTCATTATCTTCATCACTTGTGAAACTACCTGTGTAAAGTTTACCTTTCTTAACTAGTTGATCCTGCCAGTTTTTTTTTTTTTTTAAAAAAAAGGAAAATAAAGTTTACCTTTCATATTAAGGCATCTGATTAAGGAAGGCAGAATATGTATTTCTCTTGCTCTCCACTGTTATCCCCTCATGAGGAGTAGTTTTTGGCCCCTAGATGCCCCTCAGAATATTTTGGTTAAGCAAATGAAACTATTTTAAAATGAAATTTTAAGGTGAAACTATACAGTCAATGTAATACTCCTCATTAAGAACTTTTTATACAGACTAATGATGGATTAAAACTCTTAATGGTTGATAAAACCTCCTCCCATTCACAGGTAAGCACCTGGAACAATTCAGTCGGGAACCTAGTGTCACAGACCATAAAATCCTATAGCCAGGCACGGTGGCTCATGCCTGTAATCGCAGCACTTTGGGAGAACAAGGCAGGTGGGTCACCTGAGGTTGGGAGTTCAAGACCAGCCTGACCAACCAGAGAAATCCCGCCTCTACTAAAAAATACAAAATTAGCTGTGTGTGGTGGCCCATGCCTGTAATCCCAGCTACTCAGCAGGCTGAGGCAGGAGAATCGCTTGAACCCGGGAGGCGGAGGTTGCGGTGAGCTGAGGTCGTGCCATTGCACTCCAGCCTGGGCAACAAGACCGAAACTCCGTCTCAAAAAAAAAAAAAAAAAAAAATCCTATAATACCTTGACCAAAACTACTTTGTCTAAATAGTTCCTGCACACACACTAGCTAGGTTCCCCACAGGAAGCAATGCCGTAGGCGGCAACTTAACAGTAGACACTCTATCAAGAAAAGTGATAGGGCTCAGAAAAACAAATCCGCAAAGTGAACCCTCAAGTAATAAAAGCAGCAAAGGAGTAGGAGGGAAGAGGACAGCATCGTGTTTACAGCCTAACAAAGGGCAAGATGCCCTGGGACTGCAGCAACACAAGCTTTCACTAACAAAGTGACCCAATTTAGCTGGCACAGGAAATTCAAATTCCGGGTAAGGTAGGATCTTCACAGGGCACAAATTTGTGGTCCCAGACTTTTAGGGGACATTCTAAATGCTACACTTTACTGGTGATATTAAATATTAATTCATTTACTCAAACCCAAAGTAAAATATCTCTAACTCGTTAGTGAAAAAGTTGAGGTACAATACTACAGAAAAACTAGGCTGGGCATGGTGGCTCATGCCTATAATCCCAGCACTTTGGGAGGCCAAGGCAGGTGGTTCACCTGAGGTCAGGAGTTCAAGACCAGCCTGGCCAACATGGCGAAACCTGTCTCTACCAAAAATACAAAAATTACCCAGGCGTGGTGGTGGGTACCTGTAATCCCAGGTACTCAGGAGGCTGAGGCAGGAGAATTGCTTGAACCCGGGAGGCAGAGGTTATCGTGAGCCACGCTCACGCTGCTGCACTCCTGCACTCCAGCCTGGGCAACAGAGCAAGATTCCGTCAAAAAAAAAAGTACAGTATATAATTTGTTCAATTATTCAATTATTAGTAGTAGTGTGCCCATTTTAAAGATGAGAGCCTTAGAGGCAGTAAGTAACTTGGCACAAATCAGTTTAGCTAAAAATGGCTAAAAGAATACTTCAACTGAGGTCTTTAATACTAAATCCATTATTCTTCCTACTGCCTGAGAAACCAGATAATTTTGGTATAAGTAAGTATTTCTTAAACTTATAATGCCGGGCATCATGGTGCACACCTGCAGTCCCAGCCTCCCCACTTGGGAGGCTGAGGCAGGAGAATTGCTTGAACCCGGGAGGCAGAGATTGCAGGAGCCGAGATCACGTCACTGCACTCCAGCCTGGGAGACAGAATAAGACTCTGTCTCAAAAATAAATAAATAAGCTGGGAACAATAGACACCAGGGCCTACTTGAGGGTGGCCCCAGTAAGGACTGAAAAAACTACCTATCAGGTATTACGCTATTTACTAGGGTGACAAAATTATCTGTACACCAAACCCCATGACAGGTAATTTACCCATGTGACAAACCTGCACATGTACCCCTTGAACCTAAAATAAAAGCTGAAAAGAAAAAAAAAAAAAAAAAGAAACAATCTAGAGAGATGGAGGAGCCTGATCATAGAGTCATTAGTCACACTGGAGATTTGGGGCTTTATTCTGTAAGTGTTAGAAAATTCTTGAAAGAATTTTCAAGTGTGTGAAATGATAATGCATTTAAATTTTAGACATGGTGACAGAAGGAGAGATGGGTTTAAGGGGAAACAAAAGAGAAAGAGATAGTGGAGAGGGGTAATGAGGGCCTGAATTAGCGACATGGTAGCAGACAGGTGAAGGAAGGATACAGGAGGAGAAGAAAGAGTGATGACACACTCCTTAGGAAGATGTTCATGTTTATGGCTTCAGTGACTTGGGTAACTGAAATAAGTAAGTAAAAAAAGAGGAGCTTCAGGTTTTAGGGAGAAGGGACTGAGGTCGGTTTTGTATACATTGAATTTTGTGATGTCTGTGGGCATTGAACCAGTTATGTCCAGTAGGCATCTGGATAAAAGAGTGTGATGTGTAGGAGAAAATATTCAGATGGGATGGTGATGCACACTTGGCAGCAATAAGCATAGAGGTGACAGAGCCACAGGAATGAGTGAAACCAGCTAAAGAAGGCATATGGAAGAAGAAGGTTTCAGAAAGAATCAGGTAAACTGCAACATTAAAGGGGTGAACCAGCCCAGGGAGGAGACTCCGCAAGAAGGAGCAGACAGAAGCGAGAGGAAGATCCAAGAAATGTGGGGATGAAACATTTCCACATGTCAATGGCCAACAGTGTCTCTGCAACAAAGTCATTGAGTTAGGAAAGGACTGAAAATGCATCCATCCTATTTCTCAATGCCAAATCACTAGTACTCCTTTAGGGCTGGGCGCGGTGGCTCACGGCTGTAATCCCAGCACTTTGGGAGGCCCAGGTGGGCGGATCGTCTGAGGTCAGGAGTCCAAGATCAGCCTGGCCAACATGGTGAAACCCCATCTCTACTAAAAATACAAAAATTAGCCGGGCATAGTGACGGATGCCTGTAATCCCAGCTACTCCAGAGGCTGAGGCAGGGAGAGTTGCTTAAACCCGGGAGGCGGAGGTTGTAGTGAGTCCAGATCACACCACCACACTCCAGCCTGGGTGACAGAGGGAGACTCCGTTTCAAAATAAAAAAAAGACAAAATCCCTAGTACTCCTTCAAAAAGGAAGAAGAGGGAGAGAGAGCATTTGTGTGGCATGGCAGGGCTGGTACCCAGTACCTGTGGTAGAGAAGTGAATGGAAGGTGAAAGAGGGGAGCGGTGACAGTTTCTTTCTCAGATGTGCCTGCCTGAGAATAGAGGAAATGTGTTCAAAGTGGTTCTAGGATCAAAGCCCCAAAGTCAGTCATAAGACCACGTGGCATTGATGGGGGCCAGGCTGATTCACCAACTTCACCAGCCAACAGCCTCCATGGAGAAACGATAAGAGGAAACTCACTGGGCGGTGCCGGGAAAGTGACGCACCTGGACACTTCCTGACTGCCATGGAAATCAGATAGGAGGGGTAGGGAAGAGGATCCAAATAGAATGGGGCACTGGATTTGCATGGATTAGATGAGGGAAGAGGTGAAGGGAAAGTGAAGGAGGTGTCCGGGGTACCTCAGGAACAAAAATGTCAGCATATTCCAACATGAGCTAAGGGGACACTTCAGATAGAACTTCAGACTGTTGGTTCAGTGTGAGTAATAGGATTCAACACTATCAGAAAGGGCTGGGCTCAGTGGCTCACCACCTATAATCCCAACACTTTTAGGAGCCTGAGGTAGGAGGATTGCTTGAGGCCAGGAGGTCAAGGCTGTAATGAGCCATGATTGCAACACTATACCCTAGCCTGGGTGACACAGTGAGACCCTGTCTCAACAAACAAACAAACAAACACTAACAGAAAGGAAGGACGCAGGTCTTTATTAGCATGCACTCCCCGACCCCCTGCAATTCCTGGCTCCCTCCCAAGATTCAGAGTTGCTGGGCTCTGCCTGCTTAGCACTCACAACCCTGCTTAGGTCTCCAGGGGCAATCAACTGGCTGCTTCCCTTTTTGTAAGTGAAAGGTCACGTCTCCATCTGCAAAGAAAGCCATTCCTCTCATCTGTTTGCTTCTCTAGGAATGAGTATGCAATAAGAAATCTGGGGAGTGCTACGAATGGTAAATAGTAACATGCAGGGAGAATTGAAGAATAGGAAATAGTGAAATCTAATTTAAACTGAGCAAATTACAAAAGAGAAACTATACCATGAATAAATACATAATATTAAAAATCTAAGGGAAAAAGATAAATAAATAACTCTTGCTTCCAGAATCTATTCTTTAGCCTGGTGCTCCTCAGAACATTGATCAGAGTCCTATATCTAAAAATTGTCAGTTCAAGCTCCTTCTTTTACATTTCTTCCCCTCCTTTTCTTTCATACAGAACAGGGGTCAGCCAATGAAGGCAAGGGGGCAGATGCAGCCCGTGATCTGCTTTTGTGTGGCCCAGGAGCTAAGAATGGTTTTTACATTTTTAAAGGATTATAACAAATAAACAAAACCAAAGTAAAATACTCAACAGAGACCGTATGTAACCTGGGAAACCTAAATTAATTTGCTATCTGGCCCATTACAGGAAAACTTTGCCAACCTCTAAGACAGATGAAGACTCTGCTGCCCAGTAAGGCAGAGATGTTTTTGAGCCTACAGAGCTATTCAGCAGCAGAGCTCAGACAAGAATCCGTTTCTCTTGGCTCTAAGTCCAGGGTGCTTTACCCACCACCACATCAAACATAGATGTGAAATAATTTCCACTTGAAGGTAAAAAAAAAATAAAGGGAGACTTTAGGTCTTCCTTAAGACCCACATAAATAAACTTTAAAATAAAGATTCTACTAATATTGTTTTAAGGACTCCCGGGAGAGTAATGTCAAACGGGAAGGAAATATTTAGTCATGCGCAGCACACACCTCTCCACTGTCCGTTCCTCCTCTCACCTTTCACTCTTAAAGTGTCTCCTGAAATGTGTTCTAGTCTCTGTCACCTGGAAAAGAATGCTTGTGGAGAAGAGATGTCAGGAAGTATGATCTGTTCATGCCAAACGCCCATACTCCACCCTTCCCACTCACAATCACACACATAAAAGCAAACTGTGGAGTTACATGGCAACCCACAGACATCTCAATCACACCACATACAGTTAAGACTATGCCCAAAATGGTTTCACTGGTAATCCAAGTCAAAATGCCTCTATTTTAATACTTAAAGCAGCTTTATATGCAATCCGATCACCTAACCTTTGATGAAGTTATATGTCCTAATCAAAACTCACCTAGAAACTTCCAAGGAAAATCCAAATGGTAATAACCCCAGTACAGAACTTCCCACACTAACCAGACTATTCTCCATGTTAGCTCTCTACTTTGAATGATCATTCATTAAAACAAACAAACAAAAAACTCCTCTTGTGGCAGATATTGAATATCAATTACTAGGAAAGGGCAGTGATAATTTATCTGTCTTTATAAATCATAACACATTCCCCATCATCTCATCAGACATAGCTCAGTGCCCACGGCCTTGTTCTGTCTTGGTGCTGGCTGGCACTGACCCCAACTGTAACAATATTATTAACAACATCATTAATATCCTAAAAGGCAAGAAGTCAAAATAAAAAGATAAATACAAATTTCATATAAAGTATTATTTTAGAATGTTATATTAAAATAGATTTTAGAAACTAGTTTAGTTTTTTTTCACAGAACTACTAAGACATAATCTTAAATAACAGAATCCAGGTTCAGTGTCTTTATTGAGTGTTCCTTCCACATCCTCTTAAGGAAAATCCATATAAGAATTTTTTTAGAAAATGAAGAGAAGGCAGGAAGGAAGAAGAAAAGGAAAAAGGAAAGAGTGAAATAATAAGAAAAACGCTCAGCCAAACGTAGTTCGTGACTTTTCAGTCCAAGGTTGTTCCACAGCTTTTAAACTATGTAGTATTATTTTTGTTATTTGTTAGAGAGTTTCACTGGTCTTTTGGGGTGATGCACAGTAGAGGTCCCAATAATGTTGCCTCTTATAGTACACCTGCCATGTTTCTTGGTATTCTAATAATGCACTAATCTAAAACCTTGCTCCTCATACCTCACTGTTGAATCAATTCATTTGTAGGTTCTTGTGGATTTCTAGTAAATACATACATATATTTTTTGAGATAAGGTCTCACTCTGTCGCCCAGGCTGGAGTGCAGTGGCACAATCACAGCTCACCGCAGCCTAGACCTCCCGGCCTCAGGTGATCCTTCTGCCTCAGCCTCCAGAGTAGCTGGGACTACAGATGTGCACCACCACGCCCAGCTAATTTTTTCTGTTTTTTGTAGAGATGGGGTTTCTCAATGTTGCCCAGGCTGGTCTCAAACTCCTGGGCTCAAGTGATCTACCTGCCTCAACCCTCCCAAAGTGTTGGGATTCTAGGTATGAGCCACCATACCTAGCCTAGGAAACATATTTTTAACCAATAACCAATTTTAAGAAAATTAACAATTAGTCTAGGGTAGCTATAGATATTATTTACAAAAATCTAACAAATAAAAAAATGTGAAGTGTTTTTCTATTCTAAATAGAGCCTATTTATGACATCAAGAAATTTAGGTAAGTTTAGGGTAGGGTAGGGTAGGGTGGGGTATGGTATGGGATGGATGGATGGATGAATTGTGCATTTGTTTCTGCGTTTATTCTCAAAGTTCAGTCTAACCAGTTAATTGACGGTTAATTTCTCACTGTTTTCATTTAGGAGAAATAACCACTTTTGGCAGCCTTTTATCTTCACAAAAGTGAGTAATTGTGCACAGTCACTAATATATTTTTCTGGCCATTATTCAACTTGCTGCTTAGCTAATAAATTGTAAAAACCATTTTCATCCTGGAAATATTTCAGGACAGAAGATCCACTCTAATAACAAACAACAGAATAAAGACAACTTTCCTGTTTCAGATAAAGATTTGGTCCTATTTGCTTTTGGTCTGTGTCTTGTTATCACTCCATAGTTAATTATAATAAAGAAAAAAGTTTTGATCTCACAACTGCCTCTAGTGTCTCTCTGGCTCCAGGTTAGAATGGAAGAGAGTGAAGAGTCTGTGTGAGTGTGCTTGCCCCTTCTCTCTCTAATTCTGCACATCTGTCTCTTTTGTCTGCATTTCCTCTTTTTAGCTCTTTATCTGTGTATCTTTCTCTGACTTATTTATCCTGTTTCTATTTTCTACTCCTTCAATTCCCAACCTTTCTAATGCACTTTTTCTCCTGATGGGCCCTTCTTATGGAAACAACTATACATTTATAATACTTTTTTTTTTAATTTACTAAACAGAATTTGATGTCCTCTGTTCTTGGGGGCACTGAGTAAAAGCTTTTTGTTTTTGCCAAATCTTAAACACTTTCTCCATAAGCCACATCTAGTCCCAGCTCTATAACTGAAATTCTTGGCTCCTTTTCTCTAAATCCCATCCTTTCTTCAAAGTTCACCATCATTTACCCAGCTGCTTGAGCCAGAAACCTAGAAGTCATCTTTGAGTTCTGTTTCCTTACGTCCATTTCAAATCCACTGGCAGGCCTATAGGCTATCAACCCAAAACATACACAAATCTATCTACTTCACTCCATCTACCCTACCATCCCCCTCATAAAAGGCACCAGAATCTCTTCTGCAGTCACCTTAGTATCACTGCTTCTACTCTTGCCTTCCTTCCACAGTGGCCAGAATGAAATTTGAAAACATAAACTTATGGCCCTCCTTTGCTTAAAGGCCTCCCGTGGCTTACCACTGCAATTAGCACCTAATCCAAACTCCTATACAATCTGGTCCTCACTCATCTTTTGGATTTCATCTTTTTGTTCCACAAACATGTCAAGCTCCTTCCTGCTTTTGGCCCTGGGCATGGTCCACCCCTCTGTCTGGAATGCCCAGATTGCTGCATGGTTGGTTCCTTATTATCATTCAGGCCTCTACTTAAATATCACCTCTTCACAGCAGCCTATGTTGACTTACAATCTAAAGTAGTCTCTAGAGGCAACTCTATCATACCACCCTATACTAAGGTTCTGCAGAGCCACTATCAAATATTTCTTACGAAATAAACTTTTTGCTTATTGCTTTGTTCTTCTTCTCCCAAAAGAATGTAAGCACCTTGAAAGCAGAAACCCAGCCTTTTTTTTTTGAGACGGAGTCTGGCTCTGTCACTCAGGCTAGAATACAATGGCTCAATCTCAGCTCACTCCAACTTTGCCTCCCGGGTCCAAGCAATTCTCCTGCCTCAGCCTCCCAAGTAGCTGGGATTACGGGCGTGCACCACTACATCTGGCTAATTTTTGTATTTTTAGTAGAGATGGGGTTTCGCCATGTTGGCCAGGCTGGTCTTGAACTCCTGACCTCAAGCGATCCACCCGCCTCAGCCTCCCAAAGTGCTGAGATTACAGGCATGAACCACCATGCCCAGCCAACCTGGCCTATCTTATGCACTACCCCATGCCCAATAACCAGAGAGGTTCCAGGAACTTAATAAGTTCTCAATAAACATTTTATAAATGAATGGTTGAATGAAAATCCCACAGTCTTCCCTTACCAATGTATCCTACAATGATAATTTTCCTTTACAAATGTGCAGCATTAATTTTACTTTTAATGTCTTGCAACAACTCTTATATAGCTCATAGCTGCTTTAAATATTATTTAACACTTCATGACATCACCACCAACCACAAATATTAAATACGTACCTCCTAGAGTTGAATGAATAAGGGCAGACAACACACACACAAAAATGCTTTTATCAGAAAATTAATTAGCCCATTTACCTGAGTGCGCTATCTCAGTGGGATCCTTGTATTTCTGGGTGTCATATGGTACAGCTGCCCGGATGGTTAAAAATAAAACTATTCATGATACATTCTCCACAGAACATCCAGGTGGGTCCTAGGCAAAGTAGTACTACGTGCAAATTGTTGTTGATATGAGATAATTTGAACAAAAGACAGGGCCAGGATCAGGGGCTCATGCCTATAATCCCAACACCTTGGGTGGCCAAGGTAGGAGGACTGCTTGAGGCCAGGAGTTCAAGACCAGCCTGAGCAACATAGTGAGACCTCCATCTCTACAAAAAAAATTTAGTAATAAATAAACAAAAAACAGTTATGCAGGTATTTCATTTAATCTAAGGTACAACTGGAGTAAAAGAGAAAGTAAGTGGATAGATCTGATGTAGCTTGAGAAACCACTTAGAATTTTGTTTTTAGGGAGAAAGGCATTGCTTCTCCAAATGTATCAGTTGCCTTTGTTAATAACGGTCTGGTGCCCTGGTTGCTGGTCACTAAAGGGTAGGTGTCTTTAGAAGTAATGAATATTTTAGGTCTCGTCACCTTGCTTTGCCACTGAAACAATCTGCTGAAGGGAGAGGGGCCTTTATTTTGTAATTCTATCTTCTAGAAAGCTGACCTTCCTAATGAGTTGGCAAGCTATCACCATTTACCACAGCACATACAATACTCAAGTTCAAAGTAGGTTCCATAAAAGTGGGAGCCACTCTTCAGTTTATAATCCGAGCCTAACTGATAAACAAAACAAGAAGTCTTCATTGCCCATGCAGTAGCATGCATGTGTGCTGTAACAGCACTGCAGAAAAAGTAAAAATGATGTAGTACTTCCTGGCAGACGTGACATCTGATCTTTGGACTTGCGTCATAAAACACCCTTAAAACAAGTAAAAATCTGGTGCAATTTAATATCTGATTGTGTGTACTTGGTTGCCTATAAAGAATGTAAAATGGTTTATGGACATCAAATTTAGAATTGTTTAAATCATCTCTGGAAAAAAAATACCGTTTTATGGGCCAGAACATATGATCATCTTTCCAGAGGTAAGCAAACACTACTATTTTGAGATAACCCCATACAGTTCAGTTTTTTTACCACCGTTTTTTAAAAAAGATTATTTATTTATTTTCATTTATTTACTTTTAGAGACAGGCTCTCACTATGTTACCCAGGCTGGACTTGAACTCCTGGCCTCAAGCGATCCTTCCACTTCAGTCTCCCAAGTAGTTGGGATTATGGACATAAGCAATGACACATGCCACCGCCATTTCTTTTAACATTGTTCTGAAAGGTATTCTAAAATATGAAACGCTCAGCTAATAACACTAATTGTAAGCCATTAGAAAGCAGTATTTCTATGTTGCAATCTTCCTTATCCTGTCACATATATCCCCCCTCAAGCCATTCTTCTAATGCTCATGTTCTGATCATTCAAATGATTAAACTGGCCCAATGGTAAACCTACACTTGCCTTCCGTCGTTGGAAAAAAGACAGATCTGCTACTGCACGGTTTTCATTGAAGTTTTTTACAATTTTAAAAACAAAAAAGAAGATTAAAAGAAAAAATGACTACGCCAGGCACAGTGGCTCATGCCTGCACTTTGGCACTTTGGGAGGCTGAGATTGGGTGGGTGGATCACTTGAAGTCAGAAGTTCAAGACCAGCTTGGTCAACATGGTGAAACCCCATCTCTACTAAAATACAAAAATTAGACGGGCATGATGGCACATACCTGTAGTCCCAGCTACTCGGGAAGCTGAGACACGAGAACGATTTGAACGCAGGAGGCAGAGCTTACAGTGAGCCAAGATCATGCCACTGCACTTCAGCCTGCATGACAGAACAAAACCCCATCTCAAAAAAAAAAAAAGAAAAGAAGAAAAAATTACTAGGACGATGTTAGAAATAAGTTTGGTTTTGACTCTGATAAAATAAACATCCCCTGGAGGGAAAAAAATACAGAATGATGATTCAAACATGAAGCAATTAAAATTTTTTTGAAATCTTCCTTCCAGAAATAAAATCAGAAAGGAGACATCTTTACATATATATCTTCAGAGTCAGTCATAACCTTTGGTATACACAGTGAAATGAAAAGCCTATTTGACCTCATTCTAAAGTTGTTTTGGGAAAACGTCCAAGCCTGGTGTCTGGGACAGCATGGTGCCTTTAAATGGCCTCCTCTTCCCTGGCAGGACACGCTGGACTCCACATAAAAGGCACCTTCCACCACCAGCCAAGTGTCTGCAGACTTCGTTTCCTGAACATCCCTTGCTCAGCACTTCTTGCTCCGTTCTCTGGACCTGCAGTGCCCTCTGAGAGCTCCATATGTGAATTACTCCATTATAACTTTGGTCTGATAAATAATCCAGTCTCTCCCAGATCCCTCCCAGCCACCCTTTTGTGTAGCCTTCTTGGTTGAACACACTCCACTACTTGCCTCCAGGGTGAACTCTCTCTGCTCAACCAGGCTAAGAGACACCCTTTATCCATATATTTCAGCCAAGGGTAACCCCCACCAGGCATATCCTGATCTCCCAGATGAGAACTGGTCAATGGAGACTCAAGGGAAAAGTGAAACTTGGAGTCTGTTTATGAATAAAGGTGCCCGGTGCAGTGGCTTACACCTGTACTTCTAGCACTTTGGGAGACCAAGGCGGAAGGACTGCTTGGGCTCAGGAGTTCAAGACCAGCCTGGGCAACAGAGTGAGACCCCATCTCTACTAAAAATAAAGAATTTAAAAAAATCAGTCAGGCATGGTGGCGCATGCCTGTAGTGCCATCTATTCAGGAGGCTGAGGCAGGAGGATTGCTTGAGCCTAAGAGATTGAGGCTGCAGTGAGCTATGATCACACCACTGCACTCTAGCCTGGGTGACAGAGTGAGACTCTGTCTCAAAAAGAAAGGAAAAAAGGGACCAAATGGTATCCTGTTCTGTACTTTTTCCTTAAAACCTAGTAACAATTTAGTAAATCAGTCAATACTCATGTTTTAATCTATATGTTAAATTCAGTACAAACATTAGCAATAAAAATAAATTAACTCACTTTAATTTCCTGATTCAATAGTCACAGGCGCCAGTTTCATGTTACTGAGTTATGAAACCAATAAAACAACAATATTAAAGGAAATTCTTAAAAAGAAAAAAAAGTATTTACAATTCCACAACCATAAAACACCAATGTACCACATGAATAAGTACAATTATTATCTGTCAATTAAAAATATATAATTATTTTTTAAAACATCAACTACTGATTTGGGGATATTCCTTTTCAGTCTTTTATCACGTACATATTCATTGTGAGACAAGATCTTTTCATAATTTGGTGCCTTTATGTACTCCTTTCCCATTTTTCATCAGGCAAATTCCTGCATTCCTTTCAAAACCCAGCTCAGATATGATGCCTTCCCCAAATACCTGCAGGCAAAGCAGCTGCTGAGCTCTTAAGGTCTCACAGCAGTCTGTTCATAACCCTATTGCAGCAGTAACCCTGCTGTGGTAGAATTTATCTGTGTTCATGACTATCCTCTGAAAAATTGTACACCCCATTAGAGTAAAAACCTTTCTTTCTTCACCTTTATATCCCCAAGGCCTGACATATGAGCTGCTAAGTCTACGTGCAAAGAAGGAATGAAACAATTATGATCATGGTGAACATAAAATCTGGATTCAGCTTTAAGTTCATGTTATATCAAAAACATTATCTATTACCCATCTCCACGAACTGCTAGAAGGAAGAAATTTGTTTGCATAACGGTCTCCCATAAAAGGTTACTAGGAAACTACAGAAGACTTGGACTTACATGAGGCTTTTGGTAGGCAGCATTAAATCCTTTGGTAACAAGACAAGGTGTCAATTACACACAAATGTGCACGTATACATAATGATATGGTTTGGCTGTGCCCCACCCAAATCTCATCTTGAATTGTAATCCCCATAATGCCCACATATCATGGGAGGGACCCATAGGAGGGAACTGAATCGGTTTCCCCCATGCTGTTCTTGTGATAGTGAGTTCTCATGAGATCTGATGGTTTTATAAGCATCTGGCACTTCCCCTGCTGGCATTAATTCTCTCTGCTGCCACCCTGTAAAGAGTTGCCTTCCAGCCATGATTGTAAGTTTCCTGAGGCCTCTCCAGCCATGCGGAACTGTGAGTCAATTAAACCTCTTTTCTTTATAAATTACCCAGTCTTGGGTAGCACATTTCTAGCAGCATGAGAATGGACTAATATCACACTGTTCAAATGTGAAGGGGCCTACAGCACAGTGCAGGGTGCAGATCCCACTAGCATACTCTTATACTCAGAGATAAAACCATGTCCATTAGGACAAGTAATTAGGAGGAATTAAGAAGCAGCATGTAGAGTTCAGAAATGACTGCATTTAGGTGTTTAAAAAAAAACCTATGTTCAAGTTATTAGCTATATGATATTATTTGTCCATCAACAAAACATTTTTGCACTCTGCTGGATGCTGGAAATTCAGCGATGACAGATAGGGTCCCCCTCACAAAGCTTCCAGTCTGACAAAGGAAACAGACAATAAAACAGGCAATCACAGTGCAGTATGGCTGGCACTAAGAAAGCACACTGGAGGGCCAGAAAAGCCTCCTGGAGGAAGTTAAGTCCTGAAAGAATTTAGCAAAGAAAAAAAGGTGGCATGCAGGGGTAGGGACCTGTCTTTCCAGGCAGAGGGAATGATATGCATAAAGGCCCAGTGGCAGGTATAGAATAGGAATCCTGTCTAATCACCTTACAGAGCAATTCTGAGGTTCAAATTGGATGTTGATGTGGAAGGGTAAATTCTTTTGCAAATGGTACTTATTCATAAGACTTTAACATTAAAAACCAGTTTTGCAATTCTTCAATAATTCAGAGAATCAGAAAGTAGAGCTGAAGTAAAAAAAATAAGGTAGTTACTCTACTTCAGTGCTCCTCAGCCTTTTTTCTATATCACCCCTGTATTCGTTTACAAGGGCTGCCATAACAAAGTGCCACAGAATGGGAAGCTTCAACAACAGAAATGTATTTTCTGAATTCTGGAGGCCACAGTCTGAGATCAAGGTGCCGGCAGGGTTCCTTTCTACTAGGCATGGCTCCCTTTACCTTCATGTGGTCTTTCCCTCTGTGTGTGTCTGTGTCCAAATTTCCTCTTATAAGGAAACAAGTTATATTGATTAGGGTCTGCCCATATGACCTCATTTTATTTTAATGATCTCTTTAAAGGCCCTATCTCCAAATACAGTCACATTCTGAGGTACTTGGGGTTAGGATTTCAACATACGAATTTGAAGGGAAACATTCTTCCAGCCAAAGGAAGCTTTTTAGACTTTTTTTTCCTAATCAGCTCCCTTCCCCATGAAGTTTAAATCTCTCTTTGGGGTTACAGTAAGTCTGATCACAGCCACAATGAACATACAGAAACTCAGCAAAATGTGAATGGATAACTACAGTGGGTAAACCCATATGACAGAGTATTATTCAGCCATTAAAAGGAATGAAGCACTAATAAATGCTACAATGTAGGTGACCCTTGAAAACACGCTAAGGGAAAGGAACCCATGGACACGAAAGACCTCATATTTAGATATTATACGATGCCATTTATATAAAATGTCCAGAATAGGCAAATTCCATAGAGACAGGAAGCAGATTAGTGGTTGCTAGGAGACTTGGTTGCTAGGGGTTTGGGGGAGGGAGTAACCAGGAGCGATTGCTAATGGTTTCTTTTTAGGGTGATGAAAATGTCTAGAATTCACAATAAAAAATGATGAAGGGGATATTACCACTGATCCCACAGAAATACAAACTACCATCAGAGAATACTATAAACACCTCTATGCAAATAAACTAGAAAATCTAGAAGAAATGGATAAATTCCTGGACACATACACCCTCCCAAGACTAACCCAGGAAGAAGTCGAATCCCTAAATAGACCAATAACAAGTTTTGAAATTGCATCAGTAATTAATAGCCTACCAACCAAAAAAGAGCCCAGGTCCAGACGGATTCACGGCCAAATTCTACCAGAGGTACAAAGAGGAGCTGGTAACATTCCTTCTAAAACTATTCCAAACAATAGAAAAAGAGGGACTCCTCCCTAACTCATTTTATGAGGCCAGCATCATCCTGATACCAAAATCTGGCAGAGACACAACAAAAAAAGAAAATTTCAGGCCAATATCCCTGATGAACATCAATGCGAAAATCCTCAATAAAAAACTGGCAAACCAAATCCAACAGCACATCAAAAAGCTTATCCACCACGATCAAGTCGGCTTCATCCCTGGGATGCAAAGCAGGTTTAACATACACAAATCAATAAATGTAATCCATTACATAAACAGAACCAATCACAAAAACCACATGATTGTCTCCATTGATGCAGAAAAGGCCTTCGATAAAATTCAATACCCCTTCATGCTAAAAACTCTCAATAAACTAGGTATTGATGGAACGTATCTCAAAATAATAAGAGCTATTCATGACAAACCCACAACCAATATCATACTGAATGGCTCAAAACTGGAACCATTCCCTTTGAAAACCGGCACAAGACAAGGATGCCCTCTCTCACCACTCCTATTCAACATAGTATTGAAGTTCCAGCCACGGCAATCAGGCAAGAGAAAGAAATAATGGGTATTCAAATAGGAAGGGAGGAAGTCAAATTGTCCCTGTTTACAGATGACATGATTGTATATTTAGAAAACACCATCGTCTCAGCCCCAAAACTCCTTAAGCTCATAAGCAACTTCAGCAAAGTATCGGGATACAAAATCAATGCGCAAAAATCACAAGCATTCCTATACACCAATAATAGATAAACAGAGAGCCAAATTATGAGTGAACTCCCATTCACAACTGCTACAAAGAGAATAAAATACCTAGGAATACAACTTACAAGGGACATGAAGGACCTCTTCAAGGAGAACTACAAATCACTGCTCAAGGAAATAAGAGAAGACACAAACAAATGGAAAAACATTCCATGCTCATGGATAGGAAGAATCAATATCGTGAAAATGGTCATACTGCCCAAAGTAATTTATAGATTCGATGCTATTGTCATCAAGCTACCATTGACTTTCTTCACAGAATTAGAAAAAAACTACTTTAAATTCCATATGGAACCAAAAAAGAGCTCGTATAGCCAAGACAATCCTAAGCAAAAAAGAACAAAGCTAGAGGCATCATGCTACCTGACTTCAAACTATACTACAAGACTACAGTATATACCAAAACAGATATATAGACCAATGGAACAGAACAGAGCCCTCAGAAATAACAACACACATCTACAACCACCTGATCTTTGACAAACCTGACAAAAACAAGAAATGGGGAAAGGATTCCCTATTTAATAAATGGTGTTGGGAAAACTGGCTAGCCATATGCAGAAAACTGAAACTGGACCCCTCCTTACACCTTATACAAAAATTAACTCAAGATGGATTAAAGATTTAAACATTAAGACCTAAAACCATAAAAACCCTAGAAGGAACCTGGGCAATACCATTCAGGACATAGGCATGGGCAAAGGCTTCATGACTAAAATACCAAAAGCAATGGCAACAAAAGCCAAAATTGACAAATGGGATCTAATTCAACTAAAGAGCTTCTGTACAGTAAAAGAAACTATCATCAGAGTGAACAAGCAACCTACAGAATGGGAGAAAATTTTTGCAATCTATCCATCTGACAAAAGGCTAATACGCAGAATCTACAAGGAACTTAGAACAAATTTACAAGAAAAAAACAACCCCATCAAAAAGTGGGCAAAGGATATGAATAAGGACTCTCCGTTTCCTTATCTGCACAATGAAAATTTAGGATTAGAAAATAGCTATTAACCAATAATAATTACAGAAGTTGCTAACCCATTATATGAATAGACACTTTTCAAAAGAAGACATTTATGCAGCCAACAAACACACGACAAAAACTCATCATCACTGGTCATTAGAGAAATGCAAATCAAAAACCACAATGAGATACTATTTCACGCCAGTTAGAATGGTGACCATTAAAAAGACAGGAAACAACAGATGCTGGAGAGGATGTGGAGAAATAGGAAAGCTTTTACACTGTTGGTGGGAGTGTAAACTAGTTCAATCATTGTGGAAGACAGTGTGGTGATTCCTCAAGGATCTAGAACCAGAAATACCATTTGACCCAGCCATCCCATTGTTGGGTATATACCCAAAGAATTATAAATCATTCTACTATAAAGACACAGGCAAACGTATGTTTATTACAGCACTATTCACAATAGCAAAGACTTGGAACCAACCCAAATGCCCATCAATGATAGACTGGATAAAGAAAATGTGGCACATACACAACATGGCATACTATGCAGCCATAAAAAAGAATGCGTTCATGTCCTTTGCAGGGACATGGATGAATATGGAAACCATCATTCTCAGCAAACCAACACAAGAACAGAAAACCAAACACTGCATGTTCTCACTCATAAATGGGAATTGAACAATGAGAACATATGAGTACAGGGAGGGGAACATCATACACGGGGGCCTGTCTGGGGTGGGGAAACAAGGGGAGGAAGAGCATTAGGAGAAATACCTAACATAGATGACAGGTTGATGGGTGCAGCAAACCACTATGGCACATGTATACCTATGTAACAAACCTGGACGTTCTGCACATGTATCCCAGGACTTAAAGAATACTTAAAAAAAAAGAAAGAAAGAAAGAAAGAAAATGGTCTAGAATTAGATAGCAGTGATGGCTGCACATCTCTGTGAATATACTAAAAACCACTGCATTGTGCAGAGTAGAGGGTGAATTTTACGGTGTGTGAATTATATCTCAATAAGGCTGTGTTTTTGAAAGGAGAAAAGTAGAAGATACATGATGGAATTAAAGCAAATTTTTGTCTCTATTCTTGTTCATTACCAGATATGAAGCAACTCTGACAAAGCGAATCAGTCTGCATTGCCATAAACCATCTTTCACTAGTATAGGTATCTATTCATTCACTCAGTTTTAATGAAAACCTTTATAGCACGAAAGGTAGAAAGCCTTATGTCAAAAGAATTTATGAGAGTATAAGGATAAACAGAAGCATAATTTATCTTTCTTATACTAGATTAGCTAGAGTTCACACTTTATCTGGGCCCAAATGTCCCAATTCTGAAACTTTTCTTTTTTTTTTTTTTTTTGAGACGGAGTCTCGCTCTGTCGCCCAGGCTGGAGTGCAGTGGCGCGATCTCGGCTCACTGCAAGCTCCGCCTCCCGGGTTCACGCCATTCTCCTGCCTCAGCCTCCCGCGTAGCTGGGACTACAGGCGCCCGCCACCACGCCCGGCTAATTTTTTGTATTTTTTAGTAGAGACGGGGTTTCACTGTGTTAGCCAGGATGGTCTCGATCTCCTGACCTCATGATCCGCCCGCCTCGGCCTCCCAAAGTGCTGGGATTACAGGCGTGAGCCACCGCGCCCGGCCCCAATTCTGAAACTTTTATAAGTATAAAAGAGATTGGCCAGACGCAGTGGCTGAAGCCTGTAATCCCAGTACTTTGGGAGGCCGAGGTGGGTGAATCACCTGAGGTTGGGAATTTGAAACCAGCCTGGCCAACATGGTGAAACCCTGTCTCTACTAAAAATACCAAAAATTAGCCGGACGTGGTGGCACACATCTGTAATACCAGCTACTCAGGAGGCTGACGCAGGAGAATTGCTTGAACCTGGGAAGCAAAGGTTGCAGGGAGCTGCTGAGATCGCACCACTGCACTCCAGCCTGGGCAACAGAGTGAGATTCCATCTCCAAAAAAAAAAAAAGAAAAGAAAGAAAGAAATACAACCTGTGCTAACAGCAATTGTTAACATCACAACATATTAAGGCAGAGGATACACCACAGATCTCCCATTGACAAGGTAGATACAATTTTAGACAGATAGCTCCAAGACAAAAACAAGAAGAATAATCATCCATTACTTTCACCACAGGAAATTGATGCTTTTCTGCCCATGAAGTAAAAAAGTGTCTATCTGAAAGGATACTGGTTACTGCAGGTACACTCCACTGTCACCAGTGTCTTTCTTGCAAGGACTCAATTTGCCCTCTTCCTGTGTTATCTTAAGTTTATCCTAGGGCAAAAACTTTAGGAGAATAAAAGTCTTACCAAAGTAAGTTATTTGATTCTCAGAAGTTGTCAGTACAAATAGGGCTATCATGCCATCTATTTTATTTCAGATAACATGAGGAGGATCCAACTTTTTAAAAGGCTTACAAGCTCTTTTTACGGCAAGGTAGTCAATGATGGCAAAATGTCAAAGAGGCCATGCCAGACACAACACACAACCTCTGTCATCAGGGTTTTACCAGGGCAGCTGCTAGGCAAAAAAGACAATTCTCTGCCTCTCCTCCTGAGAACCTAAAAAGGTATACCTGCCTGTGGACACACACACACACACACACACACACACACACACACACACACAGCATAGCCCCTGGCATTCCTGCAGTATTTACCCAACAGACTCCTTCTGCAACACAGGTAGGAAAAGTCTACAGAAACGGCAGGGGGGCTGGAAGCTAAAAGTGTTTGACCCCCCATCACCACCCCGAGCAGAGCAGCTTTAGCACCCAGTGTCCTGGGAATCACGCTGGAGAATTTCAAAGAGGAAGAGAGCTGTGTTGCTAGACAAGTCAGGAAAGAATTCTCAGGTGGTGCTAGAGCTGTTAAAATGGGCAAGGACTCGGGCCGGGCAAGGTGGCTCACGCCTGTAATCCCAGCATTTTGGGAGGCCGAGGCGGGCGGATCACGAGGTCAGGAGATTGAGACTACGGTGAAACCCCGTCTCTACTAAAAATACAAAAAATTAGCCGGATGCGATGGCGGGCGCCTGTAGTCCCAGCTACTCGGGAGGCTGAGGCAGAAGAATGGCGTGAACCCGGGAGGCGGAGCTTGCAGTGAGCCGAGATGGCGCCACTGTACTCCAGCCAGGGCGACAGAGCGAGACTCCGTCTCAAAAAAAAAAAAAAAATGGGCAAGGACTCAGATAGGGAGAGAGGAAGTGGAAGGAGAGTAGGCAAAGCACAACGTGGAGAAGGCGTGGAACCGGGAGGAGAGGAGAGGGACGGAGCTGGCTGCCCTGAGCAGAGATCACACCTGAGAGTGCTGGGTGAAGAGCATGGACCAGAAATGCACCGTGAACCAAGCAAAGAAGGCCTTAAATGCCAAGCTACCGACTTTCTCGATTTTTCTTTCTTTTTGTGTAGCTGAAGGAAATCACCCGTTGGCTCCAAAACATCTGACTCTCCGTTTCCTTATCTCCACATTGAAAATTTAGGATTAGGAAATAGCTATTAACCAATAATAATTACAGAAGTTGCTCACCCATTATATGCAGAGCTGTAGGTTAAGCTTGTAGAAACATTATCACATTTAATTAAGCCCCTTCTAGTTCCGGCCTGCTATGACTATTTGAAAGAGTCCATCTCTCTAATTGATTCTCATTCCTCCTTTGATCTGGTATAGTCTCTTTTTTCGAGCAGGGAAGGAGAAAGACTGAGACAGCTTCTTTGCTGCTCCAGGACTATTCTGGCAGCCTTCTTCTATTGCTCATTCTTTAACAGGACAAAGGGTCCTCCCTATCCTTTCTTCTTTCCCTGATATATAATGTTCCCTGGGGGGAAGTCATCTGAGGCTAGTTTAGAACAAAAGTAACTGAGTGCCTTAAAAGTAGGAGCTCTCTAAACCCATACCTAATTTTTCTCCTTGATACTTAGGAAGGGAGAACGATTCAGTGCTTTCCACCAGATAACTGCCAGGATGAGCTCATGAGCTGGTCTTCCTTCTCACTGGCCCAATCTCTGCAGACAGGAGAGTCCCGGGACTGGGTCCATAAACTTATTCTCTTCTCCAGACGCTGTCCCTGAGGATTTCAGCCATTCTCACTACTTTAAACACCATCTCTAAACTAAAGACTCTCAACTTTGTAACCCCAACAGCAATCTTTTCCATGAAATCCAAGCTCACTTGTCATTTCAACATGGACACGCCAATGTCTAACAGGTATCTGTATTAGTGTCCTAGGGCTGCAATGCCACGTGACCACAAACTGGGTGGCTTAAACAACACAAGCTTATTCTCTCACAGTTCTGGAGGCCAAAAGTCCGAAATCGAGGTGTCAGTGGGGCCACAGTTCCTCCAAAGGCTCTAAGGGAGGACCCTTCCTTGCCTCTTCCACATCCCGCGGCTCCTGGCATTCCTTGGCTTATGGCAGCATCACTCCAATCCCTGCCTCTGTCTCCACACAGCCTTCTCCCTTCTATGTCTCCGTGTCCTCTTCTCCTTTCACAGGGACACTAGTCACTGGATTTAGGGCTCACTATAAATCCAGGATGATTCCATCCCAAGATGTTTAACCAATTACATCTGCAAAGACCTTACCTCCAAATATGGCCATATTCTAAAGTTCCAAGTGGACATGAGTCTCGGGGAGGGGGCGAGGGTCACTCTTCAGCCCACCACAGCACTTAAACTGTCCAAAATCAAACTCCAGATCTTTATGCACAAAATCCATCCCCCGCTGTAGTCCTACCACCTCAGTCAGGGCAAAAACCTTGGCATCATCCTTGATTCCTCATTCTCTCACACCCCACGTCCACGCTGCAAGTAAATCCTATTGGCTCTAACTCCAAAATGTGTCCAGAATCTGACCCTTCTCTATCACTGTTGCTCTGATCCAAGCTGCCAGTATCCTTCTAAGTAAGGATACTCCCTGCTCTTATACTCCTTCCCCTAAAGTCCATTTTCAATGCTAGACAGATCCTTAGAAAATATGTCAGATCATGTCACTCTGATGCTTAAAACCCTCCAAAGTCTGCCTGTCTCATCTGAAGTAAAAGTCAAAGTCCTTCTGATGGCCCTCCAGGCCCTATAGAGTCTGATCCTGGTTTCCTCAGACCTCCTCTCCATCTGTCCCTACCATTCCCTCCCCTCAGGCTGCAGCGGCCGTGTTGTTGCTTAGATCTGGCAGGCAGGCTTGGCCTTGGCCCGTTACACTTGCTGTCTCTTCCCTCTGAAGTGTCTTTTCCCCATATCACCACAGGACTTCTTGCTCTTCTACTGCCTGCAGCTCTTTGTTCGAATGTCAGCTTCTCAGAGACGCTGTTCCTGACCATCCTATCCAAAGCCACCACCACCACCATCTTCCCAACCTCCTATGCCTGATCCTTCTTCCCTGCCTTTCTTTCCCCAACTCTGGGCCATGACCTGAAATATGACCTCTCTTATCCATTTGCTGCCTGCAGCCTCACACACACACTGGAATGTGAGCTCCACGAGGGCAAGGACATCTCCAGGATCTAAAATGACCTCTGGCCAAATAGTAAACACTCAATAAATATTTATTTTTGAATGAATGAGAATGCAATGCAACCATTTGGTCTGAAAAATGAAGTAGACAGCCAGGCGCGGTGGCTCACACCAGTAATCCCAGCACTTTGGAAGGCCGAGGCAGGTGGATCATCTGAGGTCAGAAGCTCGGGTCTAGTCTGGCCAACATGGTGAAACCCCATCTCTACTAAAAATACAAAAATTAGCTGGACATGGTGGCGCACTCCTGTAATCCCAGCTACCCAGGAGGCTGAGGCAGGAGAATCGCTTGAACCCGGGAGGTGGAGATTGCAGTGAGCCGAGACCATGCCACTGCACTCCAGCCTGGGTGACAGAGCAAAAATAAATAGATAAATAAAAAATGAAGGGGAGAGAACTTGTCATGCAAATGAAGTGCAGAACCAAGACCTGTTTTTCTGTTAGCTGATGAATGCTAATTATATACATGAATCCATGCTAATAACAGGCTATCCTGCCCAGGCAAAGAATTAGATTTTTAAGAGGAACCCTTTAGAGACAGGTATCCAGATCCAAAGAAGTGAATCAAATGATCAAAATTTGAATATTATGTGGCATGTTTTGGGGCAGGCCAGATTCTTCAGCACAAAGTCGCACTAGCCGCCCACAAGAGCTCCTTATCTGTAATACTCAGCCTTTCTCACCTTCCCCACCTCTAATAAATCCTCTTCTCCTTCTTCTGGATTTTCTGTGCAGAAGAATCATCTATCTTAGTTTTGTCTTATTTTTTTTTTCTCTTCTGGATTCCCATTTTCTATTCCTAATATTCTATAAGAAACAGAGGCTCCTAGAAGAAGACTTCCATTCTTTCCTGAAAATGCAAAAGGCTCTTGTATAATCTTGGGACCTAGGCAAGCCCTGTTCTATTTTGCAACTTTCCCTCTGAACCATCTTGGCTAATTCTTTAAATTAAGAATTAATTAAGAATTAATTAATTAATTTAAATGCATCTGGCTCTGATCTTTACTCTCCATTGTCTTAAGCCATTTACTTTTCCCTGCTTTCTCCTATCACCATCTTCTTTCCTCTTCTAGACTGTTTTTCAGTCACATATAATACCCACCTACCCCATGAACACGCATTCATTCATTCATTATTTCCTGCAGGATTCAGCAGGCTATTTATACAGCCTCTTCCATGGGCATAGAACTGAGACAGGCCTTCCCTGTACTTTGTGTACTGTCTGTGTGGTGTGGTGGGGAGAGCTAAAGGGTTCTAGGCAGACATATAGGGCCAGAGCAGAACAATCCTGTTTACCAGGGAGTGTCACCACCACTATTCTCTACCTGCCACCTGCTTCTCTTCCCCATATGACAGAATGAGGACTGCAATTACAATTTTATTTATTTATTTAATTCATGTATTTGTTTATTTAGTTAGTTCTGAGACAGGGTCTCGCTCTGTCACCCAAGCTGGAGTGCAGTGGCATGAACATAGCTCACTGTAGCCTCAACCTCCTGGACTTAAGTGATCCTCCCACCCCAGCCTCTCAAAGTGCTTGGATTACAGCCATGAGCCACCACACCTGTGATTTTAGATAAGCTTCTGACCACAAGCTATGATGAAAAACTCCTCGTGTAGAATGCTGAGTTTTGATGTACTTAAGAATGCTCCAAAAAACCCTTAAAAAGAGAAGTAATAATACAGTTGTGAGATTTCCTATCTGTTGCTGGGGTATTCAAAACTAACCAACGCAGTGGCTGCCTGGGGGTGTTACGGAGAGCCACAGCATCTGCCCTGCAATGTAGAGCATCCTGGGAGCATCCTCAGAACTAGCTGACTGAAGCACTGTTCACAATTGATAAAAGGCAGAAACAACCCAAATGTCCATCATCAGATGAATATGGATAAATAAAATGTGATATATCCATACAATGGAATATTATTCAGCCATGAATAAAGGAATACAGTTCTGATAGATGCTACCACGTGAATAAACCCTGAAAAGATGATGCCATATGAAACCAGTCAGATACAAAAGGACACATATTGAATGACCCCATTTACATGAGGGAATCAGGAATAGGCAAATTCATAGACACAGAAAGTAGAATAGAGATTGCCAGGGGCTGAGGGGAGGGGATGATAGGTAAACCCATTGTTTAACAGGTATAGAGTTTCAGTTTGGGATAATGAACAAGTTCAGGGATGGACAGTGATGATGGTTAGATAACACTGAACATACTTAATCCCACTGAATAGTACACTTAAAAATGGGTAAAATAGTAAAGTGTATGTCATGTATATTTCACCACAATTAAAAATAACAATAACAACAACAACAAAAAAACCAGCTGGCCATGAGCCCAGCAAGTAAACCAAGACAGTCAGTGCACACTTAGCTGAAGTTGAAGTGGTATACCCTGTACCTCACCGGAGGTTGCAGATACTACCAAGGAGTCAGGGCTTACCTGCATGACAACAAGGAAAAGGCTAAGATACTTCTCCCAGAAGCCTCGCCCCACAAACAAGTAACTACAGAGGGCAGGTGGTGAATCTCGGAAAGTAACAGTCCCTGAGTGATCATAAAGACTCATGGTGCTGGGCGCAGTGGCTCACGACTGTAATCCCAGCACTCTGGGAGGCTGAGGTGGGTGGATCACCTGAGGTGAGGATTTTGAGACCAGCCTGACCAATATGGTGAAACCCCATCTCTACTAAAAATACAAAAATTAGTTGGGCATGGTAGCATGAGCCTATAGTCCCAGCTACTCGGGAGGCTGAGACAGGAGAATTGCTTGAACCTGGGAGGTGGAGGTTGCAGTGAGCTGAGATCATGTCATTGCACTACAGCCTGGGCGACAGAGCAAGACTCCATCTCAAAAAAAAAATAAAAAAATTTAAAAAAGACTCATGGCAAGAGGTTCCAGAGGCACTTCTGAGAGTTCTAATCCTGCTGCACGTGGCTTTTCTCCTCCACCCACTGCCCTGCAACCACAGCTGGTCATCTTGAACTACAAGGCCAAAACTCCCATGACTAGCCATCTTCGAGGGGGAAGAATCACTGCAGACATTTGGGACCCGTCCATGTCCAGATACAGATCACTAAGAGGGCACTGTATTTTGGGGGCTGTGGGTGAAACTTCGATGAATCTGTAGAAAGCAGTTTCACTTCAAGATGAGAGAATGAATGAAACAAAGAATTAGTAGAGAATTTAAAAGTTAAGGTAGAGACTCGAAGCTACACATGTGAACAATGTGTGAGGGAGTGAAAGAAAAAAGAGGGAGTAAGATCAAGGAGTATTTTTTTAACAATAGGTGAAGCCTAAGGATATTCATAATGAAAAGGGAAAGAAACAGTGAAGAGAAAGGAGATAATCTCAGACCACAGTTCCCAGAGAAGGTGGGAGACAAGAAGGTTATAAGAACAAGCAAAATGTCTGGCTTTGGAAAAAGGCAAATTTCTGCAGGAGTAGGGAAGAAGACTTGGCTAACCCTAAAATGAGATCAGGTATATGAAAGAGCTTTGAAAAGTGTGCTGGTCCACCGTAATGCAAGGTATCATTATAAAGCCTACTAGAACAGCTAAGTTTGTGTTTGCTGCTTGCTTTTTACATTAATCCTCTTTCACATTCATGGATAACTAAATATTATAGTTAAGAAAACATGTGAACACTATCCAGACAATGAAAAGACAACCTACAGAATGGAAGAAATTTGCAAATCATGTATCTGGCAAGTGACTGATGCCCAGAATACATAAACAATTCCCACAACTCGACAACAAATAAACAACCCCATTCAAAAATGGGTGAAGGACTTGAACAGACGTTTCTCCAAAGAAGCTATACAAATGGTCAATAAGCACACAAAAATATGCCAACATCATTAGTCATCAGGGAACTGCAAATCAAAACCAAACTGAGACACCACTTCACATCCATTAGGATGGCTATTATCAAAAGGCAGGAAACAACAAGAATTGGTGAGGATATAGAGAAATTGAAATGCTGTGTGTGCATTGCTGTTGGGAAGGTAAAATGGTGCAGTTGCTGCAGAAAACACTTTAGCAGGTCCTCAAAATGTTAAGCATAAAATTACAATTTGATCCAGCAATTCCATTCCTTCATATATATCCAAAAGGATAGAAAGCAGAACTCAGATACCTGTACACCAATGTTCATAGCAGCATTACTCAGAGTAGCCCAAAGGCAGAAACAACCCAAATATCCATCAACAGAAAATTTCATTTTTTTTTAAAAAGTCATACAATGGAATCTGATGCTACAACATGGATGAACCTTAAAAGCATGTGACCTGAAATGAGACGCAAAAGGCCAAACATTCTACGATCCCACTTACATGAGATCCCAGTTATACAATAGGCAAATTCACAGAGACTGAAAATAGAACAGAAGTTACCAGGGGCTGCCCCTGGTAAACAATGAGGAGTTACTGTTTAATGGGTTCAGAATTTCTAGTTGAGATGATGAAAAAGTTCTGAAAATGGACAGTGGTGATGCCTGCTTGACACTGTGAATGTACTTAATGCCAATGAACTGTCCACTTAAAAATGTTTACGATGGTAATTTTTGTTATATATATTTTACCACAATAAAAAATTTTTTTGGCTGGGCACAGTGGTTCACACCTATGATCCCAGCTACTTGAGCGGCTGAGGCAGAAGGTCACTTGAGCCCAAGAGGTCGAGGCTGTGGTAAGCCATGATCGCACCACTGCATGCCAGCCTGGGCAACAGAGCATGGCCCTGTCTCAAAAAAAAAAAATTATTATTTGAAGGGAAAAAACAAGAATACTAGAAATGCAGATCTAATAAGCAAGCCCAATATGACCTGTTAGCACAGTATCCAAACAGAACTTCTTTTCTTCTTTCCTTCTTCTCTTCCTTCCTTTCCTTTCTTCCTTCCTTGCTTAAGTTCTATATGAAATAACTAAACATTCTGAGGAAGACAGATGCCTGAGGGAATTATGATGAGAATTTAATTTTAAAAAGATAAATCACATTACGACAGGGACTGGCAGAGTGAGGTAATCTACAGCAGGGACTGTAAACAACAGCAGGCTGAACCAAAGACCCAGGAGGTGTTTCTATCTTCAGCAAAAGGGAAAATGAAGAAAGAACAGAAATACATTTGCAAGCCCCAAATTTGTAAGGCATTCGGTTCTATAAAAACTCCTTGCAACCGTCTTCAAGGAGAAGATGAATTAAATAATTCAGTCAGGGCTAGTTTCACTGGCTGTGAACTCCCATCCAAGGAAACAAGGCAACATAACCTGGATTCCACGTCAGCAGAAGGTCAGAGATCAGATCTTATGTTAGCTCAGAAACTACAGTCTACCACTCTAGCTTCCCAACACTGTGGACAGAATTTGCAGGAAATCAGTTTAAAATTCCATGTGAATAATCCTCAATGAAAGGTAAATCCAGTTTGCTCAACCTGGTATCTCACATAAAGAACAAGCCGGTTTTAAGCATACCTTTCTGCTGCTGATTACTGCTGAACCATTTCGTATCACCAGGGAAAAAGGTTTAGGGCCAAGATGAATGTTCACATGCCTCAGCCTTCCACTTAATTCAACAAGAATCATCTATAAACCAAACTCTAAGACCTCAGGATAGACCTGGCTAATTAGTGATTCTTCTTAAAAAAATCATAATGACACTGTTATGATTATAAGAGGTAGAATGGTCTCCTAAGATGCATTCCAATTGTAATTAAAACAGGGCTGTCCCAGAGCTCCCATTTAGTTTTAATTTATATTAAAATAACTTAGAAGAGCTATTTGATACATTGAACAACTGCCTTAAATCTGGTTGCTTAAACGTCAGCATCTTCCTCCTTCCACAAGCCTCAGAATTGGGGATGAATAATGTGCTGAGAAAAAAGAAGTAGGATACAAATTACCAACACAAGTGGCATATTTTCATGACATCGAATAAACTGTTTTTTAAAATGAGATGATGCTGTACTTAAGCTATTTGAAAGATGGAGTGCAAAAAAGATTCTGCCCATCAACAACCACGTTGGTGGAACTAATCAAAACTGTAAGAACTACATCTATTTGGAAACTGATTTTAATCAATGCTGAAGAGACTGAATTCCCATAGCTTTTCACTTAATTAGACCTACAATGCTGGATCTGGAAGACATTCCAAATATTCTTGTGGCATCTATTTTATTCAAAGCACTCTGGGCTACTCTATCTAGAAACAGAACTACTTTTTACTCCACTCACCTGGCTTTACTTGCTTTATAGCACTCATCACAATCTGATGGTATATTATATACTTATGTATACATACACAATTTGCCACTGTTTATTGTCTCTCTCTCCCACCAGAATGTCATCTCCACGGTGCAGGGATCCTGTCTGTATCTCAATACCCACGACAGTGCCTCATGCAGAGTGACATGGAAATTACTGTCATCTGTTTACTGGCCAACTAGATAACACTTGCCCCACTCTTTCACCTAATACATGAGATATTTGGGCCAGGCATAGTGGCGCTCATGTCTATAATCCCAGCAGTTTGGGAGGCCAAGGCAGGTAGATCACTTGAGCCCAGGAGTTCAAGACCATCCTAGGCAACATGGCAAGACCCCATGTCTACAAAAAAACCACAAAAACTGGTGGGCATGGTGGTGAGCGCCTATAGTCCCAGCTACTTGGGAGGCTGAGGTAGGAGGATCCTTTGAGCCCCGGAGGTCGAGGCTGCCGTGCGCCATGATTGCGCCACTGCACTCCAGCCTGGGTGACAGAGCAAGACCTTGCCTCAAAAAAAGAGAGAGTGAGAGAGATTTGATGCTCAGAAAAGTGGAGTGAGAAAAAGCCGGGCCTTAGAGCCAGGTCTCTTAACTCCTAGTCACCCTTCAAAGTCAATGTGATTATGCTGCTCCCTGCTCTGACAGCTCTCCATTACCCAAGTGTCAGCACTTGTCTTAGTTTATACGGGCTGCTGTAACAAAGTATCATTGACTGGGTGGCTTATAAATAACAGAAATCTGCTTCTCACAGTTCTGGAGGCTGGGAAGTCCAAGATCAAGGAGCTGGCAGATTTGATGTCTGGTGAAGGTCCATTTCCTGGCTTATAGATGGTGTCTTCTTGCTGTGTCCCACATGGTTGAATGGGTGAGGGAGCTCTCTCTGGTGTCACTTTTATAAGGGCACTTATCCTATTCATCAGGATTCCACCCTCACGACCATTATAATCACCTCCCAAATGCCCCACTTCCTAATACCATCACCTTGGGGTTTAGGATTTCAACATATGAATTTTGGGGAGACAAAAACATTCAGTCCATTGCGGCACCCTTTAGTCTTTTCCATCTCTCCAAATTGTTCCTGGCCCACTTCTCTAGTCTTGTCTCCTGCCCCTCCCCTCCATGCCTGACGTTCCTGCCACCTCACACCATAGCTACCAAGCTTCCCACATTTTTGCTCACTCTGCCCCTACCTTTGGAATAACTTTCCACCCTGCCTCCATCTGTTACATTTCTACTCCTTCTCCAAGACCCAGCTCAGATATCACTTCCTCTGTGAGCTTCCTCCTGATCTTCCCTTATTCTACCCTGTTACGAGTATTCACTCCCTCCCCTGTGCTCTCACAGCACCTTTGTCCATTGCAGTCCACTTTAAATTCAGCCCTGTCTTTCTTCTATACTAGATGGACTATGAGTTCGTTATTTTTACATTCTCTAGAAACTCCACAGTAACTGGCATGAACAGCTGGAGTAGGGAGGCGAGAAGGAAACAGGGGACACGCACCACTCCTCCACGTTCAGTACGACTCCCAACATCCTAACTGACTGCACCGATGACCCAAAGGAACAAAATCTGATACTGCTAGAAAGGGGATATGCCCTTAAACATGGCAGCCCATGAAATCAGCTAGGAAATTCTGAAAAAGCATACATCATAATGTACTTGTTTGGCAATTATGCAAGAATGCTGCATTTTCTTTTTTCAAGTTAGAAGTTATAGGCCAGGTGCAGTGGCTCACACCTGTAATCCCAGCACTTTGGGAGGCCGAGGCAAGTGGATCACATGAAACCAAGAGTTTGAGACCAGCCTGGCCAACATGGCAAAACCCCTTTTCTACTAAAAATACAAAAATTAGCCAGGTGTGGTGGCGCATGCCTGTAATCCCAGCTACTCGGGAACCTGAGGCATAAGAATCGCTTGAACCTGGGAGGTGGAGGTTGCAGTAAGCTGAGATCATGCCACTGCACTCCAGCCTGGGCAACAGAGTGAGAACCTGTCTCAAAAAAGAAAAAAACAAAGCACAACAAAATAGTTTGGGCCGAGACCTACCATTGTCACATTCAAGCAATCTGTACTTCTCCAACTCCTGTTCTTGTCATACTATGCCCATGGTACCCAATACATGGTATATGTTCAGTACAGGTTGGTTGACACGAGAGAAAATGGTTTTATCATGACTGGCTGGGTGGAATGTGGATGGAAATGGAAATTTTCTTTTCTTTTTTTGAGACAAGGTCTAATTCTGTCACGCAGGCTGGAGTTCAGTGGCACAATCTCGGCTCACTGTAGCCTCGAACTTCCAGGCTCAAGCAATCCATACACCTCAGCCTCCTGAGTAGCTGGGACCACAGGTGCACACCACCATGCCCAGCTAATTTGTGGGAGGGAAGTCTTTGTTTTCTGTTTGTTTGTTTGTTTGTTTGTTTTGTAGAGGTGGGGTTTGGTCTTGTTGCCCAGGCCGATCTCAAACTCCTAGGCTCAAGTGATCCACCCACCTCAGCCTCCTGAGTAACTGGGACTACAGACAGGCGCCACCAAGCCTTGCTGGAAATCTTCATTAAACTTCAAAACAAAGGACACAGTTACTTATTTTGCCTGCTTGAAGGTAACCATTCAGAGATTGCTGTCTTGCTTTATTTGTCTGTATCTAGGATCAACCGGGGTTGTTTGTAACAGACAAAAAAAAAGAAAAATGATAATCTGTAAATATTTTTATAAACCAACATTCCTCCAACCTTCACAATGCACAGTGGCCCTTCTCAATGGACAGATTCATAAAGGTTAATTTCTAGTATGGATTATGAAATTAATTGAAGTGTCGGAGGTTCCCTGACAAAATTGTTGTTCACTAGTTGTCACTGGGCCACCGATGACAAATTAAGTGACTTGGGACACTGCATGAGCCAAAAGGAAAGGCTAGTGCAGAAGCTGCATAAAGTAAACATCTTTAAGATGCTAATCACTACAGTCACATCTGAGCTGCCTATGTTGATTAGGAAATACAAATCTCAACTAAAAATAGCAGACAAAAAATTTTGATCATGAAGTTCTCCTCCTTTTTATCTTTGCTAGTTAAAGACCATTATGCTCACAAAACTGACAGGAAGCCTACATTCTGAGGCCATGGCTTTTGCACCAGCCAACCCTGGCCATTCTTTCCAGACTGGAACGTCAGGAGCATCCGTGGTTAAGAAACAGTCACTCACGGTTCGTATGCTTTCTTCAGAACACAGGCAAAAGACCTCCCTTCATCTCAGTTCTCCTCCTTCCAAAAATGATTCAGCCTGAAAGCATTGCTGCTTTGTCCATCAAGGCTCACTCAAAACTATCTGAGGCCAGGTGCGGTGGCTCACACCTGTAATCCTGGCAGTCTGGGAGGCCGAGGCAGGGGATTGCTTGAGCCCAAGGGTTCGAGACCAGCCTAGTCAACATGGTGAAACATCGTCTCTACTAAAAATACAAAAATTAGCCAGGCGTGGTGGCACACAACTATAATCCCAGGTACTCAGGAGGCTGAGGCAGGAGAATCGCTTGAACCTGGGAGGTGGAGGCTGCAGTGAGCCGAGATGGTGCCACTGCACCCCTGGCACGGTGGCTCATGCCTGTAATCCTAGCACTTTGGGAGGCTGAGGTGAGTGGATCACTTGATGTCAGGAGTTCAAGACCAGCCTGGCCAACATGATGAAACCCCGTCTCTACTAAAAAAATACAAAAAATTAGCTGGGCGTGGTAGCGGGCGCCTGTAGTCCCAGCTACTCGGGAGGCTGAGGCAGGGGAATGGCGTGAACCCGGGAGGCGGAGCTTGCAGTGAGCCGAGATCGCGCCACTGCACTCCAGCCTGGGCGACAGAGCGAGACTCCGTCTCAAAAAAAAAAAAAAAAAAAAAACAAAAAAAAAAAAAATACAAAAAATGAGCCAGGTGTGGTGGCGCACACCTGTAATCCCAGCTACTCAGGAGGCTGAGGCAGGAGACTCCCTTGAACCTGGGGACAGAGGTTGCAGTGAGCTGAGACTGTGCCACTGCACTCTAGCCTGAATGACAGAGACTCCGTCTCCCAAAAAAAAAAAAAAAAAAACCCAACCTATCTGAAATCCTCTGGTAATAGGAAGTACATATGAAAGTGCTGACTTAAATGAGCACCATATCTTATTTACCCCTGTCACAACTGTTAATGTCTAATATTTTAATGCAGGACCTCTGACCTACAGAGGAAGGTAAAACTAAGCCTAAACATCTACATTATAAATAAACAAAGCCCTCCACTAGGTGTATGTGTGTACACACACAACTGGCATGGTGAATATACACATACACACACACAACTAGTAAACACCTAACAGGCAATGGCTTAGGCACAGATCTTGCAACATACAATTGCCATGCACTAAATGGTCCTCTTGTGGTTCAGAGTTTCAGTCTTCCTGAGCCCCTAACCTATTAGCAGGGAGAGACTACAGGCAATGGAAAGAATTCAGCTCAGTTACTCACCTCTGAACCTTAGCCTTCTCATCAGTAAAATGAGGGTTGGACTAGACCAGCACTGCCCAACAGAAACATAATGCAAGCCACAAATGTGAGCCAAATATGTAATTTTAAATTTCTTAGTAGATACATTTTAAAAGTAAAAAAATGGTAACATTAATTTTAACAATATTTTATTCAATCCAACATAGTCAAAACTATTACTTCAACGTGTAATCAACATTAAAAAACTATTAATGACATATTTTGCATTCTCTTTTCACACCAAATGTTTCAAATCCAGTATGTTGGTTTTTTAAAAGAAGAAAATAGAAACAGGACTTTTACCTTGTTGCCCAGGCTGGTCTCCAATTCCTGGGCTCAAGGGATCCACCTGCCTCAGCCTCCTAAAGTGTTGGGATTATAGGCATGAGCCACCAGGCCCAGCACTAGTATGTACTTTTTTATTTTATTTTATTTTATTTTATTTTTGAGACAGGCTCATTGTAGCCTCAACCTCCCTAGCTCAAGCAATCCTCCCACCTCAGCCCCAAGTAACTGGGACCACAGACATGTGCCACCACGCCCAGCTAACTTTGGTTTTTCGGGGAGAGGGTGTTTTTTTTGTTTGTTTTTTTTTTGGTTTTTTTTTTATAGAGACAGGGTTTTGCCATGTTGCCCAGCTGGTCTGGAATTCCTGGCCTTGGCCTCCCAAAGGCTGGGATTACAGGTGTGAGCCATAGCACTGGCCCTAGTATGAATTTTAAATTGATAGCACATCTCCATTCGGACTAGCCACATGGGACCAGCAGGACCGTATAGGGCAGCACAGGCCTAGATGATCTCTGATATTTCTCTTAACACTAGAAGTTATTTTAATAAAGGGAATGACAGATTTTCAGATCAAGGTCTACTTAGAAGAAGTATAAAGCATTTTCCTAAATTTCTTAGTCTGTTTACCCTCATTCAAAATGGTGTTTTGCTTTTTTTAAACTTTTTAAACTCAGTGGAATTCGATCTGTAAACAACTAGGTGGTTTGATCTACTGCTTTTAGCATGACTGTTCTCACTGCCACAGTCACTGTCCTACAAACCTCCAGGGAGATTAAGAATACTCAGAACAAAGTATAACTACTGAATGAATGAGACATCTCAAAAATCATAACTTGAAAAGACAACTGTTCAGATGAAAGTTCAACAGAAATGGCAAAGAAAAATATTTGATAACCATGTTATCTTCTATCTATTAAGATAATGCTATAAAAATAATACAAATGTGCACAGGCTTTTGGAATTGTTTCTCTAATTACTCAACATCCATGAGAAAGATTCATGCTGCTGCTCCCACACTGTCTTGCTTATTAATGCCTTTGTGATCAATGATCTGCCTTCACCAGATGGCTGGCCTGGGTTAAGAGTACAATATGCGCTCACAGAACAAAGCAAAGCTAACTGGTCTTCCCAAGAATTGAACCTGTGACCCTGACCTCATTAACTCTAGAAGACAGTTAACCCATCACAAACTTGCATGGCCAGGTGCATCGTAAATAAAGCAGGAAAGCCCACTGCCTCTGTCACAGTGACACTCTGGTGGAGAGAAAGTCATTCTAAATGTATTAAAAACTTTTCAAAATGAAGAAAAATCCTGACTGCAATCATTTAGGGCAGCCTGGAATTCACCAGCAGTGTCTTAACAGCCCTGCTGGATCTGTCACAATCTTCCCTAAGAACATGAGCTGTGGCCCCCACCCGAGACCATAAATGGTATTGGCAATGGGGTTTGGAGTAATGTTTCCTCTTTCACAAATGGTGATCTTGGGACTATGGCCTCTCCTTTTTATTTCTCCCAAGTGAGGAAACAGCCCATTGTTAACAAGGGGTTAACAATTATATACAAGAATTTTCGCTGATTATTCCTTGAATCCGGCTTATCCTAGATTTAAATAATAATCAAGTTTTCAGACAACCTGTTTCCCGCTCCCTGTCTCCTTATCTTCCTTCTTGCCAGCCAATCCCTCCCCAGGTGAGTGGGGTGAGGCCAGTGAGCCTCCAGATAAGATCGTTCTTACCTTCCCTGGTAAAAACAAAATGCCTTTTTAGCAACTTGTCCTTCCTTTTTCTAATTCCTCTTAGCAGCTGCTACCTGCTCTTAAACTCTATTCTAACAACCGTTTCTAGTGGGCTAAATTTACTTCTGATTTAAATATTTTTTAAAGTGTTTCAGGGATGCAGCTTCTGTGTCTTTTCCTCAATTCATATTGAATACAGTACCAGTTTCAAAAGCAAGTTTTTCGACATTTCTTCTCAATCCCCTAAGTACGCCACTTGAAAAACACTGGAAACATCTGAAAGACCTGGTGAAGACTTTAAAAATCTGACTGAAATATTTATGTTTCCATTTCTGACATTTTAAATGGTATCACTTTTTCACATATAAAAGCTTTTACATATGGTTGTTCTATTTGGCTTCTTAAATATGTCTGATAACATGTGACTATAAGGCTGACAACATGTGACTATAAAAACATCTCTTCAGGGTTGTTACTCAGTTTTTTTATTTCCACAAAGTTACTTAATATGTATTTCTTTACTTTAGAGAAGAGTTTATAATCTGGTACTTCTCATATATGTGTGAAAATCATACATCTATGTAAACCTAAAATATGCATATGCATCTGCCTTAAAGCCACCAGAATAAATTAATATCTAAATTGATTTCGTTCTTATCTCTATGAATTTTCACATCAGGATAAAAAGGAGCCACTGAGTGGCGGCTCACGCTTGTAATCCCAGCACTTTGGGAGGCTGAGGCAAGGCAGGTAGATCACTTGAGCCCAAGAGTTCATGACCAGCCTAGGAAACAGAGAGAGACCACATCTCTACAAAAAATAATTAACCAGATGTGGTGGCATGCGCCTATGGTCCCAGCTATTCAGGAGGCTGAGCTAGGAGGATCACTTGAGCCCAGGAGGTAGAGGCTGCAGTGAGCCATGGTTACATCACTGCACTCCAGCCTGGGTGACAGAGCAAGACCCTAGAAATACATAAATAAAAACATAAATGAATAAAAGAATAAACAGGACACAAAATGTAAAGGTAGCCAAGTTTTGTATCTGCCTGAACATACAAATTACAATGACCACCCAATAAGTGGGCCATGTCCTGATGCTCACAAAAACTGTAACAATCCACTAAGGGTCAAGTAGTAGACAGAATTAATAAATACGCATAAAACACAGGCTTGCTGCAACTTTACACAATTTCATTAGCTGCAAAGTATATTTTGAGGGCCAGCCTAAGGATGAAATCTGATGTTCAAAAATAAATGCAATTATATCTATATTTGTTTACATCAAATCTTAATTTAAAAAGACTGATGAACAGAAATATATGGCTACTCAAACCACATAAATAAACCATGAAACTACTGTTCTTTGTCTAACATATCATCATGATCTACACAAATTCAGATTTTTAAATTGTCAGCTTTGAAAACACTAACCTTAATTCAACAAATAAACTGTTTAAATATATGGTTAAAAGTTTAAAGCCTCATGCACACAGGAGTATCCAAAGCTATAATGCAAGAGCAGTGGCATATTTATACATTTTTAGGCACCTGGTAATCATGTTATTTATGAGTTACACTCCTACATATAATAGCAATAATGCAAACCAGACACCATAGGTGTTTTAATGTAGAAGATATAAATGTAAAAAAAAAGTGAAATTTGCCTTTATTATATAAAAGCATCTATTTGTGTATTCTAAGTATTATTTATAAAATATATTTCCTGAAAAACGCCTTAATTCTTCCTGACAATGTGTTTCAAAGAGGGAAGTCCTAGAAATATCAAAATATTAAAATTAAAATACTGCTACAAATACACATAGGAAACGTGTAAAGAACTGAAAAACCAAAAAACAAAAAACGCTAATAGGATACTTGGTGGTGGTTTCTTAAAGTACTTTACAAAGTAAATACTTTTAGCACCTTGTGATTTTAAGACCAATCAATACACTATGAAGTACTCTTTTGTAGCTTGTAAGGCTTCATTTTGTGCCTTAACAAAAGCCGACATTCATTCGTAATGAAGTCTTTTTATAGTTACACAGCTATTTCATGTCTCTTAGGAAGATATATTAAACCTTTGGATGCTCAATAAAAATGACCAATTAATTGACTCTATCACAAAAACCTGAGAAGCTCTTACAAAATATTTACATCAAAGACCAGCTAAAGCCAGAAAGAATTACGTTATGCTTCCTTAACTTCCCTAAGTTGAAAACTGACTTGAAATGAGTCATTTCAAAGGAAACTACAAAAGATGTACCACAATGGGTAAATTCTCAATATCGACATTCAAATTTATGTTAAGGAAGAAATGAAACATCTTCAGAAATCACTATGAGGGAACATCAGAAAACCATGGGGGTTAAGAGGGCAGACAGGCTTTGGGATCAGAGAGAACTCAGTTTGAATCTTTGCTTCATCCCTCTCTAAATTTAGGACCTTGGGCAAGTTAATAAAAAGCTCTCTGAGTCTTAATTTCAATTATCAAATGTAAACACAAGGCCTACTTACAGGGCTGTTGTGAGAACTAAATTAGATAACATATATAAATAGACTACTTAGCACACAGTAACGTGACCATGAGAAATATTCAATAAATGATGGTAATTCCCAAGAAATGTTTAAGAACTTATTTTTAAATGTAATTTAGTATTCAAACTCCAATTGATGTTGTAAACCATTTGAAGAAAAGAAATAAAGATTCAACAACAGCTTTCTTAAATGCACTTAACCTGATTATCCTTAGCATTAGTGCTTTTCAAAGCGTAGTTCCTGACCCATTAATGGGATGTGAAATCATTTAGCGATCTCAACCAACATTTTTTAAATAAAATAGAATAAAAAATATAAGAATGCATTGCACATTCAAAGTCTAAGCATTACTTCATGAATTTTTTAATTACAGATATTTACAATGTATCTGTATACTGGGTGGCAAAGTAAAATGCATCTCTTACTGTGCAAAAATAAAAGTTTAGGCTGGGCGCAGTGGTTCATGCCTGTAATCCTAGTATTTTGGGAGGCCAAGGCAGGAGGATTGCTTGAGACCAGCCTGGGCAACACAGTGAGACCTCACCTCTTTAAAAAAATAAAAATAAAATAAAAAATTAAAAAGTTTAAAAGCCATTGCTTTACATTAAAATAATGAAAATAAAAATTAGCTGACACTGAGTGCTTAGTTTGTACTAAACATTGTGCTATGCCCACATTATTTTATTTGATCCTCACAAAAATGTTCTAAATAGGATTACTTCCCCCATTTTACAGATGAGGAAACTGAGGCTTAGATTAAATCACCTGCCAAGGATGCAGAGCTAGTAGCCAGTAAAGCCAATGCTCAAATTCAATCACCTGCCTCGAGAACTTGTGTATTTAACCACTCCCCTAAGTACTAGGTTGTAAAATATACCTTTTCTTTATGTAAAAGTTATCCAAAAGGTAGACTTTTTCATGGGGTCTAATTCCAGCGTGATTTTCTGGGGGTACAGTGTATCTTGGAGAAGGTTGTGTGATTCAGGGGAGAAAGCTCTGGGCGTGAGATCCAGCTTCTGTCCCTGGCATTGTTGCTTTAGTGGCAAGGAGCTGGCAAGTCATTTAATCTCGCCATGTCTGGATTTCCTCACCTACAAAACGGGAATGATAATATCTGCCCTGCCTCCCCACAGGCCATTGTGAGAAACTATATGCACATACAACAAGTGAAATGTTCTATTGTGCCACTCAGTTACAGGAGATGATTTAAAATGATGAAAAAAACCACCCAAGAGACCCCATTCTTGGAAGAAACACACATCAACTATGACTGAAAAAGGAGGTCACCAAGCTTTCATCAACTGTATGTGGAAAACCTCTACACAGTTGTTGGCACACAGTAGGCCTTCAGTAAATGTTCGTTGAATAAAAAGTAAACAAATTCCATCTGTACACGTTTTATCCACTTGTATTTTTTTCACCTATTCATTCTTTCTTTCCATGACTACATACTGAACACCTACTGTGTGCCAGATCAGAAATACAGACCACAAAAAAAGACTAAAAGATTGTCCCTTTCCCTGGAGAATTTCAAATTAATGCCAATTAATTGGTCTGAAATTGGGTAAGAGAAAAACTGTAAAACACAGCTTCCTCATCTAGCGATAATAATAACTTACATTTATTATAGTGCTTTGTAGTTTATGAAGAACTATGAACTATTACCAAGAGCTAGCTTTTGTTTCTCACACCAATTGCCTATTGTCAAGTTGGTGTTAGCTTCCTCCTCCAAATTCAGTGGTCGGTAAGTACTGCTAAGTCTTTAGAGTGAAAGTTTCTCAATGTGTTAGAGATGACTGTAAAATTAAGCTTTTGAATACAATGCATTTTAAATAATCAACAGTGGAAAGGGCGATCCAGTAACATGATTTTTTCCCTGCCCACTTCTGAGTTGAAGTGATCTGTAATGCAACCATATTATATTTTTCAAAATGTTTCTTTTTCAAAGCTGCCTTTGAAATTTTTTTTCATATAGGCAATTTTCTCTTGAATATACTGAACAAGGATTCCCTTTTCCCAAAGGATAAAGGAGACAGTAGTGAAGGAGTCTTCTCTTTGTTGACTTTTTAAAAATTACTCAAAACTGACTGTTTTATTCAGATTCCTGAGTCACAAACAATGCCAAAGAACTGTGAGCCATTTTTTATATAATTCCACAATTACTATAGGTGATTTTTAAAGGAAACATTGATTTAACTCACAACTTAATGAATCAAAAATTTGCCACAGGATATTTACTAAGAATCTTTTTCTAAAACTGCCTTATCCTTTGTATTCTAACCACTCCCTCTCCACCACCACCACTTACCACCCCCAATACACACACACACACACACACACACACACACACACACACACACTCCCTCACCTACACCAGATCAGTTTCCCAGCCATTATTCCTAAAACCATATTAAAATTTCACAACACATGGTCGTACTTACTAGGTTTTCTTCCCCCTCCCCCTCCACTGAATCAATGTGTCTTGAAATATATATTCTCTTAAAATTCAGAATTCAGAAAATGATTACGATGTCTCTAACTCAAGAACACATATTATAAAATTCAAAGTCGGCTTCTGTTTACTGATAATCATGAAAAAAAAAAAGCCATACCCCACCCACCGTATCCGTAGGGTTAGGAGGTCCAATCTCGCCACTACAGAGCTCTGCAAGAAAGGACGGTTATAGTGCCAGGAAAACCATCGCAACAAGCCCCGGGCGAAGATAAAGAAAACAGATTTTACACCACGGGCAGCGCGCAGTCTCCTGGCCCCGGCCCTTGGTAAACAGGGGAAACCTTTGTCTTGCCTCAGCTATCAAACTGGTGGCTCATCAGAATTGGGGCAACAAGAGTTTGTGCGAAACGGTCTGGCAGAGGTTAAACAAAGCAATGCAGCTCCGGGGGCGGTGGGGAGAGGGCTGAGCCCGGACGGCGTCCGCGATCCCGGACGGTGAGGTCTGGTTCTGGCCCTTGCCGCGGTCGGGACCGAGCCAGGGACCTGGGGACAGGATGGCGAGGCGCGGGAAGAGGAGAAGGCAGGCGAGGTCCCATATTCTCCGCAAGTTCCCGGGGTGCAGCCCGGCGGCAGGTTCCCCTGCGGGGATCCAAAGCGCGCAAGCCGCGCGCAGGTTCCTCCGGGAGGGTCCGCGCCTCCCACATGGGGACACCGCCCCGAAGCCCACCGCCCGCCGCGCCGAGCCCACGCCCCCGGGGCCAGGTCCCCTGGAGTCCCGGGGCGCTGCGGGGGCCCGGCCCGGAGGGGCGCGAGTGGAGGAGAGAAGCCCGCCCCTGTCCCCATTGTCTGGCTCCGGCCGCGGGCCGAGCAGGCGCTCACCTGAGGTCCCCGCCTGGCGCTCCGGCTGGCAGAGCGGCTGGCCGGCGACCGGCGGTCCCGGGCGGGCGGCGGACTCGGCGGCACTGCGCGCGGCAGCCTCCGCATCAGCAGCCGCCGCGGCAGCAGCACCAGCAGCGCACCCGCCTCTCAGTCGGCCGTGGCCTCCATTGCTCTCCCCACTGCCGCCACCGCGCGGCACTGCGCGCCCGGCCCCGCGCGGCGTGGTCACATGCTCCGCCGGCGCCTCGGGCGCTCGGACCCGCGCCGCCGCCCCGCCCGGCTTCGCCCAGGGACAGCTGAGCGTGAGGCGCCGGCTTCCTTCTCGCGCCCTCCGGGAGTGGCGCACACCAGATGGCTCCCCTCCCCAGGGGTGCCCAGAAACCAGGAGCGGGCCCCAAGGAGGGGCGTGGGGTTGACCAGTGCCCTCCCGGCTTCTGCAAAGCCTGACTCGAGGGAGTGCTGAACTCGTGGGGTCTGAGGTTACAGTGGTGGGCTCACAGCGAGGCTCATCCTGCGTGTGGCGAGAACATTGGACCATCAGTCACCACCCCACAGGTTGCAAATTCGGTCCCTGTTACCCGCAGCAGTCTCTCTAATAGGAGATACCGGGAGCCCAGGAGAAGTTTCGCCCTGCAGAGTCCCAACCACAATAAATGGCACTGGGACTCCTGAGAGTTGAGTAAGTTGGAAAATGCCACCTAGAAATAGAAAGGCTAGAAATTGCATTGCTGAGTCCCTGTACATCCGAACGGAGTGACATTGACAATGTGCATTATTGTCCCCAGCCATAATGAAATTAAATATTGATTTTGATGCTTTAAGGAAAATGACTTCTCCTTTTGTGGGCTAACGAAGAAAACAAGACTTTTCCTTCATACTTTTTGTTGTGACTATGCCAGTGCAACTACTGGAAATCAGTTTCTGGTGATCTTTTTAGTTTACTATGTATGCAAGGATGCTAAAAATAATTGAATATCATTATTAAACAGGAAATTTTAAAGCAAAATGACTAGACAAAAGATGCAAAATACGAAAGATAGCCCTAAATTATACCCAGTATTGAGCCAGATGTCCCAAATGCCAAAAATAGGACTAGTAATTTCTTTTCTTTTTTTTTTTTTTTTTTTTTTGAGACGGAGTTTCTTGTTGCCCAGGCTGGAGTGCAGTGGCGCGATCTCAGCTCACTGCAACCTCCAACTCCCGGGTTCAGGCGATTTTCTTGCCACAGTCTCCCTCTGAGTAGCTGGGATTACAGGCGCCCGCCACCACACCCAGCTAATTTTTGTTTTTATTTTTAGTAGAGACGAGGTTTCACCTTATTGGCCAAGGACTAGTAATTTCACTGCATGACTTAAAGGAGCAACCTTGAGACTGGGAGAATCTAGTGCATGTTACCTTATCCAACTGGTTTATTCTAGATAAACATTTAAGTTAAATATCAGTATAATATATGGCTTTGTATTTTCGTGAATATAGATACTTAGTTCAGTGTGCACATATCCTAAACTATGTCTGCTTTATTCCAAATTAGAATAATGCAGAGTTTTAGAAAGGGTTGAGCAAATTTCTTTTGATTTGAGTTTAGTAGCGTTAGAAGTTCCCAGAAGCCGGCCGGGCGCGGTGGCTCATGCCTGTAATCCCAGCACTTTGGGAGGCCGAGGCAGGCGGATCACCTGAGATCGGGAGTTCAAGAACAGCCTGGCCAACTTGGCGAAACCCCGTCTCTACTAAAAATACAAAAATTAGCCAGGCGTAGTGGCGCATCCCTGTAATCCCAGCTACTCGGGAAGCTGAGGCAGGAGAATCGCTTGAACCCGGGACGCGGAGGTTGCAGTGAGCTGAGATTGCGCCATTGCACTCCAGCCTGGACAACAAGAGAGAAACTCCATCTCAAAAAAAAAAAAAAAAAGAAGTTCCCAGAAGCCAAAAATCAAATCTATGCAGAACATATAGCTGAGATCTTGTTCTTGATATATATTATAGTCTTGCCAACTACATGAAAACACAAACAAATGTCCATATAAAAATTCAAATGTTCATAAGTCAAACGTAGGTCTACTATCTTTTCACTTTGTAGGACAAGGCACCCCAATTCATATACACCCAAAAAATATCGCCGGAGTTCTGGAGAAATGATGCTCATATTGGACCATTCTAACAACTAGACTTAGTGTCTCATGGGCCTCAGAAATCGGAATCCATCAGGCACCACTTTTGACAGGTGCTGTTTTTTTCCCTCACTTTTCAAATACATTGGTTCATAGCAACTATATCCAGGGCTATAACAAGATTGCATGGCACCCTAACCCCAAGTATCAGTCTACTATTCCACGTTTTCGATAGCTAACTGCCTACCAGTGGAAACATTTTTCAGAGGCCATAATACAAAAAAAAAAAAAAAAAAAAAAAAAAAAAGATGCAGAACATCTAGAATTTTTTTTAACACTTAACCATTTAACTGCTGTGTGAGAGGTTATAGAAAATATGTGGGAAATAAATTTCGTAGTTAGACCAGTAGTTTCAGCTGTAGGGATACTTGCACTGTAGGAGACATTTGGCAGTGTCTTGGGCACATTTTTGGTGGTCTACACTGGGGATGGCAGGTGCTGCTACTGGGCATCTACTGGGTAGAAGCCAGAGATGCTGCTAAGAATCTTACAATGCTCAGAACAGCCCCCACAACCAAGAATTATCCAGCCCCAAATGACAATAGTGCTAAGGTTAAGAAACGCTGAGTTAGACCAAGGATTTCCAAAGCCTCTCCATTCTATAATCCACCATGTCTGTGTATCATCCCTTTCCATGACTTTCTGTCCCTCAGCATGAGTCCACTGGATAATTCAATTAACTTCAGATATTTCCTTAAATTTGTAAAATGGGAATAACTGTTCTAGTTCCCATATCTTTTAAATTACCATTATTATTGTGTCTGAAAATTAAGTAATGGAAAAATATAATCGGCAAATACTAACAGAAGAAAACATGGAGACAACTGCAAATCTACATGCAAAATAATCAATTTGGACCCCTATCTCTCTATATAGTTAACTCAAATGGATCATAGATCTAAAGGTAAGAGCTAAAACTATAAAACTCTTAGAAGAAAACAAAGGCATAAATCATGTCCTTAGGTTAGACAATGATTTCTAAGATATGACATCAAAAACACAAGCAATGCAAGAGAAAAATAAACAATATCAAAATTTATAACTTTTATGTTACACATGATATCATCAAGTGAGTGAAACTATGATGCAAGGAATTGGACAATACATTTACAAATCATACAATGTATCTAACAAGGGACTTGTATACAGAATACATAAAGTACTCATAACACTCAATAATAAAAAGACAACCCAATTTTATGATGGGCAAAGGATTTGAATGGACATTTCTCCAATGAAAATACACAAATGACCAATGAGCAAATGAAAAGATGCTTAACATCATTAACCATTGGGGAACTGCAAATCAAAATCACACCTAGGGTGGCCATAATAAAAAAGACAGATAATCACAAGGGTTGGTGAGGACATACAGAAATTGGAAACTTCATATATTCTGATGGTAGAATAACCAATGACCCAGCAATTCTACTCCTAGAAAAATACCCGAGAGAAATGAAAACATATCCACACAAAAACGTATACATGAGTGTTTATAACAGCATTATTTAGAATGGCCAAAAGTGGTAACAACTCAAATGTCCATCAACTGATGAATGTATTAAACAAAATGTGGATATCCATACAGTGGAATATTATTTTGCAATAGAAAGGAATGAAGTACTGATAGATATATGCTACATGTATGAACCTTGCATGCAACATGGATGAACCTTGAAAACATTATTCTAAGTGAAAGAAACCAGACTCAAAAGACCACATGTGATATGATTTCATTTGTATCAATGTCCAGACAGTCAAATTTATGGAGATAGCAGTAGATTATGATTGTAGGGAGGAGGAGTTGGGGGAAAATGGAGAGTGACTGTTAATGGATATGGTGGGTATAGGGTTTCTTTTTTTTTTTTTTTTTGAGATGCAGTCTTGCTCTGTCATCCAGGTTGGAGTGCAGTTGTGTCATCTTGGCTCATTACAACCTCTGCCTCCTGGGCTCAAGTGATCCTCCCACCTCAGCCTCCAAGTATCTGGGACTGCAGGCACATGCCACCACACCCAGCTAATTTTTTAATTTTTTTGTAGAGATGGGGTTTCTCTGTGTTGCCCAGGCTTGTCTTGAAATCCTGGTCTCAAGTGATCCACCCGCCTCGGCCTCCCAAAGTGCTGGGACTACAGGCGTGTGCCACTGCGCCCTGCCAGTGTGGGGTTTCTTTTGGTGATGATGAAAATGTTCTAAAATTGCAATAACAGCTGCACAATTCTGTAAATATACTGAGTCATCCAATCATGTAATTTAAGTGGGTGAATTTTATGGCATGTAAATTATATCTCAACAAAGTTGTTACAAAATAGATGACAGCATAAGTTGCAATATTAGTGTCTGATAAAAGAGATTTCAGGGTAAAAAGTATAAGTGCTAAAAGGTGCAAGCCAACAAAAAATATGTAACAGTCCTGAAATGTATGTATCTAACAACAGAACTTTTAAATTACTGACAGAGTGAAGAATAAATGAATAAAAATAAAATTCTTGCTTTAATTAAAATTCCTTAAACGGTGAACAGTAAAATAAAATTATTGCTTTAATTAAAATTCCTTAAATAGTAAAAAAAAGTTAATAAAATTCTTGCTTTAATAAACTACAGATAGTTCCCAACTTAGGATGATTTGGCTTATGTTGTTTCAACTTTATGATGCTATGAAACCATTCTGTTTTTCACTTTCAGTATAGTATTCAATAAACTTCATGAGATAGCCAACACTTTATTATAAAATGGGTTTGTGTTAGATGATTTTGTCCAACTCATATGAGTGTTCTGAGGATGTTTAAGGTAGGCTACACTAAGCTATATTGTTTAGTAGGCTAAAGGTATTAAATGCATTTTCAACTTAGGGATATTTTCAACTTACAATGGGTGTACCAGGACATAATCCCATCATAAGTCAAGAAACATACTATATTTAAGGCAAAAACTGAAATAAAAGGAAAAGCAAACAACTCTGCCCTCACCATGAGAGGAATTTTAATTTTTCTTGGAATTAACTTATCAAGTAGACAAAGATAGTTATCCAGAGAATTCACAAACTTGATATCTTTTAGCTCTGTAGTCCCAGCTACTCCAGAGACTGAGGGGGGAGGATCCCATGAGCCCAGGAGTTTGAGGCTGCAGTGAGCTATGATCACACTTCAGCCTGGGCAACCAAGCGGGATCCTGTCTCCAAAAAAAAAAAAAAACAAAAAACAAAAAACAAAACGAAAAGATAAGAAGTGCATACCCAACAAACAAAAAATATGCATTTTGCACAAAAGTTTTTGGAATGATCACAAAAGTTAAGCAAGTTTTAAGCCAAAACATAACAAATTTCAAAAAGCAAAATCCATACAGGCCACATTCCTTAATCGAAATTCAATAAATTAGAAATTTGTAACAAAATCCTATCTACTTAAAAACTTTAAAACTTCCTTTTAAATAAATAACTTTTTTTGTTAAAAATAGGGTGAATATACTTTCCAGTTCACCTAGGAGAGCCTGAGTTAGCACTTATTTTCCTGACATAACACATATACTGTCATGCACTGCAAAATGACATTTTAGCCAATGAAGAACTGTATATAAAACAGTGGTCCCATAAGATTACAATACTGTATTTTTACTGTGTCTTTTCTATGTTTAGATACACAAATACCATTATATTATAATTGCCTACAGTATTCTGTACAGTAATATGCTGTATAGGTTTGTAACCTAGGAGCAATAGGCTATACCATATACCTACCCTAGGTGTGTAGTAGGCACCACCTAGGTTTGTGTAAGTACACTCTGTGATGGTCACACATGATGAAATCTCCTAATGGCAAATTTCTCAGAACAACACGTTTCCTGTAGGTAAGTGATGCAAAACTGTATTTTGCTCTCCAAAGTGTCCCAATTTGGATGATAAGTTACACGGTGACCCCAATAAAGAATTATCCAGAACTGAAGTTGGAATCTACTTAGAAAGTAATGTCAAAAACTAATGACCAAAAAAATCCTGTGGGAGTACAGTCCAAGAGGTTCTCAGAGGAAATTTTGTAGCCTTTAATGCATAAATTAGAAAACAAGATTAAAAATAAACTGAACATATAACTCAAGAATGTGAACAAATGAAAAAGAAAGCAGAAGTAAGGAAGGAATGAAAGCAGAAGTTAATGAAATAGAAAACAAATCAAACAGTAGATTTTACCAACAAAATTAAAAGTTGATTCTTAGGAAAAAACAAAACAAAAAACATGGCCAGGTGCAGTGGCTCATGCCTGTAATCCCAACACTTTGGGAGGTTGAGGAGGGAGGATTGCTTGAGCCCAGGAGTTTGAGGCCAGTCTGGGCAACATAGTGAGACCCTGTCTCTACCAAAAATTAAAAAAAAAATAGCCAAGTGTGGCGGCACACACCTGTAGTCCCAGCTACTGGGGAGGCTGAGGTGGGAGGATCACTTGAGCCCCGAAGTTCAAGGCTGCAGGAACTATAATCAAGCCACTGCACTCCAGTCTGGGCAATAGCAAGACCAAAAAAGAAAGAAAGAGGGAAAGGGGGAGGAAGGGAGGGAGGGAGGAGGAGGAGGGGAAAGAAAGAGAGAGAGAGAGAGAGAGAGAGAAAGGGAAGAAAGGAGAGAAGGAAGGAAGGGAGGGAGGGATGGAAGAAGAAAGGAAGGAAGGAGGGAGGGAGGGAAGGAAGGAAGGAGGGAGGGAGGGAAGGAAGGAAGGAGGGAAAGGAGGGAGGGAAGGAAAGAAAGAGAGAAAGAAAAAGAAAGGAAGAAAAGGAACGAAGAAAGGAAAGAAAGAAAAGGAAAGGAAGGGAAGAAAGGTGACTTATTTCTGATCTATCAGTCAAGAGATACAAGAAATAACTCACAAGAAAAAGACAACTAAGGTATGGATGACCTTTTAAAAAGGTAGATAAGATAGAAGATTTTCCAAAAAAAAATTAATTACCAGGCTGACTTAAGGAGGGGGAGAACATCTAATTTGTAGAAGAAATTGAAAAGGTAGTCAGATAGTTTCCTCTAAAAAAGACACCTACCCAGGTGATTTTATGAGCCAGTTCCATGTAATGCAAAGAATTCCAGAATATGGGAAGAGAAGGTTTTACCATTTGTTCTTGGAAGCCAGGATACTATGACATCAAAGCCAGACCATGCTGCTTGCACTCAACGGGAAACTGTAGGTCAGTCCCACTTCTGAGCATAGATTTTAAAATCTCAGTAAAGTACTAGAAAATAAAAACCAGTAGTGCATTAAAAATAATATTATAGTTCAGGCAATGGATAGTGGTGATAGTTGTATAATATTGTGAATGTACTCAATGCCACAGAATAGTCACTTAAAAATTGTTAAAATGGTAAATTTCATGTATATTTTACCAAAATAAAAAATTTAACATTTTGGGTGGAAAATTTCTTTGCTAATCCTCTTGTTTCTGCATATCTTTTGAGCAAAGGCTCTGGCAGTTTTTCCTAGACTGTCTTTTCCAGGATATTTGTACAGCAAACAGTTTTAGGAAAAAGAGATAATGTCATCCCCAAGCAGGGAGAAGGTTTGTTTGCTGTCTCCTCCCAGGGTAAAGTTGGGGCAGGTTTGCCTGCAGCCCCTTGTAGAAAGAAGGCTGAGTTTTCCTAAGTTCCAGTTCTTTAGCTTGTGATGTAAACTCATTACATGGGCAGCATTCATCTAGGCTGACTTGTATTGTCCCTGTGGGATCTGGGGACATGAGGAACTGGTGCAAAACTCATGCTACCTGCTGTGCAGTAGCAAGGAACTTTGTCTCTGACGCAGAAATCTTGTGTCTTCTGCTAGCATTCAGGAAACTGTGCATTCAGGAAACTACCTTGCTAGTTTGCAAGCAGGGTAGAATCTCAGATAGTTCTTTACCATTTGGGCAACAAGGATAGGCTGCTGACAGAGCACTTGCTACTGAGAAGAGAAAGGATAAGGTCAGGGGATGTGGGAAGATTGTGCAGGATCTGGTAGTGAGTGCTATTGCCCAAGCGTTGGGTGAGGGGGAAGAAATAGGAATCCCCGACTGTCCTACCTGTTAATGAATATTTAGAGGTTGAGCAATGAGAGGAAGGATTGAAACAAGCTGCCTCATGGTGCTGTCCTCCTCAGACAGGGTAAGGAGGGGATGTTATCATGACAATGGGTGGCAAGCCCTGTGGCTCCAGTCAAAAGACAATATGGCTGTGTCAAGGGGTTTCCAAAGTGGAAATAAATGGTGACAACAGTAAGGATATGAAATTTGGGGTTTGTTTGGTTGAGTCTGGACCATTAACCATTGCCAGCCACTTGAAATTAAAAGTAAACACAAGCTGGACATGGTGGCTCACACCTGTAATCCAAACACTTTGAGAGGCCGAGGTGAGTGGATCCCTTGAGCCCTGGAATTCGAGACCATCCTGGGCAACAGGGCAAAACCCCATCTCTTCAAATAATAATAATAATAATAATAATACACAAATTAGCTGGGTGTGGTAGCATGCATCTGTAGCCCCAACTACTTGGGAGCCCGAGATGGGACGATCGCTTGAGCCTGGGAGGTTGGGGTTGCAGTGAGCCAAGATCACACCACTCACTGCATTCCAGCCTGGGAGACAGAGTGAGACCTTGTCTCAAAAAAAAAGTAAACACAAAGCTTTGCTTACCAGGGAGGAGCTACCTTCTCCCACTGCGCCAGAAAATCTCTCCCTCCTTCTCATTCCTGAGTTTAGGAAAGTCCTGCTACTTTAAGGAACCAAATGATTGGGTCTATGTCTCCCTGTACCCAAGGAGGGCATACACACCGTATGAATATACTGAGGTACTTCAAGGAGGGGAGAGACTCACATTTCTCTGGCTCTTTTGGATTCAGGCAACCAAGTTGCCATCCTACCGTGTCCAGTGGTACTCAGATTTAACTCATGGGATGTGGGTAGGGTTTGAGGTGGGGTAAGGGAGCTAATGTGACCTTATGGGGAGGACCTTTTGGATTAATTCATTGTACTGTTGTTGCTTGTACATCTGAACATATAGTAGGAATTGATGTGTTATATTTCACATCCCGTAAGTGCCAGAGAGGGTTTCCCGAGCAGGGAAGAGATAAAGCAGAGATGTGCTAGTGAGACAAACTCCCTGCCATTTGTAGCCAGCATGTGATCATGAGTGCCTCTACCCTCTGATTTAAATTTTTTTCCATATAGATGATGTCCTGTTGGTTGGCAAGTCAGAAGCCTCAGTCTCAGGCCAGGTGCAGCTCACACCTGTAATCCCAGCACTTTGGGAGCCTGAGGTGGGAGAATCACTTGAGGCCAGGAGTTTGAGACCAGCCTGGGCAACATAACGAGACCTCATCTCAATAAAAATATGTAAAAAATTAACCAGGCATGGTGGTATGAGCCTGTAGTCTTAGCTACTCAGGAGGCTGAAGCGGGAGGATTGCTTAAGCTCAGGAGTTCGAGGCTGCACTGAGCTATGATTGGGCTCCAACGTGTGCAACAGAGTGAGACCCTCTTTTTTTGAGACAGAGTATTGCTTTGTTGCACACAGTGGAGTGCAATGACAGAGTCTTGGCTCACTGCAACCTCCACTCCTAGGTTCAAGCAATTCTTGTGCCTCAGTCTCCCGAGCAGCTGGGACCACAGGCGCACACCACCATGCCTGGCTAATTTTTGTATTTTTTAGTAGAGACAGGGTTTTACCATTTTGGTCAGGCTGGTCTCGAACCCTTGATCTCAAGTGATCTGCCCTCCCTGGCCTTTCAAAGTGCTGGGATTACAGGAGTGAGCCACTGTGCCCAGCTAAGACCCTGTCTCTTAAAAAAATAAAATAAAATAAGCCTGTCTCAGTGCCCCTGGCTGGGGTGTTGCCATACCTACACCAGCAGAAGTGGCTGGTAAACCCCAACAATATTCAGAGGGTTGCTTGCCTAGTTAAGTTTCTTGGGATAATGTAGGCAGAATCATGATGCCTCTGACACCCAGGTAACAGTATTGGGGAGACCTTTATCTCTGGGCCCCCAACACCAAAAAGGAGGCTGAGCTCCCTATTGGACTTTGTTGGAGACAGTATGTGTCTCACTTGGGCATTCTATTTGGTCCTTTATATGAGCTAACCCACAAATCAGCATTTTTTGAGCAGGGCCCAAACCAGTAGCAATGAATGCTCTCTTTGTCCCCTAGATCCTACATTGCAGTCTGGCGACAAATCATATGGTCTGCCTGAGGCAAGAAACTGCAGTGGCTGGCAATCTGACCTGCTGCCGTATCTGTCATCCCTGTCCACGTGCTATGAAAACAAACTCGTGGGTGTGGCTGCTCTTGAACCATTTTGCTGTACCTATTGCTGTCAATGGCAGCCCCCAAACATGGACTCCACCTTGTCCATGCACAGACACACAGACTAGCACAGCGTTTTTTCAATCTGGTGGATACAAATTCATATGCATCTCCTCCTCTCTGCTGAGCAGCTTTGGGTGGTGCCATGTGTGACTATCAAGGCTGCAACTACTCAGTGACATAGTCCATGTGTCTTTGTCTTTTTTTTTTTTTTTGAGATGGAGTTTCACTCTTGTCACCCTGGCTGGAATGCAGTGACGCGACCTTGGCTCACTGCAACCTCTGCCTCCTGGTTCAAGCGATTCTCCTGCCTCAGCCTCCTGAGTAGCTGGAATGAGAAGTGTGCACCACCATGCCTGGCTAATTTTTGTATTTTTAGTAGAGATGGGGTTTCACCATATTGGTCAGGTTGGTCTCGAACCCCTGATCTCAGGTGATCCAACTGCCTTGGCCTCCCAAAGTGCTGGGATTACAGGTGTGAGCCACCACACCTGGATAGTCCATGTGTCTTAACCAGCCCATGATCCACAAAACCCAAACTGGAGTGACTGGGGACCTTTTGGGTTATACGTTTGTACATGGGGGAGACGGAGCCATGGACTCTCTCCACTGTGGATGAGTGCTGCTTTCTGGCTCATCTATTGTCTGCTTGTCAATGGCATCCAAGATTCTCAGATCAGTCTAAACTGCATGCGTCATGACGGGTAACAGATTGGCTTTAGGCTACGTTCTGGATGAATAAAATAACACCCTCTGCTCTCACCATGGTAGGTATTCACAGTTGGCTATGTCTAGACTCCTGGGAGGCATGAATGAGGCTAATACTGCTAGCTGGCCTCTTCCTGCTGCTTGGATTCCTATTGATATTCACCTTAATTAAATATTATATGAGACAAATTGAACAGGTTTGGTCCTAGCCTGTTGTTTGGATTAAATAGGTGTTGAAGTCTTATCCTTGATGCTGAAGGTGTAGCCAGGTGGGAGGTGATTGGCTCATGGGGGCAAAGTTGTCATGAATGGTTTAGCACCATTTACCCTTTGGTTCTGTATATTGAGTGAATTCTCATGAGATCTGGCTGTTTAAAAGTGTGTAGCACCTCTCTGCTCTCTCTGTCCTGCTCCTGCCATGTAAGGGGCCTGTTCCCGCTTTGCCTTCCACCATGAGTAAAAGCTTCCTGAAGCTTCCTCAGAAGCAGATGCCAGTGCCATGCTTCCTGTACAGCCAGCAGAACTGTGGCCAATCAAACCTCTTTTCTTCACAGATTACCCCCTCAGGGATTTCTTTATAGCAGTGTGAGAACAGACTAATACAATGGTGGTACGATTTACTTAGCTGTTTACTGTGACTTTGGGTTAAGTGGAGATATTGAATAGGTGCTGATATGGTTTTGCTGTGTCCCCCACTCAAATCTTCTTTCGAATTGTAATCCCCATGTATGGAGGGAGGGACCTGGTGGAGGTGATTGGATCATGAGGGCAGATTTCCCCCTTGCTGTTCTCATAATGGTGAGTTCTCACAAGCTGATGGTTTGAGTGTGTGGTACTGCCCTCTTTGTGCTTGTGCTCTCTCTCTCTCTCTCTGCTGCCACCATGTGAGATGTGCCTTGCTTCCCCTTCACCTTCCGCCATGATTGTAAGTTTCCTGAGGCCTCCCCAGCCATGTGGAACTGCGAGTCAATTAAACCTCCTTTCTTTATAAACTACCCAGTCTTAGGTAGTATCTTTATAGCAATGTGAGAAACAGCTAATGCAGGTACTTAGATATATGTGCCTAGAATTCAGAAAAAAAAGGCAGAAACTGAAGAGATAAATTCTGAAGTTAACAAGAGAGTAAGTAGAGATGAACTAAGACCCTAGGATACTCCTTTAAAAGTTGAGAAGATATTTCACAATCATGTGAATAAACCTAACACTACTGCACTGTACAATTAAAAATGGGTAAAACGATAATTTGTATGGTATGTTTACCACAAAAAAAACCCTCATCAAATGAAAAAAAAAGTCAGGAAATGTTAGTAAATACAATAAAAGAAACTGAAAAACCAGTAAGAAGAACCAGGATGGTTTGGTACTGGGGAGGCAAAATGAAGAATATGTTTTTTTTTGTTTTTGTTTTTGTTTTGAGACAGAGTCTTGCTCTGTCTTGCCCAGGCTGGAGTGCAGTGGCACCATCTCAGCTCACTGTGGCCTCTGTCTCCTGGATTCAAGCAATTCTCCTGTCTCAGCCTCCCGAATAGCTGGGACTGCAAGCGTGTGCCACCGCACCCAGCTAATTTTGTATTTTTAGTAGAGATGGGGTTTTACCATGTTGGCCAGGCTAGTCTCGAACTCCTGACCTCAGGTGATCCACCTACCTCGGACTCCCAAAGTGCTGAGATTACAGGTGTGAGCCACCACACCTGGCCATTTTTTGTTTGTTAGTTTTTGTTTTTTTGAGACAGGGTTTTGCTTTTGGCACCCAGGCTGGAGTGCAATGGTGCAACCTCGGCTCACTGCAACCTCCACCTCCCGGGTTCAAGCAATTCTCCTGCCTCAGCCTCCTGAGTAGCTGGGATTACAGACACCTGCCACCACACCTGGCTACTTTTTGTGTTCTTAGTAGAGACGGGGTTTCACAATGTTGGCTAGGCTGGTCTAGAACGCCTGACCTCAGGTGATCCGCCTGCCTTGGCCTCCCAAAGTGTTGGTATTACAGGTGTAAGCCACCACGCCTGGCTAAAGAGAATCTTTTTTAAAGAATGGAAAAATCAGTATGTCAAATGCTGCTGAGAAATGGAGTAAACAGAAGACTGATGGTGATCCATCAGATTTGACAACATGAGGACTGTTTCACTGGAGTAATGGGAATTTAAGCATGACTGCAGTAGTTCAAGAAAGGTGGGTGTTAAGGGGGAGATGACATGAGTTAGATAACTCTTTTCTGGGAATTTTTGCTATAAAGGGTACAAAAATGGAATGGTAGGGCCTGGGAAGGTTTTAAAATGGGAGATTAAAAATGGGAGGTATATATGCAAGTGAGAACAAGCCAATAGAGCAAAAATGACTCAGGAATGTGGGTTTTTTTTTTTTTTTTTTTTAATTTGAGACAGGGTATCTCACTCTGTGTTCAGGCTAGAGTGCAGTAGCACAATCACAGCTCACTGCAGCCTCAACTTCCTGGGCTCAAGTGGTGCTCCCACGTCAGCCTCCCAAATAGCTGGGGCTACAGGTGAACGCCATCATGCCCAGCTAATTTTTTTTAAATTTTCTGGATGAGGTCTCCCTATGTTGCCGAGGCTGGTCTCGAACTCCTGGGCTCAAGTGATCCTCCTGCCTCAGCCTCCCAAAGTGCTGGAATTATAGGCTGAGCCACCATACCTGACAGAAGTCTTTCCAGTAGAAGAGATGGCTACTGATCACAACTAGACAGAATGGCTAAAGGGTAGAGATGGTTCATGTCCTAATAGGAAGAAAGAAAATTAGTTGGATAGAGAACACGTTGATAGATTTGGAGAGTGAGAAATTTCTTTTCTATTGTTTCCCTTGTCTCATAGAAAAAAAAGAAACAAAGTGAGAGAAGCATAGAAGGTCTGAATAAAGAGGAGAATACTTGTTGGGGAGAGGTTAAGTGTGAATTGATCAGAACAGTGTATAAGGATTGTCACACAGTGCTGCGGGCCTTTGATTTTCAGGGCCATAAATTTAAAGTAAAAAGAGTCAGTAGGTATAGATGCAAGCAGCTGGATGTTTTTCAGATCAGAAGGATAAGAATTTAGGGGATGTGCAAGGACAATGATGTCTATGCTAAAGAAAGTGAGGGTGATGGGCTGGGAGTGGTGGCTCACACCTGTAATCCCAGCACTTTGGGAGGCCGAGGCGGGTGGATCATGAGGTCAAGAGATTGATACCATCCTGGCCAACATGGTGAAACCCCATCTCTACTAAAAATACAAAAATTAGCTGGGTGTGGTGGTGCGCATCTGTAGTCCCAGCTACTCGGGAGGCTGGGGCAGAAGAATCGCTTGAACCCAGGAGATGGAGGCTGCGGTGAGCCGAGATCATGCCACTGCACTCCAGCCTGGCAACAGAGTGACACCCCATCTCTAAATAAATAAACAAACATTAAAAAAAAGAAAGTGAGGGTGATGAAATTATAGATAAGTGATAGATGATAGAATCAATTGTCTGAAGAACCTAGTGGAGTCAAAGAATTGTTGGTATATTCATAATCAAAACAGTAACCTAGAAAGAGGGGTGAGTAGGATGCTAGAAATTGGGACTGTGGAGGTGACGACAAGATCTAAAGCAGTGTTCTTCAAAACTATATGTTAAGTCCCATTAGTGGGTCATGAAATCAATTTGATGGATCAGCCTCTTAAATTAACATTATTAACCCTGCTGAACATAACAGTCTTGTAGGGGACCTTAAAAACACACAAACAAACAAAACCACCATCATGTCATTCTCAGTCACATGGAAGGAACTGGAGGACATTGTTAATTAAGTGAAATAAGTGAGAAACAGAAAGTTAAACACTGCATGTTCTCACTCGTATGTATAAGCTAAAAAAAAGATCTCACAGAAGTAAAAAGTAGAATAGAGGATACTAGAGGCTGGGAAGGATAGGGGAAAGGGAGCAATAGGGAGACATTTGCTAAAGGATACAAAATTATAGCTAGATAGGAAGAAGAAGTTCCTAGTATTCTCTACCACTGCAGGGTGACTATAGTTAATATATGGCTTCAAATGTCTAGGAAGAGGATACTGAATGTTCTCAACACAAAATGATAAATGAGATGATGGATATGCTAATTACAATGATTAGATCACAATATATGTATTGAAACATCACTACGTACCTCATAAATATGTACATTATATGTCAATTTTAAGTTTAAAAATTTTTAAAAGACCATACTTCAATTGCAGAATTTCTGATATATTTGGTCTGGTGTAGGGGTTCAGACATCAGTTATTCATTAAAATTCTCCAGATAACTACAATGTGCAGGTATAGTCAATAACCATTGGCCCAAGAAGATACTGATATAAAAAGGCTGATAATAGAACTAATGGTAGAAAGATAGTAAGCCACTTGCTAAAGTCTTCTAAGAATTAGGGAGAGAAGTATGAGATCACTTGTATGATGAATTACAATAAGGTACGGCAACAGGTGTCATAGTCTAATGGGAGTCAATGTGCTCAACAAAGAGCATTTGCAAGTGAGAAGAGCGTATATTCATACGCACACACGTTTAACCATTTTGTGGACAGATAACAAAAATAAACTTTGGCTTCATTTCTTATTATTTTGAACTAAATGGAAATAAAAGTCAGTTAAGAAAGGTGCCTGGCACCTATGTTCAGGGATTTGTCCATATCCCACCATGATAAAGTTTGATTTGAATAAACTTTACTTAATTTTAGAATTAAGAGTATCCCTAATATAAAATTATAAAAACCTTATTTGTAAGAAAGAGAAAATAAATAGGCTAGAAAGTTTATTGGCAAATCTAGGTCAAGCTCCATAATTTAAAATTATTTAAAACAAAATCAAAAACATCTATAAAAGGTCAGAACATTCAGTATTTTAAGATAAAATTTTTTCAAAACAATATCATGGTTATGAAAACAACATTTGGCAGGCTATACATTTTTAAATTATAGAAAACATTAAAAATAAAATATCTAACAAAATATGTCTTGCTGTTGCTTTTGGGGAAAAGGTGGAGACAAATATTTTTTATTTTATTTACATATATTTATTAAAAGATTTCCATATGGTATTGCAAACAGTCCCATGTCTCTTGTATTTTGCTATAATATATGAATTCACACAAAGGAGATGGGATACATAAAATTACAAAGGTGGTAGAAAAGCAAACCAGCCCACATCCTAATACACACTAAAAAGGGCATAATTCAGATATATAAGCCATATTAGTTTTAGAAAAAGAGCACTGCCCACCCCCAGGTATACACACACACACACACACACACACTTCACTTTATTAAACCACAAGAGGAAACAAAATATATCATAAGTAACTGATCATTCACTTTCCTATGTTAGTTTTTATGTTTTTCAATCATAATGAAATATATTAAGAACAGATTTTCTTCACGATTGATTTTTGTATCTGATATTCTTTTTTGTACTTCTGTTGTTTCATTAACATAGGTATACACCCAAATTCTTTAAAATTACAACTTTGAAAATTAATTGTAAAAAGCTGTTTTCCATGTATATTACACAGTTCGGCGTTAAAAATGGCATTTTGGGGAACTGGTAAATTATAACACACAGGCTTAGAAGAAAAAGAGTGGTATCACTGAATGTATATTGGAATTTAACAAAACGTTTTACTGTATTTACCCCATATATTTTTCTTTTTTTTTTTTTCTGAGACAGAGTGTTACTCTGTCACCCAGGCTGGAGTGCAATGGCATGATCTTGGCTCACCGCAGCCTCCACCTCCCGGGTTCAAGCAATTCTCCTGCCTCAGCCTCCCAAGTGGCTGGGATTACAGGTGCCCGCCACCAAGCCCAGATAATTTTTGTATTTTTAGTAGAGATGGGGTTTCACCACATTGCTCAGGCTGGTCTCAAACTCCTGACCTTAGGAAATCCACTCGCCTCGGCCTCCCAAAGTGCTGGGATTACAGGCGTGAGCCACTGCACCCGGCCTACCCCATATACTTTTATACTTTGAAACCTTAGATTAATACACCGAGGAATTTTATTTCCTAGAAAAATGTCCCAAATTTCTGTTCTATTGTTTTATACAAAACTCTGCATATAGCTTTTAGTTTGCTTTTGAATTTGTGTTACATAGAGTCCATATGATGATAGTTAACATTTTACATAATATATAAATGTATCTTTCTCATCATAGTTCTTCTAGATGGCAATAACACGTTATATATGGTAGTTATTTTACCAAGACCTCTGCTATTATAAGAAGACTAGACCTGAATATATTCCCCTTGACAACAGACAGTAGATCTATGAATAATTTTAAGAAGAAAAAGTTAAGCATGACAGCATAGCATCAAAGTTGATAATTCTTTGTGAATACATTAAGATATGGTCTAAACATAGGCATGACAACTAAAAACAAGTACTGTAAGAATATTTACATACACATATCATGGCTTATTAATAAACAGATTATTAAAGAATAATGTGAATACATTATATTAATTCACAGTATAAACATACTTTTAGTAATTTAATTCATGAATAATAAAAATATAGATACATTAGGCACTATTAATACATATTCTTGTTCTGTCATATATATGAAAATATACATATAGATATAGTTCTTTTAAACCAAACTTTTTAACATATTCACTGATTTAAATAAAAGTTGACAGAGGTAGAATTTGTGTCCATGTTCATGATTTTCAGCAACAAGTACTTCAAATATTTCATTACTGTTCTGTTCTTTTAAAAATCCACATAGGAACTCATTGAAAGCCATTATTCTGAAAGGGAGGAAATTGAAAGGTGGGTTAAGAGAAAAATGATAAAGTTATTCAACATATTCATAAAAAACTGAAATTCAATAATGTTATAAATGAAATTATAGAATCTAATAAAACTCTGTGCCCCACATCCAGTTATATTTAAGAAGTACTGTTCTACTTCTGAAAGTTCAAGTACTGTTTTATTCATTGTACTTTATTTTATTTATTTATTTATTTATTTATTTAGAGATAGGGTCTTGCCGTGTTGCCCAGGCTGGAGTGCAGTGGCGTGATCATAGCTCACTGCAGTCTTGATCTCCCATACTCAAGTGATCCTTCTGCCTCAGCCTCCAGGCAGGTGCACATCACCATGCCTGGCTCATTTTTTTTGGTATTTAGTATAGATGAGGTCTTACGATGTTGTTTAGGCTAGTCTCAGACTCCTGAACTCAAGTGATCCTCTCACTTTGGCCTCCCAAAATGCTGGGATTACAGGTGTGAGCTACCCTGCCTGGCTTATACTTTTGTTTAAAAAAGTGATTTTTGTTTCCTTATTTATATATCTCTGTATTTTATGTTTCCTCAGTGAGTCTGTGTGATACTGCATTATAACAAGAAACACAGGCTGGGTGCAGTGGCTCATGCCTGTAATCCCGGCACTTTGGGAGGCTGAGGCAGGAGGATCGCTTGAACCCAGGAGTTCAGGACCAGTCTGGACAACATAGTGAGACCCAGTATCTATAAAAAAATACAAAAATTAGCTGGGTATGGTGGCACACACCTGTAGTCCCAGCTACTCAGGAGGCCAAGGTGGGAGACTGCTTGAGCCCAGGAGTTCAAGGCTACAGTGAACTCTGATGGCACACTGCACCTCTCCAGTCTGGGCAACAGAGCGAGACCGCGAGACCTTGTCTCTAAAACAAAACAAAACAAAACACACACACAGAAATATGGTCATATGTTCCATAATGATATTTTGGTCAATGACAGACTGCATAAAAGACTGTGGTCCCATAAGATTATAACAGAACTGAAAACTTCCTATTGCTTAGTATTTACTATGCTATGCTTTTAATCATTATTTTAAAGTGTACTCTTACTCATTAAAAAATAAATGTTGACTATAAAGCAGCCTCAGGCAGGTCCTTCAGGAAGTATTCCGGAAGAAGGCACTGTTATCACAGGAGATGGCAGCTCCGTAAATGTTATTGCCCCTGAATACCTTTCAGTGGGGCACCATGTAGAGGCAGGAGACAGTGATATTGATGATCCTGACTCTATGTGGGCCTAGGATAATGTGTGTGTTTGTGTCATTGCTTTTAGAAAAACACTTTAAAAAGTAAAACAAAAGTTTATAAAGGAAAAAAGTTACAGTAAGCTAAGGTTAATTTATTATTGGAGAAAATTAAAACAATAAATTTATTGTAGCTAAGTATACAGTGTTTATAAAGTCTATAGCAGTGAACAGGAATGTCCTAGGCCTTCACGTTCACTCACCACTCACTCACTGACTCACCCAGAGCAACTTCCAGTCCTGCAAGCTCCCTTTGTGGTAAGTCTCCTATATAGGTGTACCATTTGTTATCTTTTAAACCACATTTTTACTGTATGTTTTCTCTGTTTAGATGCACAAATACCATTGTGTTACAACTGCCTACAGTATTCAGTACAGTAACATGCTGTACAGATTTATCGCCTAGGAGCAAGAGGCTATACCATATAGCCTGGGTATGCAGTAGGCTATATACCATCTAGGTTTGTGTAAGTACATACATTCTATGACATTTGCACAATATCATGTAAAACAAATTTCTCAGAACATATCCCCTGTTGTTAAGCAATGCATGACTGTATATATTGGGTCTCTGCCCCTGGTTCTTGGCCCACAGCTCCTTGTAATCTCCAGAGTGATAATTTTGTCTTTTGCAAGCTAATGAGATGACTGGTGGCTAGAGGCCACTAAATAGCTTCAGGATGGGAGCTGATCACCACAAAGACCAATGCATGATTAGAGAATTGGGCCACTGGCTCCACACCTCAACTTCCAAAAAGAGGAGAGGGGCTGAAGGTTGAATTGATCATGAATGGCTAATGATTTAATCGATCATATCTACTTAGTGATACCTGCATAAAACCTCCAAAAACTGGGTTCAGGAACCTTTCAGAAAGCTGAACACTTGGCGATGCTTACAGGGTGGCGCGCCTTGAGAGGGCACAGAAGCTTTGAGCTGCTTTCCTGATAATTTGCCCTATGCATCCCTTCCACTTGCCTGTTAATCTGTATCCTTTATAATAACCTTTTCAATAAGCAGGTAAATGTAAAAATGTTTCCCTGAGTTCTGTGAGCTGCTCTAGCAAATTAATAGAATGTGATGAGGGGGCTGTGGAAACCTCTTCAGTCAGAAGCACAGATCACAACCTGGGACTTGCTATTGGCATCTGAAGTCGAGGGGAAGGGATTTGTGGGATTGGGCTCTTGATCTGTGGGATCTGACACTATCTCCAGGCAGATAATGTCAGAATTGAGTTAAATGTTAAAATTGAGATCAATTGGTGTCTGCTGGAGAATACAGTGTCTGAAGTGGTATGCTGAGTGGTGTATGAGAATCGGAAAAACACTTTTATAGGCTTTTCCTATCTCAAATAGCATGCATTAGATATGATAGTCAAAAAACAAATAATAAAAGTTGGATTGTCTATTTAACTATCAGAGAGACACTAATCTGAGATGCCATTTTATAGTTGAGCAATTCATTTTTTTTTTTTTCCTTGAGCAATTCATTTCTGAGTGCTTGGGGAAATCCCTTAAAATTAGTTTTGGTGACAATATTTAGAAAATACGAGGGGAAATGGATTAGTAAATAACAATCTCATTAATATACCTCAAAAATTAATTGTAAATTATTACAAAGTTATAAATTATGAGTTTGTTGATGATTATAAAAGCTTTCTAATCTGCATGTACTAGAATTATTGTAATTAAAAAGTGGAAAATAACAAGTGTTGGTGACGATGTGGAGAACAGGAACCCTCATGCATTGCTGGTGGAAATATAAAATGGTGCAGCACGTGGAAAACAGTTTGGCAGTCCCTCAAAAAGTTTAACAGAATTACCATATGACCCACCAATTCTAGTCTCAGGTATATACTAAAAGATTTGAAAACAAGGACTAAAACAGATACTTGTACACCAATGCTCAGAGCAGCATTACTCACAATAACCATATGATAGAAACAACCCAGGTGTCTTCAACTGACAAAAGGATTTTTTAAATGTGGTATATCCTACAATATGGATGAACCTGGAAAATATTATTCTAAGTGAAATAAGCCAGATACAAAAGAACACATGTATGATTTCACTTATATGAAAATGTAAAATAGGCAAATTCATAGAGACCAGAAAAGTAGATCTGAAGTTACTAGGAGCTGGGAAGGTTAAGGTCTGGGGATTGGAGAGTGATTGTTTAATGGGTACAGAATTTCTGTTTGGGGAGATAAAAAAATCTTAGAATTAGATAGTGGTGATGGGTGTGGTGGCGTGCCTGTAGTCCCAGCTACTCAGGAGGCTGAGGCGGGAGGATTGCTTGAGCTCAGGAGAGTTTGAGGTTTCAGTGAGCTATGACCATGCCACATCCTTCCAGCCTGGGTGACAGAGTGAGACCCTGGCTCTAAAAACAAAACAAAACAAAACAAAAATGCAGTGTCTAATTCATCACAGTTTCAGGGACTGCAGGAATCTATGTTCCATATCAGTAGTTCTTAAAGTGCAGTCTGGGGATCCCTGAGAATCCCCAATACTTTCAGAGACTCTACAAGGTCAAGCCTATTTTCATAAAACCAAGGAATTATTTGCCTTTCACTCTTATTTTCTTACAGGTCTACAGTTGAGTTTTCCAGAGCTACATGATGTCAAGAGACAGGCAGTAAATATTTTAGATTTGTGGGACATGGGGTCTGTCAAAACTACTCAACTCTGCCACTGTAGTAAAGCAGTCTTAGACAATCTGTTAACAAATGGGTGTGGCTGTGCTCCAATAAAGCTTAATTTACACTAATAGGCAGTGGTATGGATTTGGCTTGCAGATCCTAGTTTACCAACCAACCCCTGATCTAAACTGCAGCTGTGAATCAAACATGAGAAAATGTCTGTGTCACATTCTTACAATCCTTTGTAACAAGAAGGTGAACCACCATCTGATCACATGAAAATAACACAGCAATTCAAGAAGGACACAGTGACTACAGTGAACACTGAGAAGTGGTCCTCAAAGTGAAAGAGAAAAATAAATGCCCTAATCAAACACAAAAGCAGAAGCAGAGCAATCAGGAATCATTTAAACCAAGGCCCTACAAACTTGAGGGCATCAGTACGTCAAAGAATAGCACATAACTAATGTTCACAATGAGGATTCTGAGTCAGAGGAAATGTTTAATTATCTTCTATATATTTCTATCAAAAGAGGCAAAGAAATGTATCAATTTAAACAAGACTGGCATAACTATTTCTGTCAATGAGTATGCATTTTCCACAGTCACTACCTGTCAAAGCCTGGGTCTGACTCATGTTTCTTTCCCACTCATTCCCATCTCCAGTGAATCAGCACATCCCTTTGATCCTTCCTCAGTCAAATGCATCCTGGCACTTTACAACTACTTTGGAAAACAGTTTACCATATCTCCTAGAGCTTGAACATACACATATCCAGTGATCCATCAATTTCACTTCTAAGTATAACCATAGCACTATTTGTAATAGCCCAAACTGGAAACTGCCAAGTGCTTATGAACAGAAGGAGGAGTAATTGGATTGTAGTAAGTTTCCATAATGGCATTCCATACACAGCAACAAGAGTGAACAATCTACAAGTACACACAACAATATGGATGGATCTCACAAATGTACTGTTGAGAAAAAGAAGCCAGGAACATGATTTCATTTATAAAATGTCTAAAAGTAAGCAAAAAGAAATCTACACTTTTAACAGTCAGGACAGTTACTTTTAGACCAGGGCTTATGACTGACGCCAAAGAGAAGTTAGTTTTGTTTTGTTTTTGTTTTGTTTTTTTGAGATGGGGTTTTGCTTTGTTGTCCAGACTGGATTTGAACTGGGCTCAAGTAGTCCTGCAACCTCAGTCTCCTGTGCCAGGCTTTATATTTTATTTTTTTGGATGGAGTCTCACTCTGTCACCCAAGCTGGAGTGCAGTGGCGCGATCTGGGCTCACTGCCACTTCTGCCTCCTGGGTTCAAGCAATTCTCCTGCCTCCGCATCCCAAGTAGCTAAGACTACAGGTGCGTGCCACCATGCCCAGCTAATTTTTCTGTTTTTAGTAGAGACGGGGTTTCACCATGTTGGCCAGGCTGGTCTTGAACTCCTGACCTCAAGTGATCCACCCGCCTCGGCCTCCCAAAGTGCTGGGATTACAGAGGTGTGAGCCACCGTGCCTGGCCTATTTTTTTTTTTTTTTGATTTTCATGCAGGTTACCTGGATGTGTTCAATTTGTTCATTGAAAAAATTCATTGAACTATGTATCTATGATATGGTACCTTTCTGTATATATTTCATGGTTTACTTTAAAAATTATGTCCTAGCTTTCAATGTTATTATACTAATCCTGAACTATTATACTGCTCATTTCATACCACTTACTGGTCTCTCTACCTCTAGTTCCTATCCTTTCCAATATGGTTCAAACACAGTTGTGAAATTAATCTACCAGAAACAGTTATTTCATCTTGACCCTTCCCTTGTACCCATCCTATACACAGGAGGACTGACGTTCACGTTCCTTTTGACTTACAGAATAAAGTCCACAATCTCTAATTTAGCTTCACATTCAATATAATACTCTATATATCCCACTCTACCTTCCAAACCTCTCTCCCTCATTATTCCCCCACAGCCTGCCCTTCCTGCCAGGTTACTACTGTACCATGTGTACTACTGTTTCTATGCTTTGTCTACATTTTTACTACCTATTATTTGTAGCCTGAATTTAGCCCTTCATCAAATAATATCCTGTGATAGCTCATATTGTCATTTAACGTTATGCTGTAGATGTCTTCTCTTTTTAAATTCAGGTATAATTTATATACGATAAAATGCATGGACCAGCCTGTAGTCCCAGCTACTCAAGAGGCTGAGGTGGGAGGACTGCTTGAGCCCAGGAGTTTGAGGCCAGCCCAGGCAAGATAGTGAGAACTCTTTGTTTTTTTGGAGATAGCTGCTTGCTTTGTCATGCATACTGGACTGTAATAGTGCAATCACAGTTCACTGCAGCCTCAACCTTCCGGGCTCAAGCCATCCCCCTGCCTCAGTATCCTCCCCCACCTCCCCAGCAGCTGGTACCTGGGACTACAGGTGTGTGCCACCATGCCTGGCTAATTTTTGTATTTTTTGTAGAGGTGGAGGTCTCACTGTGTTGCCCAGGCTTGTCTCAAACTCCTAGCCTTAGGTGATCCTCCAGCCTCAGCCTCCCCAAAGTGCTGGAATAACAGGTGTGGGCCACTGTGTCTGGCCGAGACCCCATCTCTTAAAAAAAAAAAAAAGCATACACTGTAAATGGTCAGTTTTATGAATTTTTACAATTGTATATACCCACATAACTACTATCACCAAGATATAGAACTTTTCCATTACTCCAGGAAGTTCTCCTGAACGCCTTACCAGGCAATCTCCCCTTTCCTGATGCAGAAAACTACTTTCTGAATTTTTACAACCACAGATTAGTTTTGCCTGTCCTTGGTGTTACATACATACCTTTCTGATAATTACACATTTCTATGTTCAGGAGAATGTGAAGGAGACCTCAGAGTGGAACTAAGGGGTGGTGTAGCAAGACCATGTCGACGCATCTCTTGGATTGCTCGTTCTCTGTTAGTAAAGATCAAACAAGAGAGATATATTCAAGCACCAGGGAAAATCAAAAAGTGGCAAACAAATATAAGAGTTATTAGCTAATTTGTAATAAATTACTTAGTATTACTATTAAATTTAAATCCTATGTCTTTGTACAATTTTTAAGTAGTGGATAAAATATTTCAATTAAAAAATTAAATATATATATATAGTGAGGAGCATCTTGCTTCTAAGGTATTATTTTAATGACCTAATTGCTTTGAACAATCTCTTATAGTGCATATTCTTTTAATGGAAATCTTTTATCCGCTACTTAAAAATCATACAAAGACATAGGATTTAAATTTAATAGTAATACTGATATACTAATTATACTAATTATATATATACTAATATACTATATACTATACCATATAACTAATACTAATATACTAATTATATAATATATAATATATGTAACATATATTATAAAATATACAATATATAACATATAATATGTAAAATACATATTATAAATATATAACATACAATATATTATATAATATTTATAATTGCTTTGAACAATCTTATAGTACATTTTAATTAAAATCTTTTATCCACTACTTATAATATATATTATATATATTACATTATATATCATATATTATATAATATATAAGTACTATATATTATATGTCTATATATGTATTATATAATGCATTATATATTATGTAATATATAAATATACTATATAAAATACAATATACTATATATAATATACTATATATGATATACTATATATGATACAATATATATTACATATAATATACAGTATATTATATATATATTATGTGATATATATTATATTAGTATATTATATATTATATGTATTATATATTACATATTACTATGTTATATTAATTATAATACATATTATATATAGTGAAAATAAATAGGATACCAACTGAACACACAGATAGACACACACAAAAACTAGATGACGAGATGTTAAACTCAAAAAGGCTAATGGTGACTATGGAGGGTAGAACTTACAGATAAATTTAATTTTCTTCTTTATACTTAAAAAAATTATAACAAACCTGTTTAATGTGTTCTTAAAAATTAAATGCCCAGATGCTAGACCCTTCTGTGGGATTTGGTTCTACTAACCACCCTTAGCTTGCATGACACTACATCTTCTGGTTCTCTTTCTACCTAGATGATCTCTCCTTAGCTCTGTTACTGGATCCTTTTCTCCTGCCTATACTTTGATGTTCCCCATAGCTAGGGTTACTAATTCTCTCTTTTTTTTTTTGTGACAGGGACTTGCTCTATTGCCCAGACTCAAGTGCAGTGGTACAATCATATCTCAAACTCCTGGGCTCAAGCGATCCTCCCGCCTCATCCTCCTGAGGAGCTGGGACTACAGGTGCACACTTTCATGGCCAGCTAATTTTTAAAATGTTTTTAGAGATAGGGGTCATACTATGTTGCCCAGGCTGGTCTTGAACTCCTGGCCTCAAGCGATCCTCCTGCCTCAGCCTCCTGAGGAGCTGGGACTACAGCTGTGCACCTTCATGCCCAGCTAATTTTTAGAATGTTTTTAGAGCTAGGGGTCACACTATATTGCCCAGGCTGGTCTTAAATTCCTGGCCTCAAGTGATCCTCCTGCCTCAGCCTCCCAAAGTGCTGGGATTACAGGCACGAACCACCATGCCAGGCCTACCATATCGTCTTGCACATATATCTAGCCCTCTTCCGTCTTCCTGTCTCAAAACTCCCAAAAGTCAGATTGGAAAGAATCCTATTTTCTCCATCATACTTTCCTTCCCTGTGTCTGGGTATGTCCCCACCAAGAATGGGGATTATGTTGCCATCTCCTTTGTGGGCTATTCATAGTCTCTGGCCTAGACTCTTAAAGAACTTGAGTTCTTCAGTACCTGAGATTTCTAATTAGTTCAGTGCTTCTCAAGATTTCTTCAGTACTACTCTCCCAAAGGAACTTTTCTAGACTTTTTCCTCCCCAGATTATCCCTCCATCCCATGAAATTTTAATACACTGCTTATGTCCTGTGGCCCTTTGGAGGGACATAAACCATTCTACTAACTTATACAACCTAAAATTTTTTTGCTACCTCTATTCCCTACCCCCAAGAAACAATTTTTTCCCTTGGAGGATGGTGGGTAATACTGCACCGATGAGAATGTATGATGTAGGTGGATAGTAAAGAGCAAGAAAGACATGGTCATGAGGCTCAAGGTTTCGTTGAGGCAAGGAACAAGGGGAGGAACTGTGGGGAAGTCTATAAGCCTGGGCAATAGAGAGCTTGATTTAGGACTTTTGATTTGCAGAGAATTTAAGTTATCCTTAAGAAATGGAAATCATTATATATGTACAGTTTAGTACATTCAGAAACTAGATCTTCTAAATTACAAGAAATTATCAATCCTGCTTTCATGTCACTGCTGCTACCTACGGCTTACTTTTTTGTTGGTTTGTTTGTTTTTTGAGACAGGGTTTCACTGTTACTCAGGCTGGAGGGCAGTGGCACGATCACAGCTCATTGCAGCCTCAACCTCCTGAGCTCAATCAATCCTCCCACTTCGGCTTCCTGAGTAGCTGGGACTACAGGCACCCATCACCATGCCCCAGCTAATTTTCAAAAATTTTTTTGTAGAGATGGTGTTTTGCCATGTTGCTCACGCTGATTTCAAACTCGTGGGCTCAAGTAAATCCACCTGCCTTGGCCTCCCAAAGTGCTGGGATTGCAGGCATGAGCCACCAAGCCAGGCCTTTATGAAATCGTAAATATTGATTTCATAGCAAATTGTCACTATACTTCAAATAGCACATCACTACAAAGTTTTGACGTAAATAGGTAAGAATAACTCAAAAACTGATCTAACAAGCAATTTGGCCACTAATTGAGAATGAAATCTCAGGAATGCAGATGTCTATGGTATTAATATAGTAGGAAAGAGTAATGGAAGACAAGTAACTTGGCAACTGATTTTCAAGTTAGACTTCGATTTAAAGCAGGTCTCAATCCGGGTTAGTAACACCTGGGGATTAAATTTTTCAACGTAAAGCAAATGAACCAAAATATGAGTGAATATGAAAATTACCAAGCTGTAGGGAATACATTGAAGAGGTTAAGGGTACAGGTTTTAGAATTAAAATCTGTTTGGTTTCCTACCACTTACTATTTATGTGATCTCAGTTTCCTATAAGGTAGGCATAATAATAGATTGTTGGTGGGATTCATCAGACACTTATATAGTGTCTGGTCCACATTTGTTAACTGCTGTTACTATCTTCAAATCATTACCTTTATTATGATTTGTATGTGGAACATCCTACTTGAACCATACATTTTGGAGCTCTTATAGGGATTGTTGTTGCTTCTCTATACTCTTTGAAATACTTTTGGATTCTAATTTTGTCCTGCGGAATGCTATAGGAAATATTTATCCAATACTTCCTATTTTACCTTATTTTTCAGATTATTAAACAATTTTATTCAATAAATATTTATATAGCATCCGCTATGTAATACTTGCTATTTTAGTTACTGTAGAGCTATTATCTTCCCCAACACTTGTTGCCTTTTTTAAAAGGAAGAATTACCAAAGAAATGTACTTTATGTATTAGCTTTTTAAAAAGTTTGTTATTTGTAAAGCCATATTAAATACTTTCTGAAGTACAATAGAGAACACATAAAAACATTGTCAAATGTAAAAAAAATTTGTCTTACCGTTCGTATCTTTCAGTTGAGATCTGCCTTTTCAGAGCATCATAATCTGTTTGTAACTGTGCCACTTTAGCTCGAAGCATGGTGTTTTCCCGGCTTTGACTAGTTCTTAAAAACAAATTAAAAAATCAAGAAATAAACGTTCCGTTTTGTAGAGTCAGGTGCTGTGGGTTTTTTAAATTAATAAAGAGAAGATCAAGACCTTTCAACAAGAATTCTCTAAACTTCTAGAGCTTTTATCACATTTTCTTTTTCATTCATTTAGTTTATTTATGAAACATGTACTGAACATCTATTATGTGCTAAGCACTAAAGCAATGCTAGGGATACAAATTTGAACGAGACATAAATGGTAACACCAAGATGTAAAGTGTCTTCATTGGCTCTTTCTTGACTCTTGCCTTGGAAAGAGAAATATTAATATTTTTAATACCTTTCAAAAGCTCATTCTTCCATGTGTACTCTACTCTGGGTTTCTTTCCCTCTTCCTACAAATATGTCTAAATCCTTCTATTCTAAAAATATGACATAATCAGTCTCTCCCAAAGTAATCAATACATGTATGTGGGTCAAATCTCATAGCCTTTTTAGAGTCCTTTTTCCTAATCTACAGCATAAGACACAGCCACCTCTTCTTCTCCCGAGAACACTTTCTCCTTCACTGACTCCTCTGTCCATTCCTCAACTGTAGGCGCTTTCCTAACGTTTTCTCTTCTCATTACTCCCACGGTACAACCTCTGTAGTGAAGATATACAGGTCTGCACCTCCCAACACGATGTTTCTCCCGAGTCAGTCTCCTAAATTTCCAAAAGCAGCAGATGTATAAGCCAAATATTTTGGTTTTGGGACAGCGTCTCGCTCTGTCGCCCAGGATGGAGTGCAGTGGTGCAATCTCGGCTCACTGCAACCTCCACCTCCTGGGTTCAAGTGATTCTCACGCTTCAGCCTCCTGAGTAGCTGGGACTATAGGTGTGTGCCACCACGCCTGGCTTTTTTTTTTTGTATTTTTAGTATAGACGGGGTTTCGCCATCTTGCCCAGGCTAGTCTCAAACTCCTGAGCTCAGGCAATCTACCCGCCTTGGCCTCCCAAAGTGCTGGGATTACAGGTGTGAGCCACTGCACCTGGCCTATCTTTCATACTCTTAACCTTTCCTCCACTTCAAAAAAATTAAAAAACTATCCTTCACAAGCAATTGTCTTTGCATAAGTTGACTTAAGACACTTACAATTTGCTTTCAGAAAGGGTTAACTTCTCCTTAAGTAGCTGGATTTCTGTATCCTTCTCGTGGGAGGTTAAGTGAGAATGAAATTCTTTATCTCTGTTTGTAGCCAACAATGATTCGAGGTTTTTAACTGTATGTCTCTCATTTGAAAGTTGTTTTTTCAGTAGGTCTGACTCTGACTTTACATTTTCTAATTCCACCACAACCTACGTGAAAAACAAAGTAAGATTACTTCAGTACAATTTTAAACTTACTCTGAAAAAATTATTTATCTGACAATATAGCTCTGTGGAACTATTCACCTATCACTTGTTTCATTTTGGGTATGGGTTAAAGATTATGAACTGTTTCTTTAAGTATAAGAAAGACACTTTATTTTCAAAATAATCTTTGCTATTTTTACTATGGGCTTATTTGGCTATAGGATCTACTCAAATCCTCAAATAATTTTTAGTCATGGTACCTTATCAAGAGACGGTCATTAAGATAAAACCACAAGGGCAATGAGACCCTTCTGGTTGAATATGCTTACTCTGACTACATAATCAAGCCAGTATTATAGTTTCTCAGTACCTGAAAATAAAGATACTACTAGATGAGTGAAAATTGAAAACATCCATGTTTGAAAACAAACACTAGGTTATTTAAAGTAATGCCTCCATCTGGGAAAGGTAAATTCTAGCTAAATAGACTTGTTTAATTAAGATTTAAACACCTTGAGATTTTTATCGGGAAAAATATTCTACTTCGGAAGCACTGAACTGTTCAATCCTTCATTCAAGTCTTACTTTTTTTTTTTGAGACAAGGTCTCACTCTGTTGCCCAAGCTGGAGTGCAGTGGCACAATCTCTGCTTACTGCGGCCTCGACATCCTGGGCTCAAGTGAACCTTCCCTGCCTCAGCCTCCCGAGTAGCTGGGACTATAGGCACATGCCACATGCCTGACTAATTCTTTGTATTTTTTGTAGAGACGGGGTTTTGCCATGCTATCCAGGCTGGTTTCAAACTCCTGAGCTCAAGCAATCTGCCTGACTCGACTTCCCAAAGTGTTGGGATTACGGGTGTAAGCTATCGTACCTGGCCTCAAGTCTTACTTTTAAACAGAGAAAGAATGTATTAGGATATGCTGATTTATAATCAGAAAATTCATAATCTCCTAGATAGCCATCTATTCCAAAACATTACCCACTTTCATCACTACGTTTGCCTGAGAAATCTTGCAAAGAATCAAGCAGTCAAATCTGGTTGTCAAAATCCTGTAGTCAAAAGTAACTATTGTAGGCTGGGTGCAGTAGCTCATGCCTGTATCCCAGAACTTTGGGAGGCCAAGGCAGGCAGATCACGTGAGGTTGGGAGTTTGAGACCAGCCCGGCCAACATGGTGAAACCCCATCTCTACTAAAAATACAAAAATTAGCCAGGTGTGTTAGCAGATGCCTGCAATCCCAGTTACTCAGGATGCTGAGGCATCCTGAGATGCCTGAGGGAGAATTGGTTGAACCCAGGAGGCGGAAGTTGTGGTGAGTTGAGATCGCACCACTGAACTCCACCAGCCTAAGCGACAGAGCAAAACTCCATCACAAAAAAAAAAGTAACTACTCTAAAAGGAAACAAGTATATGCATGGTGTGGTGAATACTAAAGTAAAATAATTAGAGTAGGGCTCAATAAAACAATGTGCCAAGACAATTTATCTTTCTTACCCTCTCAAACTCAAGGTTTTTCGAATTCAATTGCTGGGTCATAATATCTTTGCCTGAATCAAGTTTAATGCAAAGTTCTCTAAGAGATGACAAGTCATTTAATACTGTTGCTTTCTCATCTTCTTGATGTCTCAGCTCTTCTTCTAATCGAGACATGGCTTTTGCCATTGATGAGATCTGAGATTCATAAGCATGATGGGCATTTATGTGCTGAAAAAAGAAAAAGAAACAAGTAAAAAGTTAAAATAACCCAATAATTTTAAGAACTTGAATTTGTACAGCCAACAATCTCACTTTAGAAAAATATGACAGCCAATTTTTGCTTATTTTAAAATACTCTCAGGAAGCTGCCTACTATTTAAAGATGACCTATTTAATGCTTAACAAAATGAATTGTGTATAATTATTAATCATGGTAACTGAGTATCTCATGTATATATTTATATATTTGGAAATGTAAAAAAGAAAGTTATTGTATCAGGGTGTTGTGAATATGAGGGATTTTTGAGGTTGCATTAAATTTTTCCTTTAAAAATTATCTTTGTTATAATAATGTCATTTCAAGAAAAAGTAATATATATACATATCACTCCTCAACTGTCTTCAGTTAAATTCTAAATTCCAAAAATGGGGTTTACTTCAAAACTATATACCTGGATAATTTAAATTTAACTTAAATAAATAGTAAACAACTTTAATATTTTAATAACTGAAATAATGAAAAAAATTTCAAATAATGATAAATTTTTTTTTCTAGAAGAATCCACAGTTGAAATTTCTCACAATTTGAATTATGAGTAATAAATACAAACTGATATAAACTCTACTTCTAGGTTTTGGGGAGAATTCTGCATTGAAAAATAAAATTATTGCAAGAGGCTATTAAAACGGCTGGGTGGCTCACGTCTGCAACCCCAACACTCTGGGAGGCTGAGGTGGGAGGATCACTTGAGCCCAGGAGTCTGAGACCAGTCCGGGAAACATAGTGAGAACCTGTCTCTACCAAAAAATACAAAAATTAGCTGTGTGGTGGCACATGCCTATAGTCCTTGCTACTTGGGAGGCTGAGGCGGGAGATCACCTGAGCCCACGAGTTCAAGGCTGCAGTGAACTGTGGTTAAGCCATTCCACTCCAGCCTGGCCGATGGTGCAAGACCCTGACTCTTAAAAAAAAAACTCCACAAATCCACATTGAAAATCTAATATTGTGCTGTGAAGATTTAATCAATTTCAAAAATTGCAGAAAAGTATTTAGATTTTTTAGTGCATTAATAAAAGCTCCCCTAAACAAATATAATACTTTAGTATTGTATTGTGAAATTGGCTTATACTTTAGTAACAGCCAATTTCATATACCACATACGAACATGAACAATAATAAAGAACAAAATAATTGAAGATTAGTTGAGAACAGTTGCTGAAAAACTCTTTTGAAGGTTGAAAGGCACTCCTTTAATTAGTTATTATACCCTTCTTAACAGAAAAACTTTTAGAGATAGTGTATTAGTTCCCTAGGGCTGCCATAACCAACTACCACAAATTAGGTGTTTTAAAAAAACAAAAATTCATCCTTTCACAGTTCTGGAGGCTGGAAGTCCAAAATGTGGGTGTTAGCAGGGCTGGTTCTTCCAGAGCTTCTATGGGAGAATCTGTCCCATGCCTCTCTCCTAGCTTCTGGTGGATGCTGCCAGTGCTTGGTGTTCACTCACTTGCAGACATATCACTCCAATCTCTGCCTCCATCTTCACACAGCCTTCTCTGTACGTACTGTATCTAAATTTCCCTCATCTTTGAAGGACACCCATCATTCACTAGGTTAGGGCCTGCCTTAATCCAGCACAACCTCATCTTAACTTGTTCACATTTGCAAAAACCCTGTTTCCAAATAAGGTCATGTTGACAGATACTGGGGATTAGGATTTCAACGTATCTTTCTGGTGGACACAATTCTCCTACCCTCTGATCCCCCAAAATTCATGTCCTTCCCATATACAAAACACATTCACTCCATCCTAACATTCTAGCATCAACTCTAAACCCAAAATCTCATCTAAGCATCATCTGAATCACATATGGGTGAGACTCTGAATATGGACCACACTGGGACAAAATTCTCCTCCATCTACAGACCTATGACACTGGAAAACAAGTAAACTGCTTCCAAAATAAAATGGTGGGATAGGCATACCATAGAAGTCCCACTGTAAAAGGGAGAAAATAAAAGGAATAAAGGAGTTACTAGTCCAAAGTAAGTCTGCAACCAAGCAGGCTGAATCCATTAGATTTCAAAACCCAAAAATAATCATTTGTGCCTTCATTCTCTGGTGCTCTGTTCTCTGAGCCAGCCAGGGGGGCCCCACCCTGTGTCCCACAGGGGCAGTGGCCTTGCCCTCTGAAACCAAGCAGACAGACAGTAGCTCCATCATCTGGACCTGTGATGTCTGGGCTTGTGGTGGTAGCCACAGCCCCACCAGCCTCTGAGTTGCCCTTGGTGGCCTTGCTGGTCTCTGAGCTACCCTTAAGAGTCATTCTGTCCTTTTCTTGAAGGTGAACTTGCAGCCAACTAGCTCTGTTGGTCTGTCTTCTGCTAGTAGGATCCCAGAAGTCCAACAACCTTCCTTCTTTTCATCCCATTTCTGTTCCTTTCAGTCAAAGCTGGAAGTGATTCTGCTGAGATGATTGATTGGATTCATGAGTCACATATCTAATCTCTTCACCAAGAGGTTTTCTAGCCATACTCTGGAGCACACTATCTGGATAGGCTAAGAATTTTCCAAAATCATCAAGTCCTGGTTTATTTTTTTTTCCTTTTTTTTGAGACAAGGTCTTACTTTGTCACCCAGGCTGGAGTGCAGTGGCATGATCTCGGCTCACTGCAGCCTTGACCTCCTGGGCTCAGCCCCCCAAGTAGCTGGGACTACAGCCACGTGCCACCATGTTTGGCTAATTATTTGTATTTTTTGTAGAGATGGGGTTTTGCCATGTTGTCCAGGCTGGTCTTGAACTCCTGAGCGTAGTTTTTTGGTGGACACAGGTGGATTGCTTGAGCGATCTGCCTGCCCTGACCTTCCAAAGTACTAGGATTACAGGTGTCAGCTACCACACCTGGCTTCATGTCTTGCTTTCTTTTTTGCTTTTCAGTTCCTTGCTCCATTTCTCTCTTTCCTCTCATATTTTACTGTAAGTAACAAGGAGAAACCAGGATGTCTCTTCCGCACTTTGCTTGGAAATCTCCTCAGCTAAATATCCGAGTTCATCCCTTACAAATTCTACTTTTCTCCCAACAGTAGACCGTAACTTAGCCAAGTTCTCTGTCACTTTATAACAAGTAACATCTTTTCTCAACTCTGTCTGAGACATCACCAGAGGAAACATTCATATTTCTGGCAAAATCCATCCATGACAACATATGTATTCTGTAAATAATAGAAGTTTTCTTTACAGCTCTCATCTCTTCTGAGTCTTCATCACAATTGCCTTTCATGTCCCTATTTCTACCAATGATCTCTTCAAGGCAATCTGGGCTTTTTCTGTCAAGCACTTCAAAACTCTTTCAGTCTCTACTCATTACCCAATTCCAAAGCCACTTTCATATTTTCAGGTGTTTGTTGTAGCAGCAACCCACTTTCTGGTGCTATAATCTGTATTAGTTTCCTAGGGCAGCTGTAACAAATTGCCACAAATTGTGTGGCCTAAAAAAATAGAAATTATTCTCTCACAATTCGGTAAGCTGGAAGTCCAAAATTCAGGTGTTGGCAGGTTTGGTTCCTTCTGGAGATTCTGAAGCAGAATCTGTTCTTTGCCTCTCTCCTAGTTTCTGATGGCTACTGGCAGTCCTTGACACTCCTTGACTTCTACACATATCACTCTAATCTTTGCCTCCATCTTTACGTGGTGTTCTCTCCTGTGTTTTCTGTGTCCAAATATCCATTGTCCTATAAAGACATCAGTCCATTGGTCTTAGGGTCTAACCCTAATCCGCTATGACCTCATTTTAACTTGATTCCATCTGCAAAGACACTTTTTCCAAATAAGAGACTGGGGCTCAATATATCTTTCTGGAGGCTATAATTCTATCTGCTACAGATAGTCAATACTTTCTCCTGAAAGATAAAAATTATAAAACTATACAAACAAAACAAAACAAAAATGACAATAATGGCCAACTATTGTATATCAATCTAACCCAGGGTCCCTATATTTTAACTGAACTCAAATTTTTTATTATGAGATTTTTATCAGACTGTCTTTATGACAAAATCTTATTTAAATCCACATGCAAAAAAATGATGCTGGGCTCTTATATCATTTGTAAAAATTAACTCAAAATGAAACAAAGACCTGAATATATGAGCTAAAACTATAAAACTCTTATTAGAAAACATAGGGGAAAAGCTTTATGACATTGCAGTTAACAATAATTTCTTGGATATGACACCACAAGTATAGGCATCAAAGGAAAAAAAAAATTGGACTTCATTTAAATTGAAAACTTCTGTACATCAAAAACTGTTGAAAAGGCAACCCACACAATGGGAGAAAATATTTGCAAATCACGTATACACTAAGGTATTAATCTCCAGAATATGTAAAGAACTTCTACAACAACAATTTAAAACAATCTGATTAAAAAATGAACAAAGGATTTGAATAAGCATGTCTCCAAAGAAGATACACAAATCGTCAATAAACAAATGAAAAGATGCTCAACATCACTAACCATTAAGGAAATGCAAATCAGAACCACGAGATACCGCTCTATTCCCATTATGACGGCTCTTATAAAAAATAAAAAAATTACAAGTGTTGGCAAGGATATGGAGCAACTGGAACCCTCGTGCATTGCTGGTAGAAATGTAAAATGGTGTAGCACCTACGGAAAAACCACATGGCTATTCCTCAAAAAATTAAACACAGAATTATCATATGATCCAGTAATTCCACTTCTGGGTATATACCCAAAAGAACTGAAAGCAAGCACCCGAACAGATATATTTGTATACTCATGTTCATAGCAGCATTATTCACAACAGCCAAAAGGTAGAAACAAATCAAATGTCCATTGACAGAGGAATGGCTAAACAAAAATGTGGTACATACATACAATGAAATGTTATTCAGCCTTAAAAAAGGATGAAATTCTGACACATGCTACACAATATGGATGAACCTTGAGGTAAAGTAAACCTTAAGGCTAAGTGAAATCAGTCACAAAAGGACAAACATTGTGTGATTCCACTATATGAGGTATCTAGAGTAATCGAATTCATAGTGACAGAAAGCAGAATGACAAATAATGGTGATAGTTACACAACATTGTGAATGTACTAATGCCACAGAACTGTCTACTTAAAAATAGTTAAAATGGGAAATTTGATGTATGTATCTTTTACTACAAAAAAAAGTAATGGGCTTCTATGCAAATTATGAGAATGACAGAAATTTACCACTGAACTTGATTTTATCAATGTTTACGACCTCAGGTCAATAAAGTATCTTTGAGGCCGGGTGCGGTGGCTCATGCCTGTAATCCCAGCACTTTGGGAGGCTGAGGCAGGTGGATCACTCAAGGTCAGGAGTTCGAGAGCAGCCTGGCCAACACGGTGAAACCCCATCTCTACTAAAACTACAAAAAATTGGCCAGGTGTGGTGGCACACTCCTATAATCCCAGCTACTCAGGAGGCTGAGACAGAAGAATCGCTTGAACCCAGGAGGTGGGTGCAGTAAGCAAAGATCGTGCCATTGCACTCCAGCCTGGGCAACAGAGTCAGACTTCATCTCAAAAAAAATAAATAAATAAATAAATAAAGTATCTTTGAATGTTTTCTGTTTCACTAAATAACATCTTTACAAAACAAATAAATATATTACCTCTTGAATTTCTTTTTCTAATAGCTCCACTCTTTCTCGAAGATGTCTCCTCTCAGTGTCAATAGAAAGAAGTTCCAGTCGAACTGAGCTGCTTTCTCCCTCAGCTTGATGGGCTTTGACCTCCCAGTCTTCAGCACGGTTATGAAGCATCTGAAATCTATCTAACAAATCTTGATTTTCTTTTTCCTGGTTTAATCACAATAAAATTGTTTCTAAATTAGTAATTGTCACTTCCTGGAACACCTATGTCATAAACACATACACATACACAGCATTCTGTTCTAATTTAGGAAGCATTAGATATCTGTGCAGGTACCACACTAAAATCTATGGGAAAAATAGAAAAAGGCAGTAGACAAGATCTCTACTTTAAAATGTTTAATATCTAATTGTAGAGGCACATGAAAAAGTTAAAAAAAAAAAAAACCTCAGTCTTAAATCCAACCTAAATAATATTTTTCACCTTGGCAGCCATTAAGCTCTCCCATCGTGACACCTCTGTTATGTATTTATGAACTCTGCTCTTCATTTCTTCTTTTTCTTGCACTGCTGCTTCCAATTCCAATGAGATTTCCTACAAATCAGAAAATTAAAGACAATCTAAAATGAACACAACACCAAATAAATTTTATTTATATTCAAATAATTCCTTTGGAATTGGAGAATAAGATAGAGTAGGGCAAAAGGAAAACTGTTCCTAAGTGTTATTTTCACATATTTTTCCTGGCTGATCTTGCCTTTTAAAATATTTCAGACAGAGTCTCATTCTGTCGCCCAGACTGAAGTGCAATGGCGTGATCACAGCTCACTGCAGCCTCGACCTTCTGGGCTCAAGCAATCCTTCCACTTCAGCCCTCCGAGTAGCTGAGACCACAGGCACATGTCACCATACCAGCTAATTTTTTTTTTTAATTTTCTGAGATGAGGTCTCACTATGATGTCCAGCCTGGTCTCAAACTCCTGGGCTCAAGCAATCCTCCCACTTTGGTCTCCGAAAGTGCTGGGATTATAGGCGTGAGCTACCACGCCTGGTCTGATACTGACTTTTTAACCAAACTTTATCACACATTTCCCATAATAGTCCTGATCATGTATCTGGCATTTACACTAAAGGCTAGCTATGGTCAGGGGTTGACATTAAAAAACATTCATATTTCATCAATATGCTTTATGCTGAATAATACGGAAAATAATTTTTTAAAAACGTAAGATGTTTAAAACAGTAAAATCACTGGTTTTCTCAGTACAATCTTTTAAGAAACCAGCACGAACAGAACTAACACCTTTCAGTACTTGCCATTCTAAAACACTCATTCATTTATCTACAGGTGTATTTTGGAGCCGACAGAAGCTTGCACAAATAATTAAAACCTATCCTGAGTCTTTAAAACACAGAAACTTTGCTCTGGGAGGGATGCTGATGTCCTCGCCCGGTAGGGTGACAATGATTTCTGACATACAGAATTTCATGCTCCCACCTTTAGGTTTCCTTGCAACAAAGACCAAAATGGTGAGAAGACCAGTTGCACCCATTAGACACCCTGTGATATATAGCAGCATTCTAAGCTATGTGTTTTTTTTTTGACAGAGTCTCACGCTGTTGCCCATTTTTTTTTTTTTTTTTTGGATGGAGTCTCACTCTGTTGCCCAGGCTGGAGTGCAGTGGCACGATCTCGGCTCACTGCAACCTCTGCCTCCAGGTTCAGGTGATTCTCCTGCCTCAGCCTTCCGAGCAGCTGGGATTACAGGCGCATGCCGCCAGGCCTGGCTAATTTTTGTATTTTTAGTAGAGATGGGGGTGGGGGGGGGGTTTTCACAATGTTGGCCAGGCTGGTCTCGAACTCCTGACCTCAAGTGATCCACCCACCTCAGCCTCTGAAAGTGCTAAGATTACAGGTGTGAGCCACTGCGCCCGGCCTAAGCTCCATTTTTTAATACCCTGATAAACACCATTGTCCTTAATGAATTATTTATGTCACTTATTTTTATATCATCAGATTTTAGAAAAAATATTTAGAGCTTTAATATTTAGCAAACAATGGAAAGTATAAAACTATCAAAATTTATGCCTTGTGTTCATACTTGATTTTCTCTTGCCATTGTAGCCAGGTCATCTTGCAGTCTTCTGTTTTCCTTAAAAGCGATTTCTCTAGATCTTCCTACTTCATCGAGTTCTTTGTGAGCTGCATCAAGCTGGCGCCGGAGGCTGTTTATCTCACGATCTCGATTAACCAATGTTTCTTTCAGCTGGCTGTTAAATGAGTGATGTGAAACTAATAAAGAAAACTTTTAAAAACTGTAGTTCATTTAAAAGAAAACTTATAGTCTAAGTATACTTAGAATACAAATATACTGTGATTATAAGAAATTATAACTGCTGCATTAAGAGACCTATTAATTAGGTAGAACAGGTATTTTAGAGCTCTACCAATAATTACATGCAAATGAAGTTAAAAAAAAATGTTATTCCAACAGTCAAGTAAACACAGAAAACTTTCAAGTGTTAAAAGTTGAATAGCTTGGGGGCTGGGCGCGGTGGCTCACGCCTGTAATCCCAGAACTTTGGGAGGCCGAGGCGGGCAGATCATGAGGTCAGGAGATAGAGACCATCCTGGCTAACACGGTGAAACCCCGTCTCTACTAAAAATACAAAAAAAAATAGCCGGGTGTGGTGGCGGGCACGTGTAGTCCAGCTACTTGGGAGGCTGAGGCAGGAAAATGGCGTGAACCCGGGAGGCAGAGCTTGCAATGAGCCGAGATCGCCCCACTGCACTCCAGCCTGGGCAACAGAGCGAGACTCCGTCTCAACAACAAAAAACAACAACAACAACAAAAACAGTTGAATAGCTTGAGCCCAGGAGTTCGAGACCAGCCTGGGCAATATAGGGAGACGTTGTTTCTACAAAAATTTTTTTTTAAATTAGCTGAGCGTGGTGGCACACGCCTGCAGTCTCAGCTACTCAGAAGGCTGAGGTGGGAGGATCACCTGAGCCTGGGGAGGGTGAGGTTGCCGTGAGCAGAGATCTCGCCACTACACTCCAGCCTGTGCGACAGAGTGAGACCTTGTCTCAAAAACAAACAAACAAAAAGTAAAGCATAGATTCAATTGGCAAATATTTATTAAATGTTTATAATCCCCACTATTATATAAAATGTTAAGGGTATGTAAAATAAATATAATAAGTGACTTTTTTCTTGAAGTGGCTTACAATCTGCCTAGAGAGACTATACATAAAATGTAAAATTTTGTGACAGTGCTCAAGATAGGTTTAGATGGAGAATAAATTCGAGATTGGCTACTAAAGTAATTTTAGGTTTTAATGATTAGGCTCCAAGTGGCATAATTATAGTAAAAATAAGGAACAAATAGGTATATAGGAGAATAGTTAATAAGACATAAGTGTTTAGATGTGGATGACAGAAAAGGAGAGGTTAAAGAAGATAACATTTTCAAGCTGGAGACTGAGAAAATGATGCTACCATTGACAAAAATGGGGAAATTGAAAGGGAAATTCTTCTATTGCTGCAATGCTACTGAATAGATAAAGCTGTATTCACTGAAAATCTCCTAAAAAGCTGGATGTAATTTCATTAATGACTTACTTCACAGATGATTCACACTCTGAGATCATTATCTTCATTTGAGCAACAGCTTTTTCCTATAGAAATTACAAAAATGTGTAAGATTTTAAACCAAAATGTCTTTAGCTAAATTTATGTAACTTGTCATATTCATATAGTTCAAATACACAGCTCAATTATATAAAGTATGCCTAAAACAAAGCTCCAAGTAAACATATCTCCATGTCCCAATCATACTTCACATACTGGCATGTTTTGACCAACCCTTGAATAGTTTTCTTGAGTTTGCTTTAATGAGATCTGATAAAATCACATTCTAGAAATAGACAAAATCACATTTTGAAGATTAACATTATTTGAAAAAAATGACATTTAAACATTAGAAAATATGGCCCTAGGTCTTAGAAACTTCTACATGGCCAATAATAACTGCATATTTGGGAAACTTCTGGGTCTAAAATGGTGGTGTAGTCACAAGCTGACTTCAATCCTGACAAAGAAAACCAAAAATAAATATACAATGCTAACATTATCATCAGCACTATCCCAGGACTCAAATATGAGGACGAGTCAGTTCCTGGGCCACAGAGACGTAAAAAACCTCTGAGCAGACAGTGACAGAATCGAATTTTCACACCTGTGATGCCCCTTCTCTCAATCTGGCTGGCACCAAGTACCTGGAAAATCTCCCCTAACTCATGGTTTCTACACCGGAAAAAGTGAGATTGAGGTGGACAATCAGCTTTTCTACTATCTTGGGTAATTTGGCAGGAGACCTGTTCCATGCCTCAACACACAGGAAACATCATGGATACCTGAAGGGAGACCTGTCCCTGAGGATACCCAGAGACTAAGTGGGGATGTAGGACTACCTCCTCATCCCTGGAAACTCTTCTCTATTACTCAGCCAAAGACACCCAATCAGAGTGGTAGTTCAGTAACAACATGCTGTAGGAGGTACATTCCACAGGTCCCCTGGGCACAAACCCTTAGCTAGCCCTTCCACACTGCTGGGACATCCCCTTTGGGACCTCCCCCATCCCAGATGGGCAGGGGTCTGAGCATTCACTAAAGCCAAGGCAAACTTGGGCTTTAGCCACCATCTAGTGACAAAAAGGAGGCAGTGACCTAGGAAAAAAAGTATAATGAAATTCAATAAAGTTTGAAGAATCTCTAAGCAAATGTAACCAATGAAAACCAAAACAAGCCAGGCTGGGTGTGGTGGTTCAGGCCTGTAATCCCAGCACTTTGGGAGGCTGAGGCAGGTGGATCACCTGAGATCAGGAGTTCGAGACCAGCCTGGCCAACATGGTGAAATGCCATCTCTACTAAAAATACAAAAATTAGCCAGGTGTGGTGTTGCGTGCCTGTAATTCCAGCTACTCGGGAGGCTGAGGCAGGAGAATAGCTTGAACTCAGGAGACGGAGGTTGCAGTGAGTTGAGATGATGCCACTGCACTCCAGTCTAGGTGACAGAGCAAGACTCTGTCTCAAAAAACAAAAACAAAAACAACAACAAAAAACAAGCCAGACAGAGAAGACTGGAGTAAATAACTAATCCTTCAAAGACACAGACATACATCTGCAAGAAACAACAGCAAACAGGGGACCATGAACTCTCCAAATGGACAAAGCAAGGAACCAGTGATTGATCCTGACAAGACAGTGACACCTGAGCTCTCTGGCCAAGAATTCAAAATTGAGGTATCAAGGAAATTCAGTGATCTCCAAGATAACACAGAAAATTCAGAAATGTATCAGAAAAAAATTTTTAATATATTTTTTTGAGACAGGGTCTCATTCTGTCGCCCAGGCTGGAGTGCAGTGGTGTAATCATGGCTCACTGCAGACTCAACCACCTAGGACTCAACGGATCCTCCTGCCTCAGCCTCCCATGTAGTTGGAACCACAGGTGCACATCACCACACTTGGCTCATATCAGAGAAATTTAACAAAGAGGTTGAAATAATAAAAAATGTCAAACAAATCTTAGAATTGAGAAATACATTTCCTGAGCTGAAAAATTCATTGGAGGATCTCAACAGGAGAATGGATCAAGCAAAGGCAAGAATCAGTGAGCTTGAAGACAAGCTATTTGAAATTACGCAGTCAAAGGAGAACAACAACAACAAAAGAATAAAAAGGAACAAAAATTGCCTACAAGATATAGAAAAATACAAAACCTAAGGATTACTGGTGTTCAAGAGGGAGTTGAGCAAGATGAAGGGGTAGAAAGCTTACTCAAAGAAATAATAACAGAACACTTTCCAAAACTTGAGAAAGATAAATTTCCTGGTGTACGAAGGTCAGAGAACACCAAAGAGATTCAACCCCAAAAAGACTGCCCCAAGGCATATAATAAACTCTCCAAGGTCAAGGACAAAGATAGGATCCTAAAAGCAAGAAGAGAAAAGCAAATAACATATAAAGGAACTCCAATTCATCTAGAAACAGACTTCTCAAAAGAAACCATACAGGCCAAGAGGAAGTAGACTATCATTTTCAAAGTACTAAAAGAAAAAAACTGCCATACAAGAATATGTCATCCAAAAAAAGTGCCCTTCAAATATGAAGATATAAAGTCCTTCCCAGATAAACAAAAGCTAAGAGAATTCACCACGAACAGGCATATCTTAAAAGAAATGCTAAGGGAGTTTTTCAATTTGAAAGAAAAAAACTAACGTGCAAAAAGAAAACATTTGAAGGTATAAAACCCACTGGTAAAATTAAATACAGAGACAAACCCAGAATACTGTGATACTGTAGTTGTGGTATACAATCCACTTATAATTCTAGTATGAAGCCTAAAAATCTAATCTATCAAAAACAATAATAGCTACAGCAACCTGTTAAGAGATAGGCAATATACAAATCTGTAAATTAAGACAACCACAAGTCAAAATGCGAGGGAGATAAAGAGTAGAATTTTTTTTTAGTTATGTCTTTGTGGGTTTTTTGTTTTGTTTGTTTGTTTTTTAGAGACTGGGTCTTGTTCTGTCACCCAGACTTGAAGTGTAATGGTATGATCATAGCTCATTACAGCCTTAAACTCCTGGGCTCAAGTGATCCTCCTGCCTCAGGCTCCTGAATATCTGGGACTACAGGTACCACCATGCTGAGCTAATTTTTTTATTTTTGTAGAGATGGGGTCTCACTACGTTAAACTTGTGGCCTCAAGCAATCCTCTGATCTTTGTCTCCCAAAGTGTTGGGATTACAGGTGTGAGCCAATATGCCTGGTCTTCTTTGTTTTTATTGTGTGTGTGTAACCTAAGGTAAGTTGTCAGTTCTTTAAAATAACTTAGAAAGATACGTTTTGTAAGCTTCATGGTAACCACAGTGTAAAAAGCTATAAAAAGCAATTAATTAAAACATACTACCAGAGAAAATCACTTAACCACGAAGGATGACAATAAAAAGGGAAGAAAGAGAAGAGTTATAAAACAACTAGAAAAGAAGCAAAAAAAAAAAAAAAAAATGGCAGCATTAAGTCCTTACATATCAATTACAACACTGAACTAACTCCATTCTCCAATTAAAAGACTGAGTGTCTGAATGGTTAAAAATAAGACCCAACTATATACTGCCTACAGGAAACCCACTTCACCTATAAAGACACAAATAAGACTGAAAGTGAATGGATGGAAAAAGATATTCCATGCAAGCAAAAAACAGAAGGAGTAGCTTTACTTATATCAGATAAAGTAGCCTACAAGTCAAAGACTATAAAGAGACAACAAAGGTCACTATATAGAATTATAAAGGGGTCAATACAGAAAGAGAGTATAATAATTATACATATTTATGCACCCAACACCAGGTTCCCAGGTATATAAAGCAAACATTAATAGATCTAAAAAGAGAGACACACTGCAATACGATAATGGTAGGGGACTTCACCACCCCACTATCAGTAATGGACAGATCATGTTGACATAAAATCAACAAAGAAACATTGGAGTTAATCTATACACTAGACAAATATGCCCAACTGACATTTACAGAACATTTCACCCAACTGCTGCAGAATAAATTCCTTTTATCAGCACATGGAACGTTCTACAGAATAGACCATAGTTCATGCCACAAAACAAGTTTCAACACATTCAAGAAAGTAGAAAGCATATCAAGTATCTTTTCTGAATAAAACAGAATAAAACTAGAAATCAATAAGAGAAACGCTGGAAACTACACAAACACATGGAAATTAAACAACAGTTGCTCTCGAATGACCAATGGGTCAATGAAGAAATTAAAAAGGCAATTAAAAAAATTCTTGAAACAAATGAAAAGGGAAATATAATGTACCAAAATCTGTGAAATACAGCAAAAACAGTGCTAAGAGGGAAGTTTATAGCAATAAATGTCTGTATCAAAAAAGTTGAGGCTGAGCATGGTGGCTCATGCCTGTAATCCCAGCACTTGGGGAGGCTGAGCCAGAGGACTGCTTGAGACTAGGAGTTGGAGACCAGCCTGGGAAACATGGTAAGACACCGTCTCTACAAAAAAATTAAAAATTAGCTGGGCATGGTAGTACACGTCTGTAGTACCAGCTAATTGGGAGGCTGAGGTAGGAGGATTGCTTGTGTCTGAAAGGTCAAGGCTGCAATGAGCCATGATCTTGCTACTGCACTTCAGCCTGGGCAATACAGTGAGACTCTGTCTCAAAAACAAAAAAAAAAACAAAACAAAAAAAGATTTCAAATAAACAACCTAGTGATGATGTACCTCAACTAGAAAGACTTCGAATAAACAAACTAGTGATGATGTACCTCAACCAGAAACTAGAAAGGAACTAGAAAAGCAAGAACAAACCAAACTCCAAGTTAGTAGAAGGCCAGAAAGAATAAAGATCAGAGCAAAAATAAATGGAATTGAGATGAAAATATAAAAGATCAGCCAGGCACAGTGGCTCACACCTCTAATCCCAGCACTTTGGAAGGCCGAGGCGGGCGGATCAGTAGGTCAGGAGATTGAGACCATCCTGGCTAACATGGTGAAACCCCATCTCTACTAAAAATACAAAAAGAAATTAGACAGGTGTGGTGGTGGGCACCTACAGTCCCAGCTACTCGGGAGGCTGAGGCAGGAGAATGGCGTGAACCCGGGAGGCGGCATGAACCCGGGAGGCGGAGCTTGCAGTGAGCCAAGATCGTGCCACTGCACTCCACCCTGAGCGACAAAGCGAGACTCCGTCTCAAAAAAAAAGAAAATACAAAAGATCAATGAAATGAAAAGTTGGTTTTTAAAAAAGATAAACAAAAATCAACAAACCTTTAAGGTTGACTAATAAAAAAAGAGAGAAGACCCAATAAATAAAATCAGAAACAAAAAAGGGGACATAATTGTGACCACAGAAAATACAAGGAATCATGAAAGACAATTACAATCACATGTCAACAAATTGGAAAACCTAGAAGAAATGGAGAAATTCCTGGACACTTACAAGCTACCAAGTTTGAACCATGAAGAAATAGAAAACTTCAACAAACCAATAGCATGTAATAAGATAGAAGCTGTAATAAAGTCTTCCACAAAAGAAAAGTCCAGGACCTAATGGCTTCACTGCTGAACTCTACTGAACATCTAAAGAACTAATACCAATTCCTGCTCAAACTCTTCAAGGAAATTGAAAAGGGTGGAATACTTTCAAATTCATTCTACAAGGCCTGCATTATCTTGATACCAAAAACACAACAAAAAAAGAAAACTACAGGCCAATATCATTGATGCAAATATATGCAAAAATCCTCAACACAATACTAGCAAACTAAATTCAACAATATTTTTTAAATAAATTACAAAGATCATTCACCATGATCAAGTGGGATTCATCCCAAGGATGCAAGGATGGTTCAACATGCACAATCAATAAATGTGATACATTAACAGAAGCAAGAAGAGAAACCATATAAATCATTTCAATAGATGCTGAAAAAGCATTCAATAAGTTGCAACATCCCGTTTTTGTAAAAACCCTCAACAAAGGGTACAGAAAGAAAATACCTCAAAATAACAGAGGCCTAACCCTAGGGCCAACATAATATTGAACGGGGAAAACTTGAAAGCCTCTCCTCTAAGATCTGGAACAAGCCAAGGATGCCCACTTTCACACTTTTATTTAACATAATCCTGGAAGTCCTGGCCAGAACAATTAGTCAAGAGAAAGAAAAAAAGGGCATCCAAATTGAAAAGAAGAAGTCAAATTAGCCTTATATGCAGACCACATGATCTTGTATTTAGAAAAACCTTAAGACTCCACTAAAAAACTGTGGGAACTGATAAGCAAATTCAGTAAGTTGCACAATACAAAATCAAGATTACAAAAATCAACAGCATTTTTATACTCCACCAGCAATCTGAAAAATAAATCAACAAAACAATTCCATTTACAATAGCTGCAAAGAATAGAAAACACCCAGGAATCAATTTAACCAAATATATGCAAGATCTATACAAGGAAAACTACAAAACACTGATGAAAGAAATAGAAGAGGCCATAAAAAAATGGAAGGATATTCCATACTCATGGATTGAAGGAATTAATGTTGTTAAAATGATAATAATACCCAAAGCAATTTACAGATTCAATGTAATCCCTATTAGAACACGATCAACATTTCTCACAGATATAGAAAAAAAAATCCTCAAATAAATTGGAACCACTAAAGACCCCAAATAGCCAAAGCAATCCTGAGCAAAAAAACAAAGCTGGAGATCGCACTAACTGACTTCAAAATATACCATACAGCTATCCAATCAGCATGGTATTGGTGTAAAAACAAGACACACAGACCAACAGAACATAATAGGGGACCCAGATATAAATCCACACATTTAAAGCCAACTCATTTTCAACAAGATGCCAAGAACATACAATGGGGACAGGGCAGTCTTTTCAATAAATGGTGCTGGGAAAACTGGATAACCATATACAGAATAATGAAACTGGCCCACTATCTCTTACCATATACAAAACTCAAATCAAAGTGGATTAAAGACTCAAATCTATGACCTGAAACTATGGAACTACTAGAAGAAAATGTTGGGGAAATGCTCTAAGACATTGGTGTGGACAAATATTGTCTGTGTAAGACTTTAAAAGCACAGGCAACAAAAGTAGAAAGAGACAAATGGGATTACATTAAGCCAAAAAGCTTCTGCACAGCAATGGAAACTATTAAGAAAGTGAAGAGACAACCTACAGAATGGGAGAAAATATCTGCAAACTATCCATCTGACAAGGGATTAATAACCAGAACATACAAGGAGCCCAAACAACTCAATAGCAAAAAAACTCCAAATAATCCAATTTTAAAACGGGCAAAGATTTTCATAGACAGTTCTCAAAAGAAAATATACAGATGGCCAAAAAGCATGTGAAAAAATGCTCAACATGACTAATTATCAGAGAAATGCAAATTAAAACCACAATGAGATATCGTCTCACCCCAGTTAGAATGCTTTTTATCAAAAAGATGGGGAATAACCGATGCTGGAAAGGATATGGAGAAACAGGAACTCTTGTACACTGTTGGTGGGAATGTAAATTAGTACAGCCACTATGGAAAACAGTGTATGAAGGTTCCTCAAAAAACTAAAACTATAACTACCATATGATCCTGCAATTCCACTATTGAGTAAATATCTGAAAGAGAAGAAATCAATATATCAAAGAAATATCTGCCCCCGGTATATATACACAGGAAATATTATTCAGCCATGAAAATGAATGAAATGCTGTCATTTGCAGCAACATGGATGGACCTGGAGGTCATGATGTTAAGTGAAACATGTCAAGCACAGACAGACAAATATCATTTGTTCTCACCCATACGTGGGTGCTAAAAAGTGGATCTCATGAAGACAGAGAGTAGACTGGTAGTTACCAAAGACCAGTAAAAGGATGAGGGAGGAGGCGTGAAGAGAGGTTGATTAATGGGCACAAATATACACTTAGAAGAAATAAGACCTGGTGTTCGAAAGATATCAATAGGGTGACTCCAGTTAACACCAATCCAGCGCACATTTCAAAACAGCTAAAAGAGAGTAATTTACACATTCCTAGCATAAAGAAAAAAATAAAGTGATAAATATCCCAATTACCCTGACTTGATTATATGAATGTCTCAAATTACCATGTGTAACCCAAAAATATGTACATCTCATATGTACCAATAAAAGTACATAAACTTTTTATTTATTTATTTATTTAGAGGCAGGGTGTTGCTCTGTCACCCAGGCTGGAGTGCAGTGGCATGATCTCAGTTCAGTGCAATCTCCGCCCCTGGGCTCAAGTGATCCTCCCACCTCAGCTTCCTGAGCAACTGGGACCACAGGTGCACACCACCACACCTAGCTAATTTTTTGTATTTTTGGTAGAGATGGAGTCTCACCACGTGGCCCAGGCTTGTCTTGAACTCCTGAGCTCAAGCAATCCTCCCACCTCAGCCTCCCAAAGTGCTGGGATTGCAGGTGTGAGCCACCACATCCTGCCAAAAGTAAATAAACCTTTTAAAAAAGAAATGAATAAGTGAAAATACAATAAACTTTTCCGGCTAGGAGTAGTGGCTCATGCCTGTAATTCCAATTGCTGAGGTTGGGGGATTCCTTGAGCCCAAGAGATAGGGGTTGCAGTGAGCTGTGATCATGCCACTGCACTCCAGCCTGAGTGACAGAGTGAGACCCCATCTCAAAAACAAAAACAAAAAAAACTGTTCTGTTTGGATGCTGGAAAATTACATTAAACGATCACATACTTTATTAGCTAGGTTTTCTTGCAAATTTGCAATCTTTTCTGTCTTCTCATCTACAGTCTCCTGGAGAAAGTCTTTTTCTTTATCAATAACACCAATGGTCTTTTTCATTACATGAGCCTCCTCATCCTGTGAAGTCATCTTAAGGTTTAGTTCATCTACAAATGAAAAGAAATGTTTGTTAGACAAAGTACATTAGGATTAGCAGAAACAAAATTTTAAAACATTTACCTATCTTTTCCTCCAGTATTTTAATTTGTGCTTGGGCTGATTCAAGTTCACCTCTTTTTATGGAAAGTCGGTGCTGATAGTCATCAACTGACCGCTGTAGCTGCTCATTCACTATCCTAAAGAATCAATGGACAAAAACAAATGGTATTCTTTATCTCTCATAGAAATACGTTTAAAAAATGAGATTTCTTAAAAATATTTTGATGTCTTATTTTTAAAGTTTGCTATTTTTTATTTTAAAGCTCCTCCAGTATAATCTATGGCATTATATATTATTATTTCTTGCTGTCCACTATTCTTCTCCAAAATGGTTCCATCTTCCTAAAAATAATATAGTATAAAAATCAAATTAATTGTGTGCTCTTTTCTAGTAGCTTCTTGGTAGTTTTAAAGCTCTTCTTAGTTTCCTAATGTTAACCCCCTCTCCTTTAAATCTTTTTCCAATAGTGGAGGCAAAGGAAAAATCCTGTTCTTACAGTATGACCTGGCATTTCAAAGCACTAGCCATAAATCCTAACCATCTCAACCAGTGAGCTCTTTTTTTTGTTTGTTTGAGGCAGGGTCTCCCTCTGACACACAGGCTGGAGTGCAGTGGTGAGATCTCAGCTCACTGCAACCTCCGCCTCCTGGGCTCAGGTGATCCTCCCACCTCAGCATCCCTAGAGGCTGGGACTACAGACATGGACCACCACACCTGTCTAATTTTTCTATTTTTAGTAGAGACGGGGTTTTACCATGTTGCCCAGGCTGGTCTCAAACTCCTGAGCTCAAGCAATCCATCTGCCTCGGTCTCCCAAAGTGCTGGGATTACAGGTGTGAGCCACCATTCCCAGCCCTGACCTGTGAACTTTTAATATTGCTTCTTATTCTGACTTTTTGGCCGGGTAGTCAAATGGAGTGACAGAAAGCAGGGAAAGTAGGCATTTCCTGCAGATTGAAGACTTGGTTCAGGGAGCAAAAGAAAGGATGTACAGCGGCCTACATGGTTAACGACAAAGATGATTTCAGAGAAATCTGTTACTGATCAGTAGGATTATTTGTCAGAAGTAACGTTCCTGGAAGGTTTAACAGTAAAAATTTGCTTTCATGTCATGCAGAGTCTTCAGAACACTTTTAGCCCTGACCTGAGACTTCACAATCCTGCCTTGCTGAAAAGACATGGCTCTCACCTCAGAGTATTTATTAGGAATTTCCATGGATTCCTTTTAGGCTTCCTTTTGAGGAATAAGACATGGAAAAAGATACTGAGGGTAGCTTAGCTTAGAATCGCCTAAAGGGAAGGAGGTTTGAATTCCAAAACCACGAATAAGAAGGGACATCTTTATAGGAATGAAGAAGTTTTACTGGCAGTATTGAGGTATTCTGAAAGACAAAACACATGACCCTGACTGTTCTAACAGCAAGTGAATGATGATCAAGAGGTAGGGAGGAGAGTCAAGTTGGGACTGATTTATTTAGACTTGCAAAACTAAACAAAACCAAGTTAGAAAGACATTAGGTTCAAGCAATCTTACTTCCTAAAATTATGTGTGAGGTTCAGGTTCAGGTGACTGCACCGTATTCACACTATTCCTAAAAGCTAGAACTGCTGTTCCATGGGATATAACAACAGAGAGTGGTACTTTGTACATATTAGCTCATTTATTCCTAGAACAGTACCATAATTAGGACGGTTCCATAATTAGAACTGTTATCCCAACTGAATACAAACAACAAAAAAACTTGTCCAAGGTCACAAAGAAAGTAAGGGCAAAGAAAATATGCAAATTAAGGCTAGTCTAACATTATAACAATGTTCTTCTACTACATCATAATGCCTTCTTTGCAGAATATAGGAAGGCCAACCTCCTCTACGTGAAAGAGAAAATGCCTGCCAGGAAGCTATACGGAGTCCTTTCAAAAACAGAATGACCCGCAGAAACCTTAATGAAGGACACTGAGCAGTTGGCAGTGCTTGAAATTCCAGGTAGAAATGTAAAGACTGCTTTATATCTAACTTCATAAAGCAGGGTGACGTCCTAATGAAAGTGGGGTTGACAAAGGCAGGATCACATCTTGATTGATATATATACATATAAAGGAAGCCCTTAGGTGGGCCCTAAAAGTAGCTTCGTCTTTTTATATTCTAGGGTAGAAAGAGAAGAAAACAGAGACTAGATACCAGACCTTCAATGTAACTTTTCCGACCAAAGTTTTGCTAAGATAAAGGTCCTCTCAACGAAACAGTTGAGGTGTAAAAGTCATAGGAAAGAATAGTTGAGTGACTGCCATTATTAGTTGTTCATAATCGTGTTTGGAAAGGAAATTTTGAGAATCAAGTTAGGAAAAATGAACCAGTTTCTTAGCTTCGAAAATGCTATAAACGTAGCAAAGGGAAGTAACAACTTCTCACCAGAGAGTGAAGCAATAAAAATGAACTTAAGTTCTGGCTCTCCACTTAGCAGATGTGACTGGGTAGAGGTCCATCTCTTTGAGATTCAAATTCCTCAGTTATATTGTATTACATGGAGCTACACATGATCTCATTTAGGGGACAAAGGTAATTATTTCCATCATAATGCAGTAAATTTTAAACAAAGACAGCATCTTAAAGGATCCTCTGTTCATACGAAGTGTTCAAGTTCTAAAATGGAGCTAAAGCACCATCTAAGAAAGGAAAGATGGGTTTGGAATTTTAATGGCCTATTAGAAAAAAAAAAAAAAGACGGAGACTGATGTGGTATCCCTGTTTTTATTTTAGATTTCTCCCAGGAGTCTATGGTTATAGCCTACCACTAAGAAAGATGAATAAGTATCATCTCTTGATCAGCCAGAGAGGGAAAAGAAATTAGGACTGGATTTTCTTTTAGATTTCTGGATGGGGATGATGGTTGTAACTAGTGGCCCTAGATCCCTTGACCCTTTCAATTCTAGATCCACAAACTCAGCCATCCTCACTCAGGGCTCTGGTTCCTCTTCCTGTCCTGGTAGAAAAAAAAATGTTAGGAATGCCCAGAAGACAGTTCTTAAGCATCCAGATAACTTATGAGTCTTCTTTGGCTTATCTAAAATGGTCCTCTCTTGAGCCCAGGAGCTCAAGAACAGCCTGGGCAACATTGTGAGACCCTGTCTCCACAAACATTTTTAAAAATTAGCTGAGTGTAGTGGTGCATGCCTATAGTCCCAGCTACTCAGGAGGCTGAGGTGGGAAGACTGCTTGAGCCAGGAGGTCAAGGTTTCAGTGAACCATGATTGTGCCACTGCACTCCAGCCTGACAGAGTGAGACCCTGTCTCAAAATAAGTAAAATAAAATAAAATGGTTATCAATTACCTTAAAAAATAAATACTTCTCATGGGAGACTAGTTACATTTGGTTTTCTGAATACACCTAAAGAAATCCTAGTAAAACAACTAATATATATGGGATAGACTTTATGGGTCATTTCCAGGAAAATCTGCTACAGCATCTATTTGATCCTAGATAAGAGTATACCCTCTGGTTTTGAACATACACAGATAAAGACTAAGGTGAACTGAGGACAGTCTGACAGTATTTTCAGCTGCAGGATTCTCATTGTTTAGAGCCTCATAGCTCGCAGTTGTGAGGCTTAAGGATGTTTACTAGGGGCTTGACTGAGAAAACTGAGTTGTCTAACTGGGCTGGAAACAATTTTTCCTTGAGCAGGGGTTGACAAACTACAGCTGGATGCCAATTTCCGTAAGGCCTGAGTGGTGTAAATGGTTTTTACATGTTTAAATGGTTTTTATATGTTTAAACGACTAAAAAAAATTTCAATAGAAAATTATTATTTAGTGACATATGAAAATTATATGAAATCAAAATTTCAGTGTCCATACCACACTACTTCATTTTATATATTGCCTAGGGCTACTTTCAAGCTACAAGGGCAGTGTTAAGCAGGTGTGACATAAACTATATAGCCGGCACAGTCTAACAGGGTGTCCAAGCGAGATAATACAGTCACAGGTTCTTAGGTTCTGTTTCTGGTTGGGCCAGTAAAGTCTCTTCCTCAACCCTCTGTTTCGCTTATTACTAGAGACAGACTAAAAACCATGGCTTCAGGCTGCTGAAAGCCTAAAACAAAACAAAACAGACAACAACAAAATACGGTGGGTTGGATAAGCTTAGTCTAAAATATTGACTCTTGTCTATTTACAAGGAAAAAAAAGACTGTTGACCTCAGCTCTAAAGACTGGCTAGCATGCTCCAGGGGAATAACCTTCCCGGGTAGACAAAAGTTCCTTTACAGCATTCTGTAGCTTTGATCTGGGGTATAAAATGCCAGATCTCATTAAATGCTGTAATTAAAGGGAGATGACAGTAATTTAACTTTAAAACATGGTTAAAAGTGAGATTTTATATTATGTGCTCTGACAACAGACAAAGAAACTAGACAAAAGATTCTCTATTTGGACAATTAAACTATGCTTAGGTCAGGCGTGTGGCTCACACCTGTAATCCCAGCACTTTGGGAGGCCCAGGCGGATGGATCACATGAGGTCAGGTGTTTGAGACCAGCCTGGCCAACATGGTGAAACCCCTTCTCTACTAAAAATACAAAAGTTATCCGGGCATGGTGGCAGGCGCCTGTAATCCCAGCTACTCGGGAGGCTGAGGCAGGAGAATTGCTTGAAGCTGGGAGGTAGAGGTTGCAGTGAGCCAAGATCATGCCACTGAGCTCCAGCCGGGCCAACAGAGCAAGACTCCGTCTCAAAAAAAAAAAAAAAAAGATTATGCTTGATATAGAAAAGCCTGTTTGTTGGTAATAAAATGTGGTGGAAAAAGCCTGAAGCAGGAAGGGAAAAAGAAGATAGGGAAAAAGAAGATGGGTACCTCAGGGGGATGGAAAGGAACATATGCCTTATCTATCTGAGACAGTCTCACTCTGTCACCCAGGCTGGAGTACAGTGGCATGAGCACAGCTCACTGTAGCCTTGAACTCCTAGGCTCAAGCAATCCTCCTGCCTCAGCCTCTCGGGTAGCTAGGGATATAGGCACATGCTACCATGCCTGGTTGACTTTTGTATTTTTTGCAGAGATAAGGTTTCACCACATTGCCCAGGCTGCTCTTGAATTCCTGGGCTCAAGTAATCCTCTCACCTTGGCCTCCCAAAGTGTTGAAATTATAGGCATAAGCCACCATGCCTGGCCCTGACTCTCAGCTTCTTAAATGTCTTCATGTCAAGGAAAAGAGAACATGATGTGATCAAAGGGGTAGCAAGAGCTCTATTAATCATACTGAAAGTGGCAAAAGGTTTAGATAATGTAGTTTTACTTCCCAAGAGTGCCGGGTATCATGGTTTGTATTTGGTTTCGCTTTAGACTTGGATTCAATGGTTTCAACTCATGGTTCTACCAATACTTACTGATATGGAGAATATGATTGATACACTTTCCTAAGAGACAAGATAAGTCATATTTTTCTGTTAGAGCAAAATAAAGTTATAAAATAATGCCATATCCCCAGGTTATACAAGGTAACCTGGTAGAAAGGTAGACAAAAATTCTCACAATAGCCCAGTGACTGAATTACTCCTAGGTGAGGGAAGAGGCTGATTGAGCTCATAAGAGAAAAGGATATTAGTAGTAGTACAAGAAATAAAACTCCAAAGGAGCTATAGGCTAGGTTATCCAAGAAAGGGCACTGAGAGCTCTGCCTTCTAAGACTGGAAACAGCCTCCTGTGAGGAAAAGAGGTGTTTCAGCCATAATCTCAAGGAAAAACAAAATGGATTACATGCTAGATCCAGTCAGCTGGACACGAAAGTGACAAGTGAAATTCTGGATGACAAGAATATGTCATGTTATCTGTACTTTAGAGCTGAATCCAGACATGAGCCAGAGGAGATACCAGTCCATTCAGCTCTCCTCTCACAGAAAAAAGCAAAGAAAAAAGCAGTATCTACTTTAGTTCTTCCTGAGGTCTAACCTACCAAAACTATCGTCAGAGAAGCAAAAGAACAAAACTGGAGATGCTCTTTATGAGTCGCTAATATAGTATTCCTTAATTAACTAGACACACCCAGTTCTTGGTCTTATTTCATTAAGTCATTAGACAATCAGAGAACCCTTATGAACTACAGTCTCAGACTTTTCTTTTCCTAATTCCTTTGATTCTCGTATTTGCTCTGTTTACTATATACTTTTGTGATTCCTAGTTTTTTGTATATTGGAACTATGTCTTTTTTCTCATCATTTACTTTTGTTCTTTGGAGTTCTGGGTGACTTTCATCAGTTTGTTTTTTCTATTTCACCAACTCAGTTTTCTGCCAATATCCAATGCCATTCACTAACTTTTCAGTTTTAATTTGTTAAATCTTTTTTTTAAAGTGTCATTACTATAATCCTTTCTGATCTCAAGTTGTCACTGTTTCATGACTAAATGTTTCACAGATGTAATGTCTTGCTGACATTTGAAAATCTTTTCCTGATTCTGACTGCAAATGTAATTTAGAGAGAGGTATTTCCTCAGATTCTTCAGAGCGGTCCCCTTATTCCGACCTTCATTATCTTGTTACTTATTGCAGCTACTCTGATCAGAAAAAAAGCTTTGTTTGCCTTTTGTTTCCTTGAGTCTTCTGTATTCTAAATTAATTAATGACTAACCAACAACCCAATATGCTAAGGTAAATGTTCTACTTATCGTATTTCTCAGCCCCATATTAGTCATCTAAACCTTTTGATTTTATATAAAAAGTGTTTCTTAAATTTGGTCTCTGTTCTCTAAGTTCATTACCACTGCTTCAGTCCAGATCCTCGGTCTCCTTTTTTTGCCATCAATCTCTAAGACTTGAAATCCATGTTCCATATTTCCACCAAAGTTAGCTTCCTAAAAGGAACACTATTGATATGTCTTACCTCCCTACTTAAAAACTTCTGTTTCTAAGTCAGAAAGGGTTAAAAATTGGAGGTAAATTCTTTGACTTTACGTTTCACTGAAAGAGGCAAGAAAGAGAAAGAAAATGGCATAGGTAGTAAACAATTCTGTAATTTTCAGTATCTTACACTATGAAATACAAATGATCTGAAGTATTTAAGAGGATTTCAAAAGAAGGTTGAAAAACTTTGCCTGCAATCATATTAATCTGTGAAATTTCTTTTAAAAAACACAGATACCCAAAACCTACCCCAGTAGATTCTCAGTGAATTAGAACCTCCCAAAATCAGCCCCTTAAATTCATACTTTTCAAAAGCTCCCAGGTGAGTCTACTGCAAAGCCAACTTCTAAAACTACTGCACAAAGGCCCAGTCCAAAATGCCATGATTATAAACTTTACATAACCACAAACACATTCCCAGAAATGAAATTAGAAAATTTTGAATAAACTTACCTAAGTGAGTTCACCTCTGTTTTCTGATGAGATGAGTCACCAGCCACATGGCTAAATTTTTGAGCTTGGACTTTTAATTTGTTCTCTAACGACTCTATTGTTTCTTTCATTATTAACACTTTAGACTTTAATTCATATTTTTCGCTTTCAAGCTATAATTTAAATAAAAAAACAGTAGGTATATATCTTAATACGTTAATGATATTTTTCTTAGGCACTCTTTAATAATATTTCCGGAAGAAAACTAAGAAAATAGATTTATTTTTAAAAAAACTTTATAAGTCATGTGTACAGTTTAGGTTCTAAGAGTCAGAATGGGTGTAAAATTTCTTTCTCCTCACTACCATTAAAGATACAAACAAAATATAAAAAGCACGAAGAGAAAAGAATATATCTATAACAGCAATGAAACAGGAAGGAAACCACTGGCAGAGTGAAAATTTTGGGGAATTTCTAAAACACAATAAGTAAATAGGACTGAATTGAGGGGAAAAAAACACAGCACAAAACACTGTAACCCAAACACAAAGTGGGCAAGATCTATGTGAAGAAACAGTATAATTTTCCTGAAAAGCACAGAATATAACCTGACATAATGTACAGGCAACACAATGTTTCTTGATGGGAGCACAATATTGTAAATACACTAAAATTTCCTCAAATAATAGTAAATTCAATGGAATTCCAATACAATTCTAACACAAGCTTTTTAAAAATGGGGATGGCTTAGATTTGATTCTAAATTCATTTACAAAAAAAAAAAAAAAGAAAAAAACAGGAAAAATTTTTGGAAAAAATACAAGTATACTTGCTTTATGAGATATCAAAACAAACTATAAAGTTATTATATGGGAGGCCACGGTGGGCATATCATGAAGTCAAGAGATGGAGACTATCCTGGCTAGCACGGTGAAACCCCATCCCTACGAAAAAATACAAAAAATTAGCTAGGCGTGGTGGCACATGCCTGTAGTCCTAGCTACTTGGGAGGCCGAGGCAGGAGAATCGCTTGAACCCTGGTGGCAGAGGTTGCAGTGAGCCGAGATCACGCCACTGTACTCCTGCCTGGGCAACAGAGTGAGACTCTGTCTCAAAAAAAAAAAAAGTTATTATAATTAGAACAGTGAAGATTTCACATACAAATGCGCAAGCAAATTTATGAAAGTGAAAACAGTGAAAAATATCATGCACAGATGTAAATTTAGAAAAGATAGCATTTTTGGGAAGTAGGAAAAGCATAAACTTAAAAAATAAGAGTAGGGGGCTGGGCGTTATGGTGGCTCACACCTTTAAGCCTAGTACTTTGAAGGCCAATGCAAGAGGACCACTTGAGGCCAAGAGGATTGCTTGAGGCCAGGAGCTCGAGACCAGCCTGGGAAACACAGTGAGACCCTGTCTCTACAATAAAATTTTTTTTTTAAATTAGCCGGGCATGATGGTATACCTGTAGTCCTAGCTCCTAGGGAGGCTGAAGAGGTGGGAGGATTGCTTGAGCCCAGGAGTTGGAGGAGGCAGTGAGCTATGATCATACAACAGCACTCCGGCCTGGGCAACAGAGCAAGACTCTGTCTCTTTAAAATAAATAAATAAGTGTAGGGACAAACAGTCACTGGAAAAACAACTTAGCTGGATTTCTTCTTTATTTTACATACAAAAATAAATTCTAGATGGGAAAATGACCTACATTTAAATTTTAAAACCAATAAATATTAGTAATAAATGTAAGTCTTCCAGTTAAAACTGTGGACTGACCACACATATTTTATCTCCCCTCCCTCTGAAAGCATTGCTAAAATGACAGTAAAGGAATAAGAATACACAGCTCTAGAAGCGAGGTTTTTAGAAGAAAAAACTGAAACTGATGTTTGTGTATTCAAAACATATTTAAAGGCATAAGTCAGAGATAATGGAACTCTTGACAAAAATTAGCAATAGGTTCAATGAAAACCAGGTAACAAAAAGCAAAGCAAACCAAAACAAAGTCAATTACTAACAAAAGGAAAAAAATTTACAAGAAAAAAGAAGATGGATCAGTCACCACTACTCCATCACAGCACAAAAGCAGTCACAGACAATATGTAAATAAATGAGCAAAACCATGCTGCAAAAACAGACTGGAGGCTGCATTTGCCCTGGGGATCATATTTTGCTGAGCTCCATCATATCTGGTACATATCTAGAAAGGGAATTGTTGGCTCATAGGGTATGCCTTTGCTAGATAACACCAATTTTTTTGGAACAGATATGAAGTTTGCACTCCTAGGAGCTACACATATTTGCTAATATATGTTACAACTTGATAATTTCTAATGCCTTGATGTAAAATGATTTTACTGTTTTAATTTACATTTCCCCCATTATTGAGGTAGAATATCTTTTATGTTTATTAGCCATTTGTAATTTCTTCCTCCATAAAGAGTTTATTCACATCTTCTGTTGAGGCTTTTTCAGGGGAGGGGGATTAAATGTGTAGCAAACTGTTCTATCAGTGGCTTATCTTTTCAATTTATAGTTAAGTAGATAAACAAAGATTTTTTTTTGCCAATGTGGTCCTATTTATCAGTGTTTTCCTTTAAGGAATAAATTTATTTGTGTTTGTGTCTTGTTTAGGGGCACACATTCTGGCACCAGACATCTGCTAGCTGTGTGATCTTAGGCAAGTTTCCCCTCTGCCTCAGTTTCCTTATTTGTGAAATGAGGACAATATTAGCATTTACTTTATATGACTGTTATGAAAATTAAAATAATTGGGTATAAAATGTTGAGAAAAGTATCTGAAACATAGTGAATGCTATATAAATGACTGATATTATTATTTCTCCAAGGTCAAAAAGATCTTCTGCATTTCTTTAAAAAATGTAGTAATATCTTGAACATTCAAGGCTGTAAGTAACCTTTAACTGATTTTTGGGTGTGGCATATTTGAGTTAGGATCCAATTTTTTCCTTTTAAAATATGAATAGCCAATAGTCTGAGAAACAATTAGTGAATAATCATTCCTTTTCCCACTGATCTGAGTTACTTCACAGATCAAATTCTTACATTTGTGGGTTTGCTCTCTACTGGGTTTGATCAGTCTCTCCCAATCCCTGTTGTTTTATTATGTTTTTTTTTTTTTTCGAGACGGAGTCTTGCTCTGTCTCCCAGGCTGGAGTGCAGTGGCGTGATCTCGGCTCGGCTCACTGCAAGCTCGGCATCCTAGGTTCATGCCATTCTCCTGCCTCAGCCTCCCGAGTAGCTGGGACTACATGCGCCCGCCACCACGCCCGGCTAATTTTTGTATTTTTTTTTTAGTAGAGACGGGGTTTCACCGTGTTAGCCAGGATGGTCTCGATCTCCTGACCTCATGATTCGCCTGCCTCAGCCACCCAAAGTGCTGGGATTACAGGCGTGAGCCACCACGCCCAGCCATTTTTTTTTTTTTCTGAGACGGAGTCTTGCTCTGTCACCCAGGCTGAAGTGCAGTGGCATGATCTCAGTTCACTGCAACCTCTACCTCCTGGGTTCAAGTGATTCTCCTGCCTCTGCCTCCCAAGTAGCTGGGACTACAGGCGCGTGCCACCTCACCTGGCAAATTTTCGTATTTTTAGTAGAGATGGAGTTTGACCATGTTGGCCAGGCTGGTCTTGAACTGCTAACCTCAAGTGATCCTCCTGCCTCTGACTCCCAAAGAGCTAGGATTACAAGCGTAAGCCATCATGCCCAGCCTATTATGTATTACTATGACTCTAAAGGCTTCACATCTGGGAGGACAAGTCTAGCACCATGTTCTTCTTTAAAACTTCTATGTGATTCTTGGCTTTTTGCTTTCAAGTAAATTTTAAGATCTATTGTCAATTCTTCCCCCTCACCCCCCGCCCCCCACACTCTTATTGGGATTTCAGCTACAGCTACCTCAACTCTATAGATCAAGTTGGGGAAAATTTATGTTATTTTTATACCTTTTTTATAAACCTGATATAATCCTCCACTTATTTAGGCTTTCTTTAATGACTTTCAATATGGTTGCATAATGTTTCCTATAAAGATTCTGTAAATTTATCCATAGGTAAATTGTATTATTCATGACTACTAAAATTGTATGCATTTTCTTTTTATTTATCTTGCTTGGGATTTGTCATGCTTTTGGAATTCATTTTGAATCAGGGGGTTCCTGTGTTTTCATATCTAGAAAATCATCAATCATTATCTCTTCAAATACTCTCTCTCCCACATTCTATTATGTCCTCCTTGAGTCCTAACTAAATATTAGTCTGAATATTAGATCTTCTCAGGCTATTCTCCAACATTTTAACTTTTAAAATATTTTCTTATTTCTTTGTTTCTTTCCAATGACTTCTAGTACTTTCTTCAGATACATTTTCCAGTAATTAATATTACTGCTTTTAGCTTCTGGTCAAGCTGGAGTGATAGAGACCAGATTTACTCTTCCGCCTGAAATAACTAAAAAGTTGGATTAGATATGTGAAACTATGGTTTTCAGGACAATAGGCACCAGGCAATGATGACCGGTGACCCCTGAGAGACAGGAAACAAATGTGATGAGCTTTACATTTGCTCCAACTTATTGCCTGGAGAATTTCCAAACTGTGACACAGGGAAAGGAACCGATATGGAACCCAGTGGTCTGCCCCAAGTTCAGAAGACAGGCATGACAGTCAAAGAAGGCCAAGGCAGCTAAAGTTTGCAGGACAGGTATTAGAGGAGAGGTGCAAAGAGTGAGAGCTCCACAGATCTATAAAGGGTACCCTTTAAGTTTTCGGCTGAGTAGAGCTCAGCACAGAGTAAACTACCCAAGGCCAGGGAAAGAACCACGAACAAATTAGAGGGAACAATACTCAGAGCTCATGCAGGGCCAGGAAAAGTTCCTGTGCCCATCAGTCATTTGAAAATCTCATAATTCATAGGACAACAGGTAGCGTACTCAAAAGGGTTTTATCTCAGTAGTGAAAAAAAATTACTCCAAGACTAAAGGCTACTTTGATCCCACCTAACAAAGCTTAACGGCAAGACTGAAAAGGATCAGGCTACTTCCATATAATTTAACTGCATCCCAGAACAAACCTCAACAGTATTTCATAGTAATACAAACTATCTAGCAACCAAGAAGGTAAGATTCACAATGTCTGGCATCCAACCTAAAATTAAATTACCAGGCACATAAAGATACAGGAAAATATAATCCATGATGAGGTGACACTTCAACCAACTCAGATGACAGAATTAGAAGGCAAATATATTAAAACAGTGAAGGCATAGTAATAGAAGCCAGCCAAAACAAAACACATCAAAGGTTGACAAACTATTGGGTACTATGCTCACTACCTGGGTGATGGGATCAATTGTACCCCAAATCTCAGCATCACACAGTATACCCATATAACAAACTGTACATGTACCCCTGAATCTAAAATAAAAGTTGAAATTATAAAAACAGAAACATACCAAATTGTTAAAAATCCTATCTCCAGAGAGAGTAATAAAGAATGGAAGTGAATTTCTCTTTTTACTCTACCTCTGTATAATTTTTTTTTTCTTTTTTTGGAGACAGGGTCTTGCTCTGTCACCCAGACTGGAGTGCAGTGGTGTGATCACAGCTCACTACAGCCTTGAACTCCCAGGTTCCAGTGATCCTCTTACTTCAGCCTCCCAAGTAGCTGGCACCACAGGTGCATGCCACCATGCCTGGCCAATTTGTAAATTTTTTGTAGAGATGGGGTATCACTATCTTACCCAGGCTGGTCTCAAAATCTTGGGCTCAACTGATCCACCTGCCTCACCTTGGCCTCCCAAAGTGTTGGGATTATAGGCATGAGCCACTATGCCTGGCCTATATGATTTTTTTATAACAGCAAAACAACAATAATCATAGCTAATACCTACTAAGAGCTTACAATATGCCAGGCACGCTTCTAAGTTCTTTATATGTATTAACTCATTTAATTTTCACAAAAACCCTAAGGAGTAAGTACTAGCACTATTCTTACTTACGAATAAAGAAATCAGGGAACAGAAAGGTCAAGCAACTTGCCTGCAGGTAATAGGAGGCAAAGATGGATCTGAACCCAAGTAATCAGCCTTCAGAGTACACACTCCTAACTGCTGTTATACAGCTTTTCTAGTATACTATTTTGTGATTTTTTTTGGAGTTGTAGTCTTGCTCTGTTGCCCAGGCTGGAGTGCAGTGGTGTCATCATGGCTCACTGCAGCCTCTAATTCTTGGGGTCCAGTGATCCTCCCACCTCAGCCTCCCAAGCAGCTGGGACTACAGGTGTGCACCACCATGCCCAGCTATTGTAATTGTAATTGTATAAAACAGTGTATTAGGCCAGGCGTGGTGGCTCATGCTGTAATCCCAGCACTTTGGGAGGCCGAGGTGGGCAGATCACGATGTCAGGTCAGGAGTTTGAGACCAGCCTGGCCAACATGGTGAAACCCCGTCTCTACTAAAAATACAAAAAAAATTAGCCGGGCATGGTGGCACGCAACTGTAGTTACAGCTACTCAGGAGGCTGAGGCAGGAGAATCGCTTGAAGCTGGAGTTGGAGGTTGCAGTGAGCTGAGATTGTGCCACTGTACTCCAACCGGGGCAACAGAGCGAGACTCCATCTCAAAAAATAAATAAAAATAAAAATAAAATTAAAATTAAAAAATAGTGTATTAAAACTGTAATTGACATAGTTATTCATATAACACAAGATACCCCAAATCCAGTTTGATACATTACCTGATGATTAACACATGTCAAATGTTCAATAGTTTTCTCTAATTCTGATTTTCCAAAAAGACTCACTTCTTCAATATGCTGAAAAAGAATGTTAAAGAAAATGTTCATTTGTATCAGATAACAAAACAAAATCACCACAGTAAGCAATGTAAGTCTACAGTTCTATTATATTGTATTTGTCCTTTCATAAAACACAGAAATGTTTTAGAAAGAAAATCATTAGACATTTTACAAAAATGATGTTTTTGGTTTAAAAAAGGCACAATACGTTCTCATCTTTTACACTCTCTACCTCCATGTGTGATTGTAGTAGAAGACATAGATTAGTAAGGATTCATTTATAAAGATTTATACAGATTAATCCATAATAGCACAACTATAAAAGGACAAAACCAGCAGGTTAAATAAAAAGCTCAGGAGTATGCCCTCATAAGAGGAGATGTAAGAGAAACAAAATGCAAAGGAAGACAAGATCAGAAAGACACAGGAAACACAATACTACAAGGCCATGCAAGAGATGCGAGTTTCAATAAGGGGCTGGTCAACAGTATAAACACAGGGACTATTTTTCTGGTTACATTACTTTATCCAACTTACTGCTGCTAAGTCTAGGATAAGCAATATAACTTGGTGTTCACTGAGAGTTTTTCTAGCATGGATTCATTTCCATCCTTGTTATTCATTAAAAAAGAAACAGACACATCTGATGTTCAGATTACACATTTGGTTGAAAGGGTCACTGTATTGTATGTATTTATTTAATTGCTCAACTAGTATTGAGTACATACTCTATACCAAGCACCAAGCAAGGTCTCAAGAATATAGTAGTGAGTAAAGCGGATGAAGTCTCTGACAGCATAGCTACTGTAGCTTAGTAGAAAAGACAAAACCTAAATAAGAGCTCAAAATAAAATCCATGAATATTCTGCTAGGAAAAGGAACTTTATGCCAAAATATCAAAAGGGAATCTAGATTCTAGGGTTCATTTCCCATCAAAAGACATGATGTTTGGCCTGGACTTAAAGATAAATAGGAATCAGCTAGACAAGAAGAGTGGAAGATGTGAAGGAATCTTTCAATAGTCTATGTAGAAGGCTGGTGGCAAGAAAAAGTCCATTAAGCCTGGAGTCTTGTGAACAGGGGAGATGAGTTTAGAGGAAAGAGGCTAGACCTTCAGGTAGGCAAAGGCCAATCACTGAAGTCCTCGAAAACAGTTAATGGATTTTAAATAGGAAGTGATATGATCAGATTTATATCTCTGAAAGATAACTCTGACTTCAGTGTGAAATATCGATTTAAGAGAGGTAAGGCTAGTACAGGGGCCAATAATACAATAATGCAGGTGAGGGAGAACAATGACCAGAACAGGATGGTAGCAGGGGAACAGAAAGAAGTAAACAAATTCAAGACAAAGTAATGTGAGCTCAGAAGCCAGATTCCTTGTAACTCATAGCTGGATGACCTTGGGCAAGTTATTTAAACTCACTGTAACTCGGAGACATCATCTGTAAGCAGTACCTATTAAAAAAGGCTATTACAGGTCGGGCATGGTGGCTCATGCCTATAATTCTAGCACTTTGGGAGGCCAAGGTGGACCCCACCTGAGGTCAGGGGTTTGAGACCAGCTGGCCAATATGATGAAACCCTGTCTCTACTAAATCGCTTGAACTTGAGAGGCGGAGGTTGCAGTGAGCGGGACTGCCCCTCAAAAAAAAAAAAAGAGGCTATTGTGAAGATTTGAAGATTCACTGAGACAACCCATGTAAAAAGCACTTAATAGAACAGAGCCTCTCACATGGGAAGGGCTTAATACATGTTAAATATTTTTCAAGAGATAGCACTGATAGGACCTGGTGATTGAGAGATATGAGCTTTCAGGGAGATCTTAGTGATGGATGATGCTTGGATTTGACAACTGGTTAGATAGTGGAATAATGGGAAACTCTGGAAAAGGTTTAAGGATTGAGATTAGTTACACTTTTAAGTAAAAGATCTGTTGTAAACTCACAAAATCCTGCCTCCTACAACCCAGAAGGATTCTGATAATACAAATGTTGCTTTTTCCAAGTTTTCAGTACTACTGCATTTAAAAAATCCTATTTTTACATTCTTGGGTCATTTCAAAAGATATGGAAAAGGATAAGTCAGTAGCTTGTGCTAAAAGCTGCCATACTGCACAGAAGTTTCCCATTTGGCAATTTTAACACTTATTTTTATAAGAAAACACTTTCTGGAAAGCAGTATTCCAAAAGATTCCAATTAAAAGTATTCTTAAACTGTTATATTTAGGGTGAAACTTCAACTGAACATTGTGACATAAAGACTATGCTTATAATGTTTAAATGTTTTTATTTCTAATTTTAGCTGCTACTTTCAAAGCATTAATTCAATAATACTGATTGCAAATAAACTATGGACTCCATAATATTAGGATTTAGTACTTACAATGTGCTAATCATTGTTAAGTGCTTTATATGTATTAATATACTTATATTTTTGGAGATTATAAAAGAAATTATAAAGTACTGACCCTAGATATGGCACCAAATGTACAAGCAACTAAAGAAAAAAATAACTAAATTGGACTTTATCCAAATTAAAAAATTTTGTTTTTCAAAGACATCACTGAGAAAGTGAAAAAATGACCCACAGAATGGGGGAAAGTATTTGCAAATCACATATCTAATAAGGGGCTGTATGTAGAATATATAAAGAACTCTTACAACTTAATAATGAGACAACCCAATTTAAAAATCGGCAACGAATCTGAACAGATGTTTCTCTAAAAAAGGATATAAAAATGGCCAATAAGAATATGAAAAGATGCTCAACCTCATTAGCCTCAAGGCAATGCAAATCAAAGCCACAATGGAGACATTTCACACCCACCAGAATGACTATAATACAAAAGGCAGATAGTACCAAGTAATGGTGAGAGTGTGGAGAAATTAGAACTTTTATTCACTACTGGTGGGAATAAAAACAGCTTGGCTTCAATGGTTAAACACAGACTTACCATATGACCAGGAATATACCCAAGAGAAATGAAAATATATATCCAGACAAAAAGTTGTATACAAGTTCCTAGCAACATTATGGATGAATCTCGAAAACATTATGCTAATGAGAGAAGTCAGACATTTAAAAATCACATATCGAGTGATTCAATTTATATGAAATATCCAGAGCAGGAAGATCTATAGAGACACAGGTGGCTGCCTGTGGCTAAGAGGGGATGGGAGAAATGGGGAGTGACGCTAATGTGCTTCAGAGTTTCTTTTTGTGGTGATGAAAATGCTCTAAAATTGACTGTGTGATGGTTGAACAAGCCTATGAATATACAGATAGTCCCTGGTTTACATTTTTGACTTTGTTATGGGTTTATCAGGAGGTAACCCCAGTATAAGTTGAGGAGCCTGTGGACTCAACAATGGCTTAAGATTTTTCAATATAAGACTTTACAATGGGTTTACTGGGGTATTAAATGCATTTTTTCCGACTTACATTTTTTACTTATGATGGGTTTATTGGAATGTAATCCCATTGTAAGTCAAAGAGCATCTATGCTAAAACCAATGAAATGGTATACTTTAAGTGGGTGAATTGTATGGTATGTGAATATCTCTGTAAAGCTGTTACAAAAACAAACAAACAAACAAAGATACTGTCTTCCCATATGAGAAACTTCTGCTTAAGTTCAGGGATTGGCAAACTTTTTCTGTAAAAAAACAGTAAATATTTTAGGTTTTGTAGGTCATACTACAAAAGAAGCTAAAGATAATACATAAACAAATAAGCAAGGTAATCCAATAACATTTTATCAACAATGAAATATTCTTCTTAATCCATTCTTAGCTCACAGGCCATACATAAACAAAGTGGTCTGGATTTGGCCAATAGTAACTTCACAGGAAAATGTATATACAAAGACCTCTTTTTCTCAACAAATTACCTTTCAAAAACATGTCAATCTTCTTACCTCTAATTTTTCTCTTAAAGCTTCCTTTTCTGCCATAATTCTTCTTAAGTCAGATAACGCAAGTTCTTTTTCCTTTTCCATAAGACTAACAATATTATGGGGTGCTGTGGTTTGGGTGGATTCCTTTCTTAGGGCAGATAATTCTTCCTGAGCCTTAAAGAATGAAAAGATATAAATTAAAAAGGCACTTTAGTAAAAGATATAAATAAAAAATACTTTGGATATGTTTCCAGTTAAAAAAGGCATACTGAACACATGCTACCGTCACTCTCTTCGCAAATCCCAACAAAAGATTAAAATAGTAAGAATAATAAAACAAAAAAGACAAGGGGATTGAGGGAGGCACCAGCCACAAAATGTTGGAAACTAGACAGCAGACAGACAAGCAGGAAGTAACTAGGCAGACCCAAGAAAGCTGAAATCTAAGCTAGCAATGGGGAAAGCCCAGAAGTGGATCAATTTACACTGCAGAATTCCCCCCAAAAAACTCATTAAGTGACTCTTTCAACGTGACCTTTAACTTGCATGCCTCTTCCCCTTCTCAAAATAGCAGTAGGATTTCATGGGAGATGGGTATGTGAACAAATTTAGGTGACAGACACCATGCTTTGCTCAGACTTACCTTGCCCTCTAACAACTGAGGATTTGTTAATGGGGCCAAGCTGAATACCAATTCCCTCTTCCTAGAGTACAGTATTTAGAGACTAAGTCCTAAATAGCCAATATATCCAAATAGTGGGTGCTACCCACTGTTTTGATAGACATTTCCCTACGTCTGAATTCCAAGCATAAATTTGGCTCAGAGTCAGGCTGAGACCTGCTTCAGGTAGTTTTAGAAAAAGAAGACTATCTCTAACTGATCTGACACATAGATAGGCTAGAAAAGGGAAAGAATAAATATGAAAAAATAAGAGAAATTTGTGTTTTAGAAACAGAATGATAGTAGAAACTACTACTGATAATTTTAATTATGAAGAAATATCACAGGTCCATATATTATAGTAATGTGAAAGATATATACAGGCTCCATTATAGTTAACTGGTTCTATACAATCTATTGGCTTAATTATAATACATTTCTTACTTCATTATATAAGACACTTAGTTTATCTCTTTCTGCTGTCAATAATTTAACATTGGACTGTATATCTTCCATATATTTTTCAAATCTTTCTAGCATACGCTGAAGTTCATCTCTTTCTCTTGTGATCTGATGAATTTCTGAATTGTAATCACCCTGAAACATAATTAAAAAACAAAATATAATCATCACCACATGGTTGTCACAAGGATACTGATGATGAGATTGACTGAAAGATGCTACCAGACAAAAAGAACACAAGTGCCTTTAACGTAATTAAGGAACACAGTTTTAAAAATCTATGATGAGAGCAGATGAGAGCACTGGCAGTACCAGGGCAAATTTCCTGGCCTTCAAGTTCCCAGAAGAGACTTAGCTGCCAATGATGTGACTTGATCAGATCCCATGAGATGTTTCAACTTTTATTCTCCCAAAGTTGTTCATACTCGTGGTACTTGAAGTATAATCCCCAGACCAGAAGCATTAGCAGTATCTAAAAGCTTGTCAGACATGCAAATTTTGGAGTTTGAAGCCCAACCCAGACCTACTCAGTCAAGAAACTTCCGGGTAGGGCCAAGTAACTGTATTTTATCAAGCCCTCTAAGTGATTCTGATGCCTGGTAATTTTTTAGAGCCACTAGTTAGTTTATCTTCTCCAGAGAAGGGGCCAGCAGGGTACTTGTGTGCCTGCTCGCCCAGTACAGGTAACTGTAACAGCCTAGCACATTTCTCAGTGTTTTCTATGATTGAATCTAAGATCAATACGCCAGGCATACCAACCCCCAACTGTCTCAGCTTCAGACCTACAGGAGGTCTTTTTATACAGTCAAATAAATGCAAATATTTCTACCAGGCAGTATATATTAAGAATATTCACTGAATAAGCAACTACTTCCAACATTTCTACAATTTAGTGCAATTTAAAAGATGCCTACAATTTAGTACAATTCAAAAGATTCACTGTCTTCATCACTATGGTAGAAAATAAAGATGAGAGCACTCTGATTCTCCCCATGCACATGTAAATAAATTTGTATGCCTTTTTCCTATTAAAAAAAAAGAAAAATAACAAATGTAGACTTGGGATCTATGGTATCTTAATGTTACAAGCACTAAATGCAGAAGTGCCAAGAAGGGATAATTTGATAATATGATACACTGAAAAGAGACCTGGCCTATACTATGTAACATCTGTTATGCCAATACCACATACAATGTAGATTTGGTAAATGATAGATATCTGTGAGGTACCTCTCACCTGCACTTGGAAATAATTAATCTCTTGGTTAAATAAGCAAAACCGAGGCATGATGGATGGGATTAGTTATCCGAACTCTTTAAAGGACAAGATATTTTATAGTACAAAAGCAGATTAGTGTTTTGGGACTTAACCAATGTAACTATAAAAGAAGCTATGTAATCTAACCATATCTAAATTTAAAAAGTCTGGGCCAGGTGTGGTGGTTCATGTTTGTAATCCTAGCACTCTGGGAGGCCAAGGCAGGAGGACTGCTTGAGGCCAGGAATTCATGACCAGCCCGGGCAAAAGAGCAAGACCTGCCTCTGCAAAAAATTAAAAAATTAGCCAGGCATAGTGGTGCACACTTGTAGTCCTAGCTACTTGGGAGGCTGAGGGAAGAGGATTACTTCAGCCCAGGAGTTCAAGGTTACAGTGAGCTATGATCGCACTACTGCACTCCAGCCTGAGGGACAGAGTGAGACTTTCTCCCAAAGAAAAACAAAATAATCTTCCAGAAAGAGGCAGTCTGTACAGATTCTAGAAAAGGAGGGCTCAATAAACAAAGATTTGACAATCTATTTTTATTACTGTTTAGGTGTCAGCTTAAATGTCACTTTCTCCAAGGAATTCTTTCAGATTTTTCAATCTAATTTAGATCTCCTTCTATATACTCTTATAGTATTTTGAATATTTTCTGTACTTTCTTCATAAACACATTATAAATGAGGTTATAAGGTTATGTACATGATTGTGCATTTAATGTGTATCTGTACTACTAAAATTTAAGCTCCATGAGGGCCACAGTAGGAACCTGGTCTTTTTCATTACATCTTCAGTGTCTAGTATGGTACCCAGTAAAACATGAGTTTACCCAGTAAAACATGAGTTCCCTGAACATTTACTGACTGACTTCCCTAAGCAGAAACTCTACTCTTCTTTAAATATATCTGTTGTACATATTTGTTAGTGTTAATGTATAATTGTGAATAACGCCCTTTCACTACTCCACTGTCCCCTAAACACACACATGCACATGCACACACATGCGCAATGCTGAAGGCTGTAAGGGCAGGAACTGTCTTCATCTCTGTATTCTATGCCTCATTCAGAGCAGGCACTCAGTATTTATCTTCTGAACTGACCCTAGCTTTCTACCAGAACTGATGTGCTTTGAACCAGCAAATAATAAGGAAATAAACCATTCACCGGTAACTAGATGTTACGCTGGGTCCTTACACAAATTATTTCATGATCAAAGGGCATAGTTTCAGTTAGTCTGGAGGAATGTTTTAATGAGCTATTGTGTTGCATGGTTACCAGTTAATAATAACTATTGTATACTTCAAAATTGCTAAAAGAATAGATTTTTAACATTCTCACCACAAAAAAATAAGTTGGTGAGGAAACAGACATGTTAATTGGTTTGACTGAATCTTTCTATAATGTATACATAGATCAAAACATCCAACTATACTCTATAAATATACATATTATTTGTCAATTAAAAATAAAACTGACAAATTAGCTCATTTAATCTTCACAAGAAGTTGTAGTCACTTTCCCCACTCTGCAAATGAGGAAAACAGGGTTCCATGAAGTTAGGTAACTTCTCCAACATCATAAAGCCAGTTTGTGGAGTTGGAACTTGTGTTAGGCTCCAATTGCAAAGCACTTCTGCCTACACCATACTCAAAACTCACAGTGGGAACCAGGGTGAATACAAGGTGAGGAGGATAGTACCCACCCTACACAGGGAATAGAGAATTGATATTAAAAAATGTCAATTTTTTTCTGAGTTATTACAATCCCAACACTGTGCCTAACAGTCTGCCATAAAGCAGGGGTTGAAAACACAGCTAGTACCAAATCCAGCTGTAGAATGATCTTTGTGGTTTACCAACAAGTGCTCCTGAACATGTTTAAAACAGCTAATTCTAGGGCGGCCACCATGGCTCACGTCTGTAATCCCAGCACTTTGGGAGGCCAAGGCAGGCAGATCACTTGAGATCAGGTGTTTGAAACCAGCCTGGGCAACATGGAAAAACCCTATCTCTACAAAAAATACAAAAAACAAAAAAAAAAAAAGCCAGGCATGGTAGCACATGCCTATAGTCCCAGCTACTCAGTACGCTAAGGTGTGAAAATGGCTTGAGCCCAGTAGGCAGATGTTGCTGTGAGACAAGATCATGCCACTGCACTCCAGCCTGGGTGACAGAGCCATATCCTGTCTCAATAAATAAAGTAAAATAAAATAGCTAATTTTAGGTGGGGAATGCACTTCCTAGTTCCCAGCACTCACAACTGTCTTATACCCCACCCATTTCATTCAGGTACTTACCTACTATCCTCTTTCATGCCTGCACTTTATTATTGGGCCTCTAAAATGCTCTGAACATCCTGGCTTTCTGAACTCTAGAAAATAAATTCTTTGTCTATGCCAGGTACCATTATAACTTCAAGAATGTAAATAAGTTGAAGGGGAGAAAAGTTTCACTTAATTTTACTAGTGCCTTACCAATATGTCTCACACATTTGTCTTTCAATTGTGAATCCAGCACAGAGCAAATGGATCAAATATTTTGGTTAAAAGCTCTGAGATATTTATCTCCTTGGTATTTGAAACTTAATTAAACTGATCAATCATTTTGTGGGAGATTCCTCTATACAATAAAAATGATCAATTCAGTCACTTATTTTTCCTGAGTCCTAAGTATATACGGAATTTAAAAAAAACTCAGCAACATAAATTATTAATAACCTGTACTGCATTTTCCCACCAATTCATTCTTTTTCTTTCTTTCTTTCTTTCTTTTTTTTTTTTTTGTCACCCAGGCTGGAATGCAGTGACGAGATCATGGCTCACTGCAGCCTCGAACTCCTGGGCTCAAGCAATCCCCTTGCCTCAGCCTTCCTAGTAGGTGGTACGAGAGGTGCATGCCACTATGCTCAGCTAATTTTTTAATTTTTCTTTTGTAGAGATGGCATCTCACTGTGTTGACCAGACTGGTCTCGAACTCCTGGCCTCAAGTGATCCTCCCGCCTTGGCCTCCCAAAGTGCTGGAATTACAGGAGCCACACCACCTGGCCTTATTCTTATAATAGATAACATAGTATAGTGCTTACACTGACAACAGTAAATCAAAATTCAGCCATTAGCCTATGAGGTTAAAAAATGAAGTCTAATCAGAAGACAAAACTGTTTGACAATGGACACAAGATCTTCAGGAAAAACATGACAAAATTAGTAAATTCGGCCAAGTCTGAAATCAAATGTTTTGAGTTTTAATGAGTACTCTACACTCCCAGATTTCCCCTAATTTTACCTAGTGTGTAGATAAAGTAATGTCACATAAGCCTTCAAGACTCCTGAACTCCAAAGCTTAAAAGAAGAAAAATCTGAAGAACTCAAATGATACTCATAAAACACTAAAAATAATTAAGACCTAAAATAGAGACACATGATTTTAATCTCTCATGAATCATGGTCAACTTTAAATAATACACACATTGGGAGATGCAATTAGAAAATAACATAGAGAGAACATCTTTGGATCATCAACTTACAAATATGGTTGTAGTGGACAAACAAAACAATCTCCCCAGCACTCACTTGCCATTTCTATCTATCTCCCATAGTACGGTTAATAGAGAAGATGCTTGGTCAGTAGAATGTGACACACCTTCCTAACTGGTCCAAGGCTGGAAATGACATGAAACCATGTTGCCTGCCATGCATACAAAGCCACTCTGCTATGAGAGAGAAAATGCAGCTGATACAGAAAGTAAATTCTAAAAAGAGAGGGAATGTCCAACAATATGAGTACTGGAAGGCCAGGTGCCACTGCACTTCTACAACTCAGCTATTCAACCTTTCCTTTAATTTCCAGTCATCTATATGTTATAGTTTGTTCTTAAGTAATTTTCCTAATTAATGTAGTGTTCCTATAGTGCAGGCCATAAAAGAAAACAAGAATCAAAATCAGGATTTTTCAAAGCAAGTACGAATAAAGTTACATTTAATATAATAATAAACCAGAAAAATTTATTCATAAAGATACTTTCTGGCCTACTCTTATAAAGGGACATTACCTTTTCTGGTGTTCTAAATATTGAACTTTTTTCACGTGCGCTATAACTTGTAGAGCAAGATCTTCGCTGTATTATATGTTGGAGTCTCTCTAGCTCTTTCTTATAATAATCTCGTTCTTCTTCTATACCTTTCAGAAATGTATCTAAACGAGAAGGTGACCTGTCTCGACGTTTTATTCCATGTTCTAGTCTCATCCTCTCAACCTCCAGAGTAAGTTGTCGTTCTGTAAATTAAAGTGGTTAACTCTTAAAATAATGTTGTATACATAATGTTGATTAGTCAAGTAAATTATATTAATAACTTTTAGAATGAAAGCTACTAGAAATCATGAACTGTTCTACATAACACCTGTAGGTACCAAATCTATTGAAGAGGTAAATATTGAGAGGAAAGAAGGGAAAAAAAAGCAAAAATTAAAAGTTTAAATAAAGTCCAATAGGTCCAAGTCTCCCTGCTTTTGTCTTATCGTAAGATGGGTGCTATGCAGTACTACAAAATGAAGCAATAAATTACCACATAGTACTTTCCCGGGACCTGAAAATGCACTAAAAGAAAATGTATCTATAAACAATCATAACATGCACAAACTTAAAATTAAGTTTGAATTTAATACAGTATACACATATACAAAGAGAGCAAAATAACTCAAACATAATTATTAGCTTTTACCATAGAAATTGCCTCTTCATGAGTCAAAAGTAATCAAATACTGGCAATTTCATATAGTTGAACCTAATTTAATTTATGTTCATTACAACTCTGAGGCATGGAATGATTTTCCTGATGTATTCTGATTTATTCTCATCTCTTCTTTCATTCATTCAACAGATATGTATTAAGCATTTACTACATGCCCAGCACCAGCTAAGGATACAGTATAAAAAGCATAGCCAAGGCTGCACAACTATTCTAATTGTAGTAGGATAAAAGCTACAAAAGGACAGTGTGCAATGCAAACTAGAGGATGAACTGGCAAATTTGTCCCAAGAAGGATTGACCAGAGAGGTAAGAACAAAGTAGGAGAGTGGGAAAGAATGGGCAACTGGATTAAATGCAGTCAAATAAGCAAATGAATGAAAAGCAGCCACTGCATTCAGCATAACAGAGGTGAATGACTTTAACAAGAGCAGTTTTGTTGAAGAGATGGCAACAGAAGCCAACTGGAGTGGACTGAGGAGCTAAGGGGTAGTGGGTGATCAAGCAGAACAGCAAGTATGGCTGACCTTTCAAGACGCTGATGCTATGAAGAGAAGAAACGAGTGGCTGCATAGGAATGGGTCAAAGTTTTTGTATTGGAATGGGTGAGAGTAAGCATGTGAATGCCAACGGGAAAAAACAGTACAAAGATTAAAACTATGGAGAGGAGATCATTAATTTGTAAGGTTTTTAAAATTAGAGAAGTTAGGGCCCAGAGAATACATGGAGCCACCGGCCCTTTATAAGAGGGGCATTCCTGCATTGAACAGGAAGGAACAAGATGCACACGTTTTTAATCTGAGGCCAGAAGACTGAGTGAATCCCTGCCATAGCTTCCCTTCTTTTAGGAAAACTGGAGGTAGGATCATCCACTCAGAATGAAGGTGGGAAATGGGACTCACGGGTTTATTGACAGTGCAAAACATTTTAAATATCCCCCGTGGAGAATGGAAGATCAAACGCTAAGAGAACAGTGTAAGATTTCCATACAGCGCTGAGCAGTCTGCTGAGGTTCAGGACCATCTAATTTACAGTGCTCTCAATGTGCCTGGTGCACACTCAAACAGCTGACCATGTATAAAAGTGGAGAAGGTAAACTGTTTGGCTCATCCATGGCTGGGTATCTGGCAGGGGGATGCACCCAAAACACAGGGAAACAAGAGAGTTTGAGACAGTTGAAAGATTACACTGAAATGATAGGCCACACATAGCTATCAAAAAGAAAAATAAACTTTTTTTTTTTCACACAGTTTCACTATTTTTGCCCAGGCTGGAGTACAAGGGTGCGATCTCGGCTCACTGCAACCTCCGCCTCCGGGTTCAAGCGATTCTCCTGCCTCAGCCTCCTGAGTAGCTGGGATTACAGGCACCCACCACCACGCCCAGCTAGTTTTTGTTTTCTTAGTAGAGATGGGGTTTCTCCATGTGGGTCAGGCTGGTCTTGAACTCCCGACCTCAGGTGATCCGCCTGCCTCGGCCTCCCAAAGTGCTGGGATTACAGGCGTGAGCCACCGCACCCAGCCTGTTTTAAACTTTTATACATGGTTCTAAGCACTTCAACATATTAACTCATTTAATTATCACAACAACTTTTCAGGGTAGGTGTCATCATTAGCCCCACAGATAGGGAACTGAGGCACAGAGAGCTTAAGTAACATGCTCAAGTTACATGCTAATAAGTAGAGAGGAGTTCAAACAGATTATCCACATGGGCCTAGGAAAGAGACTCTTCTTAATACAGTAACTGGCTTTCTTTCACTTCCTAAGACACACAGAGTTTGATGGTACCAAGTTTCTGCACGTGCCATTTCCTCTGCGTAGAAAACTAGACCCCAGATTTTCATATTGCTGGTGTATTGTCATTGAGCACTTCATTCAATCTCTAGCACATCCTCCCATTCTAATTTAATACCTCTTATCAACTAAAATTAACTTCTTAATTTATGTGCCATTAGTTTGTTTCCCTAGCAAGAAAAAAGGCTCTGCAAGAGCAGGGCCCTTATGTATTTTGTTTGCCACTATACACCCCAGCACTCAAAAACAGGGCCTGGCACACACCCACACAGGAGGTGATTCATAAACATCGGTCAAATTAATGAATGAATAAATTCTTTTTTTTTTTGGAGATGGAATCTCATTCTGTCACCCAGGCTGGAGTGCAGTGGCACGATTCAGGCTCACTGCAACCTCCACCTCCCAAGTTAAAACGATTCTCTTGCCTCAGCCTCCTGAGTAGCTGGGATTACAGTCGCATGCCACCACGCCCAGTTAATTTTGTATTTTTAGTGGAGACGGGGTTTCACCATGTTAGCCAGGCTGATCTTGAACTCCCAACCTCAGATGATCCGCCTGTTTCAGCCTCCCAAAGTGCTAGGATTACAGGTGTGAGCCACCGCGCCCAGCCGAATGAATTCTTATATGTTCCTGATGCCAAGTCATTTAGAACTGGTACCTGTAGAAAGTTAGCCTATTTCAATTTGTGTGTGTGTTTATGTGTGTGTATTTTAAGATAATATAACTGCATTTCCTTGAAAAGATTCTGTACTTCAATTTTCCACTATCAAAATAGCCTTCCCTTTAGTCTTACTTAATTCTATTATTAGTCTGTCTCAAAGAAGGACACATTTCTATTGCAAAATATTCAAGCAGGGCTCCCTGTATAAACTAGCCAAAACATAAAAATTCTAAGGTCCTTGAGGGAGAGATTTCTACTGTATCTACAGTAACTACTATGGTTTTTGACTAATGGTAAGCACTCAACAAATATTTATTGAATGAATGAATGAATGAATATCTACTAAGAAAAACAATACATCAAGAGGAAATCACAATCATTCTTTAGCTATCAAAATTTGACATCTTACCTGTAACTGCAAAACTTTCAACTTTTTTGCTAAGTCTTTGCTTTTCTTGTTCAAGCTGATGAACAACAGTTTCTAGGTCTGATTTTACAAGGAGTTCATCACTCAGTCTCTCCTTTTCTTTCTGGCATAAGTTCAATTCCTGCAAATTTTAATACTATAATTAAGATTTCTAACAACTTTATAAAATATTATCGCACTTAAGATAGATTTTTATAAGCACATTTATATAACAGCAATTTACATATACGTGTGTGTACATATACTTAATTAGTCAAATATAAGGTTTCAATTAAACTTAATTATCATTTGTGGCTGAAAACACAAATATCAACAATGCTTCTTTGAGGGTGGGAGAATTATTTTCTTCTAGTTAGTTTAGCATATTGTCTTATTTTTTTCTAAATGAATATATACTTATATGATTAAAAAATTTAAAGCTTTTTCATGTTTAAGAGAGCAGTAGTAAGATAAATTCTTCTAAGATCACCACACACAGTGTATCTATAACTATACTGGTTATTCTCTCAGCCTCATATGCACAACAAGGATAATAAGACCAGGACACTAAGGATTTACTGGCGAGGATGAATCTATGGTTATGAAGTACTTTCCATGGTATCCAACATGTCCACCACGGTAAGTACTTAAAAAATGTTAGCTATCAATATTATCATTCTTATCTCAAAAATACATAGAATTTTGCATTACTAGAAAAAATAAGAAAGGTAAGAAAGTAACTACGGCAACATCTTACTGTAAGCCAACACTACTAAAACTTGGTCACAGTTCTGAGACAAGTATTATGAATCACATCCAACATTTAGTGCACATACAACTAGCAGTGAACAAACAGCAAAAATCCCTTGCTCTCATGCTTCCTTTTTAATTGACTTATGCCACCAGGACACTGCAGCTAGACTGTATAAAAAGTATACATAATGAAAGAACTTGGAAATTAGTATTTACCTTTATTTCCAATCTTAGAGAAAACTCTTCCAATTCAACAGGTTATTTTTTTAAAATCCTCAATCATTTGGGTGACTACCCAGTTTCTACCTTATAAGCAAGACACTCTTTCTGCTAGTTGCAGACTATAGGACTATATGCTTTTTCTGTATGCTACATTTAGGCTTCTGTTGGGATGATTACTTCCTTTGTTATTTGAAGACTACCAGAACAAGAAATGTGACTAGGAAAATGGTTTGTATTACCAAACAAAGCTATTAAAAGAGGACTGGGCTGGGCACAGTGGCTCATGCCTGTAGTCCTAGCACTTTAGGAGGCCGGGGCGGGAGAATCACTTGAGTCCAGGAGTTTGAGACCATCCTGGGTAACATAGTAAGACCTCATTTCTACTAAAAAAAAAAAAAAGCTAGGCACGGTGGCACATGCCTGCAGTCTTAACCACACAGAAGGCTGAGGTGGGAGGATCACTTGAGCACCAGGGGTTCAAGGCTGCAGGGAGCTATGATCATGCCATTACACTCCAGTCTAGGTGACAAGGCAAGCCCCTGTCTCCAAAAAATAAATAAATAAATAAATAAAAGAGGATGGAGTGCCTTTTGTAATAATCAACAAATATTTCAAGTTAATCAACAAATATTTCAAGTAATTAACTCCTGGTTTTAATATTAGTCAACTAACAAATCATAAAGTAGTTAAAAGAATGTAAAATTTCTAGCAGCTACCTACTATACATAAAATTAAGGAATTATAAAAATATAAACTTGCATGTCCATGCAGTGGAATATTACTCAGCCATAAGAAGGAATGAAGTACTCATAAATGCTACCACATGCATGAACCTTGTAAATATTATGCTTAGTAAAAGAATCCAGACACAAAATATATGATTCCCTTTATATGGAATGGCCAGAATAGATAAATCTACAGAAACAGAAAGTAGATTAGTGGTTGTCAGGAGCTGAGCAATAAAACAAAGCATACAAATTTTCTTTTCTTTTTTTTTTTTTTTTTTTTAAAGATGGAGTTTCGCTCTTGTTGCCCAGGCTGGAGTGCAATGGTGTGACCTCGGCTCACTGCAACCTCTGCCTCCCAGGTTCAAGCAATTCTCCTGCCTCAGCCTCCCAAGTAGCAGGGATTACAGGCATGCGCCACCACTCCCAGCTAATTTTTGTATTTTTAGTAGAGACGGGGTTTCGCCATGTTGATGTGGCTGGATGGTCTCGAACTCCTGACCTCAGGTGATAAACCCACCTCAGTCTCCCATAAAAATTTTCTTACTGAAAATGCTGGCAATTCAACATGACATCAACTTACCAGCTGAAGTTTTGCCATTGTTTCTTCAAGATCCTGCATTTCAGAGAGCTTTCTTTTAATCTCTTTCTAGGAATAAAAAGCCTATTAGGTATATACTTAAAAGTCTAAGAATACTTAAGTCATATGCAAATAGATCAAGTAATTTTGCAATTACTTCACGTTCCCTCTTACCAGTGAGATCTGAGGCTTTATCCCTATCAATTTCAACGAAGAGGCAAAATTGAGGCTTCTCTTTAATCTTTTGGTATCCCGAATGTTTACAGGAGCCTACTTGTAACATCTGAAGAAGGCCACTTGAGCATCTTGTAGGATCTTCCTTGGGCCTTAAATTTTGGGGTAATTCTATGGCACTGTCATTTCCTGATTTTCCTATCCTATTTGCTTTCTCCATACCTGCTTTTACCAACCTGGATCCTCTCTATACTGCAACTGAGAGAACAGAATGCCAAGATCAAAATATTATGACCCAATAGGAACATTTTGTTGAGCCAACTTGTCATTTCTGAGCATTTGCAATGGGACATGGGAAGCTGTGTTTAGCATGCTGTGTGCACAAGGATAGAAGATGCAAAAGGTGGTGGAAAAAGAGAGGGATGAGATATAGGAGTGTTGTAATGAAACTAAAACCACAAAAACAGAATTAAAACTGTACTCATTATATCCTTTTTCAAGATTGTGTTGGTGGTCTGGGGTCCTTGGAGATTCCATATGCATTTTAGAAGTTTCTTCTATTTTTGCAAAAAAAAAAAAAAAACACCACTGGGATTTTGATAGGGAATGCGCTGAATTTGAGTTGTATGGACACTTTAACAATATTGGGTCTTCCAATCCACGGACACGGAATGTCTTTCCATTTATTTGTGTCTTCTTTAACTTCTTTAGCAATGCTGTATAGTTTTTCAAGTGTAAGGGTTTTTCATCTCATTGGTTAAGTTTATTTCTAAGTATTTTATTCCTTTTGATGCTATTGCAGATGGGATTACTTTCTTAATTTCCTTTTTGGATAGTTTATTCTTAGTGTATAGAAAAACATCTGATTTTTGTGTGCTGATTTTGTATCCTGCAATTTTGCTGAATTAGTTTATTAGTTCTGGTTTCTGCGGAATGTTGAAGGCTTTCTACATATAAAATTATGCCATCTGTAAACAGAGATAATTTTATTCTTTCTTTGCAATTTGTATGCCTTTTCTTGCCTAACTGCTCTGGCTAGGACTTCCAGTACTATGTTGAGCAGCAGTGACAAGAGTGGGAATCCTTCCTTGTTCTTCATCTTAGAGGAAAAACTTCCAGTTTTTCACCACTGAGTATGATTGTTTGTTGTGGGCCTTTCACACATGGTTTTTAAAATATTGAGGTAATTTCCTTCTATTCCACTAATTAGTAGAGGTGGCACTATATAAAATCAATTCGGTGATATACAGCAGTGGTCTTCAAACTGGATTATACTTACTCCTGGGATAAATTGAACACTTTCCAAGTATTACATAAAACTATGGTATGCACATAGTTCTAAGGAATCAGCATCTGAATCCTTAATCTGCATATTCAGTGCTTCTTAAAAATGATCTACCTAATAATTTGTTTGTGGCCTGGCTATCATGTGAGTTCTGCATTCCTACCCTCCCTTTTATAAATGCCTTTCTCTCAATGTTCAAAGAAGGGCATGTATATCATTCATACCCCAATAGTGCACTGTCTCAAGATATAAAAAACTTTTAGAGTACCAGATCAAAAGATAATCTGAAATGTTGGGGCTGGCCAAAGGCTTTAAATAAGACACTATTTTCTCCCATTATAATTCATTAAGAGATGTATTTCCAATAAAATTTTACTTTTTTATTTCATAAATATCAACATTTGTGGTGTATTTGTCACTTTAACCCACTGATAATTAATAATTGTAATGATGACACTATTCAGATAAAAATATTAACACCTTGAACCTTACAGTTACAGGAAATTTTTAAAAATAAAAAATTTCTTTTTTTCCCATCAGGCTGTCAGAATTTTTTTTAAATAAAAAAAAATTCACTCTTTTTAAATTTATTCTTTTTATTGTACAGATGTATGATAGTATGATCATGAAAAGATTTTCAAGCATAAAACTAGTTGAAATAAGATAAAATTCTATGGAAATTTCAAGGAGAAAGGATCATTTAGATTTTACTGGCTATAATTAAAAGAACAATGAAATAGTTTTATTTTAAGATATTATATTTAAAATAGACTGGAAATATCACCCTTTCCATTTAAACTTAAAAGATGAAAAATGTTATTATAATTACCAACTTAAAAATGTGCAAGGACATACACAGTTTTAAAAACACTTTTAAAGAATTCTTGGTGGCCAGGCATGGCTGCTCATGCCTGTAATCTGAGCACTTAGGGAAGCTGAGGCAGGAGGATTGCTTAACCCAGGAGTTTGAGACCAGCCTGGGCAACATAGTGAGATCCCATCTCTGCAAAAAATCAAAAAATTAGCTGGGCCTTGTGGCATGCACCTGTAGTCCCAGCTACTCAGGAGGCTGAGATGGGAGGATTGCTTGAGCCTGAGGAGGTTGAGGCTGCAGTGAGCTATGATTGTCCCACCACACTCCAGCCTGGGCAACAGAGCAAGACCATGTCTCAAAAAACACAAGCCGAGCGTGGTGGCTCACGCCTGTAATCCCAGCATTTTGGGAGGCTGAGGTGGATGGATCACCTGAGGTCAGGAGTTCGAGACCAGGCTGGCCCACATGGTGAGACCCCATCTCTACTAAAAGTACAAAAATTAGCTGGGCATGGTGGCGGGCACCTGTAATTCCAGCTACTTGGAGGCTGAGGCAGGAGAATCACTTGAACTGGGGAGACGGGGGTTGCAGTGAGCCGAGATCACACCATTGCACTCCAGCCTGGGAGACAGAGATTCTGTCTCAAAAAAAAAGGATTCTTGAGCAAAAATGACATAGAGGGGAAACTTTAAAAGCTCTCTCACAATGCATAGATAAAGGGGCAGAGATAAAAATCGTGAAGGAAAACAGACTAGAGTTTGGAGATCCATCCTAAGAATAGGTGTGCTTCAGAGAGACACTCAAACAACTAAAACAACTACAATCATTTACAGGGTGTAAACAACACTTCAGAAAACCCTGAATTACCAAAGCAAAAAAACAAAAACAGACACACAAAATAAACCAAAAACCTGAATGCAGATATCAAAAGGGATCAAGCTTACCGTGTGCTAGGAGAATTAATGAACACTCTCACAATCTACACATATCATTCATTACCTTTGCTTCCCCAAGCTCTTTATCAGCAGTCTCAAGCACTTCTTCTTTATGTCTTTCCAACTGCTGTGCTAACTGATCTATTTCAGTTAATTCTTGGCAGAGTTTTTCATTTTTGTTACTTAAATTAACGACTTCAGATGTCACTGTTTCCTTGGTTTCCATAAGCTCTCGTATACGCTTCTCCAGGTCTTTATTAGCTTGCTGAAGAAAGTCAACCTAAATTGGAGTTGTAATTTATGAGGTATATGAATTGGAAAATTATCCTAAACACTGACTTTCCAAATAATACTTCAAAAAACTATATTTTAAAAATTATTGAAGATTAAAACTACAGCTATTTTATATTTGCAAATTTATATTGTTATTTACAAAACTGACCATGTGCAGTGTAATGAAAGTACATATCCATTGACTTTGATTTTCAAGCATAGAAAGGACAAGAAATTTGTGTGAACTTTTTCCCAATACAGAGTTCTATACAACAAGAATATCAAGATGATAATAGACTGTGTTGTTCAATATAGTAGCCTCTAGCAACCACATGTGGCTACTGAGCATCTGAAATGTGGCTAGTGTAAACTGAGATGTGCTATAACTGTAAAATATACACAGGATTTCAAAGATAATACAAACAAAAAAATAGGTATGTAAAAACATTACTGGTTGAAATTATAATATTTTGGACATACTGGGGTAAATATATTGTTACAATTAATTTCACCTCTTTTTATTTTTTTAAATCAAGCTGCTACTAGAAAAATTTAAATTACATATATGGCTCATATCATATTTCTATGGGACAGCACTCCTCTAGAGCTACTGTTGATATTTTTTACTTACTATATTCTGTTTGTAGCCCAGGCAACTCTGTCATACCAAAATTTCTAAAGTTCCTGTGTCATACTGCATGGAACTCTCCTGCTCTTTCAGCCTTAGGTCAAATGCATGGCAAAGGAATCCACTACGTAAGTAGATAAAAGCTAGGTATTTAATTTTTATATATATTTTTAAATTTTTACATTATAAAATAAATATATACTCATAAAAATTTTAAAAAAGAAAAAGAGAAAACCATAAAGGAGAATATCCCACCACAGAAAGATAAGCTTTGTTAGTATACTTTGGTATATTCTCTTCGTTTTCTCTTTCCAAGTCCATATATACATTTTCTTAAAAGCAAATTGGCAATCATGTGCCCAGAGTTTATTCTCTTCCTTTAAATTGTTAATGTTATGGTGCATGTTAATTACTGCCTCATTAGTCTTTGAAAACATGATTTTTCAATAACTCCACCCTATTTCTGGATACTATGGTTCTATCAAATTTTTCCCATTGCAAATAATACCTCAGTGAACAACTCCTGCCACTTTTACAAACCCATAGACCATTATAAACATATAGTGTTTATTATAAACACCATTATATACACTCAGTGAAATAATTATAAAAGCCATTACCTGAATATTTAAATGAGCAATAAGCTTTTCATTGGTTTTATTTCTAGACTCCAGAGAAAGGACATCAGGGGACCGACCACCATCCAAAGCAACTGACAGTCGTTCTATCTCTCGTTCTCTTAGCTCAATCTGAAGATATAGTCATGCTGTCATTTTAAAAAATCTGGTTTTCAACCAAATGATTAACACTGTACAAACATTTATTTGGATATATTTTCTTATGTACCAATGTATGCAAGAGATTAACATTCATATTTGTGTCCATATATTATATGCATAAATGCAGAACAAAAATAAATTACATAGAAAATGTCAACAGACATGCTGTCACTATATCTTTCATATGTATTTTTACTACATAGATTCTTCCTAATTTAATTTTTGTATTTTTTTCCCTCCTTTAAGATTTAACAATGTTTATATAAAAAGAAACTTGCTAGCAGATTACATACATGCTCAAGTACTAGAACTGAATCTCAACTACTTCAGTTCCTGGTAGAATAAATGAATGAGTGTAACACACTAAGAAAAGTAAGTTGCTACTGAACCTCAATATTAAAAAGAATAGGAAACTGGGGTGAATTTAATTATCTGTTATTTATGTAAGAATTTGGAAAGGCTCACACTTTCAAGCTTTGGCTTTTTCTTTTTCTTTTTGAGACGGAGTTTCACTCTGTCACCCAGTCTGGAGTGCAGTGGCATGATCTCGGGTCACTGCAACCTCTGCCTCCCGGGTTTGAGCAATTCTCCTGCCTCAGCCTCCTGAGTAGCTGGGACTACAGGTATGTGCCACCACGCCTGGCTAATTTTTGTATTTTTAGTAGAGATGGGGTTTTACCATGTTGGCCAGGCTGGTCTTGAACTCCTGACCTCAGGTGATCCGCCTGCCTCGGCCTCCCAAAGTGCTGGGATTATAGGCGTGAGCCACCACTCCTGGCCCAAGCTTTGGTTTTCTTAAATAAATAACCAAACATTCCAAACATACCAAAAAGCAACAAAAACATGGAATGTTTGAGACAGCAGAAATAGCTTGGTATGACTGGATGTAATGTGCATGGGATCTAGTAGTTGGAGATGTCTGAAGAACTAGGACAAAACTAATTACGATTATGCTGGACTAAAGGATGAAATTGACAGGAATAAAAACAGAGGCAGGGGCAGGGAGACCTAATGCAGAAATGCATAAGAAACAATTAATAACTAAAATAAAACAGTGGTAGAGGATAGAACAGAAGAAATAAGTTTAAGAAGCACTTAGCCAGGAGAAATGACAGAACTTGGTGAGTGGTATGCGAAGGCAAGAGAAAGAGATCTAGAAAGAATACAGAATGTGCACTTGGGCAAACATTGATGCTACCAACCAAAGTAGAGAATAAAGGAGTCGAAACCAGAAGAGAAAAAGTTCAGTACAAGGCATATGAGTACAAAAAGACTCCACCCAAGTGGAAATGCCCAATGTAAAGGTGGGTATATGGGTCTGGAGTTCAGCAGAGAAGTTTGAGCCACAGAGAGATGAAGGAGTCATCAATATACAGGCAGTATTTTAAACCAAGAGAGCAGATGAGGACACTTGAAAAAGATACATAAGACGAGAAGGGGTCAAAGACAGAATCCAAGAAAACAGTAATATTTCAGGGAGTGGACAGTTGAAAAAAAGCAAAAAAAAAAAAAAGAGGCTTAAAAAAAAGAAAACTGGAAAAAAATGAAGTCATGGAAGAAGTTTCAAAGAGCAATTATCAATAATATCAAATACCACAGAGTAGGTCAAGAAAACAAAGACTGTAAGTATCCTTTTGGATCTAGCAATTAATGTTACTAATGTAATTAACTAGACCAGTTCACATAGTGAGTGCAGAAGACAGACTACAATAGGTTAAGGAGTGAGCAGGAGGTGGAGAAGCAGAGACAGAAATGGAGATATCAAGTAAGACAGTCTTTGGAGAAGTCTGCATAGAGAGGGAGAAGGAATCCTCAAGAGGGGGAGGTAGTTAAAAGAGTTTTTTGGCCGGGCATAGTGGCTCACGCCTGTAATTCCAGCACTTTGGGAGGCCGAGGTGAGAGGATCACAAGGTCAGGAGATCGATACCATCCTGGCTAACACAGTTAAACCCTGTCTCTACTAAAAAATACAAACAATTAGCCGGGTGTGGTGGTGGGTGCCTGTAGTCCCAGCTACTCAGGAGGCCAAGGCAGGAGAATGGCATGAATCCAGGAGGAAGAGCTTGCAGTGAGCCGAGATCGCGCCACTGCACTTCAGCATGGGCGACAGAGGGAGACTCCGTCTCAAAAAAAAAAATAAGAGTTTTTTAAAAAGGATGTTAGCTATGACAATAGAAGTACGTCTTCACAGGATTGTTATGAAGATTAAATTAATTAATCATTGTAAAGTGGTTATATAAGTACTTGTTAAAGAAAAAAAGAATAATTGATTAAAGTAAGGTCCTAAGGAAAAAAGAGGAAATGGGGTCAAGAGCACAGGCAACTCAGCCTTAAACAGGAAGAACAATACCCTGCCCACCAAGTCTTAAGATAGCCTGAGTACAAATATGGCTAATTTTAAAGGTAGAGATAGAAAGTTGAGACAAGGTGACATTCTCAGAAGATGGATTTTTTTTTTTTTTTTTTTTTTTTTTTTTTTAGACAGAGTTTTCGCTCTTGTTGCCCAGGCTGGAGTGCAATGGTGTGATCTTGGCTCACCACAACCTCTGCCTCCCGGGTTCAAGCAATTCTCCTGCCTCAGCCTCCCAAGTAGCTGGGATTACAGGAATGCGCCACCACACCCGGCTAATTTTGTATTTTTAGTAGAGATAGGGTTTCTCCATGTTGGTCAGGCTGGTCGCCAACTCCAGACCTCAGGTGATCTGCTCGCCTCAGCCTTCCCAAGTGCTGGGATTACAGGTGTGAGCCACCGTGCCCGGCCAAAGATGGGTATTATATAAATTGGGAAAACAGCTTAAAAACAGCAAAATCTGGAATATGTGCTGAGAAAGAATAAACTCCAGCAAAAAAAGACAAATAACTGATAGGCAGCAGAGTAAGCTCAACTAAGATTGCAAACCACAATAAATTGGTGGCTTTAATCAGAGTAGTCAAGCTGTTTTCTCCAAACACCTCAGCCACCTCACAGAGATGGTAAGAAGTTTATGTTCATAAAGTACCTGAAAAAAATGAAAGTGTAATTATAAAATGAAAAATGCCAGTAATATTAAACTCATGTGCATATTGGATATTTTCAACATCTCTTCATGAAGTAAGGTTTTTGGGGTTGACATTATGATTTCCTTTTTTTTTTTTTTTTTTTGAGACAGAGTCTCTGTCACCCAGGCTGGAGTGCAGTGGTGCAATCTCGGGTCACTGTAACCTCCGCCTCCCAGGTTCAAGAGATTCTCCTGCCTTAGCCTGCTGAGTAGCTGGGATTACAGGCACACACCACAACCTCAGCTAATTTTTGTATTTTTTTTTTTTTTTTTTTTTTTTGAGACGGAGTCTCGCTCTGTCGCCCAGGCTGGAGTGCAGTGGCGGGATCTCGGCTCACTGCAAGCTCCGCCTCCCGGGTTCACGCCATTCTCCTGCCTCAGCCTCCCAAGTAGCTGGGACTACAGGCGCCCGCCACTACGCCCGGCTAATTTTTTGTATTTTTAGTAGAGATGAGGTTTCACCATGTTGGCCAGGATGGTCTCAAACTTCTGATCTCAAGTGATCCACCCGCCTCGGCCTCCCAAAGTGCTGCGATTACAGGCATGAGCCACCACGCCTGGTCAATTTTCTTTAACTCCATTTTTATCCAACTAATCTTCAAAACACTTTAAAGATTTAGTTATACCAACACCTAAGTTACATCTATATTTGTGTGTGCAGATCACTCAAAAAAAATGCAGTCAATGCAGAAAATGAAAAACATGTTACCCAATTTAACCTTCAAGAAGCATATTAAGAAAACAAGCCTATAATTACCCAAATCAAAATTTAGCCAAGACATCAATAGAAATTATGAAAAGACAAAGCTTGCTATGGTTATAATATAACTCTGCATCTACTAATTCTCCTGATTCTTCAGAAAACTGTTGTATGAGGACTTGTGCTTATAGAGAAAACAAACAAAAAAATTAGCAACACAAAAGAGTAACTTTCTAAGAGACTGGTGTTCAATATGACAAAATATATAATAAGAGTAGAAAAATCACAAAAATACAATTATAAAACATAGCACACTTAATAAAATGTCTCCTGAGATGAAAACGGTAATATGGTTATAAAATTATATTTGGGGAGATAGATGATTCAGCTAAAAGAAAAACCAAACAAAAAACTACTATTCACCTCAATGAATAGTGAAGAGAATCGAGTAAATAAGTGCTCTTCAATCCATTAATCCTCCCACCTCAGCCTCCCAAGTACCTGGGACCATAGGCACATGCCACCACACTTGGCTAATTTTTAAATTTTTTGAAGAGACAGGCTAAGTAAGTAAAGCCACCTAAGCCATTCCAGCTATTAACTCTATTAACAAACCTGATGAAAAAGAGGAAAGCTGTATAAAAACTCAGTATCAGCAATTTCAAATATAACCCAATTCTATTTACAATCACAGCATACCTATCTCAATCCCTACTATGCAAGTAAATAAAAATCCTACCTGCTTGCTATAGTCTCTCACCCCACTTTCCATCATTGCTAACTTTTCTTGTAGCTGGTGGACTTCCTGTTGAAGTTCTTGAATCCTGAAAAGCACTTTAAATTAATGCCAATACACTTTTGTTAAGAAATACAAAATAAGAAACGAAGCTAGATGTGTTATTTCATAAATTCTATACTTTCAGCTTCTCAAACAGGTAGGACGTACTGTGCCAAAGGGTCCCCAAATCAATATAAAATATAGTACAACATCATGGAGAGTTGGTTTGTAACAAGATTTAAAACTGAGTAGTAAATAATTTGAAACTCAGATACACTGTGCAAGAAACACCTCACTATTGCATTTTGATCCCCAGGAAAATTCTTTGAGGTACTGCTGCCAATTCTTAGGTTTAGAAAACTGAGGTTTACTCCACAATTCACAGACTTAGTAAGTGAAATAAGAAACTAAAATGTGTTTTCTGACCCTAACCCTGTATTGTCTACTACTACTTTGAAACCCTGGAAAAAAGATCATATGTAACTACAGCAAAAAACCTATTCCTTCTGGAACTTGTTAATTCCAACAGAATCAAGATTTTGTCCAAATTACCTGAATTGTTCAGGTACATTATGACATAATTAATCCATTTTCATATTGGAAAGACAAAGCCTGAAGCCAGGTCTGCTTTTTTTTCTTTTTTGAGACAGGGCCTTCCTATGTTACCCGGGCTAGAATCCTGTGGCCCGATCACAGCTCACTGCTGCCTCAACCTCCACAGCTCCATCAATCCTCTCACCTCAGCCTCCCAAGTACCTGGGACCACAGGCACATGCCACCACACTTGGGTAATTTTTAAATTTTTTGTAGAGAGAGAGTTTTTCCACATTGTCGAAGCTGGTCTTGAACTCCTGGGCTTTAAGCAATCCTCCTGCCTCGGCCTACCAAAGTGCTGGGATTACAGGCGTGAACCACAGTGCTTCCAGCCCCAGGTTTGTTTTTAAAAGAGATTTTCCATGGGGTGGAGTAAATGAGGCTGGATACGGCTTGTACCTGATGTTAACTGGAACCAACATTTTCTACTAATCTAGGTTTAGGAGAAGAGTATGTATGCAACTGCACTCATATAAATGCATGAATGACTCTGAATACAAACAAAATGTGCATATATAAATTAAACAGGACAATTAAAAAAGACTAATGTCACTTATGCAGCCCAAATAATTCCCTAAATAATACAAACACATTATCTGAAAAGCCCTAGATAATAAGAACAAAACACTTCCCAGTTAAGGTCAAACAACTATATAAAAATATTATGTGACAACTGAGTGAAGAGATCCTAATCAGTAGCTCAAAGGGTCTTGCTCTGTGTCCCAGGCTGAAGTGCAGTGGTTCAATCTCAGCTCATTGCAACCTCTGCCTCCCAGGTTCAAGCGATCTGCCTACCTCAGCCTCCTAAGTAGCTGGGACTACAGGTGCATGCCACCATGCTCGGCTAATTTTTAAATTTTTTGTAGAGAAAAGGTCTCACTATATTGACCAGGCTGGTCTTGAATTCATGGGTTCAAGCGATCCTCCTGCCTTGGCCTCCCAAAGTGCTGGGATTAACAGGCGTGATCCACTGCACCTGGTCCCAGTGCTCTTTTTTAGCTTTATCTATTGAGATTAATAAAACCCCCCACATTCTCTGTATAATCTACAAAATAAAAAGCTACCTGCATGAACTATTTCCATTAGTGTATTCTACAGTTTGAAATGCTTCTCCAGCTATCACCGTGGAGACTAGTGCTCATCCATTCCTTTGAGCCTCTTATAATTTTCTTAATGGTGTTTTGTGAATTTCTCATCTCATCTCTAGTACTGGACTACAAGCTTCTCAAAAACAGAAACACCATCTTCTTCATCTTTATATCCTCAGAACACTTACACAGTGCCTTGCCCAGGAGGTTTAATAACATTTCAATCAAATGGAATTTATATATGATTCAAATGTAAGGAAATATAAACACAGAGCTAGAGAAACCATTAAAAAAGGAATTTCAAATCCAGTTACACATCTCTTCATATTTAACTGACATTTGACACAAATCTGAAGCAATAAAGATTCTTGCAAAAGATACCTCTTATTTGGAGACAACACAAAATGTCAAAGCAGCTCTACTTAAACAGGTTCTTGATGGCAATAATTTTTAAGCCAGTATGAACAGAAACCTTAGATATATGATCCATTTGATCAAAGTTTCAAAACAAGTAAAAACATTTTATATCAATCTGGAAGTATTTACTGAGTGCCGGTGCAAAGTTCTGTGCTAGACACTGGAGACACAACAGTTAACAAGAAAAAAAGCCCTCCTATCAAGAAACTTACAGCTAATTGAGTGCTCAATTAACTCAAGCCAAGAAAGAATTATTTAATGCACCTGTTATCAGCCACTTGAAGGAGGTCTGCAATGTAAGGGTCATCTGGTTGAGGAACTGGATATGAACTGACTTCAGAGGGAGGAACCGGTTCATCAATTTGCATACGCTGGCGCCTGAAAGCAATACTTCTTTTCTTGCCACCTAAAAAGAATGAGTGTCTTAAAAAACTAAGAAGAAACAAAACCATGTCTTAGAATTAAATATTCCAGGTTAGCCTTTCGGTTATAAAGTGTGTCTGCAGTTCATAATACATATTGACAAAATATTTTCTCCATCAATATATAAATATCCACCCTGATCTTTAACTAAACAATGCATTCCTAAAAACCTCAACAAGACATGGTTATCAAACAAGTTTTATATGCCTGCAAGCTTGGCATATATGCCCAGGCTTAATATGTTTGCCCACTAGATGGGGATAAGACTTTGGCAAGTTTAAAAGCTGAATGCGGCCAGGTATGGCGGCTCACACCTATAATCCCAGCACTTTGGAAGGCCGAGGCGGGTGGATCACCTGAGGTTGGGAGTTCGAGACCAAGCCTGGCCAACATGGTGAAACCCCGTCTCTACTAAAAATACAAAAAAATTAGCTGGGCGTGGTAACGGGCACCTGTAATCCCAGCTACTTGGGAGGCTGAGGCAGGAGAATCTCTTGAACCCGGGAGGCCGAGGTTGTGGTGGGCCAAGATTGCGCCACTGCACTCTAACCTGGGCAACAAGAGTGAAACTCCATCTCAAAAAAAAAAAGCTGAATGTGCCTGTGGTGTTCACTATTATGAGCTCAAGAAATTATCACTAGCAGAAAACTGGCAGTGAGAACTAAAATATGCGTGGTTATTAGCTAATATCAACATAAAAGATAACTGAAATTGTAAGTAGCAAAGTTAGAATGAATGGAATGTCATCTATAATATAAAGTCATGCTATAATCTGAATTAGGAGGGAATGTTTTCTTAACCTCTACAAGTAGTAGGACTAAATTTTCTTATGGCTAGATATATCTTGTCTTGGTCAAAAATACATGGACAATTTATCTCTTTAAGGATTTTGCCAAGATTAGAAGTGTATTTGAAAAACCAGCAGATCCTTGTGAAGAACAAACATAATCCACAATTTTGTCTCATTAGAATTCTAACAAATTTTGTATACTCCTACAGAGGTAGGAGTATACAAAAGGAGTTTTAAGGATAAGAAAACTGGGCCAAAAGTATTTAAATGACCTGTTTGTTCACACACCTGAACAAAGCTAACCATTCCTTCTTTCTTTACCTCCTGGTTTTCCTCCTTGGTGGCTCCTCAGTTTCTTTCAGAAACTGTCTTCTTCCACCTGTCCCTTAAATACCAATTTCCCTCACATCTGACTCTGGGTCTCCTCTCTTCCCAGTCTACATAATCTCACTAGATAATTCTTACTACACCCATAGCTTCAATTACCATGAGACTCCAATGACTCTTAAATTTGCATCTCCACCAGGGCCCACACTTTTGAGAACAGATCTACATATCCCACTGTTTGCCAAAAATTTAGACATGAATGTCTTGTGGGTATAGCATACTCCACACATCCAAAAGTGGACTCCTGCTCTGCTTCCCACATTCTCTAACTTAAGAAATAGTATCACCCTCCACCTAACTCATTCACTCGAAAGAGAAGTCTGAGAATTCCTCTGCTTCCCAAATCTACATTTACTCACTATCTTGATTATACATCTTGAATCTCTCCGGAGTCTATCCCATTCTTTCCTCAGGAAACCTGATTATCCTCTTTTTTGCCTTAATCTTCTAGTTACTTTCAAGGTTGACTCCCACTTTTCTCTATCTCTTCTGCCTTTTGCTCACAGTCCCCATGTCCATCTATCTCATTTACTAAACTATCTCACGCTCCACTGAGTCTTCCCCCACCTGGCTTCACAGTTCTAATCTGTCCACTCTCAGGAGTCTCCTCTCCCCTCAACTTCAGGCACACAATAAGATGATACACTTTGGCCTTTGTCATCACTCAGAACTCTGCTGGCTTCTAGTTCTTCAACTCCAAAATTCCACTCTGACTGCAATCTTCATAGCAAACAAATTACTTTTGGTACTCATCATGCTCTTTAATCTGTCTTGACCTAGCCTCATAATCCAGCAGCCCCCTGTTACTCACTTAATTTCATAATCTTGATCCCATGGTTCAGCTATCTTAATGATTTTGTCACTAATATTGTAGATTCTACCACCAACCCATACCTGCTGAACAATCACCAACTCTGGATGTGGCCCATCATTTCTTTTTTTTTTTTTGAGACAGGGTCTCACTCTATCACCCAAGCTGGAGTGCAGTGGTGCAATCTCAGCTCACTGCAACCTCCGCCTCCCAGGCTCAAGCAATCCTCCCACCTCAGCCTCCCAAGTAGCTGGAACTATAGGCTTGCGCCACCATGCCCAGCTAATTTTTGTATTTTTGGTAGAGGTGGGGTTTCATCACGTTCCCACACAGGTCTTGAAGCGGCCTCAAATGATCTGCCCACTTCAGCCTCCCAAAGTGGTGGGATTACAGGTGTGAGCCACTGCACCTGGACCCATCATTTCCTTTTCTTGCTCTATAACTACTAAGCATAATGCTAAAAATAGTAAAATAAACTAAGAAAGTACATAATTTCCAAATTCTTTAATGAGTATGGATTACTTTTACAACTAAAATAATAATGATAATAATAATAGAAAAAAGAATTTAAAATATTGATTAGAGAAAGCTCTGGGCATTAAAGTTAGACTAGTATCTAAGTAACTAATACTACATACATTTCTAAGCACACGTATAAATTACTACCCGGATCATTAGAAATAAATCAAGAAGTTTACGGTCTATTCAATATATATTTTCAAACACTAAAGTCTAAGCATGAAAATCCAATCCAAAGTCCTATTTTAGTCAATGGTGTTAATATCGTTAAAAGATTAAATGTGTATAATTTGTCTCGAGAAGGAATCGATTTACCTGGAGTTTGTACTACAGCATGCAAATTCTTTTCTTGAAGTTGTTGAATTCTTTCATTCTTAGCTTTGCTCTCTTTCTCCAACAGTTTGAGTTTATGAGCATATTGGTTATTCAGAAATTTCAGATCAGCTGTTTCACGTGCACATTTCTTCAATGAAGTTTTCAACTCTTAAAATGAAAAAGATTCAAAGACCGTTTTAAAGATCAAGAAATCCAATGAAGTTTTTCCATTTCACAAAATACAAAAAGTCATATCAATTTAAAAGTCTCCACCTGCTTCTTATGCATGCTTTAGTTGACACTTATTCCTTCTTCTACTATTATTAACAAAACTGCAAATAACTCACTAAGCACAAAAGAGAATCTTCATTTTTCAGCTACTGTATTAGCCTAACGTACATCATAGCTTTTGATCCAGTAAATTGGGTCTGAAGCTAAAGGATTATGAATTCATACCATGGATTAGATAAAGTTTTCTACTGAATATAAGAATAATTCATACAAAGATAACCATATAATTATCTTTTCCCTAGTACCTTTGAAATCATCCTATTCTACTTGACAGCTCAAAGACTGACTATAAAACAGTCAGCATGATACATGGTTTTCACCTTATTTACTACTTTTATTTTCAGTAAGGGAAAAACAAAAGTTGTTTCAAGAACATTTCTTCAAATCCAGCATTTAATATTCCCTATGGCAATTTTAATTCTAAAATTTTAATTAAATTTTTAATTCTAAAAATTTAATCCACATATAGTGATTATCATAGCTATATAATGCACATTTATTTTCCTTCTCAGGAACTCTTCAACATACCCTATAGTATTTCAGGGGCTATTAGCAGAAGGAGTACCATATTTTCTTTTCTTTTCTTTTTTTTTGAAACAAGTTCTCACTATGTTGCCTAGGCTGGTCTCAAACTCCTGGGCTCAAGCAATCCTCCCACCTTAAACTCCCGAGTAGCTGGGACTATAGGCACACACCATCCAGCTGTAGGACTACTATATTTTCTAATCAATAGTTTTAAAATTAGACGTTAGCTTTTCCTTCTAAAATAAAAAGGACAAAGACATTGCATTTTAAAAATTATCAAATTTTCACTTACCTTTAACGTGTTGGTCTGAATGTTCTCTCAGTTTCATTAACTCTAGGTATAATTCATTATTTTCTCTACTCAATCTTGCATTTTCAAGTTTATAGGGTTCCAAAACAAAATCAAAATTGGCACTTTCTTTTTCAGCTTTCACAGCAGATAATTTTGATTGCCGAAGGCTCTCAGTTGTATGAACTAAGTCGCTAAAAGAACAGAAAATTTAAATACCAGGAAATATTTCATTAACTTTCTAATAACTAAAAACATATTTCTAAAGAGGCTTAAAATACAGTCATGCACCACATGATGACATTTTGGTCAACGACAGACCACATATAGGAAGGAGAGTAGTCCTGTAAGATTTATAATGGGGGCAGCTGAAAAATTCCTATTGCCTCATGAGATCTGGCCATTGTAACACTGTAGCACAACACAATACCTTTTCTATGTTTAGATATGTTCAGATATACAAATAGGCACCACTGTGTTAACAATTACCTACAGTATTCAGTATAGTAACATGCTATACAGGTTTGTAGCCTAGGAGCCATAGGATACAGACCATATAGCCTAGGTTTGTGGTAGGCGACACCATCTAGGTTTGTGTAAGCACACCCTATGATGTTGGTACAACGAAAAAATCACCTAATGATGACATGTTTCTCAGAACGTATCCCTGTCATGAAACTATCCATGACTGTATTTGAAGACCAGTGAAGCAGACATAGAACTTAAGGGGGGGAAAAAAAAAGAACTTAAGGGAAAAGTGTCTCTCAATTATATCAGAAACCCAAAAAACTGTAATTCCATTCACAGAGAAAACCCCCAGAAATGTTGACTTTGAACAGTACAGCGTGAGTGGTGGCCTTTAGAGTTCTGCCGTGTGGAAGGCCTGGATTGAGGACAGGGAAAAAACAGATAAGCTTCATGATTGAAAGCCTTTCCGGAAAGCTACCCTTTTCTTTACCAAAGCATGAAGTTCAATCAGAAATGAGGTAAGTGGTTAGGGATCATAAAGGTTGAAAACTGTATTTTTGTCTTTACCTGAAAAGTTTTTCTACCAAAGGTAAACACTCCACTGTCAGAGTCTGGCGGTATCCCAGCTGATCCAGCCTTTTCCTAATATTAATATACTTTCTCTCTACAGCTGTAGTCATCTCGTCTTCTAAAACAAGTTTTATTCACTTCCAAAAATTAAAGTCCTGAGAGAAAAGAATGAAACATCATTATCTTATTATAGCTATGATTGTTGTTTCACAATAAGAAGAAAAAATTATTTTAATATGAAGCAATTATTTTTTGTTTTTCTTCAGGTAGGTAGCCTTCTGGAAAATTCAGATTTAAAGCCAATGCTTATGATATTCCTGTTACTGCATTAAAATAAATACTTCCTCATACAACTAAATGTAAAAGTTAAAATCCTAAAGCTTCTAGGAGAAAACAAAGATTTTTCCTAAGCCTGAAGTAGGCAGAGACTTCTCAGAGAGGCCTCTTTTAAAAGCACTAAACATAAAAGATAAATTTGATAAATTGGACTTCATCAAAATTTAAAATGTCTGCTCATCAAAATACTCAATTAAAATAGAGAAGGCAAACCAAAGAGTGGGAGAAAATATTCACAATATCTGACAAAGGATTTGTATAGGGAATATAAAAGGAATTCTTACAACTCAATAATAAGACAAACATCCCAATAAGAACATTAATTTGGGCTAAAACTGTAATTTAGTTGCGCTAAAGATTCGAACAGACACCTCGCATAGGTGTCTGAATGGGAATGATGATATGAAATGGTGCTCAACAGTAGTCAACATGGAAATACAAATTAAAACAACAAGGTACATTTTCTCCCAAACTAGAATGACTAAAATTACAAGGACCGACAATAGCAAATGTCGACAAAGATCTGGAGCAACTGGAATCTTCACACATTGCTGACAGGAATGTAAAATCACTTTGGAAAAAGTCTGGCAGTTTTTTTATAAAGTTAAACATACTTCTGGACTATAACCCTGTGATTTTATTCCCAGGTATTTATAGAAATAAAAAATATTCACAAAAATACTCTACAAGAATGTTCACAGCTTTACTCATAGTAGCCCCAAACTGGAAACAACCTAAACCCCCATCAACAGCAGAAGGGGTAAAGTATGATATATTTATACAGTGCAATACTAAGGGATAAAAGGAACTACTGATACACATCAACAGCATGGATGAATCTCAAAAACATTATTTGAGCAAAAGAAACCAGACAAATACTGTATGACTCCATTTACATGAAGTTGATGAACAAGTAAAATTAAAACTATGGGGCCAGAAATTAAAACAAGAGTTGTCTGGGGAGGTGAGGCGGGCTGCAGATTGCCCGTTAAGAGTTAAGACACAACTTTTTAGGGTAATGAAAATATTACATTGATTGGGGTAGTGGTTACACAAGTGTATACATTTAGAGAATTTACTTTTCAAATAGTACACTTAAACTCTATGCATTTCATCATGTAAATTTCACTTCAATTAAAAAAAAAGACACACATAAGTACCTCTGTTCAAGTTTTTATCTTTGTCTTTTTAAATATTTATGAATATATTCCTATCAATCTGCCCTAAAATGGAGTTATCCAAAGAGCATTTCTTTTTTTTTTTTATTTTAATTGTTACCTTTTTTAGAGACAGGGTCTTGCTATGTGGCCCAGGCTGGTCTCCAACTCCTGAGCTCAAGGTATTCTCCCACCTCTACCTCCCAAAGTGCTAGGTTTACAGGTGTGAGCCAATATGCTCAGCCCAAAGATCATTTCTTTAGAAACTCTGCTCTTTTCTAACCTTTGCTAACTAACTGTAGTCATGGTACTCGTATTTCTAAGCCAAATAAAAATTTTGTTTTACATCTGTTGTTCTTCACAATATATAAAAAATGCATTACATGCATGAGCATACATGTAAAAGTCGATCCTCACAGCTACCCTGTGAGGGAGAAAGACCAATGATATTATCCCTACTTAAACATGAGGAAAGGCTGCCTCAAGAAAGTAACTCTTCCAAAACCACGGGGCCACAAAGTAGGTGGGCAGTCATCAGAGACCAGGTCTCCTGAGTCTCTCCTTGGTCACTCCTTTCTGTATATCTTTCTCTTTGCTCTTGTTAACTTTTTTTGAATGGCTTCCTCATAGATTTCCTAGGTTCTTTCCACAAGAGACACCTAAGTGATGCAGGGTTTTTAGGGAAATTCCTGCAGACATCAGAAATACACCTGACAAATCCAGGTGTATTACTAGCAGGGTGTAAACTTACAGGCGGTGCACCACTCAAAACATTTCCCCTCTTTGCTACCAACTCCAGTTACCCAGAGATAATACCTCCTCACATCCTGCTTTGGAGGGGAGAGAATGAGAATGAATATGAATCAATAAATCATGGCCAGGGCCTCAATACACAGGACGGATTAAAATCCTCCCAGATAGAAACATGTTAGGCCGTCCCCACCCATGAACTGTTGTCTTTCCCCATAACCCCCATCCAAATATGGTGGCTATACTCTAAGTTTCTAGCAAAGCAACATAAAAGGTTAGGTTTGGGGGTCCCCCATACATATATGTGTAGAAGTATCCATCTACTTAACTCTGGGGGTTGGCGTCTCAAAACCAGTACATTTAATGCTGTATGTATGTGTGCACAGGGCTTAAGAAGATAAACAAGAAACCCCAAACGACAACAAAGAAACCCGTTAGCTGTGGTTATCTCAGAGTCCTTTCTTATTGAACTCAAAGTAGTAAAGGCTGGAAAGCAGTGGAGAGGCTTCAAAGGAGCTGGGCAAAGGTTAATTAAAGGCTGTCGTCCTACGCTTTGCGACATTTTTGTTACAAAGAGCATGGATGACTGCTACACTGAGAAGGCATTTTAATGTTTAAATCTATCCATTGGTCAACAGCAAGCCTGTCTGCACGGCCCACACAGACGCTCCTTGACGAGTCGGCCCAAGCTCTCCTCCACCCAATCTCCGGTTTGCAACTTTACCGTCGGGTGTTGACGGGAAGGGGGTGTGGGAGCGGGGTGGGTGGGAAGAGTCCCCGCGCCCCTCCCCGCCCGGTCTGACCCGGCCTGGCCTCACTTCCTCCCGCGGCCGCGCGGCCTCCCGGCAGTGCCCGAGCCCGGCCCGCGGGTACCGCCCAGAAGGCGAAGGCGCCACCACCGCCGCAGCTGGCCCTCTGGCTCCCACATCCGGACTCACCGGCAGCTCCAGCCGCCGTTGCCTCCGCCTCCAGCCGCATTGCCCTCAGGCCTCGAGTCCCCCACTAGCTCCTTCCGTCCAGGCACGGGCTCCGGCGCTAGAGCAGTTTGAAAATGGCGCGGAGGGACGATCGGGGCCGACACGGAGGAGGCGCCGCGGTTGCCCCGGTAACGGGAGCGGCGGACGATTAGCGGCTCGCGGCGGGGACGCGCTTGGCGACGATGGCGGAGCCCCAGTGCCCGGAAATGCAACGGCCCGGACAGCGCGAGGCCACGGCGCCCCCTGGAGGTCGGCGCCCGCGGCCAGCAAATGCCAAACCTCAGCTGGTGCCTGAGCTGGCATCCTCTTCCTCCTGTCGGCGGGAGGTGTGGATCACCTACTGCGTGCGGGGAACAAACGCCGCCCCAGTACCGGTCCCTGCAGCGGAGTAGCCTTCACCTGCAAGGTGAACGCCTGCTCACCACGTAATCCCCAAACGCAGATATCACGTTGTCTCTGCAACTTTCCCTGACAACCACCCAATGCAATTAATTATCCCACAATAGTATCTCCCGCAGGCTCTCTGTAGAACCATAGAATTCATCCATCAAAATACAATCATTTGTTGATCCGTCTCTCTCTGCCGCCCCCAAATGTGAATTCCTTGAGTCAGAGACTATTCTACTCAGCAAAACATTTGTGAGTGGAATTAAATTGAAATAAACCGTTATAGTCCACTCACAGATGGAAAACACATAGTAAAATCCTAGAATTCCATTTCTCCCCTGAAAATTTCCCAGACAGTCAGAGGGAGTTTCATTCTTTCCTGTTTACTTTTCTCCCAAATAGGCCTTCTGAGGCAGCAGAATAGGGAAGGAAGTCAGAAGACTGACCAGCTCATACCTATGGAATGCCTATCATACATACACTTAAAATTATGGCAAGCTCACGCAGGCGCACTAAGAGAGAAAAAACAAGAAAACAGATATGACAATTATAGGAAATCCCCTCCCTAGAGTTAAAGAAGTGTAGGAAGTGGGTATAAAAGAACAAAGGCTATATTAATCCAGGGCTGACACCACTTGAAGATAAGCCCGTTCCTCTCTCTGGTATATTCTTTGCTTAATAAATCTTGTGGGGTGGTTATTTGTGTGTCTCATCCAATTCTTTGTTCATAACACCAAGAACCTGGAACTCCCAACTTCCAATCTGGTAACATATTTTGGTGAGCCAGCCAGGAGGTAAGCCCAGAAGAACTGGGACTTTTTATTTTCTTTCTTTTTTGCTTCAGCTCTTTCACTTTGGTTTAAAGCTGCCTTCTGCTGGCACGGATTGGGCAGTTAAGAACGAAAAAGGCACTGGCCGCTTGAAGACTCCCATTGTTGCGGGAAAGCAGAGGACCAGAAAGACCAATGGGTGGAGCAGGAGGATTTTATTAAGGTGTGCACTGGCTCCGTGGATTTGCATCCAAAAAGCTGAGCCCTGAACAAAGACAGAGCTTGGCTTATATAGGCTAAATTAAAAAAGCAGAACCAAGGCAGTAAATCACACAGTGACAGGTTTTGTAATCTATAGCATAACTGCTGAAATTTGCATAACTTTTGGCTTTGCTTAGCTGGTGGCCTTGCAGCTGCGTCAAAAGAAAAACAGGAACCTACAAATCTTTCTAAACATAGGCAAAAATAATCATAATTAATGGTCTAAGGAAAGAGAAACAGTAAAGGAATTTGTTTTTCTTAACCATTGCTCAGGGGTGTTTGGAGCTCATTCCTGGCTTCTTAGACTAGGTCACCATGACCTTCCTATAGCCTTGCTTGTTACTATCCTTAGAGTGAGTAAATGCAGTACAAAACTTTCTTTAAATTCCTGCCTCAACGTGACAGGATAACCTGATTGGGGAATGGAACAGATGGGTCCCACGGGGTACAAGATCAATCCCTGCAACAGTGAGGTGCATGTTTGTGTGGCTATAATTATTACATTATTTGCTGCTTGTTTTTTTGTTTTTGTTTTTGTTTTTGTTTTTGTTTTTGTTTTGAGATGGAGTCTTGCTCTGTCACCCAGGCTGGAGTGCAGTGGCATGATCTCGGCTCACTGCAACCTTCACCTCCCGGGATCAAGCAATTCTCCTGCCTCAGCCTCCTGAGTAGCTGGGATTACAGGCACCCACCACCATGCCCGGCTAATTTTTGTATTTTTAGTAGAGACAGAGTTTCACCATGTTGGCCAGGGTGGTCTCGAACTCCTGACCTCAGGTGATCCGCCCACCTCGGCCTCCCGAAGTCCTGGTATTACAGGCATGAGCCACCATGCCCAGCCAGCCACCGTGCCCAGCCTTGCTGCTTGTTTTATTTTTTTTTTCTTTTCTTCATTTGTGTTGGGATATCATGTTTTGACCAATTAGAGATCTCCCCCCAACCCAAAGGGCCAGGACAACAGGTAACTGACTGTGGGGAGCCCAAGGATTAGCATCAGCCTGAAGATTAGGGCCAACCACCTGGATAATGAGAGTACCCTGCTTCTTCTGTGAGGGATCAGATCTAGATTGTTTTAGTTTAGTACATCTGGTGCTAAAAGAAAACTCCTGGTGGAGACTCTCGGATCATTGCATAAATTGCACAGTGGATCCATGGGGAAATTACTGTGCCTGGTTTATCTCATATAGTCAGAGGGCACTCTACTATCTTATTGAGAGGCCAGTCTCTAATAACAAATTTAAACTAGGCAGTCTGCAATTCCTTGCCCTTCAAACTAGAGTTACTACAATAATTAAGGAAACCATTTGGGAAGAAACTCTTTTGGCCAGCTACAGGGATACTAGAAGCCAAAGGTTACACCCAGGAACTAAAGGGAAACTTATCATAGGTCACCAATTATGGCAGGATCCTTCTTCAAATGGCACTGGTGCCCACTATGGCTAGAGACGTCTGGCACTCAGAGGACAGGTCCATTTGGGGGATGCCCAAATGGACCAAAATTACAGTCCAGATCCTTCAATAGGGGACACCCTTAAGGGAGACTCTAGATGTAAACTCATGAACCTATGAGACTCCTTTCATGCGCGTCCATGTGAAGAGACCACCAAACAGGTTTTGTGTGAGCAATAAGGCTGTTTATTTCACCTGGGTGCAGGCAGGCTGAGTCTGAAAAGAGAGTCAGCGAAAGGAGATAGGGGTGGGGCAGTTTTATAGGATTTGGGTAGGTAAAGGAAAATTACAGTCAAAGGGGTTATTCTGTGGTGGGCAGGAGTGGGGGTCGCAAGGTGCTCAGTGGGGGAGCTTTTTGAGCCAGGATGAGCCAGGAAAAGGACTTTCACAAGGTAATGTCATCACTTAAGACAAGGACTGGCCATTTTCACTTCTTTTGTGGTGGAATGTCATCAGTTAAGGCGGGGCAGGGTATTTTCACTTCTTTTGTGATTCTTCAGTTACTTTGGGCCATCTGGGCATATATGTGCAAGTCACAGGGGATTCAATGGCTTGGCTTGGGCTCAGAGGCCTGACAACTCCCTTCTTCTTTTCCACAGATTAGTGTTGGGAAACATTCCTTCAGTCCTATCTGACTCCCCTCTTGGCTGCATCTTCAATCATTGGAATCAATTTGACCCTGAAAACCTGTGAAAGAAATGCCTAATATTTTATTGTAACACCTTTTGGCCTCAATTTCAGCTAGGGAGTCAAGAGCAATGGCCAGTCAATGGAAGTCTCAATTATGACACCATCCTCCAATTAGAACTATTTTGTAAGAGACAAGGCAAATGGTCAGAAATACCATATGTGCAAGCCTTCATGGCCCTATACCAAAAGCCTACCATTTTCAAAGCTCCCAGCACTTCTCCACAGAAAGAAACTCCTAAAACTGAGCCGAATACTGTAGATAACCCCCTCTTGCAAGGGGTACATATGTGTCAGGGTGAACAATAGCCACCTTCCTATAATCCAGGTCCAAGTGCACTTGAAGCTTCAAAAGAAGGACAAGAGTCACGGGTCCTAGCGATCCCTCCCCATACTAGCTTAGGAACACCATATTCAATGACACCACCTGTCCTGCTACCTCTCAGAGAGGTGGCAGGAACTGAGGGTCCCATCAGGGTACAGGTCTCCTTCTTAATAACTGATATCCAACAATGTAAGGAAAAACTGGGCAGTTACTCAGAAATTTGCTGTTGGGTTCCAGACTTTGACTTTGGCTTTCAACCTTTCTTGGAGAGACATGCAATTCATTTTGGCCACCTGTTGCACACCTCTGGAAAAGGAATGAATATTTGAGGCTGCTCGCCAGGACACTGATGAACATTTTGCATGTAGCCTGCAGGGCAACAGATCGGGAGCAGATACAGTCCCTACTACTGAACCCATTTGGAAATATAATACCCCCATGAGAATGAATAATCAAACTAAATTTCTTGAGGCACCCCTGAGGGGAATGAAAAAAGGTGTAACAAAGGGAGTAAACTATGATAAGTTTAAGGAGATTACTCAGGGGAAAGAAGAGAATCCAACCATGTTTTACAGTAGACTAGAAGAAGCCTTTAAAATATATACAAACTTAGATCCTGCTTCTCCTGAAGGCAAGATATTAATGGCACAACATTTCATTAGTCACTCTACCCCAGACATTAGACATAAGCTCCAGAAGCTGCAAAGGGGGCCATAGACAAAACCAGTTCCTTGACACCATCTTTATGGTGTACAACAATCATGAACTGGAGGAAGGAAAAGGGGAACAGAGTAAAAAAAAACCCAGCAAGCCAGAATTATGGCAGCCATCATTAGTGATGCCTTGAATGCCCAAAGAGCATCCAAGGGAAACACAAAGGGCTACAAAGATAACGCTAGCAAAGACTCTTGCTTCAAGTGCAAAAAAAGATAGGCATTGGGCAAAGGACCATACTAAGCCTGCACTGGGCCCTTGCCATCAATGTGAAGGCACCAGTCATGACCGTTGGCACTGGCCAGTTGACTGCCCCTGCTCCCACCGAGGGGCTTGGTCAGTCAAAACTCTGGCAGTGTAAAAGGAGGAGTTAGATGAAGACTGAAGTGGCCTGGAGTCTTCCTCACTGTCCCTGTCCAGGAAAATCATCATTACTATTGAGGAGCCCCAGGTAACTCTGGACATCATGGGCACCCAAATTTAGTTTCTTTTTGATACAGCGGCAAATTACTCTGTCCTTATTGCTTGTGCAGGAAAACTTCCCTCCCAGTCCATGAATGTTATGGGAATGGAGGGGAAGCCAAAAATGAGATCCTTTGATCCTCCTTTAACTTGTCAATTTGAGAAGCAAATTTTCCAATAGGAGTTTCTAGTAATACCAAGCTGCCCAGTCCGCTTGTTAGGGGCAGATGTCATGGTTAAAATAGGGGAATTACTACAATATAAACACTGCCCAGCAGGATTGATGACAGTTGGGGAAATAAACAGTGTCCCAGACCCCATTAACAAACAGGTTAACCTACTAGCTTGGTATACCGGGAAACCAGGGAAAGCCAAAATGGCAAAGCCAGTCAAAATACAGCTTTAAAAGACTCCAGCTATTTTCCAAACTGAAAGTCATATCCAATCAAGCTGGAGGCCCATAATTCAGGAATTGCTAACTCATGAACTTTTAAAGCCTTGCAATTCACCTTGCAATACTCCCATTTTATCCATCTTAAAAACTTCAGGGGATATCAGCTAGTATAGGATCTCAGAATAATCAATGAAGCTGTTATCCCCATCCATCCATTGGTGGCAGATCCATACACTGTCTTGGCTCAGGTGCCACAGGATGCAAAATGGTTCTTGGTCCTAAAACTGAAAGATGCCTTCTTTTCCATTCCTCTGGCCCCAGAGTCTCAACACCTTTTTGCCTTTGAAAGGCAAAATCCAGATACCAAAGAAAAACAATACACTTGGACAGTGCTCCCTCAGGGCTTTTGGGATAGCACCCATTTCTTTGCTCAAACCCTATAAAGGGATTTTTATAGGGTTTTCCATTATTATTGGAAAATGGAAGCATACTTCAATATGTAGATGACCTTCTTGTGTGTAGCCCAACCCAGGAAGCATCTGACTAAAATACTGTAAAAGTTTTGAATTTCCTGGAAGACAGGGGATATAAAATGTCAAAGAAAAATTTCAAATCACCCTCCAATAAGTCCAATATATGGGCTATATTCTAAACCCTTGGGCCCAGCAGATATCCCCAGAAGAGGTATAAGTCATATGCAGTCTGGACCCCCTTATACCAAACAACAGCTCTGTTCCTTTTCAGGAATGGCGGGGTTCTGCAGGATATGGATACCAAATTTTGGGCTCATAGCAAAGCCCCTTTATGAAGCAACAAGGGGGCCATAAAATGAGTTAGTAGAATGGACTCCAGAAGTGAGGAAAGCCTTTGTCAAGTTAAAACAGGCATTTGGCCAAGCCCCCATTCTTGGCATCCCAGACCTCACTAAGCCCCTTTCCTTGCATGTAGCAGAAAAGAAGGGCACAGCTGTGGGGGTGCTAACCCAAAAATTGGGATCAGAACCCAGACCAACTGCTTATTTTTCCAAGAAATTGGACGTGTGAACTTGGGGTGGCCAGGCTGCCTGTAAGCAAAAACAGCTACTGCTATTTTAGTGGAATAAGACACTAAAATCACCCTAGGTCAACCACTGGAAATTTTAACACCACATCAGGTGAAATCAGTCTTGGAAATAAAAAGGTATATTTGGATGATGAGGAAAAGGTTAACCAAGTACCAGGTTATACTTCTAGACAATCCAGAGGTAATTCTTAAAACGCATAATACCCTGAATCCAGCTCTATTGCTGCCCACAGGCCCAATAATTGGTCATTCATGTGAGCAGGTCATCACACATACATATGTAAGCTGACCTGATTTAAAAGATTGGCCACTCCCAGACTCAGAGAATGACTGGTTCACAGATGGCAGCAGCTTTGCGTCAAATGGGAAATGCCAGGCTGGATATACAATAGTAAATGACAACACTATCACTGAAGTCCAACTGCTATCCCCAAGGCATGTCAGCACAAAAAGCTGAAATAATTGCTCTTATCTGAGTCCTGATATTGGGGAAAGGAAAAAAGCTTAATATCTGTACAGACTCCAAATATGTATTTCTTGTGGTTAAGGCTAATGCTGCAATTTGGAAAGAAAGAGGACTACTAACTAGGAACCACTCGCCTGTAGAGCATGGGCCTGAAATTCTCTAGTTGTTGGAGGCAATACATTTGCCAAAAGCCATTGCTATAATCCATTGTAGAGGGTATCAAAGGCCTTAGCTCCTATAGCACAAGGGAACAAAAAGACGGACAGGTAAGCAAAAGCAGTGGACTTCAAGGCGCAATCTCAAAAAATCTTAGCACTGCTTCCCTTCTATGATTCCCCAGTAGAACCTGAATACACATCACAGGAGGAACGGATTATAAGGGAGCAAGGGGGACAGAAACAAGGATCTTGGTAGTATATGGGATCAAAAGTATATATCCCTCAAGCAGCCCAATGGAAGGTTATTAGAAACCCTGCACAACTGTTTCCAGATGGGGAGAGATGCCACTCTGGCCATAGCAAACAGGGTCTTTATTGGGTCTAACTTAGCCTCAGTAGCTAAGCAGGTCTGTCAAGGCTGCTTGCTGTGTGCATTTAACAATCCAGGAAACAAGATCCCTCCACTAATGGAACCAGTCCAAAGAAGGGGAACTTACCCTGGGGAAGACTGGCATTTGGACTTTACCCATGAGCCAGCTTGCAGATGATACAAGTTTTTTGCTAATACTGATAGATACCTTTACAGGCTAAGTTGAAGCTTACCCTACTAGAGCAGAAAAGGCTAACGAAGGTGTAAAAGTCCTCTTAAAATAAATAATTCCACAGTTTGAGTTATCCCAAAGCCTCCAGAGTGATAACGGCCCATCCTTTGTCTCCCAGATAACTCAAGGGGTGGCTAAGGTGCTCAGAATTAAATACTATTTACGTTCAGCATGGAGACCTTAATCCTCCAGGAAAGTAGAAAGAGCTAATCAAACTCTAAAATGGGCACTAGCTAAACTATGCCAGGAAACATCAGAAACTTTGGTCAGTTTACTACCCGTACCCCTTTTGAGATTCTGTAACTCCTCAAGGGCAAAAGTAAATATGAGCCCATAGGAAATGCTGTGCTGGAGACCCTTCTTAACTAATGATCGAATAACTAATCCAGAAACATCTGGGCTAATAAAATACCTAATTAATCTGAGAAAATTTCAACAAGCATTACAAAGGTTCTGGAATGAAAGGCTTTCCATACGAGGAACTAACCAGCAACCCAAGATTAGGTCAGGAGATAGAGTACTTATTAAAACATGGAAAGAGGGGTCACCTGCTCAGCAGCTACAACCCAATGGAAGGGACCTTTTTAAGTTATAATAACCACCCTCTGCAGTTAACGTGTTAGGATTAAATAGTTGGATACATCTTTCCAGGGTCAAGCCTGCAATACCTAAAGCTCCAGACCTGGAACCCAAAGCTCCCATCAGTCGCTACCCTGTGAACCTGTGGAGGATCTGAAGTACCTGTTTAAAAGGCATCCAAAAGATAGGTAAATCCCTACTGACTTTGCTGGTGTCTTTGTTGCATAGTTACCGTGGAGTAAGTAATCCTAGTTATTTATATATATTTATCATTTAACTGCTTGCTTCCCCCACAATGGAACCACTTTTTATGTCCATAATCCTATTTTCACCAATATTGGGGGTCCAGCTTCAATACCAAGTGTTAAAACAGATTCAACAGTTAGCCACGCTAACTTAACTTCTTGTTACATTTGTACCTCAGGATCACTATCAGCTGAAGTTTTACCATTACCATTAGAAGATATAGTCAAGGTCAATGCCAGAGTCACTGTTGCCACCCAGTCAGAAGTTACATATCCCAGTCCAGCTGTGGAAAGCTTATTCCTAACAGTCTTATCTCAGATCATAAGAAACAACCCAAATTTAAATTTTACAAATGCCCCAAATCCTGTAAGGGTTTTTCACAACCTAACCTCAGACAGCCAATTCCCAATTTGTTTCACTTCCCACCAAACGAATGGGACCTTTCTGGGATCCCTAAACAATTGTTTATATGAGGTTGTCCTCAGTTGGACAAATCAAGAGAAACATTATAATTCCTCAGAAACAAAAATCAATTCATATTGCAAACTAGGAAAATAAAAACAATTCCTCCTCCTTAAGTATCCTGATCCAAGGCGACCTCAATATACAAGTAATACCAATTCTTCCAATATTTCCACTGGTTGGACCACAGTGTTAATCAACAATTCATCTTTGCCTCTAGCTCAAGCTTTGGCTTGGGGGGTCCAAAGATCATTCTTAAAATTCCACCTCGGCTTATCTTTCCACTCTAGGCTTAATGCATAACTTGCTGTGGCTGGAACACTTTTATGGGAACAACTCACTGGAACTTCCTCTAGTGGCTCAGACACACCTTTGGAACTAGCATCATGGGGATATGAAGTATCTTTGGACCCTGGGCAAGAGTTTATTTCATATGTGGAAATTCAGGGTACATGAGTCTTCTGAGCCAATGGAAAGGGACTTGCGGCATCACTGCTTTACTTCCAAGACTGTCTTATGCAAATGCTAGTACAAAATTCCCATTCCATATAAGACACAGCCATGCATTTGTAAAAAGGGCAGTTCCAGCAGTATTACATCCTTTAGCAACTGCAATAACAGGACTTTTAGGAACCACACTTGGGTCCATTTCTCTTCACTTGTCTTCACAACAAACACAGGCTTTGGCAGAAATTACAGCAGCTATCCAAGAACAATGACATATAGATTCCCAGGCAGGCATTGTCTTACAAAACAGGAGGGGGCTAGGTCTCCTCGAAGCTAATCGGAGGGGATTATGCATTTTTCGAAAAGAAGAATGTTGTTTCTATATTAACTCCTCAGGCAAGGTAGTGGGACATCTGACTGAGGCAACTAATATAACCAATTTATGAACTGCACAAAACACCCTAAATTCTGTTTAAACAACTGCAAAAAGTTGGATAGCCCATTTTACAGGACCCTTAACTGTAATTCTTCGGTTGTTCATTTTTGGCCCTTACACTGTAAATTTGCTAACCAGATTTATTTCTTCATGTTTAGAATCTATCAAGCTACAAATGGCTATGTTGCCTGAAGCCCCAGACATCATCCTACAAGAAATAAGTCCAGACTTCTTAATTTCCCCCTGGATAGAGCAGGGTAAGAGTTCTGTGGTCCCCTGTTAGGTGGGGCCAGCAGTCCCACTCAGCTGGAAGCAAGTATAGAAGAAAGAACTTCAACCCTCAGCAACCTATTATGATTTATGGGGATCACATCTCTCAGAGGGAATTGAGGCAGGAGAATAGGGAAGGAAGTCAGAAAATCAACCTGCAGCCTTTTCTCACCAAAACAAGCATAAGGCACCATCTGATAAGGAAGCTGAAGCAATGAACCAATGCTTTCTGCAGTAAACAAATCTGGTATAACCTTTTATTATAATAAGTTACTTAAAGCCCATACATATGGAATGCATATCATACATACACTTAAAATTATGGAATGGCAAGCACATGCAGGCGCACTGAGAGAGAAAACCAACAAGAAAACTGATATGTCAATTATAGGCAACCTCCTCCCTAAAAGTTAAGTAAGAGTAGTAAGGTGGTATAAAAGAACAAAGGCTATGTTAACCCAGGGCTGATACCACTCGCGGATCAGCCCATTCTTCTCTCTGGAACATTCTTTGCTTAATACATCTTGTGGGGTCATTATTTGTGTGTCTCCTCCAATTCTTTGTTTGCAACACCAAGAACCTGGAAATCCAACTTCCAATCTGGTAACACTTCTACTCTAAAAATGTGCTTACTCTTTGTATAGCATGTAACTGCTCTATTGGTTGTACCCATTCATATATTAATGTTTCCACTTTTTATGCCTCCTCTGTTTTTCTCATGCCTTAATGAGCTGTTTTATGGAATTTCTAGGAGGCAATGAGTTGAGTTCTATAGATGACTTTTGTACATCTTGCACATGTACAATTTAACACTTTTTTGTGAACAACAGATATCTTTTTTGAAAAGAGGTAGTCATAGATTAATATCATAGCAAAATGGCTGTGCAACGGCCATCCAGTCAAGATTACTCTTTAGCTTCCCTTTGCCCCAAGCACATACCAATTAGAAAATGTAAAAATAAAACCCAAAAAAGAAATGCAAAAAGGTGAGTAGGATGAAAGCCATTAGTGAGCTTTGTTCCAAGTGACATGGAAGACCAGAGTCAAGGTCACTGCTGAACTTCAAGGCCTGAGGTCAGGGTCCCTGGATGTTTTAGGCAGTTCTCACATTGCTATAAAGAAATACCTGAGACTGGGTAATTTAAAAAGAAAAGAGGTTCAACTGACTTACTAGCAAACTGAATTCAACAACACATTTAAAAGATCATTACGACCAAATGGGATTTACCCCAGGGATGCAAGGATGGTTCAACATATGCAAATCAATGTGATACATCACATTAACAGAATGAAGGACAAAAACTATATGATTATTTCAGTTGATGCTGAAAAAGCACTTGATAAAATTCAATATCCCTTCATGGAAACCCTCAAAGGGCCAGGCACAGTGGCTCACACCTGTAATCCCAGCACTTTGGTAGGCTGAGGTGGGCAGATTGCTTGAGCCCAAGAGTTGGAGACCAGCCTGCACAACAAGGTGAAATCCCATCTCTACAAAAAAATACAAAAGTTAGCCAGGTGTGATGGTACACACCTGTAGTCCCAGCTACTTGGGAAGCCGAGATGAGAGGATTGCTTCAGGTCAGGAGGTCAAGGCTTCAGTGAAGAGATCACACCACTGCATTCCAGCCTGGGCAACAAAGTGAGACCCTTTCTCAAAAAAGAATCTCAAAAAACTGGGTATAGAAGGAACTACCTTTACATAATAAAAGCCACAGCTTGTATCATACTAAAAGAGAGAAAAAACCTTTCCTGTAAGATCTAGAACATGACAAGGATGCCCTCTTTCACCACTGTTGTTCAACATAGTGCTGGAAGTCTTAGCTAGAGAATTTCAGAGAAGAGAACAAAATAAAGAGCATTCAAATCGGAAATGAAGAGGTCAAATTATCCTTGTTTGCAGATGATATGATCTTATATTTGGAAAAACCTAAAGACTCCACCAAAAAAGTATTAGAACTGATAAATTCAGTAAAGCTGTGTGATACAAAATCAACTTATGAAAATCAGTAGCATTTCCACATGCCAACAGTGAACAATCTAAAAAAGAATTTTAAAAGTTATCCCACTTACAATAGCTACAAATAAAATTAGATACCTAGGAATTACCTTAATTAAAGAAGTGAAAGATTGCTACAATTCAAAACTATAAAACATGTGATGAAAGAAATTGAAGAGGACACACAAAAATGGAAGGATATTCCATGTTCATGAATTGGAAGAATAAATATTGTTAAAATGTCCATAATACTTAAAGTAATCTAAAATTCAGCCCCTGATATTCAACGTGGGTCCTTTTCTATTTTCCCTAAGTGATGGCCAGTCTGAGAAATAAAGGGAAAGAGTACAAAAGAGAGAAATTTTAAAGCTGGGTGTCCAGGGGAGACATCACATGTCGGCAGTTTCCATGATGCCCCCCAAGCTGCAAAACCAGCAAGTTTTTATTAGTGATTTCCAAAGGGGAGGGAGTGTACAAATAGGGTGTGGGTCACAGAGATCTCATGCTTCACAAGGTAATAAAATATTACAAGGCAAATGGAGGCAGGGTGAGATCACAGGACTGGGGTGAAATTAAAATTGCTAATGAAGTTTCGGGCATGCATTGTCATTGATAACATCTTATCAGGAGACAGGGTTTGAGAGCAGACAACCGGTCTGATCAAAATTTATTAGGTGGGAATTTCCTCATCCTAATAAGCCTGGGAGCGCTACGCGAGACCGGGGCTTATTTCTTCCCTTATCTACAACTGTAAAAGACAGACATTCCCAGAGCAGCCATTTCAGAGACCTCCTCCTAGGAATGCATTCTCTTTCTCAGGGCTATTTCTTGCTGAGAAAATGAATTCAGTGATATTTCTCCTATTTGCTTTTGAAAAAAGAGAAATATGGCTTTGTTCTGCCCAGCTTTCAGGCAGCCAGACCTAATGGTTGTCTCCCTTGTTCCCTGAACATTGCTGTTATCCTGTTCTTTTTTCAAGGTGCCCAGATTTCATATTGTTTAAACAATTTGTGCAGTTAACCCAATCATCACAGGGTCCTGAGGCAACATACATCCTCAGCTTATGAAGATGACAGGATTAAGAGATTAAAGTAAAGACAGGCATAGGAAATCACAAGAGTATTGATTGGGGAGTGATAAATGTCCATGAAATCTTCACAATTTATGTTCAGAGATTGCAGTAAAGACAGGCATAAGAAATTGTAAAAGTATTAATTTGGGGAACTAATAAATGCCCATGAAATCTTCACAATTTATGTTCTTCTACCATGGCTTCAGCCAGTCCCTCCGTTCGGGGTCCCTGAATTCCCACAACACAGATTCAATGCAATCTCTGTCAAAATATCAATAACATTCTGCACAGAAATTTTTAAAAATCCTAAAATTGATATGGAACCACAAAAGACCCAGAGTAGCCAAAGCTATCCTGAGCAAAAAGAACAAAACTGGAGGAATCACATTACTTGATTTCAGATAATACTACAGAGGTATAGTAACCAAAATGGCATAGTACTGGCATAAAAATAGACCAATGGAACAGAACAGAGAATGCAGAAACAAATCCATACATCCAGAGTGAACTCATTTTTGACAAAGGTGCCAATAACATGCATTGGGGAAAGGACAGTCTCTTCAGTAAATGGTGCTGGGAAAACTGGATATCCATATGCAGAATGAAACTAGACCACTATCTCTCCTCATATACAAAAATCAAATCAAAATGGATTAAAGACATATCTAACTCCTAGAACTATGAAACTACTACAAGAAAACATTGGGGAAACTCTCCAGGACATTGGACTAGGCAAAGATTTCTTGAGTAATACTCCAAAAACACAGGCAACCAAAGCAAAAATATAAAATAGGTTCACATCAAGTTAAAAAGCTTCTGCACAGCAAAAGAAACCATCAACAAAGAGGCAACCTGCAGAATGGGAGAAAATATTTGCAAACTACCATCTGACAAGGGATTAATAACAGAAACTATAAGGAGCTCAAACAACTCTAAAGGAAAAATATAATAATCCAATTTAAAAAATGAGCAAAAGATCTGAATAGACACTTCTCAAAAGATGACATACAAATGGCAGACAGGTATATGAAATTGATCATCAGAGAAATGCAAATCAAAGCTACAATGAGATATCATCTCACTCCAGTTAAAATGGTTTCTATCCAAAAGTGAGACAATAATAAATGCTGGAGAGGATATGGAGAAAAGGGACCCTCGTACACTATATTTGGGAATGTAAATCAGTACAACCACTGTGGAGAAGTTTGGAGATGCCTCCAAAAACTAAAAATAGAGCTACCATATGATCTAGCAACCCCACTGCCAGGTATATTCCTAAAAGAAAGGAAATCAGTATATCAAAGAGATATCTGCACTCCTATGCTTATTGCAGCACTATTCATAGTAGCCAAGATTTGAAAGTAACCTAAATGTTCATCAGCAGATGAATGGATAAAGAAAATGTGGTACATATACACAATGGAATACTATTCAGCCATAAAAAAGAATGAGATTCTGTCATTTGCAACAACATGGATGGAACTGGAGGCCACTGTGTTAAGATAAGCCAGGCAGAGAAAGACAAACTTTGTATGTTCTCACTTATTTGTGGGAGCTAAAACTTAAAACCATTGAACTCGTGGAGATAGAGAGTAGAAAGATGGTTCACTTCAAAACAAAACAAAACAAAACAAACAAAAGCAGTGAAGTATAAGAAGGACTTGATGAAAAAAAAGGACATAACAAGCTGGCTTACTGGCTCAAAAATGGAAGGGGCAGTCTGAGGGGAATGCAAACATCCTAGAGGGGCTGAGAGAGAGCCTGTTCACAGCCAGCAACTGTTAACTGAACCTTAGCCCTACAGCTGTAGGAAATGAATTCCTTACACCAATCTGAATGAGCAGGCCCTACCCCAGATTCTCTTATCTCTAGATAAGAGCCCAGGCACTTTGATTTAGGGAGCAGAGCCCACCTAGAGAGTTCTGACCTGCAGAACTATGATATAATACCTGTGGGTTGTTCTAAACTGCTAAGGTTGGGGTGATTTGTTTTTGTAGCAACAGAAAAACAAATATAGCTGAGAAGTCAGGCTTGAAGAGATAACAGCTAAGAATTTTCCGGAAGTGAATCAAGGCACAAATCTTCCGATAAAAGTTTGCACCATCTAACTAAGGAGAGCAGGTTAAACATACACAGTTATTTCAGCTCTCTCCCTCCTTCACTCCCCTAAAACTACAATAAAGGGCTTATTTATTTATTTGACAGAGTCTTGCTCTGTCGCTCAGGCTGCAGTGCAGTGGCACAATCTCTGCAACCTGCCTGCTCCTGGGCTCAAGTGATTCTCCTGCCTCAGCCTCCCGAGTAGCTGGGACCACAGGAGTGTGCCACCATGACTGGCTAATTTTTGTATTTTTTGTAGAGATGGGGTTTCACCATGTTGCCCAAGCTAGTCTCCAACTCCTGGGCTCCAGTGAGTCACCTGCCTCAGCCTCCCAAAGTGCTGGGATTACAGGCATGAGACACCACACCCGGCCAATAAAGGAATTTTTAAGGTGCTTTTTAAAAACCATCAGGTCAAAGAGATTGTAGAGAAGACAATATCAATACAATTTGAGGACTGCATAGCAGAAGGACAGCTGGAAACTGACTTAGCTCAGAAAATTTTGAATCTCATCCAGCAGTGGGAAAAGCTCAGGAGCAACCTAACGACTCTGTAGAAACCTCAAAAGGCACAGGTGGCACCAGGTAGCTCTGGAAGTGGAAATGAAGTGGGGCTAAAAGCAGCAGGATTGTCTCCGGTGGAGTGTTTCCCACCGTCTTCTGCTGTAGAGAATCGTGAGCTGGTTCCATGCAGTTTCACCTTAGGCATGGGTGGATGCTTTCCTTCCCCACCTTCACGACTTCTGCAGGTGCCCCCAGCAGGAAGGATCCATGGCAGGCTGAGCAAACTCTCTGGGCACAGACAGGCATTATTCATGCCGGACATCAACAAGCTCTTTTCTGGCTGCTATCAATGTGGTCTTCTCTAGGGAACAATAAGAAAGATAGATGATGACGCTCCTAGACACTGTGATAGAAATGCGTAGGCTAACTTGTCTCCCCAGACTAACCTGTCTTCCAGCAGCTCCTTGGCATTTGCTTGCTCAGGGTGTGGGGTGTGAAAGGCAGGAATTTCCTGGGCCAGAGCTGATTCCATCAGTGCATGGCCCAGCTGATTCCAACCTGACTTATGCTGATTCCATCAGTGTATCTGGTCCCTTCCCTACTTTTCCTCCTTGTATTAGTTTCCTCAAGCTGCTGTTAACAATGATCACAAATGGGCTGGGCACAGTGGTTCATGCCTGAAATCCCAGCAGTTTGGGAGGCTGAGGTGGGAGGACTGCTTAAGCCCAAGAGTTCGAGACCAGCCTGGGCAATAAAATAGGAACCTATCTCTACAAAATAAAAAAGAATTAGCCAGGTGTGGTGGCACATGCCTGTAGTCCCAGCTACTCAGGAGGCTTGGGCAGGAGGAGAGCTTGAGCCCAGGAGGTTGAGGCTTCAGTGAGCTGTGATCAAGCCACTGCACCCCACCCTGGGACTTTAAAGTTTATCTCTAAATACCTCAGAATATCACCTCATTTGGAAATAAGGTCATTGCAGCTTTAATTTGTTAAGATGAGGTCATACTGGAGTAGAGTGGGCCCCTAATCCAATATGACCGGTATCCTTATAAAAAGAACACCACCATGTAAAGAGATAGAGGGAAGATCATGCAAACACAGGGAGAATGTCATCTACTAGGAATGCCAAAATTGCCAGCAAACCACCAGAAGCCAGGAGAAAGGCATGGAACAGATTCTCCCTCACAGCCCTCAGAAAGAATCAACCCTGATAACACATTGATCTCAGAAAGCAAGCCTCCAGAAATGTATTGTTTCACAATACATTTCTGTTGGTTAAGCCGCCCTGGCAATCTGATACATATATGCTTAAATACCCGTTAAGGCCACAGAATAAATATTTTAGGAATTCAGAAAAGAAAAAGACGCTCTGAAGACCTTCAGAGGAAGGTCTGATATGAAGACCTCAGCATAAAACTGAGCTACTTCTCAGTTTTATGGAGTAGATAAGACTTGGAGTTGGACCTTGAAATGACTAGAACTTGGATGCATAAAGAAGAGGAAGCAAGAGATGTGGGGATGGAAGAAAGGGAGGAGAGGAGATAACAGGATGGGAAAAAATGATAGGGAAGAATGTTTTTCTCAATAATAAATACAGCCATCTGATGGGGCCAGGGACAAGCAGAATGGCATAGATAATGACAAGACTGAAAATAAAAAGTGAAGTCAGATGACTAAAGGACCCACCAAATATTAGATTTCAGAGCTTGAATTTTATCCAATATGTAATGGAGAATTATTGACCTTTTAAAGCTGGAAAATGACATGAAGAAATTAGTTTGCGGGAAATATATCTGGGTAGTAGAAGCATGGAATGGTGAATAGTGACTGGTGCAGAAAACAATGTTATCTAGGACAAGAGTCAGAAGATTTTTTTAATGACATGATAAAGGTCTGAAGGAAACGTGCAAAATATTACAAAGGAAGAATGGGCAGGGCTTAGTGAGGGAAGGGCCTCTGTGAGTGGAGGGGAAGGAATCCAGATAAACATCAAGGTTTAGAGTTTCAGAGACTGAAGACCCTGAGATGGCATAATCAGGAAGCTATCTTGTTGGTGTGGCAGAGGGGCTGGAAAGGGACAGGGGACCAATAGTAAGTTTGGTTTGTGATATAAGGTGCTGAAGGTGATATAACAGCAATGTCTGGGATATAGTTGGGTGTGTGCACATAATATGTAACAGAAATTAACAGAGAGAAATCAAGTTCCTTTTTCTTAGGTTTCTTCTCTGTATTTTTAAGACAGTCTGTGTATTTGGATGTTGTTTACTGTAGTCACTGATGATCCTGTTTCTCCCATTAGACTGTGAGCTCTTTAAGGGACAAAACAGCTTCTTTGTACCCATAACCGAAGCAGACTATCTGGCCTTAATAGAAGATCAGGAAATGTGAATTGAATTGAATCGCACTGCACTGAAGTAAATGAATCAAGCCTTCTGACACAAAGTCCAGTATTCTCTCCAGTATAACACAGTTGCTTCCCTGTAGTGACTAGGCCAGAGATGAATCTAAAATGTCAGTGTTACTGCCAGCTAATTCAGGGCCTTTTATTTAAGCAGCAGGGACTCAATTTCCCTATTCCATAGGTGTACGGTTTGACTGGCAACCTGATTACTTGGCAGGTAAAGAAAATGGTTACAATAGTTCCAGCCTGTCTGGAGCCTTGTAGTGGAGCCTCTGTAGTACCTTGGCTACAAAAGACACTCAAGCTGTGTAAATGATCAGATGTTATGAGAAGCTATTCTTTAGTAGCAGAGACACTGGAAAATTATATCAAGAAAGGGTCCCTTTTAAAAGCACAGCGCTGAAGCATCTTGATGATGTAGCAGTTTGTGTGTCTACAACAACAGCAGACATTTTCATTTCATAATGATAGCGCAAGGAATTATACCTTTTAATCACTTTTTGGTGTCAGTAAGAAATAGAGGTAGAGGTTCACGACCTTTGTATGAATCAAAGACTTGATGAACACTACTATATTAAAAACAACAGGCTGGGCACAGTGGCTTAGGCATTTTGGGAAGCCAAGACAGGTAGATTGCTTGAGCCCAGGAGATCGAGACAAGCCTGGGCAACATAGAGAGATTCCATCCCTACATAAAATAAAAAAATTATTAGGCTAGTGCAAAAGTAATTGCGGTTTTGCTATTTTAATGGCAAAAACCGCAGTTACTTTTGCACCAACCTAAAAGCTGTGTGCAGCTGCTTGGGAGGCTGAGGTGGGAGGATCACCTGAGCCTGGGGAGGTTGAGGCTACAGTGAGCCAGGATTGTGCCACTGCACTTCAGCCTGGGCAATAGAGAGCGACCCTATGTAAAAAAATAAAATCAATAAAAATATTAGAACAACAAGCCTGCTTCACGTCAAAAGGTCTATGATCAAAAGACAAAGAATAAGCCAGGAAAATATTTGCAACTAATATCGTAAACCTAATATAGAAAGAGATCCTATAAATTGACAGTAAAATGACTAACAAATAGTAGAATAAATTAGAAAAATAATTTAACAGTAGGCACAAGTATGAAAATATAATTTGCCAAATGGCTCTTTACCATAAGAAGAGACTCAAACTCACTGGAAATAAGAGGCATATAAATGAAAACTAAGTGAGATGTGAAGGGTGAGTAGGTAGCCAAGTGAAAGAAGGATGGAGACAGACAAGAAGCTAAGAGACTAATAAACTAATCATAGCCATTGTGTATTACTGGGTTCTAGTGAGTGCTGCTTTACACAATTCATGTTTTACAAGTACCATTTCATTTAATCTCCATAAGAGGCCTAAAAGTAGGAAGTATTGGTTTCACAATGTTACAGGTGGGATTAAGTAATTTACCAGAAATCACGAAGTAAATCATAGAGCCTTGACTTGAACTCAGGAAGTTAACACAATTCTGGGAATATAGCAGGCTGCCAAGAAAGGGAGCTCCGAAGGACAATGACCAAATATGGAAATATTCAGACAAAGATCAATTAAACTTTGTGGAGACATAGAGTTATCAGAGTCCTAAAAGTTCAATTAGACCAACCTCCAACATAGAACACAGACTTCCTCTGCAACCTCTCCAACAGATGGCCATCCCAGCTGCCACCTAAACAAGTCCAATGACAAAAGAGAGTGCTCTACTTGTTAAAGCAGCTCATTGCATTGCTGAACGTCTTTGCTGGAAAAAGTCTTCTTTATATGAAGCTAAAATCTGTTTCTCCATAAGTATGAGCAATTTGTTCCAAGCAATCAAAAGAAAATGAATTTTTTGTCTCATGCATGTGATAACTCTTCAGAACAAATAACCCAGATCCTTCCATTTTTGCTCACTTGACATGGTCTCCAAGCCCATCCCTTATCTGGCTAACCCCTCTGGAGTAGAAACAGTCTAGTTTCTCGGTTTTTTTATTAAAATGTATTCCCAGAAATGATTGTGTTAGATTATGGCTGAGTATTGAGATATGCTTATTTCTCTTACTATACCTGCACAGCACACTCAATGTATATCAAACAGTCTATTACTGTAATCACCCAATGGGTTCATCCTTGCTTCTTCCACTGCACAGGCAAAACCAATTCACTGAGACCAGGGTATTGCAGTAAAGAAAGAGTTTACGTAATGCAAGGCAGCTGAGTGAAGGACTAGAGTTATCACTCAAATCAGTCTTCCAGAGAACTCAGAGGCTAGGATTTTTATGGAAAATTTCAGGGGCAGGGGCCTAGGGAATTGGTGCTGCTGATGGGTTGGGGATAAAGTCATAAGGGTGTGGAAACAGTCCTCATGTGCTGATTCTGCCTCTGAGTGGGGGCCACAAGACCAGCTGAGTAATAATTCATGGGTCTGGGTGGGGTCAATTGGTTTCCAGAATGCTAAAGTCTGAGAAACATCTCAAAAGACCAATCTTAGGTTCTATAATAGTGATGTTATCTACAGGAGCAAATGGGGAAGTGACAAATCTTCTGACCTCTGGCTACATGACTCCTGAACAGTAAGGGATTATAGAAACTATGTCTATATTTTAGGAGAATGTAGGCCCTTCCCAAAATCCTAATCTTGTGGCCTTTCATTAGTCTTATAAAGGCAGTTTCAGCCCCCCAACAAGGAGGGAATCCGTTTTAGAGAAGGACTATTATCATCCTTGCTTCATAGTTAAACTGTAAACTAAATTCATCACATGGTTAGCCTGGCCTATGCCCAGGAGTGAGTGAGTACAGCCAGCCCATGAGTCTACAAGCAAGATAGAGTCAGCCATGCTAAATTTCTCTTGCTGTCATAATCTTTGTAAGGGCAGTTTCAGCATTACATTAGCCTTTTTAGCATATGAATCACATATGCTCCAGTGAAGAACTATTACTGGAAAGGGGTCCCGATCCAAACCCCAAGAAAGGGTTCTTGGATCTCATGCAAGAAAGAATTTAGGGTGAGTCCATAGATTAAAGTGAGGCCGAGTTTATTAAGAAAGTAAAGGAATAAAAGAATGGCTACTCCATAGGCAGAGCAGGCCCAAGGGCTGCTGGTTGCCCATTTTTCTGGTTATTTCTTGATTATATGCTAAACAAAAGGTGGATTATTCATGCCTCCCCTTTTTAAATAATACAGGGTAACTTCTTGATGTTGCTGTGGCATTTGTAAACTGTCATGACACTGGTGGGAGTGCAGCAGTGAGGACGACCAGAGGTCACTCTCGTGGTCATCTTGGTTTTGGTGGGTTTTGGCTGGCTTCTTTACTGCAACCTGTTTTATCAGCAAGGTCTTTATGACCTGTATCTTCGCTGACCTCCTATCTCATCCTGTGACATAGATGCCTTAACCATCTGGGAATGCAGCCCAGTAGGTTTCAGCCTCATTTTACCCAGTTCCTATTTAAGATGGAGTTGCTCTGGTTCACACACCTCTGACAGAACCATGCACAGTCTTCTTTCAATGGCTGATAGGTTTTTAATACCTGTATTTATTTATGTTATTCTGAATGCAAATATAAAGTTTCTGGAGCAGAGAACAAAGTTATTATAATTCATGTCAATAACTATCAGTTCCCTTGCCCCAACCCCCTAGAGTGATATGATGAAAGCCAGATGTCCTCTTATATGTACTAGGTTCTGTACTGCAGGAGAGAAAGCCCCCCTCAAAATTATGAATCTGAGAGCTTATATACGAGAGGGTCAGCTTTCTCTTTTCCCCTTCTGAGAAAGGCAGAGAAACCTCTGCTTTCTAGTGTACACCAATTTTGCTGGGGAAGCAAAGGGAAAGGTCTGGGCTTCTTACCTTTTGGAATGCAAATAAGTGTCTGGGGGAAGATAAGAGAAGCTTCTCCTCATTTACAGCTCTTGGGATGTTTTCTTGGTTGCAGGTTTTACCCCCTCCCACCCTGCTCCTCTGAAGTGTAAACACAGACCTCTGGGGAGACAAATCTCTCTACAGTTGTCTCATTACCTATTCAGTCATAGTCATAATTTAACTTCTAAAGCTTGTTCTTTAATCTGGACTCCAGAAAAACTTGCTCAGAAAGTCCTAACTGTGCAGAAACATGAAAATACTCACTTGTTGACTTGGGCTTGATACAGGTCTATTTCCTAGGTCCAGGCTGGCTTGCCCACTTGTTTCTTGTCTCTCTCTCTCTCAAGGGAGGAGGATCCCCAAAGAACCCACAGCAAAAAAGACAGGTTTAAACACCTGGTAGGGCCAGAGGGCAGAGGCTGGGTCATAGCAGTACTGGTCAAGTGAGAGCTCTCCTGCTCTCCATCAGCAATTCAGGGAGGGGAAGAATGGAAGTGGGCATGATTAGAGTAAAGAACGTGACCGTGACCACCTCCCTTTTCTTCTCTGCTGGCAGCAGGCCCAAGCTGGAGAAGGATGAGAATATTGATCATAAGCTGTGTTTAAAGATTTGGTTATAAAATGGAACTAGATATTTTAATTTCTGATTAAGGGCTTGTTTTACAACAGAGAAACCAGAAAAGTCATGGATTTTGCCTGAGTTATTATCCAGGAGCAAGGGGAAGAATTGGATGTGAGGATATAAAATTTTTTTTTTTTGAGATGGAGTCTTGCTCTGTTGCCCAGCTGTAGTGCAGTGGCGCAATCTCGGCTCACTGCAAGCTCTGCCTCCCGGGTTCACGCCATTGTCCTGCCTCAGCCTCCCGAGTAGCTGGGACTACAGGTGCCTGCCACCATGCCCAGCTAATTTTTGTATTTTTAGCAGAGATGGGGTTTCACCTTGTTAGCCAGGATGGTCTTGATCTCCTGACCTCGTGATCCGCCTGCCTCAGCCTCCCAAAGGGCTGGGATTACAGGCGTGAGCCACCGCGCCCGGCTGAGGATATAAAATTCATGTTTTGAGCCATTCTGAGTGAAACAATACTTGTGAGAGGCGTTCGAAGCAGAGCAACCCCATCTTGAACAGGGATTGAGTAAAATAAGGCTGAGACCTACTGGGCTGCCTTCACAGGAGGCTGGGTATTCTAAGTCACATGGTGAGATTGGAGGTTGGCACAAGATACAGGTCACAAAGACCCTGCTGATAACAGCAGTTAGCAGTAAAGAAGCCGGCTGAATCCCACCAAAACCAAGATCGCAAGGAGAATGACCTCTGATCACCTTTACTGCTCATCATACGCTAATTAGAATGCATTAGCATGCTAAAAGACATTCTCACCAGCACCATGACAGTTTACAAATGCCATGGCAATGTTAGGAAGTCATCCCATATGGTCTAAAAAGGGGAGGAACCCTTGGTTCCAGGAATTACTCACCCCTTTCCTGGAAAACTAATGAATAATCCACCCCTTGTTTACCATATAATCAAGAAGGAACTAACAATAAGTACAAGCAGCTGAACAGCCCATGGCGCTGCTCTGCTATGGAGTAGCCATTCTTTATTCCTTTACTTTCTTAATAAACTTGCTTTTGCTTTACTCTATGGATTTGCCTCAAATTCTTTCTTGCACGAGATCCAAGAACCCTCTCTTGGGTCTGGATTGGGACCCCTTTCCGGTAACATACTATCTAAACCTTGCACATAAATAGAGTATATTTATTTTTCTTCTTAAGGGAAAAATGCATTGGAAGAGGAATATTCTGATACACAGACAGGGCCTGTTTCACCTCTCTAACACTCCAAAATTGGATGCTAACAAACAGAACTTTCAGAAATATTCTCTACAGATACCTGAAGCCTCCAAGAGTTAGTACAGATGTATTAAAATATTCAAGAAGAGTTGGATAAATCAATGGATGCTAAAGAGAGAATGGGAATGCTTTTAATTTTCCACTTGACAAAATGGGATCAACCATGCTCCCTTGCTCCAATCCTCAGCAAATGTGCAGAGGTTTCACTGGGAAGACCAGATCCCAGGCTGGGTGCTCCATGGGTCTGATGCCATACAGCAATTACTTTTGCTGCCTAGAAGTCCCATAGTACCCTATGCTTCTTTTCATAGCATTTAATAGTCGTCTGTATTGTCATTGATTTTTAAATTTATTTAGCAGGATTGTGAATTTAACTCACATCGCATCTCAGAAGTATGGAGACATTATATAGTCCCTTTGTTAACGAGTCCAGCCTTCTTCCTTGAATCCCACCTGTGGGTGAGGAGTAAAAACAATTAACTTTTAAATCCTTCCTGGTTTAAACTTAATCTGATCTACTCACTTAGCAATCCCTTAAGAGAGGTTAGTCTGTGTAGGAAAAGAAAAGCTCAGCTGTCAGATTTCTCACCCTTTCAGCCCCAAGATGTTGACTAGGTGTTTTGTATCCGCGGAGGAATGGGGTTGCCTGACCCTGAGGTCTTGGGAACAGTGTCCTCCACCTTGTTGACTTTTATGCCCCTGGTAGCTCTCAGCATGGCTGGCAATGCAGCTGATGTCTGGGGCTGGAGCGATTCCTTATCAGCTCTCTCTGACTCCCTCGGTTTCCCCTGGGTCCTCCCTGCAGGACACCTCTGACTTCTGGCTGTGACTCCAGTTTAGTCCTGGCCTACCTGGTAGTCCTTCACCTGCCTCACCTGCACTATGGATCCCCGCCAGATTCTCATAGACTTCTGGGTCATAGGGCCCCCTGTGGAAACTTTAGAAGACTCTCAAGTTAAACCTCATAACCTCCCTCTACCTGGCCATGCTGGCCCCACTAGGGTTGAGATGAGGTAGCCTGCGGTAAAGTCTCTTCTCAGAGTCTCAGATGGGGAGTTGGGGAGAACGATGCCCTTTTGTCCTTGGTGTTTCCCCCAGTCACCTCATGCACAGTCAGGACACACATCTGACTGCGTTGCTTCTTCGTCTCTGTCCCTGGCTCTGTCTGTCTCTCCTTTTCCTTCCCCCAATTCTGGGACAGAAGAGGAATGACTTCCCTCCTCCTCTTCCTCTGTAACCCATCGCCCTTCTACTTAGAGGAGTTAAACCCATGGCCCTGCTCCTCTCCTTATAACAGGAGGGTGTCTTCTCTGCAGTATGAGAGAATGCTCTGAGTTAAGTCTCCAGGCTCAGTGTGATGGTTAATTTTATGTGTTGACTTGACTGGGTTGAGGATGCCTGGATAGCTGGTGAAACATTATTTCCGGGTGTGTGTCTGTGAGGGTGTTTCTGGAAGAGAGTAACATTTGAATAAGTAGACAAGATCCACCCTCACTAATGTGGGTGGCATCACCCAATCCGTTGAGGGCCTGAATAGAGTGAAAAGGTGGAGGAAGGGCAAATCCTCTCTCTCCTTGAGCTGGGACATTCATCTTCTTCTGCCCTTCACACTGAAGTGCCCAGTTCTGGGGCCTTCAGACTCAGACTGAATCACACCACCAGCTTTCCTGGTTCTCTAGCTTGCATATGGCAGATGGTGGGACTTCTGGGCCTCCATAATTACATGAGCCAATTCTCATATATATCTATAGTATGTAGAATATATGTGAGAAATATATTAATGTAAGTATACATATGTGAGGTGTGTGTGTGTGTGTGTGTGTGTGTGTGTGTGTGTGTGTGTGTATCCTATTGGTTCCATTCCTCTGGAGAAACTTGATTAATACACTTGGTTTCTAATAGATAGGGGATGAAGGTTAATAAAATAATTTGAAAAGTCCTCTTCTAATACAATAGCTTGAGGCCAGGTGCGGTGGCTCACGCCTGTAATTCCAGCACTTTGGGAGGTCAAGGTGGAGGGATCACTTGAGCCCAGAAGTTCAAGACAAACCTGGGCAACTTAGTGAGACCTCATATCTACCCCTCCTCAAAAAAATTAGCTGGGCATGGTGGCACATGCCTGTAGTTCCCACTACTCAGGAGACTGAGGATCCATTGAGCCCAGGAGGTTGAGGCTTCAGTGAGCCACTATTCTGTCACTTCACTCCAGCCTGGGTGACAGAGTGAGACCCTGTCTAAAAAAAAGAAAAAAGAAAAAAAATTATAATAGCCTGGTTTTTAAGGCTATTGTTTGGTTGCACAATTTTATTTTAAAGGTCAGAAATTGAGTATTAATTCTGTCTCTTTGCATTACATGTAAATTACTTAGAAGAGTGACTGGGACACAGTAAGTGACAAATGTTGCTATTGTATAACAAATTACTTAATCTCCTTCTGAGGCTGGTTAGTATTTTGGGCCCACTAAGAAAAATATGTTCCAGCAAAAGCAGAAGAGAAAAATCATATTAATAATTTCTAAGATATAAACCTCATTAACATTTACATTTTACCATATTTCAAAATTATCAACTCATATATGCTTGGAGAGAAATTCAAACAATATACAACTGTCATGATTACAAAGTAAAAGCCCTTGCTTAACTTTGTGGGGTTTTTTTGTTTTTTTTTGAGACAGAGTCTCGCTCTGTTGCCCAGGCTGAAGTGCAGTGGTGGGATCTCGGCTCACTGCAACCTCTGCCTCCTAGGCTCAAGCGATTCTCATGCCTCAGCCTCCCGAGTAGCTGGGATTACAGGCATGCACCACCATGCCCCACTAATTTTTGTATTATTAGTAGAGATGGGGTTTCACCATGTTGACCAGGCTGGTCTTGAACTCCTGACCTGAAGTGATCAGCCTGCCTCGGCCTCCCAAAGTGCTAGGATTACAGGTGTGAGCCACCATGCTCGGCCCCTCACTTAACTTTGAACATTTTCCCTGTTCTGGCCCCCATTTTACTCTTTTCCTTAAAGATGAAGACTAAATATTTTGGTTGAATTTTTTCACTCATCCGTCTCCTCCATTACACTATGAGTTTTTGAAGTAAGTAACCTACAGAGGTAGTTCCATAAGCCATCAATAAATGTTTGATAAATGAATAAATTGTTGAATAGTTAATGGACACAATTATCAAGTAATACAGAGTAAATTAAGTATCTTTTAAAAAATATACTGTTATATAAACTTGCTGGGATGCCTAGTTTTTTTTAGCTTTCTTGATAGGATTATATCTGATTATAATAGTTTAAATAGAACAGATATTAAATTGTCAGCATTTATTTTTATTTTTATTTATTTATTTTTGGGGATAGGGTCTTGCTCTGTCACCCAGGCTGGAGTGCAGTGGCACAATCGCAGCTCACTGCAGCCTTGACTTCTCCAGCTCAAGTGTTTCTCCCACCTCAGCTTCTTGAGTAGCTGGGACCACAGGCACCTGCTGCCAAGCCCGGCTAATTAAACAATTTTTTTTTTGGTAGAAATGAGGTCTTATTGTGCTGCCCAGGCTGGTCTTGAACTACTGGGCTCAAGCAATCCTCCCACCTCGGCCTCCTAAAGTGCTGGGATTATAGGTGTGAGCCACTGTGCCCGGCCTATGAGGTTTTATTTACAGGTTTCTTTTAATTGCTTCCTATAAAAGTGCTTCATATATAAGTGACCTTACACTGAGTAATAGAGTGAAGATATTAGATGATGACAAGGCATTTTATCACGGCTTTCCTGTTTTCATGTGACTGATACCATAGCAGTAATGTTCAAAGCTTTCATGTCTTATTTTATTTTTGATGTGTCATAAAGCATAGCCAATACAGCCTCTGCTCTCTAATGTGATAGAGTAACATGGAATGCAGTGGTGATTGATCAATTGGATTTGTCAATGTCTTAAAAAGTAGTAATATGATTCTTTTTTAAATTAAAGAAGACATAACTTTGACAGGCCGATTAAATTGGGGATGAGAAATGCCAATCCAGTGAATCAATTGTTGGCATAGACATAAGAAACAGGACCCAGTTTATGTCTAGTTTCCAGGACTGGTGAGCAGGGCTCTTTCCAAGGTCATTTTGGAGTATTCTAAACCAATTTCTTGGAAGGTCGGTTGAAAATAAAAGCCCTTCTTCTCTGCTTTGTCCCAAGTGGGCAGGTAGCAAATGTCTTTGCTTGGTGACCGTGCCAGGGAAGCACAGCTGAAGTCAGACAAGCCAGGGTTGGAATTGTGGCTGCATCACTTCTTAGCCATGTGACTTGGAAAACTGCTTACATGGGCAGCTGACTTCCCCTAGTGCTCTTGTTGTGAAAATTAAACCAGAGAGTACATTCTGACTGCAGTGCTTGGTACACGGTGCTCTGGGATAATCACATACGACTATCCATTTGGAAACAGGGCTCTGTTTCTAACCAGTATATGTTTGGGTTGCTACATATGGGAAGGAGCACGTCTTCACTTCCTGCTTCCACATCCACGGTCATCTAAACCAGCTCAAAAAATCTAAACCAGCTGTCGTCCTTTTCCCCTTTGCTATCTCAGAGGTGGAGCAGGGAGACTATGGTGTGGCAGCTACAGTGGTAGCAGTGGTGGAAGCCATGGATTGTAGCAGTAGTGATGGCATCTTGAAGCCAAAAGTTCAGTGATGGCCCTTTGACTTCTGGCCCTCCAGCACTTCCACTGATATTTCATGAATTTTTATTTTTATTATTATTATTATTGAGACAGGGTCTTTCTCTGTCAGCCAGGTTGGAGTGGAGCAGCATGATCACAGCTCACTGCAACCCTGACCTCCTGGGCTCAAGCAATCCTCCCATTTCAGCCTCCTGAGTAGCTGGTATTACAGACGGGCACCACTACACCAGTAATTTTTTTTTTTTTTTTGTATTTTTATTAGAGATGGAGTTTTGCCATGTTGCCTAGGCTGGTCTCAAACTCCTGTGCTTAAGCAATCTGCCTGCCTCGGCCTCCCAAAGTGCTGGGATTACAGGTGTGAGCCACCTTGCCTGGCCTAAATTCTTCAAATACCTAGAATGCTTTTGATTTTCTTCACTGAACTCTGACAGATACAAGTGCTTGAGGTCATTTAAATAAAATCCTGGCTTTGACCCTGGGTATCAATCTGGGTTACTACTGTTCTTTTCCTTCTTTGTTTTTTTTTTCTTTTTGAGATGGAGTCTCACTATGTCACCAGGCTGGAGAGCAGTGATGTGATCTCAGCTCACTGCAACCTCTGACTCCCTGGTTCAAGCGATTCTCCTGCCTCAGCTTCCTGAGTAGCTGGGATTACAGGCACATGCCACTACGCCCAGCTAATTTTTGTATTTTTAGTAGCGACAGGGTTCACCATGTTGGCCAGGATGGTCTCTGTCTCCTGACCTCATGAGCCGCCCGCCTTGGCCTCCCAAAGTGCTGTGAATACTGTTCTTTTCTTCATGATCGAGCTTCAGGGAAGAGTGGTTCCTTAATACCTAAAGCTTCCTATGCACCTTTGCACTTAATTCTACCACAATCAGGCTTTCTCTCTGCTACTGAAGCACTGATATGCCTTGACCAAGGTCAGCAATGACCAACCAAATGCCAATTTTAGTGGACTCTTTCCATCCTTGTCTTATTTAACCACTATTGGACACTGTGGATCACACTTTTCTTTCTGGAACGTGTTCTTCTCTTGGTCCCTGTAACACAATCTCTCCCAACTACCTCTTATATCTTTGGTCACTCTTGGCCAACCTCCATTGTGAGCTCCTTATCCTCTCTAAATTTTGGCACTCCCCAGAGTTCCAGCTTCAGAGCTCTTCTCTTCTTAGTATAATACACTGAGCAACCGAATAGACTTCTGTGATTTCTGCTACTGTACCTATGGTAACGACTCTCAAATCTCTACCCCTCTGCCGTATACAAATCCTTCATGCTCTGGGCACTGTAGACTCCCTCCTTTCTACCCTTCTGCCTCCAAATATGTTGAATTCTGAAAACGTCTTGCCAGGTGCTTTCATTCTCCCATGCCTTAACTTACATGGCTCTTTCCCCCTTGTTATTTCTCCCCCACATCCAAATTTTCCTTAACTATAAAAACACTTGCTTGTTAGACAATGTTTTCTTAGATACAATACCAAGAGCATACGCTGACAAAAGAAAAAAATAGATGAATTGGGCTCCATCAAAACTAAAATATTTTATGCTACAAAGAATAACATAAGAAAAGTGAAAACCTTTTCTGCAGAATAGGAAAAATTTTCTGCAAATTATATATCTGAAGAGGGACTTAAATTCAGGATATGCTGAAGAATGATGACAACTTGATAATAAAGAGATAATCCTATTTTAAAATGGGCAAACGATTTAAATACACGTTTCTCTAAAGAAGATATATAAATGGCCAAAAAGCACATCAAAAGATGCTCATCATCATTATTCTTCAGAAATGGATAAATCATCCATATGGATAAATCATAATGAAAAATGACTTCACACCTACTAAAATGGCTATAATCCAAAAGACAGGTAATAACAAGTGTTGGCAAGGATGTGGAGAAATCAAAACTCTCACACATGGCTGCTGGGAATGTAAAATAGTATAGCCACTTTGGAAAACAGTTTGGCGGTTCCACAAAAAGTTAAACATAGACTTACCATATGACCCACCAATTCTTCTCCCAGATATATACTCAGGAGAAATAAAAGAGTGCTTCCACACAAAAATGTACTCAAATGTTTAGAGCAGCATAATTCACAGTAGCTAAAAGGCAAAAACAATCCAAATTTCTATCAACTGATGAATAGATGAATAAAATATATGTCCATAAAATGAAATATTATTTGGCAATAAAAGGGAGTGAAGCTCTTGATACATGCCACAACATGGATGAACCTTGAAAATATAATGTTAAGTGAAAGAAGTCAATCAGAAAAAGACTACCTATTGTATGAGTCCAGTCGCTCATACAAAATATCTAAAATAGGTGAATCTATAAAGAAAGTAGGTTTGTGGTTGCTAGGGGTTGGAGGGAAATGGAGGGTGAATGCTAGTGAGTATGGGGTTTCTTTCTGGGATAATAAAATATGTTCTGGAATTAGTGGTGATGGTTGTACAACTCTGCAAATACACTAAAAGCCATTGATTGTAAAGGTTACATTTTGCATTTAAGTTGTAATATATGTGAATTACATAGCTCAGCAAAGTTGTTTTTAAAAAATCTCAGCTGGGCACAGTGGCTCATGCCTGTAATCCCAATACTTTGGGAAGCTGAAGTGGGAAGATCACTTGAACCCAGAAGTTTGAGACCAGCCCATCTCTAGAAAAAAAAAAAAAAGCCAGGCATGGTGGTGTGCATCTGTAGTCCCAGCTACCCAGGAGGCTAAGGCAGGAGGATCACTTAAGCCCAGGAGGTTGAAGCTGCAGTAAGCCAAGATCGTGCCACTGTACTCAGCTTTGGCAACAGAGGGAGACCCTGTCAAAATAAAAACAAACAACAACAACAAAAAAAAAAACAAAAAAAAACTCAGTAGCTTGCCTTTTAAGGCTCAGAATAAACACCATCCCTTCTTATTCACTCAGTTCATCCCTCAACAAATATGTGCTGCACACCTACTCTGACCCAGGCGTCATTGTTCTAGGAAACTATTGAAAGGTGTGGTAGATGGAATTTTCCAAAGATAGCTGCCGCAGTATATATCCCAACCACATGCTCTTTTTACAAAGTGACTGACACTCTCCATTGAGAGGTAGAGTCTATGTTCCCTCAATTTGAGGTATGCAAGGGGCATATCACTTCTCTGACCAATCAAATATGGCAGAAGTGAGGTGATGTAACTTTTGCAGGTAGGTCATAATCTCTTTCTGTGTGTGTGTGTATGAGTGTGTGTGTGTTTCTCTCTCCTCTAACATCTTCCCTTGGAACCTAGCCACCACGCTGTAAGAAAGCACAAAGTCTTCATAGAGAAACCATCTGGAGGGACCTCAAGCTCCCAGCCAACAGCCAGTCCTGCAAGAGGAGTGTTCAGCTGAGTTCAGTCCCAACCTGAGTTGCATCAACTGAGCTTTCAGACATCATGGAGCAAAGACAAAGCCATCTCTGCTGGGCCTGAATCCTAGGCCACATAATACACAAGCAAAACAAAATGGCTGTTTTCCCCCCATTGCAGTTTGGGGTAATTTGTTACATAGCTATAATAACTGGAACAAAAGGATATAAACAAGGAAATCTGTATGATCTGTTCATATTTTAAAATGCCATTTTGGCTCCTATGAGAAGAATAGATTATATGGAGTAGCAGAAAAAGAAGTATCAAGGCTCCCTAAACTCTCCCAGCTAGAATCCATTCCTCCAACTTATTATGCATACTTCTAGAATATCACCTTTAAATTGATTATACTTATAGGCCTACATCTCTCTCAAGAATCTTAAACTTTAGAGGATAATTTTTTCTCTCTAGGAAAGCTAAAGTAGATCTTGTTTGAAAAATCCTGAAAGGCTTCCTTATGAAAAGAAATTGGCTGGGCGCAGTGGCTCATGCCTGTAATCCCAGCACTTTGGGAGGCTGAGGCGGGGCGGGATCACTTGAGGTCAGAAGTTCGAGACCAGATGACCAACATGGTGAAACCCCATCTCTACTAAAAATACAAAAAATTAGCCGGGCTTGGTGGCGGGCGACTGTAATCCCAGCTACTCTGGAGGCTGAGACAGGAGAATTGCTTGAACCCGGGAGGTGGTGGTTGCAGTGAACCAAGGTCACGCCATTGCAGTCCAGCCTGGGCAATAAGAGCAAAACTCCGTCTCCAAAAAAAAAAAACAAAAACAAAAACAAAAACAAAATTGCTAAAATAGTTGCCTTCTTAGTCATGTTTGGCCAAATATAAAAGGAACAGAGGCCTTATGATTTAAGAAAGGCAGCAAACTGATAAAAATCCATTTCTTAATCTTCAGGTGATACTGTGGCCTGGGTGAAGACATCGTATCCTCTGTGTGTAACAGTGATAAGAAGGCTTACCTCGCAGGGTTATTACAAGACAAATGAAATAACTTTGGCACACTATTAAAGGCTTCGTGGATAATTAAAGCTTCACAAAAACCTTGATGAGATTCCCTCTATCCTCAGAAAATGTATGTGTGTGTGACGGTGTAGGGGTGGGGTGGGGGTTGGATAGGAGGCAGCAAGAGAAATGGATTCCTTTCTCGTCCTTTTCTCAGATCAAGGATATTGTACAATTTCATCCATTCACCCTGGGTATTTGAGTTTGAGTTCCCAATCATTGCCAAGAAACACACCATTGATTCATTTATTTTCATTTTTAAAATTTAAATTATTTACTTATTTATTTTTGAGACAGGGTCTTGTTGTGTTGCTCAGGCTGGAGTGCAGTGGTACAGACATGGCTTACTGCAGCTTCAACCTCCTGGACTCAAGTGATCCTCCCACCTCAGCCTCCCAAGTAGCAGGGGCTACAGGCATGCACCACAATGCCCAGCTAATTTTTAAAATTTTTTGTAGAGACAGGGGTCTCGCTACGTTGCCTAGGCTGGTCCCAAACTCCTGGGCTCAAGTAATCCTCCTGCCTTGGCTTCCCAGAGTGCTATAATTACAGGCATGAGCCACAGTGCCCGGCTCATTTCTTTTTAAAATTGAGTACATATTAGTACTGTGCTAAGCATTTTACAAGCATTATCTGATTTAATGCTTACAGTGAACCTATCATATGAGTATTAATCCTTACGTTTTACAAATAAAGAAACAGGAGCAAAGACATTAACGGTTAACTTACCTGAATAAAATTATATAGCCAGACAGAGCCAGGATTTAAGCCCAAGTTCTCTCTGACTTGGAGCCTGAGCTATTAACTCGATGCTATACTGCTATTGATCTTTCATAGATGCTGCCCAATGGATGGGCAACAGTAACTCAAAGATACATAACCCATTTCCTTTATAAAATCTTCCTTGACTTTATCAGACCATAGATATATCTAGCTCCTCTGAGTATTGCAACCCCTGCTATCTGTGTTATTTGTTTGGCATCTATGATGTACTGTATTGTCTTACATAGTTTATTTATTTTGTTTATATACATGTTTTATGCTTGTATCAATTGGAGATCTTTGATTGCAAGCTACAGAAATTGGCTTCAGCTAACTTAAGTGCTTTCTACCACTCCTGCACCCTAGCATGGAAGAACATTGGGTAATTCACAGAATAAAGGAAAACAGAACCACCTGACCTTGAGGTGGGATAGAAACCAGGACAACTCTTGGGGGTCTTTATAGAATAAACTTATGGGCAGTCTCTTTTGGTATGACCACAGGAAGGATTTAACTCCAACTACCTTCATTCCACCCAGCATCACTCTGCTCAAGATTCCGATTCCTAGCAGAGAAGTAGAGTGTCCGCCTGGTCCAGTTAGTTTTGTCATATGCCCAGTCCTTGTTGAGAGTGGGACGGTGGTGGATATTCCCACCAGGATCCAGCATGATTCTACTGTGATATAGAATGAGAGACAGTTTGATTTATGTACAGAGTAATTTGAGAGATTTTGTACTTTCTGTTGAAAAGCGATATAATTTTTCAGACAGAAAAATAAACTATGTGTATATGTCCAAAGACAAGACTAGACAGCAAGAAATTATTTAAAAGACAAGGGATTCTGAGAAGCAGCAGAAAAATCAGAATGCTTAGAATAGTGCCCTAGGGAGAGGCACATCATTCAGGCTTCATCGATAAAAGTCAGAGCCTCCTCCTCTCTTCTACTTGGAGTCCTATTCACTGTGATACATTTCATGGTTTGATCAATCTTACAGCAGATTACTCCTCCTGAATAAATAAATATGGACATGAATTTTTATGAGCACAGGGTAGACGTAGTACATTTATAGCTATCATTAATTTAAAGAAAACTTGGTTTATAAATTTCAAGGAAAGTTATCATAAGTAAATTTTAATACTACTTTAAGATTATTTTCATTCATATTAAATTTAAGGCTTCCAAGCTTTCTTAGGAAAGCATGTGGTATTTTGGATTAAATGTATTCTTCCAGCACTTTAAAATCCTTTTAGAAAGTTCTCCTGGACTAAGGGCTATAATATTGACTGGTCAATGCTGACCTTGAAGTTGTTGAAGAGCAATAGATATTGGTTTGGTTGCCACTTGGCAAAGCCTGGGGGATAAACTAAAAAGAACTGTTGGCCCACACAAACTATCCAAAGGCTAAATATCTCTCTTAAAATATGGCAAATGCCAGATATGTTAAATTGGAATGAAACAACATACAATTTCTCCCAAATAACCCTCACATTTTTCTGCACAAATAATGATGTGTCATGTACAAGACACAAAAGTACCATGATTGTGCTTCTCAAGACCCAAAAATGTTAAATAACTTGCCTAATGTTACCCAGTAAATGAGTGTAAAATTTGGGCAAGAATTTATTTATCCTATATAATCCATTACTCAATGAAACTTATATAGGACCCCCTAATGCTTAAAAGCAACGTCTAGATAACCTTTAAAGAAATTTTAGCCCACTGTTCTAAAATTTTAAATGACTGTGCCCACACTCTACTATTTATATACACGTTATTTTTACATATTTGCTGTGAATGCACACATATCATTCAGTGGTCTACATTTTTCTTTGATCCCTCAGTAGAAAACCTCCTACCTTTCCCCTCATATTGGACACAAGAAACCAAACTAATACCTCTCATTTCAAAATGCTCACCAGAGCATTTGTACATTCATCCAGTAAGGTTTTTAGTTCATCTTTTCTTCCCAAACAAGGACACAGCTTCTGTTCTCTATTAGCCCTAAAGCATGAATGGCACATCACTTTAAAACTAATGTGCTGGTTCATTCAACACAGAAACAACTCATTACTACTCTTGAGTAGTAAAATCAGGCTTATAAAACCATTAATGAAACAAAGTACTGTTCTAATCTACAATAGTGTGTGATGCCACATTTCACCTTCTCATTTTAATTGCAAATGGCTAGAGCCAGGCTACTGTTGAATATTCTTTTGCTTTTCCTAGAATACTTCTAGGAAAAAAAACCAAAAAGACAAATCACTATGCAGTTATAGGTCTCGTACTTTGAGTTGTATGTGGAGATTCTAAAGTGTAATTTTTGAATAACAAGATTTTAAAGTATGATTACTATGTTTAGGAAAATCCTGAGGTAGTATGCATGTATGTATGTATGTATTGATTGATTGATTGATTGAGACAGGGTCTCACTCTGTCACCCAGGCTGGAATGCAGTGGCATGATCACAGCTCACTGCGGCCTCCACGTCCTGGGCTCAAGCAATCCTCCACCTCAGCCTCTTGAGTAGCTGGGATTATAGGTGTGCACCACCACATCTGGCTAATTCTTTTTTATTTTTTGTAGAGACAAGTTTCCAGTATGTTGCCTAGGCTGGTCTTGAACTCTTGGGCTCAAATGATCTTCCCGCCTTAGCTTCCTAAAGTGTTGGGATTACAGGGCGAGCCACTGCTGTCGGTCAGAGATTCTTATTTGGCTGAAGTGGGTTGCAGATATCAGTATTTTTTAACATTTCCCCAGTGATTTTAATATGCAGCAGATTGGCACAAAATTGGCTTTGTGCCAATTTTGATTCTTTACCTTAGTCTGGGCATGTTCCTGCCTTATAAAAAGCAAAGTTCTCCAGAAGGCAGAGGTTGCAGTGAGCCGAGATAGCGCCACTGCACTCCAGCCTGGGTGACAGAACGAGACTTAAAAAAAAGCAGTGTTCTATTAGCAAGGCAGAGTAGGCAGTCCCCACAGCCCACAGTGTCTAGCAGAGGGCCTTATAGAAGTAGATCTAGAAAATCCTCTTCCCAAAGAGAGCATGTCTAAATTCTACAGGCAATAACGTTCGCTTAGTTCCCTTCATGAACTTAATTCAATCCACAGGCATAGGTTGAATTGATACTACAGTGTGTGCAAGATCCTGTATTGAATGCTGTGTGAAGTAAGAATTAGAGGCAGAGCACAATTTTCTTTACTTTGTGGGCCAACTTCCAGATAACAACTCCTTCACTCAGACCCTAGCATGAATATGTCTTCAACATCTAGTTACTGAGCTCTTGAAGCAAGGCAGCATATTAGGCACTGGGCTCAAGCAGGGAACAAAGTGAGCAGAGCCTCCACCCAACTGGAACTGACGATGGACAGTATGGCTGTGCTTTAGACACTGAAGGCAGTATAAAGAAATAGGAGTTGCCATTTCATCTTTCCATGAATTAATGACCTGTTCACTTTTTGTCTTTTTTTTTTTTTTTTTTTTTTTTCTGAGACAGGGTCCTGCTCTGTCACCCAGGCTGGAGAGCAGTGGTGCCATTTCGGCTCACTGCAACCTCCACCTCCCGGGCTCAAGTGATCCTCTCACCTTAGCCTCCTGAGTAGTTGTGACTACAGGCGTGAGCCATAATTTTTGTATTTTTTGTAGATATGGGGTTTTGCCATGTTGCCCGAGTTGGTCTTAAACTCCTGAGCTCAAAGCGATCCACCCGCCTCAGCCTCCCAAAGCCCTGGGCTCACAGGTGTGAGCCACGGCACCCAGCTCACTTTTTGTCTTTTTAAACTTAATATTTAGGCTAGGTGCTATAGCTTATGCCTGTCAGTAGGCTGGGTGCTGTGGCTTACGCCTGTCATCCCAGCACTTTGGGAGGCTGAGGTGGGAGGATCTCCTGTGGCCAGGATTTCAAGACTAGCCTGGGCAACATGGTGAGACCTCATCTCTACAAAAAATTGTTAAAAATTGCCATGTGTGGTGGGGGTGCATCTGTAGTCCCAGCTACTCAGGAGGCTAAGGTGGGAGGATCGCTTGAGACCAGGAGGTTGAGGCTGCAGTGAGCCATGATTGTGCTACTGCACTCCAGCCTGGGAAACACAGCGAGAACTTGCCTCAAAACAAAATCCCCCAAGCCCCCAAAATGTAATATTAATTAAGTACTTACATGTGCTAGATAGATACTAGTAAACAGAACAGTCTTGATCCAAATTATAAACCTTGCAATCTAAGTGTGGGAGGCAAGATACTGAGGAAATAAAGAGACAAATAAATATATTTCAAATTCAGGTAAATGCCAAGAAGGAAAAGAATAGGCTCTTAGGTGGGAATTATGGGGCAACATAATTTAAATTAAAGGATGACAGGAAAAGCTGTTTAAAATTAAATGGAGACAAGTATAAAATTCAGATCAGAACATATGCCTTCAATTTAACTTCTTCACTATCCTCTCTTCTAGTCAATTAGGCAAAATATGTAACTTCTAGAAAGACCCATCATCTTGTATGAGATCCAGATACGCATGTGAAGTTGACTGAGATGCTGAATGCAGAGAAGCCGTTCTCGCAAGACCACTGGGCAAGCAATATGCTCATAGGCTGCTGCTGCTTTGTCTTGCTTATTGTATTCTCCATTGCCTCCTAGAACTCCCTTTTGAAACTGCCCTGTAAACTTTATAAAATTAACCAGGGAAGGAGAGAGGGGAGAAAGGAAAATAAACCAAGTTTGCAGCATATTCAACATTAACCATGAGGTCAGCTTGCTCTCTGGCCTGCTTCTTCATGGTTTTGTGCCTAGTGTCCTAGAATCACCTAGACCCTGGATTACCATTTTCCTTAACCGCTCTATAGATAACAACTTTCACATTGTGAAATGTTAGTCTTCCCTTGGAAATAGTCCTTCAGGTCCTGCACACTGATCATGCTACTGACTCAGCTGGTCTGAAGGCTCCCCATGAGGAGTTGACTCACCAAAGAATGTAGTTTTCACATCCTGATGGATCCATCCCCCTTGTCTGACCCCAATTTTCCAACCCCTCACTCTCCATGATCCCCTTAAAAATTCCAGCCTGGAACTTCTCTGGGAGATGGATTTGAGGGTCTCCTCACATCTTCTTGCTCAGCACCTGCAATAATTAATTAATTAACAAAAATAGAGACAGGATATTTCTTGCTTTGTCACCCAGGCTGGAATGCAGTGGTGCAATCACAGTTCACTGCAGCCTCAAACTCCTGGGCTCAAGTGATCCTCCTGCCTCAGCCTCCCTAGTAGCCAGGACTATAGATGCCTACCACCATGCCCAGCTAATTTAAAAGAAAACTTTGTAGACACGGAGTCTCACCATGTCGTCCAAGCTGGTCTCAAACTCCTGGGCTCAAGCGATCCTCCCACCTCGGCCTCCCAAAATGTGGAAATTACAGGCGTGAGCCACGTGCCCAGACACCTACAGTCATTAAACTGTGTGTGGCATCTCCGCTATCTCTGTGTAATTGGTCTGTTACTGCAGCAGGCACATGAGCCTGTTGGTCCTATAACGCTTTCTCCATCTATGTTAATATATTCTTCTTCCCTGTTTCATCTATCCCACCGCCTTTTGACTTTCTTCCCCCATCCTCTCTTTTTAAAAAATTTTCCATAAGTTATTGGGGTAGAGGTGGTGTCAGCTTACATGAGTAAGTTCTTTACTGGCGATTTGTGAGATTTTGGTGCACCCATCACCCGAGCAGTCTACACTGCACCATATTTGTAGTCTTCTATCCCTTGCAACCCCCTCTTGCCGCCGAGTCCCCAAAGCCCATTGTATCATTCTTATGCCTTTGCATCCTCATAGCTTAACTCCCACATATCAGTGAGAACATACAATGTTTTGTTTTCCATTCCTGAGTTACTTCACTCTGAATAATAGTCTCCAATCTCATCCAGGTCACTGCAAATGCTGTTAATTCATTCCTTTTTATGGCTGACTAGTATTCCTTCATATACATATATCATATATATGAAGGACATATATCATATACATTCATATATATAATGTATGAAGGATATATATATCATATATATTGATATATATATACCATATATATGAAGGATATATACCATATATATGAAGGATATATATATCCTTGGTGCCTAGTGTCATTCAGAGGCACAAATGATGTAACTTTACACTTCAAAGCTTTGCAACTTGAACTGCAGGGGCTGTGGAACAGCAGCATTGATGCTACTTGGGAGCTTGTAAGAAATGCAGAATCTTGGGCGACACAAAACCTATTGAATCAGAATATGCATTTCAACAAGATTCCCAGTTGTTTAATAAATACAATGAGAAACATTGAAGTAGAGGATCCCAAAGCATATAGCCATGAGAACTAATAATCTTTGACACCATTGATATTACACATTTAACTTTCCTGGAAAAGCTATTTTTACTTTCTTAGTACTTTCTCATCTACAAATATTCTCTAAGTTATGATTTTCAACAGTTTGTTTAAAAGTTCTGTGTTCCTCTCTTGTTATCACTTCTAGCAAATAATAGTATAGATCTTTAAGGTTTATAAAACTATAACTGATGGGAGTTATCCACCACCTTTTAAGTAAGAGCCATATCACCTCATTACAATTAACCATTGCCTGCTAATGAAGATACCAGACACTGTTTTGTCCTTGGAGGTGGTATATGTTTATATCTGTGTCATCCCTGATATCAATAGAGAAAAGGAAGTGTTTGGCACTTTGAGAGGGAATTTGGTGTTGTGTGGAATATCAGCTCTGTTAATACCTGGCTTGGACCTTGATCAAGGCACTAAAATCTCCTTTGGTCCTAGATCTTATCTATAAATGTCTAGGTTTCATTATCTATCAGTAAAGATATATGCATATCCACATATATGAATTTGATTTTAAATATTTAAATCAAGTGTTGAATTGATATAAAATAAGATTTATGACTGGGCATGATGGCTCATGCCTGTAACCCCAGCACTTTGGGAGGCTGAGGTGGGCAGATCACTTGAGGCCAGGAGTCTGAGACCAGCTTGGGCAACATAGCAAAACCCCTTCTTTAAAAAAAAAAAAAAAAATTCGCAGGACATGGTGGCATGCACCTGTAGTCACAGCTACTTGGGAGGCTGAGGTGGGAGGATTGCTTGGGCCCAGGAGGTTGAGGCTGCAGCAAGTTGTGATCGTGCCACTGTACTCCAGCTTGGGTGACAGAGCGAGACCCTGTCTCAAAAAAAAAATTATAAACTATATATAGGATATAAAGTATCAGGATACAAAAAATCTGTGTATGCACTGTCCAGTTTAAGAATATTCTAATATCCCTTTGAAATCCTGTATGTCCCTGCCAGACACCATCCCCTTCCTTTCCTGCTCCTCCAATCACTCCAGAATTTTATCATTCTCTTTTCTTTAGTTTTACATTTGTAATCCCAAACCACATATTATTTAATCTTAAAGGTTTCTGAATTTTTATATTAATAGGATCATACTGCATGTATTTTGTGATTTACTTTCATCTGACATTATTTTCTTGTCATTAATGTACATTGTTTGTATAGCAGAAATTTACTTTCATTTTCACTACTGTATTGGTATTCTACTGAATGAATATATACCTCAATCTATCCATTCTACCATTATGGACATATGGGTTATTTGCAGTTTTTTGCAGTTATTTGCAGTTTTTTGTTATTACAAACAAAAGTAGTGATGGGAACTTTCATTAGACTTTGTATTAGTTTGGTGCAAAAGTAATTGCAGTTTTTGCCATTACTTTTAATGGCAATGACTTTGGCACCAACCTAATATTAATTCATAATACATGAGTTTCTTTGTGGCAGTGGTTCTCAATCCTTAGAGTACCAGAATTAGTGGGAAGCTTTTAAAAACCATAGATGCTTGGGCCCCACTCTGGACCAATTGAAATGTAATGTCTGGGGCCCAGCCACATGTATTTATAAGCACATAGGTTATTCTAATGTGTAAAGCAGGAAACGAAGGGGAGGGTATCTGGCAGAGACATACAGGATTTTAAGATCTATTCCTTTGGGGCACACACCTAAGACTGGAATTACTGAGTCATAGGTGACACACATCTTTACTAGATAATGTCAGATGGTTTAAGTGATTATAGAAGCATTTGTGTTTTGATGGCTTCACATCCTTTTGAATTCACATTTCCTTGATAACAAATAAAGGTGAATACTTCGTATGTTTATTAGCCATTCTGTTTCCTTCGTCTGTGAAATGCCTTTGTAAGGTTTTTGGGTTTTTCTGTTCTATGGTTTTTTTTTTTTAGACTGATTTTTGGGAGCTTAAAAATAGGCTTTGGATGCTGATTGTTTTGTGACGTGTTGCAGTTATATTCTCTTAATTTGTGGACTGTTATTTCACTTTCATCAAAAGACCATTAAGTTCTTATTTTTAATATAGTCAAATCTATTATTTTTTTCCAATTTGCAATTTTGTGTCTTTTTAAACAAAATCCTTCTCTGTCCTGAGGCAAAAAAGATATTTTCTTACACTGTCTTTGAAAAGTTCTATATAGTTTTTGCCTTTCACATTTAGGTATTCAGTACACGTGGAATTCATTTTGTGTGTGTGGTGTGAGACACGTGTTCCATTTTCACCTTTTCTCTTATGGACTACCAAATGTCTCAGTACCATTTATTCCAAGTCTATCGTTTCCCCACTGACTTGCCGTGCCACACGGGTAATAGTCCATTTTTTATGGTTCTGTTTCTGGGCTCTCAGTTTCATTCCACTGGTCTATTTGTTTATCTTCGTACCAATAAAATGCTGCTTTAATTATAATTCTTGATAAGGAAACTCCTTCCAGCTTCCAAGGGGAGTATTGGCTATTAGTCTTTTGATCTTTCATATAAATTTTAGAATCAGCTTGTCAAGTCCTACAGAAACAAAACCAAACAAAGACAGTTGTGATTTTGACTGGAACTGTGCTGAATCTTTAAACTTGAAAATAACTGCCAGCTGGTGCAGTGCCTCACACCTGTAATCCTAGTGCTTTGGGAGGCTGAGGCAGAAGCCTCACTTGAACCCAGGAGTTTGAGATCAGCCTGAGAAACATAGTGAGACCCCATTCCTACAAAAAATAAAATTAGCCAGATGTGGTGGTGCACATCTGTAGTCTCAGCTGCTTGGGAGGCTGAGGTGGGAGGATCACTTGAGCCCAGGAGATAGAGGCTGCCGTGAGCTATCATCACACCACTGCACTCCAGCCTGGGTAACAGAGCTGAGAGATCCTGTCTCTCTCAAAAAAAAACAAACAAAACAAAACAAAACAAAAAGGACTGCCATTTCTACTTTAGTATATGTGTTCTTATCTGGAAACATTAAATACTTCTTCACTTATTTTGGTTTTCTTTAATATCTTTCAGTAGTTCTAATTTCTCCATAAATGTCTTATACATCTTGTATTAGCTTGGGCTGCCAAACTATTTTCTCAGTTTTGGAGGCTGGAAGTCTGAGATCATGGTGCCAGCATGGTCAGGTTCTGGTGAGGGCTCTCTTCCTGGTTTGCAGACAGCTGCCTTCTCATTGTGCCCTCCCACAGCAGAGGGAGAGTGAGCTCTGCTGTCTCTTCCTCTTCTTACAAGGGCATTGAGTCTATTGGATCAGGGTTCCTACTCTTCTGACCTCATTTAAACTTAATCGTCTCCTTAAAGACCCTATCTCCAATACAGCCACATGGGGGGTTAGGGCATCAACATAAAATGTTAGTAGGGCCACAATTCAGGATATAGCACATCTTTTGTTAGAGTTAGTCCTAAATACTAAACATCTTCAATATTATTATTTTTCTTATTTTTTTTTCAAGTGACAATATCTTGCTATGTTGCCCAGGATGGAGTACAGTGGCACAATCACAACTCACTCAAACTCTTGGGCTGGGGCAATCCTCCTGCCTCAGCTTCTCAAGTGGCTTAGATTATAGGCATGTGCCACCACAAAAAATTGTTCTTCTATGGAGACAGGGTCTCACTGTGTCGCCCAGACTAGTCTCAAATTCCTGGCCTCAATCAGTCCTCCCTCCTTGGCCTCCTAGAGTGCTGGAATTACAGGCATGAACCACTGCACCCGGCTTACTTTACTTATTATTAAACTTTTAAGTGTTTTGTGGTATATAAACTTGCAATTAATTTTTGTATATGGATTTTGTAAGAACTTGCTTTAATACAGAAGACAGCATATGATAGACCTAAAAATATTATCAAATGTCAACTTTTTTGAAAATTTATTTCACATTTATTACTAGTCACATAATCCTCAAAAATCTAAGTTCACAAATGATCATCACATGAGCCCTCTTCTCCATATACACATTTGTTAGTGTGAAAAAACAATTTTGTACAGTATTTTAGTAGTTACATGATTAGCAAGCAACAGAGAAGTAGTGAAAGCTGAAGAACTCCAAATGCATTGCTCATAGGACAACCACTCAAACACAAGCAGCTAGGCAATAAAGGAAAATTTCCCATCCAGTCATTGAGAAATGCTAAAGGCATTTTATGGTGACATGAATGCTTAAGTTAGTATGCAACCTATAGGGCAAATAAAACTGCTATATAGGTTGGTAATTTTGCATTTAAATATTTGTAGTATGGTACTACCCATTTATCTAACATTTAATAATACATAAAATTTTAAGTCTGGGTTCTCAAAACAGTTGCTTGGTATTTTGGTATAGTGTCTGTTATACTCAAATGCTTCATTCAGTTATCTTTTCTTCTTTCACAAGGTTTAGTGGGACTGTGCAATGCTGGAACAATAATCCAGAATGTCCTGAATAGTGAATTCCATTGTAACACCAGATCCAGGATAACAGCGAGCTATCAAACCTTCAAAGTGCTTATACTGGCGTATAAATTCATCTTGCATGGAGTGCCACACCACCTATTATTAAAAAAAAAAGTCATTAGGCTATGAATGGAAATAATATGTAATCTAGTATGCAGAAATAATGCCAAGGCATATTCTAAGAATTTGGGTAGTATAGTAGCTAGGAACATGCATTCTGAAACCAGAATCCCAGTCACTTTTACCTACAAGATTTGTAACCTTCAGTACATGACATCACTGCTCTATGCCTCAAGTTCCTCATCTATAAACCAAGATAATAATAAGACCTTCCTCATAATGCTGTGAGAATTAAATAAGAAATGTACATAAAGTGCTTCAAACTGCGTTTGACACAAGTAAGCACTCATGACATTTTAGCTATTATCTTATATACTCCAATATGCAACACAGATGTGGATATGCACAATTATGTATAGAACTAAGACTAGTGATTACATAAAATGTAATGCTTTAATTTCATTTCCTATAACATTTAAAGTTTTCTTTATCTAAAATTGTTGATGCAAAACCTTGCTTGATGCCTTGGAGGACAGCAAAATGACTCAGACCCATTATCTGCAATCATGTGATTTATAATCTAACAGTGGAGGCTAATATGTAGACAATTACCAAGACACAATGTGATACACACATTGACATAATGGCTTAAATAGATTACATTAATTGAAGCTTACTCTTTATCAGCACAGTACAAAGCACTTTATGAATATATTATAGTATTAAGTCTCATGATGACCTGGTGAGGGTGGGTATTATGATCATCTTCCCTATTTGACAGCTGAGGGAATGTATTCTTCCAAGATTTTTTCTTGTAAATCCTAAATCTCATAAATCCTAAATTCCTGCCAACTTAAGACCAATCGCTATTCCCTAAGCAGTGTTATGCTTTTTACTTTTCATCGTTTAGCTCATATTATTTCTTTCTAGAATGCTACTCCCTCCATCCCCACTTTGCCTGTTCAAGTACATCTGACTTTCAGAGGTTAAAACAAACAATGCAATATCCCTCAGGAAGTCTTCCATGATGTTGAAATCAGAATTACTCTCACTCATATCTGGGCCTTTCAATATGGTTTATAAAGAATAATGGCCTAATTTGGACTTTAAATCTGGCTCCACTACCCATTAGTTAAGAGAGCTTGGTCCTATTACTCCACCTCTCTAAGCTGATTTTCTTTCTTTCTCTTTCTTTCTTTTTCTTTCTTTCTTTCTTTTTTTTTTTTTTTTTAATTGAGACACGGCCTCACTCTGTTGCGTAGGCTGGAGTGCAGTGGTAGGATCATAGTTCACTGGAGCCTCAATCTCCTGGGCTCAAGTGATCCTCCTGCCTCAGCTTCCCGAGTAGCTGGGACTACAGGCACGTGCCACCATGCCCAGCTAATTTTTTTAATTTTTAGTAGAGACAAGGTCTTGCTATGTTGCCCAATACAGTGGCTACTGTACAAGAGATGTATCGTTTCCACTTATCAAATAAGGAAACTAAGGCTCAGAGAGGTTAAGTAACTTCCCAAAGTCACACAGCTTAATCTGGAGCCAGATTATGAACCCATCTCTAATTCCAACCACTCAACCAACCAACCAACCAACCAACCAACCAACCAAAGAAAAACAAACTTAATGCCTCACCATAATATAGCAGAAATACGAAATAAGCAGAAATAGCCATATATGCTTATATAAACAGTATTCCTTTCTTCCTCACAATTCATTAATCTGGTCTGTACTCTAATGGAACTCTCCTCCTGCTCTAGATCTGTAGCATTTCTAGAAAATTATTTAAAGAAAAGCAATATATGTAAGGATCTTTAAGTCAGATGGTCAAAAGAAGTAAGCATACCTGAAGTAAGTTCTCTTCTTCACATAAATGTTTATCAACTTTCTTGTAGAGGTTATCTAGACCTTTTTTTACTTCCTTTCCAGGGTACTCCTTAATGACTTTACGAAGTTCTTGTTTGTTAAATGCAAGTTGGTAACTTACTTCCTCCTCCCTTATGCCCTGTGCCACGCGAGCTTCAACACCTTCAAAGAAATGCTTCAAGGAAATGAAAAGAAACAATGGCTAAGACCTGCATTTATTATTATTTACATTAAAAAAATCTGATTACAAAGTAGTGTATAATCACCATGCAAAAATCAGTGTGTGAAAGTATAAACAATAAAATAACAATCACTTATTAACATACTTCTGAGATGAACATTGTTAATATTGTAGAGTTCCTTGTAATCTTTTGATGTGTGAATACATACAGGAGATTAAAATTTCATGTCCCACTTTACATTTAATATTGTTTTTTCCTAAATATAAATTTTAATGGCTGCATAATATTTCACACAATGACTGAACCACAATTATTATTCATTCCTCTAGTACTAGATATTTAACATCCCACTCCCCCTTCTTTTTTTGGACTTGGCAAATCTAGTGAGACTTTAGAAAATCTACTATAAATATATTTGTCATAAATTTTTTTTGTATATAAGTATTTACCCATCTTACTGATTAAATTTCCAGGACTATAATTACTCTGTTGAAGAGCATAACTTTAAGTATTTGAAAGATTCTTCAGTATATATACAAACTGCTTCCTAGGAAAGCTCAACCAATTTATATTTCTGTCAACAGTGTATGAGGTTGCTACTTCACTATACCATCATAAGCATTATGACAATTTATAACAATAGTTGCCAGAGTAAAAAAAGTTTGTCATTTTATTTTATAATTCTTTGGCTATAAATAAGGTTAACCTGCTTTTATATGTTTAGTAGTGATTCAGCCCCTTGCCCCATTTATAAATTGGGGTCTTAGTGCTTTTCTTATTGATTTTAGTAAGATTTTTTATATTAAATATACTGACTCTGTTATATTATTGTAACTATTATTCCCAGGTCTTCTTTTATATATATACTTTTATTGACTGGCATAACTGTATTTGAGCACGATACAAAGAATTAATGCTGACAAACCCCATTCCCTCTCATTACTTTTTTCTAAAATTTTCTTAGTGATTATTCATTAAATTATCATTCTTTGAGAAGTTATTCTTAGTGCTTTAAAAATTTTGTTTTTACATAAGCTCTTAATTGGTAGACAGGAAATACATTGTTTTTCAGTATATTTGCTTTAAATTTTGTCACTTGACCAACACCAGTAATTTCAACATATCATATACAGGTGGTGATAATCTCGTCTCTGTTTTCCATATCTCTTATTTATGTTTCAGGTCTTGTTGAACTGGCTAGTGCTTCAACAACAATGCTAAATAATAAAGGATCTAACAATATTTCTGCTTTAAATTGATTTCAGAGGGAATGTCTCTAACGTTGCAGTTAAGTATCATGTAAGCTTTAGGCCTGAGATAGATCTTTTATCCAGTTAAAGGAATATTTGTCTGTTCTTAAGTTTTATAAGGAATTAGTTCTGCATTTGATTAAATGTCTTTCAAGTATTTCTTTGAATTGTTGACAGCAGATACATATTCTTTTTTTTTGTTTTGTTTTGAGACTGAGTCTTGCTCTGTCGCCCAGGCTGGAGCGCAGTGGTGTGATCTCCACTCATTGCAACCACCACCTCCTAGGATCAAGTGATTCTCCTGCCTCAGCCTCCCAAGTAGCTAGGACTACAGGAGCGTGCCACCACGCCCAGTTAATTTTTTTTTACATTTTTAGTAAAGACGGGGTTTCACCTTGTTAGCTAGGATGGTCTCGATCTTCTGACCTCGTGATCCGCCTGCCTTGGCCTCCCAAAGTGCTGGGATTACAGGTGTGAGTCACCGCGCTATTTTACTCTAACTTCAAGTTAAGAGCTTATAAAAGATAACTATATTGCAGACAAAGTTAGTTTAAAAGGTTCATTTAAGCTTTCACTATCTTGTAAAGTTCCCTAAAATCATCATTTCTTAACTTTAATTAACAGACTTACTCTGGGAAATGACTCAAGTAAGGAAAAAAAAAGAAGGGAAAGAAAAGTAAAAGGCAATGTAGAAAGCAATTTTTGGTTTTTCTTTTATCTTAATAATATTTTTGAAATTTCCACCTAGACATTGTAAACTTGGTCATTTATAAAGTAAGAAATGGGAAAGAGTAACGGCAAAGCCTAATCTAGGTTCATCCCCCAGCTTTGTAATTTATAAGCTATTATGATGTCGGGCAAGTTTTTTTACTTTCAGTTTCTTCATTTGTGAAATGGGGATAATATTATCTTAGCTTACACATCATTGTTTATAAGAATTAAAAGAAATAATGCATAATAGAATACTAGTACAATTATCATTAAAATATAGTAGATAAATAATGTATAAAAATAATGTACAGAAAGAAGAAATAAAATATATAGCATCTAGCAGTGTCTGGCACACTGGCAGCTTCAATAACTGAGTCCCCTGTGCACCAACACATGAGAAAATTTAAGATAAATGTCTGCAGGTTATTCATATGCAAACTTATGTGTATAGGTTCAAAAGTAGGAAAAATACTGAATGAAAATATATTTACATTTAGTTTTTCAAGAGGTTGTCCTAAAGAGTAAATGACATAAGACTGAAGGTGATCTGTGTATTTTTGTTTGGCTTCTTTTTTTTCTGCTTCTAGACATGAGATTTTCAATCGAGAAAGAGTTGCAAAAATATGGTGAAAGTTTTCCATCATAACCACATCCCTGGGGGTCTTCTGGCTTTCATTTGCTACTTTCTCCACTAAAACCAAAACAGAAAAAATAAAATAACATCTCTGAGTATGACCATATTTAGCTATAAACATTTATACTATTAATTTTTTTTCATTTGTAAGTTTAAGAATTAAGCACATTTCTGGACTTAATACAATATATTGTAATGGGAGTCTTCAGATCTACCTAATCATAATAAAAAGTCATCCTAAAACAGTCCCATGTGTATATGGAAATTCAGTATATAATAAAAGTAGCTTTTCAGATCAATGGAGAAATGATGAATTATTCAAAATGTGTTAGGACAACCGGCTGGACCATTTTAATATATGAAATTTAAGTTCCTACTTTACATCTTGCAGTCAAATTCTAAATTGCTAAATTATTTAAAATGTAAAAAGCAAACAAATAATACAATCATAAGTACTAAAGAAAATATAACTAATAGAAAAATAATAATTTTGCAATAGTGTGACCTTGCTAAGAATGGCCCAAAATTTAGAAGACTGTTAAGGGGAAAGATAAATAAATTGGAGATAAAATTTGAAAATTCATGTAAAGTAAAGACACCATATACAAAATCAATGAAATGCAAAATAAAATAGTGAGATAATTTATAGCCTATCAGGTTGACAAAGAATAAAAAGATTGGTAATACCTAGTAAAACCCAGCATTGGTACAGCTGTAATGCAACTGCTCATAGCACTAAACTGACATAAGCTTTCTGTATCACAATTTGGGAAAAGACTTGAGATACATAAATCCTTTGACCCAGTAATTCCATTTCTAGTAATTTACCCTAAAGAAATTATTTGACAAGTATACAAAGATAGATAAACTAAAAAAATCCTAAATGTTTATTAATAGAAGATTTGGTAAATGGATAATGACATATGGATGACTATGCAATCATTAAAAATGATTATGTTTATCTATATTAACTAACTAAGAAAGATACTAAGATTATATAGAGTCCAGCAGCTTCAAAAATAGTGTGTCAGGTATGACAACACTTTTATATTAAAGAAAGCACACATACAATATGCCCATATATAGAAGAGAGGGACAGGGAATTTAAAAGTTTGGAAGAATAAAAATTTAACATTATCTCTGTACAACAAGATTAAAAATGATCTTTACTTTCTTCTTGATTTGAAAATTCTATTCGCTGATTTTTGGGGATAAATAGTTATTTATGTTTCAGGTCTTGTACTGGCTAGCACTTCAATAACAATGCTAAATAATAAAGGATCTAACAATACTTCTGCTTTAAATTCATTTCAGAGGGAATATCTCTACTGTTGCAGTTAAGTATCATGTAACCTTTAGGCCTGAGATAGATTTTTTATCCAATTAAAGGAATATCTGTCTGTTCTTAAGTTTTATAAGTTTTAGTTTATAAAGATTTATAAAGAACGAATAATGAATTCATTCATTCATTTATTATTTATTTTTAAGACAGGGTCTGGCTTTGTCATCCAGGCTAGAGTGCAGTAGCATGAACAAGGCTCACTGCAGCCTTGACCTCCTGAGCTCAAATGATTCTCCTGCCTCAGCCTCCTGTGTAGCTGAAACTCAGGGACACACCACCACGTCTGGCTAATTTTTTAAATTTTTTTTGTACAGACAAGGCCTCACTATGATGCCCAGGCTGGTCTTGAACTCCTGGGCTCAAGCGATCCCCCAACTGGTCCTTCCAAAGTGCTGCGATTACAGGTGTGGGCCACTGTGCCTAGCCACATTACTTTAGAATCAGATAAAGCAAAGCTACTTTGAATTTTAAAAGAAAAAATCAAGGCTGGACACGGTGGCTCATGCCTGTAATCCCAGCACTTTGGGAGGCCAAGGCGGGCAGATCACTTGAGGTCAAGAGTTTGAGACAAGTCTGGCCAACATGGTGAAACCCTGTCTCTATTAAAAATACAAAAATTAGCCAGGCGTGATGATGCCTGCCTATAATCCCAGCTACTTAGGAGGCTGAGGCAGCAGAATTGCTTGAACTCGGGAGGTGAAGGTTGCAGCGAGCCGAGATTATGCCACCGCACTCCAACCTGGGCAACAATTGGTGAGATGATTCCATTTTCTATCAATTTTTTAGCTTTTACAATTCCTGAATATATGCAATCAGATCATTTATTTCAGATGAAATGACATGTCCAGACTTTTCTGTAACTTAATTGTGGGATCTGACACAGGAAGAAAGCGAATTACAGTATTTCAGCACTAATTTCTCTTGTATTTTAGTACTAATTTCCTTGTATAGTAGATATGAAAAACTGAGTCCTAAATAAGTGAATTGATTTGCTTAAGGTTACACACACATCACAGCCCATCATCTCTAGAAGACCACTTGTTAAAATGCAAATGTAATCTGGAAGGTCATGTTTTTGTGTTTAAAAAATGATTTTCTACAAAAAATTAGCAGGGCATGGTAGGGTGCACCTGTAGTCCCAGCTACTTGGGAGGGTGAGGTAGGAGGATCTTTTGAGCCTGGGAGGTGGAGGTTGCAGTGAGCCAAGATCATGCCACCGCACTCCAGCCTGGGCGACAGAGTGAGGCCCATCTTAAAAAAAAAAAAAAAAGATTTTCAATTTTGCATAGTCATAAGCCCACATAAACCCTAAAATGTAAGTGGTTCATAATGAATACAAATAGGTTTTATTTTCCAAATTCAAGAAATCTTTAATGTTAGAAAACCTAAAAAAGATTATAAGATATACAAAATAATGAACCTATCTGCTCCCGATTTCTTAGTTACCAGAAATAAAAACAATAGCTATAACAATTCTTTAGAACATAACAAAAGCTTACCATTAACAAATACTCCTCTGATAAGTTTGGTGTATGCTTTATCCAGGTCTCCACGACGCTCAGCATTTTTGAAGATTGATTCTGCAAGTCCAGCAAATTCTTCAAATTCAGCAACAAATGGAAGAATTCCAACTTTACTCTTTTTTGAGATCTTTACTTCTTCCATTTGCCTTATTTGGTTACTCTAAAGTTAGGCAGAGAGCAAGGGAGATAAATAACCAAGCAACTTTAAAACTACATATAATCATAACAAAATATATAGATGGAGATATAGATATATACATAGATATCATAGAGGCAGGATATTATGTGGTACCTAGAACACTTTGGATGCTTACTAATTGAAGATGAATCAAAACAAGGATAACTAAGAAAAACTAATTCTATAGATAATAAAACCATTTTACAGTAAGTTTAAGAAAATCAAAATAATACAGATTATTTAAAACCATCTATAAGCTGGGGACGGTGGCTCATGCCTGTAATCCCAGCACTTTGGGAGGCCAAGGTGGGTGGATCGCTTGAGGCCAAGAGTTCAAGACCAGCCTGGCCATTTTCGTCTCTACAAAAAATACAAAAAAAAATTAGCTGGGTGGGGTCGTGCATGCCTGTAATCCCAGCTACTTGGGAGGCTGAGGAATGAGAATTGCTTGAACCTGGGAGGCAGAGGTTGCAGTGAGCCAAGATTGCGCCACTGCACTCCAGCCTGGGTGACAGAGCAAGACTGTCTCAAAAAATAAAATGAAACAAAACAAAATACAATCAAGGCCGTGAACTTCAAGTCTCTGTACAAAGTAAAAACAGTCAACACACATTTCTACCATTTATGAAAGATGAGTACAAGGCAATTACTGATTTTAGGTTACAGGAGAGAAGATTCCAGAGCACCTATAGGATCCCTCCGGGTAACTTCTGGTTGGTGGCCACGTGGTCAAGTTTGAGAACCACAGTCATTTCCAATTTTCGTCAGTCTAAAATTTCTGTCTGGATAGACAAACTCTCTATTTTCAGAGTACAGAAACAAAGAGGGAGGATAGGCATTTCCATATGGATTTGCATTATTTAATTTTCCATATATTTATTAGTCACTTAGCCTTAGTTCCACAAACTGCTTGTGCATTATATGACAAAATGCGAAAGAAATGTTTCATGCAGACAGAATCTTAGGTTCAAAACGATCCACGGATTCAATTATGGTTCTATGATTCTGAAGGGATCTAAATCTACTCAGTAGGAATGATTACACTGCCAAATACTTTTGTATTATTTCAGCTTCTACCTAACATTTCATTGTGTTGAGATTTGGGGAGTATAACTCAAAAACCATATGACACATGGATTAGAAAAATAATTATCTCTAGGCTTCTGACATTAGTATAAGAAAACCCTAAGAGTATAGTCAGTTATTTCATATTATCTGTACTAATGTTCTACTTCATCAGTATTGGTAACTGTGAGGTGAAAAACAGATGCAGTAGAAAAGGTAGTGGTAAGATTGCAGGTACTAGAACCAGACTTTCTGGGTTTGAATACAAGATCCATATTTTTTAACTGTGGACCTGGGGAAAGTAACTTCACCTCTCAAACAATCTACCTTATTGAGGGGCTGGGTTTAAGATTAGATGACATAATGTGTGCAAAGTGCCCAGACTTGTGCCTGGTACACAGTAAGCACTCATTTATAAATGCTGTCTATTGATCTTATTGACCAGTGTTCATAAATGAGAGATAAGATCTTATCAAAAATAAGACATTATTGAAATAAGATATACAGAAGTATGACAGGCAGAAGAAACCACCCTCCTCTTCAGTGGCAAACCTATGTCCTTTATATATATATATGCAACTTATGAGAAAATATGAATTTATATCTTTGTCTAGATTACCTTCTCTAGTGCCATGCCTTGAGAAGTGTTCATGAAGCATTTTTTAACCTGGCCTAGCCCAATTCATACATACAAGTATAAAAAATGTAATGGATAGATGGCCGGTGTCTCTTGCTTGTAATCTCAGCACTTTGGGAGGCTGAGGTGGGCAGATCACCTGAGGTTGGGAGTTTGAGACCAGCATGACCAACATGGAGAAACCCCATCTCTACTAAAAATACAAAACTAGCAGGGCGTGGTGGCGCATGCCTGCAATCCCAGCTACTCGGGAGGCTGAGGCAGGAGAATCACTTGAACCCAGGAGGCGGAGGTTGCGGTGAGCCGAGATTGCACTGTTGCACTCCAGCCTGGGCAACAAGAACGAGACTCCATCTCAAAAAAAAAAAAAAAAAAAAAAAAAGTAACAGATAGTAAGAAAGTTGTCAAATTTTTTTCTATTAGGAGGAAAATGATAATTGCTCAGTTATAACAATTTATTCCTAAAATAAAATACAATTATTAAAGCTACTAAACTATTAAAATAAATTAAATAATTAAAATAATCAAATTAGTTTTCTTACTAGAATGTATTAAAAGAAGAACAATAACAATAAACCCAAATGATTGTTTCAATTGTTTCATTAAATCAATGGTCATTGACTAATAAACTGAGATGTCAGTGATTCGGTAGATTTTTTTTTTTTTTTTTTTGACACAGTCTTCACTCTTGTCACCCAGGCTGGAGAGCACTGGTGCAATCTTGGCTCACTGCAACCTCCACTTCACAGGTTCAAGCAATTCTCCTGCCTCAGCCTCCCGAGTAGTTGGAATTATAGGCATGTGCTACCACGCCCGGCTAATTTTTGTATTTTTGGTAGAGATGGGGTTTCGCCATGTTCTCCAGGCTGGTCTCGAACTCCTGACCTCAGGTGATCTGCCCACCTCGGCCTTAAAAAGTGCTGGCATTACAGGTGTGAGTCACTGCGTCTGGCCTCCAGTGGATCTCTTAAGCAACTGGTGCCACTGTGCCACTTCCTCCAGAACTTGCCAAGATTCACAGTGTGGAATGGAAACTAGCTGGCATAGTGCCACCCAACTAACTCTGTTCATGTAGATTGTTGCCATGCCCTGCTTCGAGGGACATAAACAACAGATTCCCCAACAGAAAGCTGGAAATCCCTCGATTTTAAATACATTTACCTATATTTTGCAATGACTAGGATGCTAAGGTATTTTTTTAAAAAAGAAAACTTACAATGCATTTGTCAAAGTTCCTTTTGACAGTCACCAAAACATTTCCCAATGTAGTACTTAGGAAAGAAGCAGGGTCCACATTTTGTGCAGTCCACACATGATGACTCATTTTGACTAACATATAAAGAGAGTTAAAGCTATCAATTTTGTCTCCTAATGCAATTAGGTTGTTCAGCTCTGGCTCAATGCAGCGAAATATTTTAATCATCATTTGGCGGATCATATCTTTCCTGTTCAGAAAACAGACAAGAAGTATAAAGTTATAACAAGCTTCAGGTGAATTCACCGTTAACTTTAATCCACTGGGTATATACAAAAGGACAAAAATACCATAATTAAATTTCAATTAAAAATGTCTAAATAGCCAGGCGTGGTGGCTCACGCCTGTAATCCCAGCACTTTGAGAGGCCAAGGTGTGCAGGTCACCTGAGGTCAGGAGTTCAAGACCAGCTTGGCCAACATGGTAAAACCCTGTCTCTACCAAAAGTACAAAAATTAGCCAGACGTGGTGGTGCATGTCTGTAATCCCAGCTACTTGGGAGGCTGAGTCAGGAGAATCGCTTGAACCCGGGAGGTGAAGTGCAGTTGCAGTGAGCTGAGATGGCGCCATTGCATTCCAGCCTGGGCAGCAGAGGGAGACTCCATCTCAGAAAACAACAACAACAAAAAACAAATAAAAATGTCTAAATATGATTATAGTAGTTTTTGATATAAAAATATTTTACTGATGTTGGGTTTTATCATTTGAATTAGTTTTAATTTGTAAAGCTGGGTCATGAAATGTGCTTTGTGATTTCTAAGAAATACACTACAATTCAAAGGCTTCCCCCTACCAGCAAACAACAGACTGACTTCATCTTCTGTAAGTCCTGGAGCAAGGAAGAGTTGAAGAGCCATAAAATAGGCCCTATTTTAAATCAGTAAAACGTTTGATAAGACAATGGACACACATGCTGGTACTGTGAGTGCTGTCAGGCTACTGAGAAACATCTAGACCCCTCAATGAGCAGCACTCCACATTTTAAAGTTTATTTTTTCCAAAATAAACAATGATAGTAACAAAGACATACTCAGATGAAACAGGCAGTGGTGTGCCACAATTATGTTGCCGTGATAATGTTCCTCCATCCAGGTCCTCTGCTTCAGCCTGCAAAAATTATTCAGGCACTTTACATAATAAAAGACCAACAATTTGACTAGTATTGATATAGCAAAAGCCTGCTCAGTCTTAAAATTCCTAGGAAAGAATACATTATGAAAAATATTTTTAAAGGTAGCATTATGATAAAGCTAGCTATATAATTTAGTATGCTATTTAAGAATGTTCATGAGATACTCTTCTTAGGTTTTATCCAAGAACTTTTGTGGGGTGAGAAGTTGTATTTGTGTGTGCACCTGAGGGGAAGTAGGGAGGTACAGGAAGCTGAACGCAAGGTGTGGGAGTGGGGGCAGCTTGACAACAACCACCACAAAAATAGAAAACGTCCAAACACAACTTTCAAAAGAGAATTTAAAAAATTAAGGAAATCTCATCAATTATTCTAATAGAACTTCAGCATTAAAAAAATGCTATAAAAAATTCTTACAGAGGCCAACAAATAAACAAATTTGCCACCATTACTACCATAACAATGAACACTCTAAACCATTTATCATAATCCATTTCTCATTTATTTTATGACTGCTTTTATAAGTTGGTTGTCTGTGGCATACAATTTTGAGATGATAATTTAAAAAACACTTTATTTGCACTGTTTTTAAGTTCTTCAAAATACTCAAGAAACTCTCTCATCTTATTCTCTTATATGTATGCTACCAGAAAGGCATGCTGAATAGGCACTATGATATCTACTTTACAGAAGAGGAAAGCTGGGGATCGAATAACTGGCTTAAGATCTCATGGCTAGTTAGTAACAAAGCCACAAGGAAGGCAAATCTGAGGCCTCATTTTCTTTTATTTATCATTATTGTTATTTGGTATACCAAAGTGTATACACTCTAACATCATTTTAAAACATTATATTTATCTTGATGACTACTAAAATGTTAAACTAGCCTTTTAAATAATGTTCTTTGCAAAGTAAACTCAGACATTCCTCCCCCCACTAATTTAGAGAATATTTAGGCTTGTAATATTCTGAAATATTAAATTAGATGCCCAAACTTCATCTGTCACTGTTTTTATCATCTTGTGGTATTACAAAAATTCCTTACATCCTAAATCCTTACATCATAAAAAAATCCTTACATGATAAATTCTTTCCTTTTCTCTTCTGATCATAAAATTGTGACCACATATTAATTAAGCTAATTATATTACAGATCATAAATACTATCCAAAATACACTGTGAGCCATACCATAGTTCCAGGCATACTTTGATGTTGCTGTAGTTTGAAAAATTTACTTATGAAGTCCTGTTCTGCCAGACATAGGGGCTCCAGTTCACTTAGTACCTGTTCAAAGATCTGAAGAAAACCAAAGTGATCCTATAACGAAAGAACTGCACCAAATGCTTAAAATAACACTCCACATTTAATTTTCTTTTCTGCACAGACCATGGATCCATAATCTCACTAATCTATGAATTTATAATCTCAATGGAATCCCAAAAACAAACTCTTCCAAGATCTACAGGACAATGGTATTAGCAAGGTATAACAAGGCCACAAAATAAACCTAAAATAAAACTCACAGTTATTCACTTCACATCTGGAAAGAGGAGCACAAAGATCAACTTTTAAAACTTATTTATGGCCAGGCATGATGTCTCATGCCTGTAATCCCAGCACTTTGGGAGGCCAAAGCGGGCAGATCACTTGAGCTCAGGAGTTCGAAACCAGCCTGGCCAGCATGGTGAAACCCCATCTCCACTAAAAATACAAAAATTAGCTGGGTGTGGTGGCAGGCACCTGTAATCCCAGCTACCTGGGAGGGAGGCAGAAGAACTGCTTGAACCCAGAAGGTGGAGGTTGCAGTGAGCTGAGACTGTGCCACTGCATTCCAGCCTGGGTGACAGAGCAAGACTCCATTTCAAAAACAAACAAACAAAAAAACTTATTTAATTTAGTACAGAGAAAGGCCAGCATCACAAAAGCTTTTATTTCCTCTTACTTTTTAGGTGCCCAAACAACTTAGATTTGAGATATAAGCATTTTATGATTTATAACAAATTTTAATAAAGCTTTTATGCCATTTCATTGATAATTCACATTTTACTTGTCCTTTGACTAGTTTTTTTTTTTTTTTTTCCCAGATTCGATTCAGTTGGAAAGACATGGTTAATGCTTAAGAGAGCCAGAAGAACCCAAATCTTTGAACACACTTAGAGCAACCACAAACTGCTGTTAGAAAACTAATGTTAATGTTTAAGAAGTACTTGTTATTTTAGTTTACCTTATCAAATTTGGTCCTGTCAGCAACATCGAGATCAGAGGCAGACATGTTTCCCATATCCAACAGGGAAGATGACTGAGATCTGCGATTCCCTGAACTCTGAACACTGAGCTTATTTAGACTAGAAGTAGATCCAGTTAATTTCCCCGAACTTCCATGAAGACCTAAGAAATAATAAAACTTTGAAAGTTGTGATCTTCACAAATAAATGATCCAAAGTATAAAGCAGGGATAGATCTTCTATCTTCTACTGGCTTGATCTTCCAGGGCTCATATTAGTTAGTGCACAAATCTTCTATAAGGGATAGGTGGTATAGTTTCCTTATCTTCCATTAACATTGGTGTCCTAATTCTGAGCATATTGAAAAAAGAAGCGAAACTACACAGATCCATAGAACGGGACTGAAAGGGACCTTAAGGAGCATATTGTCTATAACCTGCCCATTTCATAAAGTCGCCTGGTGATATCGCTAGACTAAAGTAGATGAGGGTTTCTTTTCCATTCAAAAGGACAGGAATATGGATGAAGGTCAATGAGGACCACGTTAGCATATTAGCCAGCATGACTTTGTTATACTTCAGAAGAAAACTGCTGCATCTCAATGTTACCTCCACAATAAATCAATATATTAGGTTGAACCACATGAAACTGCCCATACTTGATCATTTTGCCCTACCAAAAAAAGTCAATTACATATGATTCAACTTAGTATGTTCCAAACTCTGAAACTGCTTTTCCAGTAAGTGAACTGATTATAGTCCTTTAAAAACTAAATAAAATGAACAGAAAAAACACCCTGAAAACTCGTTATATTTAAAATACAGCCGAAATGTAATACATACATCACTAATCATATTAATATGGGACATCTGTGTTTAGGTAAAATTTTGGTATCCGTCATAGCCATGAGGAAAAATGAGAACATATAGCTGGCAATAGCTCACATACACCAAGGAATTAAAGGATTTGATTTTTAGAAGAAAATGTGATATTTTTATTCAGAATTAAACATAAACAATAACTAATATATTTTAAAAACATCCTTCCTGAATATCTCTCAGTTAACTTGTACTATTTGCTAATGGTCAGAAAAGACAAATGAAGACAGAACAGGTACAATTAAAGATAAACTTTGGCTTCATTATGTAAAATCCGACCATATCTATATAAGATTTTTTATAGTTTCTAAACAGCCTGAAAATAGAAGTATAATGGTTAAGTCTTTTCACAAATTTCTGACACAATGTTCTACTACTCGTCAAGTAATTTTAACTATATCATATATTTCTTGGATACAGCCATATCACTACCATCATGTTGGCTTTCTTTCACCAATACCTGGCAATTCAGAGCAATCAAAATTTTTGGTGTTACCTTTTTTCAAGACAACTAATTTCTAGACATTAAACAAACATGCATTGAGAATACCTACTAATACACTAAGCATACTCACTCTCTGTTTCCTGTTTGACAGCACTTTCTTTTCGAGGCAGTGTAGCTGTGATGGATTAGGTTGCAAGCATCAAAGACAAAGACAAGTTAATAAACTGCAATTTGCACAAACCATGCACAAGAGGAAGTTAAAGCTCTAGTTTAAAAGACACATGCAAAGAACCATGAGCATCAAGTAACAAGAAGTGCAAACACATGTTTAGTTGGTCACCTACTGTTTGAGAAATTATATGAGAGAAAAAACTTTACTTTTAATGTATTGTTTTTACTCAAATATTCAGGTAGAAATATCTATGTGTAACCCCCCTACACTTTAAAATGTTTTTTTTTTTTAAGTTTATTAAGCTGGTACACTTAAATTTAAAAGACTAAATTTGCAAGTTTGGGTTTCCTGAGAAAATATAATTCAAGTAAATAAAGTGGCAATTTATTAGAATGCAGCTGCAGATTTAGATGTCAACAATCTTGTATTCCCTGAAAACTCCTGAAAGGATTCTCCACTGACTAAATAATTTTATACTATATCCAACAAAAAATTATATGAGTGGGGCTTTAAAACCACTGAAAAGTTAAAACTAATTATCAAGCTGAATTACTTAATCACTGGCTTTGTGAGTGCTCAGAATGAAAGATATATATCATAACACTAACAATCAGATGTATGAATAAAAGGGTAAAGTTTAGGGAACAGATGTAATATAAGAATTTGAACTCTTTTTAGGTCATTAGGCATTTCTTTTATCTAAAACTTCTCTCTCTATAATATTTATTAGATCAATATGAGAGCTAATTTTGCAAAAACAGTCTATACTCAAATTAGAAGTTGATGTGAAAGGTGAAGAAAGATCATAGGATGAAACAGAATGTTAAAGAATAAAACTAAAACCTAAAAATATCTTTAAAACAGCAAAAAGATGTGTCAACTGACATTATCCCTGCCAAGCTTCAAGGCAAAAATCTTGTCACATCAGTGACTGGTATATCTTCATCAGTGACAGGTATATCTTTCTAGCCTTGGCTACCTGAAGCTCAAGGGAATATGAAAAAACAAGGCTGGACATTAAAGTGGCAAACAGGGATCACGCTGGAGCTACTAGCTAGCCAATCTGAACAGTACTTTCTGGTGCCTTAAGGTGTCACTATGCTATGTTCAGCAGTGCCAGAGCAAAATCTAATTCTTTATATGGTTTCCTTTTTTTTTTTTTTTTGAGGCAGGATCTCATTAGGTTGACAAGGCTGGACCTGAACTCCTGGGCTCAAGTGATCCTCCTACCTCAGCCTCCCATATAGCTGAGATTATAGATGTGGATCACCATGCCTGACTAGTTTTCTTTCTTTAGTAGTCAATAAGGAATACAGACTTAGTAGTAGTGCCTATTAATTATAATTTGAGGTTCATAAAACAGCCTATATCCCTTATCAGCAAGTGATAACACTCAGGTAAAATGTTAAATATCTTTATATAATCCCCACTAGAATGTAAACTTCATAAAGGTAGGGTCTTTGTTTACTGCTGCATTCCCAGTACTTATAACAGTGAGTTATTAGATAATAGGTAATTTATAAATATTTATTGAGTTAATCTTCCAGCCATCCCTGAATTCAGCATTGTATTCACGACTCTTTGGAATCAACAAGGTTTCCTAGTTTAGCGGAGAAACAATAATAGAATAATCTTGGCTATTTTAAAGATTTGGAATATTAAATTGGAAGGAGGGCAATGATTATGTAAATGTATGTATTAAGGGACTAATGAGAGGTGATATATATATCTCAACAGTAGAAAGTAAAAATGGTGACTAAAAAAAAATTACTAAATTTCCTTTCCCTGTCATTTCATTAAATTTGTAGAATACAAAGGAAAAAAATACACTGAAACATCAATCCTGTGGGAAAAAATTCCATGCCTTTGAAAATATCAAAATAAATCTATTTAAAAAGGCAGTAACCTACACAAAGGTCTTATCACAAAGAAAAGCTACTTCCCTGGTACGTTAGCATAATTTTGAATTATTTCAGCTAAGTAGATGTTAAAGACTTGACTCAAGAGTGGCTGAAAAAGAAAGGATTCTCTATTCCCCTGATTCTCTATCACTATATTGACTATATAGTTTCTTTTTGTAAGATGCATTCATTCTGACTATTCTTACCAGCATTTATTCTTACTAGCATTTGTGACCCAGAATTTTCAGAGCAAACAAGCAAGCAAAAAGCAAAATTAATTTAAATTTCATTTATAATTACTTAATTTTCATTCATTGAAAAGTCATCATTCTAAAATGAGATTTCTATTTTAATTATAATTACAGATGCTCCTTGACTTACGATGGGGTTACATTTCTTGTTTTTTTTTTTTTTGTTTTTTTGTTTTTTTGTTTTTTGAGACAGGGTCTTGCTCTGTTGTCCAGGCTGGAGTGTAGTGGCACAATCATGGCTCACTGCAGCCTTGACCTCTCAGGCTCAAGTGATCCGTGCCCCTCAGCCTCCTGAGTAGATGGGACCACAGGTGCATGTCACCATGCCTGGCTAATTTTTGATTTTTTTGTATATATGGGGTTTTGCCATGTTACCAAGGCTTGTCTCGACCTCCAGGGCTCAAGTCATCCTCCCGGCTCAGCCTCCCAAAGTGCTGGGTTTATAGGTGTGAGCCACTGCGCCAGGCTGGAGTTACATTTTGATAAACCCATTACACGTTGAAAATATTATAAAGAGAAAATGCATTGAACACACTCAACTTACTGAACACCAGAGGCCTAGCCTACCTTAAACATGGTGAAAACACATTAGCCTAGAGTTGGGCAAAATCATTTAACACAAAGCCTGTTTTATAATAAAGTATTGAATATTTCATGTAATTTACTGAATACCATACTGAAAGTAAAAAACAGAATGGCTATGGGTACTTGAAGTATGGTTCGTACTGACTGCAGACTGCTTTCAAACTACTGTAAAATAAAAAAATCCTAAGTTGAACAATTATAAGCCAGGACAGTCTACAGTATGAAAAATTCATTCAAACACAATTTGAATCACTGAAAAGATATCTTTGAAAAAAATGTACACTATATCTTATTTAGAACTTCTCAAGTCATTTGCATTTAACTTGAAATTAATTTTAAAATACTAGCTAAAAGTTGGATTTTCAAACATGAACCAATTTTTATTCTCCAAATTGTTTAGTTTTTCTTCTCCTGTAGCTGATATCAAAATAATTGATACTGTAATTTTCATTTGTTTTATAGAACATTTCACAAATTAGTGTGTCATCCTTGCACAGGGACAATGCTCATCTTCTCTGTATTGTTCCAATTTTAGTATATGTGCTGCTAAAGTGAGCACAATTTTCTATGCACTCAATTGTCACAAATAACTCTCCTATTCCTTGCTATTTAATAGACACATTTAATAGAAGATATGTGATCTTAACACTTATAAAACTACAAAACTACCTTTTAACCTGTATTATGTTAGTTAAAAATGTTTTTAACAAGATAATTTAAGAATTTCTCAAGGAGGAAAAAATTTAGGTTTCAGGTTAATGCAATGATAACATTAAGATACTATTGTACTTCAGTTATATTCTTATTATTTCATTTATCTTAATGTGAATCTTAGACTCGATAAACTATTATGATACTGGGATTAATGACCTACTCAGGAGATAATTTTAGAAATATTTCTCTCTTACCTCCAGTTTTCATATACTGAAGGAGTTCTCTCAAAATAAAATGGTTCACTAACAAGTGGTGACAAATATACTTAATGAAAACATTAAACATGTAACTGCATTAATAATATGCTGTTTACTCAAAAAAAAAAGCATAACATATCCACAGTGAAACATTAACAGGGATATAAACACACTGCTGTTTAAGAACAATTAACCTTTAGGATGAGTTAGCATTTCTGTTTCCGAAAGCCTACTGTCCCAAGATTCTTATCAGTATCTGTAAAGTGTAGCATATTTACAGACAAATTCAAACCATTTCAAATGTCTGGACTAGTATAATCAATATATTAGTGTTGCATTTTTTTAAAAACAGTGAGTTACAGAATAATTACCCATTAATGACAGTCTTCTCTGTCCTACAGAAAAGAATGGAAACATGTACTATCAGTTTTGAATCATGTTTCTTGATTACTGAAGTTGCTTAGGGCATAGGCTCCTTTCAACAGGCAAATGCTAAACTCATTATTCTAAAGGGGAGCTATGCAGACACACTGAGGAGTACACAATGTGGCCATTTAAGGCCAGGTTTTGACTTGAATAGGCACAAAACTCCATCCAAAAGGAACTCCAGAGATGGATACATGCAAGAGCAGAATGTGGCCTCGGCAAATCACCTTCCTCATAACTTGATACTGTCACTGGCTATTCTTTCAAATAATGTTTTTGTCCATTTAAAATACTTATAAACAACAAAAATTAACATGCATCAAAGCATCTCTTTAGAAAAATAAGGTAAAATAACATGAGAATGTTTGGTGACAGTTTTATAGCCCTTTGGCAGGGGAGAAAATATTTAAACTTTCTTTTTGATTCAAAATAGCCAGTGAGAAGTAAGAAGCCAGGAACCAGTTTCATTTCTATGTGGAGAGCAATGACTTAAGAGATTAGTGACTTGCCCCCAACTGTTATAAAAAGTCTTTTAGGGAATCAGTTAAACTGAACTCCCAACATCTGTCTCTCAGTCTAGTACTTTCTCTACTTGACTGCACTTCATTTTCTCACCAACTGCTGTTCTTATGAATATATATATTTGATTACAGCATGAATACACAATCGCTGTCACAGTCACATACTGCAGAATTTTAATTAAAGAAAATTTACAGATATACATATTTGTTCTATGAAACGGCTATAAATCAAGCCAACGTTTTAGACCTCTTTTTTCATAAATTCTGCTGGATCTACCTCCACCTTGCTTAAGAAGTCTTAGAATTATTTGTTATAAATAAAGCCATTTTTAATAGGAAGATAATGAACTGACATGCCTAAGCTTACCAAACTTCTTGCTTTCTTTAGTTGTGCCAGTCATCTTGATCTTTGCAACTTCAAAGAAATCTTTGATTTCTCTTTCATATAGTCGGGATAAATAATCCATGTAATTCTTAAAATAAAAGTAACATGTACTTCTTATTAATAAAACACATATAACAATTTCAATTTTTCAATTCCCCAAGTCCTTCATGCTTGTTTTAAATTTCATAGTCCAAAACTTTGATGTATTTCACAGGATATAAAAATAGGTTACTTTCTGTCTTAAAAAACAATTGAATAGGCATCATAACATTAACAATTTACAAAAATATGAAGTCAAACATAACCATATTTATATTTTCATTTTTCTATATTACCTTTTGCATATTTTAAATATCACTGTAATCACACTATACAGAATATCTAAATCAGAACAAATACATTTCTCCAGTCTCACATTTTAATGACAGCACAGTATTCAGTTTTGTTGGTGTAGCACCATTAAGTAAACCAATCCCCTAACACAGGACAATGAAGTGGTTTCCATGTTTTGCTATGATAGACAATGTTACAATAAGCTTTTCATCTCTAATGAACTATTTCTTTGAAATAATTTCTTAAGGATGGAATAACAGGGTCAAAGTGTATGGGAATCTTAATTGCTCTTCCTCTATATTGTCATGTTGCTTTAAAAACAGACCAATAATAAATAGTGTCAATGGCACTTAAGAATATTTAGTTTCACTGAGCCTCTGCCAGCTTGGGATATTACTCCAAAATAGGTTATTTTCCATAAGAACTTCATTAGTATATCTTACAGTTTTCAAAATCAAGTAATTAATTTTCTTAAAACAGATTTGATTAATTCTCGCTTAAATAAAAACATTTTTGTATCCTTTGGCATACAAAAATCATTTCTTCATCATCTCTACTTATTATCACATAAAAATATACTCTCCAGAAGAGTTCCTCAACAGTGGGAGACTGTATATTTTTCCAAGTATGAAGTTAAATGCCACAAACAGAATTTGACTAAATTTAAATAAACCAGAAAATAAAATTTAAATAAAGCAGAAAAGTTGTACCTATTCTTTTAAGTTTATCATAAAATCTAAGCTTCAATTTCCTATATTATTTCAAATTAATGTGTCAATTTTTAGAACATGTTTACCTGCTTTAAAGATCAGGTATACCTTCCAAAAGGTACATGTTGTGTAAATATTTGTATATTGATTCACAGTTTACCATTGATTGTCTTAAAATATTTTATAGCTGTATTCTTATAAAATAGCATTTGGACCAAACATAATATATATAGATCCTGTCCTTTTTCAATTTGTATGCCATATACATTTTTCACATATCTCTGTATCTAATGTAAGAACAGTTAGTCAAATGGGCAATTATTTCCCATGATCTTTGTATAACTTTAAAAGCAAATATAAATTAAAATTCCTATTTCATTGGGATGTATTACTTTTTCAGTGGGACTCAAATGACTTAGATACCTTTTTTCCTGGCACTCAACAGAACTGACTGATAGGAAAGACCACAGGAAGGTTTTACTGTATCAGTGTCTCTCCAAAACTCTATGATGCCAGCCTGGGCAACATGGTGAAACCCTGTATCTACAGAAAATGCAAAATTAGCCGGGAGCGGTGGCACATGCCTGTAGTCCCAGCTACTCAGGAGGCTGAGGCAGAAGGACTGCTTGAGCCCAGGAAGTTGAGGCTGCAGTGAGCTGTGATCACATCACTGCATTCCAGCCTGGGTGTCAGAGTGAGACCCTGCCTAAAAAAACAAAAACGAAAACAAAAACAAAACAAAACACAATACAACAACAACAACAACAAAAACCCTATGGTAAGTTTTAAATTTTAAGATGGTACTTTAGAATGCTAGTTCACCATCTTCTCTACTGGCTCTCTGATTTTTTTTTCCTTCCACTCACCTCAGCTTCTCTGGCTGATTAAATCTGCCTTTCCTCACAGCAACCCTTGCCTCTAGTGTTTGGCTTTCGAGTAGCAAGCAGTGGAACCTGGGTCCGCTGTAGGGTCTCCATGGTTTACTTTTTCTTTATACAATGTGAAAGGAAAATAAATCTTGGGGCCCCAAAATCACTAAGTTATAGGGAAAAGTCAAGCTGGGAACTGCTTGGGCAAATCTGCCTCCCTTTCTATTCAAAGTCATTCTTCTGCTCACTGAGATAAATGCGTATCTGATTGGCTCCTTTGGAAAGGCTAATCAGAAACTCAAAGGAATGCAACCATTTGTTGCTTGTCTACCTATGATCTGGAAGCCCCCTCCCCACTTTGTTGTCCCACCTTTGCTTCAAGTTGTTTGGCCTTTCCAGACCAAACCAGTGTTCACCTTACATATACTGATTGACGTCCCATGTCTCCCTAAAATGTATAAAACCAAGGTGTGCTCGGACCACCTTGGGCACATGTCGTCAGGACCTCCTGAGGCTGTATCATGGGTGCGCATCCTTAACTTTGGCAAAATAAACTTCCTAAATTGACTGAGATCTTGTCTCAGACATTTGGGGTTCACAACAATAAGACAAATTCTACAAATGTAAAACTGAGGTGGAGAGAAGACATGTGAGTCATCTTCAAGTCAGACTGCCAATCTCAGGAGGCTATTAGGAGAGGAAAACTCCTTTCCTACCCAAGCATGGATGGACCATCTCTACTAACTACCCTACATGTATGACCCAGAGTTGCAGACGAAGGTAGCAGTCCCGGGAGGAGGGAATCTGGGCAGTCCAAGCTACAACTATTTTCTGTATACCAAAAAATGGGGCTTTGCTTAGATTCAGCCTCAGTACAGCTAGAGGCAGTGGCTAGTGATTCTTATTCCCAAAGAATTTTGAACAAGTTTTTCCTGTTCCTGCCAAAAAGTGTGAGCTGTGTAAACCTAACCAAGTGCAAATAGCTTTCTGAATTATGATTTCTTACTAAAGAAACACTGATTGGTCTGTTTCCTTCTTTTTTCTTCATTCCTTTCTTCTTCCTTAAAATTCCTGTTTTTGACAACTCTTCAGCAACCAAATTAGATGATGAGGTAAAAATACATAATCTGTGAAAAGCTCAAATCACAGGATGACGCAACATTCCTGGGAAAAAGTCAATTTCATTTAAAAAGCTCATTAATATTGTCAATCAAAAATATACTCTGAGCAGAGAATGATTCCATAAATCATTACTAGGTTGGCTCTAATCTTGTTTCTTCACTTTAAATTACATTCATGAATACTGCATTATATATAAAGATAGGGCAATAATACTCACTGGGAACACAATTAGGCAAAAAGCTTATTGATTACTTATTTGAATATTCACTAGGGGACAAAGCACTTGTTGGCACAAAACTCTTAAGGAAATATAATTTATGTTTAATTATTCAGAATATTAATCCTCCTAAAACTTCAAAAGGCAAAGAATTCCAGTAATGTAAATTTTTTCCTTAAGATATCTCCAAATCTGAATTCTGTTGAATGAAAACAAGACAAAAGAAAATATAACACAACAGTGGAGGTGTATAATGCTTAATATACTAATTCTGAGGAACTAAAATAATCTCACCTAAAATAGCTAGCCAGACAAGAAGTATATAAGCACCTCAGGAGATTTTTTTTTTTGAAAAGCATTTTTAAAATTATAATTTAAAAATATTATTTATTTTACTAAGGTTTATATCCCTTTTCTTATTATCTCAGTTTAGAAGTCCAAGAGCCAGATTTTACTTTAAATGGGCAAAGGCACTTCAAAGAGAAAATACATGAAAACTGATACATAAAAATGTCCTACTGTCAAATACGTAAACACAAATGCATGGATAGGAATACATAATTTGCCTCCTTCTTACTATCACACTTTTCATAAATCTCTACCTAACCCTTCTGCTTTCTTCTGAAGCATGACTCTAAGATACCAGATAGAAGTTGCTTTTATATTAGCAATTCCAATATTCTCATTCCACAGAGACAAAACATATCATTATTTCCAATTCTAGAACATCTTTTAGGGCCATATTGTCCATATAATTATTATTAATTATTAACACAGCTTATGCATTAGATTTCTTATTTTTAAACTTCATATTCACAAAAACTTACAGATAAAAGATTTTAGATGTTTCTCAGAGTATTTCAGAATTTTAATAAAATGGATCTTCAGCCAGGACTATCTAGAATACTATTAGCTATTTACGTATTTGACTAGATAGGTGGGAATTCGTTAGCTCTATTTTTTTAAAAAGGGATATGATGTCCAATTCCTAAACTAAAGATCAACAGCATAAATGCCAGAAAAGGACTGTCCCTATGGCTTCCTGCTACAATGGCTATTAAATCTAAGTCAGGCCATGTCATTCCATGGCTCAAAGTCTACCATCTCCCCTCCCTACCCTGCAATGTCATGCACAGTAAAAGACAAATCTTTGCATGGTCCACAATCCCTTCCAGATCCACCCTGCCCCCACCAGGGTCTGCCCCTGGCTCACAGTGCTCCTACCACACTGGCCTCCCTGCTCTGCAAGCACAATAGGAACGCTCTGCCTTAGGGCACTTGCACTGTGCCTGGAAAGCTCTCCTCTGGAAATCCTTATCCCACGCCCTTCTCCCAGTCCTGGCATTCCCTGCTTTATTTTCTCTAGAACACTCAGCAGCACCTTTTAACATACTATATAATTAACTTTTTTGTCTGTCTGTCTCCTCTAGAATACGTACTCTGAGAAGGCAAGTATTTGCCTGTTTCCTTCAATGCTGTATCTCTAAGTGCTTACAAGTGTTAGCACGTAATAGGTGCTCAATTCATTTACTGATTGAATATATGAATAAATGACTTTGCTCTTCCCCAAGTGCAGAATTTTAGTCAGCAGTATATACTACTGTTCTAAACTCCAAGCCCAGCAAGTTTGGCATCAACCTGTTCCTTCTGCTGTTGGAGTCTCTCTTTTGGTTTATATTCTCTATCTATTCCCAACACCATCTTCCTGGCTCAACACTTCATTTCGTCTGAATTATTACTTTAGGTTCTTAATTAAATTTCCCTCATTTAATCTTTTCCCATGCTTGAGGAATGCTGGTAGGTCCCATAGCTCATCTTTTTCAACATAATTTCTCACTGCCCTAGAATAGGAAATTTCTGCTTCGGTCACCCTTAACCTCATTGTTCTAGGACAAGCGTGTATTTTTCCCACCTTTGTCTGCACATCTCTCTCCCCATCCCTGGAATGCCCTTTCTCTTATTTCTGGTTTATTTAATTGCACTCATTATTTAAAATCAACTGAAGTCTGATATTGTCCATGAAGTTTCCCCCATGGTCTCGAGACAGAGATTTTCCTTGTCTATACTGCCACATGCTTAAAATTCATTTCCAGTTTAGTGTTTAATTTTTTGCTGATTGTTTTATGTATGATTCTTCCCAGTCAGATCTAAAGCGCATTAGAGTAGATGCTTATTAGGTAGGCCCCAGGTGCCTGGAATAGTGGAATGCTTGCTTAATAAAGAGGCACTTTATATTTCCTTAACAGAACAGATTATAAATCCACAGAGGGCAAATACCTCACTTGCAATGCTCATACTTCCTTGTTTCTATACTGTACATAAAGAAACTCAGGAAATAAGCATAGCATTTAACTAAATTGATGCTTTAGGCTACAGTATGGCTTAATATTTTTCCATACTGAAGTTTAAAATTTAGCTCTCCTTTATCCAAGTTAATAAAATGAATGTTATCACTGGTAAAGAGCACTGACTCATTTTCTGCTTTGCTAAGAATGTACTACAGTATTTTAAACTTGGGGAACTGAACACATGACCTCTTAATTCTAAAAGATAATGCTCTATTCTCAGTGAGTAAATGACGTCAAATCCATACCTTTGTTAGTCCTTCATATTTTCCATAATCTGTACTCTTTAGCCACTCCATCAGCTTGGCATATCGGAGCAAATCTCTATGAAATGGATGATGATTGGGTAAAGTCAGTTCAACAGAGTGTTGGGCAAGAGTCGAACTCTGATCATGACCCTAAAGTGAGTAAAATAAGTAAATAAATGTAATCAACAGTACAAAGAAACGTTACAATAAAAAGTCTAAACAATGACCAAAATGTGGCCAAGCCAAACCAATAAGACATAGAAAAATAATTAAGAATAGAACACAGAAAAATAAAAACCAAATACTTACACAACTTTTATATCCTGTGTATATCAAATGAACATTACCACCATAAGATAATCATAAATACGCAAGAATGGCACTCTGATAAATCAACTACCCATTCCGTCTTTTAAAGGAATGAAGATGGAACGTTTTAATGAAGCTTGTCTCTCTCATACCATATTTCACAATTTACCAAGCAAATGACCTTCTTGATATAGCTTGAATTAAGAAACACAAATAGAGAAATCATTCAAAACAGTCTACATTTATGGTATTCCCATTAGAGTTTGTAATATTTAAAACAACAGATAAAAAAAAGTAGAATATAAAGTCTTAGAGCTTGGAATTGGAACCTTGGTCATCTGAGTCTTACTTCTGTCTTGGAGCAGATTCAAATTGAAAATACAATTTCCCAACAACAAGCAAAAGGCAAACCAAGACAGATTTATTTGATGTAATTTTCACTCAATCTAATTTGCCTAGATAGCCAGAAGTTATTTGTCAGCATTTTGTGAAAACTGTATTAAAATTACACAGACTGCTAGAGTTTTGGAGCTAGTTAACTCATTTCCTGATAAGGTTACCTAAAGCTAATTATGAATGTGTATCATACTAGTTGGTACACATTAGCTAAATAAGCGTCCTGAATTTAAATTCTTTTAAGTTAAAAGGGATTTCTTTCACCTAATTTATATACTGTACTATATACACAAAATAACCTAGTGGTTATGAATTTTAAAAAATTTTCTTTTAAATACAGACTATTCAGAAGGAAACATTTCTGGCCTAGAGGAAATGAGGAGTTCCTTGGTAACTGAGAAAGAAAGATGGGAGTATAAGACATGCCAAGTACAAAAACCCACATCATTATCCATGTCCCTTCTTCATAAATGTTTTCAAATCAGTCTGTTGGAAAATTTTCTTCATGTGAGAATATATCCCAATTTAAAATGGAAATTAAAAAGAAAAAAGGACCCATTATACAGAAATTACATATAAAATGGTAGAAAACAACCAATACACTTCTCAGATTCATCTTACTGATATCTACTTAGGTTAACTTGGGAAACTGAACTAGAGATGGCAGAAAAATATCACAAAATGAAACTGACCAGTTCAAAATAACAAGAACTAGAACACAGGGGCAACAGAAGTTCACAGCTACCACAGATGTTATACACAAGGTATATTAATAGGTCCATAATCCCTTTCTGTAATTCTGACAGCCAAAAAGCTCTGAAAACTCAGACTAAGCTTGGCACCAAAACAATTTTGATGGTAAAATGTGACCTGAACTGACATGGGCCTATTTATAGTGCTTAGAGTGACTATTCATATTTTTTGTTGCAAAAACATGTGCTTGGAGTGATTATATAATATACAGTATATATACTGTATTGCTTTTCTAAAATCTGAAACATTCTAAAAACACTCCTGACCCCCAGAATTCTGGATAACGGAGCGTAGACCTATGTGGATATTCTTTTCTGGGTGGCTACCTGAATATAAAACAATCACATCTTCCAAAAGAATCAATGAGGACTAAGAGCTAAAGTGTTGAAGAATGGAACAATTCTGTATTTTTAGAATGCCTGGGCTACCATATCTTTTCTGTAAGGGCTAACAATAAAGATGAACAAAATCAATAATATTAAGTAAAATACACAGGCATTACCATTGGACTATTATCTATTTCTATGTTGCCAAAGGTCAATATAAACATTCTATTACAGAAATGTTTTCTAACCAAGATGCCAGAAGGATAATCAGGATTCTACAGCATCACATGTATTAGATACTAGCCAGATATAGATATTATAGTTTTAGGTCTATAAATGTCTCCAAATTGTGTTTTATTTTTTAAAAATTTATTTTTATTAATAGAGATGGAGTCTTACTATGCTGCCCAGGTTGCCCCCAAACTCCTGGGCTCAAGTTATTGGCCCACTTCAGCCTCCCAAAGTGCTGGAATTACAGGTGTGAGCCACTGCGCCTGGCCTAAACTATGTGCCTTAATTGGTCACGCTGATTAAAGGGGAAGAATATTTGACAGACTTATATCATACAAATGTTTACCAAATAGTTTTTATTAGTAACAATGTATCGTTATCCAAAACAATCTTCCTCATTAATTTTTCTCAATGATTCAAGACTCAAAATTATTGTCTATGTTCTTCTACTACTGTTTACTCAGGCACAAATGTCAATTAACTTGTTCAAGGTAACCCAGCTAGGAGGTAGGAGAGTCAGGATTTTGAACCCAGGAAGTTTGGCTCTAGTGTCTGCACTCTTAAGCACTTTGCTATAGTGACTTTTTTAAAGAAATGATACATTGGGGTCAAAATTTGAATAAATTTTCAAGATTTGGAACTCCTTCTTTCTGTTATGGCATACTTACTTATTCTTTTCTTAAAAAAAAAATCTGAGCAAAGTTCCAACAAACCTCACAAAAATAGATCTTAATCACAAGTCTTTCTAAGCTTTTAACCAGAGATCATCAATCCGTGTTTACAAATATGCTTAAGGAAACAATTTTTGTAAAAGAAATTGAATGCTGGTGGTCTGCAATACAGGTTTTATTTTATTATAGCTTGTTTCTGTATATGTATGTTGAGAGAAAAATTTCTAAACTTAAGCATATGGTAAAAAGTTCCACAACTTCAGTTTTTTCCTGGTTGTACTTTTAGTTCAGTGCATTTCAGTTTATTTTCATTTTCTCTAAGTTATGTACATAATCAGTCTCATCATGTTGCTAAAGGCAAAAGTAGATAGAATCATGAGGTCTCTGTAGAACCAAAGGGGGAAACAAAAGGCAGAGAGTAGTTATCAAAATAAATCTTTCAAAAAACAACCAAAACAATTTTTTAAAGGACATATTCTTTATGCAAATATTTCCTCAATTTCATTAGCCTTAATTTGACTGTTTTCAATATCATAATCCTAATTAGTGTAAACTGACCAGATTCTCATTCTTGATCTTTCTAGATACAGAAATCCCTAGTAAATGTAAAAATTATGGGCAAGAGCCTATAATTTCAGGGGAAGTTGAGTGTGTAAGATCTGAAAGATCTAAAAGAAGCTAACTACTCTTTATGTAACATTACTCTCATATTATATTACAGTGATTATTATATTAAAATACACTTCAAGTTTCACTTAAGTATAGATAACACAGAAGTATTAATAGGAAAGTTGCATTACAGATAGCATGCTCTGGATCAGTCATTCCCAAATGCAAGATGTTTTTCCTGGCCTATAGCAATAAGAAAAAGTACAATGAAAGAAGTGAGTCCTTCATAAGGGTAAATGTATTAATTTTTAAAATCGGAAAGGAAATTCTTATTCTTTTAGTGCCAAAATGTCATTTTTAAAATGAAAAGATAATGAAAGTGGATAATAGTATTTCTTTTTAAAGGTCTTTATTTGGTAAAATAAAAAAATTGGTGATTTGGTCAGTCTCCGAATTTTATTTCTTTTAATTTTACTAATTTGTGAATTTTAAAAAGACTGAGAATCAATGCTTTGAAATTACTGTTATATTGTGAATAGATTATTTTCACTGGATTCTTCAGTACAATATTTGTAAATGTTGTAACTATACATTTGCTATAAACTGTATTGCATGGACTCGTTCAAGTCCTACCTTATCTGCAATTCCTTCCATATCTCACTCCTTAAATTCTCAATAAACTCACTTTTGATTAAACCTTTTTAGCACTTACAGTCCACAGTTCTACAATTAGCAATTTATTACATACATTGCTAATGTACATTAGTCTTAACTCCTTACAAAGAGTAAGTACATTAGTTTTAATTCCTTCTTACAAGCATCTTGAGGGTAGGAACTATTGCTTATTCTTATATATGGTAGACAGTGAGTACATAATAAGCATACAATGAAAATTCTGTGATTGCCAAAGAGGTGTACCATATTATTTTAATCAATTTTCCCAGCTTGTCTCCCTACCAGGAATAGAAATACCCATGTTTCTCAACAATTTTGCTAGGTGACCTGATGCACTGAATGCAACACTAAGAAAATCTTTCTTATGTGTGGGATATCTTCTTCCACCGTTTTTGGCACACCCCAGGTTGTCGCAGCGTTCTGATTTTTAACATGCATCACTCACATGTAATAACACATATCAGCTTTTCAGAAATGGGAAGCATTCATTTTAAACGAGGCCATTAGTTTACAAGGCAAGAAGCAAAATCATAAATAACTGCATGTTACAACAAACAGTTAAGGGTACAGAAAAGACTATTGTTTACTGGCTGGTATTTTCAATACTATCTAACAAATGTGGATAACATAATTGTCAACAGTGTCATTTTTAAAAACTAAGGAATTGTATAGAAATAGATGTTATTGAAGTAAGTACCTAACAAAAACATGAATTAGTATTTCCTATGTGACATTTAAGCTTACTTTTTTCTCGACACTTTTCAGTCAAGTGGAATGTTAAGGGAATCTCTCTGATTCCCCCCTACCGTGCTTTTAGTTAGGTGGTCTTCCTTTACACTCCCACAGTCTCGCTGTCATAACATTTATCCCTCTTGAGTATATTATTTGTTTGTCTCGCTTCCCTAGACTGTGAACTACTAGAGGACAGGATTGGTCTCTCATTTATCCCAAGTTAATGTCTGGTATGTACCTCAATCACCTGGCAATACTAAATAAATGAAGGATTAATATTACTACTATTACTAAATGAAGGAGTAATATTACTATTTATTACTAAATGGAGTGAAAAAATGACAGAAAGAAAAGCAAGCAGAATGAGATTAAATGCTTTTTTGGCCAAAATAGTCTCTACTATGGGACATTTAAAAACTGCTACGAATGTGGTTAACAGGTAGCTTAAATCAGTAAGTTATAATCTGTAAAGATTCGGCTGCTGTTAAGTTTAGCAAACTTTATAGAAAAAAAAAAACAGAATCAGAGAAGCTTGAGCCAAATTTGATGTACTCACAGGAACCGAAAGAAAGTAGGACCTGTTATAGAGTTGAAGGAGGGCCTGAGTAAACTAATTGGAAATAAAATATAGTAAATACAATTGTTTTAGAATATTGCAAAGTGAAAATAAAGTAAAAATCCATTGTTTTCAGGCAGTATTTCTTGATGAACGAGATATTCCCCCAATTTTTTTTCATTCTATAACTCTAATAAAATAAAAGGGACTTTTAAAAGAGATGAAAAAATAAGAAACCTAATTTATTGTATTAGATATTAAAATGGCTTTTATTCAAATCCCTCAAAGGTACTCTTAATATTATTAATAACAATATTATTACCACACTCTTAATTATAACATCCTTTTCCATATAAAAATATAGGTAAAGCATTTATATGAAGATTAGATCAACTGAAATTTGCAGTTGAGCTAGTCATTTTCTTAACAATTATACTATGTACTAAGTACATAGAACTTACAAAACATTTAAAACACTGAATCAAGTCCTGAGTCTCACCTCAAAATACTGAAAAATAAAACAGGTCCAATAGTAAATATCTAACAAGTTTGGACTTACTTTATAAATAAAAATATCTAAGTAGTATATGCAATTCATATGCATAGTTATTTGATTTCTAGAATCAGAGAGCATCAGCTGAAAGGAACTAGACTGTCTACCAAAAGAGGCAGCTGAGGCCCAAAGTACATCTATGAGCAAAGAGGCTCCTATTTCAAAATCTTAAAATCAAATATGTGAAGGAATTGACTGCAACCCCAATTAAACATATTAACATTTTTGTGGAAATGTAAGGTTAATACATAAATAAGCTATAGGAACATGCTCGTTTTAATAATAAAATAAAATTACCTGTTGAACAAAAACATTGTTGAGGTGACTGGCCAGTCTCCGGGCAAAAAGCTCTCGCAAATCACTGAATCGCTGCTGTTGCTGTTTGACTGCCAGAAGCAAGTCATGGCCTGACACAGAACGACATTTTGTGACCAGTTTAATGGGTAAAAAGATTTCCTTGATGTTTAATGGAACATTAAACGTATCTAACGTTTTGAAGAACCCAAAAGTTTTATGGGTGTATTCATTTACATGATAAAAGTTAAGCAGGAGAAAAATGGGATTTCACAGTAGTTCTCAAAGTGTGGTCTTGCCTCACCATCGCCTGGGAACTGTTAGAAATGTGGATTCTAAAATCTCAGCCCAGATCTGCTGAATCTGGGACTGGGGCCAGGCAATCTATGTTTTTAACAAGACCTCTAGGGATTCTGACGGACACTCAAGTTTTGAAATAATTGCTCTCGTCTAACCAAAGCACCTACTTTCTGCTGGGTTCTGTGGATAGTACTAAATAAAGATCATGGTGTTGACTATAGTCATTGAGGACAATTAGAAGGAGGAACTGAAGTAAAAAAGTTCCTAGTATCAATAGAAATAAGTTGGGAAATCAGTGAAACTTGAATAGCTAATAATGTAACCCTTAAACCACTTGTCTCATGTATTTCTTGTCAAAACCTTTATAACAAGTTACAGGCTTAGTCTCACATTCTTGGTCACATTTTTGTCATTTCTAATGAACATACCTGGTCGAAGAGCTACATTCATGCACTGCAGAAGGGCATCAGCAGCATTGGTGCAGGCCTCAATGCCTCTGGAAGAAGCAAGATCTCCTTCCTGAAGGGCCTTTATATGACCTTTGGCCAAGTCCATGTGGTTCTAGAATATATGCAAACACACCATTTGCATGTGTAATTTTGGGAAATTTACAGGCAAGATGCTATTCAGTCCTATCATTAGGTCTTTGGAATTATTTTAAATCCTGTTCTCACAAGGAAATTAAAAAATGTTTACAAATGGGTTTTATATATCATCACTAGTTTTTTTTTGTTGGTAATTTATGATCATACTTACCACAAGGAACTCTATCTCAGATAGGAGTTTTACATTATTAGTGTTACTAAGATGAATTAGGTGGTTGCTTTCAGAGATCTGATCCATTTGTTCTTTTACACTTTGGAGCATTTCCTCATAACTGCTCAGTTTCAATTCAATCTGATCTACCTCCTTTAGAGCCTCATCTAGCAATTTCATCAGGATGTTGACTTGTTTTTCAGATGCCATGATTGACTGGATGTTAGCCTACAAAGTTAAAGACCAAAACAAACAAACAAACAAACAAACAAACAAAAAACATACTTGTTATTTAGATGTGTAAAAGAATAAAGGTGAAATGTTGCTAAATTTCCTTGAAAGTAGCATAACAAAAATTGATATATACCTACACATCTACTTCAGTTTATCACTTTATGTTCTTCCATGTTTTACACAGTATTTCATGCAGGTACACTTGCCTCTAAATCAATGTTAGGGACCATGCCTTAGGATTTTATATTTCCACAGACTGCACAAGTAAGGTTCCAGAATGCACAAGTAAGGTGCCAGAAAGTATCACTGGTAATGGCACATTCTCATTTCTATACATTTAGGAGGCATTAGGCCATGTTATCTCTAACATTTCCTCCAATTCTACCAGCTAGAAATTTTCTTAACACCTATGTGAAACCCTAAATAAAAGCATAATCACCTATGTGATATCTTAGTTGAGAAAGCAGCAGTGGTATACCAGACTCTGAAGGATATATGAAACTAATTTATAACTGTAGTATGATGGGAACTAGTAACAGGATGTAGAAGAGCATACGGCCGATAGCTCCTTCTATCATCTTTTTTCTTTTCTCTTTCAACTGTTTTTTTTTTCTTCCCCAGGCAAAGCAGTAACAAACCACCATCCCCTTATCACTATTTTCTAAATGATTCTGACTATTGATTCTGAATTCCCTGAAATAAGGAAACTGCCAAATCCAAAATTAAACTGCAAAGCAATATGCTGACTTGGAACATATATACCATATTAATTAGAACAAAAAATATAAATCACTAAGCCATATTAAGAAGGCAAGTAACATGGTACGATGAAAAACCTGGACCAGAAATTTAAAGGATATCATTGTACAGCTGACGCTGTGGTTTCACACGTTATTTACATACTATCCACAGTAAATAAAATGTAAGTGCAATACGACTTTAAGAGTCAGAAGGGTTCAGAAGCCACTGACATCTCTTAAGTAACAGAGCTGGGGTTTGAATCTGCCCAGGATTTCTTCCTTAACATCTTAAAATCATTTCTAGGCTTTGCTTTCAGTGAACTCTGTAAACTTGTAAGCCTGGACTATTCATATAATCTCTCTGGGCCTGAGTCAGACCCCATAACTTCTGTACCTTTCATGTATACAACACTAAAATTTAAGTCTTTAAAATGTTCCTTATCCTCTGAGGGATTTCTTAAATGCTTACCTTTTCTTAAAACCAGAACAAACCCAAATGATTTTAGATTACTCTAGCATAAGAGATGCGGTGTGTTTGATTTTTTTGTTTTGTTCTGTTTTGTTTTGAGACAGAGTGTCACTCTGTCACCCAAGCTGGAGTGCAGTGGCACGATCTCAGTTCACGGCAACCTCTGTCTTCCAGGTTCAAGCGATTCTTGTGCCTCAGCCTCCCAAGTAGCTGGGACCACAGGAGCATGCCACCATGTCTGGCTAATTTTTTTTTTTTTAGTAGAGATGTGGTTTTGCCATGTTGGCCAGGCTCGTCTCGAATTCCTGACCTCAGGTGATCTGCTCGCCTCAGTCTCCGAAAGTGTTGAGATTACAGGTGTAAGCCACTGCCCCAGCAGGTGCTGTGCATTTGAATTACACTCAAAAACTGCACACAAAACAAAAAGGTCTATTCTAAAACATTTTAGCAAAGAAGTCACAGATCTTTTTCTCTGGCTCTCCTGTTTTCACCACACTCACTCCACTCTTCTTTGGTAAATGATTCACATATTTCAGCCACATTTCTCTCTTTATACTTCATCCCTATTTTTATTTTTTTCAAACCACACACATACACACAAATGCTATTCTTTGGCACTGAACTATTCAGACATGTTTCAGAGGCTGAGCGAATCAACTCCCAAGATGTTCTCTGGCCTAGTTTTTACTCCAGTCACTTCATATCAAGAACCTCCCCAAATCCAGAATCTCAGCCAACTGTCTTCATTGGCTTAACAGGAATAGTTCATCTTTTGAACAAGAACAGTAAAAGACTGATGGCAGCTGGTAATGTGCTTATAGATAAAGATGGCAATAACACACTATAAAGGCTTAAGTGCTGAGGTAGTATAATATGAACATCATTAGCCTTCTCAATCCACTATACATCACTTATTCATAGAATTCAGGAAAGTCTTACCCCATCTAGCACCTGCAGCTCTCTGGACAATTTTTCTGCAAAGGCTTCCGCATTCGAGATTGCATATTCACAGCCTTCCATCATTATTTCGATATCCTGTTCTTCTCTTGCATTTAACTCTTGGTATTCATCTACTACTTCTTCATCACCTCCTGTCACACTCTGATTTTCTCCACTTGGAACAGATTCTTAAAGAGGTAAAAATTCAAAGTAAAATAGTCAAAAAAGTAGAAAAGACTATAACATAATACATATAGGTAGGTATAGTTATAAGCACAGGTCACATTTAGCAGCTGAAAAAGAGGATAGAATGATTCAAATGATATGAAAAAATCAAACTTTATTTTTATAAATAATTTAATATGTTAATGAAATAAAGTTCTAAAAAATAAATAAAAAGCATGCAGTCTAATGCACTAACTTACAAATGTTAAAACAGGCTTTCACCACAGTTTCCCAAAATACAATTAAGCTAAAATGTAAAAACAAAATACAAAAACAGGTGGGAACAAACCTAAACATTTTTTCGTACCTGATGTGGCTGTTGCTCTAACAAAACAATGACTATGAATTCAGTACACACAAAAACAATTTGCTTTCCTTTTTTTCCCAGGTGAAATTTTTCTTTTGTTACTTTTGTTACTTTCATCTTCAGTATGTATATTTTTGCCAAATACTTTTTAATTAAAATGAAAAATGCATCTATAATCCATAATTTATTTTGGTCACTAGAATATTAACTGAATTATCCATTTCTTTGCTTAAAAAAATTTCACATGCATTGATAACATTTCTAAAGATAAGTTACAGCTTTCTCAATAACTCTAAGTAAGAGCAACAACAACATGGCTGTTTGAAATTATAAAAAGTTAAACAGGCTTCATGCTTTATAACAAAAGACCAAGAGGTCAAACCTGAAATGCTTTCTAGATGTTTCAGTTCATTTTTTTTTTTTTTTTGAGGAAATACACTAGCATGTGAGCACTGTATATAAAGCTTGAGGTTAGGAGGTAAAATGAAAGAAATCATTTTTAACTCCTAAGATGTTGTTTTATCACTCTAAATAAAGTTAGCAATTTCACAGACTTAATGGGGCATGATTTAAACCACAAACTCTGGATGCTTTTAGTATTCATTATTTTATAGGAAAATGAATATTTACATTCAGCATGACCTGAAATACGTTCATTTGTCCCAGAACAAAAAGAAGACTAAAACTTTTGGTACAGGCAATTACAGATTTTAGTATATAAGTTCTTTAGAGAGATATTACCGATCTCCTTGTCCTTTCAACGAGTCCATTTAATTCACTGCGAAAAAGTTCAACTGTCATGTGTGACAGCTTATTAGCCACTAGGGGGCAGGGACTGCCCAAATCATTCTGTACAGGTCCTTACACAAGTAGACTTAAACAAATATTTTACATGATTATAATTAACTGCTTCAGAAGTATTTTCTAATGATATGTCCTTGAAAGCCAATAATAAATACTATCATTAATTTTATTACTATGTAGATTTTTAAAATAAATTTGTCCCAGTACATCATTTCATAAAACATACAACCAACGGTATATAACAAAGGCAACTAATAAAAACATATGGAATAGAAGAAGAAAAGGTGTTACGCACCTTCTGTAACTTTAGGCAGTTCTGGAGAGTAAAAAGTATGAAAAAAGCAGAGGAAAGTAAGCAAAGAATATTAGCTGGGTAGAAAAGTAAACAGGCTTAAATTTTTAAAATACTACCCATATCTCATTTGAACTTCATGTTAAAGTTCAAAAGACAGCCAAATCAACTACCAAGTGGAAAGATCCATAAGAAGCTAAATTTGCCGTGTTCATTTTTCTTATTCACTTTCTGATAGTGACTACAAATATATTTATCTTTCTAATTTCTCTTAGTCTTTTAAGAAACAGCACTAACTAACCCTTAGAGGAGAAACCTGGCAAACTAATCATTTCCTGGGGATTATATTTAGGTCAGTTGTGACTCATGCATGTAGCCTAGTTATGTTACTTAAGGCCCAAAAGCTTTACCCAGACACTCCCTCACAGAGGATTAGTCACAAAACATGGTTAGAAAGGACAAGATTGAGGCAAGTAAAAAATTACACAAAATAACAGTTCAAGCCAGCATTTAAGGATTCAAGTCAAAGATTCTTTTTTAAAAAGCTGGTTGCAAGTAAAAGAATGAAAAAAAAGGCCAAATAAAAACTTCAATCTACTTCAACTGCTGAAAAGTCCTCTTTTACAAACCTTATTCTGCTGAGGAGCCCCATTATTTAACTTACGTATTCAATTGTCAACAATAAAAACTACCAAGTTGCCACTGCTACCATTTATAATCAAAATAGTCTTACTTAATTATTGAGCTCTTAAACTGGGGTGGTAATAATTTTTTATTTGTTTTCTAACATCACTCAAAACTTAGAGACATTTTTTTTTAATGGGAATTAAAGGCTGTAATTTCAAGGTCCATAAAACAAGTTTGTAGACATTAATGAAGCTATTCCCTGAACTCCACTAAACCAAAGCAAGAGTTACTGACGTATATAGCAAGTGATTTTCAAAATGAGATCCTTAAGGATCTTCTCAGTATTCTTAAAATCGATCTCAGTTAGGGTTAATGTTTATACACATGAACGTGTCTATACTCTTGTTTTATGGCCTGAAAAATTGAATGCCTTTTTTTTTTTAAGTTAGACACTTCATTTTCAAAAACAGTAATACTCTTCTCACTGATTTTGGTAGTATTTCTTAATGAGGCAGATCCAGGTAGGGTATGTATTTTTCTATATGACTGTCCTGAAATATACTGGTTTAAAATCACCTTACACAATAAATAACATCTGGAAATGCATAATATTTGAAGACAGAACAGCAAGCTTGTGAATCACTGAATCACTGACTCATCAGAATGTTCAACCCTGAAATGTTAAAAAAAATAAAAGCCATTCGAAGCAAATTAAACCACGATTCAAGGCATGAAAAGTTACCATAAATTTCTTGAAGGTCATTCCCTCTACACACTCAATTACCAAGATGTTGGGGACTAGTGTTGGTGAGATGGCAACCCTGGGGATTCCTACATAAGACCAGCACTACTGGTGGCTGACATATGTGACTTGTTTCTGCCAGTGCCAAGCATCAAGCCTAAAATCAGCAGCAGGCTCACTGATTACTAAGTGCTATCTTACAATGTTTGTATCTTTAGGAAAGAAATTTTAAAAGTAGAGAAAATCTCATATTTTCACTAATTAATGGTAGAGTTTTTGTCTTGTAACACAAAATGATGCATAGTAACATTCCTGAAGATATACTGATCAAAAATATTCTAATAATCTTCATGTCTAAGGATTTTATACTGGTAACATAATAATAGCTAATATTTACTGAGCACTTACTATGTACCTGGCACTGTTCTTACTATGTTCATATATTAAGTAATTTAATCCTCATAACAACCCTATGAGGTAGATACTATTATTATCTCTAGTTCTGAGATAAGGGAAACTGAAACATAGAGAGTAAGTATCAATGCAAAGTCATATAGCTAGTTAGTGGCAAAGCCAGGATTTGAACCCAAGAAGTCTGACTTCAGAGCTATGTTCTTAACCACTACATCTACCCTCTGTACAAAAATACTGCTACAAGGGTATTTATCCCAGAGCTGTTTAAAAGAAGCAAAGATTGGAAAATTAAAAAATAAATGATTAGTTAAATAAACATGGTATATCCATATAATGGAATACTATGGTGCTACTGAAAATAATGTTGGGGTAAGTATTCAACAACATGAAAAATGTTCATGATACATTATATGAAAAAGTATGTTAGAAAACATAATGTAAATTTCTTTATCTTAAAAAGGTGTTTATGCATAGGAAAAAGACTAGACGAATATCTAACAAAGTGCTAACAGTAGTTATTGCTGAAGAATAAGTGGTTTTTATTTATTTATCATAATGTATTAATATTCTACAATAAACAAGCATAATTTCTGCAATAAGAAAAATTATTTTAAAGTTCTTTTACGATAAGATAATTCAGTATTCTAATTAATTTGAATGATGTCAAATTATATATTCACTTAAAGATATAATTGATTTTACATATACATTTTTATTTAACTTTACCTTCCAAAAGCTGTGAGCTAACATTGACAAAATCAATTTTCTTCCGGAGATATCGCTGATTCAATTTCCAAATGCATGAAATAAATGCATTCTTTTCAGCAGTGCTGCTGGCAACCCATTTATATATTTTTTCAAAGTGTAAATCAAATTCAGGATTTTCCTAAAATAAAAATATACAAAAGATATTATTTTTGATCACATCCTTTTACATTGTTAATGTAAAATCTGCATAGGCATTTACGCTGTTTTTGGAAAATGAAGAGTATTAAAAATCAGCTAAGCAACTGGAAAGGAAGAGTTTGGAGAATTCAATTTATAGCAAAAAGTTTACCACCCCAAAGGAGCTGGATGAAAAAACAACATACTGTTGTGGTCATTTTCTTCCTATGCCCTTTAGGTCTATGAGTAGAAGTATAGGATGCATTAATGGCTTTGTGGCTTAGCTTCCTCATCAGTAAGATGACAATGGTCTCTAGCTTTGACATGGACCTAATTTTTCTTTTTAAATTGCCTATAGAGTTTTAGTTATACATTTTCTTTAATAATGTACTACTATTTGAAACTGTAATTGGACACTAACTCCCTAATAAGGACTATATCTTCTAAGTATAAAACTTGAGAAAAATGCAATGTATATCCTGGTGTACTTTCTAAGAACAAGTGAGGTGAAAAGCAGAGATTGCGCCTAATTATTTTCTATTTTGAAAATAAGGAATGATTAAAGATATCTTGAAAGCTAAAAGTGCTGCTAGGTCTCAAAGTTCTTTATTTTTTTGAGACAGGGTCTCACTTTGTTGCCAAGGCTACAATGCAGTGGTGCAATCATGGTTCACTGCAGCCTCCACCTCCTGGGCTCAGGCAATCCTCCCAACCTCAGCCTCCTGAGTAGCTGGGGACACGGACACATACCAGCATGCCTAATTTTTAAAATGTTCTTGTAGAGACAAGATCTCCCCATGTTATCCAGTTGATCCTCCTGCTTCGGCCTCCCAAAGTGCTGGAATTACAGGCATGAGCCCTGTTCCTGGCCTAACGTTCTTTCATGTGATAAAGAAGCTCAACCAATCTGAGAGAATTACACTATAGTTTCTTCAAGTCTCTTAAGCCACATTATAGCAATAATCCACATCAGGCTAATATTTCTCCCTTGAATGAATAGAACTACTTGACTATTATATAAAAAAACAGGCTGGGCTTGGTAGCTCACGCCTGTAATCCTAGCACTTTGGGAGGCCGAGGTGGGTAGATTGCTTGAACCCAGGAATTTGAGACTGGCCTGGGCAACATGGCAAAACACTTCTCTACAAAAAACACAAAAATTAGCCGGGTGTAGTGGCATGTACGTGTAGTCCCAGCTACTCGGGAGGCTAAGGTGGGAGGATGGCTTGAGCCCGGAAGGTGGAGGCTGCAGTGAGCCAAGATTGTGCCACCGCACTCCAGCCTGGGTGACAGAGTGAGACCCTGTCTCAAAACAAACAAGCAGACAAACAAACAAACAAACTTATGGATGTATACTTCACATCCAAGGAATTAAAAAATAGGCTCAAATATTCTTAATGTTCTACAGGGTAAAAGAATAATAATATATTTGATTCATTTAAAGTGTTATTTGGGGGAAATGTAAATACATTAAAGTAAGGGAAGTTATATCAGACTTTCACTGTGAAGAACTGGAGTATCTCAGGAATCAGGACTTGACCTTTGGTACAACAATCATATTACAGCAGCATGGAACTACTAATTAGTTCAATTTATAGCTTAATAAACAGAATTGAAGCGTCAAAAATTTAAAACCTGCATATACAATGAAAAGGTAATTGCATTATTACTTACAAAAAAACACAACAAGAGTATTGGCAACCAATATGAAACTTGATGGGAAATAATCTCTTCCCTGGGAATATTTCCCATAATACCATAAAAGAAGCTGAGTGCTCCAGTGGCAACACTCACAAATCAATGTGTGATACTAAATGGCTAATGTTAAGTTATGTATAAAAATTTTATGTTTTATATCCATATATAGCATACACACACCAAGGTGCCTACATAAAATGCAAAAAAAAAAAATCCATTAAGCAAGTCTGCAAGAGGCATCAGCTGTGAGAATGCATTCAAATAAGCATTCAGCAATGTTACTGAATTATGCAAGTCAACAGGGTTACGAAGTGCAAAACTACTGAAGGGAAAAATGTTTTTTAATAAAGGTGCAGTTTTAAAAACCCTTAAAGTGTTTTGTCTTAACAGAAAACAACCAGAAAAGTTTCCACTCTTGATCCCTCCCCATGGTAATAAAAATTACTTACAGAAGTTTTTTTTTGTTTTTTTTTGTGGAGACAGAGTCTCACTCTGTTGCCCAGGCTGGAGTGCAGTGGCGCAATCTCGGCTCACTGCAACCTCTGCCTCTCAGGTTCAAGCAATTCTCTTGCCTCAGCCTCCCAAGAAGCTGGGACTACAGGCGTGTGCCGCCACGCCCAGCTAATTTTTTGTATTTTAGTAGAGACAGGGTTTCACTGTGTTACCCAGGCTGGTCTTGAACTCCTGAGCTCAGGCAATCCACCAGCCTCGGCCTCCCAAAGTGTTAGGATTACAGGCGTGAGCCACCACGCCTGGCCTAAATTATTTTTAAACATCCCATTATAATTTTCTTTCCAATCTCTAGCTTTCTAAATTTCTGTCAAATCCTGTTTCTACATTTCACATTTTTCTAAGCATTGGGTGCTCCTTAGGGATAAAACAAAGGGCCAGTAAGCCTAGAATACTTAAAGAAAAGGCATGATTTACATTTGGAAGAAATCTGAATTATACAGATATAGAGGGCTCTCCTCAAATTGTTCTTACTTCATTTTTTTTGCACCCAACTCAACTACCTGTCATTTTGTCCAGATTTTTGATCCTTGGAGGTTTGTACCAAAGTAAGGGTAAAATCAGAATTTTATTTTAACAGATTGCTTTACACAGGCAGTTTTTTTGTTTTTTGTTGTTTTTACTTTGTGCCTTTTTAGTAAATGTATGAGATTTGTAGAGTCAAAGAGCACCTGTAGTTTCACTAGTATAAGCCTTGCTATTATGTTCATCCCATCGACATACAAGTAGTTGTGGTACAAAGTATTCTCTTGTGCTATGGAGGTGTGTTAGGGCTGCAGAGAAAGATGAAGGGCAGAGTGAGAGAGGGCCAGGGGGAGGAAGCACCTAATTTAATCAAAGGAGGCCAACTTGATTGCTTTGAAAAAAGGGTATTGCTGTGAAAGCTTTGAACTGTCAGGAACATAGGTGGTCCTTTAATGTGATTATCACATTAATCACCTTTCTTGGAGTTTGAGTGTGGTTTATCTATAACGTGTAAGTTTATATCTTCATAGATCTTATTATCTACATTCCTTAAAATAAGGTATGTAACCCACTATCATTTCTTTTTTTTTTTTTTTGATCCACAAACATCAAAGCCATGGTGGCCTCAAAAGGCCAGTCTGGCTGCCCCAGCTGGTGATTCTATGTTTACTCATGAAGACTAAGGAAGGATCACTTTGGTTATATGATTTTGATTAAACAAACAAACAAACAAGCAAAAAAAACTCATGACACACCACTTTAAAATCCATACTATGTATAGATTTTATACAAATTATACTTAATCTAAACACAGAAATGTATACAGTCAAAGTAATTTTTCTCTAGTTTATGTAGCTTGTGCACAAACATAATTATAGCTTAAAAAAAGCAAAAAAATAAGAAAACAAACATATATATTAATTTGTTTTTAGATCATTTTAGAATATGTAATACCATGTTATAAAATGAAAGATGCTTTCTGAACACAGGTCAAAGAACTGAGAAAAACCTACTTTGATAGCATCTTTGGCATCTACCACAGCAAGATCTCGAAGGGCCCATGCAATCTGCCTTTTGTAGAAATCTCCCTTATCGGATTTCTTGACTTTGACCACCTTAACCTGCACAGGGCGTTCAGTTGTCACTGTTGAGTAAAACGCACACTTTTATTAGAAATATTACCCCTTTCACTCATTCTTCATTCACTCATTGCAAGTATAGCTTTCAGGTGCCTAGTAGCTGATACTAAAAGAGGTGTAATACTTTGCAACAAGTGCTATGACCGAGGAAAGCACAGAATCCTAATAGAAGCATCTAAGTCAGACTAGAAGATCAGAGGAGATTCCTTGAAAAATAAAGGAATGATATATTAATAATAAATTCAGACCAGTTTTAAAGAAAAGTATGAGGTAAAAATCTAAAGAATGATTGACATAAGTAAAGTCTGTGAGGCTTGAAAGAGCAAAATACCATTTCAAAGAGCAACAATACATTTATATATAAAGTTCTTACTATGTTGCCCAGGCTGGTCTTAATTAAACTCCTGGGCTCCAGCGATCTGCCCACCTCAGCTTCCCTAAGTGCTGGAATTACAGGCATGAGCCACTGCTCCTGGCCTAAGAATTTCTTTATAGCAATGCAAGAATGGCCTAATACAAATACATTACGATTGAGTGAGGTCATTCTAAAAAGTCAATTTATCATTTCAAAAACCAAGTACAATTATATACTACACTAACAAGGAAGAAAATTTTATGATATCAATGATATGAAAAAGCAGTTGATAAAATTCAACTCCCATTCATGATTTTTTAAAAAAGTGTAAGAAACCAGGAATAGAAGGGAACTTACTTAACACTGTAAAGTATAGCTATAAAAACCCTATACCAAATACCATGCTTGAAAATGAAGTCATTCTCCTTGAGATGGAGACTGTATTGATAGTCCTAACTAGGAAACTAAACCAACAAAAATAAAAGATATAAAAACTATAAAGGAAGGAAGAAAAATATCACTACTTTCAAAAAGTCTACATATAATTAGAATTAATAAGAAAGTTTGGCAAGATTGATAGACATCCATATAAAACACCAACAATTCATTGTAGAATTCTAACAATATATGATTTTAAAATGTATTAATGTTAATAAGCGCTTTCACGACTATCAAATAAAATCTAAGAATAAACCAATACTCAGGAGTAAATCCAAGAATATACATGACAAACCTTTAGAGAAAATGATGAAACTTATAAAGTTAAAAAACACCTAGATAAATAGAGAACTGTACCATGTTCATGGACACAAAGATTCAATACAATAAAAATGCAAGTTCTCTCCAAATTGAACTATAGGTTCAAAACAATTCCAATCAAAATCCCAACAAAGTCTGAAACTCGACAAGTTGTTTCTAAAATTTAGGTGGAATAAAGAACAAAAACAAAATAAAAATAACATATAAGATGACAACCAGAAATGCTCACACACACCATGACAGATGTCAACACAGGTGAACTAAGACTAAACTGTAAAAGGCAAAATTATAAAACTTTTGAATTTAGGAAAATATTTTTATGACTGCACAAAAGATACAGGGAAGGATCTTTTAAGACACCAAAAGGGAAAGCCATAAAGGATTAATTAATTTCATTTAGTTTAAATTATAAATTTCATTAACAGGCATCATAAAAAGTGAAAAGACAAGCCACTAACTGGGATGCATACAACCAACAAAAGGTTGATAACCAGATTATAGAAAGAACTTGTACAAATCAGTAAAAGGACAAGCAACACAACAGAAAAATGAGTAAAAGGCTTAAACAGGTAAATTTCATACACAACAGAATGAAATGACTAAGAAATTCATGAGAAGATGCTCAATCTCATCATTATAGGGAAATATAATTTAAAACCACAATGAGATACTATTTCACTGCCACCAGATTGACAACAATTAACAGCCTGTCAAAGCCAAGTGTTAACTAGGAATGTGTTGACCCAACAATTTTTCCAATTACAGAGACAATGAGGATATTCAAAACAAAGAGGAAATATCTTCTAAATAATAAAAGGATACAAAACAAGTACTCTTTCTTACTAAATACCCACCTGTGGCACATAAAAAACAGTTCTTTTTCTTTTTTCCTGCTTTGCAGACATTCACAATGCTCAGCAGGCGTTCATCATTTGGTGTAAAAATGTCTCTTTGTAATGCATGCTTGATTGCTGTCATCTTTTCTCAGCTGAAAAATGTGGAGTATAGATATTAAGCTCACCCTCAACATCATTCCATCTTATACTTCTGAATTTATGATTTGAAAATAATTTTTGGTTAACAAGCCTAGGAAAAATGATTTAATATATGAATACACCTATATCACAAAAATACAAAGCTGTAAGTTTGGAAATAAAATTAGAGAACCAGTGTTATCAAACTCTAAAATGTTTGGAAATGCTCACCAAGTATACACACACACACAAGATTTAAGAAAAAAATCTTCAACCCACTGCTCAAACTTTTAATATAGTTTTCTACATAAAGAACCCTTACAACAATAAGAAGACAAATAACCCCATTAAAAACTGAATAAAAGACCTGAACAGACATTTTTCCAAAGATATACAAATGGCCAATAAGCATATGAAAACATGCTTAACATCACTGGCCACTAGGGAAATGCAAATCAAAACCACAATGAGGTATCAACCACTTTACACCCATGAGGGTGGTTAAAATAAAAACGATAGAAAATAACAAGTGTTGGTGTAACAAGTGTTGGTGAAGATGAGAGGAAACAGAACTCTCATACATTGCTGGTGGGATTGTAAAATGGTGCAGCCACTTTGGAAAACAGCTTGGTGACTCCTCATAAAGTGAAACATGGGCTACCTTATAATCCAACAATTCCACTCCAGGAGAACTGAAAACATATGTCCACACAAAAATTTGTACATGAATGTTCATGGTAGCACTATTTGCAATAGCCAAAAAATGGAAATAACAGAAATGTCCATCAAATGATACATAAGCAAAATGTGGTATATCCATACAATGGATTATTATTCGGCTGCAAAAAAAACAAAGGGCCGGGCACGGGCGGTGGCTCACGCTTGTAATCCCAGCTCTTTGGGAGGCCGAGGCGGGCGGATCAAGAGGTCAGGAGATCGAGACCACGGTGAAACCCCGTCTCTACTAAAAATACAAAAAAATTAGCCGGGCATGGTGGTGGGTGCCTGTAGTCCCAGCTACTGGGAGAGGCTGAGGCAGGAGAATGGCATGAACTCGGGAGGCGGAGCTTGCAGTGAGCCGAGACTGCGCCACTGCACTACAGCCTGGGAGACAGAGCCAGACTCTGTCTCCAAAAAAAAAAAAAAAAAAAAAAAAAAAGAAAAAAAGGAAATGAAGTAATGAAACATGCTAAAATATTGATGAATCTTGAAAAGATTATGCTAAGTGAAAGGAGTCAGCCACAAAAGACCACGTATTGTATGATTCCATTTATATGAAATATCCAGAGTAGGAAAATCCATAGATACAGAAATATAAGTGGTTTTCGGGAGCTGGAAGGGAAGGTGGAAACGAGGATTGACTGTTAATGGGTATGGAGTTTCTTTTTTGGGGTGATGACAATGTCTTTCAACTAGATAGTAATGATGGTTATACAACCTTGTGAATATGCCAAAAATCACTCAATTATACAATTGAAAAGGGTAAATTTTATGATACATAATCTCAATAAAACTGTTATAAAAATAGGTTTCCACTTATCTCCTTTTTCTTATCTAACTCAGCATCTTTTCAAACATCAACTTAAAATAATTTTAAATCTCTATTTTATTTTTCATATACATATTTGTGTGGATATGTATTACAATTTTTCAATGCAAATGTGTAGTATTTCATACATGTGAGCTTGCCTAGGACACTAACTTCTAAAACACTATTTCTTTCTATGGGAAAATGAAGAAATCATGATTTTTAAATAAATGATTTACAACGTATTTTTATAGCACAATGACTATTTTGTAAAACAAGTCTTTCCAATATTTTACTCAATCTGTAAAACTTCTATCTCTGCTCCAATTCCAAAAATTGCTTTTCTCATAAAATTCACATCTTCCCACTTCCACTTCATCTCAGCCTCTAGTCTTCTGACATTGCCCTTCTTTCTGTTCTCTTAATCTGGCCTCTCCAAGTTTACTTCTTTTCCAACCTAGCCTGGAGACAGTGCTCATTTCCCTATACCTAAACTATCCCCTACAATTATTTCACCCTGTTTGTAGACCAGCTGATCTTGTTTTTATCAATCTCCATAAACTGTATTATTTTCTTCACTTCTCTTGGACTACCAAATGCCACTTTCAAAAGCCACATATCCACGCTCATTGCGTGCATTACAAATATCTACATCCAGTGAAAGTTAGACTTTCAATGCTGCTCGGCAATTAATCCCTCATTTGATGATTCCTTTTTCCGTTCCCCATGACTATTGTTGTAAATCCTTATTACTCTCCTTCAGTTTCCAGGTCTAGCAGTTAGCCTCCTCCCGCTCTGCAAATGACTTAACAATCTACCTTGCAGAGGATATAAAAGCCATGAAATACAATTATCCCCAATTGCTTGCTTCTCCGTCTCTCCACACCTTCACCCAACCTCTCCTCCTTTTGGCTTATTATAGAGTGTCCATGCTGCTAATCCCTTAATATGTTGTAGGGCCCAGACACTATGTTATATTTCTTCCTAAGCCCAAGCCACAATGGCACTGGCCAGTTTACTTTTCTATCTCTGGGCTTTTGTTCATGCAACCTTCTTTTCCTAGAATTCTCTTCTCCCTAGGAAATTACAATTCATCCCTCAAGATTGTGCTAAAATGTCATCTTTTCTGTAAAGTAGCCCCCTCCCTGCAGCCGCCCCACGCAAAGAGTAATTTCTACCTCTCTAACACTTCCCCTCTACTTCATAAATACGGCATTTATGAATTGTATTTTCTAGCTAGCTGTATTTTATCCCCTATTAAAAGTAGGACCATGTCTTAATCATCTTTGTATTCCTAGAACTTGACAAACTAGGCATTTAACAAATGCTTAAATTCACTAACATGACAGCTATAGCTCCTCCAAGATTCCCCTTTCCTAACTTTCACATCTATAAGCAAATGTCCAGGTTCAAAATCTACCATATTTGCTTCCCTATTCCCTTATCAACATGAAATCTGCTACCACATTCTGCGATTTCCCCCCATCTACATGTAATTTATTCCTTTCTTTTCGCACTGCAAATATACTGACCCAGGTTCATATCAACTTTACTTAACCCTACAAAATCTGGTTCTCTTTGCAAGGTCCCACAACCCTGAACAACAAGATAATTTTAAAAGACAGTTTGTATCACATCACGCTTTTACTCAACGTTTTCCTAATGTTCTCAAAAACATTCCACTCCAAACACTCTGTTCATTTTGGACATCAAATCTTCACTTTGGTACTTTCCATGTAAGGAATATCATCTCCGCCCTATCCAAACCCTAATTACACTTCATGGTTTACATGAAGTTGATTCAATGAAGATCTTAATCCAAAGTGATCTCTCCTCTAAATTTCTACAGCACTTACTGCATTTGCCGTCTAATGGGCTCATTAAATCATAAGCTTCTCTATCTCAAGAATTCTCTTAAAGAAGGGAGGGATGTTCATCATAGTTTTGTGTTTAGTGGATACTTAAATATCTATTAAGGTAATTAGAACTGAATAGTAAAAACTGGTCAAATGAATAATAGGGACCAACGTTTACCACATACTCCTTCTCTGGCTAAAAGCAACTGAGTGTACAGTAAGAGGCAAAACAAGACAGGATTGGGCATACCTCATAAAGGAGTTAGCCATAATGAAAAGCAGTATGTGACTCTTCATTCATTCAGCAAATACTCATGCTTATTAGGTGGCAGACACTATTCTAGGTTACAGTAGTCAACATGACAGATATGTTTATGAAGACCTGAAGCCGGGTGTTTCTATGGCATTTACATCCTAAGAGTCGAGTGATTAACTCTTCAGTCTTTACGGTACTTTTCTGAAAGTCAGTAAATAAATCCCTAGAGGTCCTCTAAAATTATTCTCCAGGTCTGAGAACCCATATCTGACCACGTTCCAAAGGCAGCCATCCACTGCTTACTCTGTACTGGTTGTTTCCTTCAGCTCAGTTGGACCACCACACTGTGTGACAAATAGCCTGTCAGTGTGAGTGCCCGTGTGCATTGGGCCCTGTATGCTGCTGAGATATATTAATGCATGAAGCATTGCCATCTAGAAGATATAACTGTGCAAGGAAATAGAGAAATACACTTAAGAGATTTGGCGGGGGGTGGGGGGGAGTTGGGGTTGGGGGGCCGGGATGTGAATTTGGACAAAGAGGAAGGCACAGTCACGCTCTCCTCTCCTGGACCACGCCAAAGAGCTTACGATCAGGGTCATTTTGCACAAACAAAATCTGGTTCCGATGGGCGGAACCGTAATGGGGCCCGTGAGGACTGCCCTCCCAGCTCCGCATTCTCCTAGACCCGAGGACAAGGGACTGGAGAATGCTCTGACCAAACTTCGTCTTACCGGGACAAACGGGGAAAGGAAGGTCAGAAGGAGCGGTGCCCGACCCCAGGCGTGGAGACAGCAGCCGGACTGAGGAGCCGCCTTAGACCCTGGTGCCTGTCAGCTCGTCTGTCCGCCGCCGCCGGGACTACCGGGCAGCCGCGGCCGAAGGCTTACCGCAAGGCCGGACTGAGCCTGGCTGTGCCGAGGCGGGTCTTCCAAAACGGAGACCGGATGGGGGCCACTAGGATACGCCCCTCAATAAAGCGTTGAACGGGAAGCGGCCGTTCCCCCAACACTTCCTATATCCGGGCACGTGACAAACTCCGCGCCGGAAGTTGACCGCGTAGAGAAGGAAGAAGCAGCGATGGGAGAAAAAGGGAGCGGCCAATAGACGCGGAGGGGCGGGGCGCCAACCGACGGGCGTGGCCAGGCGGAACAAGGCCTCATTGGAGGGGCGTGTCAGGGAAGGGCAGGGGCGGGGCCTTTGTGGCACAGAAACTGACTTGGGAGTTGGGGATTAAGAGTTATTTATTCAGATATTTGCAGCAATTCATTTAAGAAGAAATTCGATTAAATGTTTTCTTTTTTCATACGTAAAGCTCTATTAACTCTAGATCTTTGCTACTTAAACTTTGGAGAGCTTAAATGAGTTAAATCAGAATCCCTGCGGGTGGGACCCAGACATCAGTACTTTTAATATCTTCCCAGATGATTCTCATATGCAGCTAAGGTCAAGAACCATTGTCCTCATGACCTTGATACTCAAAGTGTGGTCCGTGGATCAGCTGCTTGGGTATCATCTGGGGGCTTTTTAGGAAATGCAGCCTCTCTGGCTCACTTCAGATCTACTGAATCAGAATCTGCATCTTAGCAAGATGATGCTTATGCATATTTAAGTTTGGGATGCATAAATGATGCCAATGTTGCTGGTTGCAGGTAGGTGTTTTATTTATTCAATATTCCTGGCACCTTTTTTTTTTAATGCTAGGCACTTTGATTCCAGGTACAGAGGTGATTCAGGCATGAATCTTAACCTAAAGGAGTTCACAGTGTGGTAGGACTAGACAAGGTGTAGGTACAAATATATATAAAATAGGACACAAAATAAGTGACCAAAGAGAGGTACAGATCAGATAAATGTGCTAGAAATTTAAATGAGCAAACAGTAGTTAGAATACTTTTCACTTTCATCAAATGACTTCCCTTTTAAGAGCAGGATCTGGTTATATCTTTACAAAGACCCTTTCCTGCTTGGCACCGGAATGCTTACTGTGGACACTCTATGACAATTGCATGTGTTTTTTGGTCCTATTATCTTTCTTTTATTTACCTGTATGTTTATAGCCCTCCTCAAAGTTGGGAAATGAATTGCATTTCAGAAGCCTAGATCTCTTTCTTGAACCTCAAGATTTGTGTATATACTGCCCATCGCCTGACATTTCCACTTGGATGTCTTATAGACACCTCAAACTTGTGTGTCCAAAAATTAAATTATCCTCTCTCCTCTTGGATTCCCTGCAAAGTGACACTTATATGCAATAGTTTATTTGGAAATTTGATCCCAGGGAGCAAAATGAGGGAAGAGGAAGAAGACAAAACAAAAAGGGAGATGCAGTATAAGAATGTGTTACTGAGTTGGTCATCACCATATTTGAATGTTTTCTTAGTCCCTTAGGACCTTCTAAGAAGCTTTATGAAATGAGTCTCAGAACTGTCCATTAAAGGAAAGAACGGAGGAAGCATTTGTATGTCGGCTCCTGTCCTCTTTGATCGAAGGTTAATGCCCTTGGGCATTAACTACTTCACACTTACAAATCGCACAGTTGTGAATGCCAAGCTGACTCCCACATCAGAGACATGCTGGGGCAGGAAGTGAGAGGAGAGGTGCTGGTATTTCGCACTTGTTCAAAGGTCATCAAACCTGCTCCGAGCAGGTTGCTGCAGCAGTGGTTAGAATAATAGGCTGAAGGGATTTGAAGTCATGGCCTAAGTTGCACAGAAGGACATAGAAGGTGTCCATATCTTGCAGCACTCTGATCTGCCTGTGTGCTCTGTTATGTTCAGTCCTTCACAGAGGTCTCTTCAAGGTGATGGCCAGCCACAATCTCAGCAAAGCCTTAATATAAGAGAGTTAATAGAATAAGCTTCAGTTTTTACTGCTGCATCAATGTCAGGACCATACTTGTATTAACTCCCTCTTCCACTACCCATTCTAATTTTCCCTCACCATTGACCAGCACATCAGCTGGTCTAAGTTGTTTCTCTGGTGAAATAGCCCCCACCTTCAGCCTTTATTTTCCTTTCTCTGGTTAAGCCATGATTGCTGTAATTACCTGTTCAAATTATCCCTGGGTACAGAAACACCTAGTAAGCCCCAGCGAATTATTTGGATTCCAAATTCCTCCCTAGTGCTATTGTGGAGCAACAATCCTAGATCCTTTTGCTAATCACAGTTGATTACTCCCACGAGCATAGTAACTCCTTTCTTTGCCAGCTTGTCCACTTCCGTAAGAAGCACAAGGTAACTAAGTAAAAGTTTGAAGTGCAATGAATTCCATAGTGTTTATCCTGGTGGCAGCATTCCCCACTCAACTCCTGAAGAACCAATTATTGCAATCTAGCAAATACTAATTTTTTTTTTTTTGAGACAGAGTCTCGCTCTGTCACCCAGGCTGGAGTACACTTACATGATCTCAGCTCACTGCAACCTCCTACCTCCTGGGTTCAAGCAATTCTCATGCCTCAGTCTGCATGGCTTACTACCATGTTGCTTCCAAGTCTTTGCTCAAATGTTACCTCACTGAGGCCTTCCAAGAGAACCCTATGTAAAATAGTTCCCCAACCACCCTCCTCCCAGTATTTTTTATCTTCCTTTTTTACTTTTGTTCTTCATGGTTCTTGCTACATTTTGACATATTGTATATGTTGTTTGTTCATTTGCTGTTTCTCTAGAATGAAGTTTTATGAAAGCAAAGATTTTTATCTGTTTTTTTCAGTGATGTATCTCTGATTCCTGGAACTCAGAATAATATCTAACAATTACATAGCACTTATTATGTGCTATGTACTATTCTAAGCATTTTACATGTATTAATTAACTTAATCATCACAACTACCCTGTGAGGAAGGAATCTTTATTATCCTCATTTTAAAACCAGAAAACTGAGGAACAAATTGTCTAGTCCTAGGACACGTGGTATACCATGGTAGTCTCTCAATGAATATCTTTATGTCATCACAGCCTACTGCATGAAGTAGACTTAAGAAGCAACATGAAATAATGAAAAGTATATCATTACTGGAATTGACACAGGAGTGGGGCAGGGAAGTGCTGGGAAGGGAAGGACGTGGGCCCTGGCTAGGGCTCCACCACTGGGCCTGTGCCCATGGACCTAGGTGAGGACAGGCACTCCTGCCTTCCTGCCCAAATGTTGCATTTTCCAAGACCACCCTGGCCTGCCACACCCCTGCCTTGTGCCTATAAAAACCCTGAGACCCTAGCAGGCAGAGACACAAGCAGCTGGATGTTGAGAAGAACATATTGGCGGAAGAACACACAAGCGGCTGGACGTGCATAGAAGCGTGCCAGGGGAAGAGCACACAACAGATGCAGGCAGGCCATCAACAGGCAGGCCATCCACCGGCAGAATGATGCAGATTTTAGCCCCAGGTGGTCAGGGGAGATCTGGGCTGCTGAGCAGCCCGACTCCAGGGAAAAACCACCTTCCCACTCCATCTGCCTTCTGGCTTCTCCATCTGCTGAGAGCTACTTCCACTCAATAAAATCTTGCACTCATTCTCCAAGCCCTCACGTGGGATCCGATTCTTCCGGTTACACCAAGGCAAGAAACCTCAGGACACAGAAAGCCCTCTCCTTGCAATTAGGCAGGAGGTCTAATTGAGCTAGCTAACACAAGCCATCCGGATGACTAAACTAAAAGAGCACCCTGTAACAAACGCTGAGCAGGGCTTCAGGAGCTGTAAACGTTCACCCCTATACGCTGCCGTGGAGTCCGAGCCCCACAACCTGCCCTTCTGCATGCTCCCCCTAGAGGTTTGAGCAGTGGGGCACTGAAGAAGTGAGTGACACCCCCATCGCATGCCCTGCGATGGGGATAAGGGAATTTTCCTGTTTCGGAATCACACAGACCAGGGGTTCAAATCTGGTCTTTACCCTTTACTGAGTCAGTGACCACAGGGCAAGTTACTTAACTCTTCAGAGCCTCAATTTTCTCATCTGTATATAAAAAATAGTAATCCCATCTTGGGCATATTTGCTAAGATGTTTCTTGTAAAGCACTTGTCTCATTGCTTGGCACACAGTATAAGCATTCAATAAATGGTAGCTGTTATTACATGCAGATTGGTTTAGTAGATTAAATTGGGCAGATTTACCTACTTGAAAAACATGTAATAGTCACCCAAGGAGGTTCTGCCCAAGGAGGTTCTGAGGTCCCGCTTCCTTTACATAGAAAGAAGGCTGTATATATTAACATGTATCACATATGAGGGAATCTCATACTTACATAGCATGAAATAACTTTTCCATTGTTAGTAAGCTCCAAGGGAAAAGTCTCTTCTAAATGGTGAAGAGTAGTAAATATTGATGATTTATAGAAGTTAATTGTTTCCTCAGAGAAATCGCTCTTGTTACTGTGCACCAGTAAAGCAGAGGCCTGAAGATTGTAAAGACTTCATGTTCTTCTCAAGACCTGAATCCATTTTGCACCTTTTGAAGGGGGAGGGAGACCATCCTTTTCCTCAGCTTGAACCCCTGAAGGAGGAAGGGCAAAAGTGCCCCACTCCCTCTAGGGCTGTCTCTGATGACATCGGTGGTAGCTCCACTGGCTTTGAGGACATTGTTTAGTGAGAAAACTCATAGATTTCATGGAAGTGGACTTTCATATTTCATATTTGGATGCCTCTTTTACTGGCATCCAAACTGTCTTTTGATATCAGTCTGATTAATTTTAATTTGGGTATAAAGCTAAGGGATCTTCAAATGTTTAAAATGTTCAAATGTTTAAAATCATGTAGATTTATATAATTTCAATTTGAAATGTGACATTTTAAACATTTGACATTTATTATGACACTTACTTTGATTTTTCTCTTCCCTATTTCTTAGCATTGTTTTCTTATAATTTAATGATGCATGTTCCTGTCTAAGAAAGGAAGAACTTTTTTTCAGAGATGTAAGACTATTAGTATCAACACAAAGAACACCAAGTAACTCTTTGTGGGGGTGGGGGGTGGACAATGAGAGTTACAATGCTGCACTTCCCAGATTCTTTATTTTCTTTTTCGTTCTGTTTTTTCTGGAGACAGTCTTGCTCTGTCACCCAGGCTGGAGTGCAATGGCGTTAGCTCACTGCAACCTCTGCCTCCCAGGTTCAAGCGATTCTTCTGCCTCAACCTCCTAAGTAGCTGGGACTACAAGCACATGCCACCATGCCTGGGTGATCTTTTGTATTTTTAGTAGAGATGGGGTTTAGTAGAGATGGGGTTTTGCCATGTTGCCCAGGCTGGTCTCAAACTCCTGGGCTCAAGTGATCTGCCCACCTAGGCCCAGATTCTTTATTTTCTAAATATCTTTAACAACTGCAGCAAGGAAGAAATGTCTCTACTGTTAAATACATAAAGCAATTGGTGTTTGTTTTAGGTTTTGTTAGAAATAGATGTAAATATCCCCACGTGATACTTTCCATTTCTTTGTAGCTTTATGGGAGGAAGTCAGGGAGTCACTAAATAAGGATGGTAATTACCTGTATCAATATTAATTAAGTAAATATTATAAATAAATATTAGTTAGATAGTAGATGCACATTTGACATCATTATTGGAAAGTAATATAATGTGACATACAAATAAATATAAGGAAGGCAAAGATTGGCTTGCAGAATCACATTGCGTCTCAATGCTTTTCTTATGCAGCTGCCTTATTTAATATACATATTGTAGAGTGATATTACAATAAAGGGCAGTCATTACAAATGCACAGTGCTGAACTCCGTATACACATTCTAGGAGATTCTCTCAGAAGTGCAGAAATCATCTCTTTTTTTTTAATTTTTTTATTTTTTATTATTATTATACTTTAAGTTTTAGGGTACATGTGCACATTGTGCAGGTTAGTTACATATGTATACATGTGCCATGCTGGTGTGCTGCACCCACTAACTAGTCATTTAACTTTAGGTATATCTCCTAATGCTCTCCCTCCCCCCTCCCCCCACCCCACAACAGTCCCCAGAGTGTGATGTTCCCCTTCCTGTGTCCATGTGTTCTCATTGTTCAATTCCCATCTATGAGTGAGAACATGCGGTGTTTGGTTTTTTGTCCTTGAGATAGTTTACTCAGAATGATGATTTCCAATTTCATCCATGTCCCTACAAAGGACATGAACTCATCATTTTGTATGGCTGCATAGTATTCCATGGTGTATATGTGCCACATTTTCTTAATCCAGTCTATCATTGTTGGACATTTGGGTTGGTTCCAAGTCTTTGCTATTGGGAATAGTGCCGCAATAAACATACGTGTGCATGTGTCTTTATAGCAGCATGATTTATAGTCCTTTGGGTATATACCCAGTAATGGGATGGCTGGGTCAAATGGTATTTCTAGTTCTAGATCCCTGAGGAATCGCCACACTGACTTCCACAATGGTTGAACTAGTTTACAGTCCCACCAACAGTGTAAAAGTGTTCCTATTTCTCCACATCCTCTCCAGCACCTGTTGTTTCCTGACTTTTTAATGATTGCCATTCTAACTGGTGTGAGATGGTATCTCATTGTGGTTTTGATTTGCATTTCTCTGATGGCCAGTGATGGTGAGCATTTTTTCATGTGTTTTTTGGCTGCATAAATGTCTTCTTTTGAGAGGTGTCTGTTCATGTCCTTCGCCCACTTTTTGATGGGGTTGTTTGTTTTTTTCTTGTAAATTTGTTTGAGTTCATTGTAGATTCTGGATATTAGCCCTTTGTCAGATGAGTAGGTCGTGAAAATTTTCTCCCATTTTGTAGGTTGCCTGTTCACTCTGATGGTAGTTTCTTTTGCTGTGCAGAAGCTCTTTAGTTTAATTAGATCCCATTTGTCAATTTTGGCTTTTGTTGCCATTGCTTTTGGTGTTTTAGACATGAAGTCCTTGCCCATGCCTATGTCCTGAATGGTAATGCCTAGGGTTTCTTCTAGGGTTTTTATGGTTTTAGGTCTAACGTTTAAGTCTTTAATCCATCTTGAATTAATTTTTCTATATGGTGTAAGGAAGGGATCCAGTTTCAGCTTTCTACATATGGCTAGCCAGTCTTCCCAGCACCATTTATTAAATAGGGAATCCTTTCCCCATTGCTTATTTTTCTCAGTTTGTCAAAGATCAGATAGTTGTAGATATGCGGAGTTATTTCTGAGGGCTCTGTTCTGTTCCACTGATCTATATCTCTGTTTTGGTACCAGTACCATGCTGTTTTGGTTACTGTAGTCTTGTAGTATAGTTTGAAGTCAGGTAGCGTGATGCCTCCAGCTTTGTTCTTTTGGCTTAGGATTGACTTGGTGATGCAGGCTCTTTTTTGGTTCCATATGAACTTTAAAGTAGTTTTTTCCAATTCTGTGAAGAAAGTCATTGGTAGCTTGATGGGGATGGCATTGAATCTATAAATTACCTTGGGCAGTATGGCCATTTTCATGATATTGATTCTTCCTACCCATGAGCATGGAATGTTCTTCCATTTGTTTGTATCCTATTTTATTTCATTGAGCAGTGGTTTGCAGTTCTCCTTGAAGAGGTCCTTCACATCCCTTGTAAGTTGGATTCCTAGGTATTTTATTCTCTTTGAAGCAATTGTGAATGGGAGTTCACTCATGATTTGGCTCTCTGTTTGTCTGTTATTGGTGTATAAGAATGCTTGTGATTTTTGTACATTGGTTTTGTATCCTGAGACTTTGCTGAAGTTGCTTATCAGCTTAAGGAGATTTTGGGCTGAGACAATGGGGTTTTCTAGATATACAATCATGTCATCTGCAAACAGGGGCAATATGACTTCCTCTTTTCCTAATTGAATACCCTTTATTTCCTTCTCCTGCCTAATTGCCCTGGCCAGAATTTCCAACACTATGTTAAATAGGAGTGGTGAGAGAGGGCATCCCTGTCTTGTGCCAGTTTTCAAAGGGAATGCTTCCAGTTTTTGCCCATTCAGTAGATATTGGCTGTGGGTTTGTCATAGATAGCTCTTATTATTTTGAGATACGTCCCATCAATACCTAATTTATTGAGAGTTTTTAGCATGAAGCGTTGTTGAATTTTGTCAAAGGCCTTTTCCGCATCTATTGAGATAATCATGTGGTTTTTGTCGTTGGTTCTGTTTATACGCTGGATTACATTTATTGATTTGCGTATATTGAACCAGCCTTGCATCCCAGGGATGAAGCCCACTTGATCATAGTGGATAAGCTTTTTGATGTGCTGCTGGATTCGGTTTGCCAGAATTTTATTGAGGATTTTTGCATCAATATTCATCAAGGATATTGGTCTAAAATTCTCTTTTTTGGTTGTGTCTCTGCCAGGCTTTGGTATCAAGATGATGCTGGCCTCATAAAATGAGTTAGGGAGGATTCCCTCTTTTTCTATTGATTGGAATAGTTTGAGAGGGAATGGTACCAGTTCCTCCTTGTACCTCTGGTAGAATTCGGCTGTGAATCCATCTGGTCCTGGACTCTTTTTGGTTGGTAAGCTATTGATTATTGCCACAATTTCAGAGCCTGTTATTGGTCTATTAAGAGATTCAACTTTTTCCTGGTTTAGTCTTGGGAGGGTGTATGTGTCGAGGAATTTATCCATTTCTTCTAGATTTTCTAGTTTATTTGTGTAGAGGTGTTTGTAGTATTCTCTGATGGTAGTTTGTATTTTTGTGGGATCGGTGGTGATATCCCTTTTATCATTTTTTATTGCGTCTATTTGATTCTTCCCTCTTTTCTTCTTTATTAGTCTTGCTAGCGGTCTATCAATTTTGTTGATCCTTTCAAAAAACCAGCTCCCGGATTCATTGATTTTTTGAAGGGTTTTTTTGTCTCTATTTCCTTCAGTTCTGCTCTGATTTTAGTTATTTCTTGCCTTCTGCTAGCTTTTGAATGTGTTTGCTCTTGCTTTTCTAGTTCTTTTAATTGTGATGTTAGGGTGTCAATTTTGGATCTTTCCTGCTTTCTCTTGTGGGCATTTAGTGCTATAAATTTCCCTCTACACACTGCTTTGAATGTGTTCCAGAGATTCTGGTATATTGTGTCTTTGTTCTCATTGGTTTCAAAGAACATCTTGATGTCTGCCTTCATTTTGTTATGTACCTAGTAGTCATTCAGGAGCAGGTTGTTCAGTTTCCATATAGTTGAGCGGTTTTGAGTGAGTTTCTTAATCCTGAGTTCTAGTTTGATTGCACTGTGGTCTGAGAGACAGTTTGTTATAATTTCTGTTCTTTTACATTTGCTGAGGAGAGCTTTACTTCCAACTATGTGGTCAATTTTGGAATAGGTGTGGTGTGGTGCTGAAAAAAATGTATATTCTGTTGATTTGGGGTGGAGAGTTCTGTAGATGTCTATTAGGTTTGCTTGGTGCAGAGCTGAGTTCAGTTCCTGAGTATCTTTGTTAACTTTCTGTCTCGTTGATCTGTCTAATGTTGGCAGTGGGGTGTTAAAGTCTCCCATTATTATTGTGTGGGAGTCTAAGTTTCTTTGTAGGTCACTCAGGACTTGCTTTATGAATCAGGGTGCTCCTGTATTGGGTGCATATATATTTAGGATAGTTAGCTCTTCTTGTTGAATTGATCCCTTTACCATTATGTAATGGCCTTCTTTGTCTCTTTTGATCTTTGTTGGTTTAAAGTCTGTTTTATCAGAGACCAGGATTGCAACCCCTGCCTTTTTTTGTTTTCCATTTGCTTGGTAGATCTTCCTCCATCGTTTTATTTTGAGCCTATGTGTGTCTCTGCACGTGAGATGGGTTTCCTGAATACAGCACACTGATGGGTCTTGACTCTTTATCCAGTTTGCCAGTCTGTGTCTTTTAATTGGAGCATTTAGTCCATTGACATTTAAAGTTAATATTTTTATGTGTGAATTTGATCCTGTCATTTTGATGTTAGCTGGTTATTTTGCTCATTAGTTGATTCAGTTTCTTCCTAGCCTCGATGGTCTTTACAATTTGGCATGATTTTGCAGCGGCTGGTACCGGTTGTTCCTTTCCATGTTTAGTGCTTCCTTCAGGAGCTCTTGTAGGGCAGGCCTGGTGGTGACAAAATCTCTCAGCATTTGCTTGTCTATAAAGGATTTTATTTCTTTTTCACTTATGAAGCTTAGTTTGGCTGGATATGAAATTCTGGGTTGAAAATTCTTTTCTTTAAGAATGTTGAATATTGGCCCCCACTCTCTTCTGGCTTATAGAGTTTCTGCTGAGAGATCCGCTGTTAGTCTGATGGGCTTCCCTTTGTAGGTAACCTGACCTTTCTCTCAGGCTGCCCTTAACATTTTTTCCTTCATTTCAACTTTGGTGAATCTGACAATTATGTGTCTTGGAGTTGCTCTTCTCGAGGATTATCTTTGTGGCATTCTCTGTATTTCCTGAATTTGAATGTTGGCCTGCCTTGCTAGATTGGGGAAGTTCTCCTGGATAATATCCTGCAGAGTGTTTTCCAACTTGGTTCCATTCTCCCCGTCACTTTCAGGTACACCAATCAGACGTAGATTTGGTCTTTTCATATAGTCCCATATTTCTTGGAGGCTTTGCTCATTTCTTTTTATTCTTTTTTCTCTAAACTTCCCTTCTCACTTCATTTCATTCATTTCATCTTCCATCACTGATACCCTTTCTTCCAGTTGATCGCATCAGCTCCTGAGGCTTCTGCATTCTTCATGTAGTTCTCGAGCCTTGGTTTTCAGCTCCATCAGCTCCTTTAAGCACTTCTCTGTATTGGCTATTCTAGCTATACATTTGTCTAAATTTTTTTCAAAGTTTTCAACTTCTTTGCCTTTAGTTTGAATTTCCTCCTGTAGCTCGGAGTAGTTTGATCATCTGAAGCCTTCTTCTCTCAACTCATCAAAGTCATTCTCCATCCAGCTTTGTTGCGTTGCTGGTGAGGAACTGCGTTCCTTTGGAGGAGGAGAGGCACTCTGCTTTTTAGACTTTCTAGTTTTTCTGCTCTGTTTTTTCCCCATCTTTGTGGTTTTATCTACTTTTGGTCTTTGATGATTGTGACGTACAGATGGGTTTTTGGTGTGGATGTCCTTTCTGTTTGTTAGTTTCCCTTCTAACAGACAGGACCCTCAGCTGCAGGTCTGTTGGAGTTTGCTAGAGGTCCACTCCAGACCCTGTTTGCCTGGGTAACAGCAGCGGTGGCTGCAGAACAGCTGATTTTTGTGAACCGCGAATGCTGCTGCCTGATCGTTCCTCTGGAAGTTTTGTCTCAGAGGAGTACCCGGCCGTGTGAGGTGTCAGTCTGCCCCTACTCGGGGGTGCCTCCCAGTTAGGCTGCTCGGGGGTCAGGGGTCAGGAACCCACTTGAGGAGGCAGTCTGCCCGTTCTCAGATCTCCAGCTGCGTGCTGGGAGAACCACTGCTCTCTTCCAAGCTGTCAGACAGGGACATTTAAGTCTGCAGAGGTTACTGCTGTCTTTTTGTTTGTCTGTGCCCTGCCCCCAGAGGTGGAGCCTACAGAGGCAGGCAGGCCTCCTTGAGCTGTGGTGGGCTCCACCCAGTTCGAGCTTCCTGGCTGCTTTGTTTACCTAAGCAAGCCTGGGCAATGGCGGGCCCCCCTCCCCCAGCCTCGCTGCCGCCTTGCAATTTGATCTCAGACTGCTGTGCTAGCAATCAGTGAGACTCCGTGGGCATAGGACCCTCCGAGCCAGGTGTGGGATATAATCTCCTGGTTCGCCGTTTATTAGCCCGTCGGAAAAGCGCAGTATTAGGGCGGGAGTGACCCGATTTTCCAGGTGCCGTCTGTCACCCCTTTCTTTGACTAGGAAAGGGAACTCCCTGACACCTTGCACTTCCTGAGTGAGGCAATGCCTCGCCCTGCTTTGGCTCAGGCACGGTGCACTGCACCCACTGTCCTGTGCCCACTGTCTGGCACTCCCTAGTAAGATGAACCCGGTACCACAGATGGAAATGCAGAAATCACCCGTCTTCTGCATCGCTCACGCAGGGAGCTGTAGACCGGAGCTGTTCCTATGTGGCCATCTTGGCTGCTTCCCCTTTATAAAAATTATATGTCAAAAATTAAATACGTATATCTTGAGTGCCTCCTGTATATAATCCAAAGGTGAATGAGATACTATCTTTATTCTCTTTATAAAGACATCACTCTAATATAGGAAGTGGTCACTTTTGTTAATCACAGTCTGAACTTTTCCCCTAAGAAGCAAACACATGAACTATATGGATAGGTTTTTATTCACTGGAGAGGGCAGTGAAAGACTTGGCATAGGATATATGAGATTTTTTTTTTTAGCACATCATCATTTTCACTCCCTGCTTTGATCAAAAGTTGTTTTTACCTCTTGCCCTCTTTGTTAATTCTCAACAATATGGACAATTCTCAACACAACTAGATACTAGATGACTTGTTTTCAGGGAATAAGATTAAACTAACTCATTTTTCCACATTTTGATGCTGTCTATAAAATGATGGCCTTTATATTTTAGCTCCTTCATAGGAAATAAACTTGAATAGATCTTTACTTTTTTATTTTGAAAATAAATAAATAAATAAAGGCCTTACAGAACAACTGCAAAGATAGTACAGAGAACTCCTACACACACACTTGTCACCCAGCTTCCCCCACAGCTAACATCTCACATAACTATGGTACAATGATCAAAACTAAGAAATTAACCTCAGTATAATACCACTAACTAAATTATAGACCTTATCAGATTTCACCAGCTTCTTCACCCATATTTTTTTTTTCTGCTTCAGGATCCAATCTAGCAATCTACATTGTACATCGTTTTCATGTCTCCTTAAACTTCCTTCCAATCTGTGCATCAGGGTTATGGACTGAATTGTGTTTCATCACCTCCAATTCACACGTTGAAATCTTACCCTCCAATGCCTCAGAATGTGACCTTAATTGGAGATAGGGTCTTTATACAGGTAATCAAGTTAAAATGAGGTCAATAGAGTGGTAATCTAATACTAATCCAATATGACTGGTATCCTCATAAAAAGGGAAATTTGTACAAAAACATAAAGGAAGATGATGTGAAGAGAAAGAGATGATGGCCATCTACAAGCTCAAGAGAGAGGCCAGGAACAGATCCTTCCCTCACAGTTCTCACAAGGAACAAGCCCTGCAGCCCCTTAATTTTGGGCTTCTGAACTCCAGAGCTGTGAGACAAGAAATTTCTGTCATTTAAGTCACTTGGTTTGTGATAGTTGGTTATGGCAGCCCTAGCAAACAAATACACTCAGTTCTTCCTTGTCTTTCCTGACCTTGACACTTTCGAAGAGTGGTAGCTTGTAGAATGTCCCTAAATTTGGGTATGCCTGATATTGTCTCATGGCTAGACTAGGGTTATGGATTTGGGAGGAATATCAGAGGTGATGTGCCTTTCTTAGTGCCTCATATCTGGTGGCATGTAATATTGTTATGTCCCCATACTGGAATGTTATCCTTGACCCCTGGTTAAGATGATGTCTAGCAGATGTCTACTATTGCAAACTTACATTTTTTTTTATTTTTAGTCAACAAATATGTTAGGGGAGACACTTTGAGGCTATTAAAACTTTCCATCTCTACCTAAACTTTTACCCACTAATTTAAACATTAATTTGTTGGTCACGTCTGCAGCAATTACTCCCATGTTTATTTATTTATTTATTTAAGAGACAGAGTCTCACTCTGTTGCCCAGGCTGGAGTGCAGTGGTGCCATCATAGCTCACTGCACCCTCCACTTCCTGGGCTCCTGCCTCAGCCTCCTGAGTAATGGGGATTACAGGAGCATGTCACTGTGCCTGGCTAATTTTTAATTTTTTTCTAGAGTCAAGGTCTTGCCACATTGCCCGGGCTGGTCTTGAATTTCCTGGGTCTCAAGCAATCTTCCCACCACGGCTTCCCAAAGCACTGGCCAAAATTGTATATATTTATGGGGTACAACATGATATTTTTAAATATGTATACATTGTACAATGGGTAAATCAAGCTAAATCTATTCTCTTAAGCAATTTTCAAGTAAACAATATGTAATTATTAACAGTAGTTACCATAATATATAATACAATAGATCTCTTGAACTTGTTTCACCTGTCTAACTGACATTTTATATCCTTTGAACAGTATCTCCATAATCCCTCTAACCCTCCCAACCCCCTAGCCGCTGGTAACCACTACCCTACTCACCTATGAAATCTACTTTTTTGGATTCCACATGTAAATGAGATCATATTGTATTTATCTTTCTGGACCTGGCTTATTTCACTTCATATAATGTCTTCCAGGGTTATTCATGTTGTCACAAATGACAAGATTTTCTTCTTTTTAAAGACCACTTTTTCTCCTTTTAATAGCCTTAGATATAATTATAGATTATAGATCTAGGTTATATAATTATGTAGATACTGATATAATTCACATATCATACAAATTTACCATGTAAGGTGTACAGTTCAATGGTTTTTGGCTTATTACATTATTTTTTTTTAAACTTGTGGTTATATATAACATTAAATTTGCTAATTTACCACTTTAAATGTCCAATTCAGTGAGTGGGATTAATTACATTCACAAGATTGTATAACCATCACCATTTTCAAAACTGTTTCATCACCCCAAACAGAAACTGATAAGGAATAACTCTGTAACAGATAAGCAATAACTCTCCATTCTTCTGTCCTCCCAGTTCCTGTAAATCTTTAATCTACTTCTGTCTCTGAATTTGCCTATTCTAGATATTTCATATAAGGAGAGTTATACAATATATATACTGTTGTGTCTGGCTTATTTTACCTAGAATAATGTTTTCAAGGTTCATTCATACTGTAGCACATATCAGAACTTCATTTCTTTTTAAGGTAGAATAATATTCCATTGTTTGGCTGTACCACTTTTTTTGTCTATTCATTCATTTTTGATGGACACTTGAGTCGTTTCCACCTTTTGGCTGTTGTAAATAATGCCACAGTGTACACTGATGTACAGATATCTATTCAAGTCCCTGTTTCCATTTTGTGTGTGTGTGTATGTATACCTAGGAGTAGAACTGCTGGGTCATATGTTAATTCTCTATTTAGCTTTTGGAGACACTGCCAAACTCTTTTCCATAGTGGCTGCACCATTTTACATTCCCACCAGCAATGTATGATGGTTCCAATTCTCCACACTCTTGCCAATACTTATTCCCTCCCACCCCTGCCATTTTTAAAATGATAGTCATTCTTAGTGGCATCTAAGTGGTATTGTCAGTGCTATGGTATCTCTTTGTGGTTTTGATTTGCGTTTTTCTCTTGACTAATGATATTAAACATCTTTTCCTGTGATTATTGGCCATTTGTCTATCTTCTTTGCAGAAATGTCTATTCAAGCTCTTGCCCATTTTTAAATTGCTTTGCTTGTCTTTTTGTTATTGTCTTTTTGTTATTGAGCTGTAGAATATATTTATATAGTTTGGATATTAAAGCTTTATAAAATATATGATTTGTAAATATTCTCTCCCATTTTGTAGGTTTATTTTTTACTTTTTGATAATGTCCTTTGATGCAAAAAGATTTTAATTTTAATAAAGTCCAATTTATCTCTTTTTTTTGCTCGTGCTTTTGATGTCACAAAAACCCATTGCCCATTTACCTCTATGTTTTGTTCTTGTTTTATGTTTTTAGTTAATTTTTGTATATGGTGTGAGGTAGGGGTCCAGCTTAATTCTTTTATATGTAGATATACAGTCATCCCAGGACAATTTGTTGAAGAGATTATTCTTTCCTTTTTGAATGGACTTGGCACCCTTGTCAAAAATCAGTTGACCATAAATGTGTGAGTTTATTTCTGAACTCTCAATTCTATTCCATTGGTTTATAGGTTTTTCCTTATATAGGTACCACACTGTTTTGATTACTATAGCTTTAATAATAAGTTTTGAAATCAAGAAGTGTGAGTTCTCCAACTTTGTACTTCTTTTTCTTTATCTACTTGGGACCCCTTGAAATTCCATATGAATTTTGAGGATCAACTTTTCCATTTCTGCAACAAAGGCTGTTGGAAATTTCATAGTAATTGCATTGAATCTGCTGATCACTTTTGGTAGTATTGACATCTTGAAGATATTAAGTCTTCTTATCCATGAACACAAGGTGTTTTTCCACATACTTAGATCTTTTATGGTTTTTCTTCACACTCTTTAGGAGAATACTAATTTAGTCAAAACCACCCAGTTCCTACCAAAGTTACCAAGGATCACATTGGCAAGAAGTCTTCAATGTTGAATGATTACATTAAAATGCATTTCACTGCAATTCACAAAGCATTACTTTATTTTTATTTAAATTATAATAATCACTGATGAAGGAAAAACAAAATTATGACAATCAATATTTACTTGGGAAACCATTTTCATAGGTCACTGATGAAGGAATGTGGTACACAGCTTCAGAGTGGCAAGGGACATAGGGACAAGCACACAAGATTGAAAGCGTAAAAGCATATTCTCATAAGGACCAAACAATCCTTATTGTTGGAGGACCAAATGGAATCATCGTTAATGTATGTAGAATCAAAGTTCACGATCTGTAAGTCCTTTTTAAGATATGCATGATTCAGCTTATTTACAGTTCGAGCAAAGGCATATTTAGAAGCACAGCTATATGCTTCCAAACTGTACACTTTCTTGAAGTGCAGATCAAAAAATGGATTGTCCTGGAAGAGAATGAGAGACATGATTTAGTTGGTAGCCAAGAAAGTAGTTAGGTTTCCTGGATTCTCTCATATTCTCTTGGATATGTTTATTGATTGTAAAGTATCAGTATCAAACATATTTCTAAAATCTACAAATGGGCTTTCCAAAGCTACCTACTTCAAAGTAATTGCTTCTAAAAATCAACAATAAGAAAGGTTATTTTTGAAGCATCTATGTTTTTTCAATTAGACAAATAAAATGTGCCTCAGACTGTGTGGTTATTAAGTCTTCTCAATGTAATGAATTGGAGAGGATGAGTAGGGAATAAATAAATAAAGCAGAGAATAAACTCACAGACTTCTGGAAAACAGAAAAGGTTCCTCTCCCTTTTTAGTACGAGGTTGGTTCCTTGTGCTATTTCAAGGTAGAAGGAAGAAATACATGATAGCTAGCCATTGGCATGCTACAGATCACCAATTTGCTGTCTTTGAAGTTTACAGCAAGGAATTACTTTTGAAGGTAATAGCAAGGACGATCAAATCATTTGACTGAAACTGACAAATTTACTAAAGACTGCCTCTAGGCTCTTACTATATCTGTAGCAGAAATGTTTCAAGAAAAAGTGGAAACCAAACCTGATCTAGGTCCTACATGTTAAAATAATAATTGTTACTGTTAATAGCAGTAACAATGATGCCTTGCATTTAAAAAGTTTACAAAATGCTTTCACATTCATTATCTGCCTAACTCCTAACTCTTCTTTAAGACAGATATTTCGCATTATTTATCATCATGTTCTTAGTACTTATGCGTGATGACTACTAATTTCTCAACAAATGTGTGTTGAACTGACCTGAAGTAGTCCTAAGAAAGGAGAAGTGGAGGCAAACATTGCCCTAAATAACAAATAGGCAGAGGACTCAACCAAACAGGAGTATTAATAATTCACCAGCATGTAGTATGTAACATCACATACAGGCAACTTACATATTTGCAATTTGTTTTTTAAATAGGAAAATTCTTGCAGGAGGCAGGAAATAGAGGATGAATTTTAAAGTTAGACAACATTTTGATTGTTCCATGGGCAAAATGCTTATCTGATCTGACTCTCATTTTTCTCCTTATTTTAGATAGTGCTGCTGTGAAATTTACATGCGAATAATCATGTAAACGAGCGTGGAGCTTAATAAATGATAGTTCCTAAAGATTGTGATATTACCATTTAAAAAGTTAAAAACAAAACATAATCATGCTTTTACTTCTGCACAGCAAAAGAAATAATCAGCAGAGTAAACAGACAACCCACAGAGTGGGAGAAAATCTTTGCAATGTATACATCCAAGAAAGGACTAATATCCAGAATCTACAAGGAACTCAAACAAGTCATCAAGAAAAAAACAAACAATTTGATCAAGAAGTGGGCTAAGGACATGAATAGGCAATTCTTAAAAGAAGATATACAAATGGCCAACAAACATGAAAAAATGCTCAATATCACTAATGATCAGAGAAATGCAAATAAAAACCACTATGCAATACCACCTTACTCCTGCAAGAATGATCATAATCAAAAAATCAAAAAATAGTAGATGTTGGCATGGATGTGGTGAAAAGGGAACACTTTTACACTGCTGGTGGGAATGTAAACTAGCACAACCACTATGGAAAAGAAGGGGGAGATTCCTTAAAGAACTAAAAGTAGAACTACCATTTGATCCAGCAATCCAACTCCTGGGTTTCTACCCAGATGGAAAGAAGTCGTTATATTAAAAAGATACTTACACATGCATGTTTATAGTAGCACAATTTGCAATTGCAAAAATATGGAACCAGCCCAAATGCCCATCAACCAACAAGTGGATAAAGAAATAATAATATATATAACATATATTATGATTTATATAATATATATATCATGGAATACTACTCAGCCATAAAAAGGAATGAAATAATGTCATTTACAGCAACCTGGATGGAATTGGAGACCATTATTCTAAGAGAAGTAACTCAGGAATGGAAAACCAAACATCATATATTCTCACTCATAAGTGGGAGTTAAGTTATGCGTATGCAAAAGCATAAGAATGACACAATGGACTTTGGGGACTCAAGGAAAGGGTAGGATGAGCAGTGAGGGATAAAAGACTACACATTGGGTACAGTTACACTGCTTGGGTGATGGGTGCATCAAAATCTCAGAAATCACCACTAAATAACTTACTCATGTAACCAGACACCACCTGCTTCTCAAAAACCTATTGAAATAAAAAGATATAAATAAAATAAAAATTAAAAAAACCATAATCATACTTAAAAAATGTATAAAGGTGGTGTGGTTTTTAAGCGCAGCACTTTTATAGTCACATTCACAATTTTTTTTTTTTCTGGCGCTCATAACTACAGCTTGAAAGACAGTTCTGCCAAGAATCTCCATAAAGGGAAAGCACATCCATTGCATCACCAGATACCAATCATGCTCCTTAGGGAGTTTTCTCTTGCAAACATTTGCTCCTCATCAGGTAGAAAATACCCCTCATGCCTTTGAGATAATTGCAACAGAGCAATATTTTCCTTTAGCGTAATAATTGGAGCCTGAGTATGCATGCACATAGGATACAAATCTGCCTGTCTCTTTCTCTCTCTTTTTTGATAGAATGCTAGAACTAAAAGGGATCTCAGGAATCATTTATTGATATGTTTTTAGCTGGGATAACACAGTAGTTTCCAGAGATATGAAGTCCAGGTCACACATTTAGTTATTGGCAGAGCCAGGACAAAACCCAAGATCTCAATCAGCACAAGCTCAATTTTTGCTACATCATCCTGTCTCCTGTTGCACCAGTCTCCAAATCCCCAGTCATTTTGATTTCTGCTTTATAAATTGACTTCAATTTCAATTCCATTACATTTTAAAGTTGACAACTTTTTGGCTCAAAATTGCTCTCTATAAAACTGTATCATTGGTATTGATATGTAAATGTAAAACATGTAATAATGTAAATTATTACATTTATGTAAATTAAATGCAATCATGTAAATGTAAAAAATGTAATAAATGCTGACCCCCAAGGATTTGATTTTAAAAAAGAGAAGTAGAAATTCCCAGAACAGTCAGGGTATTTTTACTTCATCTATAGAAAATAAACCTTGCAAGAACTACTCTTTAGATATTATGGTTTTTCTTCTGGCAATTGAGTATTTTAGGTCTTAAAGTGATGAGAAAACCAGAAATACTCAACCTATATTTTGTATCTTGTTCACTATGAAAGATAATAATCTTCAAATTGGAAAGGGAAAAGGGAAGAATCAACAATGTTGGGATGGAATTAAAGGCCATCAAAAGTGAGGAAAAAATAGAGCACAGTTAGTTGATTTGAAATGAATCTAAATTGACAGTCCTGGTGAATATAATCCTAGGCATTGAGCAAACTTGTAAAAATCAATGATAACATCGGTAATATTTGAGAGCTGGAGAAAAAAGACAAGAAAAATGGGTCAAAGATTGGTGGGAATAGTTAATTTGTGGGGCTAGTTCCTGAAACTACAGATTAGTGAACTTGACCTGCACTTCTGATCAAATTAAATGCAGTATTATAGAAATTTGACAAGTACAGAAAAATATAAAATAGAAAATAATAATTAAAAAATTTGTAATCTTATCACAGAGGTAACTTATTAAAGTACTGGTTTGTTTTACTTATACATGTATATACATATATACATATACTGACATATTTTTTGTAAAAACATTAAGATTCATATTTCAATAACATGACAAACTAAATATGCAAAATTGATGTAATATTTTAGAAAAGTTTTATATTTAGCTGATTTTTAGAAAACTTGTTAAGTGGCTGAACAATTGTGTTCTGAGATATTCTTTTGGAAGCATATTTTATAATGGCTGTATAATATTCTATCATATAAATATGTAATAATATATTTAACCATTTCCTAAGCATCAAACATTTAGGTAGAACATATTGTCAAAAAGGTGTTACATGAATATTTAGGAAACACAGCAATGAAATCCAGCATTCTTTTGCCAAGAAGTCATGTCAAACACACCAACTTTTTTAAAAAGGTTTTTAAGTTGAAAAATCCAGGTAATAGCAGATAGTATATGTTGATTTTAGTAAATGACAAATTTTAGATATTCAGATTAGATGAATAATTAAGGCAGAGATAAGTGCTTTTGGCTAATTCTCTACTGTATCCTCAGAGCCTAGTGGGGCCTGGTATACAATAAATTCTCAATAAATGAATGAAGGAATAAATGAATATATGAATTTGTAGAGGCTTTCAACAACCAATCCAAAGAAGGCAAATTAATAGATTTCTGGGTAAAGTCTAGCTCTACCACTTAATAGCTATGTCACCTTGGGCAAGTCAATCTCTTTAAGTCTCACTTTCTTCATGTGTAAAATGGAATAATAGAATCTAATTCAAGAGGTTTTATGGTGATTATGTAAAAATATACATGAAAGGAGCTTAGCTTGGTTTCTGGCACCTCATAAGAGTTTACTGAATATTGTTGGTAGCAAGTAACAGTACTACTAGCAGTAGTAATGGTAACCATCAATGATCTAGAGGTACATACTTGGCCCTGCCTGCCTCATCAATTTTATTATTGACTTGGATGAAGTCCTCAATGTTGTGCTCATTAAATCTGAATCATACTATAGTGATATTAAAAAATAACGATATTAGAAGATTTTAAAGGTTGGAACAATAGGCCAAATGAAGACTATGGCATTTATTAAGATTAAGAATAAATGAACTTAAAGTTCTAATTCATTCAACAATAACACTACAAAGACTTATTGAGTGCCTATCATCTATCAGCCTATGATAAAGGATGAAAACCATGGACCTAATTTTTAAGGAGCTTTCCGTCTAGAGGGAATTCAGAGTAACCCAACAATTGCAGTTTGTAGGATTATGGTTATAATACATTTCCACCCATGCCATAATGAGTGTATGAGGGCAGAGAGTCAATAGGACTTTACTCAATGGGAAATCTGGGTAACAGTTAAAGGTAATTGGGCATTTGAAGCCTCAGGAGCCAGTACTTGAGCATTGTGGAGGTAGAAAGTTCAAGGGGGAAGGGTTCTCCATCAACAGCAGAGTTCAAAAACAGACTGTGAAAATCACTTGTCAGGGGTCAAGTGGTGAGATTGTAGTATTTACTCTTTCTCCACTTTCAACTCTAAGATTATAGGATTTCCATCCTTCTAGAGGATAAAGTGGGCTTGCTGATGGTAAAATTTGAAGATGAGGGAAGAAATCCCCTAAATTTATAGAGGAAATTGTGGTGGGGAGAAAGTGATGGTAGAAGCATCATATATTTGGAAAAGTGGCATTTAAATTTTCAGGATTGACTGGTAGATTGTGTTTAACCTGTTAAATGGCCCTTGGGAAAGGTGCTTTTAAATTTAATAGACAAAATTTCACTTGAAACTCATAAAAACAGAATAAAAAAACCAGTACATCATCCCAGTAGATTAAACTATGCCACTTACGAACAATATAATGTCATCTTAACACTTAGTACATGCCAAGAATATATGAAGCAGGATATTGAACATAAAGATCTCCAGCATATTGATTCCACATCTCCTTATAAAATGTAACACTTACAGTATCTGCTTCTTTTCCATCAATCATCTGCAGATCGTTCAAAGACCACTTTTTTGTTACTTCATATTTTTCATCTAAACCTATTCTGTAGTGTTTCACCATGACTATTTTTACTTCTTCCTTTTTGGTCACTGTAGGACAGAAAAATACTTAGTTTACATAAATTCTTAGAAGCTAATAAATTATTCAAGTCATACTTTTTGGTATTTATGTATCCCCTTTTAATAAAATGACCTTGAACCCACATTATAGCTGCGCCTCAATTGTGAGTCCTGATGTATCTGAATCTTCACAGTATGCCCCCAAATTTGCTCAACGTATTAACTTTATTTTTGCTACAGTTGTGCTTACATACTGCCACAGTAATGTCTGTTAAATAGAACATTGAGCTATGTGCTTTGAGCTCTGAGCATTGTGGTAGAGAATAGGGTTCATCTTGGGGCAGGAAATAAGAGGCTTAGCCTTAGCATACAGTCAGTGCCAAGTGTTTATCAGAACACGTTGGAATTTTAATTTATGACAATATAAGCAAATGAGGTCATGGAAGTAAACAGTACTGCTTTACAGCAACACAGTGTTGAAGAGTAAGTGACCAAGCAAATACCGCAGTAACTGTGGACACTTGCCTTTAAATTCACTCTGAGACTTACAATGTAGAAATGCTTGCATCACAGCTATTGTTAACCCGCTTGGTATTGCTCGAGATTGTAATCCTCTCAAGTGTGTCTCTCAAATTCTAGTATTCAAAATGTGCTATTTGCACAAAAGCTTTTAGTACTATACTTTGAAAGATATGGGAAAATTTTTGCTTATTTTGTGGGAACAAAATGAGGGAAATGCTTTTTTTGTCTTAAAATCATTTGGTCTTATATACACACATCAGAAGAATCAATATTTGAGCATAGAGCTCTTAAGTTGAAAATTATCAATGAGTTATTATAATAAAGGAGTATTTACTGAGTATTTGCTACTTGCATGATAGAACTGTAATAGATGCCGCAGGGGATACAAGTAAAAGACATGGTCCCTGCCCTCTAAAAATTTATGGTTTCACTGGGGAGACAAGGCTAACACACATGTCACATACAATAACATATTATAAAGAGGTGGCAGGTGGGGATCGAATGCCTAAGATTTCCCTTCAAGATGAGTAATGTTACTTAGAGAGTTGCAAGCTGGTTCTGTCTTCTAAGAGTGACTCTCCCTTGGTTCTGGAAAGCATCACTTTGACATGCTCTCCTAGCGCTGTAGACATGAAACAATATATCACAGTATAATCATAGTGAAAGATAAGTAATGTGGAGCAGACTACATGTTCAATAGGAGTTCTGAGAAGGGAAAGGATCGGAGTAGTTAAGGCAGGAATTACAAATGAAATAGAATTTGAGATGGGGCTTAAATTTTGAAAAGACAGGGGTCATACTGCAGACATTTCTAGGTGAAGGGCAGCATGTGGAGATGCATCAGCAATAGAAGTTAACGTCACCAGGTAGAATCAAAGAAAGTGGACTGCATGGGTTGGTTGATGTTAAGACATGTGGGCAGTAGGATTCACTAGGTACAGAAGGTTGTGAAAATGTTTTGAAAGACTCTGGATTTGAAATGCAACAGAAACCACTTTGGACCTGTGTCTGAATTCTCTTTTCTGGATGGAGTGATGTGAGGCTGACCTACTATAGTAAGGGCTCTAGAATTGGGTCTAGCAAAGGGAGCATCCATTGCCTGATGGTGCCAGTGATACTAAAATCAAGACAGCCAGTTGAGCTGAGAGTTGATGACAGAGCTCAGTCCTCGGGAGAAGGGAGTGGAAGCAGTCTGACAAATCTCAGAAGAAGGCACTGTGTCGGGTGTTCAGCAAAAGCTCTTATAGCAACACCTGTTCGTTGAGTCTCCCTCCTTTGGTAGCAAAAGACTAATAAAATGGTACTCTATTAAAGAAGAATTTTTCTGGCAGCAGTTATGTACAGGATACATGGAAGAAGAAATGAAAGAGGAACTGGAGGACCCTGGAAAATGCAATGCAGCTTAATGAGTTCTGGCACTGGACATTCTGGAGTTAAATCATGACACCACCTCTCAACAGTGTGGTCTAAGTAAATGATTTAATCTCTAGAGAGATTAAACCTCACTTTTCTTATGTTGTAAAATAGACATCAGAATGATCCAAATTCATAGGGTGTAAAGACTAAAGTAGACAAAATATATAAAGAACTTAGGATAGTGCCTGGTTTACAGTAACTGTTAAAAATGTTTTGTTTTGTTTTGTTTGTTTTAAGAGGCTGTTGTAGTAACCTGGGCATGGGATGTGGGTCATGGATAAAGACGTGGAAAATCCAAGTAAGATTTAAAATAGCACTGGATGGAAACAACACTGGATGAAAACCAAACACTGAATACAAACCCAAATAGGAAAGTAGAGAGGGTGAGTTGGTTGGGTGGAAAAATGAGTTTTGTTTTTGACACACAGTTGAAGTAGCCACAAATTATCTCAAAAGAGAATGAGATGGAAGTTTTGTAGTTTAGGAATGGAGATACTTGGGTTTTTTCCTGTGGAAAGGTTTCCAAGGCCAGTTTTTTGTTGTCGTCATTTGTTTGTTTGTTTGTTTGTTTGTTTTTCATTTTGAAAGAGGGTCTCACTCTGTTACCCAAGCTGGAGTACAGTGGCATGATCATGGCTCACTGCAGCCTCAACCTCCTGGGCTCAAGCATACTTCCACCTCAGCCTCCTGAGTAGCTGGGACTACAGGAATGCACCACTATGCCTGGCTAATTTTTTTTATCTTTTTTGTAGAGACGGGTCTCACTGTATTACCCAGTGATAGTGATAGTGGTCTCAAACTCCTGGCCTCAAGCCATGCTCCTGCCTCGGCCTCTCAAAATGTTGGGATTATAGGTGAGAGTCACCATGCCTGGCCCCCAAACCACATTTGTAGAGAAAAGAGCAGAGGAAAGAGGTGAGAGAAAGTGAGAAGAAAAATAGATGCCAGGAAAGACGTCTGAGAAGGGGTCTGAGAGACAGGCCCAGCTGTGTAATGCTATGGGAATCAAGAGGATGGTGAAGTTTAAAGGTTTGGAGACAATCCCGTTAAGTCCCTTTATTAGGTAAGGCAGAGTTCAGCCCTAGCACTGAATCTGACTTGGAAGAAGATCGTGAATTTCCTCCATGAGGGCAGTTTCTCTAGAATGCTGAGGGCAGAAGACAACTTGCAGAGGACTCCTTCATGCACTAACACTATTTGAGTGCACATTGTGTGCCAGCCTCAAGGTTAGGTAGGATTTACAAAGGTAATAGGAAGGAAGACTAAAGGCTATGATGGAGATCACATATTCCAGGAGTTTGGAAGAGGAGGGATTATACGTTTTGGAGGCAGAGAGAGTGACTAAGGCACATCTTCTGGAGAGGACCTCAAGCAGAAGATCTTAACTTGGGGTCAATGAGCTAGTTTAGAGTCTGTGATCCCTCTGACAGTGTACCAAAGTTGGTGGGCTTCTGCCCACCTATCCTTCTCTAGCACTAAAAAGTTTCCGTCTCCACTGGTGTAGATGTTAGTCTTGGGAAGACGAAAGGATTAAAAGTGAAGCTGTTAGGCAGAGGTGGTGAAGTGGAGGCACACTTGAATCTGTCATGCTTACTAAGGACAAGATCTTGGAGACATTTTCCTCCACCAGGAGGCAGTTGTATGCCCAGAAAGAAGCTGTACCCCAGAACCAAAGGACTATGTTCTTGCTCCAGCTAGATGTCTCACATGGTGCTTAGGGGGTGGGAGAGAATGGGGTTGGGGAGGTATGAAAAATGTAATTTTCATGGAGCAAATTCCACTGCCTCATCTACATGTTATGAAAAGCATGTTATGGTCATTTGTAGGCCACACATTCATCTCATTAAATTGATAAATATTCGAGTGCCCTTTTTGTACCAAGCACTGTGTTAGGAATTGAAAACATTAAATCTCATAAGGCATCATTCCTGCTGTCACTGAGATTGTAGGGAGTGGGGTCTTCAGAAAGAAAACCTGTGCTTACAGTTCTGCAAATAAGAAATAGACAAAGTAATTGAGGAACGTGGAGGAAGGATGTCTTCATCCAAGTGGGGGTCTGGGAGAGCTTCCTGAGAGAGGTAACCTGAGTTGTAAATGGCAGTAGAAGTTAGCAGAATGAAGATGGGTAAAGGTAGTTCTAGAAAAGCATTCACACAAAGGCATGAAATACTTGACACTTTTAAGTCATTAAAAGCATCTGGTATTGCTGGCATGAGGTGTGAGGGTGGACAGGTGGCAGGGAACAAGTTAGGCAAGACTAGTTCCTGAGGGGTCTAGAATACCAGGCTGAGAAGATCAAAGGTTATTCTGAAAGCCATGCATTTCTCTGTATAAGAGAGAGAAGTTGTCACTGAAGGATTTAAAGTGAATGGACAGACTGAGCTTTTAAGGTTCAGAAACTTATTTTGTGATCTTCCATAAAGGATAGGTTGGAGGTGGGGAATGGAGAGAAGAGACATGAAGAAGGTGAGTCCTACGAGTCATCACATTTTCTTACATTAATGGTCACTGTCCCATTAACACCAAACTAAGAAAGTAAAAGAGCATTCTTTAAAAGTTAACCTTTTGACAAAACAGCTTCCTTTATAGCTAAGGAGTCTCCAAGAATTGTCTTTAGCCACAAGCCAAAGAAGTCTACTTAGCCTGGAGTCAACCCAATCCCTAATTTCCACACTTCAGCTTTGCTGCCAGCTAAAATTAAATGGCCGTATCCACATTAATGCAGTGGCAAAGTGGAAACCTATCACATTGTCTTAAAACAGAAATGTGTTTATATAATCAAAATGTTAGAGAGTTGTTTTCAGTAACATCAGAGTTTCCATTATCAAACTATGATTTAGTGAGCATATCTGTAGACTCAGGGAATTTCAGAGTTAATCTGTTCCAGTTTTAATTTTAGTCAGCATTTTCAGAATTATAATTTTAACTTCATGCCAATCATTTATTTTCACTTTAAATTTTAAAATAAACTTTGTCATTAATAAATGCCTCTATTACCATGGTAAAATAGTCACTATTATTCATGAGGCTAAATGGAAGAAACATTGCCCGATTGATCCAATATAATTTGGCAGAATAGAAAAAAACAGTAGCTCACAAGTAAGTTGCACAGAATGCTTTAAAGAAACAACTCTTCTTTTACATCCTATTGTTTTACAATTGTTTTCATCATTTAAGTTAAATAATGGAGAGAAATTACTATGAGATATTGAAGAAAAGCAGCATCAGTGAAATGTTACAACATATATGGTCCTGTCTTGGGTCACTGAGAAGACTACCATTACTTTCATCAAAAGAGTAATTTTCTTTTTTTCTTTTCTTTCTTTTTTTTTTTTTTTTTGAGATGGAGTTTCGCTCTTGTCGCCCAGGCTGGAGTGCAACAGCACAATCTCGACTCACTGCAACCTCCGCCTCCTGGGTTCAAGCGATTCTCCTGCCTCAGCCTCCTGAGTAGCTGGGATTACAGGCGCCTACCACCATGCCCAGCTAATTTTTGTATTTTTAGTAGAGACAGAGTTTCACCATGTTGGCCAGGCTCGTCTCAAACTCCTGACCTCAGGTGATCTGGATGCTCACCTCGACCTCCCAAAGTGCTGGGATTAGAAGTGTGAGCCACCATGCCTGGCCAAAAGAGTAATTTTCAAATAATATTTTTCTTTAGAAATATTTTTTAAAATCAAATTTTGGGCTACACTGAGTGTCTTTAAAATGAAAAAGATTGGTTATAAGCAAGTAAGGACATGAGTTGCTGATGTTTTTACAGAACGGGAGATAGAATGAAAGAGAAGGAAAGTGATTTTGTGGGAATAGAAGCACCAAGAGAGAAGGGACATCCAATGAGGCATATGCAAGGTTTGGCTTTATGAGCTCCAATCTAGCATTTCTCAGTACCCCTACTAAAAGTAATATTGCATAGTAATTTGGCACAAGTGGACCTGGATTTAAAGCCTCCATTAGTCACTTATCAGCTGATTATCTTGGGCAAGTTATTTAGCTACTGTATGCTTCAATTTTATCATGCCTAGATGTGGCAAATAAGATAAAATATGTGAAGGACTTACCATAGTGCCGGGCAAATGTGTTAAGAAAAGCATCTACTCTTACTGGTTAGAAGCAATATGGTAAAGTCGAAAAAAACCTGGGTTTTAGAATCAGATTTATGACCTGTGGGCCTTGGACTAGGTACTTAACTTCTTGTGACCTATGGTTTCCTCGTCTGTAAAACAGGAATTTTATCTATCACATAAGCTGGTTGTGAAGATTAAAAGGAATAAAGCATATAAATGGTACTAAATGGACTTGTGCCTGACACTCAGCAGGCATGCCTTACAGCTATCCCTTTTATTGCATCATCAATAATGCCATGCTAATAATGAAAAATTTTAAATACTTCCCCCCTTCAAAGCTCTGAAATCAAGCTCCTATTCATTCTACAAATGATGCAAATGGCTTGGAGTTTAGAATTGGCAGATCATCTTGATTTCCACATTTAGATCTCCAAGGTAATAGATTAGCCACTGGGAAAATCTGTCTCGTAAGTTACTGACTGATGATGGTGATGTGGGTTGTTCATTTTAGAGATAATGATAATATCCCTACTCTAAAATCCAAGCTACCGGCCCTTTTAGAACTAAATGCTAAGTCACAATAAACGCAAGGTAACAAGAGGACTCAAATGGGAGCTTCATCATTTCCATATTGTAACCTTCACCTACAATTACCCTGATTTGGAGAGTCAGAATATTTTATTTAAATTCCTGCATAGGGCTGGGTGTGGTGGCTCATGCTTGTAATCCCAGCACTTTGGGAGGCTGAGGCAGGATGGCTGGATGCCAGGAGTTCGAGACCAGCCTGGGCAATATAGCGAGACCCCATCTCTACAAAAACACTAATAAATTAGCCAGGCATAGTGGCGCATGACTGTAGTCCCAGCTACTCAGGAGGCTGAGGTGGGAGAATCACCTGAGCCCCAGAGGTTGAGGCTGCAGTGAGCCAAGATCAGGCCACTGCACTCCAGCCTGGGTGTCAAAGTGAGACCTTGCCTCAAAAAATAAAATTAAATTAAATTTAAATAAATTCCTCCATAGAGACATTTAGTGATATTCCACAAATGCATTTTGTGTTTGTGTGTGTGTGTGTGTGTGTGTGTGTGAGAGAGAGAGAGAGAGAGACTTGAAAAAAATATAGAGTCTTGAACAAAAATAATAAAGTGTTTTTTTCTACCTTTAGAAGACAAAGAGCAAGAATTTTAAAGTATAAAATCTACTTTAATATTCAAGGTCTGTTCCCCATTTGACAATTGTGATTGTAATTAATTGTTACAATCAGTAACAATTAGTAAGTTTTGGGAATTTTATGATATATGTATTTTATTTTTTAATAAAATGTATCTCTTGGAAATCAATCCTATATTTCTTCTTTTCATTATTTTTTAACGTAGAGAATAATAAACACCATCAAATTAGAATTTCTTCAAGTGTGTTCTCTTTTTGAGCACAAGATTTCTGTGTTGTCGCAGAACCAAATCTATTCATATTTATTAAAGGAAGTATTATAGGTCATAAAAGGGAAGATATTAAATTATTACGTAGCAAAACAACCTTGACAGGAGAATCCTTGAGCCCAGGAGGCGGAGATTGCAGTGAGCCGAAATCGTGACACTGCACTCCAGCCTGGGTGACAGAGCAAGACTCCGTCTCAAACAAACAAACGAACAAACAAACAAACAAACAAAAAACAGCCTTGAGTAAAACTGCAACTTGAAAAAGAATATACACATAAACTATGTTTGGCTCTATAATCAGAACATATGCATAGCTGTTTGGATATATTTTGGCCTGCATAATTGTTATTCTACTGCTGCTAATAACATCTTTAATTATATGAAAATTTTTTAAAACATTAGTCCATGTTTAATTCTTCAAAACACTATGTATTAGGATAGTTTGTTCTCAATTCACAGCTGAAAAATTAAACTAACCTCTTCCAGACAATACTATCATCTCCTGAAATGACAACTTAAAGAAAGAAATTCTTTAGATTGTGCTCTCTGTTGTTAAGATATTGGGAATTCACAAATGTAGCAGCAGTGGTCCCAAATGAAGTCTTTAAAATTGTTTTTAGCAACCTCCTTTTCTCATTAACTCATTCTTATTTAACAATCTTATTGTTAACATTCTTATTGTAAATGATTATTAGATTCTTTGATTCACAGAGAAGTTCTGGTATGGCTTAAAAAAACAATATGTATAGAGAATTTATGCATATTATTTTTATAATTCTAGCAAATGCCATTTATTTTCAGATTAATAGCTATGAATGGAAGATGTTTTTCTAGAAATATGAGAATACTGAAAAATAATCAACATCTGAATATACATATAATTTTAAATTAACATAATATACAATATATCAATTTTTAATTTTATATTAAATATACACACATGTTTACTATTTTGTTTTTACTATAAATATGTATTTATAGTATATACATATATACACATATATTTCAGCATATTTTTAATGATAAATTATTTTTTCTGTATATCTGAAAATTATAACCTTAATTTAATTCTATTTATTTAGAATACAGTGTATCACATTTGGTTTTATCCTAGTAAGAATTTAACAGGGGAGCACTGTGGGCAGATATAAGTGTTTTTATTTCTGTTTCAGAGATGTCACCACTGAGGCCAAAGAGCCTACTTATCTCGCCCCAGATTTCACAGCTGGTGGGTGGCAAAGCAGCACCAGGTTTCACACCAAGTTTGCCTGATTCCAAGTGTGTGAAGGTCTGTTCCACTATGCCCTGTTACTTTCCATCCAGTTTTGGCTAATGCTTTAATATGCTATGTCAAGTCCTTCAGCATTTCTTTAATTCATGTGCACTCTCACAATTGCACATGTGACTTATTCCTTTCTAGTGCCAGCACATAATAGAGCTCCTCCCTGCTTCATAAGAAGATGCTACTTTTAACTTCCAGTGATAATGTTCTAGGTAGGGGACGCTAGTTCCAGGGAGAAATGACCATGCAAACCCTAAGGTGGGAGTGGGCTGCGGTCCCAGGAAATCCCCCATGTACATCCTAGCAAACCAGAAAGGGAAATTGAGTTTTTGACATTTAATTTTGACATCAACCAGGTAAATATCAAGATTTAACAGTAAGTCATAATCCTTTGGCTGCAAGACCCCTGCAAAAGAGAGACTCTGGTCATATAAAGAGAAAGCTTAACCATATTTAAACATATTTTTGTTAATTTTAAAAATACATGATGGAATTTGACTACACTGGACTCGCAAGTCTCACAAATTTAGAAGCGCTAGATTGTAGGGAATAAAGAGGAAATCATAATGTGACTCTACTCCCTGAAGGTGGCCATCGTTCAAAGTATGGAGTTTCACATCTCAACAATTACGATGTGATCTCTTTGATTCATTACCAATGGAAATTGTCTGAGTCAAGCATGGTCAAAGCCAAGACTATTCAAGCAACACGCTGACTTATTTTAAATTACTGTTCCAGCAAAATGTATTTTTAATTGCCATAAAAAGGTGTTACATTTGGAGAAAGTGCTCTCAAATTGATGATGTGATGTAGAAGAGAGTAGTGAAAAGTTAGTGAACTGACATGGCTTATAAAGTTAACTTGTATCTAGAATAGCACAATATTGTCTTCTCTTCCTCATCTCTGAGATCTTGTTTTTTCCTTGTTTCTTACATGACAGAATTATTGAATTATTTCCAAACATTTAAATCTAGGAGACTTTTTTTTCATGTCAGATAGAACAAGTCTAGTTAATTACATAATTTGGAGGGAGAAACTAAGATATATTTGGTAAGTTAGATATATAAATTATTGTGATTATTTAATTTTTCATGTTTTTCTTTAAAAATATGTGTATACTAATGTTACCAATGAGAAATCAGCTTTATAAAGTGGAAATTACAACAAATACAAAATTATTACATTTTAATGTTGGAATAAGCATCTTCTCTAATATATTCAGTAAAAATATTTTAAGACACAGTGATTTGATGGCTAGGATACAATATAGTTTCTTACTTATATTGTTTTTAATTGACTTTCTAAAATACTTAATTTCTTTTTCCTGGGCCAATTAATTTTTTTATGTCGCTAGAATACCCTCTATACTTTGTAGTCATATAGCAAAATATGCTAAAGTGTCAGATAAATATTTCTAATGTTATTATTGGGTAAATATTACTATATTTATTAGAAATGACAGAATTCTAAAAATTCTTGGCATGTTCTTTAAAGACATTCTATTTCCCTTACAGCACTCCCTCCTGACAACTTTGAAAGGCCTTCTAAGTCAATTACCAGAAAGGGAATTATAAGAAGTTGTTTTCTGAAAATAGGTGTGTTCCTTAGATAGGCAAGTCCACGATGAACACAAAGTTTCTAAGCTCTTTTCTCCTAAACGCCTGAAAAGTATTAAAAGGCATGGACCAAGAAAAGGGAATACTGTATATTCTGTTCAATAATGGCATGAGCACTCCTGTCTAAATTCAGCACAGAAATCACAGGTTAGGCAAATCATAATTAAGTGCAAAAGCCTGTTCCTAGCTTTGGACAATTTTTATGAATTTTGGAAACATGAGGGTAAAAATCTTTATTTTAGTTAAACAGTTTGGAGGACATCCTCTTATCCTTAAAGTTCCATTTTCATGAACTAGTTTCACCATTAAGGTATTGTTTTTGTGAGCACACTTCCTATAAGAGAAAGAAGTTTTAAAATATAATTTCTGTCTTCAAATAAACCACAAGAAGTCTAAAGCCCTCAGAAGAAAATCTAAGGCTTTGTTTTTTTCCTAGGATGAAAAGGGAGAATGCCAGTGTTCCAGACGAGTTGCAAATGGTGCTGTATAACTCAATTCTCCAATGTATTTAAAAGTATACAGAGAGCTCTCTGTTGCATTTTTAAAAATGAGCTCTTGCACAATAAAATTGCATGCCATGCAAATGAATTAAACAAACGATTGGAGACAAAATAATCAAATCAGGAGAAGGACACATCAGTTTCATTTCTCCACAATTAACCAAAGTATTCTAATACAATGTTTTTTTCTTTCATTTTTAACACTCTAAAAAATTCTGTAGAACCCAAATTCTTAAACCTGGCATAGTTAAGTTCTTATCAGAAGAAGGTACACGTGCTATATAGGAAAATAAATACAAAAAAAAAAAATTCCCTCTATCATCCAAGCATCTTTGGGTGACTTGCTTTTTGAAATGATAACAGAAGGAACAGATTACCTGACACACAGAGGTAATACCTGTCCTGGACGGAGAACTCTATTTCAATAAACTCGTACAGATTCTGCGAGAGTGGCTTAAACAGTTTCTTCTCCAAGTCCTCCTTTACCAATGATGACATTTCCTCCAGTTCCACTTGGCCTGATGTCTTGGCTCAAGCTCACTCTTTCCTCTCCTTTTGCTCCCTAGATTTCTCGTTTGGGTTTGCAGCTCCTTGGTGAGTCCTGCCCACCTCTCAGCCCTCCCTCTCTTAACTTCTCATTCCTAGCCAGAGCCCAGATTCCCGAGAGCACTCAGCGCGGTCAGACCCCTCACTGCGGTATCTGCCCAGTGGCAGCAGCGGCGGCGGCAGCCAAAATACAGCAGCCTCACTAGCCCCACCGTCAGTCTTCCGCGACCAGCCTCAAGCAGGCTGCTCTCTGGAGCTCCTCTGTGGCTTGCTGGTAGGGAAACATATTTACGACCACCGACTGATACTCATAGATCTACTTGTGGAGTCCCCTGGCTATTCCAGTCTTGGTAGCCTCTTCCCCTTTCACAACACTATGCAAAGACCACGATTTCAGCTTGATGCCATTATATAAATCAGCTGTCTGGCTCTATTGATTGGGATCATCTTCCATTAAGAACTTTTCTATCATCGGCAAGAGAAAAGACATTTGTGCTTGCTCCTAACACTTCCAACAAGTCTCTTTCCCTCCCTTCCTTCGCCTCCTGATCTTTGCTTCCATGACAGTCTGCACCAATTCCTGGGTCTAAATTATTTTTAAAATGGAAATTTTTAATGGGCTCAATTTAATAGTATTTATGCCTCCACTCACAAAAATGTATTAGCCACCTACTAGGGGAAAGCATAGAAATTAGGAGGGTGAATTTCTTAGCCTCAAGGAACTTCTAATCTAATGGAGATTAGTACACCAAACAGTTATCATAAATGTGTAAGAGTGATAAAGGCACAAAGGAGAAGGAAACACGGAATAGAAAAGGCATTTATACCTGAAAGGTATTGGAGAACGTGCTATGAGAGAAGATCTGGAGCTTGAAGAATGAGAGAAAAGTAGAGAGGTGGAAGAGAAGCACATGCCAGTCCAGGGAGCCAAAAAAGCATGAGGGCTGTGCTATGGTATGAATGGGCCCCCTCCAAAACTCAGGTGTTGTCAATGTGATAGTATTGAGAGGTGGGGCCCTTAAAAAGTGAGTAGGCCATGAGGGCTACTCCATCCTGAATAGGACTAAGGCCCTTATAAAAGAGCCTTCACGCAGGTTTGGCTGACTTGCGCTTCTGCCTTCTGGTATGTGAAGACACAACATTCTTCCCATCCGGAGGAGGCAGCCCTCACCAGATAGCTGAACCTGCCAGTGCCTTGATCTTGAACTTGCCAGCCTGGAGAACTGTAAGAAATACATTTCTGTTTCTTATAAATGACCCAGTCTGTGGTATTTTGTAATAGTGGCACAGATGGACTAAGACCGGATATTTGGAAGGACAGGAAATAGCCCAGCTTTTCTGAGTTGTAGGGTATGTGAAGGTAAAAGATTAGCCTGGAAAGATAGATTGGGGCCAGATCATGAAGGGCCTTAAATACCAGCTAAGCCTTTGGACTTTATTCTACAGAAGTAGAGGGCCAATTAAGGTTATTGACATTCATTCTTTCATTCATTTATTCCTTCAACAGACATTTATTAAGAATTGACCATGTACCAGGCTCTTTTCTAAGAACTGGTGATACGGCAATGAAAAAATAGGCCAATTCCTTGCTCTATGGAGCTCAATGGGGTAGATAGAAAATGAAGAAATAAAGCAGTCATACATCCAGGGTGCACTCAGCTGCAAGTAACAGAATATATGACATAAAGATATAAATAATCTCATGTAATAGAAGGTCTGCAGGTAGGCAGTCCCAAGAGTTAGCTCAGGACTCATAGATAAAGATCCCAAATGCTTTCCATTCTTCTGATCTACCTTCCTCAGATGTTGGCTTTTTTGTCCTGAGGCTGTGTGGTTCAGATCCAAAGACAGAAAGTAGGAGAGGTGGCTCTTTTATATTTCTTTTCATGAGGAAGAAAAATCTTTTTCAAAAACCATCAAGCAGACTTTCCTTTACATCTCAGTGGCCATAAATGGATCATATGGCATCCCTAGGAAAGCAAGTACAGTCATATGCTGCATAACAAGATTTCAGTCAACAATAGACTGCATACAGGATGGTGATCCCATCATCTCATAATGAAGCTGAAAAATTCCTATGACCCAGTGACGTCATAGCCCCCACGATGTCAACCCAATACCTTTTCTATGTTTAGATATGTTTAGTTACACAAATACTTACCATGTGCTACAATTGCCCACACTATTCAGTACAGTACATGCCGCATAGGTTTGTAGCCTAGAAGCCATAGGCTGTGCCATATAGCCCACCTAGGTATGTAGTAGACTATGCCATCTAGGTTTGTGTAAGTACTCTCTATTATGTGGGCACAGTGATAAAATTGCCTAATAGTGCATTTCTCAGAGGATATCCCCATCATTAAGTGATGCATAATGGTATTTGTCTTTTTTGACTGCTATCATGGGAGGTGGGATTTTCTAACAAAGAAGAAAGGGATGGGAATAGCTATGAGCAGATAACCAACAGTGTCTACCATGGCTGCTCTAAAGAAAAACTTGACATGCCTGTAGCTAGGCTGAATTGTGGAGTCCTGGGTGAGACATTTGCCTTTCTGAGCCTCAGTTTCCTCATCTGAAGAATATTCTCTAGGATCTTTTCCGACCTTTAATATCCTCCTATTTTGTTTGTGATTCTGGGAATCTATGAAAACAATTTGAGCAAGGTGACCAAAGGACTAGTGTATTAGTCCATTCTCATCTTGCTATAAAGAAATACCTGAGACTGGGTAATTTACAAAGAAAAGAGATTTAATCAACTCACAGTTACACAGGCTGTACAGGAAGCATGGTTGGGGAGGCCTCAGGAAACTTACAATCATAGCAGAAAGTGAAGAGGAAGGATCCACAGTCTTACATGGCTGGAGCAGGAGGAAGAGAGAGAAGGAGGAAGTACAACACACTTTTAAACAACCGGATCTCATGAGAACTCACTATCGTGAGAATAGCAAGGGTGAAATCCGCCCCCATGATCCAATCACTTCCCACCAGGTCCCTCCTCCTTCATTAGGGATTACAATTCAACATGAGATTTGGGTCAGAACACAAATCTAAACCATATCAAGTAGCACTATGTTTGGATATGGAAATGGAGAAAGGAGGATGAATGTAAGATACATCTGATAATAAAATCAGTAAGCAGTGGCACACAATTGAATGTGAAAGATGGAAAGTGGAGTCAATATGTCACAACGGCTTTCTACATCCACCTAGGGAATGAATAAATGGCCTCCCATGATAGGAGATACGTTTTTGAGGAGAAATTATTTTTCAGATTTTACACTTAAAAAAGTATTTCCAGCCGGGCACAGTGGCTAATGCCTATAATCCCAGCACTTTGGGAGGCTGAGGCAGGTAGATCATGAGGTCAGGAGATTGAGGCCATCCTGGCTAACATGGTGAAACCCCATCTCTACTAAAAATACAAAAAATTAGCCGGGCGTGGTGGCATGTGCCTGTAGTCCTAGCTACTCGGGAGGCTGAGGCAGGAGAATCGTTTGAACCTGGGAGGTGGAGGTTGCCGTGAGCTGAGATCGCACCACTGCACTCCAGTGTGGGTGACAGAGCAAAAGAAAAAAAGTATTTCCTATGTGTTTTCATCTTCATATGGAGAAAAAAAAAATCATATGACTCAGGAACTCATCAACAATATTGTTACTGAAATTGTAATTAGATAATTATTTTCATGATTCTTTTTATCATGTTTTGTTACCTGCTAGACTACAAGTTTCATGAGGTGAGAAACCATGCTTTTTCTCTTACTACATATCCAAGATATGTGGGCTGTAGTGACTTACATATAATGGGCATTCTTGCATTCATTTATTCATTTATTTGTTAATGTTTACTAAAGAACAAATAAGTAAATCAAAAAGTCTTGTAATGACTTTTTGGAAATACTTTGCATAGCTGATTTGGTAGTGCTATATCCTTACAGATAGAGGGGAATTGGTCTTAATTTGTGAGTCTCAGATGTACTTCTGGAGAAACTACTGCAACTTTCTCTTTAGGTTCTTAAGAAAAGAATGTGTATGTATTCCAGTATTGTCTTAAGTAACATTGAAATCAGAAGTTCAGGAACTGACCTAGTGACTTTGTAGTTCCAAAATGAAATGTGTGCCATCAAGTAAGTATGTTCAGAAACTATATGCCATTGGTTTGAATATTCTTATATCGATTTGTTTGACAGTTGTATTAGTCCATTTTCACACTGCTATAAACAACTATCTGAGACAGGGTAATTTACAAAGAAAAGAGGTTTAATTGACTCAGTTCTGCGTGGCTGGGGAGGCCTCACAAAACTTACAATCACAGTGAAAGGCAAAGGGGAAGCAAGGCACATCTTACATGGTGAGAGAAAGACTGAGAGAGAGAGAGAGCACAACAAGGGGCAGGTGCTACACACTTTTAAACAATCAGGTCTTGTGAGAACTCTATCATGATACAGCACTAGGGAGATAGTGCTAAATCATTAGAAACTATCCCCATGATCCAATCACCTCCCACTAGGCCCCACCTTCAACACATGGGGATTACAACTTTACATGAGATTTGGTGGAGGCACAGACCCAAACCATAAGAGTCAAAGGGAAAAGTAAAAAAGTCATGTTAAAATGCTAATAAATGTTTTTCTTAAGGTTCTCAATAATTCTACAATCTATCAAAACATTACCTAAGTTAAATAATTCAAAGGATTCAACTTTAAAAGTAGTACAAAAGATAATTCACTAAAAGTGAAAAAAGGAAAATTTTTAGAGACCTTGATTTCTTTGTTAATTAAGAGGAATAAAATATCAGATCTTTGAAAACTAACATCAAAACAAGAGGTTATTGAAAAGTAACAAATATATCCAAAAAAGTTCCATAAGATGTTTAATAGAGCTATTAAAATATTTTTTCCTCACAGCTAAAGATTATTCTAGTCTGTAAATTTATTTTCTGAAATGCAATAGAATTATCAGTGGGGATAAAGAGGAAACTGTGGCAAAATGGTATGTTTCTGGAAAGACTCATTTTAAGAACCCCAATGTCCCCCAAGTGTGTTTCCTAAAAGAAAGGACTTTTTAATACCTATTGTTGCACTAGTGAGGCTCAGCTAGTTCACCATCTGATTAAGTGATGAAGCATGGCTGGGGAGGCCTCAGTTTATATGGATGTAGCCCTGATGGTATAGAGGAAGACTAGATACTTAGAAGAAAAGACCTTCTTGCATATAAGATCTATAGATTAAACTTTGAGTTAATTGAGAAACTGAAGCCTAGGTTCTAAAATATCCACAATTAAAGGGGTCAACTATCATTTCTAAGTCTAAAAATAGTCCAGACCTATTTTATCCTTATTAATTTTGTTTTCAGAGAGAAAGAATACTTTTTCTTTTAATTTTCAGTTTTGGAATCTTGCATTAATCACTTCCCAACCTGGTCTTCAAAATTTTCACATTTTTTGCAACCATAGAATTATTTATTTGCTTAAGAAATCTGGAAGTCCGCTATCTGTACATAAGTAATAGGATCATCATATGAGCAAATGATAATAGGAATCCCCTTTGCACATTCACAAATTACTCGAATAATAGGTCTGTACAGAGTTCATAGCTAAGGTAGTTAATTGCTCTTCTGGAATTACAGAGTTGGCCTTGTTGGGAGTTTGCTAAACCAAAGTTCTTCTCAGGGCTGCTCTTCAGGTGCATAAGGACGTAGTAGAAAACACTATGCAAATAAGGGCTGGGCCCCAACTTCCGTGTCTTCTTTTAGGCCCACATTCCAAAGCCTTTTTGGCTTAGGCGGTTATGTATGGCCTCACATCACTAAGTCCTTGAGTGACCTCTAGGACAGGAGGAGAAATACTATTTACCAGCACTATCAATGACAGGCTCTGTGTGTTGGCCTCTAAAATATACATTGTTCCATTTAATCTTCCAACAAAGCTAAGACGTAGATATCATTGTCCTCATTTTATCTATGAGGAAACAGAGTTTTCTTTTTAAAATTATTATTACTATTATTTTATTTCAGTAGGTTTTTGAGGAACAGGTGGTGTTTGGTTACATGAATAAGTTCTTTGGTGATGATGTTTGAGATTTTGATGCACCCATCACCTGAGCAGTGTACGCGGTACTGTACCCAATGTGTAGTCTTTTATCCCTCACTCCCCTCCCACCATTTCCCTGAGTCCCTGAAGTCCATTGTCTCATTTTTATGCCTTTGCATCATCATAGCTTAGCTCCCACTTATGAGGGAGAACATACGATGTTTGGTTTTCCATGCCTTCGTTACTTCACTTAGAATAATGGTCTCCAATTCCATCCAGGTTGCCGCGAATGACATTATTTCATTCCTTTATATGGCTGAGTAGTATTCCATGGTATATATATACCATTATTTCTTTATCCAATCATTCATTGATGAACATTTAGGCTGGTTCCATATTTTTGCAATTGCCAATTGTGCTGCTATAAACATGCATGCCCAAGAGTCTTTTTCGTATAATGACTTCTTTCACTCTGGGTAGAAACCCAGGAGTGGGATTGCTGGATGAAATGGTGGTTCTACTTTTAATTGTTTAAGGACTTTCCACGCTGTTTTCCATAGTGGTTGTACTAGTTTACATTCACACCAGCAGTGTAAAAGTGTTCCCCTTTCACCACATCCACACCAACATCTATTATTTTTTGATTTTTTGATTATGGTCATTCTTGCAGGAGTAAGGTGGTATTGCACTGTGGTTTTGATTTGCATTTCTCTGGTCACTAGTGATGTTGAGCATTTTTTCATATGTTTGTTGGTCATTTGTATATCTTCTTTTCAGAATTGTCTATTCATGTCCTTAGCCCACTTTTTAATGGGATTGTTTGCTTTTTTCTTGCTGATTTGTTTGAGTTTCTTGTAGATTCTGGATATTAGTCCTTTGACGGATGTATAGATTGTGAAGATTTTCTCCTGCTCTGTGGGTTGTCTTGAGGAAACAGAGCTTTCTATGGCAACATGGTAGCCCTCCTTAAAGCCCAACAAGGAAAATAATACATCTCTGATCCACATTGGTTGCTTCCACCCTTGGTAATAATGTCTTAAGTAACATTGAAATCACAAGCTCAGGAATTAAAGCTAACTATTATTAAATCAATGTTTAGTAATAAAACATTGCTGTAACTAAAACTTCTTTATTAATAGAGTCCTGAACTTGATATCTTTTTATGTGTGATTACATATGAGATTGGAAAATGCCAGTTCTGTATTGTATTGCTTAAATTTATTTGTAGGAATCAAGACAGTATTGTTATCCAAATATTTAATCTTCTATTACATACAAACACTCTATTATTGTATCATATGAGTTTTACTTAATCTCATACTTCTTTGGTGACTATAGTTTAGGAACGTTTTGTGAGTGTGTGTATATGCATGTGAGTGCCTGTCTGTGCACACTATGATGATTTAGGGTGGGTTTCAAGTGGGTATACTTTGTGAGGTGTTTTCTCTTGTTTCCATTTGGTTATGGATATTTGTAATCCCACAACTCGATTGTAAGAGTTAATAAAGAACCAGCCCTATCTGTGAAAGGAAAAGAAATATAGTTGCTTCTTTTTGTGACCACTCTTGCCTGACATTGTAGTATTCGCTGATGAGGATTTGAGATGCCTGATACCTCAGACATCAGTTTATCACTAATATTGCAGAATGTGTCACAGTAGTAAGGCCTCAGAGGCTCATAGTCAGTGCCAGAGTCCTCATTATGGGTTTCTCTGACTCAGCCAGAGCTGGAGTACATCTCTTGCTCAGAATGTTCTGGTGTGATTTTAAAACATTGGTTTTACAGAGGCAGTTTCCTTTTAAATGGAAAAAATAAAAGAAATCCTAAAAGTACTTCATGAGAAAAAAAACCACATTCTTCTGAAAAAATATATACACAAATAGATTTTCAGGAAGATTGTGTTTTCATGCAAGTCTGTGAATATTTAAATAAAGCTTATAAAGAAAAGATTTGTATTTTCCTCCATATTCTATAGGATAATACCAATAACAAGTTTTTTGTTTTTTGGTTCTATGAAATATGATTTATGTTTATGAAGAGGCTACTTCAATATCATAAGGTAATGAAAAAAGAATAAAACTATTCCTATAGGATGTCCTGTTTTGTGGGTGCCAACATATATATACCAGTTAGATGCTTTTAAAATAAGCTTTTTCCTAATTTTGGAGATAAGGGGATTTCAAATTAGCAAATGGAGTGAAAATTATATTACTTGATATCCAACTAATAATAACCAATTCATCATCATAATAGCTATAACAACCAATTCATAATGATCCTTACAGTCATATAGTGCTAACTACTTGCCAGATACTGTTCTAAGAGCTTTACTGATGTTATTTTATTTAATCTTTTAAACAGTCCCATGAAATAGGTATTATTGTTCAAATTTTGCATATGAGGAAACTTAGACACAAGTTACCAGTTATATCTTGTCCAATGTCACATTTTAGTAGAGCTGATTTGAATGCAGGCAGTGTTATGCTACAGTTTGTGCTCTTAACTACTATATCTACTGGTTTGTTCCAATTTGACCATAAGTAGTCGTTAAAAATTTGCTAAAAAAATTTGTACACATTGGTGGGGTGCGGTGGCTCACGCCTGTAATCCCAGCACTTTGAGAGGCTGAGGTGGGTGGATCACGAGGTCAGGAGATCAAGACCATCTGGGCTAACACAGTGAAACCCTATCTCTACTAAAAATACAAAAAAAAAAAAAATTAGCCGGGCGTGGTGGTGGGCACCTGCAGTCCCAGCTACTCGAGAGGCTGAGGCAGGAGAATGGCATGAACCCGGGAGGTGGAGCTGGCAGTGAGCCAAGATTGCACCACTGCACTCCAGCCTGGGCAACAGAGCAAGACTCCATCTCAAAAAAACTGTACACATTGGGCAAAGATTTCATGATGAAAACATCAAAAGCAGTTGCAACAAAAGCAAAAACTGACAAACTGGATCTAATTAAACTAAAGAGCTCCTGCAAGGAAAAGAAGCTATCATCAGAGACAACCTACAGAATGGGAGAAAATTTTTGTAATCTATTCATCTGACAAAGGTCAAATATCCAGAATCTACAAGGAATTTAAACAAATTTACAAGAAAAAAACAAACAACCCCATTAAAAAGTGGGCAAAGGACATGAACAGACACTTCTCAAAAGAAGACATACATGCTACCAACAGACATATGAAAAAAAGCTCAATATCACTGATGATTAGAGAAATACAAATCAAAACCACAATGAGATACCACCTCACACCAGTCAGAATGGCTATTAGTAAAAAGTCAAAAAACAACAGATGCTGGCAAGGTTGTGGGGAAAAAGGAATGCTTTTACACTGTTGGTTGAAGTGTAAATTAGTTCAACCATTGTGGAAGACAGTGTAGTGATTCCTCAAAGACCTAGAGGGAGAAATGCCATTTGACCCAGCAATTCCATTACTGGGTATATATCCAGAGAGATATAAATCATTCTATTATAAAGATACATGCATGTGTATGTTCACTGCAGCACTATTCACAATAGTAAAGACATGGAATCAACATAAATGCCCATTAATGATAGACTGGATAAAGAAAATATGGTACATATACACTGTGGAATACTATGCATCCATAAAAAGGAATGAGATCATGTTCTTTGCAGGGACATGGATGGAGCTGGAAGCCATTATCTTCAGCAAACTAACACAGGAACAGTAAACCAAACACCGCATGTTCTCACTTATAAGTGGGAGCTGAATGATGAGAACACATGGACACATGCAGGGAAACAACACACACTGGGGCCTTTCAGAGGTGGGGGGTTGGGCGGAACATCAGGAAGAATAGCTAATGGGTGCTTGGCTTTTTACCTAGGTGATGGGATGATCTGTGCAGCAAACCATCATGACACATGTTTACCTATGTAACAAACGTGCACAACCTGCATATGTACCCCTGAACTTAAACATTGAAGAAAAGAAAAAAAGTTGTCAAAAAAATTGTACACATATTTTCTCTGGACATCTTAATCATTAAATAAAGGTATGATTTTCTTTTCCTTTTTTTCTTTTTGAGATGGAGTCTCGCTTTGTCACCCAGGCTGGAGTGCAATGGCGTGATTTTGTCTCACTGCAACCTCTGCCTCCTGAGTTCAAGCGATTCTTCTGCCTCAGCCTCCCGAGTAATTGGGACTACAGGCGCGTGCCACCACGCCCAGCTAATTTTTGTATTTTTAGTAGAGACAGAGTTTCACCATATTGGCCAGGCTGGTCTCGAACTCCTGACCTCATGATCTGCCCTCCTCCGCCTCCCAAAATGCTGGGATTACAGGCATGAGCCACCATGCCTGGCCAAGTTACCATTTTCTTATCTTAACCTTTTATTTGACTGTCTTTTCTTTCATTTTTAGATCGTTCCTTCTCTCTTTCTTTCTCCCTTCCTTCCTCTCTCCCTCCCTCCCTCCCTCCCTCCCTCCCTCTCTCTCTCTCTCTCTCTCTCTCTTTCTCTCTTTCTTTCTTTCACAGGGTTTCACTCTGTTGCCTGATTGTGGCTCACTGCAGCCTTGACCTTCCTGGAATCAGGTGATCCTCCCACCTCAGCCTCCAGAGTAGCTGGGAATATAGACACATGCTACCACACCTGGCTAATTTTTGTGTTTTTGTGTAGAGATGGGGTTTTGCCATGTTGCCCAGGCTGGTCTTGAACTCTTAGGCTCAAGTGATCCTCCTGCCTCGGCCTCCCAAAGTGCTGGGATTATAGGCATTGAATGCCCAGCCAGACCTTTCAATTTTGCCTACATGCACAAAGATGCCAGGAGTTCAGAACTGATAAGGATGCACTCTTCTCATAATAACCATCTTTTAAATGAAAGAATGAACACAGTTTCATTGGTCTTAAAGGAAAGCTTTAATTTTCCCTTTCTTATACTAACAACCTCAAATAGAACCAGACATTTTAAGGTCAACATATAATATACAAAGGATATCTATTGTTTTCCTCTGCCTAGCACTCTTCCTTTTTTCTGGTAGAAGAATCCATCTTTTCTATGAAGAAGCCATTCCACGTGTAGAGGTGGAGCTGTTCCTCCTGCCCCTTGCTTATGCATGAATCTGGCCTGGACTTAGCTAATCAGAGTCCTCCTTCCCCTAGTCACGGTGATTGGTTCAGGGCTGTGTATATGACCCAAGCAGGACTGTGCCTAACTTACCGTCTCCCAGCTTCAAACCCATCCTTCTTTTCCTTGCTTTGGGATCTTGGAACTGAGCCCTGTAAACATTTCTCCCGTGCTTGCTAGTGGAATGTTAAACTGCACCAATCGAGAACAATGGGGTGTCCCTGCAAGGCAATAGCAGCAGAAGAATCTTCCTTTCCAGGTCCTGGTCCTACATTATTATTATTATAATATATATATATATATATATATATATATATAAAATGTTGCATATTAAATGTATAACATTATTGTTCTTATTAATTCGGGTGGGAGCCCAGGGGCTGCACCAGTGAGCTCTAGTTGTATCCTCAGGCCATGTGCTCCCCATCTGCAACCACTTTTCAGCAGCCGTGCTCAGCCACACCCTTAGGCAGCAGTGGGCTGCTTCAACAGACAAGTTGCAGTCTGTCCACACCCTCCTTCAATTGCAAGCTGCTTCTATAGACTGGCTGTGGTCTGTGACCTATGGCAAATTGACTTACCACCAGCAGGCTTCTGGCTCCTGCATTAGCCACATCATTTTCAAAGGGGTCTCAGCCTCATCCTTCAAAGGAGAGGGCTCCTTTAGTCCTTGGTTCCTTTATTGTTAATTCATCCTGAGCCTACAATTAGTAGCTGCTCTTTCGTACCTGCTGTTTCTGGATTCAATAGCGTCCTTGTGTGTGTGTGGTGTTTTGGTCACTTATTTAAAAAAGTTGCAGGGGATGTTAACTTTTACTGAACCATCTTCTACTGCTCTGGTTAAAAATTGTTTTGTTAAATTTTTCCTGTTCAGATAACCAATGTGGTTTCTGTGTCTAGAATGGATCCTGACTGATATAAATGTCCTCTGAAATTTTATACAGGTTCTGTGAAAACAATGATGATCTTTATCTTCTTACTGGATTGAGAGCTGTAAGTATAAGGTAAACAGAAGCTGCTTGATGCCATTGTCCCCAGTGACAGAGAGGGAGGCTATTTTCAGTTAAAAAAAAGAAAAAGATGAGGTCATGCACAGAGAGAGAAATAGATGTGAGGTAAATGAGGATGGAGAGAATTCTGATGTCATCATTTGACCCCTTGGATCCAGCCATGCCTGAAGATAGCTCTCCAGTCATATAAACCAATAAATTCTTTTTCTTAAGTAAGTTTGGGTTGGATTTCTGCCTCTCAAAGTTGAAACAATACTAATTATGATATAAAGTAGCCTTGCCACAAAGAAAATAACCACTCATTCACCTTTCATTTTCTGTTTTAAAAGTACCTTTAATTTTTAAAAGGATTGCCTTTTTAGCTTTATGCATAACCTACTGAAGGCTGTCTGTCAGCCCTCCTTCACTGAAGGGGTGTTGGGGCGGTGCATCGATGTGTCCATGACAGTGGTAACTTGCTTTGTCTAAGGAATCAGAGAGGGCCTCCCTAAGAAAGTGACCACCCAGCTGAGAACTGAAGGATGAGTTGTCAAACTCTAACAGAGTTAAAGAGTCAAAGAGGGGATTTATTAATCTGATCATCCAACCAACACTCATGTGCAAAGTATTATGGTGGATGCTAGGGATACAAAGCTGAATACGCTCCCCTATTTTAAGGAGGCTGTATTAACTATGTCTTGTATTTTCTGTAATCTGATGCTTGGACATCTGGGGCCTTGCTGACCCTGAAGCGATGTCCCCTCCCAGAGTTTGTTAATTTCTAGAGCTAGTAAATACCTCACCTGAAAGTATAACTTTCAGCTGCAAACCAACCAATCCAGATCCCATACCCCCTCTACCTTCTTTATCTCATATTCCTGGCCATCTGCCCCAATCACTCCAGAGCCAAGTGCTAGACAATTAGGCCAGTCTCTATGCTCCAGAGCCTGCTGAAATTATTCAAACTAGCCAATCCTAAACCTGGTTACCCTGTGTCATCTCTTCCTGCCTGTGGAAATCGTAATAAAAGCTCTTGCCCACAATTTCCCCCTATCTCTGCCTCCTGACCAACCCTGGTGCTTCCCTGTGTCTCCCCCGACTCCATTGTGAGACATGGTATGCCCCTTCCTCCCTTCTTCCTGGGATCTGTGAGTAAAACGAAGCCATCTTTTCACTGGCAATAGTCTCCCAATCTGTTGGCCTTATGGAACCTCAAATTTTCTATCAATACACTATATTTTAAGACAGACCATACTAAGGAAACTTCAAAACTTTTTCATATCTCAACTAATCAAAAGCTTCTTGAAAACAGACCACACATCTGCTTTATCCATTACTATATCCTCAACAGTAACTCATTTGTTATTATAATTGCCCTATATGGATTTTTGAGCACTGTTCATCTAGTATCACTTATATTCATTTTTTCTTTCTAATTTCCACTAACTCCACTCCACTTCAGGATTTTTTTTTTTCCTAAGATGAAGTCTTGCTCTGTTGCCCAAGCTGGAATACAGTGGTACAATCTTGGCTCACCATGACCTCAAACTCGTGGGCTCAAGTGATCCTCCTGCCTCAGCCTTCTGAATAGCTAGGACTATAGAGGTGCATGCCACCATGCCCGGCTAATTAAAAAAAAAAAAATTATAGAGAAAGGGTCTCGCTATATTGCCCAGGCTCATCTTGAACTGCTGGCCTCAAGTGATCCTCCCACCTCAGCCTCCCAAAGCACTGGGATTACACATATGAGCCACCATGCCTGGCCTCTAGGCTTTCATGAAGCTTGTTTTTTTAGTTACTCCCTTTGCCTTTCCTTCATTAAGTTTGTGTCCATAGTCTGTTCAAATGACACCAGATCTACAAAGCCTCTCCTGACCCTCTCAACTCAGTGTACGTCCTCTGTTTCTTTAACTGATTAGTTTCATCTCCTTCTTGTACACTCTGCCTCCTGTTCTAGTTATCTGCACCCTTGTCTTATTGCTGTACAGACTGTAATCTCTTTGAATAAAGGAATCATACTTTAGACATCACTGTATTCTTAGCTCCTAGCACAGTGCCTGACAGATAGTGTTTCATAACTGTTGAACGCATAAAGAAATAATGAATTGTAAACTTCTTTAGGGCAGGGACTGTATTTTACTTTTCTTTCTTTTTTTTTTCTTTTTTTTTTTTTGCAGAGTCTTGCTCTGTTGCCCAGGCTGGAGTGCAGTGGCATCATCTTGGCTCACTGAAACCTCCGCCTCTGGGGTTCAAGCGATTCTTGTGCCTCAGCCTCCTGAGTTGCTGGGATTACAGGCACGTGCCACCATGCTCAGTTAATTTTTTGTATTTTTAGTAGAGATGGGGTTTTGCCATGTTGTCTAGGCTAGTCTCGAACTCCTGGCCTCAAGTGATCTGCCCGCCTCAGCCTCCCAAAGTGCTGGGCTTATTACAGGCATGAACCACCATGCCCGACCTGTAGTTTACTTTTCTATCTAAATCCTCGGATACCTACCACACATCTTGCCTATGGATGATGAATAAATAGTGAATTGAATAAGCCTATAAAGGAGGCAGAGTAAGTAGTATTAATAACTTCATTTGAAATAAAGAAACTGAGGTTCAGAGAAGTTAGTGCTTTTCCCAAGGGCACCAAGTTAATATGAAATGGCATAGATGGGATTAGAACCCAAGTACTTTGCTACCTACTCCAGAGTATTTCCCACTCCCCATCATTACAAAAATAGCTAGCCTAGCTGAGTGATTCCTATGTGGTAGGAAGATAAAGATGTCATTGAGAAGTCTGTCACAGGGCAAGATCTTGCTCTCCATTATATATACATTTTTGAAATCCTCTCAATTTCCATAAGACTATCATGACCTTTATTGACAACAGATACTTGAATCTGTCTCCAGTATTGATTTAATAAAAGGTGAAGACAGAATATCATTGTTGTGTAAGATGAAACATTGGCAGGTGTGAGGAATTTAGCATTATTTTCTTGAGGATGTCACATTGTAAATTGATCTGAATCTGTTTGTTTTCCCAGAATTTTTACTGGCTGGGTTTATTCCACACATACCTTCCCCCAACTTTGGCAATATCTCACGAGCTATTGATAAATTATTAAACTCTGATGCAAATTCAAGTGCCAGGATTAACCATAAGATGGTATATTTGTTTTGTTAGGGTCTAGTCAAGAAGGAGAAAACACAACAGTTATTTTGACTTAGAAAATTTCATATGAATAATTGTTGACTAGGTAAAAGACAAAAGAAGAACTCTGTATCATGGAAGTGGCAACAGCAGGAAGTGACTCTACCACCCCTAGGACTGAGGAAACAAAGAAAAGAGGTTGAAATGATGAAAACTTACAAATTTAGAATAGGGACCCATGGAGTTGAAACTCAGGTCTCTGAGGAGGAGGTCTGTTCAGCTGAACTGGCGTTTCTGAGTTCAGAGGAGGGGGCCTGGGGACTGGGACCCTAATCTCTAAGGAGGGACCTTCAGCCAGTTAGTGCTGGACGTTTCTGATGAGAATGTTATGAAGGTGGGTTCTATAAATGCTGAAAAACTGTAAACTGAATTTAGCTGCTGCTACAGAAAGGCACAGCCCCTGCAGGGTGGAGAAGAATTGCTGGGATATTGCTTACTGGAAGCAGGAAGATAGAGAGGAACAAGAAGCCCATAGGAAGCAGACAGCCCCTTCTTCCTCTTCCAGCCTTGCAAGTCTTCCATGGAGCCCGCATTGGCAAGGCTAAAGACAAGCCAGTTGACAAAGCTGAAATGTGGTTGGCAGAGCCCTAGCAACAGCATCATCAAGCCAGGTATAGGATATGTTTGAAGCCGAGAGACAATAGCTTAGCAATGACCACAGAAGAAGGTTTTGCTCTGTCCTCTCCATGGGTTGGGGTTTCCGCAGCTTCCCTGACAGTATTACAGTGTTACAATAGCTAAGAGAGTAGATTCTGGAGTCAGTTTGACTGGATTTGAATCCTGGCTTTGCCCCTTTCAAGTTGAGTGAGCTTGGGCAAGTCACTGAACTTTCCTGTGCTACCTTGTCTTAGCTTCCTTAGTTATAAAATGTAGATAATAATGTTACGTATCTTACAGTTTGTGGCAAGGACTACATAAGTTAACTCTTGTAAAGCATTTAAAGTAGTGCTTACTGTAGAAAATGCTCAGTAGATAGTAGCAGTTATAACCTGACCAGAGGTGCCCATACAAGATGCCTGATTGCCTGAGTCCTGCCCAGGTCCCCTTCATAGCTGGACACCCAGAGCCATGTGCTACTAGCTCAACTTCCAGGGCTGCCAGCTCCTTTCCAAAGTCTTTCTTCCTTCCCATCTGTGAAATCTCTTCCCTCCTCCAGAATCAGAGTGGGTAGCAAAGCTTCGCTTTCAAAGGGGAGGGAGCACCTGGCCCTCAGCATTGAATTTAAGAGCAACCCAAAGATTCCACACTCTAAGTTAATTGCCTAGATATTCTAGATATCCTAGAAGAATATACACATCCGTGACCTCTCCTCACTTGAGGACCTCCTCTCCTAGGTCCAAAAATATCTGCTGAGAGCTGAAGTGTTTGAAAGTGGAGGAAAGAAATGAAGATCAATGATGAGTATTACAGTTCCCTTGACCTCTTCCTTGCCAACCTCTGTGTGTCCCTTCTCCTCCTTGCCAGGACTCAGGAGATCTCAGAAAAGAATGCTCACCCACCACAATTGCCAATTGAGTTTGTGAAAGGATTTTTTTTTTGAGAGAGAGTCTCACTCTGTCACCCAGGCTGGAGTGCAGTGGTGTGATCTTGGCTCACTGTAACCTCCGCCTCCTGGATTCAAGTGATTCTCTTGCCTAAGCCACCCAAGTAGCTTGGATTACAGGTGCCCACCACCACACCCAGCTAATTTTTGTATTTTTAGTTGAGACGGGGTTTCACCATGTTGGCCAGGCTGGTCTTGAACTCCTGACCTCAAGTGATCCACCTGCCTTGGCCTCCCAAAGTGCTGGGATTATAGTCATGAGCCACTGTGGCCAGCCAGAGATATTTTAAATTTGAGTTTTATTCCTCCAAAACTCACTCATTGCTATGAAGCTTTTGTGATAGGAGTAGGGTAAAGGGTTCTTGCCATTGTTTTATTGGGGAGTGCAACCCCAGGGTAGCAAGAGTGAGGGGCCATACAGAGAGAGTTGTAGAACGTTACTGTACTGGAAAAAGCTTCAAAAGAAAATGCAGCTGATATTTTGGTTACAAGGATGTCTCCCGATAGGCTATATGAAACCATTATGCCTTGAAGCTGTCCATGGAAAAGTCATGGGAAAGAAATGAAATGAAAGAAACTTATATGTTGGTTCCTTCCTGTCTTATGTCTCTCAGTGGTCAAAGTTTGCCCAATTTTTGTCGTGTTATTTGACTGCTTGGGACAGCTGATGGGAAATCCACATCCCGTGCTGCACAGCACAGGGCCTCAGAGAGTCTGTAAGCTGGATTTGATGTGGGAGCAGTTATGGCTGCTCCCGTGTGGGGCCCAAGGGAGGCCATGCAGCCTCTGGCCGCCCCCCATAGAATGAACAGATATCCTGCAGTGTTGGGCAGAGAGGCAATGGTGGCAGTGGCCAGAGCTTTCTACTGAGCAAGTGGCAGGGGGCAGATGGCAAGAGCTAATCTGAGGATGTGCATAAATTGAGTCTGATATTATAGACAGTAATAGATAAGGAGTAAATCAGAGATTGGAAGTGTGATGAAAGTAATTAGGGAAATGGAAAGTTCCAGAAGGATATATCTGGAATATGGATTTATAGAGCATGGGCAATAGAAGACTCTGTTGACACATGGAACCAGAATGTGGCGGAGGCAGCTCTGCCCCAGTAAGCAGGGGACTTGGTCCCAGTTGCCCACCTTCCCTTAGCTGTGGGATGTCTTGGATTTGTCTCTTCATCTCTCTGAGCTGGTTTCCTTATTTAAGAAATGGAAGCGAATCAATGCTAACTTTTTTCAGCTCTGAGATACATGTTTCAGAGAGACAATTTTGCAGGAGTAATTTACATGTAGTCTTTTCAAACTTTGCTATATAAAAATGAGAAATTATAGCCAAGAGCATCCCTACACAGAAACTTATTTTTAACTTAAAATATGCATCAGTGGGTCCCAAGATAAGCTTTTGCTCTGGGCAGCCAACCAATCTGAATTCTAGGCCTGCCTCTGTTAGCAGCCAGCCATATGATCACATGTAAATGAGCTAACATCTATCTCTAGACTTTAGCAAAGCACAGGCTCTGGACTCCAATCACCTTGGCTACAGTCCAAGTGTAAGCACTGACCAGCTATGTGACCTTGAGTACGTTACTTGACCTGTCTGATCTTCTTTTTAATATCTTAATATGGGGTAATAACAGTACCTATTTAGAGGGGCTGTTGTGAGTAAATGCGTATGAAATATCCCACATAAATATACATTCAAATATCCATTAGCATTTCCTTTACTGTGAAAAGAGGTAGGTAGGCCCATGGATCCCTAAGCCCCATTTCAGCTGTAACTTTCCATGATTCCATACTCTGATTCATTACTTATTACAGATGCTTAAAGATCACTTATTATGTGTGTAGTGCTGTACTACCTTGCCCTCAAGAAGCACACAACCTGGTTGAAACAGTCACATGTGATGAGAAACCATACGGAGTAATCTACACTATTTTGATAAGGGATGATATCTTAAAAGCATAATAGATCTTATTTAGAGTTTTCACACGGATAACTTATCAAGCACAGTATTCTGGGAAAAGGCACTTTGTCAGTGTTGGAGGATATGCTTATGACAGGTCCTCACAGTTCCTTAAAAAATATTTCATAGATGTGCATTAGTATATGTTCAACTGATAACTAATGGAGTATTGTTGGAAGCGCTGTGCAAATAAGGGCTTTATTGTAAAGTCTGAAGCATGGTAAGTTATATATCATTCCTTAGTCTAAATGCTGTTTATAATGATATCATATTTCTAATGGAAAAAATTAACATTAAAATTAATATTAGACTAGTGACTTGAGTTGAATTGAACTGGCAATGCCTTTTGTTGTCATAAAGGTGACCATACGTAGCTCTTTGGACTCAGTACAAAAATATCCCACCCAAGAAATAAACGACTGGCCAGATGTGGTGGCTCATGCCTGCAATCCCAGCACTTTGGGAGGCCAAGGTAGGCAGATCATTTTAGGTCAGGAGTTTGAGACCAGCCTGACCAACCTGGTGAAACCCCATCTCTGCTAAAAATACAAAAATTAGCCAGGCGTGGTGGTGCATGCCTGTAATCCCAGCTACTCGGGAGGCTGAGGCAGGAGAATCGCTCGAACCCGGGAGGCAGAGGTTGCAGTGAGCCAAGACCACGCCATTGCACTCCAGCCTGGGCAACAGAGCAAGAATCTGTCTCAAAAAAAAAAAAAAAAGAAAGAAAGAAAAGAAATAAAGAACAGTATCTTATTCAGCAATAGCAAAGTCTCTCCAACTATTTAAGGAGCAACTCTAAATATAGGACCCCAAAACCTATTCAATTTTAAGTATGAAGATAGAGAAAAAAGTCAGGAAAAGTATATTATTTCAAAAGCATATTTGGATTAGAAAAAATGTCATTAGGTATTAATGAATAATGCTAGGTAAAAATGGAAAAATCTGCAGTATTATTAGGCATTTAATAAAACATTAAGAAATGTAATTTAAGAAGGTTTAAGCCAGGACACCCAGAAAAGTTTATTTTAGGGTACTAAGGAAGATGCTATCATAGACTACAATGCGTTGTGGTGGTAAGATGCTGAACTTTGATTTAGAACATATTGGTTCAAGTCTTTATTCTGCCACTTGCTGTTTTAGATTACTTTGGCCAAAGGTCCTACTCTCCCCATGAAATTGAGGGAATTAAAAATATCTCGTTTATTTTATTTATTTATTTTTGAGACAGGGTCTCTCTGTGTTGCTCAGACTGGAGTGCAGTGGCACCATCACTGCTCACTGCAGCCTCAACCTCTTCAGGCTCAGGTGATCCTCTCACTTCAGCCTCCCTATTAGTTGGGAGTACAGGTGCATGCCACCACACCTGGCTGATTTTATATCTTTTGTAGAGACAGAGTTTTGCTATGTTGCCCAGGCTGGTCTCAAACTCCTGGGCTCAAGCAATCCACCCACCTCGGCCTCCCAAAGCGCTGGGATTACAGGCATGAGCCATCGCGCTCAGCCTTCAAGTTCATTATTAGTGTTACTTGTTCATCATGCTCAGTCTTCAAGTTCATTATTAGTGTTATTTGTAAAATTGTTACCACGGTTTTACATGCACATAATTTAAAGAGATAAATAGTTTTACAAAGCTTCTTTGAAAAACATTAGCCCTTCCTCTGACAGTTTCCCATCCTTGGAAGAAACCACTTCCAACTCTGAGTTATTTCTTTTAATATTTGCCTCTATATCACTTAAGTTAATGCTTAAAGTGTCAGTTTTTTTACTGTGGTAAAATATACATAAGATTTACCATTTTAAGTATATAACTCGATGGAATTAAGCACATTCACATTTTCATGCAACCATCACCACTATCCATCTCAATGTTTTCATCATCCCAAACTGAAACCCTGTACCCACAAAACAATATCTCCTCACTAACCCCTGCTCCCAGCCCCTAGCAGCCACTGTTATACTTTCTGTCTCTATGTATTTAACTACTCCAGGTACCTCATATAAGTGGAATCATACATTAGTCTCTTTGTGACTGGCTTATTTCACTTGGTGTAATGTCTTCGAAGTTTATCCATGTGGTAGCCTGTGTGAGGATTTCCTTTTTAAGGCTGAATAAATTCCATTATATGTATATGTCACATTTTGTTTATCCATCTGTGAGTGGAAATTTGGGTTACTTCTACATTTTGACTATTGTGAATAAAGCTACTATGAACACGAGTGTACAAATATCTATTTGAGTCTCTGCTTTCAATTCTTTGGAGAATATACCCAAAAGTGGAATTGCCAGATCATATAGTAATTATGTTTAATTTATTGAGGAACTGCCATACTATTTTCCACAGTGGTTGCACCGTTTTACATTCCTACCCACAGTGCACAAGGGTTCCAGCTTCCCCACAATCTTTCCAACACTTGTTACTTTCTGTTTTTTTTTTTTTAAAGGAGTGCTTTATGAATTTGTGTGTCATCCTTGGAACAGGCTATGCTAATCTTCTCTGTATCATTCAAATTTAATATATATGCTGCCAAAGCAGAACTCTATGTATTTTTGGTTTCTACTTTTGGAAGACTTTCTTAACTTTATCTTCCAACTCTTCTATTGAGTTTTTATTTATACTATTATACATGTGATTTCCAAGAACTTTTGATTTCCAGAATATTTCTTTTTTAAAGAGAACATCTTATTATTGTCTTGTGAATAAAATAACTTTTCCTACTTGTCTGAATACATTAATTATAGTCATTTAAGGACTTATTCTTCCTACAGAGGTCTCTATTTCTTTAATTTGCTTTTCCCCTTTATTCCTTTGTTTTAGTTTCTTTCATGCCATAGCTTTCCCTCAGATATCTGATCTTTGGCCACTTGCTCATATTTAAGAGCTCTAAGCTTGTTGACTGTGGGATTCCTGGAGGGTGATTTGCCAGGGCCATTTTGTGGGTATCCTTAATATATATTAATTAGGAGTACTCATGTTTCCTAGAGAAGTATTTTTACATTTCCTACTTAAAATGCACAGCGCTGGCTCTCTTCATTCTGGAGCTGAAGAAGAGAGACTGGAAGGGAAGGGGTGTCTTCTCAACATTCGGCATGTCAATGTTCTGTTAATATGACTGGGTTCAGCATAATACTCCCTCAACTGTGCCTAATAACTCCTACTCCAGAAACTCTTTTTTCTATCTAAAGTGAGTAAACCTCCAGTGTTTGGATGGGGTGTTAGAGAGGCATTTGATTTGCTACACTGAGTGACAATGAGTGATCAGAAGTTCTAATCGCTTCTTAAGCTAACCAATCCAATCCTTCAATGGCCCTAGTTTTGTCCCTACTTTCAGAGGTATCTGGCGCTGCCTATTCCGGAGACATCCTGGATTCTGTAGTGAAACTGGGTTGCTTTTTAGCTTTCTCCTGCAGGTTTAGCATTGAGGTCTAAATCAGCTGTCTGAGTAAGTTTCCTCTCATCCACTGTTTTCCAGCTTACAGTTTTGTTGCGATGTTTCCTCTCCCATACTTATCTTATGTGTTTTACAACCACCTTTTTTTACTATCATTTTTGTGGAATTTGGAGGTAGTGAAAGTACGTATGTATGTGTTCAATTTTCTCCTTTTCTCCAGAATGCTATATATTTTCTAGTTCTAATAATCTGTTAGTCTAAGATGTATATGATAAATTGTAAACAAACAAACAAACAAAAAACAACCGACCAAACAAACAAAACCCTAATCTTAATTATCTAAGGCTATGTTATACAAGATACAGATTTTCCTGATTCCTGGGACCTGTCTTATCATACTAGCTGTTCACTTGCTTAGTTATATCACTATCATAGTAGATGGTGGCAGAAAGTGTGGTAACATTCCTAACAATTTGTTTTACAACTTATCCTTTCTGGTAAAAAGGATGCTAAAGGAAAATGTCAATGATCTTGGCTACAAGTGAGGGTTTGCTGTTTTAAGTTATTTATGGTCCCTTAACCCTAAGATAGTTTCAAATATTTTAATGTTTTAAAATCACATTTTTTTCAACAAATAATAAGAAAGGAACATATCACTTCAAAATGCTGTATTTTGTTCAAAATACTTTCATGCTATTCTTTGATTATACTGGTGGCATGAAGCATGTTCAGATAGATAAATAGGCACGAAGCAGACCAGTCAAATAACCTCTGTGAATATATACAGCTAATATGAATCTTTTTGGGGTTAGGAAAAATTATAGTCTTCTTCTTCATCTGTCTCTAGTTGGTGTGACAAGAGCTGTCCACTCCCTTGGGAGGAGCCCAGTCTGGGAGAAGCTTTAGGGCAGAAGGGTTACCACTGGTAACTACTATTTACTGAGCATTTACTAAGTGCCTGGCTACCTGCAAAATGCTTTACACACATTGTCTCATTAATTTTCATTATGATCCTCTTTCTTTACAGATAGGAAACTGAGATGCAGCCAGCCAGGTTAAGAAATTTGTTGAAGTGCACATAACTTGTAAATGCAAGACCTGGATTTAGATCCCAGGTCTCTCTGAGTTGAAAGCTCAGGCTCTTTCCAAATGCAGCTTCCTTTTGGGCACAGGTCAGTAGCTTAGTTTAGTGGTGAAATGGAGGAAAAAGTAATTACAATACTGTGTGATAAGGGCTGGTGGGGTTATAAGAACTTGCAGGTGGGGAATCTGAGAAGCTACCTACAGGAAATAATCTAATCAGAGATCTGATGGAGCAGAAGGAGCTTGTCAGGGAAGAAAGGACTGAAGGGTGTTTCAGGCTCAGTGATCAAAGGGACATTCCTGTACCTTGCAGAAATTGGAGCAATTTAACCACAAGTGCCATTGGGAAGGAGGGATGGCAGGAGGTGGAGAGAGTAAAAAGAGGCAAGAAGCAGGTGGAAGGGGTGGAGGTGATGAAGTGAACTAGAAGGAGCCTTAAAACCTAATGAGGGGGTTAGGACTATCCTCTGGTCAATGGGGAATCATTTAAGGGGTTTTAGCAAAGGAGTGACGTGTACAAATTTGTATTTTATAAAGATCATTGTGGTAGCCACAGAGAGAATGAATTTGAGAGCCACTAGAATGGGGGAGGAATAAAAAATGATTCCTAGGTCTCTGTCTTGGACAAGTGGACAAGTTGGTGCCATTCACTGAGACAGGGAACAGCCTCTGGTTGGGGGCGGGAAGTCTATTATAGTATCTAGGGGAGTGATCTAATTGATCAGAGCTGTCAATCTAAAATAATAAAAAAGATCAGAATCGAATTTAAAGAGAGTTTTTTCAAGTGCAAAGTGTGAGAATGGACCACCTGGAAACACCAACTCCAAAGGAATGGAGTAAGCATTCACAAGTAGGGAAGTTAAGGTTTCATTTCTATTGGCAGAGACAGAGGTGTTTTTAGCAGGATTGCAACATTATTCATACAACGTTGGCAAATAGTTACAGCAATATGATTAGTTATGGGAATGTTCTTTTTTGGGAAAGGTACATATAACACTTTTTTACAACAGAGGGTCTAACAGTCCTGAGTTTTCTCTCATCTGGTCTAAGCAAAGCAGGACAACAAGAGAGAAGTTAATCTATAACAAGGGTCATGAATTAAGAAGGCAGGAGATTTTTGTCCCTGATGCTGTTTAATTCTCACTAGTCATTGTAGAGAACAAGAAAATGAGTTAATCTATAATCTGAGAACAGAAGTTGTAACCATATGTGACTCAGATCAGCCATATCTTTGTCAAGGCTTAAAGTGTTTTTGGGGGTTCCAACAGTTTTAAAATTTTATTTATTTTTACTGAGCTGATTTTGCATAAGAAAAATCAGTGTAAGTTTGGCCAGGCATGGTGGCTCACGCCTGTAATCCCAGCACTTTGGGAGGCCAAGGCGGGCGGAACACCAGGTCAGGAATTCAAGACCAGCCTAACCAACATGGTGAAACCCCGTCTCTACTAAAAATACAAAAATTAGCTGGGCGTGGTGGCACACACCTGTAATCCCAGCTACTCAGGAGGCTGAGGCAGGAGAATCGCTTGAACCCGGGAGGTGGAGGTTGCAGTGAGCCGAGATCGTGCCACTGCACTCCATCCTGGATGACAGAGCAAGACTCCATCTCCAAAACAAAACAAAACAAAACAAAACAAAACAAAAATCAATGTATGTTTAAGACTAGATAGTTCTTAAATCAGTGTATGTTTAAGACTAGATAGTTCTTAAATTCATGATCATTATTTATATCAGACTCAGAATCAGCTTAAATCTTGAGATTTGGGCATCCTTATACCCATCCTTCTATCCTTCCCCAGTTAGAAAAAAAATCTTGATTGTATTCATAACTTTTTTAAAAAAAATTAAGCTGAATTATAAAGGCAACAGTGGCTTTCACAGATTTACTGTTTTAGATTAGTTTCCTTATAAACCACATATTTTAGGTAAGTCTAATAAAATCATGTATATTTTCATGTATTTCTGGCATAATTCCATTCTGAGGCCTTTCTAATGGAACAAAAACGTGAAAATTATAGAAAACATTACATTTCTTAATGACCAGTTCATTACATGGCTGTTGCTCATGGCATTGTAACTACTTATAGATGACTAAAGCATATTTAGCTTCACTTCCCAGGAAATTTAAAGCAACCGGGCCTATTCTGTTGATCCACCAACACAGCAATGACTTATGAATCAACCTAACAGAAGGAACTGTTCTAGGGCCTCTTGAGCCATCAGTGCGGTTTATTCTACAGCCCAAGGAGAGACCTCTGCTTTTACCGCCCAGTTGTCTAACGTTCTGCAAATGGCTTTTTATGCACCAGGCCTCTCCGTTTTCTCCAGGAGGGCCCAGATGCAGGTTACACGGTCTCTCGGTAAAGGAGTTTAACCCGGGCGAAGGTCTGCGATCCTCCTTCGCACCTCGGCTTGTGCGGGGTCAACGTGGATCGCAGCTAGAAGGCGTGTCCTAGACCCAGACGCAGAGCGCGCCGCGGGGTCTAGCTTCAGTAACTTGAATTTAGAAAGAAGCACCTGTGTACCTAATAGCCGCTTCTCAAACTTGCACCCAAGGCAACGCTACCCCTAGGGTCTCTCTTGTCCCGCTACGTTTATTTAAAAGCCATGCATTCTTTTAAGAATGAAAGAAGATGTTATATTCTACCTCCTCAGTTTATCCTTATTAATTTCATATAAAATAAAAGTTCAAATCCCCCACCTCCACATAGGCATGATCGGTTCCAGCTGGAGCGCCACCGCTAGCGCCCGTCCCTCTTCCCCATCCCCAGATCACTGCGGGGTGTGGGGTGGGGGGCTCCCCTCGGATGAGGCGGTGTGGAAGAGAAAAATCCAAAGGGTCTCTCGGAGAGGCCGGGCCGGGGATGTGTCCTCCCCGGACCCCGCCTCCCCGGATGGAGAGGGCCCGCAGCATACCCGGGGAGTGCGAGGCCGAAGCGCGTGGATGGCCATGGTCCTGGCCCCAAGCCCTGAGGGCTCCCTGAGGCCGCGCCCGCCCGGGGCGAGGGGAAGGCTGTGACCGGTCGCCGGGGTGCTGGTGCACGTCTGTGGACTGACCCTGTGCGGGAAAAGGTAACATCTACCCAGGTGCCGGCCTGCAGCAGCCAGGGCTCTCCCCGTCTCCCGCGGTGGGGCTGGTTGCGATTAGTGAACCGAAGCTGAACCTGCCATCGCAGCGAGGCGACCCCGACTCCTGGAATCGCTGCCTTCCCTCTCCCGAGAGCCGTGCCCACTCGCCACTGACCCATCCCACCTTCTCTAGTCAGGTGTGGGTCAGAGATGCCAGTTTGTTTCCCCAAACTAAAAGAACTGGAGGAAGCGTCTGAAGTTTTTCATATTTGCCTCTGGAGGGTGCAAGAATTAGAGAATTGGCCGCTGGGACTTTGATTTGAAGTGTTGCTTCAAGTACAACTTTGTGCAAAATTATACTTGGGTATAACTTTGTGCAAAATTATACTTGGGTATAACTTTGTGGGGACATTGTTGCCTGAGGGAAACTCTGGTTTCATGATTGGGGTCTGGAGGCTTAGGAAAGAGGGGGTTTTATTTTTCTTTGTTTTTCCTACCACAGACTAGAAGAAGAATCTGCCTATTGAGGGTCTTCACATAAGTAAAAAAGCAGCCAATGATGAAATAGCACCTATCCCACTCTTTAAAGAGAAACAGACAAAAGGCTACCCCTGTTTAAATATTTTTTATTTTTATTTTTTTTAAGAGATAGGGCCAAGTACAACGGTGCAATCATAGCTCACTGCAGCCTCTAACTGCTGGGCTCAAGCAGTCCTCTCATGTTGCTGGAATTACAGGCATGAGCCACCTGGCCTGGCTCTACACTTGTTTGATTTTGAGCTGGAGAAATGTCAGATTAAATGGATATGTGCATATATCTATTTAGGCAGTCACCTAGATGTGGAGTCTTTAGATTACCCTTAAGTTCAATATTGAGACAAAAAATTTCACTCCTGGGTGTCCAGATGTATAAACCACCTGGATAGCACTTGAGCAACAAGACACCTGGTGCGGGCATCCCTGAGGACAGGATAACAGCAACAACAATAAAATTTATAACAGTTATTGATCATTACGTGCTATGCATAACTTTAAGTAAATTGCATATACAGTTTAATATAAAGTACTATTCTGAGTGCTTTGTTATTTTATTTAGTTTTGGCAAGCATATGAAGCAGCTGCTCTCATAAGCCCCATTTTACAGATGAGGAAACTGAAATACAGAGTTAAGTAACTTTTCTAAGATTATATGATGTCTTAGTCCATTTTATGTTGCTATAACAGAATACCTGAGACTGGGTAATTTATGAAGAAAGAGGTTTACTTTGCTCACAGTTCAAAGGCATGGCCCTGGCTTCTGGTGAGGGCTTTCATGCTGCATCATAACATGGCAGAGAAGGTCAAAGGGGCAGTGGACAAATGCAAACAGAGACAAAACACGAGGGACGTCCTGCCTTTATAACAACCCACTCTGTCAAGAACTAATCCATTCTTGCGAGAACTAATACAGCCTTGGCAGAGTGAGCACTTCCTCACTACCACAAGAAGGGCAGCAAGCCATTCTTAGGGATCCAACTTCATGATCCAATCACCTCCTACTAGGCCTCACCTCCTAACACTGTCACACTGGGGATCAAATTTCAACATGAGTTTAGTGAGGACAAATCATATCCCCATTTTCCAGGTGCTACGAGCATAGGTTGCCAACAGCTCACAGCTGCACCCTGTCTCAAGAATTGTCCTTGCTGATGGAAGCTGCCTGCTGGGAGATGCCCAGGAGGTTACACCTCAAGACTTTCAGGTGTGGTCAATAGCTAAAGGATGACTGACCAGGGGGTACATAGAGCCAATCTTGCTGCCTTATAGGGAACACCTTTGTGGTGTGAGTCATTTTTCCCCTGCTCCCTGTGGGATCAGGCTGGGGCTGGACTGCAGCTGGCCCTGCATCTTTGCCTGGCTGCTTTCATTTCCTGTCCTGCTTGTGGCACTTCCTGGGAGTTCTCACTCAAGAGCCTCGAATCACTTGCACAAGAATTCTCCTCTCAGGCGCTGCTTCTATGAAACCTGACCTAAGACAATAACTCTACTATACTGGGTGGTGAAGGTTTTTAGAGTTTTATTCTTTATTCACTAGAGATATTTCTTTGTATGGAAAGACAACCAGCCAATCCAATGGTTTCAAATGTATATCAGACGACTTTCTCTTCTGATGAGCACCTTGAGATATATTATGGAAGGTATGCTGCCAAAATATTGTTTTGTGTGTGTAAAGCAGATGATAGAATAAGTTCCCTTTGAGATGCTGTTTGGCCAAGAGAGTCCCTATTCCTACCAGGGACTCAGATAGCTAGAGTGGGTTATACATAAGTATTTCATCATTCATTTCTTGTTTGATGAAATTGATTATGAGAAGGAAACATGTTAATGCTGTTTTTTAACAGCTTTATGAAAGTATAGTTGACATATGTAAAGTGTACATTTTGATACATTTATATATATATACATATATACCCATAAACCATCACACAATCAAAATAATGAAAGTACCCATTACTCCCAAAAGTTATTGTAATAACTCCCATACTGGCCCCAAGCAACCACTGATATGCTTTTTGTTATGGTAACAATAGATTGAAAAATACCTTAGAGATCATTAGCCTTTGTTACCAAGTAGTTCAGCGTGTGGAGATTTCCATGGAATAAGACCAGGAGGGAAGTTGAAGTAACTGGGACTAGGCTGATATCTGCTCACTGGGAAAGGGGATGGATACAAAGAGGAACTTGGTGATAACAGGACACAGATTCCAAAGCATGTGGCAACTTCGGATTGGGTTCAGGTAAACTTTAAGATTGGGGTAGACTGGGGTTTTGCAGGTCCTTTAAAGGAGGTCCTTAGGAAATGATGCCATCCTTGAACTGCACAACCAAAATAAAAACATACAGACAGAACCCCCAACCCAAACCCAGAACTTCAAGGTTGGCAGTGGAAAAGGACTTTCCTGGTAGGTGGGGCAGCTGATTTTTGTCCTTCAAATCCTCTTGGCTCTCTTAGGGTCACTCCTGGCGATGGGAGACATACCATCATTCCGTGGTGGGCAGGTCTATGCAAAATGATCCCCAGAGTCCAAGGAAGCAGAGAGGCCAAAGAAAGAGGTTGACAAATCCAGTTTCTCAGAAAGAAACATTTAACAGGGACTTATGAATAGAAGCATGTCTGTGCCTCAGGTGGCATAAGACAAGATGGTGGATTACCCACTCTTAACCCCATTACCCCCCAGACCTTAGGGAAGGAATGTGTAGAACAATTACAGTTGACTCCTCAGGGAAAGGCAGGAATGCTATGTGAGTCTACCTAAGGGCAGGATTTATGGTCAAGATTGTTTTGATCTAAGGGGATGTAAGTACACAAGGAATGGTAAATCAAATAGAAATCTTAGAGGCATTCCCAGAACTGGGGTTAATAAGTCAACATGGTGGATTAGCATCCAAAATGGAGTTGTTTAGCTTCCACACCTTCTCATTTTAACCTTAACTCTAGCTCAAGTTTGCTACCTCGTAGTCCAACTCAGACAAGACTAGAATGTCCTGAGGCACTGCTAAAAGCTCTGGCAACAACATCAGAGAGATAACACAGTGACAGCCATAGATTTAGACAATCTGGCATGTATAACATAGGTTTCTTATCTTCAGGTTTATAGTTCTCCTCAGCTTCTACTCTGTCTCTTATGCCTGGAAGATCCCTTCACTGACTGCCAAAGTCCACACCAAGCACAATTCATGGGATTTCCCTTTCTCCTTTTTATTCTCACTTTCTTGTTCCTTTCTGCAGGATTATTAGGGCATAACATCCAACCTGATAATTAGCTTCATAATCTAGCCCTGATCTCACTGCTCTAGACCATTGCTGTCCAATACAAATATAATGCAGGTCATAAACATGAGCCACATATATAATTTTAAATTTTTTAGTAGCCACATTAAAAAAAAAGGGAAAAGAGAAACAGGTAAAGTTACTTTGAATGATATGTTTTCAACCTAATAGCTCAAAAACGTGGTTGTTACAGGGAGTTAGACAGGCATGAGTGGGGCAGGAGAGGGCTCTTCTCCCCAACCCACTAGGGATGTCAGGTGATGGTTCAACAATTATCACACTGCCTCTCTAAAAATGATAATTTGGCAACTGGGCACCAGGGTGCCAAGGAGAGACAATCTCCTGATGATCCACAGCTGTTAATATTAAAGTGTTAATTGAATGCAGATGCCAGGGAGAAGGAACTTCCTGGGCATGCTCCTTAAGAGACACGATGGCGAAGTATGACCTTTTGGGGACACTCCACTGGAAAAGGGAAGAAAGGCTCAGATGGGCATGTATACAACTTCCTAAACACATTGCACATGCCCCCTTCCCAAGGGTAAGGGGGGCACCGAGCGTGCTGGCAGCCCACCCTAAGGGAGGAATGAATCACGGGAAAGAGGTGGGCCCATAAAGTCCTATGATCACGGTTAAATGGGGCCCTTGACCTTGGCGCCCACTTGGGTCTCTTCCAAGCATACTTTCCTTTCTTTCCTGTTCTAAAGCCTTTTAAATAAACTTCCACTCCTGCTCTGAAACTTGCCTCGGTCTCTTTTTCTGCCTTATGCCCCTCAGTCGAATACCTTCTTCTGAGGAGGCAAGAATTGAGGTAGCTGCAGACATGTACGGATTTGGCACTGATAGCTTCCACCAGTAACAATGATACCTTCCACTAGTAACTCAGATATTGTCTACCAGTAGCAATGGTCATTTCAACAAGTTATCTATGTAAAAATTGATGAGATATTTTACATTCTTTTTTCATATTAAGTCTTCAAAATGCAGTGGGTATTTTTTACATTTACAGCACATCTCAGTTTATATTAACTGCTTTTCCATATTGGGCAGCACAACTCTTAGACATAATATGATAGCCTTGGATCTAAAATTTACTAAGTGTTCTTGGGGAAAAGAGGAAGAACATGAGTTTTGCTTTGGACACAGTGAGTTTGGGGTATTGTTTAGCATCCCTGTGGATGGAGACAACAGACCATTGGAATGCACAACAGAGCATCTTCCAACTTCCTGTGTCAGAGCAACACATCACCTCCTCGGCAGTTAATTGACAATTTCACCTTGTTTTTTGAATCCATGATTTATCTCAATGTTAGCTTGTTTTTGTGCAGATTTTCTCCATCAAGTAGGTACTTATATATATATTTTTTCTATGTGTTTATATTTTAAATTTATATCATCTTTAGGTACACTGAAAAGAGTCACACAGAAGAGTGGGCACTTTTTTACTTGAATATGAAGAATCATTCAGTGAATGGACCATTATTTAGCATGAACAATTTTTCCAAATATAACTTGGTTAGTATTTTTTATTTACATCCCAATCTAGTTTTAAGGATAGCAAAATCTCTAATATATTAAAATGTTTTTGTAATGATAAAATGCTGAATAGTAATAAGATATCACATTTGGAAACGTTTTTAAAGGGATAACAAGGCTCAGTATTTTAAGGACATGGTAAAATGGATACACTCATTCGCTGATGGTGAGAATGTAAATTCCTACAGGGATTTGGAGGGTGATTTAAAAATATGTATTAAAGTTCAAAAAGCCCATACCATTTTTTTTTCTGCAATTCCAATTTTAGAAATTTACTTCATGAGGACAATTGGATAAGTTCACAGATTTGTATGTTTAAGGATGTTCATCTTACTGTTTATAGTTTTTAAGAAGGAAACAATTTATATTTCAACAGTGATTTATAGGGTACCTACCCCTACTGGGCACTGTAGTAGGTACTGGGCTATCAAAATTAACTAGAAATAGATGATCCCTGTCCTTACATATCTTACAGTTTAGGAAAGAAGAAAGTCAACTAAACATTAATTGAATGTGGTGCTGGTGGTATAGACTGTGGTTGGAGCACATAAGATGGGTGTTGAACCTTAACTTGGAGAGGCAGTGAAGGCTTCTTAGATGAACTGATATTTAAACTGGATGCTGAGCAGTGACTGGGTTAAATATATTTTGATGTATCATGTAATGGAATAAGATGCAGCTATTAGAAATAACAATATACACATGGGAAAAATCAATATACCATTGAGGAAAAAAAATCAGGCTACAAAACAGAATAGTATAATTTTATTTCTATAAAATTATGTTTCTATATTTGTACAGATGTATATATATATGTGTGTGTGTGAATATATATTCATGCTAACATACATATACATATATAAACATCTCCCTTTCTCCATCTCTCCCACTCTATAGACACACACACAGACAAAGACACAGAAAATCAGAGAGATCTAGAATGCATCACAATCTAACAGTGATTATGGTTGGTAGAATTTCAACAAATTTTCACGTTTGAAATGTAAATGTATTATTTTTATAAATCAGAAAAAATTGTAGCTATTTTTAAAAATTTTAAGTAAAAGTAATACAGGTTTAGTGTAGGAAACTTGGATATTATAGAAAGGTTATCGAGAACAAAATAAAAATGGCTAAAAAATTCTATTTCCTAAATGACAGATGATTAATTTTAACATTTTGGTATATTTTCCTCCATTTTTTCCTATGCACATGAATGTATTGGCTATTTTCGTAGTTACATGTTTTTGTAGACTAGTTTGAAATTTAACACACTTAATGTTAAAATAATGCAAGCTTATATATGTGCATTCCATCACAGATTAAAACTTAATTCTGAAAATTTCAGTTGATTATGCTTAATATAGTTAAATTCCTTGATATATGTATTTGGGGAATATACTGACATCAAATAAAACAATTTACTTTCCTCTGTTATTTTTATTTGGTACAGGCACATTGCTATTTATTACATCAATAATAATTTTCTGCTGCTTGCTGGCATTCATTTGAGTAGATTGGACTCATTAGGATTAGACTAGGTAAAATTTCATTTTTCATGAGCTCATGCGAATGGTATTAGATCCTATTAGAACAATTCCAGCTATGATGGGAGTGTTAATTTGCTTCACACTTTATGATGTATTGATAATTCCCTGTGTAGGCAAGCTGTATAGGATTACGCGTTGTGTCATCTTTGCTATATTTTTTTGATAGGCTATATGGTACTGCTGTCCTTCATTCCCTTTTTACAAATAGCTACAAAAAAAAGAAGGATCAAGTCAGAAAATTGCCTGTATGTCATTCATAGAAATATTAAATAACCAGGAGAGTTTTTTTTCTTATACAGGAAACCAGAAAATGGAAACTGCCTTCATGAGTTAATTAATACATATAAAGTGCTTGGAATAGTGTCTGACATACTAAACACTCAATAAATTATTATTATTACTTTTACTATTAAGAACAAACAGTTATCAGAATAGGTCAGGGAGTATCTTAGATCTGTATTCAGATTTTTAAAATTTATTTTTATTCTTTTGAGATGGAGTCTCTATCTGTTGTCCAGGCAGGGGTGCAATGGTGTAATTTCAGCTCACTGCAACCTCCATTTCCTGGGTTCAAGTGATTCTCCCACTACAGCCTCCTGAGTAGCTGGGATTACAGGTACCCACCACCATGCCAGGCTAATTTTTGTATTTTTTTAGAGGCAGGGTTTCACCATGTTGGCCAGGCTGGTCTTGAACTCCTGACCTCAGGTAATCCATCCACCTTGGCCTCCCAAAGTGCTGGGATTACAGGTGTGAGCCACCATGTCTGGCCTGTATTCAGATTTTTATCATCACATATGTGATGTGAAGAGTAGCAAGATATAGCATGGAAATAATTTTTATGTTGATACTGAAGACCTGGAATAAATAGTAAAAGATAATGCATAATTGGGATAAATAAACACAACTGAACTGAGTTGTGTTTCACCTTATGTCATAGCCCTTAGTTGGTAATACAAATTTTCAAACTGAATTCCCTAGATAAAAAGAAAATGACTACTATTGACCCTTTTTTATAGGTACATGAAATCTGTTTGGTGAATGTGAACCCTATTTGACTTAGTTGATCTGAAATTAAGCTATATTCATAGGGTAAATCATAATCATAACTCAAGAAATAGCATTTCATTATGCAAACAACTCTCAATTTATTATAATGGGCCTATTGTCTTAGTTATAATTAAACTTGTCTATCTATAACATGACCAGTGAATTCCGTGCTTGGTGCTTCAATTGTTTTAAGTAAATCTGTTTCCTAAAGTCATTTCAACAAAATGTATGTGCAAAATTAAACATAACACCTCATGTTCCACAGGCAATAAATCCTTTCCAAGTTTTTAGAAGAAGTTGTGTCCATGGGACAAGTGAGATGCATTCAATGTAAATACACTTTGTTTTATAGAGCAAAGATTTTGAAAAGCTGAAGACATTGTTGTTCATTCAACCTAATCTAAGAAGCCAAGAAAATCTCAGAGAGGTTAAAAAAAAAAGATGTTTTTCTGATATATGATTATTCCAATACTATCCAATTATGCTTTTATTTTATTATTTTAAGCAAATACAGGCTAGCACTATGTATTAGTGCATTTTCACACTGCTAAAAAGAAATACCTGAGACCGGGTAATTTATAAAGGAAAGAGTTTAATTGACTCACAGTTCTGCATGGCTAGGGAGGCCTCAGGAACTTATAATCATGGCAGAAGGTGTAGGGGAAGCAGGCACCTTCTTTACAAGGTGGCAGGTGAGAGACGTGCAAGCAGGGGAAATGCCAAACACTTATACAACCGTCAGATCTCTTGAGAACTCACTCCTCTCACGAGAACAGCATGGGGGAACTGCCCCCATGATCCAATCACCTCCCTCCCTTGACATGGGGGGATTACAATTCAAGATGAGATTTGGGTCAGGAAACAGAGACAAACCATATCACACTATAAAAAACATCATGTCAAATTATTTTTCTTACATTTCTACTCTCTTAATCCTTCCTTTAGTTTTAGTGTTTTAGAAAACAAAATGGCATTAAATAAAGGTGGTTGGGGTATTTCTATTTTCTTTGGTCTAATGAAGCAGTTCTTTCCTTTCATGTATTTTGTACACTGATTAAAGAAATCTTGATCCTTGAGTTCCTAATATGTGTATTTTTTTGTGGAATGTGTTTGAGATAGATAATTAATTTTGAATATAAATTAATGTATTTAACAACTGATCAAAAGTACTGATTAATAGGAAGATATGTCTTTAATTTTAAAAAGAGAGAGATAAATGAACTATTAATGAATGACTTTTGTTCAGGGGGCAAATGCCTTTGAAAACACAGCGTTCATGGGGCAGCAATGATTAGGAACTAGTACATTTCACTAGCAGACTTCAGTGATCCATTACATAGATATAGATTTCTGTCCCTAAAATATTAGGTGAACCTTTTCTGCTTCTGTGAAAATTTTTATATGCTTGGGTAAATTGGATTTACAGTTGTTGTTTTTTAGCTTCTAAAGGATGTGTACTACGTTTTGTAAACCAGCTATAAAGTAAAAAGCAGTATTGATTTTTAAACATCTTAAGATATAAAGCATTTCAGAATATCCTAAGAATAAAGTGCTGTATTACAAGTATTTTCATCATCTTTTGGCACCAGACATTTCTAAAAGTCAGTGTTTTCTGTGCTTATGACATTACCTTGAATTCACTGACATCCTTTTAGCCCAGAGGGATCTAACACTAGTAAATATCAAAGCCATATAAATTCTTGTTACTATGAGCTGAAATTCGTGTGTGGGCATAGGCAGACTTCAATTTAACAGTGAATTTGCAACTTGGAAAAAGGAGTATAAATAAACATGATTTAAATTCAGTTCATCTTTCTTAGAGAATCTATTTTAAATAACAAATTGTAATCCTGAAGATGTAAAAATAGACACTATATTTACTCAAGTCTTTATGAATTATGTGCATGTTTTGAGGTTGATAGCTTTCTTGTATATGCATAAATCAATTAAGATGACATTAAATTACCAAGCACTTCTAATTTACAGGAAAAGATCACCAGAAAAGGCTTTCCAGGGTAGGAAGAAGTGCTGGGGGTGAGGATGCTGATGATGGGGTAGGAGTGGGGACTTTCACAGTCAAGAGCCAAGGGCAGGGTATCTGTCTTACACAGTAGTGCACTAGTTCCTAATCATTGCTGCCCCATGAACCCTATGTTTTCAAAGGTTTTTGCCTCCTGAACAAAAGTCATTCATTAATAGTCCATTTATCTCCCTCTTTTGAAAATTTAAGACATATCTTCCTATCAGCACTTTTAATCAGTTATTTTTTATAAATAAAAATACAATAAAAATAACCCATATTTCCATACTGAGTGGATGTGATTCCAGCTGAAGCAAATACAATTTACATATTATTCTGGGTGGTTTTATCACAGGTAAATAAATGATCTCATTAGACATTTGGAAATATTCAAAATTCAAAATCCCACTTAATCCCAATCCCCTTTTACTTCTTCAAGGAGCTCCAGAGGTGATAGGTTGGAAATCCCTGTTCTGGATGTTGTCAAAAAGATACTGGTAGGGATGGAAAGTTTGTATTTAATCAGGTGAGAGTAGTTGTCAGTTCAGGGAATAAAATTTCTGTCAGCCAGAGGGTTTCCTCTGCATTGTCCTTAAGGTAGATGCTTACATCAATGCCGCATGCATTTTCAGTAAGAAGAGGTCAGGAGATCGAGACAATCCTGGCTAATACGGTGCAATCTCATCTCTACTAAATAAAAAAAATTAGCCGGGCATGGTGGTGGGTGCCTGTAGTCCCAGCTACTCGGGAGGCTGAGGCAGGAGAATGGCATGAACCCGGGAGGTGGAGCTTGCAGTGAGCCGAGATAGCGCCACTGCACTCCAGCCTGGGCGACAGAGCGAGACTCTGTCTCAAAAAATAAAAAATTAAAAAAAAAAAGAAGAAAGGACAGAGCTGAACATTACTGCAGTTGACCCTTTAACAATGTAGGGGTTAGGGGTGTCAACTCCCTGTGCAGTTGAAAATCCACATACAACTTTTGACTCCCCCAAAACTACTAATAGCCTACTGTCGACCGTAAACCTTACCAATAACATAGTTGATTAGCACATATTTTGTATGTTATATGTGCTCTTATATGTACATGTATGTTGTATGTAATGTGTATTCTTACGCATATGTTACAGTGTATTCTTACCACAGAGTAAGCTAGAGAAAAGAAAATGTTATTGAGAAAATCATAAGGAAGAGAAAATATGTTTACCATTCATCGAGTGGAAGTGGATCATCATAAAGGTCTTCATCCTTGTTGTCATCACGTTGAGTAGGCTGAGGAGGAGGGGATGAGGAGGGGTTGGTCTTGTTGTCTCAGGAGTGGCTGAGGCAGAAGAAAATCCATGTGTAAGTGTACCCACACCATTCAAACTCGTGTTGTTTAGGGATCAACTGTACATTCTTTATGCTTTTCTCACCTTTCTACAAAGTACCAATTATCACCAATTTCCATCTGTCCATCTGTTTTGTTTCAGCTTAGCCATCCCAAACATCCAAATTACCCACCAGGGCTAAACTACATCCATGATGCAGGGATAGCAGGAGAAAGGGGTTGAACTGGAAGCTGAATCTCCCTAGTCCACTGCAGGGCCTGCAGCTGGGTGGATTGAAATAGGGCCAGCTGGCAGAGCAACAACCGAGAACACTCCCCTAGCCAATTTCCTGGTAGACTTTAGTTTGGGAAACTTGAACACAAATTACCCTGGTGAGTGGTAATAAGGAGTAAGTGGTTACTGCTGAGTTGTTTTAATTTTCAACTTCAGTCACCAGGGTTTGAAACCCTTCCACTCCAAGTTGCTGAGTATAACCCTTGTATTCAGCTGAGGCTAAACAAATTTTAAACTCTTTATTTTGATAATTTTAGGCTTACAGAAGACTTGCAAAGATAGTACAGACAGTCCCCATATACCTTTTACCTGGCTTCCCATAATGTTAATATCTCACATAGCCATGGTACAATAATCAAAATTAAGAAATTAAGATGAGCTCAACAAATTGACTAAATTACAGACTATTTAGATTTCCCCAGTATTTCCACTCATGTCTTTCTCCTGTTCCAGGATTCAGGTTAGGATACTGCACGGCCTTTAGTTGTCATGCCTCCTTAATCTCCTTCAATCTATGACAGTTCCTCAGTTTTTCTTTGTCATTCATGACCTTGACACTTTAGAAGAGCAGTGGTTGGATATTTTGTAGAGCGTCTTTCAGTTTGGTTTTGTCTGATGTTTTCTCATGATTAGACTGAGGTTATGGACTTTGGGTGCTGAATGTCACTATGTGTTATTACTAGTGATGTTGGGCTTGATCACTTGGTTAAGGTACTGCCTGCCATTTCCCCTTTCCATACTTTGTCCTTTGGAAGTGAGTTACGAAGTCTAGACCCTGGAGTTATGTCCAATCCAGGGGTATTAAGCTTCACTTCCTGGAGGGAGAGTGTTTAAGGATTTGTGGACGTGTTAAAACTACCACAGTTATTAATAAATATTTGATGGCAGATATTTTGAAGCAATGTGAATGCCCTGATCCTCTTTAAAGTTTTGCTCACTAATTTTAGCATTTGTCAGTGGGTCTTGCCTGCTGCAGTTATAACTGTGGCACCCTAACGGTGACATTCTATTTTCCACATTTCTTCTCCATGTATTAATTGGAATTATTCTGTTAGGGAAAATCCCTTCCTCCCTCCCTCCCTCCCTTCTTTGCTTCCTTCCTTCCTTCCTTCCTTCCTTCCTTCCTTCCTTCTTTCCTCTCTCTTCCCTCCCTATCTTCTTTTCTTCCTCTCCTTCCCTTCCTCTCTCCCTCCCTCCTCCTCTTTCCTTCTTTCTGTTGTATATAGACTCATGGATATTTATTGATTTATGGATAGTTATTTTACTTTTTGGGTTACGATTCATTACTGTTCTTGTTTATTGTATTGCTCAAATTATTAGGAGCTGTCTCATCTTTTTGCATGTTTCTTTTCAGCACTAACTTACCTCTGTCGTTGAAAGATGAACCTCTTCTATTTCCCATGTTCCAGCCCAAGAATCACCCGTTTCTTTAAGAAACATGGTTCCTTTTATCGGAGAATGGCATTTAGAACCCAAAATCTGGCGCCTAGGATTCCCCATTGCCTCTAGATGGTCATTGCTTATAGCCCCTCTCAGCTTTTAGAGCTAGCGAATGATTGTGTGTATACAAATCCATATGTTTATATTTATTTCTGTATATCCATCTGTATACATATTAAATAAACATTAGTTCGTAATGATATCTCTAACTCTAGTCCATTAGCACAGGGATTGTTCTAGAATCCTCCTTTAGCCTGTTTGTAATTTATTTCTCCCACAGATACAAACCTAGCTGTCATTATCTATAATTTCTTTGTTTGTTCAACTCTAGTTCTACAGGTCTTGACAAATACACAGTCATGTATTCACCATAATGGTTATGTACAGAACTGTTTCATTGTCCCCCAAATTCCTTTGTAGTGCTGACCTCATTTTCTGACCTGCTAGGCAACAATTTTCTGCAATGGCTACTAGATTTAAAAACACTTGAAATTTTAGGGTACTTAAAACTTTAAGTAATAGCTTCTACCTGTTATGAGCATATCTTAAGATTTTTTTATTGTGGTAAAATATGTATAATGTAAATATGCCATTCCAACCATTTTAAGTTTACAATTCAGTGGGATTAATTACACATACAACACCATTGTGCAGCAATCACCACTATTTGTTTCCAAATCTTTTCTGTCACCCCATGCAGAAATTCTGTGACCATTAAGTAATAACTCTCCATTACCCACTTCCCCCAACCCCTGATAGATTCTAATTGACTTTCTGTCTCTATGAATTTGCCTATTCTAGATATATAAGGGGAATCTTACAATAGCTTTTCTTTTGTGGCTGGCTTATTTAACTTAGCATGATGTTTTCAGGGTTCATCCATGTTGTAGCATGTATAACTTCATTCTTTTTAATGCCTGCATAATATTCCACAGTATATGCATAGTAAATTTTGTTTATCCATTTATCTGTTGATGGACATTTGGATTGTTTCCACCTTTTGGCTATGGTGAATAATGCTGCAGGGAACATTGGTGTACAAATGTCTGTTTGAGTAAGTGTTTTTAGTTCTTTTGGGTATATACTTAGGAGTGGAATTGATGAGTCAAATAATCAATTACTTTTTTGAGTTACTGCCAAACTGTTTTCCACAGCAGCTACACCATATTACATTCCCACCAGCAATGCCCACAGATTCCAATTTCTCCACATTCTTGCTAACACTTGTTATTTTTCTTTTCTTTTTATTATGGCCATTGTAGCAGGTGTGAAGTGGTATCTCATTGTGATTTTGATTTGCATTTCTTAAATGATTAATGATGTTGAGCAATTGTTCTAATACCTATTGACCATTTGTATATCTTTGGAGAAATATCTATTCAAGTTCTTTGCCCAGTTTTAAATTGGGTTGTTTGCCTTATTGTTATTAAATTGTAAGTGTTCCTTACATATTCTGGATATGATCAGATATATGATTTGCAAATATTTTCTCCCATTTTGTTGTCTTTTCACCTTCTTGAGGAAGTCCTTTGATGCAAAAAGTAGTTTGATGAAGTTCAGTTTATTTTTTCTTTTAATGTTTGTGCTCTTGGTGTCATAGCTAAGAATCTGTTATAAAATCCAAGATCATAAAGACTTGTTTTCTGCTTTAATGGTTTTAACTCTTCTATTTAGATCATCGATCCACTCTGAGTTAATCTTTTGTCTATTTTTTAAAATAAAATTTATTGTGTATATTTAAGGTATACCACATGATGTTATAAGGTCCATATATAGTAAAAAGGTTACGATAGGCCAGGCTTGGCAGCTCACGCCTGTAATACCAGCACTATGGGAGGCCGAGGCAGGAAGATCGCTTGAGGCCAGGAATTAGAGACTAGCCTAGGTAACATAGTGAAGCCCCATCTGTAAAAAAAAAAAGCCAAAATTAGCTGGGTGTGATGGCACACACCTGTAGTCCCAGCTACTCAGGAGGCTGAGGTGGGAGGATCACTTGAACTCAGAAGTCCAAGGCTACAGTGTCACTCCACTGCACTCCAGCCTAGATGACAGAGTGAAACCCTGTCTCAAAAAAAAAAAAAAAAGTTACTATAGTGAAGCAAATTAACATATTCATCATCTCTCATAGTTACCTATTCTTTTTTGTTTTAGTAGCAAGAGCAGCTAAAACCTACTCGTTTAGCATGAAACCCATACATAGTACAATTTTATTAACTATAGTTTTCATGCTGTACATTAGAGCTCTAGATTAGTTCATCCTACACACCTCCTACTTTGTGTCCTCTGACCTACATCTCCCCATTTCCTCCCCTGGATCCCCATACCCCTAGTAACCACTGTTTTATTCTATGTCTCTGTATTTTTGATATTTTTAGGATTCTACATATAAATGAGATCATGCAATATTTTTCTTTCTGTGTCTGGCTTATTTTACTTAGCATAATGTCCTCCAGGCTCATCCATGTTGTGGCAAATGGCAAGATTTCATTATTTTTTAGAGCTGAATAATATTCCATTACACACACACACACACACACACACACGCACACACTCACACACCACAGTTTCTTTATCCATTCGTCTGTCAAGTGACATTTAAGTTGTTTCCATATCTTGGCTATTGTGGATAATGCTACAATGAACATGTCATATCATATCATATCGTATCATATCATATCATATCATATCACAGTTCCTTTATCTATTCATTCATCAGTGGATACTTAGATTGTTTCCATATCTTGGCTACTGTGAATAATGCTACAATGAACATGAGATTGCAGATATCTTTAGAGGGTGGTGATTTCACTTTCTTTAGGTATAGACTCAGAAGAGGGATTGCTGGGTCATATAGTAGTTCTATTTTAAATTTCTTTAGGTGCTTCCACACTGTTTTCCACAATGGCTGTACCAGTCTACATCCCCACCAACAATGTACAAGAGTTTCCTTTTCTCCACACCCTCACCAACATTTGCTGTCTTTTGACTTGTTGATAATAGCCATGTGTGAGTTGGTATCTCATAGTGGTTTTGATTTGTATTTCCCTGATGATTAATAATGTTGAGCACATTTTCATATACCTGTTGGCCATATTTATGTCTTCTTTGGAGAAATGAGAACTTTTGCCCATTTAAAAAATCAGGTTATTTGTTTTTTCACTATTGAGTTGTATGAGTTCTTTAAATTTTGGATAGTAACCCCTACCAGATATACGGTTTACAAATACTTTTTCCTAATTTATAAGCTCCTGTTTCATTTTGTGGATTGTTTCCTTTGCTGTGCAGAAGCTTTTTAGTTTGATGTAATCACATTAATTTATTTTTGTTTTTGTGGCCCGAGCTTTTGGTGTGATATCCAAAAAATAATTGCAAAGGCCAATGTCCAGGAGGCTTTCCTCTATGTTCTCTTCTAGAAGTCTTATGATTTCTGATCTTATATACAGGTCTTTTATCCATTTTGAGTTGATTTTTGTGTATAGTATTAGAGTCCAGTTTCATTATTTTGCATGTGGAAATACAAATTTCCAAGCACTATTCGTTGACAAGACCAATCTTTTATTATTGTGTCCTCCTAGTGTGCTTGTCAAAATTTAGTTGACCATATATATGTTTGGATTTTTTTCTGGGCTCTCTATTGTATTCCACTGGTCTATGTGTCTGTTTTTATGCCAGTACCATACGGTTTTAATTACTATAACTTTGTAATATAATTATAAAGCAGAAGTGTCATGCCTCCAACTTTGTTTTTCTTTCTCAAAATTGTTTCAGCTATTTGGGGTCTTTTATGGTTCAGTAAAAATTTTAGGATTTTTAAAAAAATTTCCGTGAAGAATGTCATTGGGATTTTGATAGGCACTGCATTAAATCTGTATATTGCTTTGGGTAATACAGACATTTAAACAATAGTAATTCTTCCAGTCCATGAGCACAAGATATCTTTCCATTTATTTGTGTTTTCGTCAGTTTCTTTCATCAGTGTTTTATAGTTTTCAGTGTACAGATCTTTCACCTATTGGTTAAATTTATTCCTAAGTGTTTTAATTTTTTAACGCTATCATAAATTGGATAACTTTCTTGATTTCTTTTTCATTTATGTTGTTATTTGTGTATAAAAATGTTACTGATTTTTGCATGTTGATTTTGTGTCCTGCAACTTTACTGAATTCATTTATTAATTGTAACAATTTTTTGGTGGGCTTCTTAAACAAATAGAATCATATCATCTGCAGATGGAGATAATTTGACTTCTTCCTTTCTGGTTTGGATACCTTTCATTTCACTTTTTTTTCTTTTTCTTTGTCTAATTGCTCTTGCTAGTACTTCCAGCACTATGTTGAATAGAAGTGGCAAGAGTGGCCATCCTTGCCTTGTACTGGATCTTAGTGAAAAAGCTTTTAGTTCTCCCTCATTGATTTTAATGTTAGCTGTGGGTTTTTAAAAAATGGCCATTATTACATTGAGAAACTTTCCTTTTATACCTAAACTTTTGAGAGTTTTTATCAAGAAAGGATGTTGGAGTTTTTCTGAGTCATTTGAGATGATCATTGGTTATCTTTTATTCTGTTAACGTGATGTATCACATTTATTGGTTTGCATATGTTAAACCAGTCTTGCATGTCGGGGATAAATCCTACTTGATTATGATGTATAATCTTTTTGATGTTTGTTAGTTTTGGTTTACTAATATTTTATTGAGGATTTTTACATCATTGTTAATCAGAGATATTGGCCTGTAGTTTTCTTTTCTTACGATGATGTATTTGTCTGGCTTAGGTATTGGGGTGATGCTGGTCTCATAAAATGTATTTGAAAGTATTTCCTCTAGCATTGTTCTTCAAAAGAGCTTAGGAAGTATTGATATTAACTCTGAATTTTTGGAAGAATTCATCTGTGAAGCCATCTGGTCCTGGGCTTTTCTTTTGAGGGAGGTTTTAAAATTACTCTGTCAATCTAATTATTTGTTATTGGTCTGTCCAGGCTTTCTATTTCAACCTTGGTAGGTTATATTTTTCTAGGATTTTTTCCATTTCCTCTAGATTGTCTAATTTGTTGGCATAAAAATGTTCATAATAGTTCCTTATAATCATTTTTACCATGGAGGTATCTGTTGTTATTTCTTCACTTTAATTTTTGATTTAATTTATTTGAATATTCTCTTTTTTTTCCTTAGATAGACTAGCCAAGGTTTTGCCAATTTTATTTTTTCAAGAAACCAACTCTTAGTTTTATCAGTTCTTTCTACAGTTTTTCTGTTCTGTATTTGATTTATTTCTGTTCTGATTGGTATTATTTCTTTCCTCATGCTAACTTTATGTTTAGTTTATTTCTCTTCTTCTTATTCCTTGAGGCATAATATTAAACTATTTATTGGAGAGATTTCTTCTTTTTTAATGTAGGCATTTACTAGTATAAACTTTCCTTTTAGAACTGACTTTGATGCATCCCATGGGTCTTGGTATATTGTGTTTCCATTGTCATTCGTCTCAACCTATTTTTACATTTTCCTTTTGATTCCTTCTTTGACCCATTTGTTTTTCAGGAGTATGTTGCTTAATTTCCATGTGTTTGTAACTTTTCTAAGATTCCTCCTGTTATTGACTTTTAGTTTGATACCCTTGTGGTCTGAAATGATACTAGATACCATTGCAATAATTTGTTAAGACTTGTTTTGTAGCCTAACTTATAGTCTATCCTGTGTAATGTTCCATGTGCCCTACAGAAGAATGTGTATTTTGCTGCTGTTGGATGGAATATTATGTGTATGTCTATTAGGTCCATTTGGTCAAAACTGTTCATTTAAGTCCAGTATCTCCATTTTAATTTGCTGTCTGGTTGATCTATCAATTGTTGAAAGTAGAGTATTGAAGTCTCTGACTATTATTGTATTGCTATCTATTTCTCTCTTCAGGTCCATTAATATTTGATTTATGTATTTAGGTGCTCCAATGTTGAATACATATATATTTACAATGGTTGTGTCCTCTTGATGAATTGACCCCTTTATCGTTAAATAATGACCTTCATTGTCTCTTGCGACAGTGTTTGACTTGAAGTCTATTTTATCAGATACAAGTATAGCTACCACTGCTGTCTTTGGGTTACTATTTGCATAGAATATCATCCTCTATCCTTTCACTTTCACCTATGCATGTCCTTAAAGTTTAGGTGGGTCTTTTGCAGGGAGCATACAGTTGGTTCTTGCTTTTTTTTTTTTTTAAATCTCGTCAGGCACTCTATCTTTTGATTAGAGAATTTAATCTATTTACATTCAAGAGTATTATTTACTGGTAAGGACTTACTACTGCTATTTTGTTATTTATGTTCTGGTTGTTTAGTAGCTCCTTTGTTTCTTTCTTCCTTTCTTGTTGTCCATCTTTGTGATTTGATGATTTTTCTTTAATGCTAAACTTTGGCTCCTTTATCTTTAGCATTTGAATATGTACCGTAGATTTTTGTTTTGTGGTTTCCATGAGGCTTCCATAAAACCTTTTAAAGTTATAGTCTACTATTTTAAGCTGATAACAACTTAACTTCTGTCACATACAAAAAATCTAGACTTTTTGGCCGGGCGCTGTGGCTCACGCCTGTAATCCCAGCACTTTGGGAGGCCGAGGCGGGCGGATCACAAGGTCAGGAGATCGAGATCATCCTGGCTAACACGGTGAAACCCCGTCTCTACTAAAAATACAAAAAATTAGCCGGGCGTGATGGCGGGCGCCTGTAATCCCAGCTACTCGGGAGGCTGAGGCAGGAGAATTGCATGAACCCGGGAGGCGGAGCTTGCAGTGAGCCAAGATTGCACCACCGCACTCCAGCCTGGGCGACAGAGCGAGACTCCGTCTAAAAAAAAAGAAATCTAGACTTTTTTACCCTTCCCCCTGCAATTTTGTGTTTTTGATGCCACAATTTATATCATCTTTTTAAACTGTATATTTCTTAACAACTTATTATTCAGTTGTTAATTTTAACAACCAGTTTTAATTTTAATTTTTATTTTTTTTGGAGACAGAGTCTCGCTCTGTCACCCAGGCTGGAGTGCAGTGGCATGATCTCAGCTGACTGCAACCTCTGCCTCTCATGTTCAAGTGATTCTTGTGCCTCAGTCTCCCAAGTAGCCAGGACTACAGGCATCTGCCACCATGCCCAGCTAATTTTTGTAGTTTTTAGCAGAGACGGGGTTTCACCATGTTGGCCAGGCTGGTCTCAAACTTCTGAGCTCAGGCAATTTGCCTGCCTTAGCCTACCAAAGTGCTAGGATTATAGGTGTGAGCCACCATGCCTGGCTACTTTAGTTATTATTTAATCATATTTACTTTTAACCTTCATACTAGAGATGTGTATGATTTACATACCACCATTACAGTATTCTGGATTTGACTATGTATTAACCTCTACCAGTGAGTGTTATACTTTCATATGTATTCATGAAAGTAATTGTCATCCTTTGTTTCTGCTTAAATAACTCCTTTAAGACTGTTCCTTCTTAAAAATAGGCAGATGCAATGTTAATATATTTCAAAACCTAATACTTTGGAAGAGGAAAAAAAGGCATGTTTAAATCTCACCTCTAATGTCTTCCAATGAAGGACTCCTGAACACCATCAGATTTTATTTTTCTGGTCCTTGGCTTATCCTGTTTTTCTGGGCAAGCTAGGTTCTGAAAGATTCCTTACCAATTTCTTCATGGAGGTAGGTGGCCTAGCATCACGGAAGTTCAGAGTGCTCCTTACTGGATCTGATGTCTCCTTCCCTTCCATAGGAGAAGTTTTGCTTTATTAGGATCATATCAAATTCTCATGAATCTCTATATAGAAGATTTTACTTCCTGGCATCTATCACATAAAAAATGACTAGACCTTGGAGAACACATACAAACTATTCTTGTTTTGGTTTCAGAAACACTGAAGGAATTTGAGATAATAGCAAAGCATCATAATAATTTTCCTTTAGCCTTTCTGTAAGGTATTATTTTTTATTTTCTTTATTTTCTTTTGAAGATTCAACTATGGCTGAGGAAGAATAGGTCATTTTTCAGTTTGCCAAGTACAGTGCAACTCCAACTTTGCCAGACTGCAATCTATCAAGAGTAAGTAACACGAAAATGTTCCATTTAGGTCTTGGCAGTCCCCTAAGAAAGACAGTGGCAGGTAGTGAATAGAGTTTAACAAAATTTCAAAGACAAAAGACACATTACAAATAAATATTGACCAAAAAGTATGTAATAATTTGGGGTTTGTTCTTTGAACTCTGTAACATAATGGTGAGTTTTCAAACCAGCCTGAAGGAAAGTAGGATTGAAACTAGAATGATGGACCGGGCATACTGGCTCATGCCTCTAATCCCAGCAATTTGGGATGCTGAGGCAGGAAGATTGTTTGTGTGCAGGGGTTCAAGACCAGCCTAGGCAAGATGGTGAAACTCCATCCCTACAAAAAATACAAAAATTATTCAGGTGTGGTGGTGCGTCCATGTAGTTCTAGCTGCTACGGAGACTGGGGTGGATCACTTGAGCCTGGGAGATTGAGGCTACAGTGAGCCAAGATAGCATTACTGCACTCCAGCCTGAGTGATGGAGTGAGGCCCTATAAAAAAATTAAAAGAGGGAAAGAAAGAAGAAGGAAAGAAGGAAAGAAAGAGAGAAAGGAAGGAAGGAAGGAGGGAAGGAAGGAAAGAAGGAAAGAAGGAAGGAAGGAAGAAGGAAGGAAGATAGGATAATGATCAAACAATATAAGCAAAGTACCAAAACAATAAAAAAGTTATTAGACTGCTATAACAATCCACTTATTTATCTAGAATGTGAAAAAACATGCAAAACGTGTTAGGTGAAGACCTTACATTTTATGATAAATAAAATACAGTTAACATTTGTAATTTCAGGTTGTCTCAAATATTTTTAACAGATTCTAATAATTTTATAGTTTTTCACAGTGTAAACACCATCATCTCAATGTAGAATACAAACAAAACAAAGTAGAAAACAAACTAAAAGCTACCTTTCTGAGCCTACCTTTTCTTTTTAATGTATAATGATTTAGATTCTGACAATTAGATAGCTCTTCATGATATTTTCATTTGAAATCAGTATATGTGGGGAAAAAGGAAGGACATGGGGCATCAATTTTCCTGGTGCAGATATTGGCAAAAATCATGCGATCCTTTGGTCAGATGTTGTGCCCCCCGCCCCTGGCCCCCTTCCTAACTATGGTGGAGACGTTGTGGTTCTGAGGTCTGCCCAGCATCTTCACCAGAGTTGTTGCTGGAAGTTTGGACTAGAAACCACTTTACAAATCTTTCCAAAGATTCTGTAAGTGACCTGCTACCTGCAGTAAATCCTTTTGTTCTTAAACTAATCAGAGTGAATTCTGTTGTCTGAAATTCAGAAATCTCTAACATAAAATCTGTTGAGTATGTGACTCTTTTGGAAAAAGTTTAATAGTGTGGCATTAACATGAAGTCTCATTTAAAAAATTGTGGATATCCAAAAGTTTTAGTGGAGAGTTACTTTCATTAAGCATTAGTTCTTTCAATAAAAATTAACATTGATATTCATTCAAATCTAATGTTTTAAATGGAGAATAAAAACAAAAAATAAATCAATATATCTATAAGTAGTTAGTGTTCATAGGCTTTTCTTATATTTCAGTATAAAATTTACATATAGTCATGTGTTGCTTAACGATGGGGATATGTTTTCAGAAATGTGTCATTAGGTGATTTTATCATTGTGCAAACATCGTGGAGTGGACTTACACAAACCTGGATGGTATAGCCTACCACATCCCTAGGCTATATGGTGTAGCCTATTGCTTCAGGCTGTAAGACTGTATAGCATGTTACTGTACTGAATACTGTAGGCAATTATAACACAATGTTATTATTTGTGTATCTAAACACATCGAAACATAGAAAAGATACAGTAAAAATAGAGTATAAAAGATTAAAAATGGCACACCTGTATAGGGCACTTACTATGAATGAGCTTACAGAACTGGAAGTTGCTCTGGGTGAGTCTCTGAATGAGTAGTGAGTGACTGTGAAGGCCTAGGACATTACTGTACACTGTTTTAAACTTTATAAACACTTTAAACTTAGGCTACATTACATTTATTTAATTTTTTTCTTTCTTTATATTTTTTAGAGATGGGATCTTGTGGTGTTGCCCAGGCTGAAGAGCAATGGCAGTAGCTTGCTTCAGCCTCGAACTCCTGGACCCAAGGCATCTTCCCATCTCAGCCTCTTGAGTTGCTAGGACTTCAGGCACATACTACCGCACTCAGCTAGGGTTTTTGTTGTTGTTGTTGTTGTTTTCTTTCTTTCTTTTTTTGAGACAAGGTCTTGCTGTGTTGCCCAGGCTGGTCTAGAACTTCTGGCAATCCTCCCACCTCAGCCTCCTGAGTAGCTGGGATGATAGGCATGAGACACTGTGCCAGACTCTTTCTTCAATAATAAATTACCCTTAGCTTGCTGTAACATTTTTACTTTACACACTTTTAAATTTTTAAGCTTTTAAGCTCTTTTGTAATAATGCTTAGCTTAAAATACAAATACTTGTACAACTGTACAAACTTATTTTCTTTCTGTTCCTTTGTATAAGCTTTTTTTCTATTTAATTTTTTAAAAACTTTTTGAACTCTTTTGTTAAGAATGAAGACAAAAACATGCACATTAGCCTAGGCCTATATGGGGTCAGAATCATCAATATCACTGTCTTCCACCTCTGCATCTTGCCCCACTGAAGGGTCTTCAGAAGCAACAATAGGTATGGAGCTACCATCTCCATCGTTGACTGACATGTCATTATGTAGCACATGACTATATATAGCCATATGTATGTTGATGTAGACATTTTTCTTTCTGAATGTGAATATATTAAATCTTTCTTTTTCTATTCTTAAACATATTCTGATTTCTGTATTTCTTAGGTTGGAGCAGTTGTGTCTGTAGGCTTAATGAGAAAAAATTCTCAAGGCAGACAGTGATTCCATTCGCAAATGTTTCAAATCCTCTGGAAGTGTAAAATTAAGTGTTTTAAGCCCAACAAACATATTTAGTATTGGCATTTCTTCACATCATTCAAGTAGCCTGTTGGAAAATCATTCTGGGGTTACCATATAATACAAAAGGAGAGTACAGGTCCATGTGAATATTTTATGGTTTATTGTATGTCAATTTAATGCTGCAGAAGAAATGGGTAGCCCTGGAATCCTTTTGCCAATGAGATCTAGATGAGGCTGGTGATCCAATTAGTGTAATGGGTATCTGGCAGCCTAATGGTGCACTTCAAAGCCTGGCTGAGAATGACTGGCCCTCATCCATACTTTTACAATACAAGAGAGAGGAAACAGGATGTGGAGTCCTGCTTTTTCTGTGATGCTTTAAACCCAACTTAGTCTTCAAAACCAGGATTTTTTCTATTGGAAAAAATATCATCCACATATCAGTTCTTCCCTCTGTAACCTTTCCTTTCTACATGCCCTCTTCTCCTTCTTTTTCTATCACATCTTATTGGCCTCATTCTCGTGATTCCACAGTGGTCCAAAGGACTATTCTTTTCTTCTTAGTTCATAGAAACCAACCATTATTTTGAGGATATTTACATGATGTGGCAGTTACTTCAGCAATTTTTAATAATTTTTTTCAAGTCTATGGGCTTCAAGTAGTGGTTTTCAAAAAATTGGAATCTGTGAACATAAACAATGGGAAGTCAGTAGTCTCCACATTTTAATCTTTTGATCCTCTTTCCAAAGGCAGCGAAAATAGCATGGTAAAATTTCCTCCATCTTTTTCCTTTGGAACTAGAATCATAGTTCTTTAAGTAACTGCATAACCTTTTAAAACAATTGTATTCATTTTCATTGTTATGCACTGTCTGCTGAGATACAGTCCACCATGGGCCTCTTGGGCTCCTACACAACTTGCTGCATTTGCCAACATCCCAGGGCTTTGACTGTTATACCTGGGTCACTTCTCGGGATTGCTCATGTACCTGGTAATTCTGAGATGATGGTGCATTGCAGTTTTTACACTGCACTTGGGCTTTTTCCGGACAAAGAATAGGCTTGCTTAAAAACACATTCCCTAAGCTTGGATTCCTTTCCTGTGACTCACCCCGCTGTATCTGCAAGCTCTACTGGGCCCTCCATATTGCCCTATGGGATTTGGGACTTGAGAAACTGATGCAACCATGCTGGTAAATCTCATTACTGTTCTGCTGCAGCTAAGAATGTCCTTTGTCTCTAGCTCAGGGGTCTAGTGCCTTCAGTCAGCATTAATGGAACTGTGGCAGGCTAACTTGTTATTTTGGTGGGAGTTTTCCTGCTTCTAAGTTTCCTTCATATCGTCAAACATAGTAAAGTAGGGCAAAATCCCGATACTTTATTTGTAAAGAATTCAAGTCATTGTTATACATTCTGTATTTTTTCTCCTAAAACATTTTTGAGAAGTATGTAGATACAGGTTTTTTCCATTTTATAAGTGAAGAGTTGGAAGTGGAGGATAAGTGATTTTTCTCAAGATCATTTTCTTTCTTTTTGAGACAGAGTGTCATTCTCTCACCCAGGCTGGAGGGCAGTGGTGTGATCTTGGCTCACTGCAGTCTCGACCTCCTAGGCTCAAGTGGTCTTCCTACCTCAGTTTCCCGAGTGGCTGGGACTACAGGTATGTGCCACCCCACACAGCTAATTTTTGTATTTGTTATAGAGACAGGGTCTCACTATGTTGCCCAGACTGGTCTCGAACTCCTGGGCTAAAGCGATCCTCCTGCCTCGGCCTCCCAAAGTGCTGGGATTACAGGTGTGAGCCACCATGCCTGACCTTCTCAGAATCATTTAGTTAATTCGTAGCAAGTCAAGTGCTACATTTTAGCCCTTCTCACTGATAACACAGGAATGGTAGTATCTTTGCTATATAATAGTGCTATCTTCTTTCTCAACTAACATTTCTCTTTGCTTAATTTGGAATATAGAAATTATAATTGCTATTCTAGGAAGAAAGGATTCTGGGTAGTGTAATTACTAACTGAAAATCTGAAATTATGCAGACTTCCCAATATTTCAATATTTCAACATGATTTGTTTCAGTCTTCACACAAAAATAATACTCATATAAGAAAAATAAAATGATATCAATAATGTTCATTCTTAGCCTCAAACACAGCATTTCTCACAGCATGGTCCTCATCAAAATAATCTGGAGAGCCCTTTAGGAATACAGATTCCTGGGCTCCACCCCAGAGCTACCTAATCAGAATTTCCAAGGTGCAAAGGAATCCTGTGTTTTTTATCAAATGTCCAAGGTGACCTTTTAACGCCCATTTTAGTTTGGCATGCATTACTGCCAGGGATAGGTTATTTTTATAAACCAAGGGTGGGAAAATGACCATCCTCTGGCTAAATACCTACGAATAGGAGAATTGGCAGATATACAAACCTGTTGCTGAAGATAGTACTTAAAAAAAGTCTTGATAAAAGGTGTGCAAACCAACGCCAAATTTATCCTCTAGAAAACCAAAAATCTTGCCTTACATCATGAATTCAGCAGTAGCAATTAGAAAACGTGCCTATATTTTGTGAAATTGCAGGACTCATCTAAGAAATGTGTGTGGAGACCTTCTATTCTGTGGTTTTACAGCACCTCCTTTTGCCTATACATAAATGCACTCAATTTATGTAGATGGAGTCCCTGCTTTCTGGGCCAAGCACCATTCTAGGCACGGTGCTACAGTAGTGGATAAGGTGGCTGAAATCCCTGCCTTCAAGGTCTGTACCAGAGGAAGACAATATTTGCTTCTTAACAAAACGTAAATTTCTTTACAGATGAAGATGAAAGGGTTTTGTGTTTTGTCTTGTTTGTCACCAATGACTTCATCCTAACCATTTTGCATGCTAAATGTTTTTGATATTCTTTCTCTCCAGGTATGAAGCTGAAAGTCTGGTTCTAAGACAAGGACACCTACCACTTGAGTGCTATTGGATTCTTGCTGGACATTTAAAGGTCATCTCAAGCAATACAAGCACAAACAAAAATTCAAACTCTGACATTTTAAGTGAGTTTGAAGAAGGTGACTTCATAGGGGTAAATAGTCTCTCAATTTCTCAGTCTCTCATCATCATTAAATTATGTAATCTGTATGATATTGCATAAAAATAATTAACATAACATGCTATAGTATTGTCCTTAAGTATCAAATGTCTCACTAATTGAAATACTTAGAATAAAAGCACATTTTTACTTGGTAGTGTAGAACCAATATATAACCTAATATGTAGTTTGTCAACATATAGAACATACAATAAGAGTCACAAATTATTGTTATATGAAAGATCGACCAGCTAAATGAATGAGTTGTAAACCATGTAGCCTTGGAGGTAGGGTGATATTCACAAATAAAATAATTATACCCAAATAGTGATTGATTCAAGGAACTCTTTTTAATTATTTACAAAAATTATATTCTTGTAAAAGATTTTATATAAAAAGGATAACATTTAGGCTAAGAAAGCAGCTTGTATATAAATAATAAAACATTTCATTTCTATATTGAGTCATGGTCAGATAGGATTTGCTGATCCTCAGATCCAAACACCTCTAAGTAACAAGGTCTTGAAAGATGGGAGCATTTGCTGGGGTTGATTTTGAAAGTGCCAGTTAAGGTGAGATACAGTATTAGAAAAAATGCTAAAGATTCTGGACTTAATGCTACAGGCAGTAGAGCTCATTGAGGGTTTTTACGTAGGGAGGAGATGGATCAGATTAACTTCTAAATAGATGACTGTGGTGATGTGGGGGTGCTATTAGCAAAGGGAAGACAAAATGGAATTGGGGAGCAGTTGGGAAACTCATCAGTGGACCCTGAACCAAAGCACTAGCCATCAAGATACCAAATAGGAGATGGATTCCAGATATTTTATTGGTAACAAATTCAATGTGAAGGGCAAAGGAGAAAACAAATCATGTATTTCCAGCAATCAAAAAAAAAAAAAAAAATCAAACCCAGCCGGGTGCAGTGGCTCATGCCTGTAATCCCAGAACTTTGGGAGGCCAAGGCAGGCGGATCACCTGAGGTCAGGAGTTCGAGACCAGCCTGGCCAACATGAGGAAACCCCCATCTCCACTAAAAATACAAAAATTAGCCGGGTGTGGTGGCGTGTGTCTGTAATCCCAGCTACTCGAGACTGCTGGCCAGCCTGTGACAGGGCAGACATTATAGTGCTGGAAGCGCTCAGGAGGCCCCCTTAGGACTTTCTGATCCTCTGTGGACTCCAAGGTTCTGCCCAGGATCAGCAATTGTTAGTATGAGATGGAGCCACAGCGGTTAGCTAAACAAACCTTTTGACTTTACTCCTTCATAAATGGAGAACCATAGCAGTTAACCAAATCGCTCCTGTTTACACAGCTGATGAGTGGCAGAAATAAGAGCCGAATACTGATTTTACTGCTCGTTCACTCCACTGTGCTGCCTCAATTGTGTGAGGCCAAATCAAGCCATTGGTTTTCCAACTAAAGGAAAGGAACTTGGAGATCATCTGGATTGGTGTTTGTCAACTTTAATTTTGAGGTCACAGCATGCTCCTTTCTCTAAGACACCCCTACCTTGAGACTTTATTGCCACATCTTTTTCAATTTTATTTATTTATTTTTTATTTTTTTTTAGAGACAGGGTCTTGCTGTGTTTCCCAGGCTGGAGTGCATGGTATAATCATAGCTTACTGCAGCCTTCCACTCCTGGAATCAAGCAATCTTCCCACCTCAGCTTCCCAAATAGCGGACTACAGGCATATGCCACCATGCTTGGATTTTGTTTGTTTGTTTGTTTGATTTTTGAGACAGAGTCTTGCTCTGTCACCCAGGCTGGAGTGCAGTGGTGCAATCTTGGCTCACTGCAACCTCTGCCTCCCGGGTTCAAGCAATTTTCCAGCCTCAGCCTCCCGAGTAGCGGGGATTACAGGCACGTGCCACCATACCACTAATTTTTGTATTTTTAGTAGAGACGGGGTTTTATCATGTTGGCCAGGCTGGTCTTGAACTCCTGACCTCAGGTGATCAGCCTGCCTGGACCTCCCAAAGTGCTGGGATTACAGGCGTGAGCCACCGCACCCTCTATTTAAAAAAATTGTTTTATAGAGATGGGGTTTCGGTGTGCCACCTGGGCTGGTCTCGAACTCCTGACCTAAAGTAATCCTCCTGCCTCAGCCTCCCAACAATTTTGTAATCACAAAAAGTGTTATAATTTTGTGTACGGTCACACTAACACTATCCCCCCTCACTGAGCATCATGGATCTCTGTCAGCTTCTCCCTTCAGGCTTGTCATCTTCAGAACAAAGCACCCCCTTTCCTCAGTAACAGTGCTGAATGTAGGTAGGACACAGCATTATGTATTCTTACAGATCATGCTTCTGTTTTAACACATGAGGCATTCCATAGCAAAGAATCATTCAACCTGACATTCTGTTTTAGTGCAATAGTTTGCCGAAAATAGTTCTGCCAAGGCTGATGAATTATTTGAAAGTAAAGTCCAAACAGTTCATATTTCTTAATTCTGTAAGCTCAAGATTTATTTTTTAAAAATTATTTGCTTAAAATAATGCATACTTATAATTCCAGTTTCCCAGAGTTTATTATAAGAATAATGTCAGAGCTGAAATAATTCTAGAAGAGAGGCATTTGTTTTTATTTTTCAGGAAAACTGCCTTTCAATTAATGCCAATCTACCTACTTCAATTTTATGTGAAACAGATGTAAAACTTCTGGTAATAAGTAAAGAGGTAAATATCTGATCATAGTCCTAAAAACATCTACTATTTTAAGAAAACCTTTTTGGGAAACCTTGATAAATGCCAAAGCCGAAAATATTTACATTGAGAATGAATACTAACAAAAAATTTGTCTATGGCATAGTGTTAGATCTTGATGCTTTGTGCTGGTACATCAGTAACCTTAGTTTGACAACAGATTGCCACAGACCATAAGATGTTTTCAGGATAATCCATGTAAATCTGTTTGATTAGTACCTGGAAGAACAAAACTGAACAAATAGTATTATTACTATTAGTTGTTGTTGTTAATTATAATAAAGAATAACGACGCTGTTGATGGCAAACATGTTCATCAAATTAAAAAAAATTGTCAAGTGACTATAAGTGCTGTGTTGTTTAGGAAAATGGTTGACTGGTTCATTGGTAGGTTTATAATTTAAAGTTAAAATACCTCTTCCCAGGGCCATGCTATGATGCTGCTGGAACACTTAATGAAGCAGGAGCTGTGTGTGACTCTGTTGTTTGACAATCACAGTGGTTTTTGTTGCACAAGCCTGTGTCAAGTGGAAAGCAGAGTTTTTCATTTTTATTATTTTTGGGGAGTAATTACAAGTGTTTAACAATTTTTATAGCAGGCTCAGGAGTGTACTATAATTCCTTTTTATTTAAAAATATTTATCAGATAAATCTCGTGAGACATGCAGCCTTAGTTTGAGGGTAATGGTGATCTAACAGCAGCTACTCTAAGGTGTTTTTTTTATTACTCATGACAAATGGCTTTCTGAAGCTATTTAGGCCATGCATTCCTCCTCTGCCTTATAAATCTTGATGTGCCAGGTACGGGAGGGATTGCTTAGTTGATCCCTTGGGAAACTGAAGTGAAAGCATTGATTAGACTTCTTTGGGCCGAGAGCCCTATTCAGCTATTTAACTGGGAGGAAAGTCTTTGTGTTTTTCATTAGGGAACCTAGGAGCAACAGAATCTTGCCTAGAGATATTTATTAGTATTAGTGTGGTCATAAGTACTGTCTACTCTCTACTCTCAGTAGGCCATTATGGAAGCCCAGAATGTGTTTGAATCTATAATGATTTGAATTTTTCAAATGGATACTTTTGTCAATACTTATCAGATAAAGTTCATGAGTTTTTCTGTATGTAAATCATTCTGTGACATGCTCCTCAAATTCAGAGTAGAATGTACAGTAATCTGATTTGAAAGTATCATGAGAAATTTCTGGAACATTTTAGTATCTATGAATATCAACTTAATAGATGCATTCTATATTCTTCTTTACTGAACCAGTGCTGTAAGAACTTGCTGGACTGCAACTATTATGGCCAGAGTAAGCACCATATACTCAAATGTCCTATGAAAAAAACATCAGAAATACAGTGATATATAGGATGTGGTTTTCTTTTTAAATATTATATTTGATTTATTATTTATGGACTAAAAAAGAAAGGTGAGCTCCATTAACCCAGTGACCTTTATTTTTCCCCAAGCAGGATAATTGCATTCTAATGGAAATAGAGGAACAGTAGGTAGGTATTGTAAATACAACTCCCTAAACACTGGGGCTGCTCGCTTCAGCCTCTGAAAGTGTCCAGTGAGTTTTAGAATAAATTTATAAGCAACTCAAATTTTTTACCAAACAAAATAGAAAAAAAATGCTGCCAATCTGTTAGCATCAGGAAAATCTAATAATGTTCCTAGGGTTAATCTTATATTTTCGTTTTGCATTTCATATCCTTTTAAAAGTAACAGTCATAGCTTTCATTCAAGACTGAAATGATGTCCTCACACTAAGTGTCACTGTGGCGTATCTCAGCCACGGCAGGGATGTGCTCATATTTTGAGTACCGTGTACACCTTGTATGATAATCACGAACCATGGGCTTCCTCTCAGGCTGCTCTTCGCAGACCTTCTGTGTTTTCTGATCTGATCACATCATCTGGTTCTTAAGAACCTAATTTTGAGACCAACCAGAAGAATGGAGCCCTCAGTTCTGCCGTAGGCCCTTGGTGTTCTGAGGTCACAGAGGTAATCCGGGGGGAGACTGTCAGCGATTCTCAAATGCATCACTGAGTTTCTCCAATTGGTCTTCACCAAACAGGTAAAATGAGAATGATATGGACAGTGTATGTGTATATTTTTCACAAAGCTGAATTTATTCACATTTTTAAAGCAAGGTCCTTTAGTTTTTAGAGTATGCTCTTTGTGTGTGTGTGTATATGTGTGTGCATATATATGTGTATATATATATGTGTATATATATGTGTGTATATATATATGTGTATATATATATAGTATGTATGTGTGTGTATATATATATTTCAGTGCCTAAATTTATTTATTTATTTAATTATTTATTTATGTTCTTTGAGACAGAGTCTCCCTCTGTTGCCCAGGCTGGAGTGTAATGGCACAATCTTGGCTCACGGCAACCTCCACCTCCCGTGTTCAAGTGATTCTTCTGCCTCAGCCTCCTGAGTAGGTGGGATTATAGGCACCCATCACCATGCCCAGCTGATTTTTTTGTATTTTCAGTAGATGCCGGGTTTCACCATGTTGGCCAGGCTGGTCTCGAACTCATGACCTCAGGTGATCCACCCATCTCGGCCTCCCCAGGTGCTGGGATTATAGGCATGAGTCACCAAGCCTAGTCAAGGTCATTTATTTTGTGAGGAGCTATGTTGATGCTCCTGGTAGCTTTTCTTTCTTTCTTTTTTTTTTCTTTTCTTTTTTTTTTTTTTTTTTTTTGTACTTTAAGTTCTGGGATACGTATGCAGAACGTGCAGGTTTGTTACATAGGTATACATGTGCCATGGTGGTTTGCTGCACCCATCAACCTGTCATCTACATTAGGTATTTGTCTTAATGCTCTCCCTCTCCTAGCCCCCCACCTCCCGACAGGCCCCTGTGTATGATGTTCCCCTCCCTGTATCCATGTGTTCTCGTTGTTCAATTCCCACTTATGAATGAGAACATGCAGTGTTTGGTTTTCTGTTCAGTTTTCTGCATATGGCTAGCCAGTTTTCCCAACCCTGGTAGTTATTTTAATGCTTTTACTTGGCACGTACAAACAAAAAAGAGGTTGCCAATTGTACATAATATCCCTCTATCCCCCACCATTTAAAAAATATTTTAATTGATCTGGGAAATCTTCAAATCTGGAAACTAGTATGCTTTGTTAACTGTTTTGTCTTTTTGGGGACTCAGATCTCAGTGATAACAAATGCTTTCTCTACACTGCTTGTTTGCTATTTTCTATGCCACATTGTCTATCAGAACAGTATTGTCCAGGCCTTAAAAGCATGGGTCTTGAACCCAGGCTACCAGGGTTCAAATTTCAGTGCAGCCACAGTGAACACGGGGCCACTTATTTCACCTTCTGAGCCTCAGTTTCCCATCCATAAAAACAGCAAAAACAACACCAATTGATAGAGTGTTAACAGTGACCATTAAGTGAGCTAGTATAGATGAAATGTTTACAACAGTGCCTGGCATATGAGATATATATTGACATATATGAGTTTTGCAATTGATTATATTTTCCTTCTTTGCTTTGGTAAGAGGATATTTACGTCCTGATTTGCACACATCAAGCCTAAGATTTCCTGGGACACAGTTTGGTGAAATACTATAGCTAGCTTTCTATTTCCCTGTCTGTATTCTCCCCTCTCTCTGACTCTAACCTGTTTATTTTCACCATTGTATTATGTGTATTTTTAATGAATCCAACAAATACTAGGGATTGGGGTAAAATATAATTAAATTAAATTAAATTAACTTTAAAAGTTTCATCTCCTGCACCAAGCGTTCCATATATTCAGGCCAGAGTGACTTCACCATCCCCTGACATCAGAGCTACTTTGATTATACAACTCACTCAGCCATCTGTAGGCTCTTTGAACATTACAGCGAGAAATGTATGTGAAGTGGCTATGGTCATGAGACACCATGGGACCCCAGGGAACGGCTGCTAGGGCGGAGGCCTTTAATAAAACCAAGACCAAGTAGGAAAAGATTATAGGAATGAACACAGCTGTAACTCACAGTATCCACCACTGCCATTTATGGAACACTTATTTTAAAAAAGCCAAACTGCATTGTTCTAAGTATTTTACTTGTATTATCTCATTTAATTCTCTCAATAACCCTATTAGCTACTTTTCTTTTTACCTTTCATAGATGAAGGAAAGGAAGCTAAGAGATGTTAAAACAAATTGTTCAAGGTTCACAAGATTAATAAGTAGTGGAACTGGGACTCACCCAGGGTACACCCAGAGTACCTGACCAAAGCTTCTACTTGTAACCACTATGATTTTCTGTCTGTTAAGTTATTCCCAGTGAGTGATGCAATGAAAGCTATAGGCCTCCCCATAAAGTTCCAAAAGATTACACCGGCAAGCTTGGAGAAATGGTTGTGAGACTTCCAGGATAATAAAATAAAATAAATAAAATAAAATAAAATAAAATAAGGTATATTTATTCATTTGTGCCAAGTGCCAAGTGGCCCATCTGACAAATATGCCACTAGAACACTGTGCAAACCTAGGATTGTAGCCTGATTCACCATATTATTATTATTATTATTTTAATTGAGACAAGGTCTCACTCTAACACCCTGGCTGAAGTGCAGTGGCACAGTCACGGCTCACTGCAGCCTGTATCTCCCACACTCAAGCGATCCTCCCACCTCAGCCTCCCAAGTAGCTGGGACTACAGGCGCATGCCACTACAATCGACTAATTTTTGTATTTTTTGTAGAGATGGGGTTTCACCATGTTGCCCAGGCTGGTCTTGAACCTCTGGGCTCAAGGGATCTGCCCACTTTGGCCTCCCAAAGTGCTGGTATTACAGGCCTGAGCCACCTGGCCCTGACTCACCGTCTTAATCAAAGACTCGTACACTCTATGCTTACTATCTGGTTCCATAGTGGGTAGAAGCGTTTACTTACTATTGTATATGCTTTAAAATTTTCCATAATAAAAGCTGGGGTTGGGTACTGAGAAGTAAGCAGTTGGCACTTCTATGCCATCTGGCACTTGGCAGCCAAGCTCCTCTCCTGAGCAGTCAGGGAAACCTCAGCGGTGGAAGTTCATCTCAGGACATTAGCAAACCTCAGATGTCAACAACTGCCTGTATTTTGGAAAGCAGCTTCATGCTGGTGCATCTAGAGCCATGGTGTGCGCTCTGCTGTAGACAGGCAGTGGGGCAGTTTCAGCAGTGTCTGCCTTTGTGGGAAAACACATACTGTGGCAGAGACTGAGTGGCCACAGGAAACTTGAAGTCCTAGTTTTGTATTTTGAACACATGCATAACAGGTCCTATCTAAAATTGAGTGAGTGGCTGTCAGCAGTACTGGTGTGGTTGCCTAAGAAAGTTACAGTGGCCGTTACAATTCACAATTTTCTCTTCCTGGTTTTGTTTTGTTTGTTGTTGTTTACTCAGAAACTTGATACATCCAAACCATTTTAGGTTTTAATGGATCTAGAGTACTAGAAAAAAGAGTTCTAAGCACTGAGAAATAAATGTCCCTCTGAGAGTGGTGATTAAGCCTGTTCGGGAGTATGTTGCTGATTGTTCATCTGAGGTCCAGATTTTACAAAAGCTTGTCCCTGAGTACTTAGGAAATTGAGTGATCTTTGGATGTGTGTCATCCAGTTATTCACAGCACACTTCTGGTTTCATCTTTATTTTGAACTTGTTCAGTAGGAATAACTCATTTCATTACGAGCAACTTATTCAAGAAGCCAGAAAGCAGTGTGGTGTAGTAAACAGAGTTTTGTAGTCAGAGAGAGCTAAATTCTAGTCCTTACTCTGCTGTTCAATTGTTGTGTGACTTTGGGTAAATGATTTAGCCTCTCTGAGCCTCATTTAGTGGGTACAAAATTAATTCAAGAAAGCAACTCAAGGTAATGTAAACAAAAGTTATTTGAAAATGAATTTGGAGGAAAGAGACTTCATTCCAGTGCAAACTGGGGTGACACAGCCTGGTGTAACAGCCTGGTGTAAAACAAAGGTGTGTTCCAGAGAACAAAGGGAGGGTTTGGATTTTATAGCAAAAGTTCCTGCTCAGGTTCTCAATCAGATCCATTTATGCAAATTAAGGGTTAAAATGCTCTTAGTTCTGATTGGCTGATACAGCTGAGCCCTGTTTGGTTGGTTCAGGTGAGCTCTGAAAGTCCCAAAGTTGAGCAGAGGTGTGGGTTTTCAGGGAGCTCAAAGTGTGTGTGTGACCTTTAGTCAGCAAGTGGCTGCTTGGCTCTGTTTTAAATTTAGGCCCAGTTAGCTATTTGGAATCCATCTTGCAGGACTGGCTCTTTCTGGTTCACATTTGTTCACAGTAGTTGAGCCCTTACAGTGTGCTGGGTGCTGTTCTAGGCCCTGTGAATATGATGGTAAACTTGAGCTTCAAAGGGGAGGCCTAAACTAACAAGTGATTTTAATAAAATAAGATGTGGGCTAAGATAGGGAGAAGCATGAGAGGCATCAGGTGGTGAGGGGGAAAATACCCCATTTTAGGCCAGTGGTTCTCTGCCTCCATTGTTGAATAAGATCTCATAGAGACGTTTTTCATTTTTGTTTTGTTTTGTAAACAAACGAACAATGCCCTGGTCACAGACCAGTTAAATAAATTTCTGGAAGTGTAGCCAGGGGTCAGTAATTTTTCAGCTGCCCCAGGTGATTCTAACGTGGAGCCAGGTCTGAGGAACAGTGGTTCCTGTGGTGATCAGGATGTTTATCAAAGGAAGCTGAAGTCTTGAACTGAAGTCAGCCGGATGCACCAGAGTTGGCTAAATGAAAGGAGGAGGGAACCACATATACAAGAAAAGCCGTGTGTGTGTGTGTGTGTGTGTGTGTGTGTGTGTGTGTGTGTGTCTATGTGTATAGAGCTGGAGGGGCAAAAGATTGTGTTGTGGTACATTCTAGGGAAATGCAGCAACTGGACATAGAGCTGGAGAAAAGTGAGGCTGAAGAGTCAAGCCAGGGCAAGAACACAAGGGTGTGGAATCTCATTCCAAAGAAATGGCTTATGTAAAGGGATCTGTACTAGCGCAAAACTTGCCCTCCGTAAATGAAGGCAATGGCTATTAGCGGCAGATGCTTGAGTTCTTAGAATCATTTATTTCCAGTAAGAGAGGGACATTCTAACTATGCTTAAGGGTCATAATGGAAGACTAATTCTCAGAGCATTTTAATATGCCAGGCGTCCGAGTGGGAAGAAGAGGTTGCTGCATCTGGGTGGCTGATTTCACCCCATTCAAATTGTGCCTTCACAATATTTTTTTACTCACTATATATATATTTATTTATTTATTTTAAATATATAAATAAGTATATTTATTTATTTTAGATATATAAATAAATATATTTATTTATTTTAGATATATCAATAAATATATTCATTTATTTTAGATATATAAATAAATATATTTATTTATTTTAGATATATAAAATATATTTATTTATTTTGAATATATAAATATATTTATTTATTTTGAATATATAAATATATTTATTTATTTTGAGATGGAGTCTCATTCTGTTGCCAAGCTGGAGTGCAGCTTGGAGTGTAGCTGGGATTACAGGTGCCCGCTCCCATGCTCGGCTAATTTTTTTGTATTTTTTGTAGAGACGGGGTTTCACCATGTTGGCCAGGCTGGTCTTGAACTCCTGACCTCGTGATCCACCTGCCTTGGCCTCCCAAAGTGCTGGGATTACAGGCGTGAGCCACTGTGCCCGGCCTAGATTTTTTTTATTGTGGTAAAATATACACAACATAAAATTGACCATTTAAACCATTTTAAGTATACAGTTCAGTGGTATTAAGTACATTCATATTGTGCAGCCATCAACACCATCCATCTCCAGAACTTGTCATTCCAAATGACATCTGTACCCATTAACCTCCCATTTTCCTTTCCCCAAACCCCCGGTAACCTCTATTCTGCTTTCTTTCTCTATGAATTTGACTACTCTAAGTACATCATATAAGAGGAATCATACAGGGTTTGTCCTTTTGTGATGGGCTTATTTCACTTAGCATGATGTCCTCACTAAATTTTAATAAGTCCGTTTTTCGGACCCTGATCTCTGACCTTATAACAGCATAGGACTAGCTTAGATGTTAGGCAGCTCTTAATACTTACACACTGCATAATTCAAGATGACGCAGCAGTGTCTATAGTGTGTGCAAAAGGCTTGCTGAGTCTCCATAACAAGGGTTTCAATGTCCTGATTGATCTACTATGGCTTATCTCATCTCTTCCCTCAGAGAGCATAAGGACAACATCGGCATAGCTGTTTATCACCTTTTTGTGGGTTATTAGTCTCTCTTTCTTCAACATTATATTTTTTTGTTGAAACTTAGCTCTGTAGACTGTGTATACCTGAGTCATATAATAGACAAACACAGTGGACTTTCAGTTATCTCTTTTCTTCAAGCAGGATAGTAAATATAAACAGGAAATAATCTTAAGATAACCTTAATTTATGTTTATATTGAAGCAGGACCAACTTACATCTTCCCACCCTTGTACCATAAGGAACAGTCCAATTATATGATTGACTTATTTTCATAGTTCTCTCTATCCTCCAAAAGTTTTTTGAATAGCTCCTCAAAAGGAAGGAAACCACTTGATGTAAATCATATGAAAGTCATCATGTCTCATCAGTAGCTTAATCTTCTGGAAAGAAACTGGATTATTTTTGCTTCATCTCCTTTCCTTTCTTAAAATTTTTTTTATTTGAAAAATACTTCATGTGTTCCTAAAATGTCAGACACTGCGTGATGGCCCACAATAGAAAAAGATATAGTATCTCTCCTTGCACAATCTAACGAACTTAATACTAGTTATTGATGTACATAGTTGAGTTCTGACTCATGTAATCATCTAGTACTAAATTCACAGGATATGAAGTGAATCATGTATTCTTACACGTTTCTTTCTTTTTTTTTTTTTTTTGAGGCAGAGTATTGCTCTGTCACCCAGGTTGGAGTACAATGGCGAAATCTCAGCTCACTGCAACCTCTGCCTCCCAGGTCCAAGCAATTCTTATACCTCAGCCCCCGGAGTGGCTATGACTGCAGGTAAGCGCCACCACACCCACTTAATTTTTTGTATTTTTAGTAGAGACAGAGTATCACCATGTTGGCCAGGCTGGTCTCAAACTCCTGACCTCTAGTGATCTGCCCGCCTCCACCTCCCAAAGTGCTGGGATTACAGATGTGAGCCACTGTGCTCCACCATATGTTTCTTTTTTTTTTAATAACATGAAGGGGTAGAGCCACTTAAGGGGGCTAGCTAACTGGCAGCCAAGCTGACTCATGGGGTGGTGGAATTCCCATCATCTGGGTCTGATATTAAATTTGCAATTCTGGAAGTTTCTGTGTCAGTGTCTCACAGGATGCTACCTGAGACAAGAGGAGAAGACAGGTTCATATTAACTTATGAGCAAATGGTGTATAAATCTGATTGTTGATTTATTAATTTTTATGGAGAATATCTCTTTCCAGTTACTAAAATTATCATTTTTATCATCTAATGAACCCTTCCAGTATCAGGGTGACTGAGAGGTTGAATTAACAGTTGGGAGCTTGCTAAGTGAAGACAGAATTGAAGTAAAGTTATGTAAGTGGTTTTAAGGGATCTTTTATCCAGGCCAAGGGGCTACCTGGTAGAAATCTAAGCCCTGTAGCTAAGAGCACTTCGAGAGTGAAGCCACTGTATTTCCAAATTCAGTGTCTCACCAGTGCTGGGAACTGATTGCTAACTCTAAGTCCCCATGTCCTGTGTTTTGAGACTGATTGCTCTTCTGAGTGACACATTCTTTCATGACATATACCAATATCATCAAGGTGAAGTTATAGTCAGATCATACTCTTAAATTAGCCATTCCATCCCTTTGAAGTGACTTTGCTTATTTCTGATTTAATTCATAATGGGTTATGATTATTGGCTAAACTCTTGGAGTTTTGGGGGCTTTTCTTGTAACTCTGTCTAATCAAATTGTTCTCTTTGCCTCTGTTCTCTTACTGCGTTCAAAAAAGTGCTATATTTCTTTAGAACAGAAACATTATCCATAAATAATCTATGATTTTTTGTTAGTCCTTTCAATTCTTTAATTCATTTAACCCATTTCTACTATATTTGCCACAGACTAAATTTTAGACAAATACTTTGAACTGAATTCACTTAGGAATTCAGCCCCAAGTTTTCTGAGAAAGAAAAGCTGGTTCTTAATCATGACCTACACCCTAAGGAATTATTTTAAAATGAAATAATGTCAATAACCTCTATTTTTCACTCTTTTATCACTTTCTCAGGAATTCCTCTTTGCTCTTTGGCTGGGTCAGTTTCCTTCATTCTGGTTGCTCGTTTCCTTCTTTTTCTATGTGCCCATTCTGCAGTGCAGAAGTCTTGCCTACGCCTACTTGAGCTATAGCCATCTTGAGTTCATGGGCCCTTTTTAGAAGTCTTTGAGATGTGATAAGGTAAGCAGCCACTTGCTTTATCTGTACTAAGTCTGGGCCTTTGCCCAGATGGCTAGTCTTTATGTTTTCAAAATGGTGCCTGACCATCACACTTTTATATTATATACTTGATAATTTTATGTTATCTTCGTAGCTGTATGAAATTGAATTTCTTCTGTTCATGGACTTCTAACAGTGAGTTCATGCCCCTGGATTTTATCATCCATTTGCTACCATTGGTTGGTAACTGCGAACTATGTAGTTTAGCATTTCACACTTCCTTCCCAGGAATCTGGTGCATTGATGTAACTTTTGTCATCACTACTGATATTGCTTATTTCAGGGAAATTAATATGCTGACTAGCGGCATTTTCACTTCTCGTTTTAAAACTTTCAGATATGATGTGTTTTTAAAAATAATGGACAAGAGATGGTGTCATACAAGCACACGAAGCCTTGAAGATTAAAGTCTCAGGATTCAGAAGAGCAAATATTACAGAGTATATTTTATGTCTTGGAAAGGGAGCAGATACTATAATGAATTTTTAAGTTGGCCGTTTGTTTAGTCTCCTGAGGCCCTGGCAGTTTGCTGAGGTTACAGGGGTAAAAAGTACCTGCAGAGAGGAATTTCTCAGTCAGAAACAACATTTAAAGTAGTGGTGTGTTAATGCTTAAAAAGAAATCCTGCATGCATTTTTTTATGACTTCTAGCTTTTGGAGTTGGATCTAATGAATGATGCTACAGGAGGCTGAGCCAGCTTGCCATTTTCTAGGCTCCGGCTTCCATTATTTATATTCTTTCCAGTAGAGCTTATGGCACATTCTTAAAGACTTAGTTTTGCTAAAAGTTACAGCCTAGTACTTGAATGCAGGCATGTGACAAATGTCATTAAACCTCTGTTTTTTAAAAACCCTACTATTCTTATTTCAGAATGGCCAGCCATTTCACTTAAAATCAAGTACATTTGCAAGGATTCTCAGTTCATGGGTCTGTTCTTTGAAAAAATGAGCCCTTATGTGATCAGTGTTTGATTAAATGCCCAAAGAGGACAGTTTTTAAAAATCGCACTATCAAGTGGAAATTTTTCACATAAAATTAGATCAAAACTCAAAGATAAATTGAAGATTCCATGAGTTTTTCTGACATTAGCATGGAGTAATTTGAATGTAAAAAGAGAAACCAAGTATTTTGACAGCCTTCAGGATTGGTTAAAGAAGTTCTGACCTAAATCGGAATGTAGTCCTATAAATACAGTAAACGATTTTTTAAGTTTACTGTTTTTTAAGGGGCCAGAAATATGGACATGAGGAATATGTAATGGAATCTCCCAGCAAGAAAAGAGATATGGACCCATACTCTTGGACAGGCTCACTAATTCCTGATAACCCTGTTTGATAGTGAACCCCACATAGCCTCCCTCATGCCTTCACCACAGATGCAGCTGTGTTAACATTGATGCCCAAACCATGGTAGCTGTTGTCTCCCCATTCCCTCCCTGGAATCTCCCTTCTTATTTCAGGCATCCCTAAGGTAGTGTTTGCTTGTATTTAGAAGCTTGTCCACTCAAAATTTCTGCTCGTCTCCTCGCTAAGCTCCTTTGGCTGCCAGGAGAATGCCTCCGGGAACAATGTCAGTTCTACATGGTGGTCTTTTGGTCTGTTGCGGGATAGAGTAGACTTCTCCATGCCCTTCAGTTATATGGTTAAACCTTCTCTCCATTATGATTCAGAACCAGAGCCTTGGACTGTGAAGGGCACAGACTCCATCCCATCCCATTCATCTCCTGTCATCCCTCTTCTGAGCATCCCTGCTCACCCCAGGAAAGAAATGCATCTCCTTCTTCAGTCAGACATGAGCCATCTTGATGATCAACTCACACTGATTGATTTCTACAGGGATTACTCGGTCACCACTGCTGCAAACCACAGTCTGGTTTGGACACAGGACACTCTGCTGCAAATGTAGTTTTAACTGAGAATCAGGAAATGTTAGGCACAAGGGAAGCACAAAAATCCATGCAATAGCGAGTTTTCAGACAAGCTTAAATAACAAACAGGATTCATCCAAGGAACAATACAAACTTTTGGTTAAGCTTTGAGATTCTCTGCTGGCCATGATAAATACAAACCTTATTTATTTATCTCCTGTTTCTCTGTGCTACAACTGGACACTGTAAAAAATATAAAGACTGAAGAAACTTAAAAATAAAACACTCAATATTTTTACCATGGAGAAGTAACCCCTGAAAAAAAAAGATCTCTGTCTATCTATCTATCTATCTATCTATCTATCTATCTATCTATCTATCATCTATCTAATCTTTCTCTCTCTCTCTCTCCCCCTCTCCCCCAGTGTGTACTCCCATACTGTCTCTCTCTCTCTTCACTTAGTAATACCTCATTAGTATATATAGATATACCTCATTTTTATGTTTTAAATTTTTAAAAATAGTTTAGCTTTTAGGTTCAGGGGTACATGTGCAGGTTTGATATATAGTTAAACTCATGACTCAGAGGTCTGGTGTACAGATTATTTCATCACCTGGGTACTAAGCGTAGTACCTGACAGTTTCTTTTTCTTTCTGATCCTCTCTCTCTTCCCAACCTCCTACCTCAAGAAGGTCCCAATGTTCCCCTTTTTGTGTCTGTAAGTTCTATTTAGCGCCCACTTATAAGTGAGAACATGCAGTATTTGGTTTTCTGTTCCCGTGTTAGTTTGCTAAGGATAACGGCCTCCAGCTTCATCCATGTTCCTGAAGAGGACATGATCTCATTCTTTTTTTATGACTGTATAGTATTCCACAGTGTATATGTACCACATTTTCTTTATCCAGTCTACTGTTCATGAGCATTTAGAGCTTTGCTGTTGTGAACAGTGCTGCATTGAACATATGTGTGCATGTGTCTTTCTGGTAGAATGATTTATATGCCTTCGGGTATATACCCAGTAGTGGGATTACTGGGTCAAATGATACTGCTATTTTTAGTTCTTTGAGGAATCACTACATTGCTTTCCATAATGGTTGAACTAGTTTACCCTCCCACCAGCAGTGTATAAGCATTCCCTTTTCTCTGCAATCTCACCAGCATGTTATTTTTTGACTTTTAATAATAGCCATTCTGACAAGTGTGAGATGGTATCTCATTGTGTATACCTCATTTTAAACAAGTATATTATATGGTATGTTATCTAGACATATTATAATTTCATCAACTAGTCATCCATTCATGGACATTTGGATTATGAAATATTAAATTTATAAACAGGGCAATTTATTACAAGGTATGTCATAAGTAACAACTGAATGCCCACCAATGTCATTTTGCAATTTTCAGTAGAATCAAGTCTGAATACTTTCTGTTCTAAGGACTCTAGTCAATGTTCACAGCAGGAAAGAACCCTTAAGAAGCTAGCTTATGCTTATTCCATCCAAGTAAATCATTTGTGTGTTTTAATTCTGAATTAATTCAAGTGACTAGTGTTTGAGTGTAGTTGAGGGCGTAAGTTCATTTTCAAATCATACTTGGAATTCATAGCAAGAACCAGACCAATTCAATACTTTCCAATAACTAACACCTTTAATCACTGTCCTACTTAAGCTGGTAAATGATTATTCTTTGTTGCACAGTAGAAACAGAACTGTGACTAATTAATTTTCTAATTCTTCCTCCCTGCTGTTGTGCCTTCATTGCAGGCCTCTTTGAACTACAGACAACTAAAAAAGGCCCTCACACCCAGGGTTCCTACTTAGGGCACCACACTCTGAGGTCAGCAGGGGAGGACTGTTGCCCAGTGGCCCCATACTGTTCAGCTTGGACTAGACACCAGGGGCTTATGAGAATGAATCCCATCACGCCTCACAGTCCACTGGAAGGGCTTCCATATTGTTCATACCCTCTGTTATCATTCTGTGCTTCTGCTCATCTGACCCAGTTTCTGTTCCTCCCCAACCTCTACCTTCTTCCACATGCCCTTTGGAACTTAAGGTCGGTCACAGCAAACTCTCCTGCATCCTCAAGTCTCCTCAACTGCTGTGCTGAACATCTTTCCCACCTGGACCTAATTGAAACTGGGGTGCTTCCTACAGACACCATCTCCTCCACAGCCCTCTCCCATGGATGCAGTTTATTATTGCGATTTCTCACACTACAAGTACTGCAGCCCTGGGGATGGGGTGAGTGTCCTCCTAGCACCCTACTGCTGCTTCCCAACCTTATCTCCTCTTTCTTCCTTTAGACACCCAGCTCCTTTGAATCTCATGGCCTCTGACTTTCCCACCCCTCCCCCTTTCCCCCTTCCAGTTACTACAACCTCCTGGTTCCTCCTCATTCACTGCTGACCACAGACTGCTTCACTGTCTTCCTGTCACTACTCTCTGTCTTCATTCTTGGTGATTTGCACCCAGCACCCAAGTCTCTCTGATCCTGGATTGGTTCTCCCTACCTCACCCACCATTCCCATGGTCTAATGTTGATCTTTATAATAACTGGACTATTCCCAAAATCTCTACTGTAGCATTCATCTCCCAACCAGGCTCTTCTATGCCTCCAGCCTGTGTGCTCTGGTTCTCCCATTCCAACAGTGCCTCAGTTCCATTGGGACCTCTCATCCATGGACCCACCTCTCTCTCTCTGTTTCTTTACTGTCATGCTTTCTGCTCCTGTGGTTGGTTCTCTCCATATCCAACTTAGATCCCTTGGTTTTTCACTATAACCATACTTCTACAAATATCCTTATCCTCTTCCTCTCTCCCTCCTCTCTCTCTCTCTCAAACCTGTATAAACTGGGAACCTGAACAGCTGAATAATATGGAGGAAATACCTCTCAAACGTGTTAGCTAGTCTGTCTGCGTGGTGTATAGCCATGCACCATCATTGTACTTTATTTCCTTAATATGTTAGTATTCTCATTCTCTGAAGTGACGATTTCACTTCTTTTCTTCTCTCCTAAATTCTCTCCCCTTGGTTTTGATCTGATGGTCTTGCCTTATACAGTGCTTAGTAAAAACAAGTAAGAAAGCAGGAGCCCCTCTTCATTCCATCATGGCTCCATTACATAACTTCCCTCCATCTGTAACCATAGTCTCCATCCATTCCTGTCTGTGGAGGAGGTGTCCCTGAGCCTGTCAAATGCCAGCCTCTCCTCACATGCCCTGGTCCCATCCTCTGTCATTTGTTGGGGACACGGCTTCTGTAGTAGTTTTCCTTGGCAGCCAATGCAAGTGGATGAGTTTAGGAAAATTATGTAATTTCTCCATGCCTCAGTTGTCCCATCTGTAAAATCTGGAGTTAATGCTATCTCCTTCACAGAGTTGTTGTGAAGGTTAAAGGAGTAAGTTTCTGGGAAATGCTTAGAACAGGGTGTGGCCTGCTGCTGTGGTGACTCTGTCCCACGTTTAGCCTCTCCCTCTCTCCTAGATCCTTCCCTTCGGCATGCAGATATGCCCAAGAGATTTCATTTTTTTCAACAGACGCAAAGAAAACCTTCCATACTCCCCATCCCCAGCCCGTTAGCTACCACTCTGTTGCTCTGCTCCTCTTGACAACAGAGCTTCCTGAAAGGGTCATCGGTGGTCTCCGCACCCTCCTCTCTTGGTCTCTCCTCAGCTTGGTCCACCTGTACCTCTGCTCCCACCACTCTGGTAAGGTGGCCTCTGTCAGGTCACTGCTGAGTGACCAAAAAACCCATTGTAGTTTCTAGATTCTTCTCTTATTTCTAGACATCTCGATGTCTTTGCTTCAGTTGTCTTAGTCCATTTGGGTTGCTATAATACCATAGACTGAATGGCTTAAACAACAAAAACTTATTTCTCACAGTTTTGGAGAGTGGAAGTCCAAGAGCAAGGCACCAGCTGATTGGTTTCTGGCGAGGGCCTGCTTCCTAGCTTACAGATGGCAACTTCTCACTGTGTCCTCACAAGGTGGAGACCAGAGAGAGGAGGCAAGCTCTGATGCGTCCTTTGATACGGGCACTAATCCCATAGCGAGGGCTCCACCCTGATGACCAAATCACCTTCCAAAGGTGCCATCTCCACATACCATCACAGTTGTCTATTCTCTTCCTCAGAAAACATTTTCTTCTCTTGCTTCTGGGACACATTATGCTGTATTTCACTTCTCTCAAGGCCCGCTTCCCACTGTGATTTGCTGACTCCACTCTTGCTTGATGTGTCACTGTGGAGTGTTCTAGGGCTTGTCACTGTCTCTAAAGTTCTTATCTAGTCCCATGGTTTTAACCATCAGCAGGGTCCGTCTCTATAACCATCATTTCCAAATCTATCTTTCCTTTCCTGATCTTCCTTCTGGGCTCTAGATTTATATACCCAAATTGATGTGTTTCTATATGAATGTCTAGTAGGTGTAACTGGAGTTTGTTGAGTCTCACGTCATCAAGACAAACACAAAATAGTTTTATCTAATTTATTTAACTGATTTTAGTTGTGCTGGCTTGACTCCTACTCTTTTGCTGGTTAGTGGCTCCCTTAACATTATCCTGGCCCAATTCCATAATTATTCAATCATTTTCAGTTATTAAAACTTAATCTAGTCCAATCCAAAACTTCAGTCCTTAAATATAGCTTCTTACCTCTTGGCTTCTCTCTTCCTTCCAATGAAATCTGAAGCTGTGGTCCTGGCTGCTTTGAGTCCAGAGGGGTTGTGATCTCGCTTGAGACACTAGCTCACTCTTCCTTGGGGAGAGGCAGAGGTGAGGTATAGAGGAGTGAAAGGTTTCATGAAGGAAGCACCCTTCCTTGGCCTCTTCTCCTGATGTGGTCTTTCCTTTGGCAGCACTAATCTTTGCCCTGTCACTGATACCCCTCAGAGAGCTGGGTATCTCACTGAGTAGGCAACCCATGGCTCGCACCCTTCTGTTCACTTACCTGCTTCTCCACAAGGAGCTGAAAGAACCTCTGTTGTCCTCCTCCACACCCTCTGAGCACTTAGAGAACTTGAAAGGGTTGGGGGATGCCCATTTTCTCCCTCAGCACTTGATGCCACAACCCCTTTATGTCCTTTGGATACAGGCTATACCAGAAGACCACCTGGCTCAAGAAAAGTCTAGACCAGAAGTGGGCACCAGTCTCTAGAAGACCAGAGACTTCAGGGGCAGATGTCAAGCTGTCCTCAGATCTCATTCACCACACTCTGCTCCACCAGTATCTCCTAATAGGCTTGCAGCAAGCAATCAGTCAGGGAACAAAAGATTGGTATCCTTCTTGCAAAGGCAGCTCAAAGTGATGCTGCTCCATTGTGAGTTTCTCTTGAAGCCTCCCATCACTTACTTGCCTTAAGCTAGGAAAAGCACCCCCTCCCCAGAAGGAGAGTCTCCTTGGTTTCTGTTTGAACAGAGGAGAAAACTGCCCTTTTAACCCATTGTTGTATCTTTTCTTTTTTTCCACATATTATGCTTTGGTCTTTCACTGGAGTTTGCTCTTTAACTGACATATGCACATCTCAGCGTGCAGTTAATGCAATACAGTGCATTTATTTTATGTTGTATTTACCTTTACTGTACAAGTTTGGTTTTATATTGGTGTTAGGGGATATGGTAAAACTGACTATTGTCTTTAAAAAATCATTGTATACGTTTGTACTCCAGTATCTTTTCATGTAGTATCACTTGTTGAAAAATACACCGTAGGAAATAGAATAGCTTGTTTGAAGGGCCGTTAATGTCACCACTTTATAAGAAAATTATGCAATTTAGAAATTAGGAAAAAGCCTATTTATTTTTAAAGATCTATTTTTTAATAATTGAAGCTACCTGAAACTATCATGCATTTATTTTTAAGTAAGAAGAAATTAATTTATTAAGTAATATTTATTAATCTTGTAATATTAATGTAAAATATTACCACCATTAAAATTATTTCTCAAAATAAATGATGAACAATTTTTCTAGCAAATTTTTATTCCAAGGGAGGTATATGGGATTTTTTGAAATCATGTGACTTGGCCAGGGAAGAATAGGGTGAATGACTTTACAAGGTTGCTTCATATATGTTTATGTGTGTGTGTAGTCTTGTGTGTGTGTGTGTGTGTGTGTGTGTACAGAGAGAAAGAGAGATTCATTATTTTTACATTGTCTTCTAGGATTTTTACTGTATTCTTGCACAGAGAGCACAAGAACAATATCAAGAAACATGCAGCTTTCTAAGGTGTGCATTTACCATGGACAGTTCTTAACAGTTTTAAAAGAAAGTCATTGACAGAGTCATTTGAAATTTTTGATTTGAAATTCAGGCTAATCCCTTCTAAATGTTTTCTATGGTGGAAGGCAACAGGGTGTGGTGAAAGCACATAGGCTTTGAAGACATATAGACTAGAATCTGAACCCCATGGTTACCACTTGTTGGTTATATTTATTTGGTCAAGTAAATTTACTTATGCCTGTCCATTGATAAAATGGACTTCCTAGTACCTTTCTCATTGAGCTGCCATAGATTAAACAAAATAAAAAATAGTTTTTGATTTTTTTCTTATTCAGGATACTTAGAACAGTGCCTGACATTTAGTACATATTCAATAAATAGTTGTTGAATGAATAAATGACTGAATGAATAGCACAGGTTAAAAATACTAAAACTGTTATATAAACCCTATGAGTGCATCTGTTTCTGGGTCTTCTATTCTTTCCTACTGCTTGGTCTATTCCTGGAGCATCACTGAATCAGGCAGGGCAATCACTTGTCAGAAATTAGTAGCATCTGTGAGCACTGTGTGTATGTGTGCACGTACCTGCACATGTGTGTTCTTAACGCTGTTAATTTCATGACACAAACGCATTTGATGTGGTCAGTACATCTTCATGTATTTAATTTACATATGAGTCATGTATTTACCACGGCTGATATCAGACTGGCCATAGATTACTCTATCTAAGAATAAGTGCATGAATGAACTAGACTATGAGACAAGTAATGGAAACATTTTGAAAATCAAGGATAATCATCACTGTATGGTAGACGCACCTGAAAGCATAACTTAAACATACCCCGTATGGCAGATACACCTGACAGCAATCACTTAAGAAATGAGGGTTGCCATGAAGAGGTTGCTAAGGGGAGAGTGCTAAGTAAAAATGCTATATAAATTGCTTGCATTTCATAAGCGGTTGTGGTTCTTTTCGTCCAGCCCACCACTACTGGGCCACCCTGTAAGTTCCTCCAAATAAGCCCTATTTTTTCTTCACTGGCTGCAGGTCTTTTATTTGGCCTCTTGAACCTGGTGCCATCCCTGTTGGAGTTAATAGGGGTCCAGTGCTACAATAGCCAAGCAGCTGAGGGCCATAGAACTTAAAAGCAGCTCAATTTATGTTTTATTTCCTTTATGTTTGGTTTTGTTAGAGCAGTATTCTGAGAGCTCATTTCTGCTCATGCCTCCCTTTTACAGCCTAGACTTTTATATGAGGAATAAAGGCCCAGAGAAAGGAAAGAATGAGAAATGCAGAATACTTTTGCCAGTAAGAAGTTAGACGTCTAAAAGGAGAGACACACCACAAAAATGTATTACCCAATTAGTGAATACATTTCAAAATGTGGAGCACATGTCAATTATTTCCAGTTGATTAATGGTACAGTTGAGTTTAACCTGACTCTTCTGCCTGCTGGATCTGTTCATTTCTAAAGTCTCCAGCTATAAGCGGATACAAATATTTTTCCTTGAGGTTCTATCCATTTTCGCTTCACATTTTGACACTTTTTTAGGCATATACACATTAAGGATTGTTATGTCTTCTTTGATTATTGACCGATTTATCATCATGTAATATCCCCTTCTATTCCTGACAATTTCCCTTGCTGTGAAGTCTGCGTTGTCTGAAGTTAATATAGCTACTCCTGTTTTCTTTTGATTACCCTTAGCATGGTATGTCTTTCTTTACCCATTTACTTTTTTTTTTTTTTTTGGTGGGCTCTAGAGTTTGTGGCTCCAGACTAAATTCCAGGTAAATGCTTCCTGGAGTGAGAAAGGGTAGAGAGGTTGCACAGTTTTGTGCCTCCTGGGATATAGTGTGTCAGGTTCATCACTATGCCAAATGCCCTGCTTGGGTTCAGGTTCCAGCCCATGCTGAGGTTCGAGGGGAGTAGGCAGATGGGCATGTAGCTGAAAGAACACGCAGGGGGGCCGTAAGCAGGTGAAATGTAGTTTTATTCAGCAGCTCTCTCATCAGCAGCTTACTCCCACTAGCTCTCTCACACTGAGCTTTGTCTCTGCTGTCTGCTCCAGCCCTGCGGCTCCTCTCAGCAGCTGGCTCCCACACACAGCTGTGTGGCTGGCTCTCCCCTGCCTTCGGGGTCAGCAGCTTAACTCTTTCTCTCTCTCTGGGCACGAGCCAAGCCATGCTGTGCCCTGGCTCCCCTCTGTCTGTCTGAAAAACGGACAACTTTGACTCCCTCTCTTTCTCTGGGCACCAGTGCCTGTACAGTGTCAGCAGGGCAGTTATACCTTTTACAGACATTACTGGCTTAGAGCCAAATGATGAGCCTTCCCATGTTATGGCTACATGGCTGTGATAACAAGTGGAGTTATGCATCTGCACTCTAGACTTGCTGAGTCACTTTGGATGTTTACCTCGGCTTATGCTTGACTAAAGCACAGCCATGTTCCTTACAGGGTGGATGGGCAAAGTGAAGAGAAAAATGAAGAAATTGCAATTTGTGTCAAAATGTTATGGTCTCAACCAGATAACTCTCAGAATTAGACAAGTGGCTTTTCTACTCATTCTTCCACTCATTCAATAAGCATTCACCAAATGCTGAGTCTGTGCCAAATACTGTACCAAGAGATAAGATACAAAGATAAATGCTTCACGGAGCTAATGGGAAAGTATTTTTTTGCTATTATTATTTCAATAATTTGGTGGAAACAGGTGGTATTTGGTTACATAGATAAGTTCTTTAGCTGTGATTTCAGAGATTTTGGTGCACCCATCACCCAAGCAGTATACACTGCACCCAATGTGTAGTTTTTTATCCCTCACCCCCCTCCCACTCTTCCCCATCCAAGTCCCCAATGTCCATTATGTCATTCTTATGCCTTTGCTTCCTCATAGCTTAGCTACCCTTATAAGTGAGAACATACAATGTTTGGTTTTCTATTCCTGAGTTACTTCACTTAGAATAATGGTCTCCAACTCCATCCAGGTTGCTGCAAATGCCATTATTTCGTCCTTTTTTGGCTGAGTAGTTTTCCATGGTGTGTGGAATATATATCAGATTTTTAAAATCCACTTATTGATTGATGGACATTTAGGCTGGCTCCATATTTTTGCAATTGTGAATTGTGCTGCTATAAACATGCATGTACAAGTATCTTTTTCATATAATGACTTCTTTTCCTCTGGGTAGACACCCAGTAGTGGGATTGCTGGGTCAAATGGTAGTTCTACTCTTAGTAGAATAGCAGTGTAAAAGTGTTCCCTTTTTACCACATCCGCACCAACATCTATTTTTATTTATTTTTTGATTATGCCCATTCTTGCAGGAGTAAGGTGGTATCACACTGTGGTTTTAATTGGTGTTTCCCTGATCATTAGTGATATTGATCATTTTTTCATGTTTGTTGGCCATTTGTATATCTTCTTTTGAGAATTGTCTATTCATGTCCTTAGCCTACTTTTTGATGGGATTATTTGTTTTTTCTTGCTGATTTGTTTGAATTCCTTGATTCTAGATATTAGTCCTTTGTCAGATGTAGAGTTTGCAAAGATTTTCTCCCACTCCGTGGGTTGTCTGTTTACTCTGCTGATTATTTCTTTTGCTGTGCAGAAGCTTTTTGGTTTAATTAAGTCCCATACATTTATCTTTGTTTATGGTGCATTTACTTTTGGGTTCTTAGTCATGAACTCTTTGCCTAGGCCAATGTCTAGAAGAGTTTTTCTGATTTTGTCTTTTAGAATTTTTATGGTTTCTGGTCTTAGATTTAAGTCTTTGATCCATCTTGAGTTGATTTTTGTATAAGTGAGAGATGAGGATATAGTTCCATTCTTCTACATGTGGCTGCCAATTATCCCAGCACCTACCCATTTACTTTTAATCTATATCTGTCTTTATATTTAAAGGGGGTCTCTTGTAGATAATGTATAGTTGGGTCTTGATCTTTGATCCACTCTGACGATCTTTGTCTTTTAATTGCTATATTTAGACCATCGACATTTAGGTTGGTTATTGATAGAGTTACATTAATATCTACCATATTTGTTATAGTTTCCTATTTGTTGCCCTTGATCTTAGTTTCTATTTTTGTTCTCCAAACTTTTTCTGCCTTTTGTGGTTTTTAATTGAGTGTGTTATGATTCCATTTTCTCTCCTTTCTTAGCATGTCAATTATATATTTTTAAACTTGTTTCTAGTAGTTGCCCTAGAGTTTGTAATGTACATTTGCAGGTAATCCAAGCCCACTCTCTCAACACTATACCACTTAATGGCAAGTACTTTATAATAACAAAATATTCCTAATTCCTTCCTCTCCTTCAAATCATTTTTGCCATGAAATTTGTTACTAAAACATCACACTCTATGAGTTTTTTTCATGCCAAACAAAAAGTAGAAACAAACAAAACCCCATGTACTGTTTCCCAAAGAACTGTAAGGAAATTAATTTTTTTCTCTTTGACTGTCTTAATTCCATCAACATCTTTCCTAAATCAGTTAGCAGTAAAGTGCTTCTGGTTGCCCCACTAGGGTGTATAAATGAGTAGGTTTTATAAATGGTCAAAATTAGAATCCAAATATTTAACTTACACATTTTAAACTTAAATATGGATTAATCTGACAGTACACATCTGAAGCCTATAAACTCTATAACTGCTTTTCTTAGCTTTGCTCAGCAGCTTCTCATTGGAGCCAAAATCTGAACCTCAGATTATTTCAAGACAAACGTCATTCTCATGGATAAAAGGTCACTGCCAGGATATCTCAATTTTATATGATCCTGTGATGTGATTATGTCAAGAATGGGGGTAGATAATGTGGATTCAGAGTGTGAGAGGCGATAGAGATCCTTGGGAATAATAAAAGTCGTTTGTTCAGAGAACAGAGTGGATTTTATCCTCAGACTTATTCTTTACTCATGTTGTATCATCCAGTGAGTTGTCTATATTCCTACCACTTTATTATTTTTTAAATATATTTTTATTTCAATAACTTTTGGGGTCCAAGTGGTTTTTGGTTACATGGATGAATTATGTAGTAGTGAATTCTGAGATTTTAGTGCGCTTGTCACCCAAGTAGTGTACATTGTACCCATGTGTAGTTTTTCTTTATCCCTCACTCCACTCCCACCCTCCTCCTACTATATCCAAAGTTCATTACATCACTTTGTATGCCTTTGCATACTCACAGCTCATCTTCCACTTACAATCAAGAACATACGGTATTTAGTTTTCTATTACTGAGTTACTTCACTTAGAAAAATGGATTACAGGCACGATTAATAGTTGCTGCAAAAGACATTATTTTGTTCCTTTTTATGGCTGAAGAGTATTCCGTGGGTGTATATATAGATGCCATATTTTCTTCATCCACTAATCAGTCAATGGACACTTAGGTTGGTTTCGTATCTTTGCAATTGTGAATTGTGCTGTAATAAACATATGTATGCATGTGTCTTTCATATAATGACTTCTTGTCCTTTGGGTAGATATTCAGTAGTGGGATTGCTGGATTGAATGGTAGATCTACTTTTAGTTCTTTAAGGAATCTCCACACTGTTTTCCATAGAGATTGTACTAATTTACATTCCCACCAGCCATGTATAAGCATTCCCTTTTCACCACATCCATGCCAACATCTATTGTTTTTTGACTTTTTAATAATGGCCATTCTTGCAGGATTAAGGTGGTATCTCATTGTGGTTTTAATTTGCATTTCCCTGATTATTAGTGATGTTAAGTACTTTTTCATATGTTTCTTGGCCATTTGTATACCCCCTTTTCTTTTGAGAAATATCTACTCATATCATTTGCCCACTTTTTGATAGATTATTTTTTTCTTGCTGATTTCTTTGAGTTCCTTGTAGGTTATGGATACAAGTCCTTTGTCAGATGCATAGCTTGCAATATTTTCTCCCATTCTGTGCGTTATCTGTTTCCTTTGATAACTATTTCATTTACTGTGCAGAAGCTTTTTAGTTTAATTAGATCCCATTTATTTATTTTTGTTTTTGTTGCATTTACTTTTGGGGTTTTAGCCATGAATTCTTTGCCTAGACCAATGCCCGAAACAGTTTTTCCAATGTTATCTTCTAGAATTTTTATGGTTTCAGGTTTAGATTAAGTCTTTCATCCATCTTGAGTTGATTTTTATTTAAGGTGAGAAATGGGGATCCAGTTTCATTCTTCTACATGTGGCTTGCCAATTGCCCCAGCACCATTTGTTGAATAGGGTATTCTTTCCCCAATTTATGTTTTTGTTTGCTTTGTCGAAGATCAGTTGGCTGTAAGTATTTGGCTTTATTTCTATGTTCTCTATTCTGTTCCATTGGCCTATGTGCCTATTTTTATACCACTATTATGTTGTTTTGGTAACTGTAGCCTTGGAGTATAATTTGAAGTCTGGTAATGAGATGCCTCCAGATTTGCTCTTTTTGTTTAGGATTTCTTTGGGTATGCGGGCTCTTTTTTGGTTCCATATCAATTTTAGGATTGTCTTCTCTAATTCTGTGAAAAAATAATGTTGGTAATTTGATGGGAATTGTATCAGATCTATAGATTGCTTTGGGCAGTATGGTGATTTTCACAACATTAATTATTCCAATCCATGAGCATGGGATATTTTTCCATTTGTTTGTATCATCTGTTATTTCGTTCAGCAGTGTTTCGTAGTTCCCCTTGTAGAGATTGTTTACCTCCTTGACTAAGTATATTCCTAGGTATTTTACTTTTCTTGCAGCTGTTGTAAAAGGAATTGAGTTTATTGGTTTTTTTGTTTTGTTTTTGAGATGGAGTCTCACTCTGTCACCCAGGCTGGAGTGCAGTGGCGCAGTCTCGGCTCACTGAACCTCTGCCTCCTGGGTTCAAGCTATTCTCCTGCCTCAGCCTCCCGAATAACTGGGATTACAGGCACGCACCACCATGCCTGGCTAATTTTGAGTTCTTGATTTGATTCTCAGCTTGGTTATTGTTAGTGTATAGAAGTGCTACTGATTTGTGTACACTGATTTTGTAACCTGAGACTTTACCAAATTCATTGATCAAATCTGGGAGTCTTTTTGAGCAGTCTTTAGGGTTTTGTAGGTATATCATTGGCAAACAGTGATAGTTGGACTCCCTCTTTTCCAATTTGGATATTCTTTATTTCTTTCTCTTGCCTGATTGCTCTGGCTAGGACTTCTAGTACTGTGTTAAATAGAAGTGGTGAAAATGGGCATCTTGTCTTGTTCCAGTTCTCAGTGTGGAATGCTTTCAACTTTTCCCCATTCAGTATGATGTTGGCTGTGGGTTTGTCATATATAGCTTTTATTATTCTGAATTAAGTCCCTTCTATGCCTAGTTTGTTGAGAATTTTTCTCATAATGGGCTGCTGGATTTTATTGTTTTTCCTGTGTCTATTGAGATGATAATATGGTTTTTGTTTTTAATTCTGCGTATGTGATGTACCACATTTATTGACTTGCATATGTCAAACCATCCCTGCATCCCTGGGATGAAACCCACTTGATCATGGTGTATTGCTTTTTTGATGTTTCCCACCACTTTAAATCAGAGGTTGGCCCATGCGCCATTTCTGGTCTGCAGGTATGTTTTGAAAATTTGCTAACATTTAAATACTTAAGGATCTTCATAAAAATAAAAATCAAGTTTTTGGCTTCTCTTTAAAAAACTAAAAGCAGCAGCTGGATCAGAATAATGTGTACCCCCATAGACAAGCTTTGAGGTCTCCAGGTCCTCAGTCTCCCCACTCCCTAGTGTCTTATATCTTTCCTGTTCCATTCATTCATATTACATGTGGGTCATGTGAGATCAGATACCTTTAAGAAGGTTGCAGTAAACCAGCTTGCCTCTCTTTCAAAAGCTATTGGGTAGCTTACTCAGAACAACAGGCAAAAACACTGAAAATTAGTCAATTTTAGGCATTATTTACAAATAAAATAGGAAAGAGGGGTTCTATTGGAATGAATGTTGTGTGTACAACAGACATACAAACAAACAAAAACTCCACCTTGGGGAAATACAGGCCCATCCTTAGGTAAAAAGATTCAGTCTCTGAAAGACAACTGAATTTTGCAACTCTATATTTGCCTTTCTACTTGAAATTTAGAGACCTTGTAGATCTTATTAAACCAAGCATAAGTAAGTGAGCTCCTTACCCACTCTGAGGACTCATCAATACCAGTAGATGATGTGGACAAGTTCTAAGGTATAAACAAAATAGGAGGGAGGAAATGACTAGGTAGGAAATGAAAAGAGTGAGAGAAAGAGAGAGAGAAGGGGAAAAAGAGAACTAAAGGAGAGGGAAAAGAATAGAAGAAGTGAGCCTCATAAGGGTTCCAATACTTCTTATTTCGGAGCCAGTTTTAAGATTCATTTTTGTTTTGGACTGTTATCGTTAATTAATCCACCAGGTGGTGCTCTGAAATACCAAATAAACTTCAGTCTTTAATTTTAAAAATTACATTTACTACACCTTCCACCTATTATCGAAGGTGGAAAAGATACATGGCCAACCACCCTTTATTTGAAAATATTTATACTGTATAAAAACATACAAGATTTGTATTTGAAAGATGACATTTAGGAGGAAAACTAGAGATTGCTGTTTAAATTATTTTTTATTTTCTTGGATATAAAGTATACAATTTTAAAAATCAAGAGAATTGCAATAAATATTTGGACCAAAAAAATCTATATGTTTACATATCCTCCTTGAAGTTCCTTAGGACTGACACTGGCTCCATTGGAGCCGTCGGCCCCCACTGTGTGTCTGTGAAATGCTGTGGAATACTGTGAAAAGTTCATGGGAGGAGTCTAGTTTTCTGGATCCAACCTGGCCTCACCAAACACACTCTAGCCCTATACTCCAAGTTTTGGTTGCTGCTTTTGGTTCATCTTCATCCTCAGGGGACCCTGCAGAAGCTTGTTCATCCAACCCACTGATTTCCTCTTGACTGCCTCCACACATCATTTGCAGAGAGGTCTGACCCTTATTTCCCTCCCATAGGCACTGGAAGTGAATTTAGACCAATTTTTAAAGTCTCTAATTTATGATACAATGTAATTTAAAGGGGAAAACATAAATGACACAATGGGAAATATGCATTGGGGGCTGTGTTCTCAAAGATTTGGCACTAAAAAATAATGAGGACAAATGACAATGGGAATACAGCAATGGTATCTTTGGAGTCAGCTGGTCCTAAGTTCAAATTCTGACTGCCCCCCTTCTTAAGTGTGTTATTTTGGCAAAATTCATTTCTCTTTGAACTTCACTTTTCTCTCCTATATAATAAGGCTAATTCCTACTTTGCATGGTTGTTGTGGGAATTAAATAAGATCATATGCTTAAAGCACCTAGGTTAGTAGGCTGCCTATCAATTTCAGTACCTTTTCCTTTCCCTTCCTTACCTTATTCCTGTGCTCTAACTCAAAATTGTACCCCAGTGCCAGTAACAGGGATGCTGCTGCGTTCCCCTCAACTTTACGCCTACCTTGGTAATCTGCTTCCAAATCTTCCTGATGCTGACCACTGGCTGGATCTCTACCATCTTGTTACTTTCAGTTCCCTGTCGGCCCATGCACTGCTGGGATAACCACCTGATGTGTTTTTTTGTACCTCTTTGGGGCTAGTTGCCTGCCCACCTTCTTGAATGGCTATCCCTGACAACTGGGTATGTCCACCACTCCCCTTGACCTAACAAAATCCCCCTTCCTGCTGCTGGGTTAGCCATTCCCCAACCCCCAAATGTTACCCTGCCTCCAAATCACCGGGCCTGATGCTTCAGAAAAGAGCTGTTCAGCTGCACTGTGCATAGTATCTCTTTGCCACCTGCACATGTTCAGAAAGGCTGTGATTTTTTTCCAGCTTTTATTTTAGATTCAGAGGGTATATGTGTAGGTTTGTTGCAAAGGTGTATGGCATGATGCTGAGGTTTGGAGTATGGTTGAATGTGTTACCTAGGTGGTGAGCAGAGTATCCAATAGGTAGTTTTTCAACCATTGCCCCCCTTCCTCCCTCCCCACTCTTGTTGTCCCCAGTATCTATTGTTCCTATCTTTATGTTCATATATACCCAATGTTTAGCTCCCACTTATATGTGAGAACACATGGTATTTGGTTTTCCATTTCTGTGTTAGTTCATTTAGGATAATGGCCTCCAGTTGCATCTATGTTGCTGCAAATTATAAAATTTCATTCTTTTTTATGGCTGCATAATTTTCCATGGTGTATATGTGCCACATTTCCTTTAGTAAATCCACCAATGATGGGCATTAAGGTTGATTCCATGTCTTTGCTATTGTCTCTATATTTGTTGTTTTTTTGTTTTTCAAAAAGAGTATGATCTAAAAAGAGTGACTGACCGGGTCTTGCTCTGTTACCCAGGCTGGAGTTCTGTGGTGTGATCATAGCTTGCTGCACCTCAAGCTCCTGGGCGCAAGCAATACTCCTGCCTCGGCTTCTTAAGTAGCTGGGACTACATGCACATGCCACCATGCCCAGTTAATTTTATTTAAGTTATTTTTTGTAAAGAAAGGGTTTCACTATGTTTCCCAGACTGTTCTTGAACTCGTGGCCTCAAGGGATCCTTCTGCCTTGACCTCTAAAAACACTGGAATTACAGGTGTGAGCCACTGTGCCTGGCCTTGCTATTGTGAATAGCGCTGCAATGAATATACAGGTGCGGGTCTTTTTGGTAGAATGATTTATTTTCCTTTGGGTATATACTTGGTAATGGGATTGCTGGGTTGAATGGTCATTCAACTCTTCTTTGAGAAATCTCTAAACTGCTTTCCACAGTGGCTAAACTAATTTACATTCCACCAATATATTCACATTGAGTATAAGTGTTCCCTTTTCTCCACAGCCCTGCCAACATCTGTCATTTTTTGACTTTTGAACAAAAGCAGAAAGGCTGTGATTTTTAAAGTGGAGCTGGGAAGTGGTCTGTCTGTCCAGATAGAGACTGCTGGTCTCTGCTAGTACAGCTTGAAGATCAGCAAGCATGCCACCTGGGGCATTGCACCACCATAAAACCTGTTTCTTTCCAGGCAGGAGTCCACCTAAGGCAGCATTGCCACAGCTGTAATAGGAAGTCTGAAAGGTGAGGTGAGGTGTTCCAGGGGAGACCGAGTAAGAAGCTCTGTATTTGTGTGCATTTGGAGCAGGTAGTCCAGGCCAAAGGCCCCAACGCAGTGAGTCATATGAGGCTGTACAACTGGAAAGCTGCCAGCTGGGCACACCCATTAGGATACATGTTCCTGCAGTGGCTTAGCAGAACTTTCCTATTAATATTTATTTAAATACCAACTCTACAGTTTCTGGACATAACTTTATATACCATCTTTCTGAAACTGTTTTTATGCCAAAACGAGTCCTTTAGAAAGTCCATTTATCTGAATTACTTTTTATTCTTCAAACTTATACAGCCACAAATGCTTCTTCTGTTAGGAAGAATTGACTGTTTTGTTAACATTTAGCTTCATGTGGGTTTTACATTAAATTCTTAAAATCCAAGGCTATAAAATTCTGAGAGAATAAACGTATCTTAATAGAAACTTTGCAAATGCGCCACTTTATTAGTGATGGAAATGGTTATGAAAATCTGCTGCTTTTCATAGATAGTGCCAGTTACAGATAGAGAAATATTGTGGTAATCAGCATTTGATCAAGCTCTGGGTTCTGTGAAACTGATTCTTAATGCAAATTTTATCTCGAAAACTTTAGTCTGCTCTCCTAAAATAGCAATAGCCATTTTGAGCCATGGACTAAAATGCTTATGGTCCCAAGGATCCTAATATCATAGTTTGTAGGGAAGTCAGAATATGATGCTTCAACTTGCCAAAGCTGTTTCTTCTTAATCACCTCCAAAAAAGTTAAATTATTAACTGTGCAATTCATTCCAAATTGCATGTCACCATTCTCTCTTTATTTTTAATTTCAAAAAAACTATTCTGATCACTTTATTTTCTTGAATAGAGCACATGGAAAACAAATGTTTAGATAATAAGGTGTTGGTCTTATTTTAAATTTTGCTTAATTGGAACTTTAAAAATCAATGTGAAGGCTGGATCTTAAAGGCAAGCTTAAAAAGACAGTCACAGCCGGGTGCAGTGGCACATGCCTGTAGTCCCAGCTACTCATGAGGATTGCTTAAGCCCAGGAGTTTAAGTCCAGCTGGGGCAATGTAGCAAGACCCTGTCTCTCTCTCAAAAAAAAAAAGAAGCAGCAGCAGCCGGTCTCAAAGGGTTGTATACCACATGATTGATTATATAACTAACCCCAAGTGACAAAATAATAGTATGGAAAACAGATCAGAGGTTGCCTGGGACCAGCACTGGGAGAACGGTGTGATTCTCAAGGAAGAATACTGGGGGTTTCTTTGTAGTGTCAGAAGAGTTCTGTACCCTGACTGTGGTGTTGGTTATTCGAATCTGCATGTGTGATAAAACTTCAGAAAACTATAGACCAAGAAAAAAAAAAAAGAAGAAAAAGTGTAAGTAACACTGGAATATGAATAAGGACTGTATCTGAGGTAATAATAATGAACAACATCAATTTCCTGGTTTTGACAATGTGCTCTGGGGATATGTAATAATACTGGGGGAAGTGAAGGGTACATGATAATTCTCTGTACTATTTTTCCAATTTCTTGTGAGAAACTATTTCAAACATAAAGATCAATTTTATGTTTATTATTTTAACAAATGAATGGAAAGAAGTAATTAGGTATATGAATTTTTTTTTTTAAAGAAAATTTTAAATGCCAGAATGTGAGTTCTTGGACTACTTGTATAAGGAAGTAACACCAAATGCTTTGGGAAAAAAGGAAGGTTGACAATAATCCATAACAATTTTCTGGTCACAGTTTCCTCAATAATATTTCCTTTCAGTGTTAGTTTCTTCTCTCCCTCCCATTGGTCCAGTTTCCATCACTCTCTTCTGCTCCTTTTTAATATATGAAAGTTCTTCGCTTCTCTCTCCCTTTTTCACTGCCTTCTCTTCCTTGTGCCTAATGTAATCTCTCTCTTTTATCCTCACAAAACCCAAATCCAGGTCAGCAAATTCCATTTATAGTCATAAATCTGGTCTCTGCTCTGTGTGCACTCATACGTATTTCTGAAGAGAGGATGGGGTGTTGGAAGAATCTGACTAGCAGAGGTAGGTGGGGAGAGCAGAGCAGAGAAGTTCTCTTTATTTATACTTTAGTACTGAGGGCAAGAGTCTCAGCATTTAAATGTCTGAATTATTCCTTTGCATGGCAAGAATGTGTCTAGATTTTTAAAAGCAACAAACATAACTACATATAAATAAAGGCACCTCCAGTTTGGTAGTGTTTTCAATAACACTCGCCTTGGTCAAAATGTTGACAATATAAGGGGGCACTCAAAATTGCTAATTTTCTCATTCCAATGCAAGATCTCCTTACTACAGGGTTAAAGTAGGTTTTCCCAAAGCTGTTTCAGGGTTGATGCTTATTTGAATCTTTAGATCAGTATCATACCAAATCTGAAGACAATTATTCCTAATTGATTTTTATTCTATACTTAGGAAAAAAATGTGAAAGCAAAAGGAGGTTTCTGTTCAAGATTTAAAAATGATTCTGCATTGGCAATTACATAAATGAACTTTGGAGACTCTTGGGAATTGCTTGCTAAATTCAATTTTCTTTATAGTTTGGGCCACTCTAAACTCTTCTCCAAAGCCTTTAGAAGTTTTAAGGTCAAGAGACGACCAGAATAAGAACTGCAATTGCAGCTACATGGAGTGTCTGTGTGGAATAGAGAACATGACTTCTTTTATTACATATGACACAAGAAACAAATATCAAAGTGGACCCTGGTATCTATGGGTATTTAATGCAATGTAGCAGATGAATCACAAAGTTAACATTTATGAGACATTAATCGGGCCATTTCTAATGTCATTCCTTGCATGCATGCCTTCTCTGCCTTTCATTCATTTTGAAATAAAGAAAAAAATTGCCTTGGTTTTAGTGAACCTTAGAAAAATAAGTGTAAAAAAACATCTCTGGATGTGGTTTCTTGTTGATTTAGGATTCTGATAGCTTCATCATTCCTTTCTTGGTGTGTCTCTCCAGATATCTCAAAGTTATCTTAAATGATCTTAAATATGTTAAATATCCCAAATGATAATCTGGGAACCCCTAGAATGTAGACTCCTCAAAGGCAGGGATTTTGTCTGTGATCACTGCCATCCCAGTTCTAGAACAGTGTCTGGCACAAGTGCTCAATAGCCTTTGATTGAGTTGGGTTGGTAACTGGATGTTGGGAAAATAACTTTGTCTCTGGAGTCAGACTGACCTAGGTCAGAGTCCTGGCTCTGTGACTCAGTGACCTGGGACAAAGTATATCACTTCCCAGAGCTTCAGTTTTCTGATATGCCAGGTGCCATTGGACCTCAGCAGAGAGAGTATGCACAAAGCACTGAGCATGGAGCTTGGGAGGTACCAGATGCTTAGTCAGTGACCATTCCCTTATGAATTCACAGCCATCCTACCCTTTTTCTGCTAGAATTATCTATTTTCCTGAATGCAACTGATTCAAAGTAAAGCATTTTCAGAGAAAGCTATCATGATTTCTAAGAAGAGTATCTAGGATCAGAATTCCCAGAAACAGAATGAACTTCTCCCTGTATTTCTTAGCTTTACAAGCCCTAAATCAGCTAATCTCATCTCCATAGGATCTACACCAGCATAAACATGGAAAACACCATTTTTTAGATTTCTGTCAACCTGAACATTCAGTATTTTCAGGCAGAAGAGTTGAGTTGAGTTGTGTTTTTATTTGTTCTATTTTATTTTCCACTTGTCAAGTAGATTAAGATTAATATGTAGCTCTATTTCGTTTGGAAAGCGGAGCTTTATTTCTCATATAAGGTTGCATCTTACAGGGTGGCCATTCTGACAAGCTAGAAACAGGCTCTTTGAGGGAGGAGCAAAGGGAACAGGAATTTATGCTGAAAGGGGTGGCGAAACATACATATTCAATAAACTATAGCAGGAGTCATGAATATTTATGAAAGGAGAAATATGCACATGCCCCAGTAAACTTCATGCCCCTTCATGGGTACCATGTTCAAAAAATAGTGGAGTTAGCATGATCCCAGGGAGGAGTTTTCAGCCCTCTGAGGTCAAAAGTTGAAGCAGAGGACATGAAAACCCTTACTGCGCATCCTCCATGGTCTCTTATCAGGAAGGAATGCTGGCCGGTTATTTTGTAGAAACCACAGAAGGGAGAGGTCGCATCAGGTGGTTGATACTAGGGGTGGAGTGAGTCTTTCCAAAGGGCTGGTTTCTGTTTAACCCTTAGGAAAAGGTGAGGGAGGGGTTATAATGAGGTTTCTCCAACCTCCCATCCCGTCATGGCTGGGAACTCAGTTTTTGAGTTTCTCTGGGGTCCCTTGGCAAAGAAGAGGTCTGTTCTGTTGCTTGGTGGGCTTAGGATTTCATTTCTATTTCTCATTTTCTTCCTTTTGCCTGAGATTTCCCAGAGGCAGTATTGATGGCCAAATTTTTATTTTGTCCCATTTCATTGCCAGGGGGGTGTGGCCCTCTTTAATGTCTAGGATGACCTAGGGGTCCAAAAATGCAGACCTTTCTTCTCTTTTTGACATTTCATGCCTGATATATTACATTCATCTAATAAATGATTTCCAAGCATTCTAGTCTTTGAGGTTAATTATGTGTTCTCACTATCACTCAGTTGTATACCTTACATGTCTCATTTATTTTATTAACTAATGTTGTAATCAGTTACTGACTGCCTACTTTGTGTCTTTGCATTTTAGTTCTGTGGGAAATAAGGAAGGATAAGAAACAAGTTGAGGGGTTGGACTCTATTCTCAAGGAGAAAAGAAATACAACGAAAATTTAAAATATTTACTGTATTATATATGTTTATAAAATGGCTTGCATAAATAAAGGTGCTAAATAAGTGGTTTTAATAATTACTAGGTCTGTAGTTAAATGGAAGAGACAAATCTTGTAAACATTACACCCCTAGGAAAAATTATTAGAGGATATAGGTATATGCATAACACTATGGTAGAGACTGTATTTCTATATTGTTTTGAAGTGTTAGAATTACCATAAATAGGCTGATCATAGGCCATCCAGCAAAAAGGAAGTTACCAGCAAGGGCCAAAAGAAACTAATGAATATAAAAAGCTGGTGCCCTCTCAGGAAGGCCCAGAGATTAAAATCACCATGTCCATGGAGTGTGGAAAACTCCATTCTGATATGGGCCAGCCATACTGTCCAAGGGGACGGATCCAAGGGGCGGGAAGGTGAGGCTAGTTCCCTGCAAGGTTAGTAACAGAATCTTAGGGAAGTCTTTCTGTGTATAAGGAGTATCATGGTGAGGGTGATGTTGGCTATAAGACATGCTGGGAAATGGAAGAAAGAAGGGCAGGATTGAAGTGGTTGAGGTTGAAGCAACGGGAAATTAGTTGGGACAAAAGGGTTGAGCCCTTCTAGGGCTAGAAACCCAAATCACCAGGTCTAAGAAAGTATAGCAAACTTTAATCTAGTGTTTCTCTAAATATCAAAAAGTTCTAGCGATCATCTTGGACATTTGCTAAAAATACACGGCCAGGGCCGGGCGCGGTGGCTCACGCCTGTAATCCCAGCACTTTGGGAGGCCGAGGCGGGCGGATCACGAGGTCAGGAGATCGAGACCATCCCGGCTAAAACGGTGAAACCCTGTCTCTACTAAAAATACAAAAAATTAGCCGGGCGTAGTGGCGGGCGCCTGTAGTCCCAGCTACTTGGGAGGCTGAGGCAGGAGAATGGCGTGAACCCGGGAGGCGGAGCTTGGAGTGAGCCGAGATCCCGCCACTGCACTCCAGCCTGGGCGACAGAGCGAGACTCCGTCTCAAAAAAAAAAAAAAAAAAAAAAAAAAATACACGGCCAGGCCCTGCCCCATGTCTCTCACAGCAGGATCTTTAGGAGAGAGCTTAGGATTCTGTATTTTTAATGAGTGCTCCTGATGAGCTTTTATGACTAGAGAAATTTGGAAAACATTGCTTTAGTCCAACCCAATCTGGCATCAGGATTCAAACTCTCTCTCAGAGGGTAGGGCAAGACTGGGAAGCAAGGACTTTTTGGATTCAGAAGGGTGTGTAGATGGTATATCTGGAAGGCGTCCTGGAAGCAAGATATAGCCTGGAGAAACAGGGCTATCATATTCTGGATGTGGGAATTAGGGCTCCAGTGAACTGAAACTATTTTAGGCAGGGCTCTAGTGCTTGTGGGAGACCAGAGAAGATCCTGGGAAATACAGCATCAGTCAAGAATTCAGCCACAGAGATGGGAGGGGTGATAACCGCCTCCAGCCCTCTCAGGGCAAACAGAATATTTAGGCTTGTGTGGTGTCCCTGTCTTGATGGGCTGGGTTAGGCTGTACCCTTATGGGTAAAAACTGAGTGGTACCTCTCTATTGAGAAAGATGTTGTTACTGGATGGCAGCCATTAGAGCAAATGAAAGGTCCTCTGGACACCAGAATTCACCAAGGAGGCTAGACAGGCCATGAGGAAACTCCAGCTTCTTTCAAAGCTTCGGTCCATTTGGTTCAGATGTGAAAGGATTTGGGTGTCCTTGAAGCTTCACCCTCTTAAGTCCAGCAGGGTCATAGTGGGGGTGATCATGTGCTAGATATCCCTAAGGAGAAGGATAATCTTGGAGGGCCAGATTGTGCTAGGAAGCCCAGGAGACCGTCCCATAATGCAGCCTTAGTCTCCCGCGGTCTTGGAGGATGCCCTGGCCATGTTCATTACTCTCAGGTGAGGCTAGAGCGGGCAGGTGGAGGTGCATGTGAGATGGAAGGGAATGATTAGTGGGTTCTGTTGGACCAAGAGTACGGATTGATAGATTAGGAAGTAATGCATTTTGACTTTGATCATGAAATGAACAAGAGAAATTACAGCCACTTTTAAAGAACTAAAATGATAGGCTGGACAATAATAAATGCTGGCAAGGATGTGGAGAAATGGGAATCCTTGTACACTGCTACTGGAAAAGTAAATTAGTACAACCACTATGGAGAACAGTTTGGAGCTTCCTCAGAAAACTAAAAATAGAGCTACAATATAATCCAGCAATCCCACTGCTAGGACCCCAAAGAAAGGAAATCTGTATATTGAAGAGATAGCTGCACTCCCATGTTTACTGCAGCACTATTCACAATAGCTAAGATGTGGAAGCAACCTAAATTTCCACCAACGGATGAATAGATAAAGAAAATGTGGTACATATACACAATGGAGTACTATTCAGCCATAAAAAAATGAGATCCAGTCATTTGCAACAACATGGATGGAGCTGGAGGTCATTATGTTAAGTGAAATAAGTCAGACACATAAGTACAAACTACACTTGTTCTTACTTATTTGTGGGGTCTAAAAATGCAAACAACTGAACGTATGAAGACAGAGAATAGAAGCGTGGTTACCAGAAGCTTGGAAACATGGAGGTTAAGTGGGGACATTTAATGCGGCCAAAAAGTAGTTACAAAGAATGAATAAGATCTAGTATTTGCTAGCACAAGAGGGTGAGTATAGTCAAAAATAATTTAATTGGACATTTAAAAATAATTAAAGGAGCATTATTGGATTGTTTGTAACACAAAGGACAAATGCTTGAGATAATGGACACCCCATTACCCTGATGTGATTATTATGCATTGCATGCCTGTGTCAAAATATCTCATGTTAAATATATACACCTACTCTGTACTGACAAACATTCAAAAAATGTTTTAAAATTAAAAAAAGAGTCTGGAGAATGATTCTAAATTCTGATAAATTTGTTTTCCTCTCTCAACAGGAATCTCCCATTATTTTCCTCTTGGCCCAGAGAAAAGATAGCCTTTCTGGTTCACTTTTCCTTATGCCAATACTACAGGTTATATTGTTATATTTTGTACTTTTCAGTTTCTTTTTCAGAATCAATAAATATTTGAGTACAAATTTGTTTTGATGAATTGGAAGGCCTGGCTGTCTTCACCTTTCAGAATCCTCTCTGCCAGTCACACTACTACCTACTGATTATAATCATGTCAAAAATCACCTCTTCCATGAAACCTCTCCTGGCTCATCCATCGATAGGTGATTTTTCCATCCTTCAAACCCCATACATTGCACCTTTGTTTGTAAGTTCTTTATGGCCCTCCCATTTTATTTTCTTCCTTTTCTCTTCAACAACATTTAATTTATAACCCTCCCTGTTCCATAAAGGAAATCTATAGAAGAAAATACAATATAAATGAGAAAATGCAAATGTAAGAAAAATAAATATAGGAATATAAGATGAAGCCAAGTGTTACAAATATTTATTGAACACTAGTCATGTCCCACATGATAGACAGTGCCTGCTCTCCTGGAATACAGACCCGACCCAGGGCAAAGCTGTGGCTTTTGGACGAGGAAACATTCAGAGACCAGCTTCAAACCTTCACCAGAGTTTTAGTGTTAATAATTCAGTCCTGACTTACCCATACTCTCATGAAATCACCTACTCCTTACTATTGTGTGTCTGTAGAAATCAGGCAACAGTGTAATCTTGATGGTGCTAGTATTTTTCATCAAAGGACCTTCTTTCCCACTCCATCGATATCTTGCTAGCTCTTCTCTGAGTCTTTTTCAAGTTCTCAAGTCTTCAATGCCAAGACTGTAAAGCCATTCATATAATTATGCTGGGGAGACTGGATATCCCTCAATTTTTTTCAAGGAACTTCTATTCTAGCTTGTGTGTACTTAGTACATTATATTAACGTCTAATAAAATGAACTACTGGCAGGCTTTTCATTAGGTTATAGCTGCTTCTGCAAAAGAAACCTCATTTATATGTTGTTTCCTCTACATTGGCTAAATGGCAGCAAATAAGATAAGGATATGATTATCATTTTTCAAATGTTGTGAGAGCACTCCATGGCACCAACATCGTCATCTACGGCTCCAGGGCAAACTATGCATGGACCATTCTGACTGTACAAATATAAGGAAACGTAGATTGTTACCATGGCAACAAGAAAAGCTACAGATTTCCTCCAAATCACTACCTAATTTGTATATTTTAAGCAAAATTATTGTAGAGGAAAGTCCCTTCTAGGCCATTTTTAAAGCCAATCATTTGCATTAGGAAAGTTAGAAAAATTATATCATCTCAGATGTAACTAGTAATTAGAATATTTTTCTCACAGGACTTATTTCTTCAAGAATGCTGAATTTTTGCTGCTGTATTTTCAAAATTCAACTAAGTTGCTCATTTAAAATCATGGGTTTAAGTACTCCTCCATGAATTAGAGTTTTACTCTCAGGAAGCTCCAAGAAATGTTAATTTCCTGGAGTCTGTTTTTCCCATTATATGATAAAATCAGATACCAGGCACCCAATACTTTAACATAGAAAGAGAATATTGGACTCTCTTTCCAAAAAGAGCCAGGTATCTGCATTTATGTATATCAGTATTCTCATCATCATGTCTGGGCTTTTGCTCGGAGCAAGGTTGCATCCGGTATAATGTGGGGCAGAGGCCGGGTGCAGTGGCTTATGCCTGTAATCCCGGCACTTTAGGAGGCCAAGGCGGGCTAATCACCTGAGGTCAGGAGTTTGAGACCAGCCTGGCCAACATGGCGAAACCCTGTCCCTACTAAAAATACAAAAATTAGCCAGGCACGGTGGCGCACACCTGTAGTCCCAGCTACTCGGGAGGCTGAGGCAGGAGAATCGTTTGAACCCGGGAGGCGGAGGTTGCAGTGAGTCGAGATCACGCCACTTCACTCCAGCCTGGGTGACAGAGCAAGACTCCATCTCAAAATATAAAAAAATAATATGGGGCAGAAAGTTTCGAGACCAAGGTGTATAGGGTCAGTGTGAACAGCAGCATGCTGAGGTCAGCCTGCAATCCAAGGGGCAAGCAGGATCCAACCTGAGAGGTCACCTGGGTAATGGTTGGAGCCAACTGGGTGACACCAAAAGCCAAACTAAAGCCAGGAATCTGGGAGCAAATGCTAGGGGGACCCAAATAAATTTGCACAAGGTAAATCTCTTGCTTCAGGCAGATGTTTCATCCTTACCTGTGTTTCTCAAGCTGTTTTGACCACAACTCATAGTATGAAATATATTTTATATCATAGCCTGATGCACACTCCTGTGTCAGAGTTTCAGAAAGATACTTGCCCTTACCATGCGTCTGTCACTCTCATGTTTTCAATTCTCTTAGGTTCAATTCTATTTCATTTAGAGATGTTAGTAGGAGACTTACTAAACTGATTTCATGATCCGCTAATTGATAGAAATATATAGCTCAAAATAAACTGTCTTGGAGAGTTGGGAGATGGGATGCAGAGAGTACAAAAACAAACAAAACACAACTGGAGGACATGGTTTCCGATCTCAAGGCTTTGAAAGCTCCTTAGGAAGTTAGAATGTGACATGAAACAACAAAATAACACATTTGGAATAAAGAAATCGAAACAAGCAGGTTCACAAGCAAATTAATATTAATACTGGAAGCATTGACTCCAGATGTGAAAGGTTAAGTTAGAGTCAATGATTAGAGGTTTCCTAGAATAACACGTGTAAAGCCAGCTTTGGGGTAACTTCTCTGGATAAAGCATCCAGAGAAGTAAATAGCACAGATAGTGTAACAACATGCTTCAGCAGATAAGCCTAAATTGTGTTTCTGGGTTGGAGAGGAGAGTGTGTGTAACATAGAGGGATGAAGAAATTAACTTAGATGAGATGAGGTAGGTGGAAGCTTTCAATACTTTAGGATCAGCCTCCAAAAAACATTAGAAGAAAACTACCCTTATCTATATAATTAACACAGTGTAATTGTGTTTAAGGATTATTCTGGTGACTGCTAAGAGAGGATGCATTGCCTTGGGAGGCCGAGGCAGGTGGATCATGAAGTCAGGAGATCGAGACCAGCCTGGCCAACATGGTGAAACCCCATTTCTACTAAAAACACAAAAATTAGCGGGCGTGGTGGCACACACCTGTAATCCCAGCTACTTGGGAGGCTGAGGCAGGAGAATTGCTTGAACCCGGGAGGCGGAGGTTGCAGTGAGCTGAGATTGTGCCACTGCACTCCAGCCTGGGCGACAGAGCGAGACTCCATCTCAAAAAAAAAAAAAAAAAAAAGAGGATGCATTGCCATCAGATTTATTGGAAACAGGGAATATTGTTGTTGTAATCTAGAGAGAAAGAAAAATCTGATCTATGTCACAGGAATGAAAATACAAGAAGGGAAGGATCCAGGAGACCTGAGGATGCACTTGGGACCTGTAGATAAGTTTCATGACCTATCTTCCTGGCATAAGCCTCCAAAGCTGAGTGTAACTTGAGTGGTAATTAAGGCACTGGCTGCCCACAGTTGTATCCTTGTTGCCCTGCCAGGGCACTATCTTTCCCCCAGCTTGACCTGGAATTACCAGTATTCATCATTGCTGGGTTAAACCACAAAGACAAAACTCCTTCAAAAGTCTTTGGACCCGGTAGGCTGGGACAGTAACCTTTCATCAGCCCCGCTTCTATCTCTGAAAAGCTATGTATGAATTTAAGAAAAAGCTAACTCTTTGGAAAAATTGGACCTGGACCTTCCAAGCTAATGAAAGAACAGAGATTCTTCATGTGGATGGGAATGGCTGGACCTCAGAGCCCTGCCTTCTCTTTCTAGAGGTTATCTTTCCCATGGGGAGCTCACTAATTGCCCTGCTCCTCTGTTATACTGGGGTCACCCCTCACTTCTCCACTTCCCTGCCTAGGGCTTGGTTTCATTAGAGAAATGTGACAACAGGTTTAGCTACAAACGCCCATTAACATCAAGCGTCAGAATCTCAGGCGTGCACAACAGCTGGCACCGGTGAAAGCTCAGCCCTCTCTTGGCACTGTGCCTATTCCGCCCATGCTATTAACTGCCTTGATCAAAGTTGTCTCTATATTGATCTCTCCCCCTTGTTAACTCATGAGACCCCTGATAGATAGAGCTAGCATCTTATTCCTTTACGCATCACCTTAGTGCTTAACACATAGTACCTTGCACTGATGTTTGCACATAAATTAACAGCATAATTATAATATGAGGCATGATGGTTGTATTCCAGGTGTCTCTACAAGGCTGAAGTTAAAATTCATATCTTTTATTTAAGAGACTAACCCTAAATTATTTTCCATGGCAATTTACTAGAGATTAGTTTATCAAATTAGTTATTTGGCCTTGAATTCACTGTGAGGACATAGATGGTGAATATTAAGGGGGAGACCACAAGAAGGGGCTGAGGAGCCTCAGAGACACTCAGAGAAAGGAAATATACATATAAAAACAGAAGTGGAGCACTGCAATCAAATGTCATCTATTTCACAATCCTACCTCAAATTACTCTGCCTATACCACTGCACATTTGCTTAAATGATATCATGTAATGGTCTCCCCCAACTTTTTAAGTAGTGTGTTTCCTCAATATCTCCAGGTGGAGCACAAATAGAATATATTGTTCCTTTTCAAGGCTAGCACTATGGGCTATGACCCTCTCCACCCCAAATCTACAATGTTGGCACATAGAAGATGCTCAAGAAGTACTTGTGAGTGGATAAATACGTACACTTCACAGTGAGGGACTGTCTCTGCCTTGCTCATTTTATCTTAGGCCTAGTGCGTAATAATCTCAATGAGTGTTTTGTATGAATAAATAGACATTTTTTCAATGCATCTTGAATCCCCCATTTTCTTTCAGGGCTGGAACAAACATTATCTCTGATAATTTAAACTCAGATTTCCTTGTATTAATCACATCTGTAAGTATGTAATAGAAGCATTAACTTTTTCAGTTAAAATTCTGGTAGAGAGCTACAACCAAAGATTACATATCTTCTATAATGCCTTCATATTTATGATCATCTCTAGAACTAGGAGCTAGTTGAACCTGACCATAGATTACCCATTGACATATTCGATGATTCAATAGTATAACTAATCAGGAGTAATTTCAACTCCTCTTTGGAATTTTGAATTAAATAATCTTTACATGTCAATATAGAAGATGATGCGTTAAAGAAATCCAAGTTTCTTTGGTAGTCAGTTATTCAGTCTTTTTTTCAGGGCCATTGTCTGGTAATTACTCAGATGAATTATGAGAAAATATCTGTACATTCCTGGGTAATGACAGATTCTTCCAACCTAAAAAATTTCCACACTGGTCTTCCACCAACAGGAACTGTTGATGTACCTGGGAGAAGTTTAGAAAGTAAGAACATTTCTGTGAAATGATGCTACACAAATATTGAAATTGATTTCTGAGTTGGAATCTACCAATAGTGGGCCTGTTATCTGTCTCATATTTATTTTTATTAATTACATAAAATAATTTCAATGTACCATAAAAATCAGGAAAAAGCTTAAAATATGTATTGCCTTTTTCGTTAAATATCCTCCTATGAGTCCATTTTAAGAAATGCCTAGTATTTCATCTAATAAATGGATCATAATATGAATAATTTTAAAATAAAAATCTGTAACAACAAAATATGTACTCTTCTGAAAGCATCCACAGTCTCTCCCAAGACATCATTCTCAGCTTCTAGAAAAACAACGCTAAACACAAAGAAACCTCAGCTCCAGGTAAGATAAATGGAATAAATTTGGTGTCTCATTGAACATCTGGCTCTTAGGTTCTTTACTATCTAAAATATTGAGGATTGTTGCTCAAAGGAGTACAGAGTAATGAGATAGAAAGATCCTTTTGATAAAAATGATCACCAAGGGAGCACTCAAAGTTCCTGTGTTCATTTAAGTCTTGGATGGTCCCTAGATGTCTAACTGATAATTACTCTTCCAGGAAGTTTGTAGGATGCAAAAGTCACTCCTTCCTTGTAATATAAGGTAGCTGAACAAACTAGACAAGATAAATGGCAAAACTTTGTAAGATCTTCCTTGATTATCTTAATAATGTTCTTGATTAAACTTAATTTATATCCACAATCATTTATTAAGCAGCTACTCTTTCCTGGGATTGGGGACATAAACATGAGTAAGACCCTGTACTGTAAGGAAGAGAGCTTTTAACCTCCATTGGCAAAGTTAATCATTATCTGTAAATACTTAACAATATACATTATTTCCAAATAAGATTTGATTTTTTAACATAATTCATTATTTCACATATCTATGGCACAAATGGCCTGGCTTGCTTCTTGTAGGGTATCATACTTCTTCCGTCTTGAGGCCCTGTCCCTGGACCTCTGGGCTTCTTCCATATTGGCATGTCCTTAGTAACAAATTGACAGAAGGAAATGTTTAATAACTACAGACAGATAGTTGTATTTGATATCCATATTGATAGTTGTCAGCATGGCACCATTCCTCAATGGGTCACAAAAAAACCATGATCTTTTAGACAAGGGTCTCACCATTATATATCCCTCCACTGATGGATGTCCTATTAGCTGTTCTTAAGGTGGATAGTTTTCTGCTCAAAGAGAGTTTCTGTTCTCTTTTTTTTTTTTTTTTTTTTTTTGAGACGGATTCTCACTCTGTCACCCAGGCTGGAGTGCAGTGGCACAATCTCAGCTCACTGCAAGCTCCACCTCCCAGGTTCATGCCATTCTCCTGCCTCAGCCTCCCGAGTAGCTGGGAATACAGGCACCCGCCACCACACCTGGCTAATTTTTTGTATTTTTTTTTTTAGTAGAGACGGGGTTTCACCGTTAGCCAGGATGGTCTCGATCTCCTGACCTCATGATCTGCCCGCCTTGGCCTCCCAAAGTGCTGGGATTACAGGCATGAGCCACCGCACCCGGCCTTTTCTGTTCTCTTAGAAGCATCAGCTGCTTCTTTTTTTTTTTTTTTCTCTTGAGACACAGTCTCGCTCTGTCGCCCAGGCTGGAGTGCAGTGGCACAATCTTGGCTCACTGCAACCTCCACCTCCTGGGTTCAAGTGATTCTCATGCCTTAGCCTCCCGAGTAGCTGGGATTACAGGCATGCACCACCATGCCTGACTGACTTTTTGTATTTTTAGTAGCAATGGGGTTTTGCCATGTTGGCCAAGCTACTCTCAAACTCCTGACCTCAGGTGATCTGCCTACCTCAGCCTCCCAAAGTGCTGGGATTACAGGTGTGAGCCACCATGCCCGGCCAGCTACTTCTTTTTAATTCATTGCTTCATCACATATGTATTGAGCACCTACTCCATGGGGCTGCTGCTCTCTGCTTATGATACCACCTGTCTTGGACCCAAGGCATTTCCCTGCCTTTTTCAGAGTCACATTTTTTTTTCTTTACAGAAATAATTAAGTTATCAAAGTCACAGTTTTAATAATCATTCTATCACATGTGCTCAATGTATCAGAGATTTTCCCTGGACTAACAGTAAAGTAAGTTAGCTTAGGTTTAATTGGAATGGGGCTGTCTTACTTGATTGAACTAATGAAAATTACAAGCATTTAAAATTTGAATTACTTTAATAAGGACAAAACGGTCATTTCCTAAATTAATTATAATTTATTAACTACCTTTAAACCCTTATTAATTAAATAGGATAGTAAAGTGAAATTTAAAAAATGGATGATTTCCTGAAGGAGATGAAATAGTGATTTAAAAAATCTTTCTCTATTGGTTTAATAGACAAGCACAGCATGGTGTAATTCATCCAGGACTCAGAACAGCAGGATGATGAAAGACTCTGTATACATAGGGCATTTGGGTGATGGGAACTAGTGAGGATTATTTTCCAGAGAATGACTGTATTCTATTTTACCCTATTTCAGTAGTTATTAACTTTTCTGTGGTTGAGAACTTGACACACATAAGTCAACTGATGTTTCCTAGGTATGCCTTATATACCAGGCATTGTGCTGAGAGCTGAGAGTTTGATGAAAGCTAGGGACTCATTCCAACAGAAAAAATTAAAATGTACACATGTACATTCATTTCCATTTCTGTGTACTAACTCTCAGGGATATATAGACCCCTAAAATTCATCCATGAAGACCCCTGGGTCTGTGGATCTAATTTAAGGACCACTGCCCTATTTGAAGTTGTTCAAGCAAGGAATGATGTGTGTGTCTTAGGACTAGTCACTTAAGCCCCCTAGGCTTCCATTTCTTTGTTAAATGAGGACAGTCAGTGAAAGCCTTCTATTTCTAAGAATCTAGGGGGCTGTGAATAAGTGTTATAAGTATGCTTGCTTGTACATATCATCTGTCTCTCTGTTGCCTATATTTGTGTGGGGGCATAGAAGAGACTAGCACAAAACAGAGCATCACCAAATAGAATAGGAATCAGAGGATCATCTGGAATTTCAAAATCGTATCAACTCCTCTACAATAAGAGGCAGTGGCAATCCAGAAGGTAAATGATCCCACAGTGAATGAATGGCAGAGTCAGGGCTTGGCCCCATATTTCCTGACCCTCAGCTCACAGTGTGCATGAAAAGTTATCCTCCATTAATGCCCACAAAATGGGTTATGATGGATTAATAACTAGCTTTTTGAATTGACATCAAATCTCAGTTGTTTTCTTGTGGAATTAAGGGATTTGTCTTTAATTAGAGGTGTTACTAATGAAAATGTTTTATAAGCTTAGATCCTTCGTATAAAAGACACTTAGGAAATTCAAGGATATCTGGGAAATCTAGAAAGCATTGCTAGTGGCAGTAACTTTGGTGTTACGGGTTGAATTGTGTTTCTCCAAAATTCATATATTGCAGTCCCAGCCCCCAGCACCCCAGAACGCGACTATATTTAAAAACAGGGTCTTCACAGAGGGAATCAAGTTAAGATGAGAGCATTTGGCTGCATCCTACTCCAATACGATGGGTGTCTTAATTAAAAGGGGAAATTTGCACACAAAGACCCACACAGGGAGAGAGCCATGTGAACCTGATGGCAGGGATCAGAGTGATGCTTCTGGAAGCCAAGGAACTCCAAAGATTGCTTGCCAACTTCCAGAAGCCAGGGGAGAGGCCTGCAACAGATTTTCTCTCACAGCGGTCAGAAGAGAGATTTTCTCTCACAACCCTGCTGACACCTGGATTTTGGATGTCCAGCCTCCAGAACCCCAGATAATAAATGTCTGTTGTTTAAGCCATCCAGTTTACAATACTTTATTACAATAGCTTCGGCAAACCAGTCTACCTAGGAAGGTCACATGGCCTCTCTGGACTTGGTTTCCTTGTATGTCAAGTGAGGGATGAACCAGATAAGTAGCTTTTTTTTTTTTTTTTGAGACGGAGTCTTGCTCTGTCACCCAGGCTGGAGAGTGCAGTTGCACGATCTCTGTTCACTGCAACCTTCACCTCCTGGGTTCAAGTGATTCTCCTGCCTCAGCCTCCTGAGTAGCTGGGACTACAGGCACCTGCCACCATGCCCGGCTAATTTTTGTATTTTTAGTAAAGATGGGGTTTCACCATTTTAGCCAGGCTGGTCCCAAACTCTTGACCTCAAGTGATCTGCCCACCTTGGCCTCCCAAAGTGCTGCGATTACAGCAGATAAGTAGTTTATTGATGGTGTTCTTGGAGCCTTTCAGGGGCCTCTGTGTGAGTGTTTGTGATACAGAAAACTGGAACAAATGAAATAGTATGTATATATAGTGTATATATAGTATAGTGTGTTATATAGTATATATATTATACACATATATATTATATATACTATATTGTATTAATGTGTGTGTGTGAGTGCATGCACACGTGCATTCAGGGTTCCCCTCACATCCTCTTCTTCTGTACCAGCTGAGGCTGCTTCCGAGAAACAGGTCCTTTCTGTTTTCCAGATAGTAAAATCTGCCCAAGATACTATGTGAAAGAGCAGGTTTCACAGCAGTGTGCATGGTATGCTTCCTTCCTTTTGTATTAAAAAGTGAAATAATTTAAAAAGATGGACAATAACAACTGTTGGTGAGGAAGTGGAGAAATTGGAACACACATAAGTTGCTGGTGGGAAGGTAGAATGATGTAGCCACTTTGGAAAAGAGTCTGGCAGTTTTGCAAAATAATTACATGTAGATTTACTGTATGACCCAGCAATCCCACTCCTAGATGCATCCCAAGACAATTGAAAATACCTGTTCATACAAAAATGTGTACATGTGTGTTTGTAGCAGTATTATTCATAATAGCCAAAAGCTTCGAAACAATAAATATCTATCAATTAATGAATAGATCAAATGTGGTATATGTCTATACAATGGGGATAGTCAATCATAGAAAGGAATGAAGCACTGATACATGCTGCAACATGGATGAACCTTGAAAACATTGTGCTAAGTGAAAGAAGCCAGTCACAAAGGCCACCTACTGTATGATTCAATTTACATGAAATGTCCAGAATAGACAAATCTACAGAGACAGGAGTAGATTAATGATTGCTTAGGGATAGTGGGTTGGGGGAACTGGGGGCAGGGGGGTGATAGCTAAGGGGCATTTATTTTTGGAGTGATGAAAATGTTCTTTAATTAGTGATGATGGCTGTACATCTTTATGAATATAATAAAAACCACTTAATTGTACACTTTAAAAGAGTGAATTTTATGGTATATTATGTTTCAATTTTTAAAACCTGGGAAGAGAATAAAATTTGTTTAGAAAGAGGGACAAATAATTCATTATTTTCTTTATTATGCATGAAGAAACTCTGTAAGAAGACATAACACACTGATCAGTGGTTACCTGGATTGGGAGGGGCTTCTGAGACACTCATAACTGAGCAGATGGGGGACAAGTGAAAAAGAGGGACTTAAAAAGAAATGTAAAATTTAAAATTATACCTTTTAATATTTTATGATTGAAATTTGAACCATGTGGCTACATTTAAAAAAAATAAAATTATATAAAACTATGTACATTGTATTAGAATTTTTTTATTATTATTTTTTGTTGAGATAGGGTCTCTGTCACCCCGGCTGGAGCGCAGTGGCGTAATCTTGGCTCACTGCGACCTCCACCTCCTGGGCTCAAGCAATCCTCCCTGCCCCAGCCCCACAGGTACACACCACCATGCCTGGCTAATTTTTGTATTTTTTTGTAGAGACGGGGTTTTGCCATGTTGCCCAGGCTGGTCTTGAACTCCTGAGATCAAGTGATCTACCCACCTTGGCCACTCAAAGTGCTAAGATTACAGGCGTGAGCCACCGTGCCCGGCCAAGAGTTTTATTATAGTTAGTTTGGTAGTATAGAAGTTTGACCCCCCAGCTATGAGAGCTTGAAGACACATATTTAATTTTTGTCTTTAGGACATTGGGTTAATTTATCATTAGGACACATATTGTTGGATTCCTTTTCTTATGATTCTTGATTACCCATGCTAGACAATCCTTTCTTTATTTTGGTACAATTCTTATTTTTTTTTCTAGAACTATTTGGTGTCCTTGTTCTCTGCATATGTTCTTCTCTTATTAAATAGAAACAAGTATACATCTTATATATATAACTCCAGGGTTTATTATTTTCTACTTTTTTCATAATATCAACTACTAAGACTTTCTATTGCATCTCCTGGGAAGTGCTATAGAAACTAACATAGGCCTTTATTTGAAAAAAAAAAAAAAAAAAGAAAGGATCTTGAAACTTAAAAGAAAATATATGAAAAAAACCCCACCAGACTACATGGTATTTAAAGTCTATACCATCTCTTAAGATGTTATGATTTTATGATTCACTGGCTCAGGATAATCTAGGGACAGATCCAGGTTTTGTGGAACATGAACCTTATATAATTTAGAGATCACTTTTTAAGAAAAGGAATTTTGGAACCCATTTTCTCTGGAATTTCCACACTGCAAGATGTGTCAGATATGCCAAGAGATGATCAGATATGTTGAGATCACAGATATCCAAGTTTGCTTACAAAAACACTGTTTGTAGTGTCACTGTAAATTTGTACCCTCCATTCATAGGAATTCTGAACATTTTTATTTTAGGATTCCTACTTTAAAAAATACAATGTGTTTACATTTGAATACATTGCAATATCAAGCATGTCTCTGACAAAATAGAACTTCCATTTTGAATAGCAGAAAATGAGATAAAATCTTCAACTTACGATTTTACCTATCTGATAATTGAAAGAATTCTTCATAGACTAGCATCTGGCTCTGTTTATTTCAAAGTTCTGTTTGTCTCCACATTCATTACACAATATAGCCCATGCCCTTAATCTTTGAATTATGATACCAGATGAGTCCCAGAGTGGGCACTTGCACTATTCATCGAGGAAATTTTATCCTGGGAGGCCAGTAGTAACCTAACTACACAGAGAATTGACTGATGACTGAATCAATAGATCCCACTAAATTCAGGCTGAATGTCTCCAGTTCAACTTCCCCTAAGGTGGATCTTCAAAATACCTCTGGTCACACCAAGGCCACCCAACAAAATGGAAAATGTGATAAAGGAAAAGTAGTAGTGGAAAGGGAAAGCTCTTTTTTTTTTTATTACACTTTAAGTTTTAGGGTACATGTGCACAACGTGCAGGTTTGTTACATAAGTATACATGTGCCATGTTGGTGTGCTGCACCCATTAACTCGTCATTTACATTAGGTATATCTCCTAATGCTATCCCTCCCCCCTCCCCCCACCCCACAACAGTCCCCGGTGTGTGATGTTCCCCTTCCTGTGTCCATGTGTTCTCACTGTTCAATTCCCACCTATGAGTAAGAACATGCGGTGTTTGGTTTTTTGTCCTTGCGATAGTTTGCTGAGAATGATGGTTTCCAGCTTCATCCATGTCCCTACAAAGGACATGAACTCATCCTTTTTTATGGCTGCATAGTATTCCATGGTGTATATGTGCCACATTTTCTTAATCCAGTCTATCATTGTTGGACATTTGGGTTGGTTCCAAGTCTTTGCTATTGGGAATAGTGCCGCAATAAACATACGTGTGCATGTGTCTTTATAGCAGCATGATTTATAGTCCTTTGGGTATATACCCAGTAATGGGATGGCTGGGTCAAATGGTATTTCTAGTTCTAGATCCCTGAGGAATCGCCACACTGACTTACACAATGGTTGAACTAGTTTACACTTCCACCAACAGTGTAAAACTGTTCCTATTTCTCCACATCCTCTCCAGCACCTGTTGTTTCCTGACTTTTTAATGATCTCCATTCTAACTGGTGTGAGATGGTATCTCATTGTGGTTTTGATTTGCATTTCTCTGATGGGCAGTGATGATGAGCATTTTTTCATGTGTTTTTTGGCTGCATAAATGTCTTCTTTTGAGAAGTGTCTGTTCACATCCTTCGCCCACTTGTTGATGGGGCTGTTTGTTTTTCTCTTGTAAATTTGTTTGAGTTCATTGTAGATTCTGGATATTAGCCCTGTGTCAGATGAGCATATTGCAAAAATTTTCTCCCATGTTGTAGGTTGCCTGTTCACTCTGATGGTAGTTTCTTTTGCTGTGCAGAAGCTCTTTAGTTTAATTAGATCCCATTTGTCTATTTTGGCTTTTGTTGCCATTGCTTTTGGTGTTTAGTCATGAAGTTCTTGCCCATGCCTGTGTCCTGAATGGTATTGCCTAGGTTTTCTTCTAGGGTTTTTATGGTTTTAGGTCTAACATTTAAGTCTTTAATCCATCTTCAATTAATTTTTGTATAAGGTGTAAGGAAGGGATCCAGTTTCAGCTTTCTACATACGGCTAGCCAGTTTTCCCAGCACCATTTATTAAATAGGGAATCCTTTCCCTGTTGCTTGTTTTTCTCAGGTTTGTCAAAGATCAGATATTTGTAGATGTGTGGCATTATTTCTGAGGGCTCTGTTCTGTTCCATTGGTCTATATCTCTGTTTTGGTACCAGTACCATGCTATTTTGGTTCCTGTAGCCATGTAGTATAGTTTGAAGTCAGGTAGTGTGATGGCTCCAGCTTTGTTTTTTTGGCTTAGGATTGACTTGGCAATGTGGGCTCTTTTTTGGTTCCATATGAACTTTAAAGTAGTTTTTTCCAATTCTGTGAAAAAAGTCATTGGTAGCTTGATGGGGATGGCATTGAATCTACAAATTACCTTGGGGAGTATGGCCTTTTCATGATATTGATTCTTCCTACCCATGAGCATGGAATGTTCTTCCATTTGTTTATATCCTCTTTTATTTCATTGAGCAGTGGTTTGTAGTTCTCCTTGAAGAGGTCCTTCACATCCCTTGTCAGTTGGATTCCTAGGTATTTTATTCTCTTTGAAGCAATTGTGAATGGGAGTTCACTCATGATTTGGCTCTCTGTTTGTCTGTTATTGGTGAATAAGAATGCTTGTGATTTTTGTACATTGATTTTGTATCCTGAGACTTTGCTGAAGTTGCCTATCAGCTTAAGGAGATTTTGGGCTGAGACAATGGGGTTTTCTAAATATACAATCATGTCATCTGCAAACAGGGACAATTTGACTTCCTCTTTTCCTAATTGAATACCCTTTATTTCCTTCTCCTGCCTGATTGCCCTGGCCAGAACTTCCAACACTATGTTGAATAGGAGTGGTGAGAGAGGGCATCGCTGTCTTGTGCCAGTTTTCAAAGGGAATGCTTCCAGTTTTTACCCATTCAGTATGATATTGGCTGTGGGTTTGTCATAAATAGCTCTTATTATTTTGAGATATGTCCCATCAATACCTAATTTATTGAGAATTTTTAGCATGAAAGGCTGTTGAATTTTGTCAAAGGCCTTTTCTGCATCTATTGAGATAATCATGTTGTTTTTGTCGTTGGTTCTGTTTATATGCTGGATTATGTTTATTGATTTGCATATGTTGAACCAGCCTTACATCCCAGGGATGAAGCCCACTTGATCATGGTGGATAAGCTTTTTGATGTGCTGCTGGATTCAGTTTGCCAGTATTTTATTGAGGATTTTTGCTTCGATGTTCATCAGGGATATTGGTCTAAAATTTTCTTTTTTTGTTGTGTCTCTGCCAGCCTTTGGTATCAGGATGATGCTGGCCTCATAAAATGAGTTAGGGAGGATTCCCTCTTTTTCTGTTGATTGGAATAGTTTCAGAAGGAATGGTACCAACTCCTCCTTGTACCTCTGGTAGAATTCGGCTGTGAATCCGTCTGGTCCTGGACTTTTTTTGGTTGGTAAGCTATTAATTATTGCCTCAATTTCAGAGCCTGTTATTGGTCTATTAAGAGATTCAACTTTTTCCTGGTTTAGTCTTGGGAGGGTGTATGTGTTGAGGAATTTATCCATTTCTTCTAGATTTTCTAGTTTATTTGCGTGGAGGTGTTTATAGTATTCTCTGGTGGTAGTTTGTATTTCTGTGGGATCAGTGGTGATATCCCCTTTATCATTTTTTATTGCATCTGTTTGATTCTTCTCTCTTTTCTTCTTTATTAGTCTTGCTAGCGGTCTATCAATTTTGTTGATCTTTTCAAAAAACCAGCTCCTGGATTCATTGATTTTTTGAAGGGTTTTTTGTGTCTCTATCTCCTTCAATTCTGCTCTGATCTTAGTTATTTCTTGCCTTCTGCTAGCTTTTGAATGTGTTTGCTCTTGCTTCTCTAGTTCTTTTAATTGTGATGTTAGGGTGTCAATTTTAGATCTTTCCTGCTTTCTCTTGTGGGCATTTAGTGCTATAAATTTCCCTCTACACACTGCTTTAAATGTGTCCCAGAGATTCTGATATGTCATGTCTTTGTTCTCGTTGGTTTCAAAGAACATCTTGATTTCTGCCTTCATTTCGTTATGTACCCAGTACTCATTCAGGAGCAGGTTGTTCAGTTTCCATGTAGTTGAGTGGTTTTGAGTGAGTTTCTTAATCCTGAGTTCTAGTTTGATTGCACTGTGGTCTGAGAGACAGTTTGTTATAATTTTTGTTCTTTTGCATTTGCTGAGGAGTGCTTTACTTCCAACTATGTGGTCAATTTTGGAATACGTGTGGTGCGGTGCTGAGAAGAATGTACAGTTCATTGATTTGTGGTGGAGAGTTCTGTAGATGTCTATTAGGTCCGCTAGGTGAGGACCTAGTTCAATTCCTGGATATCCTTGTTGACTTTCTGTCTCGTTGATCTGTCTAATGTTGGCAGTGGGTTGTTAAAGTCTCCCATTATTATTGTGTGGGAGTCTAAGTCTCTTTGTAGATCACTCAGGACTTGCTTTATGAATCTGGGTGCTCCTGTATTGGGTGCATATATATTTAGGATAGTTAGCTTTTCTTGTTGAATTGATCCCTTTACCATTATGTAATGGCCTTGTCTCTTTTGATCTTTGTTGGTTTAAAGTCTGTTTTATCAGAGACTAGGATTGCAACCCCTGCCTTTGTTTTCCATTTGCTTGGTAGATCTTCCTCCATCCCTTTATTTTGAGCTTATGTGTGTCTCTGCACGCGAGATGGGTTTCCTGAATACAGCACACTGGTGGGTCTTGACTGTTTATCCAATTTGCCAGTCTGTGTCTTTTAATTGGAGCATTTAGCCGATTTAAATTTCAGGTTAATATTGTTATGTGTGAATTTGATCCTGTCATTATGATGTTAGCTGGTTATTTTGCTCGTTAGTTGATGCAGTTTCTTCCTAGCCTCGATGGTCTTTACAATTTGGCATGTTTTTGCAGCGGCTGGTACCAGCTGTTCCTTTCCATGTTTAGTGCTTCCTTCAGGAGCTCTTGTAGGGCAGGCCTGGTGGTGACAAAATCTCTCAGCATTTGCTTATCTGTAAAGTATTTTATTTCTCCTTCACTTATGAAGCTTAGTTTGGCTGGATATGAAATTCTGGGTTGAAAATTCTTTTCTTTAAAAATGTTGAATATTCTTAAAGAAATGCTCTCCTGGCTTGTAGAGTTTCTGCCAAGAGATCAGCTGTTAATCTGATGGGCTTCCCTTTGTGGGTAACCTGACCTTTCTCTCTGGCTGCCCTTAACATTTTTTCCTTCATTTCAACTTTGGTGAATCTGACAATTATGTGTCTTGGAGTTGCTCTTCTCAAGGAGTATCTTTGTGGCATTCTCTGTATTTCCTGAATTTGAACATTGGCCTGCTTTGCTAGATTGGGGAAGTTCTCCTGGATAATATCCTGCAGAGTGTTTTCCAACTTGGTTCCATTCTCCCCATCACTTTGAGGCACACTGGTCAGACGTAGATTTGGTCTTTTCACATAGTCCCATATTTCTTGGAGGCTTTGTTCGTTTCTTTTTATTCTTTTTTCTCTAAACTTCTCTTCTTGCTTCATTTCATTCATTTCATCTTCCATCACTGATACCCTTTCTTCCAGTTGATCGAATCGGCTACTGATGCTTGTGCATTCGTCACGTAGTTCTCATGCCGTGGTTTTCAGCTCCATCAGGTCCTTTAAGGACTTCTCTGCACTGGTTATTTTAGTTAGCCATTCGTCTAATCTTTTTTCAAGGTTTTTAACTTCTTTGCGATGGGTTCAAACTTCCACCTTTAGTTCGGAGAAGTTTGATCATCTGAAGCCTTCTTCTCTCAACTCATCAAAGTCATTCTCTGCCCAGCTTTGTTCCATTGCTGGTGAGGAGCTGCATTCGTTTGGAGGAGGAGAGGCGCTCTGATTTTTAGAATTTTAAGTTTTCCTGTTCTGTTTTATCCCCATCTTTTTGGTTTTATCTACCTTTGGTCTTTGATGATGGTGATGTACAGATGGGGTTTTGGTGTAGATGTCCTTTCTGCTTGTCAGTTTTCCTTCTAACAGTCAGGACCCTCAGCTGCAGGTGTGTTGGAGTTTGCCAGAGGTCCACTCCAGACCCTGTTTGCCTGGGTATCAGCAGCGGAGGCTGCAGAACAGCAAATATTGCTGAACAGCAAATGTTGCTGTCTGATCGATCCTCTGGAGGTTTCATCTCAGAGGGGTACCTGGCCGTGTGAGGTGTCAGTCTGCCCCTACTGGGAGGTGCCTCCCAGTTAGGCTACTCAGGGGTCAGGGACCCACTTGAGGAGGCAGTCTGTCCGTTCTCAGATCTCAAGCTGCATGCTGGGAGAACCACTACTCTCTTCAAAGCTATCAGACAGGGACATTTAAGTCTGCAGAGGTTTCTGCTGCCTTTTGTTTGTCTGTGCCCTGCCCGCAGAGGTGGAGTCTAAAGAGGCAGGCAGGCCTCCTTGAGCTGCGGTGGGCTCCACCCAGTTCGAGCTTCCTGGCTGCTTTGTTTACCTACTCAAGCCTCGGCAATGGCGGGTGCCCCTCCCCCAGCCTCGCTGCCGCCTTGCAGTTTGATCTCAGACTGCTGTGCTAGCAATGAGCCAGGCTCAGTGGGCGTAGGACCCTCCGAGCCAGGCGCAGGATATAGTCTCCTGGTGTGCTGTTTGCTAAGACCGTTGGAAAAGCGCAGTATTAGGGTGGGAGTGACCTGATTTTCCAGGTGCTGTCTGTCACCCCTTTCCTTGACTAGGAAAGGGAATTCCCTGACCCCTTTTGCTTCCCGGGTGAGGTGATGCCTCACCCTGCTTCGGGTCACGCTCAGTGTGCTGCACCCACTGTCCTGCACCCACTGTCCAACAATCCCCAGTGAGATGAAACTGGTACATCAGTTGGAAATGCAGAAATCATCCGTCTTCTGTGTCACTCATGCTGGGAGCTATAGACTGGAGCTGTTCCTTCCTATTCAGCCATCTTGGAACTGCCCCCCGGGAAAGCTCTTAAACAATTGTAGTTAAAATGTCTTACATTTTCAAATTTGACAAAAAATATATGTTTTTGTGACTCTGTTGCTGGAACTCCTCTTAGACCTTGCAAGGGGCCTGTGCAAATGAGGGACTCTAAAGTTTAAGATTCATTGTTTCTTGGTAAATCTGCCTCTATTTATTACTTAAATTTAGAGGTGTAAATAGAAGCATGATATACATATAGTTAAATAATCACTCCCTGCTGAAAGCATGAGATAATATTTAAATTTTAGAGTATAGTAGATTAGGTACTGATGCATGTGCACATCCTGTATGTGTTATAGAAAACATGTAATTCTTCAGTCCTTGGCACGTATTAGACAAAAATGTTTTAGGAATGAATATCTGCATGAGTAAATATTTAAATAAGTATTGATTGAGACTGTTATGAAAAACTAACATATAAGTAACTTATCTCTATCACTCACTAAATCTCACCATTGGAAATGTTGAGAGTCATGTGATAATGTGATATGAAAGGTTACATTTATTAAGTGATGCTATGTGCTAGACTATCTAAGAAAATATAACTTTTTGTTTAATTTATTTAAGATATAAATGTAGTCCATGGTTTTTTAAAAAAAACTGAAAGATAACATTCAATCCAACAAATCCACATTTACATTTCAAGTTATATCACTAAATATATCACTAAATATAAGTGACCTCTTTTAAATTTATATATTTCTGAAATCTTTTTAATATTTCATCTATAATAAGGGCTATTTTTTCCTTTATGTAGCAACACAGACTCTCACTGATGCCAACAATATTTGAGTTAAAGCTGTGGTTCCCACATTAAATAATTCTACCACATTTCATATTGGGTATTTTTAGAAAAAAATTTCCAGTGACTATTTTAGTAGAAAAATAGTAATTTTTTTCCAGTAACTATTTGCCCTAATCTGAAAAATATTTCTGGCATCCACAGTTACATATTTGGACAGTCATGTGAATCTAATATAAACAAAGATACTCTTGAGTACTAAGAGAATATACCAAGGAAAGTGAGATAAAGTAATTATTTTAGAGGAACTTATTGACTTTAATTCAAATGCATAAAATGAAAATCGTTTTAGGACAATTCAAATAGTTTTTGTAATCATATTTTAAGAACATGATTATCACTATAAATTATTGGAGAATATGATTAGCAATGTTATAGTGTATTGAACATTCTAAGTTTGATATTTTCATCATGATGAGGTGCATCAAGACAGAAATTTGGGATTCTGAGGAATGATTTCTTGGGTAGCTGAATTAGATTAACTGACATTTTTAAATTGATAAAAATAATTCATCTTATTTGCGCATCCTAAATGTACACTAATGTTTATATGTGACTCAGATTTTATTCCACTTAATTAAATAAAAATATTTATGCAAAGCACTAAGAACATTGCCTGGCACAAAGAAAAAATGTTAGTATGTAAGTGCAACCCCCTACCTCCTAATTAAATTTAATAAGGATGTTAGTTACATAATCTTGTACCCAAAGTTATGCTAGACTGTCTAATCAAGAAAGATATCTTTTTGTTTTATTTATTTAAGATATAAATGTAGTCCATGTTTTTTTTTTTTTTTAAATAACTGAAAAATAACAATCCAAGAAATACAACATTTACATTTCAGGGCCAGGTGTGGTGGCTCACGCCTGTAATCCCAGCACTTTGGGAGGCTGAGGCGGGCTGATCATGAGGTCAGGAGATCAAGACCATCCTGGCTAACATGGTGAAACCCCATCTCTACTAAAAATACAAAAAAAAAAAAAAATTAGCCATGTGCGGTGGTGGGCACCTGCAGTCCCAGCTACTGAGGAGGCTGAGGCAGGAGAATGGTGTGAACCCGGGAGGCAGAGCTTGCAGGGAGCCAAGATTGCACCACTGCACTCCAGCCTGGGTGACAGAGCGAGACTCCATCTCAAAAAAACAAACAAACAAACAAACAAACAAAAACAAAAACAAAAAACAGAAATGCAACATTTACATTTCAAGTTATAACAGACAGTAATAATAAAATATTATGACATTGTCTCTACCCTTGAGAAGTTTATGGCTTTGCTGCCACAATTTGGGAATAAACCCATATGTAAATAAATGCTTTGTTGGCTTACATAAATGGTAGGTAGGTAGCTATTTAGAGAAAGACAGTAATATAACCCAGAGTGATCAGATAGAATGTGAACTGGATCTTAATGAATGAAAAGGGTTTGGATAGGCAATGAAGAAAGAGCTTCTTGGGAAAGTAAATTTTTTTTTCATTCATAAGGAGAGCAAGTTTGAATCAAAGTTTAATTTGATTATTTTGCAAACTTGTCTCAGAATGACAGACTGGACAGGAAGATCATCTCCCACAGTCAGGAAACAGGATGGGTCCCCAAGATCTAATGTCAAATAATGGGTGGCACTTGGGTGGGAAAAAAGCTGGTCAGGGTATTTGAGGATCTGCACCAATCCATTGAGGCTGGGTAACACAGGGATGAATGAATCTTATGTTCAGTAACCTGCATTTTGGAAATCTATTTCTCCCTTTCTATTTACTAAATTTCTCCTTTAAAAATGTTTGCTTATCTCACACATGCCAAGGAGAAACAAGGACAGCAGTATTTCTTTGTCCGTGTATGGACAACTATACTTCAGGGACTTGGGCAGGATGGGACTGATGGGAATCAAAGTAAGAGAACCCCAAGGGGAGCCACATCCAAGAAGGCAAAATGCGACTGAGGACATAGTCACCTCTTCCATGCCTCCCAGAGCTTGGCAGGTCTCTGTTTTGTTTGAATGGGCAGCTGGCTATTCCATTCCATGCCTCCCCCCAAAGAAAGTGGCAAAGGGGAGAATAAGGACCTGAGCTATAAATCAGAAAATCAGAGTTCTGACCCTTATTGCTATGCAACACTGGAATAACCCCTAAAGCCCAGCATGACTTGACATCTGCCTGTCTTGCCAACCTCAGCTCATACCATCCCCTTCTTGCTCATTTCACCCGCTCACGATGCTTAGGGCTGAGCTTATTCCTGCCTCCTGACTGACCTTGTCCTTGCTGTTTGCCCTGCTCAGAATGTTCCTCCCTCTTCACACAGTGCTTTACACTCTCAGGCTCCTTCTCATTGTTCCCATCTCAGAGTCACTTCTTCACTGGGGTCTTCCCATCAAAATGACCTCTTACCCAGTCTGTCTCTCATGTCTTGGTCCAACTCTTCAGAGCTCTTATTACTTTCTGAAATTACTTTGTATATCTGTTTGCTTTTTTGCTTATGGTCTGTCTTCCTCCCTCTAGGTTATGAGCCTCAGAAAGCTTGGTATGTCTTGTTTGCTGCTGTTACTCACACGAGTGCCTGGTACTTGGTAGGCATGAAGTAAAAATTTGTTGAATAAATTGAATGAATGATGGTGAAGTGAAAGAGAAAAATAGTTTTATGTGTATATATGAATGTGCTGCGTGTGCATGCATTTATCTACACCTTGATCTGTTTCACAAAATGGTTTGAGGTGGCTTACAAGAAGCACTTGGCCTTGAATCTAGGAATCAATTCATTTCTCATTTTATTGATACCTATGCCATTTTTATTGGGATCTATGCATTCAGCTACAGTAAAGAGCATAGATTTCACTTTCTGGTCCTCACAGACTATATAGAATAGCTGCTGCTTTTCTTCCTATCTGTCATACTGTTATCAAACTATTGCCATGATTGCTAGTTATTTAGCAAATCAGGTACAATTATGTCAGTTATTTCTTTTTGTACTGGTATATACAACATAAAAATCTAGGAGCAACTAAAAGCAAATTATGTATTTTATCAGCAAAAACACCAGTGAGTTTTCTTCAACTCTTGAGTGTCAGTATTTCCATAACATATGAAATTCTAGTTAAAAAGTTTGCATCTGTCATTATTCATTACCAGTGAAGACATCTCAATAGAGAAGACAGATTAAAAATTTTAAATGACATAATTATAAGGAAAATTGCAAGAGCCCAAATTGCCTGCTGCCCCACTCCAAGAATCCCTTTTGCCATTCAGTAGATAGAAAATATGCATCTAATTAGTTTGTTTTTTCCTGGTGTATGGAAGGATGGATGAAGCAATCCATCATTATGGAGGAATTAAAGGTCAGGCTATCATCTGACATAGAGTACAGGGAAACTCCACAAATGTGGTTTTTAGTAAGTTGCTTACATTTTTATTTATTTATTTGGCTGCCTGTTTACTCATCTGTACATTTAGAGGATTAGACCTTCAAGCATCATCTTCCAGTTCTGAAATTCCAGGATTCATTCAACTCTGACTTTTCCCTGTCTCCTTTGGTTACATGTCAGAGCACACCAATGGGCATGCCCACGCTAATTTAAATTCCCTAAAATGATCCATTGTGGGTTTCAGGAGAGCAGAGAAGTTTCCAACAGAAGAGGCGATGGGTGACACTCTTCCTTACTGGGAGGCTGTAGGTACATGTCATGGTCACAGCCATCTTGGACCTCAAGTCTAACTTGAGGATCATGGTCAAATCCTTGGAGATCTTGTTCAAAGGATAAATATGACATAACATGAGTTTACCTTTTGATGCTAAAGGAATCTTCCAATTAGAATTGATCATTTATCAACTGTATCTCAAAATTCAGGATACATGGCCAGACACAGTGGCTCACGCCTGTAATCCCAGCACTTTGGGAGGCTGAGGCGGGTGGATCACAAGGTCAGGAGTTTGAGACCAGCCTAGCCAACATGGTGAAACCCCATCTCTACTAAAATTACAAAAATTAGGCGAGCGTGGTGGCATGCACCTGTAATCCCAGCTACTCGGGAGGCTGAGGCAGGAGAATTGCTTGAACCCAGGAGGCGGAGGTTGCAGTGAGCTGAAATTGTGCCACTGCACTCCAGCCTGGGCGACAGAGCAAGACTGTGTCTCAAAAAAAAAAAAAAAAAAAAAATCAGGATACATGTGGGATAGATTGTTTTTACTTGACCATCTACAATATAGTTTATCTCAAAGTATGGTCTGTGAACCTGAAGCACTAAAATACCCTTGTATGTGTGCTAAAATGCAGATTCCTTGGCTTCACCTCAGACCTACTGAATTAGAATCTGGCAGAAGGAGATGATGCCGTGGGATCTGCAATTTTCACAGATTCCCCAGGTGATTCTTACACTCAGGTTTGAAAAACCACCATGCTAATGGGTTGGAAATAATTCCTTTCTAAGTATCTTGTTGAACATAGGCAAAAAAGCAAGGTAGATCTACATAACTTAGTTAATGGGCAAATCCTACTTCATTACACTGAAAAAAAAAGATTAGCTTGACCTATACAACAGTTTGATTTGCCTTGTAATATATAATCTTATGAGTAATTTCATTTGCATATCTTCCTCCTAAATTTCTGTTCTTGAATTTATTAGATTTGTAGTATTTCTGCTTATTTTTAGCTGCCATTAAATTAAAAGTAATAGATAAAATTATTTGATTTTTCTCTTTTTAAGGTTTCTATACTTAATATAAAAAACTGCTTATTATTTACTATTTATTAAATTTTTAAATTGATGACTAAAAATTGTATTATTTGTGGCACACAGCATGATATTTTGATATATGTATACATTGTAGAATGGCTAAATCAAGCTATTTAACATATGCATCACCTCACATAGTTACCATTTTTTGTGTATGGTAAGAAACTTAAAATCTACCTCTTCACAATGTTCAAGTATACGATATATTGTTATTAACTATAGTACCATGGTATGCAGTAGATCTCTTGAACTTACTCCTCCTGTGTAACTGAAACTTTGTGTCTTTGACCAACATTTCACCAAACTCCCTACCCCTTAGCCTCTGGTAACTACTATTTTACTCTCTGTTTCTATGAGTTTGAATTTTTTGGATTCCACATATAAATAAGATCATGCAATTTTTAAATCTTTTTGTGTCTGGGTAATTTCACTTAATGTTCTCCAGGTTCACCCATGTTGTCGCAAATTAGATTTCCTTCTTATTTAAGGCGGAATAGTATTCCACTTTGTATATATACTACATTTTCTTTATCCATTCATCTGCTGATAGATACTTAGGTTGTTTACATGTCTTAGCTGTTGTGAATAATGCTGCAGTGAACATGGGAGTGCACATATCTCTTTGACATACTGATTTCATCTCCTTTGGATATATATGCAGAAATGGCATGGCTGAATCACATACTAGTTATATTTTAATTTTTTGAGGAACCTCCATACTATTTTCCATAATGGCTGTACTAACTTACATCCCCACCAAGAGTGTACAGGGTTCCCTTTTTTCCACATCCTTGCCAACTTGTGATATCTTTCATGTTTTTGATAGTAGCCATTCTAACAGGTGTGAGATGATACCCCATTGTGGTTTTAATTTGCATTCTCTCATGATTAGTGATGTTGAACATTAAAAAAATATACCTATTAACCATTTATGCCCTCATTTTTTGAGTATAAAGAATTTTAATTTAAAAATCGTTCTTGAACAATAATAGTCCTTAAATTTCAGTAACAGCATGTAACTGAAGATATTTGCTTTATCATACCCCAAAATAAATATTTACTTTTTAAATTGACAGATAAAATTGTATGTATGTATTGTGTACAACATAATATTTTGAAGTATTTATACATTGTGGAATGACTAAATCTAGCTAATTAACATATGCATTACCTCATATGGCTGTCATTTTTGTGGTGATAACATTTTTTCATAATAAAAAAATTTATAGGACATTCTTTTTTTTTTTTTTTTTTGAGACGGAGTCTCGCTCAGTCGCCCAGGCTAGAGTGCAGTGGCGCTGATCTCGGCTCACCGCAAGCTCCGCCTCCCGGGTTCACACCATTCTCCTGCCTCAGCCTTCCGAGTAGCTGGGACTATAGGCGCCCGCCACTACGCCCGGCTAATTTCTTTTTTTTTGTATTTTTAGTAGAGACGGGGTTTCACCGTGTTAGCCAGGATGGTCTCGATCTCCTGACCTCGTGATCTGCCCGTCTCGGCCTCCCAAAGTGCTGGGATTACAGGCGTGAGCCACCGCGCCCGGCGGACGTTCTTACAACTAAATCTTTTTTATTTTTATTTTACTTTAAGTTCTGGGATACATGTGCAGAATGTGCATGTTTGCTACATAGGTATACATGTGCCATGGTGGTTTGCTGTACCTATCAACCCATCATCTAGGTTTTAAGCCCTGCATGCATTAGGTATTTGTTGTAATGCTTTCCCTCCCCTTGCCCCCCACCCCCTTGGCAGGCCCCGGTGTGTGATGTTACCCTCTATGTGTCCATGTGTCCTCCTTGTTTTACTCCCACTTATTAGTGAGAACACGCAGTGTTTGGTTTTCTGTTCCTGTGTTAGTTTGCTGAGAATGATGGCTTCCAGCTTCATCCATGTCTCTGCAAAGGGCATGAACTCACTCCTTTTATGGCTGCATAGTATTCCATGTGCATATGTGCCACATTTTCTTTATACAGTCTATCATTGATGGGCATTTGGGTTGGTTCCAAGTCTTTGCTATTGTGAATAGTGATGCAATAAACATACGTGTGCATGTGTCTTTATAGTAGCATGATTTATAATTCTTTGGGTATATACCCAGTAAGGGGATTGCTGGGTCAAATGGTATTTTTTGTTCTAGATCCTTGAGGAATTGCCACACCGTCTTCCACAATGGTTGAACTAATTTACACTCTCACAGTGTAAAAGCATTCCTATTTCTGTGGTGAGAACATTTTATATCCACTCTCAGCATTTTTCAAGAATACAATATTTTGTTAACTGTAGTCGTCATGTTATACAATATGTATGTCTTCTTTTGAGAAATGTCTATTCAGGTCCTTTGCCCATTTTTTAATTGGGCTATTTGTTTTCTTACTATTGAGTTGTTTGAGTTCATTATATGTATTTAGATATTATCCTCTTAGCAGACATATGGTTTGCAAATATATTCTCCCATTCTATAGGTTGTCTCTTTTTACTCTGCTGATTGTTTCCTTTGTGGTACAGAAGCTTTTTAGATTGATATAATCTCATTTGTCTATTTTTGCTTTTGTTGCCATGCTTTTGGAGTCATATGCAAAAAGTCTTTGCCTAGACCAGTGTTATGCAGCTTTCCCTCTATGTTTTCTTCTAGGAGGTTTGAAGTTTCAAGTCCTACATTTAAGTCTTTAATTCATTTTGCATTGAGTTTTTTACATGGTGTGAGGTGATGATCTAATTCCATTCTTCTGTATATGAATATCCAGTTTTCAAAGCACCATTTATTGAAGAGTGTTCTTTTCCCATTGTGTGTTCATGACATCCTTGTTGAGAATCAATGGACTTTAAATGTGTGGATTTATTTCTGGGCTCTTTGTTCTATTCCATTGGTGCATGTGACTTTTTTTATGCCAGTACCATGCTTTTTTGGTTATTGTAATTCTGTAGTAGATTTTCAAATCAGGTAGTGTGATACCTCCCTCTGTTCTTTTTGCTCAAGACTGCTTTGGCTATTCAGAGTCTTTTGTGGTTTCATATGAATTTTAAGATTGTTTTTTCTATTTCTGTAAAAATGTCGTTGGAATTTTGATAGAAATTGGATTGAATCTGTATATTAATTTGAGCAGTATGGACATTTTAGCAATTTTTAAAAATTGTATACATTTTTAAATTGTTTCATTTCTATTTAATTGACAAATAATACCATCCAATTCATGGAGTACATAGTGATGTTTCAGCATAATGTATTCTATTAGGGTAATTAGCATATCTATCATCTCAAACATTTATCATTTATTTGTGTTGTGAAGATTTAATATCCTCCTTCTAGCTATTTGAAACTATATAACATATTATTGTTAACTGCAATAATTCTACAGTGGTATAGAACACTTTTGTCTCCTATCTAGCTATAATTTTGGATCCTCTAACATATCTCTCCCAATTATCCCCTCCTTTCCCTTACCTTTTTGAGCCTCTACTACCCTGTCCTACTTTTTACTTCTATGAGATCAATGTTTTTGTTTCCACTTCCAAGTGAGAACCTGCAGTGCTTAACTTTCTGTTCTTTGCTTGTTTAACTTGAGATAGTGTCCTCCAATTCCATCCATGTTGCCACAAATAAAAGGATTTCATTCTGTTTTATGGCTAAATAGTATTCCACGGTGTATATATACTACTTTTAAAAATCCATTCATCTGTTGCTGGATACTGATGTTGATTCCATCTCTTGGCTGTTGAAAATAGTGCTGCAATAAATATAGGGTACAAATGTTCCTTCAATATAATGATTTCCTTTCCTTTGGATAAATTCCCAGTCGTGGCTTGCTGGATCATACGGTAGTTCTGTTTGTAGTTTTTTGAGAAACCTCCATACTGTTCTCCATAGTAGCTGTACTAGTTTACATTCCCATCAACGGTGTATAAAAGTTCCCTTTTCTCTGCATCCTCATCAGCATCTTTTTTTATCCTTTTGATAATAGCCATGCTAAATGGAGTGAGATTATACCTCACTGTGGTTTTGATTTGCATTTCCCTGATGATTAATGATATTGAGCATTTTTTCATATGTTTGTTAGCTGTTTGCATGTCTCCCTTTGAGAAACGTCTGTGCAAATCATCTGCCCATTTTAAAAACAGATTTTTGTTTTGCTGTTGAGATGGTTCCGTTCCTTGTATATTCTGGATATTAATCCCCTGTCAGATGAGTAATTTTTAAATGTTTTCTCCTATTCTGTAGGTTGCCTTTTCACTGTTGATATTTCCTTTGCTGTGCAGAAGTTTTTTAGTTTGATATAATCCCATTTGTTTATTTTTCCTATTGACGCCTGTGCTTTTGAGGTCTTATTCATAAAATCTTTCCCAGACCATTGCTGTGAAGCATCTTCTCTGTGTTTTCTTCTAGTCGCTTTATTGTTTTTCTTCTTCATTTAGGCCTTTGACCCATTTTGAGTTGATTTTTGTATAGGGTGAGAGGTGGGGGTCTAGTTTCATTCTTCTGCATATGGATATCCAGTTTTCCCAGCACCATTTGTTGAAGAGACTGTCCTTTCTCCAGTGAGTATTCTTGACATCTTTGTCAGAAATCTGTTGGCTGTGGATATGTGGATTAAATTCTGGGTCCCTCATTCTCTTCCATTTGACTATGTATGAGTTTTTATGTCAGTACCATGCTGTTTTGGTTACTACAGCTTTAAGCTATACTACTACTAAAGCTGTAGTAACCAAAACAGCATGGTACTGACATTTAGTTTCTAGTGGAGATACATTGTAGTTCTGATTTTGAGATCTGGTGGTATGGTACCTTTGGCTTTATTCTTTTTGCTTGTGATGGCTTTGCTATTCGGGTTTTTTATGGTCATTTTAACCATATTAATTATTCCAATCCATGAACATGGAATATCTTTTCATTTATGTTTGTCTTTTTCAATTTTGTTCATCAGTGTTTTATAGTTTTCAGAGTACAGATCTTTCACTCCCTTGGTGAAATTTATTCCTAAGTATCTTATTTTTTGAGTTGCTATCATAAACAAGATCATTTTCATGATTTTTTGGGGGGTAGTTTGTTGTTAGTGTATAGAAATGCTACTGATTTTTGTTATGTTGATTTTTTTTATCCTGCAACTTCACTGAATTTGTTTACTTGTTCTAATATTTTTATTTGTAGAGTCTTTAGGGTTTTCTTTTTTTATTATACTTTAAGTTATAGGGTACATGTGCACAACGTGCAGGTTTGTTACATAGGTATACATGTGCCGTGTTGGTTTGCTGCACCCATCAACTCGTCATTTACGTTAGGTATTTCTCCTAACGCTATCCCTCCCCCAACCCCCTACCCCATGACAGGCCCCGGTGTGTGATGTTCCCCACCCTGTGTCCAAATGTTCTCATTGTTCAATTCCCACCTATGAGTAAGAACGTGCAGTGTTTGGTTTTCTGTCCTTATGATTCTTTGCTCAGAATGATGGTTTCCAGCTTCATCCATGTCCCTACAAAGGACATGAACTATCCTTTTTTATGGCTGCATAGTATTCCATGGTGTATATGTGCCACATTTTCTTAATCCTGTCTATCATTGATGGACATTGGGTTGGTTCCAAGTCTTTGCTATTGTGAATAGTGCTGTAATAAACATATGTGTGTATGTGTCTTTATAGTAGCATGATTTATAATCCTTTGGGTATATACCCAGTAATGGGATGGCTGGATCAAATGGTATTTCTAGTTCTAGATCCTTGAGGAATCGCCACATTGTCTTCCACAATGGTTGAACTAGTTTACAGTCCCACCAACAGTGTAAAAGCTTTCCTATTTCTCCACATCCTCTCCAGCATCTGTTGTTTCCTGACTTTTTAATGATCCCCATTCTAACTGGTGTGAGATGGTATCTCATTGTGGTTTTGATTTGCATTTCTCTGATGGTCAGTGATGATGAGCATTTTTTCACGTGTCTGTTGGCTGCATAAATGTCTTCTTTTGAGAAATGTCTGTTCATAACCGTTGCCCACTTTTTGATGGGGTTTTTTTTTCTGTAAATTTGTTTAATTTCTTTGTAGATTCTGGATATTAGCCCTTAGTCACATGGGTAGATTGCAAAAATTTTCTCCCATTCTGTAGGTTGCCTGTTCACTCTGATGGTAGTTTCTTTTGCTGTGCAGAAGCTCTTTAGTTTGATTAGATCCCATTTGTCTATTTTGGCTTTTGTTGCTATTGCTTTTGGTGTTTTAGTCATGAAGTCCTTCCACATGACTATGTCCTGAATGGTATTGCCTAGATTTTCTTCTGGGGTTTTTATGGTTTTAGGTCTAACATTTAAGTCTTTAATCCATCTTGAATTAATTTTTGTATAAAGTGTAAGGAAGGGATCCAGTTTCACCTTTCTACATGTGGCTAGCCAGTTATCCCAGAACCATTTATTAAATAGGGAATCCTTTCCCCATTTCTTGTTTTTGCAAGGTTTGTCAAACATCAAATGGCTGCAGATGTGTGGTGTTATTTCTGAGGGCTCTGTTCTGTTCCATTGGTCTATATCTCTGTTTTGGTACCAGTACCATACTGTTTTGGTTACTGTAGCCTTGTAGTATAGTTTGAAATCAGGTAGTATGATGCCTCCAGCTTTGCTCTTTTTACTTAGGATTGTCTGGCAATGCGGTCTCTTTTATGGTTCCATATGAACTTTAAAGTAGTTTTTTCCAATTCTGTGAAGAAAGTCATTGGTAGCTTGATGGTGATGGCATTCAATCTATAAATTGCCTTGGGCAGTATAGCTGTTTTCACGATATTGCTTCTTTCTATCCATGAGCATGGAATGTTCTTCCATTTGTTTGTGTCCTCCTTTATTTCGTTGAGCAGTGGTTTGTAGTTCTCCTTGAAGAGGTCCTTCACATCCCTTGTCAGTTGGATTCCTAGGTATTTTATTCTCTTTGTAGCAATTGTGAATGGGAGTTCACTCAAGATTTGGCTCTCTGTTCATCTGTTATTGGTGTATAGGAGTTCTTCTGATTTTTGTACATTGATTTTGTATCCTGAGACTTTGCTGAAATTGCTTATCAGCTTGAGATTTTGGGCTGAGACGATGGGGTTTTCTAAATATACAATCATGTCATCTGCAAACAGGGACAATTTGACTTCCTCATTTCCTAATTGAATACCCTTTATTTCTTTCTCTTGCCTAACTGCCCTGGCCAGAACTTCCAACACTATGTTGAATAAGAGTGGTGAGAGAGGGCATCCCTGTCTTGTGCCAGTTTTCAAAGGGAATGCTTCCAGTTTTTTGCCCATTCGTTGTGATACTGGCTGGGGGTTTGTCATAAACAGCTCTTATTATTTGGAGATACATTCCATCAATACCTAGTTTATTGAGAGTTTTTAGCATGAAGCGCTGTTGAATTTTGTTGAAGGCCTTTTCTGCATCTATTCAGATGAACATGTGGTTTTTGTCGTTGGTTCTGTTTATGTGATGGATTATGTTTACTGATTTGCATATGTTGAACCAGCTTTGCATATAAGGGATGAAGCTGACTTGATTGTGGTGAATAAGCTTTTTGATGTGCTGCTGGATTCAGTTTGCCAGTATTTTATTGAGGATTTTTGCATCTATGTTCATCAGGGATATTGGTCTAAAATTTTCTTTTTTTGTTGTGTCTCTGCCAGGCTTTGGTATCAGGATGATGCTGGCCTCATAAAATGAGTTACGGAGGATTCCCTCTTTTTCTATTGATTGGAATAGTTTCAGAAGGAATGGTACCAACTCCTCCTTGTACCTCTGGTAGAATTCAGCTGTGAATCCATCTGGTCCTGGACTTTTTTTGGTTGGTAGGCTATTAATTATTGCCTCAATTTCAGAGCCTGTTATTGGTCTATTCAGAAATTCAACTTCTTTCTGGTTTAGTCTTGGGAGGGTGTATGTGTCGAGGAATTTATCCATTTCTTCTAAATTTTCTAGTTTATTTGTGTAGAGGTGTTTATAGTATTCTCTGATGGTAGTTTGTATTTCTGTGGCATCAGTGGTAATATCACCTTTATCATTTTTTATTGCGTCTATTTGATTCTTCTCTCCTTTCTTCTTTGTTAGTCTTGATAGTGGTCTGTCAATTTTGTTGATCTTTTCTAAAAAACAGCATCTGGATTCATTGATTTTTTTGAAAGGTTTTTTATGTCTCTATCTCTTTCAGTTCTGCTCTGATCTTACTTATTTCTTGCCTTCTGCTAGTTTTGAATTTGTTTGCTCTTGCTTCTCTAGTTCTTTAAATTGTGATGTTAGGGTGTGTCGATTTTAGATCTTTCCTGCTTTCTCTTGTGGGCATTTAGTGCTATAAATTTCCCTGTACACACTGCAGTAAATGTCTCCCAGAGATTCTGGTATGTTGTATCTTTGTTCTCATTGGTTTCAAAGAACATCTTTATTTTTGCCTTCATTTCGTTATGTACCCAGTAGTCATTCAGGAGCATGTAGTTGTGCAGTTTCGGGTGAGTTTCTTAATCCTGAGTTATAATTTGATTGCACTGTGGTCTGAGAGACAGTTTGTTGTGATTTCTGTTCTTTTACATTTGCTGAGGAGTGCTTTACTTCCAACTATGTGGTCAATTTTGGCATAAGTGCGGTGTGGTGCTGAGAAGAATGTATGTTTCATTGATTTGGGGTGGAGAGTTCTGTAGATGTCTATTAGGTCCACTAGGTGCAGAGCTGAGTTCAAGTCCTGGATATCCTTGTTAACCTTCTGTCTCATTGATCTGTCTAATATTGACAGTGGGGTGTTAAAGTCTCCCATTATTATTGTGTGGGAGTCTAAGTCTCTTTGTAGGTCTCTAAGGACTTGTTTTATGAATCTGGGTGCTCCTGTATTGGGTGCATATATATTTAGGATAGTTAGCTCTTCTTGTTGAATTGAACCCTTTACCATTATATAATGGCCTTCTTTGTCTCTTTTGATCTTTGTTGGTTTAAAGTCTATTTTATCAGAGACTAGGATTACAACCCCTGCCTTTTTTTTTTCTTTCCATTTGCTTGGTAGATCTTCCTCCATCCCTTTATTTTGAGCCTATGTGTGTCTCTGCACATGAGATGGGTTTCCTGAATACAGCACACTGATGGGTCTTGACTCTATCCAATTTGCCAGTCTGTGTCTTTCAAGTGGGGCATTTAGCCCATTTATATTTAAGGTTAATATTGTTAGGTGTGAATTTGAGCCTGTCATTATGATGTTAGCTGTTAGTTGATTCAGTTTCTTCACAGCATCGATGGTCTTTACAATTTGGCATGTTTTTGCAGTGGCTGGTACTGGTTGTTCCTTTCCATGTTTAGTGCTTCCTTCAGGAGCTCTTGTAAGGCAAGCCTGGTGGTGACAAAATCTCTCAGCATTTGCTTGTCTGTAAAGGATTTTATTTCTCCTTCACTTATGAAGCTTAGTTTGGCTGGATATGAAATTCTGGGTTGAAAATTCTTTTCTTTAAGAATGTTGAATATTGGCCTCCACTCTCTTCTGGCTTGTAGAGTTTCTGCAAAGAGATCCGTTGTTAGTCTGATGGGTTTCCCTTTGAAGGTAACCTGATTTTTCTCTCTGGCTGCCCTTAATATTTTTTCCTTCATTTCAACCTTGGTGAATCTGACAATTATGTGTCTTGGAGTTGCTCTTCTTGAGGAGTATCTTTGTGATCTTCTCTGTAGTTCCTGAATTTGAATGTTGGCCTGCCTTGCTAGGTTGGGGAAGTTCTCTTTGATAATATCCTGAAGAGTGTTTTCCAACTTGGTTCCATTCTCCCTGTCACTTTCAGGTACACCAATCAAACATATATTTGGTCTTTTCACATAGTCCCATATTTCTTGGAGGCTTTGTTCATTTCTTTTTACTCTTTTTTTCTAAACTTCTCTTCTCACTTTATTTCATTAATTTGATCTTGTATCACTGATACCCTTTCTTCCACTTGATCAAATCAGCTGCTGAAGCTTGTGCATGCATCACGTAGTTCTCATGCCATGGTTTTCAGCTCTATCAGGTCATTTAAGGTCTTCTCTACACTGTTTATTTTACTTAGCCATTCATCTAATCTTTTTTCAAGGTTTTTAGCTTCCTTGCGATGGGTTCAAACATCCTCCTTTAGCTCAGAGAAGTTTGTTATTACCAACCTTCTGAAGCCTACTTCTGTCAACTCGTCAAAGTCATTCTCCATCCAGCTTTGTTCCATTGCTGGCAAGGAGCTGTGATCCTTTGGAAGAGAAGAGGCTCTCGGTTTTTAGAATTTTCAACTTTTCTGCTCTGGTTTCTCCCCATCTTTGTGGTTTTATCTACCTTTGGTCTTTGATGTTGGTGACCTACAGATGGGGTTTTGGTGTGGATGTCCTTTTTGTTGATGTTGATGTTATTCCTTTCTGTTTGTTAGTTTTCCTTCAAACAGGTCCCTCAGCTGCAGGTCTGTTGGAGTTTGCTGGAGGTCCACTCCAGACCCTGTTTGCCTGGGTACCACCAGCAGAGGCTCAGTTGGAAATGCAGAAATCACCTGTTTTCTGCATCGATCACGCTGGGAGCTGCAGACCGGAGCTGTTCTTATTTGGCCATCTTGGAACAGACCCTAGGATTTTCTTTATATAAGATCATGTCATTCACAAACAGAAATAACTTCTTCCTTTCTGATTTTTTAACTTTTCACTAATGCTAGTTATTGGCTTGTCATATATAGACTTTGTTGTATTAAGATACATTCCTTCTGTACCTAATGTATTGAGAGTATTTATCATTGTAAGATGTTGAATGTTGCCAAATGCCTTTCCTGCATCTATTGAGATGATTATGTGATTCCTGACCTTCATTCTCTTAATGCAGTACATTACATATATTTAATTTACCTATGTTGAACCTTCTTTGCATCCCAGGGTTAATCCTACTTGATCTCGATGAATTATCCTTTTGATGAATTATCCTTTGATGTGCTGTTGAATTTGGCTTGCTAGTATTTTGTTGAGGACTTTTTCATCTATGTTTATCAGGGATATTGGCCTGTAATTTTTATTTTCTTATAGTGTCCTTCTCTGGCTTTGATATGATAAATGAGTTTGGAAGTATGATTGGTGTTAGTTTTTGATTTCATCTTAATGTCTCAAAAGTGCATACTAGTTTGGTTTCATTTAGTTTCTAGTTGAGATATAGTGTATAATTTTTTTTTTTTTACTGTAAGCCACTATCTCCCCACCAAAAGAAAAGAAAAGAAAAGAAACCCTTCATACTGTCAATGATTTAAAAACTAACTCTTGGCAAGGTGCAGTGGGTTACATCTGTAATCCTGGCACTTTGGGAGGTTAAAGCAGGAGGATCTCTGAGGCCAAGAGTTTGAGACCAGCCTGGGCAACATAGTCACCAAGAAGTGACCTCTTCTTTCTGTCCACTGTGATCAGGACAGGTTTTCTTTATGTCACCTATGATGTTTTACACTGCCTTGTTTTATATTCATGTCTGTCTCTCTTTCTATACTGGTCTCCTCCAGGGCAGAATCTGAATCTAGTTTAACTCTAAGATGTCTCAAGTGAAAGTGATCGGCACTTAGTAGATGCTCAATAAATGCATATTGAATAAATAATTGCATAAGTGGATGGATGGATGGCTGGATCAGGTAGAATCTGTAATAATATTCCTACAAGATTAAAGTAGATTATGTGAGCCTCCCACAATCAAACACACGATAGTAATTTGGGAGCTAAAACTCAAACCCAGATCTTCTAACCTAACGCTTTTTCCTTTTCACAATGCTGCCTTCTAAATTTAAAACGCCAACAGTAAAAATACATTGCATAAAAGCACAATAGTATACTTATTAAAATTATTAAGCTAAGTCTTTTAAAATAGGAGGATAAAACTAATCTGATTCCCTCAACACACTTAATTATTTCATTTCCTGATGCTCCCACCTTGTCTCATTTATGAAAGCTTTCATTAAAATTCAGCCAAGGCTTCATATAATTTTGTTAATAAAGTATTGATATTAAAACATCCCTATTCAAGAAATTATAAAAATTATAAATTTTATAATTTAAAAAAACTTTTTAAATTCTATAAATTTTAAAATTTATAATTTATTTCTTCAAAGTGTATTTCACAATTATTTCTTCCCTTCCATTCTCCCTGCTACCATAAGAGGTAGTGAAAATAGTGTGGACATTGGATCCAGAGACATTGGTCTGCATTGCCTTCTTGGAAATGCCACTCCTATGGACCTTACCCAAGTCACCTAACCTGTATGACCCTCAGTTTTCTCATCTAAAAAATGAGAATAATTATATCCACTTCACAGAATTGGCAAGAGCATTAAGTGAGATAATATGTGTTCAGTGCCTGGTACATATTGAGAATGGAAAACAATAATTTCTTCCTCACATAAATTTAGCTCATTTTTTAAAAAGTCCTTGCATTTTTCAGAAAGCAATTAGATCAATGCAAAAAGCAAATCTTATCTTCCAAAGCAGACTGAGGTTTCTTGAAGGCAAAGAACACATCTCATTCGTCTTTCCCATAGTCTCACACATTATAAATAAGTATTTCCTGATTGCTAATCACTTTTATCAGGCATATATATTTATAGACTACTTTTCAGTCACTTTTATGGGTTACTATTCACTATAAACCTCAGCTGAAGGAATGCCTTTTCCTGGAACTTTTCCTAGACCAAGTGGTCACCAAGGAAGTAAGAAGATTCATTATGGGCTTTGCATGTGTTACCAGGCTATGGATGGGGCTCAGGCAGAGAATCAGAAACAAAGCTCATTTAGTTTCATATTATCTGGCCTTTAGACTGACTCCATTCTTGAAGAGCTCTGGAGAAATGAGACTTGAAATTACGTTACAGTCTTCTCAGAGCCTCCTATTAGAAGTCTAATCTATGTTATATTTAATTCTTAGTTTGCATATATGTAATTAAAAAAAATTATTTTATTTATTTATTTATTTGTTTGTTTGTTTGTTTGTTTTTGAGAGGGAGTCTTGCTCTGTCACCCAGGCTGGAGTGCAGTGGCGTGATCTCGGCTCACTGCAACCTCTGCTTCCCAGACTCAAGCACTCATGCAGTTCTCCTGCCTCAGCCTCTACAGGCTGAACACTACAGGCACCTGCCACCACGCCTGGCTAATTTTTGTATTTTTAGTAGAGACAGGGTTTGCCATGTTGGCCAGGCTGGTCTCAAACTCCTTACCTCAAGTGATTCACCTGCCTCAGCCTCCCAAAGTGCTGGGATTACAGGTGTGAAACACCATGCCCAGCCTTAAAAATAATTATTTTAAAACAGATATTTGCGTATGCTCTCACAGCCTAGACAACTATTAATTTTTAGATCGAGGATGTCTAGGCTACCTCATACAAAAGGAGAGCCTCTCACTTATTGAGTAGCTAATATGGGGAAACTACGCTACGAGTTTTATATATGTTCACTCATTTGATCCTACAATGAACCTATAAGTTATTTTATCCTCACTTTACAAATTAAAATAAAAAATAAAAAACCAACTGGGCTTCCTAAAATAAAGGATTGGGTCTAATGTCCCTTACATAGCAAGTTTCAGTACTAGGCTCTGATTCCAAAATTTCTACTCTTATAATAATATCAGCATTTTCTCATAGAGACAAAAGGCAAGAAAATGGAAAAAAGCTGGACTATATGCAAAAACTTAAGTAAGAACAAGGTCCATCATAGGCACAGGTAGTATAAAACAACAAACTCAGATATATATCTATAAATTACCAGCTGGTTGCAGTGGCTCACGCCTGTAATCCCAGCACTTTGGGAGGCTGAGGCAGGTGGATCACATGAGGCCAGGAGTTTGAGACCAGCCTGGGCAACATGGTGAAAACTCATCTCTACAAAAAATATAAAAATTAAACGGATGTGGTGGTGGACACCTGTAGTACCAGCTACTAAGGAGGCTGAGGTAGGGAGATCCCTTGAGCCAGGGAGGTCGAGGCTGCAGTGAACTGAGGTCACGCCACTGCAATCCAGCCTGGGCAACAGAGTGAGATCCTGTCTCAGAAAAAAAATTATTAGAAAACTGGGATATTTTATGTTAAAAGGGGATGATTATTATAAAATTTTATTTTTGGTGGAACCTACATTTGCTCAGAAAAAAATATTCTTAAAATAAGTTTTAAGTTGTTGAAAAAGACCAAAATATTTTATTTACAGTAGCCAAACTGTTTGTTATGTAATCACATACGTGAGTACTTTGAAACATTCTATTTTTCCCTCCACAAACATTTGATTCAAAGATAATGGGGGCACCTAGCTTCTGGGTGCTGGCTCCTCAAACTGGTTTGTAAGTTTCTGCTTAATTTAGGTGTTCGCCTTCCTGTATGGAAATGAAAGCTCAATGCTGAACAGATGTTTACCAATAAACTGTCCAGTTCTGGGCTCTATAACTTAAGAAAAATGTATAAAGATTTGTCTCATGAGTTAAGAAATGAGACTCATGTGTGAGGTAGAAAATAAGACTCATGCATATTGGTTACTAAGAAAATGGAAATTAGGCCAGGTGCGATGACTCATGCCTGTAATCCCAGCACTTTGAGGGGCTGTGAGGCGAGTGGATCACCTGAGATCAGGAGTTCGAGACCAGCCTGACCAACATGGCGAAACACCATCTCTACTAAAAATACAAGTTAGCCAGGTGTGATGGCGGGCACCTGTAGTCCCAGTTACTTGGGAGGCTGTGGCAGGAGAATCACTTGAACTCAGAAGGTGAAGTTTGCAGTGAGCCGAGATCACACAACTGCACTCCAGTCTGGGCAACACAGCAGCATTCCATCTCAAAAAAAAAAAAAAAAAAGAAAATGGAAATTAATTTAGATCATCTGCCCTCCTGAGCAAGACTTTTTCTGTCCTGCAAGTCCTAGCTCAAGTCTGGCTGTCCCCAAAAGTAACAATCATTCATTTTTGCCATTATGATAAATTTTTTAAGACTCAAAACAAAAATAGATTATCTGCCTTGAATTTTTAACAGATATTTTAATTGGTAGTGTGGCTCATTCCTTCTGAATATCTGATTCTGAACTTTACATGGATTTTAGAATACATAGTTTACATTCCTATTTTATTTGACTCCTAAAAGACCATGTGTAGGTTCATTGTTACAGTAGAATTAATTAAAAATCTGCTGCTGATTTTATTTTTCTGGTCTCTTGCTTAATTAATAAAAAGTTACCTTTGACGTTTAGTGACTTGGGTTCTCTTACAATTTGAGGGCTTGGAGGAAACACTGGACAAATCATGTGATCTTCATTTGTGTCTGGTAAAAGCACATCTTTTTTCCAAAGTGGTCTCTGAATCATTCTTCCAAAAGTCACATGCTATGTTCATTTGCTCAGCACATAGGAGCTCACAGACAGGACACAACGTTCCTAGCAGCATCCTACAACGTAGAAATCCAAAGAGATTTATGGAAATCAAAAAACTTTGGGTTCAGAAATATTGAAACATTTTTAAAATGGAATTTAAAATATTTAAATTGCCTTGGATTTGTTTGTTTGTTTGTGACAGGGTCTTGCTCTGTCACCCAGGCTGGAGTGCAGTGGCGTGATCTCGGCTCACTGCACACTCTGCCTCCTGGGTTCAAGCGATTCTCCTGGCTCAGCCTCCTGAGTAGCTAGGACTACAGGCACACACCACCATGCCCAACTAATTTTTGTATTTTTAGTAGAAATGGGGTCTCACCACGTTGGCTAGGCCGGTCTCAAACTCCTGACCTCAAGTGATCCACCCACCTCAGCCTCTGAAAGTGCTGGGATTACAGGTGTTAACCACCACACCCGGCCTACCTTGGAATTTTTTTGGTCTATTGGTAGGTTTTTTTTTTTTCAAGAATAAATACCAGTTTTCATCTGCCATTTTCCACGTCATGTATATTCAGGATTTATCCCATGTTAACTGAAACTTTTCAGATTTTCCTAATTTTCCTCACTTTTTGAGATTCACAAAGTTTTCAAGCAATATAAAGTTGAGTATTCAAAGAAGTTTTGAAACTTACATAGCCAGAGCCTTCCCTGTACCTATAGAACCTGTGCAGAGTTAGCCTACAGAGTCCACTATGGGGCCAATCTCTGTTCTCCAGAGCAGGCAGTTACAATGGAAGCATTGTTACTAGAACAGAGAAACAGCTCTACAAGAAAAGCCATTTAAATAATAAGAGACTGCATCCCAGGGAATATCCAACCAAGAATATGTTCTCTTCCTCTTTTAAAATCTTACAGGATTCTAATTTACTCTCGCACTGGTATAGAAGGTATTTTAAAGAACCAGGATCCTAACATCTGATACACTGGCATTGGAAAATAGCAATTTAAAAAGAACACAAATTGAAAAACCAAAAAAATACCTTGCTGAACCTTGGGGGAGACAGATATTTTGAGTTGAAGAGAGAATGAAGTCTAATACGACAGAGTGATCAGTTTCTCTTTCATAAATGTGTCCCTGGCTCATACAGATCCATCTACAACATAGAAATGTACAATAGAGGTCAGAGGAATAAAACCTGGCCCAACAGAAGAAGAGAAAGATCTAGACGAGGACTAGAACAGAGACGAGAACACTATGGCCTACTGACAGAGAATTAACAGTTAACATCAGAACCATATTCCAGGTTACCTGCCAATTGTTAAATAACTACCTATCTTATACTATCTTATAGTTTAACTGTGTATCATTTGTCCCCATTAGGGCTCATATTTTCTAGACTAATCCTTTTATAGTCTTTATGCAGAATGTTTTATTTGTTAGGAGGGATGTTAGGACATAATGGACCCAAATGACTTCACAGTTGCCATCCTGGTTCCCAGATTGGGTAGACTAGTCTGCCACTCCTCTTATATACATCACATCCATGTTGATTCATTAGGCACTGGGGTGGGCCTAATGAGACATATGAACTCTCAAATCCATGTTTGACCTACATTACCTTTATGCATTAAGCAACTAAAAATCTCTCAAAATAAATATCAAAATGTTTATTCTCTCTTCTAGATTAGTGAAGGAACGAAATGCATTTTCATTCCCAAGAAGTTGTTTCTAGCAGAAGCCAGCACTGGATTCAGGAGAAGGGCTTTAGAGCTGGTGTGTGCCTACCCCATAGGGGAGGCCATCAGTAAGCACCTGGTCAAGCAGCAAGTGTGGAATGAGTACCAGGCCAAGTTCTTGGCACCCCACCTGACAAAGGGAAGTAGAACCACTGGCTCAACTCATATATATTTATTTATTTAATTTAATTTATTTTTTTTAGAGACAGAGTCTTGCTCAGTCACCGAGGCTGGAGTGCAGTGGCGTGATCTCCACTCACTGCAACCTCCGCCTCCCAGGGTCTAGCAATTCTCTTGCCTCAGCCTCCCAAGTAGCTAGGATTACAGGTACATGCTGCCATGCCAGCTAATTTTTTGTATTTTAGTTGAGATGGGATTTCACCATGTTGCCCAGGCTGGTCTTGAACTCCTGAACTCAGGCAGTCCACCCGCTTCAGCCTCCCAAAGTGCTAGGATTACAGGCGTGAGCCACCATGCCTGGCCTCATTTTTATTTTTAACAAGAAAACTTAGATTGAAAAATATAATTGGAAAGTGATTTCAATACGCTCTTAGAAGTGCCTCTATAGAGGTCATGGCACAGGATTTATTTTGTGTCACTTAAATAAATGACATCATACCCTTCATTTGCTCAAAGCTCCATCTGGTAACTTCCTCACACTGGAAAACACAATGAAGCCTGATAAGTTAGATTGTTGTTTTTCATTGGATGATGTGTTCAGGATTTACTTATTAAAATGGTATCACTTGACATTGGACATTGTTTTCCATATATTTGTTAGTGACAAAAGCAGGCTATAAACTATGATTATGATTTCAATAAAAACGTGTGTGTATTTTTATAGCATATAAAATGGCAGACAATTTTAACAATGGCAATCTGTGAATGATGCATTTTGGAGTTTTTAAAACAGTTCCAGTTCTGCTTGGATTACTATTTCTATGAGATAAACTTTGAAGACTAAGAAACTAACAGTAAATAAAGAGGGAAAAGATCCTCAAGAGAGCTTCACATTGTTTAAACCCTGTATCTTGTTTTGGCAACGTTAAAGATGATACTATTTAGATGCTTTATTGTGCCCCCTTTCCTCATACGTTCCTGAAATCATAGCCCACCTTTGATTTGCTTACTGAACACCAGGGGTTCAGTCTGCTCAACACAGACAGACAATCACTGAGATGAATATTGCTAAAGAAGAAGGCTTTCATATGCAGAAAACTGAAACTTGACCCCTTTCTTACACCTTATACAAAAATTAGCTCAAGATGGATTACGGACTTAAACGTAAGACCTAAAACCATAAAAACCCTAGAAGAAAACCTAGGCAATAGCATTCAGGACATAGGCATGGGCAAAGACTTCATGACTAAAATAACAAAAGCAATGGCAACAAAAGCCAAAATTGACAAATGGGATCTAATTAAACTAAAGAGCTTCTGCACAGCAAAAGAAACTATCATCAGAATGATAGGCAACCTACAAAATGGTAGAAAATTTTTGCAATCTATCCATCTAACAAAGGGCTAATATCCAGAATCTACAAGGAACTTAAACAAATTTACAAGAAAAAAAACCCCATCAAAAAGTGGGCAAAGGATATGAACAGACACCTCTCAAAAGAAGGCATTTATGCAGCCAAAAAAACATATGAAAAAAATCTCATCATCACTGGTCATTAGAGAAATGCAAATCAAAACCACAATGAGATACCATCTCACACCAGTTAGAATGGCAATCATTAAGTCAAGAAACAACAGATGCTGGAGAGGATGTGGAGAAATAGGAACACTTTTACACTGTTAGTGGGAGTGTAAATTAGTTCAATCATTGTGGAAGACAGTTTGGCAATTCCTTAAGGATCTAGAACCAGAAATACCATTTGACCCAGCAATCCCATTACTGGGTATATACCCAAAGGATTATAAATTATTCCACTGTAAAGACACAAGCACACGTATGTTTATTGCAGCACCATTCACAATAGCAAAGACTTGGAACCAACCCAATGTCCATCAATGATAGACAGGATTAAGAAAATGTGGCACATATACACCATGGAATACTATGCAGCCATAAAAAAGGATAAGTTCATGTCCTTTGCAGGGACATGGATGAAACTGGAAACCATCATTCTTAGCAAACGAACACAGGAACAGAAAACCAAACACCCCATGTTCTCACTCATAAGTGGGAGTTGAACAATGAGAACACAGGGACACAGGGAAGGGAATATCACACACCAGGGCCTGTCGGGGGGTAGGGGGCTAGGGGAAGGATAGCATTAGGAGAAATACCTAATGTAGATGATGGGTTGATGGGTGCAGCAAACCACCATGGCACATGTATACCTATGTAACAAACCTGCACATTCTGCACATGTATCCCAGAACTTAAAGTATAATTAAAAAGAAAAAAAGGCTTTAATCAGGTACTGTGGCTGAAGAGATGGGAGATCAGTCTCAAATCCATCTCCCTGACCTACTAAGATAAGGGGTTTATATAGCAGGGAAGAAATGTAACCATGTGTGGGAAAACAGGAATTAGGGAGGGTAAACAAGAGGAGTTGGTCAACAGGAAGCAGATGGTCAGTTAGGCAGTCATGACAGATGAGGGGGTCTGATCTCTCACTGTCCAAATGAAGTAATCTAGTGAGTTTCAGCTCCTTGATACTATTTGGGAGGCCTGACGGTTGGTTTCCTGAGAAAGGAACTCAGGTAAGACAAATGTTAACTTCCTCAAGTTTTAAGATTGAGAGGATCAATTTCTATGTCTGTTCAAAGAAACCATAAACATCAGCTCTGTGGGAAAATTGGGTCAGTTTCAATTTCAACAATGTTGAACAGCTCCAGCACGTTGATGGCATCTCACCTCCAGTGTTCACACCAAGGGTTCCTAACTCTCAGCAAAGGTGGGAATGGGATTTTATGGATAAATGCCTCAGCCTCCCCATCTTTGGAGGAACAGTTCTGAGATATATTCAACACGATTCCTCAGAGGGTCCTGTGTTAGCTGTTTCTGTGTAACAAATTACTTCAAACAGTGGTTTAAAATAACAAATGTTTTTTATTTCACAATTCCTATGCATCAGGAATCTGAGAGCAGCTTAGCTGGGTGGCTTTGGCTCAGAGACTCTCAATGGCTCTCACTGGCTACAATCAATGAGTCCACGAAGGCTACAGTCATTGGAGGCCTGACTAGGTCTGGAGGATCCACTTCTGTTGACAGAGTGACTGTTGACAGGAGGCTTCACCTGGCCACACAGACCTCTTCATAAGACTCCTCACCACATCGCTTCCCCCAGAGGGAGGGCCAGTGCCCAAAATGAAAGCCATGGTCTTTTTTATGACCTAATCTTGTAAGTGACCTACCATCACTTCTGCTATGTGACATTGGTCAGACACACCAACCCTGGTACAGAGTGAACAGGCACTACACAAAGGTATGACTGTACGGAGGCCGGGCTCATTGGGGCCATCCTGGAGCCTGGCTACCACAGGTCTCCAGCAGGACTGAGTCACAGGTACCTACAGTGAGAGCTCAACTGATAATGCTTCTTCCCTGTTTGACTCTTCCATTCTCTCATTTCTGCTTCCTGAGATGCACCCCCCCTACCCCCAATAACTTGCCTAAACCTAAAGCTTGATTTAGGTTCTCATTTCAGCAGAACCCAAAACAAGAAAAATCCTGGCCTATTATGAAAAATGCCAGTCAGGGTCTTCCCCTGACTAGAATTTTGTTAGCTGAAACATAAATGGCCTACCACTTTAAATGTCCAACTTTTTATTCTGAAATAACTTAAAACATATAGAAGAGTTACAGTAATAGTATAAACAACTTCATAGACCTTTAACCAGATTCACCATTTTTAACATTTTGCCACATATTTTTAATGTAAAATTTTCTTAGAAACATTTGAGAGTAGGTTGCATACATCATGCCCTTTGTATTGGTCAGGGTTCCCCAGAGATACAGAACCACTGGGATGCATGTATGTGTTTGTTTATTATTAATTATTTTTTCATACTTCATTTTATTTATTTCAATAGGTTTTTGGGGAACAGGTGGTGTTTAGTTACAAAAATAAGTTATTTAGTGGTGATTTCTGAAGTTTGGTGCGCCCATCACCCCAGCACTGTACACTGTACCCAGTGTGTAGTCTTTTATCCCTCACCTTCCTCCCACCCTTTCCCCCAGGTTCATTGTATCGTTCTTATGCCTTTGTGTCCTCATAGCTTAGGTCCCACTTATGAGTGAGAACATACAATGTTTGGTTTTCCATTCCTGAGTTATTTCACTTAGAATAATGGTCTCCAAACCCATCCAGGTTGCTGTGAAGGCCATTAATCCATGGTATACATATATATATATATCACAATTTCTTTATCCACTTGTTAATTAATGGGCATTTGGGCTGGTTCCATACTTTTGCAATTGCAAATTATGCTGCTATAAACATGCATGTGCAATATCTTTTTCATATAATGACTTCTTTTCCTCTGGGTAGATACCCAATAATGAGGTTGCTGGATCAAATGGTATTTCTATTTTTAGTTCTTTAAGGAATCTCTACACTGTTTTTCATAGCAGTTATACTAGTTTACATTCCCACCAGCAGTGTAAAAGTGTTCCCTTTTCACCACATCCATGCCAACATCTATTATTTTTAAATTTTTTATCATGGCCATTCTTGTAGCAGTAAGGTAGTATTGCACTGTGGTTTTGATTTGCATTTCCTTGATCATTAGTGATGTTGATTGTTTTTTCATGTTTTTTGGCCATTTGAATTTCTTTTTTTGAGATTGTCTATTCATATCCTTAGCCCACTTTTTGATGAGATTATTTGTTTTATTCTTGTTGATTTGTTTGAGTTCCTTGTAGATTCTGGATATTTTCTCCCACTCTGTGGGTTGTCTGTTTACTCTGCTGATTATTTCTTTGCTGTACAGAACCTTTTAGTTTAATTAAGTCCCATTCTTCTTTGAATGTCTGATAGAATTCAGTTATCCTCCATCTGGTCCAGAACTTTTTTGTTGTTGGCATTTTTTTATTATTACTATTTCAATCTCGCTGCTTGTTATTGGTCTCTTCAGAGTTTCTGTTTCTTCCTGGCTTAATCTAGGAGGGTTGTATATTTCCAGGAATGTATCAATCTCCTCTAGGTTTTCTAGTTTATGCGTATAAAGGTGTTCATAGTAGCTTTGAATGATCTTTTGTATTTCTGTGGTATCGGTTGTAATATCTCCGTTTTCATTTCTAATTGAGTTTATTTGGATCTTCTCTCTTCTTTTCTTAGTTAGTCTCACTAATAGTCTATCAGTTTTATTTATCTTTTCAACAAACTAGCGCTTCGTTTTTGTTGCATTTGCTTTTGGGTTCTTGGTCATAAAGTCTTTGCCTGAGCCGACGTCTAAAAGGGTTTTTCTGATGTTATCTTCTAGAATGTTTATGGTTTCTGGTCTTAGATTTAAGTCTTTGATTCATCTTGAGTGATGAGGATCCAGTTTCATTCTTCTACACGTGGCTTGCCAGTTACCCCAGCACCATTTGTTGAATAGGGTGTTCTTTCCCCAAACATAAATTTGTTTTTGTTTGCTTTGTCGAAGATCAGTTGGTGATAAGTATTTGGCTTTATTTCTGGGTTCTCTATTCTGTTCCATTTGTCTATGTGCCTATTTTTACACCAGTACCATGCAGTTGTGGTGATTACAATTCAGTCTACAAATTGAATTTTAGATTGCTTTTGGCAGTATGGTCATTTTCCCAATATTGAGTCTACCCATCCATGTGCATGGGATGTATTTCCATTTGTTTGTGGTGTCTATAATTTCTTTCAGTAATGTTTTGTAGTTTTCCTTGTAGAGGCCTTTCACCTCATTGGTTAGGTATATTCCTAAGTGTTTTATTTTATTTTTTTGCAGCTGTTGTAAAAGTGATTGAGTTCTTGATTTGATTCTCAACTTGGTCGCTGTTGGTGTATAGGAGAGCTACTGATTTGTGTATATTAATTTGTATTCTGAAACTTTGCTGAATTCATTTCTCAGTTCTAGGAGCTTTTTGGATGAGTCTTTAGGGTTTTCTAGGTATACAGTCAGATCATCAACAAACAGCGACAGTTTGACTTCCTTTTTACCAATTTAGATGCCCTTTATTTCTTTCTCTTGTCTGATTGCTCTGGCTAGAATTTCCAGTATTATGTTAGATAGAAGTGGTGAAAGTGGACATCCTTGTCTTCTTCCAATTCTCAGGGGAATGCTTTCATTTTTTTTCTTGCTCAGTGTAATATTGGATGTGGGTTTGTCATAAATGGCTTTTATTACCTTAACATATGTTCCTTCTATGCCAATTTTGCTGAAGGTTTTAATCATAAAGCGATGCTGGATTTTGTCAAATGCTTTTTCTGCATCTATTGAGATGATCATATGGTCATAAAACCAGCTCTTTGCTTCATTTGTCTTTTATATTTTTGTTCATTTGTTTCAATTTCATTTAGTTCTGCTCTGATCTTCATTATTTCTTTTCTTCTGCTGGGTTTGAGTTTGCTTTGTTCTTGTTTCTCTAGCTCCTTGAGGTGTGACCTTAGATTTGTGCTCTTTCAGGCCTTTTGATGTAGTCATTTAATACTATGAACTTCCCTCTTAGCACCACCTTTGCTGTATCCCAGGGGTTTTGATATTGTGCCATTACTATTGTTCAGTTCAAAGAATTTTAAATTTAAATTTCCATCTTGATTTCCTTTTGACTCGACGATCATTCAGGAACAGGTTGTTTAATTTCCATGTGTTTGCATGGTTTTCAGGGTTCCTTTCAGAGTTAATTTCCAATTTTATATTCCACTGTGGTCTGAGAGAGTACTTGATATAATTTTGATTTTCTTAAATTTATTAAGACTTGTTTTGTGGCCTGTCATATGGTCTGTCTTGGAGAATGCTCCATGTATGATGAATAGAATGTATATTCTGCAGTTGTTGGCTAGACAGTTCTGTAAATATCTGTTAAGTACATTTTCCTAGGGTATAGTTTAAGCCCATTGTTTTTCTGTTGACTGTCTTGATGTCCTGTCTAGTGCTGTCAGAAGAGTACTGAAGTCCCCCACTATTATTGTGTTGCTATCTCATTTCTTAGGTCTAGTAGTAATTATTTGTTTTATAAATTTGGGAGCTCCAGTGTTAGGTGCATGCATATTTAGGAGTGTGGTATTTTCCTGTTGGACAAGTCCTTTTATCATTATATAATGTCCCTCTTTGTCTTTTTAAACTGCTGTTGCTTTATCGTTTGTTTTGTCTGATATAAGAATAGCTACTACTGCTCACTTTTGGTGTACATTTGCATGGAATATCTTTTTCACCCCTTTATCTTAACTTTGTGTGAGTCCTTATGTGTCAGTTGAGTCTCTTGAAGGTAGCAGACACTTGGTTGGTGAATTCTTATCCATTCTGCCATTCTGTATCTTTTAAGTGGCACATTTAGGCCATTTACATTCAATGTTAGTATTGAGATGTGAGGTAATATTCTATTTATTGTGTTAGTTGTTGCCCGAATACCTTTTTATCATTGTGTTATTGGTTTATAGATCCTGTGAGATTTATGCTTTAAGGAGGTTCTATTGTGTGTCTTTTGAGGATTTGTGTCAAGATTTAGAGCTCCTTTTAGCAGTTATTGTAGTGCTGGCTTGGTAGTGGCAAATTCTCTCAGCATTTTTTTGTCTGAAAAAAAGTTTATCTTTCCTTCATTTATGAAGTTTAGTTTTAGTTTAGATACAAAATTCTTGGCTGATAATTGTTTTATTTAAGGAGGCTAAAGATAGGACCCCAGTCTCTTCAGGCTTGTAGGGTTTCTGCTGAGAAATCTGCTGTTAATCTAATTTCCTTTATAGGTTACCTGATGCTTTTGCCTTACAGCTCTTAAGATTCTTTCCTTCATCTTGACCTTAGATAACCTGATGACTATGTGCCTAGGCAATGATCTTTTTTTTTTTTTTTCTGAGATGGCGTCGTGCTCTGTTGCCCAGGCTGGAGAGCAATGGTGCGATCTCGGCTCACTGCAACCTCCACCCCCCAGGTTCAAGTGATTCTCCTGCCTCAACCTCCCGAGTAGCCACCACACCCAGCTATTTTTTATATTTCTAGTAGAGATGGGTTTTCACCATGTTGGCCAGGCTGGTCTCAAACTCCTGATCTCAAGTGATCCACTCACCTTGGCCTCCCAAAGTACTGGGATTACACGGTTGAGCCACTGTGCCTGGCCGATGAACTTTTTACAATGAATTTCCCAGGTGTTCTTTAAGTTTCTTGTATTTGGATATCTAGACCTCTAGCAAGGCCAGGGAAGTTTTCCTTGATTATTCTCTCAAATAAGCTTTCCAAACTTTTAAATTTCTCTTCTTCCTTGGGAACTCCAATTAGTCTTAGGTGTGGTCATTTAACATAATCCCAAACTTCTTGGAAGCTTTGTTCATTTTTTTAAAACTCTTTTTTCTTTGTCTTTGTTGGATTAGGTTAACTCAAAAGCCTTGTATTCGAGCTTTGAAGTTCTTTCTTCTATTGTTCAATTCTATTGCTGAGACTTTCCAGTGCATTTTGCATTTCTCTGTGTCCTTCATTTTCAGAAGTTGTGATTGTTTTTTTATTTATGATATCTATTTCTCTGGAGATTTTTCCATTCACATCCTCTATCTTTTTTTTTTAAGTTGGACTTCACCTTTCTCTGGTGCCTCTTTGATTAGCTTAATAATCAACCTTCTGAATTTTTTTTCTGACAATTCAGAGATTTTGTCTTGGTTTGGATCCATTGCTGGTGAGCTAGTTTGATCATTTGGGGGTGATAAAGAACCTTGTTTTGCCATATTACCTGAATTGTTTTTCTGGTTCCTTTGGGTAGACTATGTCAGAGGGAAGATCTGGGGCTCAAGGGCTGCTGATCAGATTCTTTTGTCCCACAGCATGCTCTTTTGATGCGATGCTCTCCCCGCTTCCCTAGGGATGGGGATTCCTGAGAGATGAACTGCAGTGATTGTTATTTCTCTTCTTGGTCTAGCCACCCAGCAGAGCTTCTGGGCTCTGGAATGGTACTGGGGGGTGTCTGCAAAGAGTCCTGTGATGTGATCCATCTTTAGGTATCTCAGCCATGGATACCAGTACCTGCTCTGGTGGAGGTAACAGGGGAGTGAAGTGGACTCTCTGAGGGTTCCTTGATTGTAGTTTTGCTTAGTGTGCTGGTTTTGTGTTAGTTGGCCTCTGGTCAGGAGGTGGTGCTTTCAAGAGAGCACCAGCTGCAGTAGTATAGGGAGGAGACAAGCTTGCCCTAAGGTTGCCTGGGTAAGTATTTGGGTTTATTAGGTGGTGGGCAGGACCATAGAGCTCCTAAGAGATTATGTCCTTTGTCTTCGGCTGCCAGGGTGGGTAGAGGAAGGACCATCAGGTGGGGGCAGCATTAGGCATGTCTGAGCTCAGACTCTCCTTGTACCGGGCTTGCTGCAGCTGCTATGGGGGATGGGGTTGTGGTTCTCAGGCTGATGGAGTTATGTTCCCAGGGGGATTATGGCTGCTTCTGCTACTTCATAAAAGTTGCCAGGGAAATTGGGAAAAGCAACCAACGACAGGCCTCACCCAGTTCCTAAAGGCCAGTCTCTCTCCCACGGTGCTGCCTAACAGCACTGAGTTTATTTCCAGGCAGCTGGTGAGCATGGCTGAGAACTTGCCCCAGACTTCAAGCCTCCCTGCTGAGAAAGCAAGCAGGGCTTTCAGATTTCACACCTCCCTGCCTGCTGTGGCTTCTGTGAAGGTGTCTGCACTCCTAGTTCACCCCCTCCCCCAGATCCTATCCAGGAAACTTTGTGTTCCATTGAAATTATTACAAAGTTCAGCTGGAAGTTTCCTTTTCCCTGTGGTCTTTGCCCAGTTCCACTGGCAGCTCTCCCCAAGCACCCCTGCAAGACAAAGTCAGAGACAGCTTCCCTGGGGACTGAGAGTTCCCACAGGGCTCTTCCTGCTTCTTCTTCTATCCCTGTATTTCACTTAGCTCTCTAAATTCGTCTCACCTCCAGGTAAGGTCAAATCCTTCTCCTGTGATCTGGACTTTCAGGTTCCCCAGTGAGGATGTGTGTTCGGGGGCAGACAATCCGCTTTTCATACTTTCAAACTTTGAGCACTCAATTTTTTGGCTATCTCCTGGAGCCTGTAGCAGCAGCTCACAGATGGCCTTTTCTTTGTTCTCATCAGAGTGGTGTTTGCTGCAAGTTTTAGCCATATTTGAATCAATGCATTGTTTAAAATGAGTATATATGGGTGACTGCTTTTAAGATACTGAACTAGGACTAGGTCTAAACAGCCAGAGTGGAGATCAACACTTCAATTTATTTATTTTTATATTGATTGATTGCTTGATTGATTGGCATTGGCTCATGCAATTACAGAGGCTGGAGAATCCAAAATCTGCAGTGTGGGTGATAGGCTGGAGACCTATGAGGGTTGATAGTACAAATGAAGTGTAACGGCAATCTGCTGGAGAATTTTCTCTTGCTCAAGGGAGGATGATCAGTGAAGGCTTCCATTTGGCCATTCCAGAGATAGGAGCAAGGTGGCCAAATGGAAGCCTTCACTGATCATCCTCCCTGCAGGAACACCAAACTGAACAACTATTCATACAAAAAATCACTTTTATATGAACAAAAAATCAGGTGAGCAATCACAGTACCTGGTTGAACTTCATATCACTGAAGGAGGAGATATGTGCTTAGGGGAAGGAGAGTACAGTGATTGTGGGACTTTTCATTGGAACTCAGTGCTGCCTTATTACAGCAGAAAGCAGCACTGGGCAGAACTCAGCCAGTGCCCATGGAGGGAGCATTTAGACCAGCCCTAGTCAGAGGGGAGTCACCCATCCCAGTGGTTGGAACCTGAGTTCCAGCAAGCCTTACCACTATGGGCTAAAGGGCTTTGGTGTCCTAAATAAACTTTAAAGGCAGTCTAGGCCACAAGGACTGCAGTTCCTGGGCAAGTCCTGGTGCTGTGATGAGCTCTGAGCCAGTGGACTTGAGGGGCATGTGACTCAATGAGGCATCAGCTTGGATGGCCAAGGGAGGGCTTGTACCACCCCTCCCCCACCATAGGCAGCACAGCTCACAGCTCTGGGAGAGATGCCTTCCTTTCACTCGAGGAGGGGAGAGGGAAGAGTAAAGAAAACTGTGTCTTGCAACTTGGATACCAGCTCAGCCACAGTAGGATAGGGCACCAGGCAGAGTCCTGAGTCCCCCATTCTGGGCCCTAGATCCCAGACAACAATTCTAGACACATTCTGGGCCAGAAGGAAACCAGTTGCCTTGAAGGGAGGAACCCAGTCATGGTAGTATTCATCACCTGCTGACTAAAGAGCCCTTGGACCCCGAATAGTTAGTAGTAGTACCCAGGCAGTGTTTGCCATGGGCCTTGGGTGAAGCTCAAAGATATACTGGTTTCAGGTGTGACTCAGCACATTTCCAGCTATGGTGGGTATGAGGAGGGAGTCCTTCTGCTTGAAAAAAGAAGAAGGAAGAGTAAAGAGGACTTTGTCTTGCAGCTTGGATGCCAGCTCAACCACAATGGTATAAAGCAGCAAGTGGGCTTTTGGGGTCCCTGATTCCAAGCCTTGGCTCTTGGACATTTATGGACCTGTCCTGGGCCACAGGGAGGCCAATTTCCCTGAAGGGAGAGTCCCAGGTGTGGAAGCATTCACCATAAGCTGCCTGAAGAGCCCTTGAGCCATGCGTGAACATCGGCAGTAGTCCTGCAGTACTGGCCATGGGCCTGCGGTGGTGGTGGCCACAGGGAAAGACTTTACTGCTAGTGGAAAATTGAGAGAAGAGTGGGAAGAACTCTGACTTCTGGCTTGGGTACCAATTCAGCCACAGTAGAATAGAGCTCCAGGTAGATTCCTAAAGTTCTGACTCTAGGTCCTGGCTCACCAATGGCATCTCTAGATCTGCCCAGGCCCTGAGGCAGGGAGGGAACTTGCCTCTCTGAAGGGAAGGACACAAGCCTGGCTGACTTTGCTACCTGCTGATTGTAGAGCCCTAGGACCTTGAGAAAATATAGGCAATAGCCAGACAGTGGTTACTGTGGGACTTGGGCAAAACCCAGTGCTGTGTTCGCTTCAGGTCTGACCCAGCACAGTCCCAGTGGTGGTGGCCACAACTGTGCTTATGTCACTTCTTCCCCAGTTCCAGGAAGCTCAGCACGCAGAGAGAGACTCCATTTGTTTGGGAAAAAGTAAGGGAAGAGAGCAAGAGTCTCTCCCTGATAATCCAGAGAATTCTTCTGGGTATTATCCAAGTCCACCTCTATTATCCAAGTACTCTATGAGTCTGCAAGAGCCACACCATTACCAGGCTTGGGGTATCTTCTAATACAGATACAGCTACAATGGCCAAAACTTAGATCACAACTCCCAAGTCCTTTAGAATACCTGGAAAGCCTTCCCAAGAAGGATGGGTACAAACAACCCTACGCTGTGAAGACTACTATAAATACCTAACTCTTCAATTCCCAGATACTGACAAACATCCATAAGCATCAAGACCATCCAGGAAAACATGACTTCACCAAAGGAACTAAATAAGGCACCAGTGACCAATCCTGCAGAGACAGAGATATGTGACCTTTCAACAGAGAATTCAAAATCATTATTTTGAGGAAACTCAAAGAAATTTAAGATAACATAGGGAATTCAGAATCATATTAGATAAATTTAACAAAGAAATTGGAACAATTAAAAAGAATCAAGCAGAAATTCTAGAGTTGAAAAATGCAATTGACCTACTGAAGAATGCATCAGAACCTCTTAACAGTAGAATTGCAAGCAGAAGAAAGAACTTGTGAGCTTAAAGAGAGACCACTTGAAAATACACAAAGGAGACAAAAGAATAAAAAGCAATAAAGCAGGCCTACAAGATATAGAAAAAATAGCCTCAAAAGGGCAAATTTAGGAGCTATTGGCCTTAAAGAGGATGTGGAGAGAGACATCGGGATATAAAGTTTATTCAAAGGGATAATAACAGAGAACTTTCCAAACCTGGAAAAGATATCAACATTCAAGTACAAGAGAGTTATAAAACACCAGATAGATTTAACCCAAAGAAAACCACCTCTAGACATTCAATAATCAAATTCCCAAAGGTCAAGGATAAAGAAAGGATTCTAAAAGCAGCAAGAGAAAGGAAACAAATAACATACAATGGAGCTCCAATATGTTTGGCAGCAGACTTTTTGGTGGAAACCTTACAGGCCAGGAGGAAGTGGCATGACATATTTAAAGTGCTGAAGGAAAAAATATTTTATGCTAGAATAGTATATCCAGTGAAAATCTTCTTAAAACATGAAGGAGAAATAAATATTTTACCAGACAAAAGCTGAAGAACTTCATCAACACCAGGTCTTTTCTACAAAAAAGTGCTAAAGAGAGTTCTTCAGTCTGAAAGAAAACGACAAAACAAGCCTTAAAACATTCAAAAAACTATACAAACACATGGAAATTAAACAACATGCTCCTGAATTACCAGTGATTCAATGAAGAAATTAACAAGGAAATTGAAGTTTCTTGAAACAAATAATAATGGAAACACAACATACCAAAACTTATGGGATACAGTGAAAGTAGTACTAAGAGGAAAGTGTATAGTTTATAGTACTAAACTATTTAATTCAGCCAGGAACCTTTAATCTTTCATTCTCAAAGACCTAAATTCTGAATTTAATTAAAATATCAATTGTCATTCATGCTTCATCTCTATTCTACATTCACGATATGATTTAATTTGATTTCATTTCAATTTAATTTATATTTCTCTTTGGGGAAGTCCCTTCCTCTCTTTACATTTGTTTCCCCATCTGAAATGTGAAGATAATATTTATTGCATACAGTTGTGTGATATTGTGATATAATAGGAAGTATATGTTTTGGTTTTCATCCACAGTTCCTGGTTCACAGCCCCTAAAACCCTTGAAATTTCCTAAGCTATTAGAGCTATGGTAGTATCTTATTGTTATAATATTTGACTTTTTTGCCCTTGGTTCCTGAAACAGTTCCAGAATGATAAAAGTGAAAGAAGCATCTTGTGTTATTCATAACAAGCCCCTTTTATCCATACATGAATTTATGTTAATGAGGTAATTTTTAGAAAGCCTCCAGATAACCACAGGATGGGGTCTGGTTGCCAAGATAACCAATCATGTGATTAGAGAGTTGGAATTTCCAGCCCCATTGCTCACCTTCAGGGAGGGGAGGGGAGCTCAAGGTTGAGTTGATCACCAATGGCCAACGATTTAATCAATCATGTTGTTGCAATGAAGCTTCCATAAAAACCCAAAGGAATGAAGTTCAGAGAGCTTCTGGGTGGTGAGTAAGAACGCAACCATGTGCTATGAGGGTGGCACACCTGGAAGCTCCATAGGGACAGGAGGTCCTGTGCTTGGGACTCTTCTGGACCTCTCCCTATGTATCTCTTCATCTGGCTGTTCATTTCTATCTTTCAATATATCCTTTGTAATAATCTGGTAATCTAGTTTTATATAATGCTTCTAGTTCAAAATTTGACTCCTAAACTGTTTTCCTGAGTTCTATAAGCTGCTTTAGCAAATGACTGAACCCAGCAGGAGGTCATGCAAACCTCTGATTTATAGCTGGTCAGCCAGAAATGCAGGTGACAAGCTGTGATTGATATCTGAAGTGGGGTCCCATCTTCACTTATGGGACTGAGCCCTTAACCTGTGTACTCTGAAAGCCATTTCCAGGTAGATAGTGTTAAAATTGGGTTAAACTGTAGAATGCCCAGTCAGTGTCTGCAGAGAACTAGGGAATTGCTTGGTGTGAAAAAGATCCCTACACAATTGGTGGTCAGAAGTGAAGTGTTGTGAGTGTTAAGTGAGAGTATAAGGGGAAAAAAAAACAAAAAAACAAAAAAACGTTTTTCCCTTTTCAGTTGGTGTCAGAGAGGTGGGATTTGCTAAAATAACCTTGGCTTAGGAAACATGTGGTTTGGGAACAGAAAGAATAGGGGGTTGGGGGGAGAGAGAGAGAGAGAAAATGAAGAATATTTGATCCCTGGAGGGCTACCTAGTCACCTATGGTACAAAACTGCAGCTTTGCTGCAATCAGTTAAAGGTAAAAGTTACGAATTGTATTTAGAAATGGTGGTAGAACAAACTCCTGATGAGTCAATTCTAGGAAGTAAGCATTAGTAGTAATAGTTAAAATTGTAATGCATAGACACAGATGAAAGAAAATGATATTTGGGCTGGGCACAGTGGCTTACGCCTGTAATACCAGCACTTTGGGAGGCCAAGGCGGGCGGATCACGAGGTCAGGAGATCGAGACCATCCTGGCTAACACGGTGAAACCCTGTCTCTACTAAAAATACAAAAAATAAATAAATAAATAAATAAATAAATAAATAAATAAATAAAAATAAAAATTAGCCAGGCATGGTGGCAGGCTCCTGTAGTCCCAGCTACTCAGGAGGCTGAGGCAGGAGAATGGCATGAACCTGGGAGGTGGAGCTTGCAGTGAGCCGAGATCACGCCACTGCACTCCAGCCTGGGTGACAGAGCAAGACTCCGTCTCAAAAAAAAAAAACAAAAAACCACTTTTCTACATTTATTTTTCTCTCTCTTTTTTTTTTTTTTTTTAGTATTCAGGTATATCCAGATGGTTACCTTGATGGAAACTGTGTTTAGATATTTAACCATTTGGATATATCTGAATTGTTAATAAATTGTTTATTTAGGTCATGCTTATTCTATTACATAGGAATTTATAAAACTACATTTATATAATATGATTCTTAAATATACTAATCAAATTAGGTCAAAATTAATGAGATCCTAAACATTTTCAAAGCACTGAAGCCAGTGTAGTTAAATTTGTATTCTGAATGGCGCTATTTTGAGAGCTGAATGATAAATTTCTCTTGAATTATTATTTTACTAAAGTACTTTGGTGAGAAGAAACAAATACAGAAGGAGCAATAATAGAGGAGTTGCACATTTGAACAGTTGCCAAGTTAGAGAACCCTAAGCATTTTTAGCAGCCCTCTGGAACTCAGTCTTAAAATGACTTTTCAGATGAATGGGCATTTGTTTCACCCCTCCCACCTCCTCCAAAATCTCACTCCATTATCTTCTCTTCCAATGTATCTTCAGTCTCTTTCCATGTCCTTACTTTTTCTGCATCTTGTAGACTAGTCTGATCTGATATTCCTTATCTTAAGATACAACAATACTCTTCCCATGCACAAAACTCTTGCTGATGCACAAGAAGAGGACAAGGGTGTAGGTGGTTAAGGCAATGTGGACGAAGACAGCAGTGACTGCAAATGTGGATACCAAACTGAATGTCCCAGGGGCAGAGGCCATGCACTGTGGCACTAATTCGCCTTCCAGCTGCTTCTCACATGGCTATCGCTAGGCAGCATGCTCCAAGGTCAGTGATGGTGGGAAGGTATTTAATAACAATGGATGAGTCTCACCAGCGACTCTGAATAGGCCAGCAAGAAAATAATAAAATAGGCTGGGGGTGGTGGCTCACACTTGTAATCCTAGCACTTAGGGAGGCTGAGGCGGGCGGATCATGAGGTCAGAAGTTTGAGGCCAGCCTGGCCAACATAGAAACCCCGTCTCTACTAAAAATACAAAAATTAGCTGGGTGTGATGGTGGACGCCTGTAATCCCAGCTACTCGAGAGGCTGAGGCAGGAGAATCGCTTGAATCCGGGAGGCCAGAGGTTGCAGTGAGCTAAGATCGCACCATTGCACTCCAGTCTGGGGAACAGAGTGAGATTCTGTCTCAAAAAGAAAAGAAAATAATAAAATAACAAATTGCACAGAGAAATTACATATCAGCAGGGGGTTCATTTTGTGCTCTTTAAGCTCAGAATCAGCTCTGGCCTTATCCTTCACAATCCTTCTGTTCCTTCATGATCTATTCTGCCTCTGCCTCTCCCGACAGAAAGAGCTGCAAGTCTGATTTCATTCTTTCATCACAAGTACACAGTTTTAGAACACGAAAATTAAAAATTTTTTTTAGCAATTGCTTCCAAATGGAGCCTTTTACTGAGGACAACGTCCCAGGAAAAGGGAATTAGAATTTTTCTCATCTCTGTTCTTACATATTCAAACTCTTCGGAAGCACTCAGTGGAAACAAGCTCAGTTGGGCTTTATTTAATTGCGTACTTAGTGGTTACTAAAAAGTGTTGGTCTGAATCACTGGAATGGTTCTTTATTTTAGTTCTCACGGTTGTTTTCCACAAGACATTAACTTGATTCTCCTTCTCCCATCCTCTGTAAATCATAGCTATGGCTCACCATAAAAAGTAATTCCAATATTCAAGGTCAAGAATATGTAGTTAATGAAATTAGATATGACTGCAATTTGGGATGAAAACCTGGTCCAGAATGCTGTACATTCTTATTTTTTCTGTCACATGGTATTAAATGGATTTGTTCCATCTAATCACCAATTCTTAGAATTGAAATGTACCATCTACATCAGTGCACAGATTGGTTCAGTACAGTATCCCCTGTACCTCGTACCTACAACACAGTATGTGCTTAGTAAATATTTGCTGAATAACTTCATCTTGTTCAATCTTGCTATCCATTGCAGAAATATTTTCAACTATGTTCCCCTAAGATGGTCCTTAATATTTTCTGCTTAAGACTTGCCAGTTCCAGGAAACCCTTTCCTTCCTCTTTCCTTGTCTCCTCCCCTCCACTCCTTCCTTCAGGAGATCCATACGCCAGACACTGTGCTAGGCTCTGGGATATTGTGAGCAAAAACACATTCCCTGTTCTCATGGAATTCATTGATTAGTAGGAGAAACAAACATTAATTAAAGAGTCAAACAAAAAAAGTAGCACCCAGAATAGTCAAATTCATAGAGACAGAAAGTGAAATAGCGATTGCCAGGGGCTGGGGGGCAGGAGGGAATGGGGAGTTATTGTTTAATGGGTGTAGAGTGTCAGTATGGGATGATGAATAGGTTCTGGAGATGAATAACGGTATGGTTGTACAACAATGTGAATGTCTTTAATGCCATTAAGCTATACACTTAAAAGTGGCTAAAATGGTAAATTTTATGTTATGTATATTTTACCACATTAAAAAGAAACAAAACAAAACAAAAGTAAAGGCACAACTCTGACAAATGCTTAAGAAGGGCAGCACACAAAGGCAAAATGACCTCCTCTTGTTGGTCAGGAAGGTCTCCCGGAGGATGGGTAAACTGAGAGCTGAAGAATGAATACAAGCTGGCTTGATATAGAATTGAAGGAAGACTACCCAGGCAGAAGGACTGGCACTTTCAACAGGTGGGAAGGAGGCTGCTGTGCACCAGGGACAGAAGGGAGGTCAGTATGGTTGCCATCAGTGGAAAAGGGGACCAGGTGCAGGCTGGGGCTGGACACCAAGGAGGGGCCACTCCCCAAAGAGCCTTGTAAACTCTGCTAAGGAACTTGATCTTTATCCTAAGAGTACTAAGGAACCATTCAGTAGTTTTAGACAAGGGGAAACAGGATCAAATGGAGGAAACACGATCAAATTTGCATCCTACTCACTGCTTAGGGGTATGTGTCTGTGTGTGTGTGTGTATTAGAAAGTTCTTCCTTCTATTGACTTATAACTGCCTTCGTTCAGCTTTCTGCTGCTAGTGTTGGTTTCTGCCTTCTTTCTTCCGGAGCTCTGCAGAAACAAGTGTCCTTTCTCTTTTCTGTGAGGGCTTTTAAAACTCCAGCTCTGTTTCAGCTTCTTACTATCCTCATGGTATCCTTCTGTACTTTTTATTTTCAATCCTCCTAATAAAATGTGGCTCCTGGAGTTGAGTACAATCCTCACCTCAGTTTTAGGAACACAAGAAATGCTATTCTCTGTGATCTGGACCCTATACCAGAGCCGCACCCATCACAGACTGTTTCATATTAAGTTGATAGTTAATGAAACAATCCCCACCTCCAGCTTTTTTCAGACACAATGCTAATAAACAGGAGGTTTCTGCCATTCTGATTTTGCCCCTTTTAAAAAAACATAAATAAATAGAACAGCACTGGGTTTCAGCCCTGGCACTGTCACCAACTAGCTACACAATCTCCTCTTTCTTCAGGAATAAACAAGCCACCAAAAGCACGTACTCTGGCCTACTCTCCCCATGCTCTAAGTTTTGCAAGCATTTTTTTCAGGTTAGGAGGTCTGCAGTAGTCCAGTAGGATTCCCTATTGGGAGGGCCACTTCCCTGCATGCTTAAACCAGTTTCTTCATTATCAGCTTTATCAGTGATAATGTAATAGTTTTGATCCCAACTGTCTTACTTCATTATCTTATTTCTCAATTGGTTCAGCACAGAGTAATATTTATTGGGCTCTCCCAAACAATGGGATGATGACCAGTGTTCCTTTTCTAAAATTCCTTGTCTCTGGGTCTATGATTTTACATTTATCTCATTAAATGTCCTTAGGTTGGTTTTAGCCCTTCTTTATTATAGCCCGTTCTTTATTAGGATCCATTAGCACTAATTGGTACTAAGGATAATGGTCTGGAAGAGTTAACTTATTTCCTTAACCAATTAGCTAATTCCAAGGAAGTGATTTTGGTCCTGGAATCCAACCTAGGGAAAGAATGCAGTATGCTGGAATGTGGTCACAGCATGCATTATGTCAGTGCCATATTAACAATTATATGGAAGCCCCCATTAGTAAAATGCTATTTCTTAGGCTCAAAATCAGATCTGTTCTATATTCAATTCCACTCTCTTGTAACTAATGTCACAGCAAGGTCATATGTTACTCTATTTAGCATATCCCTTAAAAAGTTTGTCCATGGTGCCTGTTGCATAACATGTGCAGAAATAATCATACAAATTGATAAGGGTTATGAGTCGAAGTTTTAATAATAATAATTTATAATAGCCAAGTGCTTTATGAGAGTCAAAGAAATCTCAGGTACAGTATCTCCCTTGGGCTTCTCAGTAGTCCTAGGCAGCAGGCTGGGTGAGAATTGTCTTCACCTTACGGATGAGGAGAGGAGTTCAATAACATGTCCCAAATCACAAAATGTTTTTAGTAGTAGAGTCAGAACCAGAACACAGGCCTGCAAAGACTGTCCAAAATTTGCCTCTAAACCTGATAACTACTCCAATTGTATATTACTTTCCACCTTGAATTGATTCTTACTAATGACCCTGATGTAGGCATGAAGATCACACTTATTTATCACTAGACTCAGTGCTCTATGTAAATTACTCTTCATGTGACTCTCTGGAGTTTATATAACAAGGTGCCTATTGTTTGCATTAGAGCCCAAGTTCCTCAGGACAGTGCCTAAGACCACAGGTGTTGAAAACAGACTTTCTGGGTTTGAATCCTGGCTCTGCATATTACTGAGTGTCTTTGGGCAAGATACTTAATATACCTGCCTTGTTTTGGGTTCTCCTGAGAACTTGGGTAAAGATGGTTTACTTCAAAGGTGATCCTGGGAAGCAGAAATGAGAAAAGTGAGACTTGGAAGGAAGAGAAGCCAATAGAGAGCATACAAATTATCTAGTTACCACTGGGGGCAACTGAGACTCAATTGTGTGGGGACCTTCTAAGGAACTATACATAGATTGCATCTCAGAAGCTGTCTCAGCCGTGATTCTTGCCTTCACTGGTTGAGAGTCCCCTCTGGTCATTAGCTCCCCGACACTTCCAAATTGTCAAGTGGTTGAGAAGCTTCCTGAGACTTCAAAGCTTCCCAAGGCAGCAAAGCAGAGCAATGCTGATGTCCTTAACCAATTAGCTAACTCCATGGCAGTGACTTTGGCCCTGCAACTCATCCTATGCAAAGAATAAAGTGTGCCAGAATGTTGCCATAGCATGCATTATCTCAATACCATATAAACAATTATAGGGAAGCCCCCATTAGTAAAATGCTAATGAATTGATGTGGGACCTGGGCAACATGCGTGGAACTGTATAACCAAAATGGACTGATACCAGGTGTAGCAGAGCGTGTAGCATGGTGCTCCAAAAGCGTCTGCTACAGTCCTTAAGCCATGGTTATTGCATCCGTGACAAGGGATTGCAATACACCTTCTCATAGAGTGATAATGATGATTAAATGATAATATACCGTTCCTAGGACATTTAATATGCTTGATCAATATTAGTGGTGATGAGGATGACAATGATGATGGGGATGAGTTATTCATCTTTTATTAAATCCCTAGTAATTCCAACTGAAATTAAGATCAACAGGCAGGTCATATTTTTCCTATTTCTATGTGACTGTATTATTGGTCAGATCTCTAATCTGGAGTTATTTGTCTAGAACCAGCTATTGAATATATCGTTGCATTAAACATAATTTATAGTTTGTGCTTTTAAGTTAAATAACCACTAAAAAGACAAAAATAGCAAGTGATAATCCTGTACATCTGTAACCATAAAAGTTTTAAAAATAAATTTATAAGAGTACAGAGTACAGAAAACCAGGGATTGGGAGGGCGTGTGCTTAATTTTAGTCATTCATGAAAGATTTAATCCATATGGTCTTCTTCATCTTTCTAGGTTTGTTTTACATTTTGGATCCCCAAATATTAAATGTTATCTTCTTTGTTCTCATAAATACCACATCAGTACCTTTCTCTTTCTTAAAAATCTTCCATTCCTTTTTTTTTTTTTTGAGATGGGGTCTTGCTTTGTTGCCCAGGCTGGAGTGCTGTGGCACAATTTCAGCTCACTGCAACCTTCGCCTCTGGGGCTCAAGTGATCCTCTCACCTCAACCTCCTAAGTAGCTGGGACTACAGGCGCACGTCATTATGCCTGGCTAATTTTTTGTATTTTTGGTAGAGACGGGGGTCTCATTATGTTGCCTGGACTAATCTTGAACTACTGAGTTCAAGCGATCCACCCACCTCGGCCTCCCAAAGTGTTGGGATTACAGGTGTGAACCCCCCCATGCCTGGCCCAAAATCTTCCATTGTTTAGGAAGCCATGTGTTTGGTTCAAGTCTGAGTTCTACTATTGTTTACTAGTTCTGTGATGTTGGGTAAGTTACCTAGCTTTATTTTCCTCATTCTAACAACAACAAAACCCTAAAAAATGTTAGCACTCTTGTCTTGTACTTTCTTAGTAGCAAATCCCTCTTTCTTTCCATTGTGCTGGAATGTCCCTAAGAACAAAATTAAAATTGGCAGGGGATTTTAAAGCTGTAGTTCCTTCCACCTCTCCGTATATTCTTAGGGAGAATATTTCCCCTTTTTTCTCACTCCCAAACCCACAGTTTTTCTAATATGTCTAAGATTAGTCCCACTGGCTTCTTTGGCAACCACAGAAGAGAAGCCTGGGTGAAGAGCAGGACCAGGGGAGGACAGTGGTATGGCTCCTGCATGGACAGGGGACCCGGGACATGTTACATTTCTCTGGCCTTTTGTGCTTTTTAAAGGCTCAAAACTGCTATTTTTAGAAGAAATCTTTAGCTGAGCATGGTGACTCACACCTGTAATCCCAGCACTTTGGGAGGCCAAGGCAGAAGGACCACTTAAAGCCAAGAGTTAGAGAACAGCCTGGGCAACACAGTGAGACCCTGTCTCTGCCAAAAAATAAAAATGAAATAATTAGCTGGCCATAGTGGTGCACACCTGAAGTCCAGCCACTCAAGAGGCTGAGGTGGGAGGACTGCTTGAACCCAGGGGTTTGAGGCTGCAGTGAGCTATGATAGCACAGCTGCACTCCAGTTGGGGCAACAGAGCAAGACCCTATCTCAAAAAAGAGTTTTAAAAAAGAAAAAACTTTAAATTTTCTTAGTAAGTCTTCCTTTCTTTTTTAATATATGGGGCCAAGTCAAATTGTACCCAACTACCTTTTTCATCACAAATTCTGATTTAGTCTAAAAATAATGAGTAATCATAAATCATAAACAAATAGAATAAAATTCACAACGTGCAGTATCTTAGGGTGCTGTGCTTAAGAAATAAGTAGCAAACTGAGTTTGAGGACATGGGTGGACAATTGTGCACACACTCTGGCATGCTACTCTTCTGTCTATCTCCCATTATGTTGTCATAATCTCTCTGAAGAGCGAGGCCACTGGGATCTATTGAACAGTCTCTTGCATCCATCTCCTCTTCCACCCCCACTGCTTGAATCAGTCCTGAAGTTGTTTAACAGCCCCGTCTCCTGGCTCACTCTTTTTCCATTAACCTCCCACATTGCATGAGTGATCTTTCTAAAACACACATCTTACCATGACACCTACCCACTTGAAACTCTTGATGGCTTCTCACCACCCCCTCCAGATACTACCCGTATATCTTGGCACAATAAACGAAGCCCCTTTACAACCTAGCCTGGGCCCACCTCTCCAGATACGCCTTCATCTGTTCTTCCCCACCTTCCCATCACTCACTATTGTTTACCTGAACATCCTGTGCACATTCCAGCCTCATTTCTGTGCACTCATTGAAACCCACTTGAAACTCTTGATGGCATCTCACCACCCACTCCAGATAGTACATGAACATCTTAGCACAGTAAACAAAGCCCTTTTACAACCTCACCTGAGCCCAGCTCTCCAGTTATGCCTCCATCTGTTCTCTTCACCAACCCCATCACTCACTATTGTTTACCTGAATATCCTGCACACATTCCAGCCTCAATCCTTCTCTCCTACATTTGCCTCTGCCTGGAATTCCTCTTTTCACTTTGCTTTCCTAAGCTGCCTATTCTAAGCCAGAAATAATCAACCACCCTATACCTTTGTAATTTTATATAACACAAAACATTACAATTTATTATAACATATAACATATTATTGTGGTTATTTTTGTTTGCTTCTCTATATTCCAGCCTAAGACATCCAGCTCTGATGTGGTTTGGCTGTGTCCACACCCAAATCTCATCTTGAATTGTAGCTCCCATAATTCCTGTGTGTCACAGGAGGGACCTGGTGGGAGGTAATTGAATCATGGGGGCGGCTCTTTCCCATGCTGTTCTCATGAAAGTGAATAAGTCTCACAAGATCTGAAGGTTTTATAAAGAGGAATTCCCCTACACATATTCTCTTGCCTGCCGCCATGTAAGAACGTGGCTTTGCTTCTCCTTCACCTTCCACTATGATTGTGAGGCCTCTCCAGGCATGTGGAACTGTGAGTCAATTAAACCACTTTCCTTTATAAATTACCCAGTCTCAGATATGTCTTTATTAGCAGCGTGTAAGCAGACTAATACAAGTTCTCTCAAGACACGGACTACCTTATTTCCAGAACATAAATGATGCACAGAAATGTCAAGAACAAATATTGAGACATGATGGAGTTCAGTCAATTTTAATAAAGCAGGCAACCAGAAGTAGCCATTCAAAAGTACCTTACTAAAATCTTAATGAATTAAACTGCTAATAGCACACAAAAAACATCTTTCCCTAATCCTATTCCTCCCAACTAATTTAAAACAGCCTCTTGTGTCATGGCTGCCAATTTCGAAGTTTCTGTTTTACATTGCTCTCAACTTACACTGCAGTCACTTTGACAAAAAACAAGCATACAGGAGAATTTTGAATAAGAATGGTCAGAGAAAACAATGAGACAAGAACAGGAAATTGAAGAACATATTGTCTTGCTTATGAAGACCTCATAATAGAAAATAACATATTATAATATATTATATAGATGAAAAGGACAAAACCATTACCTGTATCATGCCTATTTAGCATGGCATTTCTTATGTGATAGAGCATCAATCCATTCACTCACCTGTGCGGTAAGACTGTGGCTGGCATTTGCTATGCAAAAAGACAGGAAATGCTCTTTGGGAAACTCTTACCAGGCCCTGACATGGGCAACACCCAGAGTATTGGAACTGCTCTGCAACCAAAACTATTGCGGCAAGTAAAAAGACCCTTGTCATGACACGACCCTTTACCTTTTAGGCATTTTATCTCTTTCTGAAAGGACTATCTGAATGATCCAATGGACAAGATCATGAACTCCTCCTACAGGAGTATCAGGTCTAGATCCCTGTTCTGCTGCCAAGTAGTTACTGTTTTCTAGTTTAAGTGGTAAAAGTCAAAGAAATATTTTTGAGTCTATTTGCAAAAAGTTTCCTATGTAGAGGTATGAGTAATCACACTCATTAGTCTAACAAACCTCCACTGAGCACCTACTTTGCACAAGTCAGAGTGTCAGGGGACTCTAGAGGAGAATGGACCAGGTTCCTCTTCTCCAGGGGATGAGAATGTGGTTGAGAGTGTCTCAGTCAGTTCAAGCTGCTACAGCAAATCTATCATAGACTGGGTGGCTTAAATAACAGATATTTTTGCATAAATGGCTCTAAGGGAAATTTCCAAAGTAAAGTTCCTAAAAGCATTTGAACAGAAACCTCTTTGTTTGCTTGTTTTTTTTAATTCAGGGTCTTGCTCTGCTGCCTGGGCTGAAGTGCAGTGGTTCTGTCATAGCTCACTGCAGCCTTGAGCTCCTAGGCTCAAATGATTCTCCTGCCTTAGCCTCCTGAGTAGCTGGGACTACAGGTGTGTGCCACCATGTCTGGCTCATTTTTATATTTTTTTGTAGAGATGGGGTCTTGCTATGTTACTCAAGGTGAGTAACCTTTTTTTTTTTTGAGAGAACATATAGATTCTCAGAAGGAATTTGGAGGACAACGTTTATCTGTATGCATAGATTTTGGAATCTTAAAGGGGCAGAAGTAGAGGCACAGAGTGTCCCCGTAATGATCCTTGGAGAGTCTGGGCTCTTCATAGTGTACTAGGCCCTTTTATCTGTGTGATTTGAGGAGGTTTTCTTTTACATATGTTCTTACACGTATACTACTAATGTGGGTACTATTGTCCAGTTTGAAGGTGTATAGGTCAACTGAGTGGGGCTTGCATGGCTAGTTTTCCAGGCCGGACCTCATGGATTGGCTTTAACACTTTCAAATCTGGTTCTTCACTTTGTGATCCAGGAACTTGACTTTTTCAGCCTACCAAAACAGTCATCTGACTTAAGGTAACAATACCTACCAAATTATCAATTTATCATCAGGGCCGTTCTTTTACAATGACAGACATAGTCATGTCCGCCCTTCAGCAAGCTCTTCCTGGTTTCAAGATATCTTAAAGCCTGTGTGAAAACAAATCAGTAGTTTGCTCTATGAGCATGCATTCAGAGCAAAGGGAGGTTGACAGAAATGGCAGAGTATCTTCAGAAGCTAAGTGAGTCATTTCTAACTCAGAGCAGAGTATAGCCCTTACTAAGTGTATTTGTTTTCCTTAGGGTCAGAGTCAACATCAGCTGGAAGGACACTACTGACTTTGGTTGTTCTGATCCCCTTTTCTGTATTTTCATGTAGGCCACCCGCTCGCGTTGCAATATTCTTTATTAAGCAATACTAATATACTCAGATCAATTCTATATTTCTATTTTTGAGCCAGAACTCTTAAAATCTACTCCTCCACCCCCGCTTTTTTTAGAATTTGGCTACCTTTTGCCAACGTGTTCATGTTTTTCAGTCAAGTCAGTTCTTTGCCCCCTGCCTCCACAGCTAAGCTATGCTGCCTGCACAGATGTAGCTTGCTATGAATGGGATAAATCAGAGAGCTCCATGCAAGAAGTTATTTATAAAACTTGCATTTTGCTCACTGAGATAGCTGTAAAAACAGTGCTGGAGAAAATTAAAGAAATAATATAGCACTATTCCCTATAAGCTTTTATCATAGACTCCAGCCATTTATATTTTGCCCCTTGTTAGTTTGTTCTCCATAAAACTCCCTTACAAAACCCCAGAAGAGATCTTCAGACAATAAGCACAGTCACATCAGATGACTATTCAGGTTCTTAATACGGTTTTTCCATTTGGGATGTGCTATTCCAGATCCTATCTGCTCACACCTTTATTAACTTGGTCTTTAAATGTCTTTATGTTTATTTAGTTAATATTCATGATGAAATGCCATGCTCCCCATTTGCAGTGTGTACTCATTTTGTTTTGACTAAACCTTTAAAAAATCATTATTGACTTATAGTGGATATTCACCTATTCCTTGAAGTTATAACCTTATCTATAATGCAAATATAATGCCAATACCAATTTACATTAGATTTTACCCACCGTATCAGTCTTATATGACTTTCAGCTTTTTGACCTCCAAAGATGGAATTTGTGTTGTGTTCTAGGAGATGAGACTCTTCTATCAAGTGACAATAAGTTGAAGGCATCCACAATTCTAACTCATTTTCCTCCTCCTCAACCCTAGGGAACTTTGGAGCACTGTAGCAGCTGCTGCATTGCCTCACCTGGATTCCTCTCCCTGCCCCTTCAGCATATTCTAGCCCACTTCCAGCTGCGGGTACCTGCACCTCTTTGCCTGAGGGCATTTTGGGACCATGTGCTTTGCCCAGATGCAAAATGGCAGTCCAGAAAGAAGAAATGGGGAAATTAATATCCCTGAGAACCCTTAACTGAGGACTAATGGGACTTGGTGTACAAATACCCCAGAGTACTTTTCAAAATGCACACTGAAATGTGTTCTTGGGAGAAAATCAGTTTGGGAATTCAGGAATACTGGCTGGGCACTGTGGCTCACGCCTGTAATCCCAGCACTTTGGGAGGCCAAGGTGGGCAGATCACTTGAGGTCAGGAGTTGGAGACCTGCCTGGCCAACATGGTGAAACCCTGTCTCTACTAAAAATACAAAAATTAGCTGGGTGCAGTGGCAGGCACCTGTAATCCCAGCTACTTGGAAGGCTCAAGAACGAGAATGGCTTGAACCCAGGAGGCAGAGGTTGCAGTGAGCCAAGATGGTGCCACTGCACTCCTGGGTTAAAAATGAGAGCCTGGTGACAAAATGAGACTTTGCTTAAAAAAAAAAAAAAAAAAGTTGGGGGGTGGAATTCAGGAATATTGATTTGCTCTAACTCTGGCAGAGGGACTTTACTAAGTATTTACTTGGGTGAAAAACTGTATAAATATCCATTTCTTTGAGAACCTTATGTTGTAGTTAGAGTGATAAGACCAATACATGTGTGCAGTAAAGGATTAACTCAGCAGGTCTGGGTTGCTCAAATCCTGTACATTCCAAAGAAGGTCTTTCTTCATAGGACTGGTCCTTGACTGGCCAGTCCTGGTAGATAACGTCTGAGCCCTTGGAATATCCTGCCTGATGAAGCGTGTTTTCATATGCCAGAGGGTCCTGGACCATGCTGTATCAATTTGACATAAGTAGAGGGGTGGGGCTGTAGGCTGAGCAATTAAAGTCAGCCATGCCTACCTGACCAATTTGCAATAATAACCCTGGATACCAAGACTTATGTGAGCTTTCCTGACTGGCAATAATTCACACATGTTGTCACATACCATTGCTTGGAGGATTAAATGCATTCCCATACAACTCCACCCAGAAGCTTGTGCCTGGTATCTCCTGGACATTGTCTCATATACCTTTCCCATTTGCCGGTTTTAGTATGTACTCATTTCTCTGTAATAAGCAGTAATCATGAACATACCAGCTCTTTTGAGTTCTGTGAGTCTTTCTTGCAAATCTTCAAGCCCAACTGTAGCCTTAAGAACTTCCAATGAAGCATGTAACAGGCAAGACTAATCCCGGATGGCCCCTTAAGACAGCTTACTTAAGAGACAATCTAGAAAACAGAAGAGAAAGAAGGGAGAAAAGGCCATGTTATCAAGTTGATCGTCATTGTGAATGCCCAAGGCTTGATGCTGCTGGGATATTCTAAAGAGCCATAAAGTATCTCTCACAGCTGTCTTCCTGAAGAGGAGGTAGGAGCATTTATCCATCCATCCCCACTACCATTGTATCAAGGATTTTTTTCAGAAGGATAATGACTCCCTTAAACTTTGAACATTTAGGTTGTATAGGCCATTGTAATGCCACTAGTAAAAGATGGGCTGAGAGGATGTGAAGTGGAGCATAAGAGATGTCCACTGCAGTTCACCCGTACCACAAGATCCACTGTGTCCTACATGAAGTCCAATCCAAAGCCTTCAAGATGGTGGCTGGCAACAATCTACAAAAGACTCAATTCAGGAAAGTTAATAGAACGGGTTATACTCCACACTGCTGCAGTGGTCCCAAAGCTATAGTTGGTATTTATAATCTATCTCCTCTTTCATCCATTCTAGATTCCTTTCACCCTTGGCCTGCAACCAAGGCCAGCAAAGAGCATGCTAGAGTAAAGGGAAGTTGCTACTATAGGAAATGAGCTTCCAGAACCTATGACAGGAGCTTTATGAAATGTGTTGGATTTTTATTAAAATTCAAGCTGATCCACACTGGTTCTGTTGGACCCTAGGCATGGGAATGATTGCTGGCTGTATAAATAATAACTATTTTGTGAATAATTCTCTCCACCGTTACTGGATAGAATATGTTGTATCCATTATGTGTTTTGCAGCAGGAAAAAAATTTTGAAAACTACTGATCCAGTAAACAACTAATATTATATCTGTAATCTTGATTTGAATTTAAAATTTTCTGGAAAGTAAAGGAAACATCTTGATTAAATATTATTATCCATAATATTTTAGGCAAAGAAATACTTTTTATGCTTATATAAGAATTAACCCTTTTGTTTTCTTTGTATAAATGCTGGAATCCTATTTCATAACACAGCTCACTAAGGCCCTTAACTTTTGTTTTGTTTTGTTTTGTTTTTGAGATGGAGTTGCACTGTGTTGCCCAGGCTGGAGTACAGTGGTGTGATCTTGGCTCACTGCAATCTCTGCCCCCTGAGTTCAAGTGATTCTCCTGCCTGAGCCTCCCGAGTAGTGGGAGTACAGGCACACACCACCACGCCCAGCTAGTTTCTGTATTTTTAGTAGAGATGGGGTTTCACCATGTTGTCCAGGCTGGTCTCAAACTCCTGACCTCAGGTGATCTGTCCACATTAGCCTCCCAGAGTGCTGGAATTACAGGTGTGAGGCAACAGGCCCAGCCACTAAGGCCCTTAACTTATTACAGTGTGCTAGTTACATTTAGACAACTAAATAAAAATCTTATGCCATCCAATATAAAAATAAAATCATTAGAGAAATTTAATTATAAGAAAAGCCCAGGAGAAGGAAAACCATACACAGACACCAGACATACACACAGACATACAATATTATTAATTTTTAAAATTAATATCCTACTTAAGATGTCAAAACTTAGTTTTGATAGAGGCAGACAAATGCCTAGGCAGATAGGGGGCAGATCCCCAGCAAAACCCCATCTCCAAGCTGAAGACAGTTTAAAGCCTGAAAGCCAAGCTACAAGTTAAATCCTCAGACTGGATTGAGAACTTGTCCTCCCATTTGGTGCACCTTCCTCTGATTAGTTCCCATCCTTCACCTATTTTACATATACCTACCCTTTCCTAATTGGTTTTCTACACTGTCATGCCCACCTTTGAGTGGTGTCATCCCTTTAACTTTTTTTGCATACTCACAAACCAATCAGCATGCACTCCCCATTCTGAGTCCATAAAAGGCCCCAGACCCAGCCACACAAGGGATCCATCCCCGCCCTGTCCCCTTTCCACTGAAAGCCATTTACATTGCTCAATACAATTATTCTCCACCCTCTTCACCCTCCAATGTCTTGCATATTCTCATTCTTTTTGTGCGCGGTACAAGAGCTCAGGAACAAATGTGGGTACAAGCTATAACACAGGCAAGCTGAGGCACACCAGTGTGGCTGAGGAAGGCCCTGCATGGAGCATTGCTGTCCAGGGGTCATCGGCTTGCAAAGTGAGAAGAAAAGTCCTGCATCCGTTTGATGTCAGGCCTATATTTGGCCAAGGGACTTGATAACAGCGCTAATCTATCCAAAGACATTAGGAAGTATTCACATTTGGTGACAATGCAATAAGATATACTTGAAAGTATTTTGCAAAAATACATAAAGATGAGATCAAACTGTAGAATGCAAGTTTTACTCTCATTGTTATTGCTATTAATATTTTTGTTCTTCAGGTCTATAGTTTCTTATCTAAAACCCTTAGGCCAGGTGTTTTGAAATTCAGAATTTAAAAAAAAGTTATAAGTAATACTGTACATTTACCACGTGTGACATAACAACCCCATTTAGTCTGAGGAAGAGCTCTGTAACAAACATATTAATAATTATGCAACAAAATATATGATTATTCACACTAAATTAAATAAATAAGAGCCATGAAAAATCATTACATTTCAGGCCAAGTTTTGCCAGCAAATGAATTCAAGTCAGGTCAGGTGTGAAACGAATTACAAAACCTACTTTGGGGCTTTTTAAACTTCAGAATTGCAAATATGGGTTTGTGGACTCTATCACCTTTGTCACTATATAGCTCAAGCTTTGATTATAAAATAAAAATATCACCTGTGCACAGAGTGTTTGCTGAGTGTTGGTGCTTAAAACGTCCCATTCGCGGAGGAAATGGAATATGCTTTCTCACTAGAGCTGGCTCCCAGACTTTGCCATTTATTAAGTGTGTTTCCTTGAGAAAGTCACCTTCTCTGAACTTTATTTTTCTCATCTATAAAATGTGTATGGTAACTCTGTAGACCCTTGACATTCCCATGGGTTATATCTTGAGATCGTATGAAACCACAAACTTGTGAATATCAACAGATAATATAATTTCTCACAAAATTTAGTAAATTGTCACTGAGCCCAGTTGTTTATCAACTAGCTAATGTGTTGCCACTCATAAGTAGTGGGCAGTCTAGATGGCGGAGTTTATAGAAAATGATTGCTCAGGCCAGGTGCGGTGGCTCATACCTGTAATCCCAGCACTTTGGGAGGCTGACACAGGCAGATCACCTGAATTTAGGAGTTCAAGATCAGACTGGCTAACATAATGAAACCCTGTCTCTACCTAAAATTAAAAAATTAGCCAGGCATGGTGGTGCATGCCTGTAATCCCAGCTACTTGGGAGTCTGAGGCAGGAGAATCGCTTGAACCTGGGAGGCAGAGGTTCCAGTGAGACAAGATTGTGCCACTGTACTCCAGCCTGGGTGACAGAGCGAGACTCCATTTAAAAAAAAATAAATAATAATGATTGTTCAAAGAGCAATTGGAATGAAAATGTTGGTTTGTTTTTGCTGTTTCAAATGCAACACATCTTGGTTATTTAAGCAGAGATACAAACTTAGTTTCTATATATGCAGCTATATTTTGTCTTGGGCAAGACACATTCATGAGAAGAGTCCAAATGTGAAAATAAAATATGTGGCTAAGCTTGGACTTTTGATAATATCAAAGTGGTTTTAAAGGTCTCTACTTGAAAAAAAAAAAAACTGTGCACAGAGAGTTTTGAAAACAGTAGTCATTTACATCTAGTAACTTTATTTGAACTTGTAATTTCTCTAAGAAGTTGAAAAGAAATAGTTATACATTTTAGATAATGGCTGCCAAAGCATGAGAACTTTAAATACTTAAATGTGCAGAGAGTTCATTCATAAGCCAAACTTTTACAAGCTTTAAAATTTCACTTTTAAGTTACTTGCACTCCTCCTGTACAAAAAAAGGCATTTGGAAATAAACATTCCACTGATGTTATTTTTAATCAAATACATTGACAGGATACTTTTTATGATGATTAAGAGTCCTTCACTTGGGGAGATAACAGGATTCAGGGACTGTCTAGAGCCATTTACGTTTACAATCCAACTGAGTTTAAGTTAAGTGCTGATCATGAATCTAGAGGGCATGATAAAGTTAAATAACTTGGAATGCCTAGAGTGTGACATTTTTTGGTGTATAAGATTCAAAAGTGGGTTAAATGAATTTTGAGATTTCACAATTAACAATCAAAAAAGTAACACTTCAATTCCATCTCAGACCTAGAGAATTAAAATGACTCTCATGAAATCACACCCTCATGAAGTAGAAGATCACAGAATTAAATCATCAATCAAATCTTGGGAAGAAGGGAGATATTATCCACTTGATATCTGTATAAGTTTTAAATGAGTACTATATGTGCTTGGAAATGAAAATCTGCTGTTCCAGCCTGGACAACAAAATGAGACCTCATCTCTACAAAAAATGAAAAAGTTAGCCAGGCATGGTTGCATGGGCCTATGGTCCCAGCTACATGGGAGGCTGAGGCGGGGAGATCACTTGAACCCAAGAGGTCAAGGCTGCAGTGAGCTGTCATTGTGCCATTGCACTCCAGCCTGGGTAACAGAGTAAGACCCCATCAAAAAAAAAAAAAAAAAAAAAAAAAAGTGGAGAAAGTGGAGTTTGAGACCAGACTGGCCAAAGTGGTGAAATTCCGTCTCTACTAAAAATACAAACATTAGCTGAGTGTGGTGGCCCACGCCTATAATCCCAACTATTTGGGAGGCTGAGGCACAAGAATTGCTTGCACTCAGTAGGCAGAGGTTTCTGTGAGCTGAGATCGTGCCACGGCACTCCAGCCTGGGTGACAAAGCAAGACTCTGTATCCAAAAAAGAAAGAAAGAAAAGAATGAAAGTCTGCTGTCAAATCTACTGACAAGCAATGGAAGTCTTCTCTTCTCTGTCCCAAGAGAATGTTAATAGTTCTTAGGGATGATGTTTAAAATGAACTGTTTTCTCTAGACTGTCCTTTGACATAATAAGAATGAGAATGGTCAGTTATCTTGTGTGACTGGGTCTAGATGGTATCCTTATTGTGCTTTTTGAAAAATGGCAATGATTATAGATGAGAATGCTAATACTTGATAGGTGTGATATCACTAATAAATATAAAAACTTATTTCTAAGACAATAAAAAATACATTAGAATTTTATTTTCCAAGATGCTGTTTTTTTAATTTATTTATCTATGATCTGGGGCAAATTATTTAATTTCCTTAAGATATTGAAAATAATACTAATGATTTAAAAGAATTTGATTACAGTAGCTCTAATAGCTCTCTTAGACTGTTTTGTGCTGCTATAACAGAATACCACAGGCTGGGTAATTTATAATACACAGAAGTTTATTTGGCACCTGCTTCTGGAGGCTGGGAAGTCCAAGATTGTGGAATGGGCATCTGGTGAGGGTCTTCTTGCTGCATCAGCCCATGGTGGAAGGCAGAAGGGCAAAAGAGCACTCGCAAGAAAACAAGAGATTGAATTTGCAGCCTCAAGCCCTTTTAAAGTTGGCATTAATCCATTCATGAGAGTGGAGTCCTCTTGACCTGAACATCTCCCATTAGACTCCATCCACTTTCCAACATTGTTGCAATTGGGAATTAAGTTTCCAAAACGTGCTTTTTAAGGAACACATTCAAACCATAGAAATGGTTTTAAGTAGTTTCTGATGCACCTGGGATATCAAGGCACTCAGAGGAAGAAAAAAAGTTGAGTGATTTATGAATCCTTCTATTTTGCCCCTGGTAGATTCTGACTAAGAAAGACGATACAACTGATACAATCAGTATCTCGTAAGAATTCGTATTAGAATCACCCACATTAGTCAGAGAAACTCTAAATGATAACATGTTTCTCACTAGTAAGACTTGTTTTATGGGCATAGTGGCTCACGCCTATAATCCCAGTATTTTGGGAGGCTGAGGTGGGCAGATTGTTTGAGCCCCAGGGTTTGAGACCAGCCTGGGCAACATAGCAAAACTCTGTCTCTACAAGCAGTACAAAAATTAGCTGGGTGTGGTGGTGTGCACCTGTAGTCCCAGCTCCTAGGGAGGTTGAGGTGGGAGGAGCCCTTGGGCCCAGGAAATTGAGCCTGCAGTGAGCAGTGAGCATGTCACTGCACTCCAGCCTGGGGACAGAGTGAGACCCTATCTAAAAGACCTTGTAAAGAGTATGAAAAAATGAACTACAGACAGGAAGAAAATACTGGTGAATCACATATTCAACACAAAGCCTTGTATTAGACTATAGAAAGAACACTCAAAACTCAACAGTAAAAAAACTAAACAATCCAATTAGAAAGTGGGCAAAAGACAGGAACAGACATTTCCTGTCTGAAGGAAATGTCCTGTGTCCCAATGAAGAGGACACACAGATGGCAAATGAGCACCTGAAAAGATGCCCAACATCACTAGTTTTTGGGGGGAAATGCAGATTAAAACTACAACAAGATATTCCTACACACCTATCAGAATGGCTAAAATAAAAAATAGCAATAACACCAAACGCTTACAAAGATATGAAGAAACGGAATCACTCACTGCTGGTGGGAATGTAAAATGGTACAGCCACTCTAGAAATTAGTTTCTCATTCTCTAAACAAGTGCTTACTATACAACCCAGCAATTGCACTCTAGGGCATTTATTCCAGATAAGAGAAAATTTATGTCAACACAAAAACCTGTAAAAGAACATTCATAGCATCTTTTTCTTAATAGTAAAAAACCAGAAACAACCAAACGTCCTTCAGGCGAGGAAGAGTGAAATGGAATACAATAAAAAGGAACAAGCTGTTGACATACACAACTTGGATGATCTCAAGGAAATTATGCTGAGTGAAAAAAAAATCCAAAGATAACATAGTATATGATCCTATATAACATTCATAAAATAAAATAACATTCATAAAATAAAACATATAACATTCATAAAACAAAATAATATAACATTCATAAAATAAAAAATAACAAAATTATAGGGATGAAGAACAGATTAGTGGTTGCCGGGGGCTGGGGATAAGAACATGGTGGGTGGGTATGGTTATAAAAGGATAATGTGGCTGGGCACAGTGGGAAGCTCAGGCCTGTAACCCCAGCACTTTGGGATGCTGAGGCAGGAGGATCACTTGAGGTCAGGAGTTTGAGATCAGCCTGACCAACATAGTAAAACCCAGTCTCTACTAAAAATAACAAAAACTAGCTGAGTGTGGTGGTGGACACCTGTAATCCCAGCAACTCCGGAGGCTGAGGCAGGAGAATCGCTTGAACCCAGGCAGCAGGGGGGCTGGGGGCGGAGGTTGCCATGAGCCAAGATCACACCACTGCACTCCAGCCTGGGCAACAGAGCGAGATACCATCTGAAAAAAAAAAAAAAGATAATGTAAGGGAGGCTTGCGGATGGAACTGTTCTGTATCTTGACCGCGGTGGTGGTTACAAGAGTCTGCGTATTTGATAAAATTGCATAGAACTACACACTCACACAAATGAGTACATGTAAATGTGGTGACATCTAAATAAGTTCTATGGGTTGTACCAATGTCAATTTCCTGGTTTTAATATCGTGTTATTCAGGATGTTATCCTTGGGGAAAACTAAGCGAAGGATCCATAGGACCTCATTGTACATTTTTTGATAATTTCCTGTGAACCTATAATTACATCAAAGTTAAAAGTGTTTAAAAATTGGTGAGAGCTTGGGTTGTGTGTTTATGGAAAGGCCCGAATAGTAAGAGGCTATGTAGTAATTAGTATAGTAGCCTCCTTTCTCCCTGAAGAATTGGTGGGTCTAGGTCTTTGAAAGTTTGGTGGAAGAAAATGAATTCTGCTCTTTCTCATGTCTGTTCTTCCTATTTTAGACATTGCCACTCTCATTATGAAATACACACAAAATCGAATAAAACTTTAGAAGTTTTTAAAGCCCTCTCTGCTATGTGATGACTTCTGTTCCTCCTCCATTTATCATCACCAACACACTAAAATTTATTGGGTATGTATTTTGTTTCGGTCACTGTTGCAAATTTCCCAAACCCAACTTAAAAGAAAAACGGAAATTTTTGATTTACCTAACTCCAAACTCCAAAGGATGGACCTGGTTTCAGGCACAGCTGACTGTCAGTATGTTTATCAGTGTCAATCTCTCTTTCTCTCTCTCTTCATCTCTCATTGCTGGCTGGTGTCATTGTAAAACAGCCTCTCTCTATGTAAGCTATATTGTCCTTACACGTCAGATTAACAGAGAATGAGAACGCCTTCACCATAGCCCCTGCACAAATCCAGAGATTGATCCCTGAATTGTGTAAGATTATTATAGAAAGAGGGAAGGCACAGTTTTCCAAAACAGGGGTGCTGTGTAGGCCAAAAAACAAAAAATCATACACTCACATTTTAAAAATAACAAAAACTAAAGCTTTCAGAAGCTAATTATCATCCCAGTGTCTTCCACTGAGCAGGTGGTGTTGCCATGACTCAAAGTCAGATTGTCCAGCTCCACTGCTCAATCTCTCAATCATGAGGTCACACTATCTCCAAGAATCCTTGCTCTCCTGGTTAGATAATCCCAGTTCCTAATAATACCTCTATATTTTTATTTTCCACCATATGCTAATTGACTCTTTATCAATTCCAGGTTCTCGTCTCCCAAATTGACTACAACAAAATAGGAAATAGAACTCAGGAAGATTCTAAGCAACGGTTTATACAGTGAAAGATTGTTCATTATTCCAGTATAGTTTAAGGGTATATCACCATTTATGCATATGTGCTTAAAGTTTGAATAATAGTATAAATAGAAGCTTCATAAATCAGATTATTTATTTCCCTGATTCATTTACATAAATTCTGTAGTGCCCACTATGTGCCAAGTTATCTTGACACCACCAAGAACTTGAGATATTAGAAGAATATAAAAGCAAATATAAAATGAGTGTTTTTAAAAGGATAAAAGGGATTTAAAACCTTACTTGGAGTTCTCACTCTACTAAAAGGAGACAGATAGACAATAAGCAAATGAAGAATTATCTAGATATAGACATATAGTATGGTATTATCAGGAGGCTGTAAGTGCTCAGGGGGAAAAAGCTATGCAAAGGAGAAAGGAAGTGCTGAGAGGAAGGAAGTTTTTGTTAACTATCAGGTGATCAAGGAAGGAAGATGTCATCAATAAGATAACATACTATCTACCTCAAATGCCTTTCCCAGTATAGAATTAACTCCGTATACCTGAAGATCTCTAAGATAGAGTAATAATGATGTGGTGGGATAGAATAGGAGTTAGAAGCAATTCTTTGATATTTTTAAATTTTAACTTTAATTTTTCTATTTTTGTAGAGACAGGGTCTCCCTATGTTGCCCAGGCTGGTCTGGAACTCCTGGGCTCAAGCAATCCTCCCACCTCGGCCTCCCAAAATGTTGGCATTACAAGGGTGAGCCACCATGTTAAAAAGGGAATAAAAGTATAGGAGGAGAGAAGGATGAAAGCAAAAAAGTTCAAGTTGGTTTTATTTGATCAACAATTGCCACCAATCAATTGTTGGCAATTGAACCAATAGACATTAAACATATATTAGGTTGGTGCAAAAGTAATTGAGGTTTTGCCATTACTTTGCACCAAACCAATAGATGTCATAATAGAGAAGACCAGAGATGACCCGCTTGCAAACCTACTCAGTTAATACAATGATTGCCTTACATTTTTTTTCAGTTTTCTCTAAGAAGTAAATATATTGTCTATTTTTGCTTTTTCCCTTTAAACTGTTTAAAAACTTTAAAATTATGGTTGAAACTTGGGAAGATTGAAAGCAGCTTACATCTGAATTCACACTAATGGATGAAAACATAGAAAAAGGACATGTGATTAATTTTTTAGAAAAAAGGAATTTGATTACAGATGAACAAAGAGAATAAGCTGCTCAACACTGGCTAATTTTATTCTCAGAAATTTCTTAAATTTCTTAAAATAATATCAATTACTATTTAATTTAGAGCAACATAACATGCATATTTATACAATTTTCAGCATTTCATATCTGTATTAAAAAATACAGATATTTTTTACTTAAAAAATCAGAGCTTAAATTATTTGTGATACTGGAGATAAAATGAGTAGTGATTACCCCTTTTATAACATTAACTAACATGTCACTTATTTTTATACTCAGAAATTCATTCCAGGTATCTTTCAATTATTTAAACTTTTTAAAAAACATCAAATTATACCAACTATTTTTCTCTTCACTTTTTTCAATCACTTTTGCCCAAATGCAATAAAAATTTTGATCTGAACATGTCTATATAAAAACTGTATATATTTTTTCATAGATACCAGATGCCTTTAGAAAATATAATAATGTTTTGATTTATTTTTAAATAGATTGAAAATTAGTCTAGCAATAGAAAAGTGGCTATACTGTGTAGAAATAATAAAAATTACTTTATCATTTGTCCTTGTATTTTTATAGCTATCATTTAATTTTAGGTTCCATTTTTACAACACTTCATAGGTCTAGAAATATCTGTTTTTTTGCCAGCTTTGTCCAGATGTGATTTATAAATAAGTCAAGAAAATCTAATAAATTTTTCCTTAGGGGGTATTAATATTTTCATTGCAATTTAAGGAACAAGAAAAGATTCTGCCTTCAATGGACTGAATTTTTTTTAATGTCATGTTCCAAATTTGCAGTGACATTGCTGCTTTTCTTTAATGGCTTTACTCTCAGAACATCTATCATGTGAAAATCTAGCCTTGTGGGCATCAATGTAAACGTAAAAAGCCATTGACTTTGCTTTTTAAAAAATTCTCTTATTACTTTTCTCAAAAGAAATTTATTTCTCAAGGTTCTCTCTGAGATATACCCATGCTACTTTCAGATGGCATCTTAACCTTCCATGGCCAGCACTTAGAGAATTCATCAAAACTATCCCCACCTGCAATGCTTCATGACCCCAAGAGGCTGAAGAGATGAAACCTCTTTTGCAAAAGAATGACTCTTGAACTTTCATACAAATCTTTTATTTGCCATTAGCCCATCAGTCCACACTACATTCACTGGGTGAATCTAAAAAGAACCTCAAAAGGAAGGACTTTTCATAATGTTCCTTATTATTTTTGTAAATGGTTTAAAATTAATTTTAGCAAGTGATTAGAGAAATAAGAAAAGTTTTCCTTTCCTGTAAAGGATGTTGTATTTCTTACAATTACATGAACTGTTGTGTCATTATCAGGGCAAAGTTAATTATCCTACAACAGGAAGTCTTAAGAAACATCAATTTATTTGGTCTATAGTCTTCCATTTCTTGTATTCATTGTACTTTTCATTGTCTTTTAGAAGAGCATTTCTCCTGGGATGATTTCTCAGTACAGTTCAGTTCATTCAAAAGTCCTTCTAAATCAATATTGTTAAAATGTTCATACTACCCAAAGCAATCTACAGAGTCAATTCAATCCCTATTAAAATACCAGTGATATTCTTCATAGAAGTAGAAAAAAAATCCTAAAATTTATATGGAACCACAAATGAACCAGAATAGTCAATGCTATCCCGAGCAAAATAACAAAACTGGAGGAATTACATTACCTGACTTCAAATCATACTACAGACCTATAATAACCAAAACAGCATGGTACTAGCACAAAAACAGACATACAGACCAATGGAACAGAGTAGAAAAGCCAGAAACAAATCCATATATCTAAAGTCAACTCATTTTTGACAAAGTTGCCAAGAACATACATTGGAGAAAGGACAGTCTCTTCAACAAATGGTGCTTGGAAAACTGACAATCCGTATGCAGAAGAATAAAACTAGACTTCTGTCACCACATACAAAAATCAAGTCAAAATGGATTAAAGACTTAAATCTAAGACCTCAAGCTATGAAACTACTAAAAGAAAACATTAGGGAAACTCTCCAGGACATTGGAGTAGGCAAAGATTTCTTGAGTAATACTCCACAAACACAGGCAACCAAAGCAAAAATGCACAAAGGGCTAAAAAACTTCATCAAGTTAAAAAGCTTCTGCACAGCAAATGACACGATCAACAAAGTGAAGAGACAATCCACAGAATGAGAGAAAATATCTGCAAGCTATCTATTTGACAAGAAATTAATAACCAGAATATATATGAAGCTCAAACAACTCTATAGGGAAAAAAATCTAATAATCCAATTTAAAAATGGGCAAAGGATTTGAGTAGACATTTCTCAAAAGGAGACCTATAAATAGCAAACAGGTATATGAAAAGGTGCTCAACATCATTGATCATCAGAGAAATGCAAATCAAAACTACAACGAGATATCATCTCACCTCAGTTAAAATGGCTTATATCCAAAAGACGGACAATAACAAATGCTGGCAAGGATGTAGAGAAAGAAGAACCTTTGTAACACTGTTGGTGGGAATGCAAATTAGTACAACCACTATGGAGAACAGTCTGAAGGTTCCTCAAAAAGCAAAAAATAGAGGTACAATATGATCCAGCAATCCCACTGCTAGGTATATATTCAAAAGAAAGAAAATCAGTATGCTGAAGAGATATCTGCACTCCATGTTTATTACAGCACTATTTACAATAGCCAAGATTTGGAAGCAACCTGTGTCCATCAACAGATGAATGGATTAAAAAATGTGGTACATATACACAATGGAGTACTATTCAACCATAAAAAGAATGAGATAGTGTCATTTGCAACAACATGGAATGGAACTGGAAGTCATTATCTTAAGTGAAATAAGCCAGGCACAGAAACACAAACTTCCTGTATTCTCACTTATTCGTGCGAGTTAAAAATTAAAATAATTGAACTGAAAGAGGTGGAGACTAGAATGATGGTTACCAGAGGCTGGGAAGGCTAGTAGGGGAGGGGAGGAAGTGGGGATGGTTAAAGGGTACAAAAAATAGAAAGAATGAATTAGATCTAGTATTTGCTAGCATAACAGGGTGACTAAAGTCAATAATAATTTAATTGTACATTTAAAAATAACAAAAAGACTATATGATTGTTTGTAACACAAAGGATAAATGCTTAAGGTGAAGGATACCGCCTTTACCCTGATATGGTTATTACTTATTGCATGCCTGTATTAAAATGTCTCATATATCCTATAAATATGTATACCTACTATGTGTCCACAAAAATTAAAAAAACAAAAACAAAAGACAAATTCCTTCCAAATCAAGAGATTTTCCTGCAAGCAGAGAGGTTGATATCTACATAGTTTGAAGCAACCCCAATGGGAACCCCATAGTTATAGAAACACCAATAATCCTAATTATCAGTTATAGTAATCCTAATTATCAGTTATAGTAATCCTAATTATTGGGGTTACTATATATTATGAAATGTTATGAATTAGGATTATTGAGGTTACCATAGAGCTTATGACATATTAGTGTTGAAAGAGAACTCAGTTATAAAAAAGGAATTCTATCCAGATGCCAAAGGCTTTTGTGGAGAGGATTGAAAGGTATCCTGTCATTAAATGATAGTTATCCACCTTCGGAAGCAAACAGGCCCCCAATCACTTGGTCAGTTTCCTGTAATTGTCACAAATGACTGTCTGTTCTAGAGTCTGAGCTCTGTCGCTCCACAATTGGCTTCTATCCTGAACTCTATTTAGAGATCACAGGCTAAATTGGGTCTTTGGAGTACTTCGCTTTCAACTTCCATAACTTCAGTGGAACTTTGACTTCTTAGTATTAGACATCCTTAAGCAAAAACTTTCCTCTGCATTTCAAATTTGAAATTAGGGTAGTATTTCTTTTTTTTTTTTTTTGAAGAGGAGTCTCGCTCTGTCGCCCAGGCTGGAGTACAGTGGCGCGATCTCGGCTCACTGCAAGCTCCGCCTCCCAGGTTCACGCCATTCCCTGCCTCAGCCTCCCCAGTAGCTGGGACTACAGGCGCCCGCCACCCCGCTCGGCTAATTTTTTGTATTTTTAGTAGAGACGGGGTTTCACCATGTTAGCCAGGATGGTCTCCATCTCCTGACCTCGTGATCCGCCTGCCTCAGCCTCCCAAAGTGCTGGGATTACAGGCGTGAGCCACCGTGCCCGGCCAATTAGGGTAGTATTTCTAAATGGCTCAGCCTGCATCAGCATAAGCAGTGAATAGTAGGACATTGGGAAGATATATTGTCTTAGTCAATTTGGGCTGTTATTTAAAAATACCATAGGCCAGGCATGGTAGCTCACGTCAGTAATCCTAGCACTTTGGGAGGCTGAGGTGAGAAGATCACTTGAGCCCAGGAGTTGGAGACCAGGCTGGGCAACATAGGGAGATCCTATCTCTACACAAAATAAAACTATCTGGGTGTGGTGGTACACACCTGTAGTCCCAGCTACTTGGGAGGCTTAGGTGGGAGGATCACTTGAGCCTGGGAGACTGAGATTGCAGTGAGCTGTGATTATGCCACTGCACCCTAGCCTGAGTAACAAAGCGAGACCTTGTTAAACACAAAAAACAAAAAACAAAAAAACCATAAACTAAGTGGCTTATAAAGAACGAAAATTTATTTCTCACAGTTTGGAGGCTGGGAAGTCCAGGATGAATGCACTGGCAGATTCAGTGTCTGGTGAGGGCCCACTTCCTGGTTCACAGATGGCTGTCTTTCTGCTGTTTCCTCATCTGGTAGAATGGGTAAGGGAGCTCTCTGGGGCCTTTTTTCTAAGAGCACTAATCCCATTCATGAGGGCTCCACACTCACTATCTAATCATCTCCCAAAGGCCCTACCTCCAAATATCATCACATAGGGATTAAGATTTCAACTTACGAATTTTGGGGGAATACATTCAGTCTATAGCATGTATGAAAGGGTGCAGGTGGTCTTAGAGATGATAAAACAGAACACAGAACTTTCAGAATTTTGAGAGTCTATATATGGCTGACACTTGAATGCTCATTAAATGGGTGAATACACATCCTGTAAAGCATTTATTCGTAGCAGGTTATTATTATTTCACTGATAGTATCCACTGTCCACTTTTTAGATAATGATGCTGTTCTTAGTTAAGAGTCATATCAAAGTGAGTGTAAAGACCAATGCTCTCTACTTGGCTTTTATAAAGTATTTTCTGCCCTGAAAAAATTAAAGCTAGGAATTACAGCAGAGTCATTGATGCAGACATGTCTTTGGTGAATGCCTTCGTGAAGTGGGAGAGGAGCATTTTAAGTTACTAAGAACATCTAGGACTATGTGATAAAATTTGGATATTTCATGCCAAAAATAGACAAATTTTGCTTGTGCTACGATGCAAAGACTGCCACCATCCAATCCAACATGTTATTATAATATGTGACCTAGATTTCATTCTTTCTTCAAAGTTGAAATATTATTCACATTATAAAATTCATCCTTTTACAGTGTACAATTCAATGGTTTCTAGTCTATTCACAAGGCTGTACGACTGTTACTACTGTCTAATTCCAGAACATTTTCATCACCCCAAAAGGAAAACATTATACTTAGAAGCAGTCACTCTCACCAGTCCCTGAAAACCACTAATCTATTTTCTGTCTCCATGGAGTTGCTTATTCTAGACATTACACATAAATGGAATCATACAATATGTGGCCTTTTGTGTCTGGCTTCTTTCTCTTGGGATAAGTGTTTTCAAGTTTCACGTAGGTTGTAGCATATATCAGTACTTCGTTCCTTTTGGCCATGGCATGAGCTTCTGCAGTATCCTCTTACCTGGTCTTCCTGCTTCTATTCAGGTCCCCCAGAGCCTGCTCTTCACTGAAGCTGGAGTGATCTTTTTCAAATATAATTCAGATCATCTCACTCCTCTTCTTTAAATCCTCCAAAGGCTTCCCATTTTACTTAGAGAAAAATCTGAACTCATTATTATGGCCTCTAAGACTCATCAATGATCAAGACCCTACCCTGCCTACTTCACTGACCTCAGCTCCCCACACTCCATTCAGTCACTCCGTGCCAGCTACAGTGGCTTCCTTCTGCTCCTTAAAGCTTTGAGACTTGTTTCTGCCTTGGGACCTTTGCACTTGATGGTCCCTCTGTCTGGGGTTCCTTTTTCACAGTTCTTCCCATAACTCATTCCTTCTCATCATTCAGGCCTCCCATAACCCCTCCTCAGAGAGGCATGCCTAGTTGATCCTAGCTCAAGTATCTTTCCCCCAACTGCCAGCCACCTTCTATTATTTCATTACCCTGGTTTAATTTCTTTTATAGCATTTGCTACTAGCTGAAATTGCTAATTTTAAAATTTACTTTCTTATTATCTGACTCCCTTGAAAATCTGCCAGCTCCAAGGCAGAGACATCACTGCTATATCCCAAGCTCCCAGAATGGAGCCCAGTTCGATTAATATTTGAAGGACTTCATGACTTCACCTTGCCTAGAACCCTTAAATTTGCCAGATCTTGCCTCTACTCTTAGTTCCTGAAGCTGGATCTCTTTGCTTATTACTAGACTTCCCTATGGCCAACTGACTGTATATGTGTATATATGTATGTGTGTATATATGTATGTATGTATATATGTATTCATTCATTCATTCATCCACTCATAGAGACACAGTTTCACTCTGTTGCCCAGGCTGGAGTGTAGTGGCACAATCATAGCTCACTGCAACCTCAAATTCCTGGGCTCAAGCAATCCACCTGCCTCAGCCTCCTGAGTAGCTAGGACTACAGGTGCACGCCACTGCATCCAACTAAATTTTCTTCTTATGTTTTGTAGAGATGAGGTTTCATTATGTTACCCAGGCTGGTCTTGGACTCCTGGCCACAAGTGATCCTCCTACCTTAGCCTCCCAAAGCTTTGGGATTACAGGCATGAAATACCACTTAGTTGCCTGACTGGTTTCCATCTATTGCTGACTCTCTCATTCTCCTGATATCCCACTCTCCTCCCCTTCTTAATCCTTTCCATGACAACTTTTCTAGACATCTCTATCACAAGCTAGTAGGTCTTGCTAATCTGCAGGCCCTTGACCAATTGAACCTTCATTGTTATAGATTGTCAGCAGAAAGCAAAGTCCAGTTTCCAATTTGTGGTGAAGAATGCAAGAGATAATAGGTGAGAGGAATCAGCATGGCATTAAGAATCAAACTTTCAATCTGATACAGAATAAATGGAAATGCTCTCAAAGCTGTTATATATGGATATACAAGCTCAACTTAAATGAATGTGAATTTAGAAGTACAGATTGGAATGTCTGTAACTAAATTATCAAGGGACCACTTCAGTGATCTGGGATTTCACTTCTTTGCAATGCTTGGACAAAGGGGTACCTGTGGAATCAGCTTCCATTTAGTCATCTGTTCCCAGAGGAATCCAGTGCCTATCTGCCCCCACTTTCCCTACTCCCCTATCTATTTTCTCGTATCATTCAAGTCACATAATGGCATGACCTTCAAGCCTGCAAGTCTTTTCCTGAACATTTCTTCAAAAATAACAACTCATATTAAAAATAATGGAAGAAATAGGGAGAAAATATTTGCCACATATTTAATCAAACAAATGTTCCCAAATACATAAAGCATTGTTATAATGAATAAGAAAAAAGCTAACAACCCAATGGGGGAAAATGGGCGAAATAAATTTCCACTGAGATATTTCACAGAAGAGGAAGCAATAATGGCCAATAATTCGTGGAAAATTACTCAACCTCTTTAGTAAACTGGAATTGCAAATTAAGTCCACAATAAGAAGTCACACTCGCTGGGCTCGGCAGCTTATGTCTATAGTCCCAACACTTTGGGAGGCTGAGGCAGGGGGATTACCTGAGGTCAAGCGTTCGAAGACCAGCCTGGCCAACATGGTGAAACTTCATCTTTACTAAAAATACAAAAATTAGCCAGGTGTGGTGGTGCACACCTGTAGTCCCAACTACTTAGGAGGCTGAGACAGGAGGATCCCTTGAACTGGGAGGCAGAGGTTGCAGTGAGCCAAGATCGTGCCACTGCACTCCAGCCTGGGTGACAGAGTGAGACTCCATCTCGGAAAAAAAAAAAGAAAAGAAGTCACACTCACCAGACGGACAAAGGTTTTTGCATGAATGAATAGCCATGGAAACTTCATTCATGGTTGGTGGGAATGTAAATTGGTATAACACTTTGGAAAACAATGTAAAACAGAGTTTAGCTAGATCATCCCCTGTGACCTAATAACTCCACTCCTGGGAATATTCCTCAGAAAACTCTTGCACATGTACACTAGGGGGCATGTACAAGAACATTCCAAGCAGCCTGGTTCATGCAGGAAAAGAAAAAAAAAAACCTTTAATACACAAGTTGCTTATTTTGCTGAGCTGCTGGGGATATAAAAAACATTGAGCCCACTGTTTGAGGCTTCTCTGCTCTGGCTGACATTTCACTCTCACACTGGCTGCTGGGACTGGTGATCTTTCAGAGCACCTCTGGGAGACACCAGGAAGAAGGTCACGGGGAAGCAGAGCCATGTTCACTTGCTTGCATCTGTAGGTCATTTACATCCTTTGTGCTTTCTTTTTTTTTTTTTTTTTTTTTTTTTACTACTTTGGTAATAAATCAAAGTACAAGAACCTTGAATCCAGTATTTTCTCACCCATCCTTGAACTTGGACCAGACGCTAAAATCCAGCCTTTCTTACATGCTTCCTGTGTATAAAGAACTTAAAGAAGGTGGCCATTATTTTTTTTTTACCTAATCTATCAGGTTTTCTCCTGCCTCTCTTCGTATTTCTGACAGAGCACTATCCCAATCTGCCTTGTAATTCAGCTATTTGAGTAAGGGTTTAGGGTCCTTTACCAAATTGTAACTGTCACTAAATCTTGTATCCCCAAAGCTCGGGTCTTGTTTACAGTAGGTTGAACTGTATGTGCCTGATACATTAAAACTCTTGATTGAGGGAGAAGTATCTTGGTGGAGTAGAATAGCCAGTGGCTTCCTTACATGCTGACAGCCTTGAGCAGATTGTTTAATCTCTCCTGGCATCATAATGAGAATTTCAGTACTTTTACATCCCAGAGATGCCATGAATATTAAATAAAATAGCATGAGAAAATGCCTGACGCAAAAATGCCCCTTCAAAAATGTTAATGTACTTCCTGCCCTTTCCTCAGCGTTCCTCACCTTTCAAAGGGAGGTCAAATAAGACCGGTTTTCGCCGGTTTTCACACACTGGGGCCTATGGCGCGGGGGAGAGGGGGCGGGGAGGGGCGGTGCGGGGGCAGGAGGAGCATCAGGAAAAATAGCTAATGCATGCTGGGCTTAATTCCTAGCTGACGGGTTGATAGGTGTAGCAAACCACCATGGAACACGTTTAGCTATGGAACAAACCTGCACATCCTGCGCATGTAACCCCGTAACTTGAAATAATAATAATAATAATAATAAAGACCAGTTTTCCCTCTTTCTATAGAAGGAAATTAGGATGTATTAGCTGGTGTCCTGGAAGAGGCTGCTTCCTGAACGTTTCCAATCAAGGAAATAAAGGAAAGTATAGAGATGGAAAGAGGGAGTCAGGTCACGGTAGAAATCAGGATGCAATAGCAGCAGAAATGCATAGAAAAAGGAGTTTCCTTAGGCTTGGAAATCCGTAGGATAACCAGCGCTCCAGACCAGTTAGAAATGTGTGTGTGTGGTCAAGCCCCAGCAGTCCTTTCTTCTTTGTCCTTTATTAACAGGCAACTGCATTTCCCTAAGGGGTCTGTGATTTTGCAGGAATTTGGGGGAGGGTCGATAGCATCAACATCACAGTTGAACCAACACTGCCCTGATATGCACCAGGCATTGCGCTTGGAACTGGGGATAAACCGGGGAACAAAACAGAGGTGCTTCCACAGAGGTGCGTACTAGTGACTGCCGGAGCTCTGGAAGAGGTGAAGGAGAAAGGGTGTCCCACGTAGACCCAGGACACCAGAGAGCGTCGCCACTACCAAGTTTAAAAACTCAGACGGCCTGGTTTGCCATCCACACCCTGTTCCCAGTCCAGTCCTTCCAAAGGTGGGAATGGTGCATTATTTAAATTCCATTCTCTTTATCCCAGAGCGAAAATGCGTGGTACTCGGGTCAGAAACTCAGGCTAGGGGGCTCGGGTCCTGCTGCAGGGTGGGGCGCGGGCAGGCAGCGGGGCGGGGTGAGGCGAGGTAGGCCGGGGGCGGCAGGCGGCGAGGTGACGCGCGGCGGGGACCGCGCAGCCCAGCCCACTTGTGCGCGAGATTTAAAAGTTGGCGGCTCGCCGGGCGCTCAGTCCTGTGTCCGGGCCCCGAGGCACAGCCAGGGCACCAGGTGGAGCACCAGCTACGCGTGGCGCAGCGCAGCGTCCCTAGCACCGAGCCTCCCGCAGCCGCCGAGATGCTGCGAACAGAGAGCTGCCGCCCCAGGTCGCCCGCCGGACAGGTGGCCGCGGCGTCCCCGCTCCTGCTGCTGCTGCTGCTGCTCGCCTGGTGCGCGGGCGCCTGCCGAGGTAAGACGGCCCCGCACCCGGCCGCTTCCACGCCATGCGCGCCTCTCTCTGGCTCCACTCACCGCTCTCCTCCACCCTCTTTCTCTCACCTTTACTTGGCTTCTGGGACTTCACTTGGCTTCTCTGGTGCCGCGGGGTTTCCCGCCTCCCAGGCACAGGTCGCCTCCCCAGGGCAACTAGCGACGTAGGAGCAAGGGGCCCGGCCAGGGCCGAAATACCCAGGCCCTGCTCGTTGATGCCCAGCGGAGACCCTGCGCCGGGCCGGCTGCGATAGATGGAGACTGGTAGGGTTCCCTCATCCTCGGGATTTCCAGACCCCCCGGCCCGTGGAAACGGGTACTAAAATAGTGAACATTAAAATGTTTTCCCTTTGATTGCAATTATTGGAGAGATTGATGGTTGAAGCAAAACAAGAGTGAGTTTGATACTTCATCCGCTGAGGCAAGGTAAACTTGGCGAGTGCTCAGCCTCTTTGGTGAGTGAGCTAGTGTTATGCTGAGATAAACCTGAGCGGTACAACGGGCCCCACGCTAACCGCTTAGAAGGGAAGGAGTGGGCTTTGTGCCTTATCGGTTTTCAGGCACTAGATCAGGAAAAGGAATAGAGAACTTCTCATCACATAAAGTCGGAGAGGCAAGTGTGCAAGCCAGGCTTTCAGGCAGTGCGACAGCTACAGCAAGTGATGGCAGATGTGATTTGATAACAATAGGGACATGCTGAGCTTGGCTTAGAGGGAAGAAATAGGAAACGCAAGGTCAGGGAAGGAGATCTGAAGCTTTGGAGACATAGCCGAGCAGAACGCAAACGTTCCAGGGGAGATATCATTTTCTGGGTTCTCTAAGGGTTACAGCTTACGTTTGCAGGTGCCTTATGGGGACCGTCATTCATCCCCAAGTCAGGGTTCCCTCCATTGCCAACCACTGCCTGGCTATACATTTTCTAGCTTGGCAGAAGGTTCTCTTAGCTTCCCTCTGCTCTCCTGTCGTGAGGTAAAAGTGGCAGACTGTTGTGTCATTGTTCAGAACGTTGGGTACTTAAAATCACAACTGCAGAGCCTGTAGTCCAGCCCTCAATTAGAGATGGGGAAATAGAGACCATTATTCTTTTCCTAATCTATGTATTTTTATTATTCTCCTCTCATTGTTTTGATTTTGTCCTTTCCTGAGGCATTGGAGGGGGGTGTGTGTGTGAGAGAGAGAGAGACAGAAAGAGAGACTCCCCTACTTGAAAAGCAAGATAACTTGGCTTTGAAATCCAGGCAGTCAGAAGCTAGCAGACCTAAACCTTCTCCACATAGCCAGTAGTGATACAACATGACTTTCCCCCAAGGTAAATGTTCATCTTTTAGGATTTTAAATATATTATTGGTAACTTAGGATGGTAATCTTTATCTGCCTTCTTAAGGATGCTGATAAGCATAGTTTGAAAACTGACTTTGCTATGTAAAGAAAATGGCTTTCTATGCATTTGCATGCTATATGCTTGCAGTGAATTTTGCATGCAGTGAAATTTGCATCAGAGATAACTGCCTTGGGGTGGGTTGGAGAATTTCAGACTGCTGTTGATTGAACAGTAACTGTAGAAGGCAGCAGCTGGTTCCTAAAAGAGATGAGTCTTGGTTTATATTTCCAAAAGAGCATATCTGCTGACATACCAATCGTCTCATAAACATCCCCAATATTTTTCAAGTAAAAGAATGAGATACTTCTTTTACTACCCAGAGGCCCCTAGATTGCCCTTTTGTGTCTTCATTCCCCTTCAGACCTGCTCTGAATACTAAAAAAACTAATTTTATCTCTTTAAAAATGTGGTAGGAAGGGCAGAGGGTGAATAGCCATGTGATCTGCCCCAGTCCTGAATCCCTAAAGATGGCACCGAGGGGGGCGTGACATACATAAACAAAACCCAGAGATTATCTACCATGATCAATCATCATGCAAGATGCAACTGGATGCCTCGAAAAACAACATAACAAATGTCGCAACGCCAGAGGAAAATAAAAGTGTCACTAAATGCAGCATCCTTGGCAAAAAACAAACAAACAAAAAACAATTAGAGCATACAATGGCCATGCGAAGATAAAGGGTCAGCCACAGATTCAGTGGGTGGAAACAATTTACTATTCAGAGAACACTAGTAAAATAAAGAAGGAAACTTCCTATAAGAGGAACACATTTTGAATATCTGCAACAAACTGTTACTTGATTTTGCCTGTGACAATAAGTTATCAAATGGTCAAGACTAAGTTAAGGAGTGTCTTTTCCTGCCCAGGCCTCTTGCTCATAGAATAATTCTTAATGTTCACTTGGCAGTAACGATTTCTCACTTCCCAATCCGACAGTGAAGTACATACTCACAATGAGAAAAGAAAATTGGTGCTACTTTTAGAATAATCAGGTCTGTCTTTCTTATACATAATGTACTTACGGATATACAAGTTATTATTTCCAGCGTATACTGTGTAAGAATGAAGATTTCACTTTAGTAGATAGTAATGAAGTATAAATATCTTGAAGTTTCTCAGTGAAACTTATCAAAAACAGTACAGTTTTTATGATACAGGCACTGTCTCTGAAAACATGGAAAGTGACCTAATTACAGTATTGCTCTTTGACAGTATGAAGTCCATATCCAGAATGAAAATCACATTGACTCTAATTAACACATAGACAAAAAAAAAGAATAACTCCTCCTTATGTTTGGGTTCAGTCATAGGATATTAGTCGCTTTCTTTTTTTTTTTTTTCTTTTTTGTTGGAGACAGAATCTCGATCTGTTGCCCAGGCCGGAGTGCAGTGGTGCCATCTGGGCTCACTGCAAGCTCCGCCTCCCGGGTTCATGCCATTCTCCTGCCTCAGCCTCCCGAATAGCTGGGACTACAGGTGCCCGCCACCATGCCCGGCTAATTTTTTTGTATTTTTAGTAGAGACGAGGTTTCACCATGTTAGCCAGGATCGTCTCAATCTCCTGACCTGGTGATATGCCCGCCTTGGCCTCTCAAAGTGCTGGGATTACAGGTGTGAGCCACTGCACCCAGCCAGGATATTAGTCGTTTTCTATAAATTATAGAATTTTTTTTTAATTTTGTTTCCTCTCCTTTTTTTTTTTTTTCCACAGTGAAACTGTGTTTACGTGTTTTTTAGAAGAGCCACAAAATACCCTTTTTCTATTTTATGGAAGTGCCTGGGGCTAAGTTAGGCATAGTGGCCTTTCTAAGTGGCCCATGCAAGCTTGGGAAATGGAAAGAAGCAAACTCTCCATGGTTCTGATGAGGCGGTGTGTCTGAACACAGTGAAGTTGAGGTGGAAACTTCCACTTTTACTGGGGGTCGGGGATGGTCAAAAGTATAAGAATAAAAATTAGCATTATTTAAACAGGAATGCTGTGTCAAACAGAATCTCATTTAGTGAGGTCACCAGGTGTTTTATATGGAAATTTGAGAAGCACAGCTTTATCCCTTCCTGAAAACAATGAGCTCAGGGTAGGATCTACCAGATAACTGTGACTTTGGGATATATGTTTGTGGTAGGGTGAGAAATATATAATTGAGAAGTGTGTAAGATTGTTTACCCACTTTGAATAGTTGTCCCATGAAAGGGGATTCTGTCAGGTTCTGAAATAAACCAACTCTTTTATGGACTGCATGACCTTTATAAGTTATTTCTAATGCTTAGTACCACAGAAAATGTAGTTGATTACTGTCATTATTATTGTTGTTATTAGAACTTAAATGAAATAATAGTAAAAACTTGTATGAATTCAAGGCAAGAGTTGCCTAAAACATGGTAGAATTAGGAAAAAAAAATCTATCAGGATATGCAATCAACCAGACTGATTTTCTGAGTTTTTAGGGCACCCATCATCCGAGTGGTGTACACTGTACCCAATATGTAGTCTTTTATCCCCCAACCCCCTCCTAGCCTCCACCTCCGAGTCCCCAAAGTCCATTACATTACTCTATGTTTTGTGTCCTCATAGCTTAGCTCCCACTTATAAGTGGTAACATATGGCATTTAGTTTCCCATTCCTTCACTTCAAATAATGGCCTCTGGCTCCATCCAAGTTGCTGCAAAAGACATTACTTTGTTTCTTTTTATGGCTGAGAGATAGTCCATGGTGTATATATTGACCACATTTTCTTTATCCACTTGTTGGTCAATAGGCACTTAGGTTGTTTCCATATCTTTGCAGTTGCAAATTGTGCTGCTATAAACATGTGTGTGCATGTGTCTTTTTCATATAATGACTTCTTTTCCTTTGGATGGATACCCAGTAATGGGATTGCTGGATCAAACTGTAGATCTACTTTTGGTTCTTTAAGGAATTTCCATACTGTTTTCCATAGTGGTTGTACTAGTTTACATTCCCACCAGTAGTGTAAAAGTTTTCCCTTTTTACACATCCATGCCAACATCTATTGTTTTTTGACTTTTTAATTATGGCTGTTCTTGCAGGAGTAAGGTGTTATCTTGTGGTTTTAATTTGCATTTCCCTGATGATTAGTGATGCTGAGCATTTTTTTCATATGTTTGTTGGCTGTTTGTGTATCTTCTTTTGAGAAATGTCTATTCATGTCCTTTGCCAACTTTTTGATGGGATTGTTTTTTCTCACTGATTTGAGTTCCTCATAGATTCTGGATACTAGTCCTTTGTTGGATGCATAGTTTGCAAATATTTTCTCCTACTCTGTGGGTTGTCTGTTTACTCTGCTAATTATTTCTTTTGCTGTGCAAAAGCCTTTTAGTTTAATTAGGTCCCATTTATTTATTTTTGTTTTTGTTGCATTTGCTTTTGGGGTTTTAGTCATGAATTCTTTGCCTAATCCAATGTCCAAAAGAGTTTTTCCAATGGACCTTCTAGAATTGTTATGGTCTCAAGTCTTATATTTAAGTCTTTGATAGGTCTTGAGTTGATTTTTAAGGTGAGAGATAAGGATCCACTTTCATTCTTCTGTATGTGGCTTGTCAGTTTTCCTAGCACCATTTATTGAATAGGGTGTCCTTTCTCCAATTTATGTTTTTGTATACTTGTTGAAGAATAGTTGGTTTTAAGTATTTGGCTTTCTTTCTTTGTTCTCTATTCTTTTCCGTTAGTCTAAATGCCTATTTTTATACCAGTACCATACTGTTTTGGTAACTATAGGCTTATAGTATAATTTGAAGTCCAGTAATGTGATGCCTCCAGAAGTATTCTTTTTGCTTAGTATTGCTTTGGCTGTGTGGGCTCTTTTTGGTTTTATGTGAATTTTAGGATTGTTTTTTCTAGTTCTGTAAAAAATGATGTTGGTGTTTTGATGGGAATTGCATTGAATCTGTAGATTGCTTTGGGCAGTATGGTCATTTTCATAATATTCATTCTTCCAATTCATGAGCATGAGATGTGTTTCTATTTGTCTGTAGACATAAGTAATTCGTTCTTGAGAGTAATATCTTCGTAATGTTATTAAGGTTTATTTAGTAATTATGTCTCCTTGTACTAAGTCAAATGCTGAAATATTGAAATAGGTGGGTGATGATGTACAGTGAAAAATGAAGAAAGTGTGCGAGAAAGAATTATATATGGATATTTAATTTTAGAAGAAATGCTATAAAATTAATCTGTGGCTACAACTTTATTTTTAGGTGCTCCAATATTACCTCAAGGATTACAGCCTGAACAACAGCTACAGTTGTGGAATGAGGTAAGGAACTATCATCACACAAATTTGTAGAAACTTTACCCTTCTTTGAAATTATCATGTTAAAATGTATAATTGAGCTTTGGGAGAACTATGATTTTACCAACACTCTAATAATAAAACCCAGAATTACTATTTTTATTAAATAAAAGAGAAGGAGAGAAGAAACAAAAATTTTGTAAATAAGAGAGCAGAAATAAGTCCTAATAATAGGATATAATAGAGTAATACAAGAACAGAGTAGTTACAGTAAATGTGTATGTACTTAAAAGACAGAGATTCTAAGATTGGATTTTTTTAATAGATCCAGAAATATATTGTCTATCAGTATCACACTTAAAACAGAAAACAAAAAAAAGACTAAGTATAAAAGGATGGAAAATGATATAGCAAGCAAATATAAACTGAAAGGGAATATATCTCATCAAATAGAATTCAAATGAACCATCATAACAGACAAATAAGGATCTTATATGTTAATAAAAGAAAACCAGAACAAGAAAATATAGACATCATTAATATAAACTAATAATGTAACCTTAAAATTTATTTAACAACTGATAGACCTTCAGGGAAAAAAATAGGTAAATCAACAGTTATAGTTGGAGAGTTTAATACACCTGTCTCAAAAACTGACAGTTAAAGCAGATAGCTCATAAGTAGCTATAACAACGACATAATCATACAATTAATAAATTAGAGCTACTGGAAATATTTTTCACTACTTGGGAGGCTGAAATGGGAGGATTACTTCCGCCCAGGAATTTTTTTTTTTTTTTTTTTTTTTTTGAGACATGGTCTTGCTGTCACCATGCTGGAGTGCAGTGGCTCTATCTCCGCTCACTGCAACCTCCGCCTCCCGGGTTCAAGCGATTCTCCCACCTCAGCCTCCCAAGTAGCTGGGAGTACAGGCGCACACCATCATGCCCAGCTAATTTTTGTATTTTTAGTAGAGACGGGGTTTCACCATGTTGGCCAGGATGGTCTCCATCTCTTGACCTCATGATCCACCCACCTCAGCCTCCCAAAGTGCTGGGATTACAGGCAGGAGCCACCGCACCCGACCACTTCAGCCCAGGAATTTAAGACCAGTCTGGACAACATAGTGAAACCCCATTTCAGGAAAAAAAAAAGACAGAACTATTGTTTAAAACCTGCACTAAATAGTATACACATTCTCGTTGTGTATAATTGGAGCATCTGAAAAACAGAATGTGTTAGACAGAAAGGAAGAGTCCATAAGTTAGAAAAAATATGCCTTCCAAATGTTTTCCAGTTATAATGCAATAAAATTAGAAATTAATAACAAAGTATAACAAATATCTCTTCTGTTTGGATATATATAGTATTTTGGTAAATAACCCTGGGCTAAAAAGAAAATTACAAAATTTGTTTAACAACTGATAGACCTTCAGGGAAAAAAATAAAAACATTATAACTCAAAATGTATAAGCTATAGCTAAAACAGTAGCTAGAGAGAAATTTTAGCTTCATATATATTTATTGGGGAGAAGAAAATTTAAAAACATTAATAAGCTAAGCATTCTGCTAAAAATGAGGTGAAAAAGAACAGGGAAAATTAAAAAAAAACAGGAATGAAGTAAATAATAAAAATAAGGCCGGGTGTGGTGGCTCACACCTGTAATCCCAGCACTTTGTGAGGCTGAGGTGGGTGGATCACAAGATCAGGAGCTCGAGACCAGCCCGGCCAACATAGTAAAACTTTGTCTACTAATAACACAAAAATTATCCGGGCATGGTGCCTGTAATCCCAGCTACTCAGGAGGCTGAGGCAAGAGAATCACTTGAGCCTGGGAAGCGGAGGTTGCAGTGAGCCGAGATGGCACCACTGCACTCCAGCCTGGGTGACAGAGTGAGACTCCATCTCAAAAAATAAATAATAATAATAATAATAATAATAATGGCAGAAATAAATTTTAAAAGGAGAGCGGAGCAACAGTTTTAACAAAACCATATATTTGTTCTTTCAGTAAGTTAAGCGCTGGTAGTACTGATTTCAAAAGGCAGGGGGAAGTCAAAAAAACAAGATATAGACCAAAAAAGGGTAGAACCCAAGAAAAATAGAGATATAAAAAAAGTTTTAAAATAATTTTATGGATAATTGACTGCGTGATGGATGGTTGCTCAACTCTGTAAATACACTAAAAACCATTGAGTTGTACACTTTAAATGGGTGAATTGTATGGCTTGTGGATTATATCTCAGTAAAGCTGTTAAAAAGAAAGTATGGATGGCTATCTGGTAATAATTTTGAAATTAGATGAAATGGATAAACTCCTAGATAAATATGCTGTGCCAAAAAAGGTCCAGTGGTAATATGATAAGCACTGAAGGAACAATTTCTTCTTTCCTTGTATCACTGGCCAAGGCCTGCTTACTATCTTACACAGTAAATGTATCTAAAGCTTTTCCATAAAGTATAAACTTGCTCTAGAAGTTTGATACATAACCTTTACCCAGTTAAGAAAGTTCTCTTATTTTCCTGTCTTGCTAAGAGTTTTGTTAATCCTAAATAAAATGTGAACTTAAATACTTTATTTGTGTCACTATCGAGATAAGCAATATGCTTTTTCTCTTCTAGTCTATAACTGCAATGAATTGCATTAACAAACTTCTTGCTCTTGAACTATTAGAACTCGTTTGAGAGTTCAGGAGATTTTTGGATTTTGGATATAATACCAATATACATTTCTTTTCACTAGGCAAAAGTAACGTAAAAGTACAGTTTAAAATATTGTAGTACACACAATGGTGACAAAATCTGTAAGTATTTAGAAATTAACCAAAAATACACTCTAAATTTATGGAGTAGAAAACTAATTTCTAATGAAGAAAATAGATGATGATATATATATTTGGAGCGACATTCTCTCTTGGATGAAACAATTAATTTAATATAATAAAAATATCAATTTTCCTCATTAATTAATATAAATCCCATAAAATCAATGCAATCCCAAACAATTTCATTTACTTTAAAAAAAAAAACTTTAAAATTTAACCTAAAATTGATTTGGAAAAATAAAGGTCTACAATTAGCTGAAAACATTTTAAATATGAACAGCTACTCGTGGGAACTTGCCTTATCAGATACTGAGACATAGTATAAAAACTGCAGTAATAAAAAAAAAAAGGCATGGTAATTTCACAAGAACAGACAGAATGAACCAATGGAACAGAGACTAGAGCTTGGAGAGAATAGCAGTCACCACCAGTACCTGTCATATCCCTTTGGCATTTGCCATCCCAGGGTACTGGAAATTTATAGTTTCTGACTGCAAGCATCCATGGCTCTTCCTGTGCTGCCTGTGCTTGCGCCAGCCAGAAGTGCCTGAGAATAAATGACTGCACCGCTGACAGCAGACCCCAGTTGAGGACCAAAGGGAGTTGGTGGATGAATGCCTTTGCCACCTCACCCCTAAAGAAAGAAATATAAAAGGTAAATTATAGAGTTAGTAGAAAATCATATAGGGCAATATCTTTGTTAGGAGCAGGGAAAAACTTCTTGATGAAACTTCAAATATAAATCGTAAGAAACTTCAAATATAAATCGTAAGGCCAAAAACATTCATGAATTAAATTACATTAAAAATAAAACTTCTTTCAGCAAAGGACTACATGGAAAAAGGTAAGGGCCTTTGTTGGTTTTTTGTTTGTTTGTTTTGTTTTTGTTTTTGAGACAGGGTCTCGCTCTGTTGCCCAGGCTGGAGTACAGTGGCATGACCTCAGCTCACTGCAACCTCCCCCTCCTCGGGTTCAAGTGATTCTCGTGTCTCAGCCTCCTGAGTAGCTGGGACTACAGGCACGTGCCACCACGGCCGGCTAATTTTTTTGTATTTTAAGTGGAGACAGGGTCTTGCCATGTTGGCCAGGCTGGTCTCAAACTCTTGACCTCAAGTGATCCGCCCACCTTGGCTTCCCAAAGTGCTAGAATTACAGGTGTGAGCCACCCTGCCCAGCCTTTGAAAGAAGATATTGACAATGTCTAAAACTGGTAAGGGGTTGCTTTTCTGGAATATACAAGAAACTACACCAAATCAATTGGATAAAGATAAGACTTCAAAATAAAAATAGTCAAAGGATAAGAACAGTTTACAGAAGAGGAAGTTCAAAAGGTTAACAAACATCTAAAACATATAAAGATGTTCATTAGTAACAATGAAATGAAAATTGGGACAAGAGCAAAGTGTCACTTTCTACCTATTAGACTAGCAAAACAATTGAAATCTAGTTAATCGCAAATGTTAACAAGGATGTGGGGTCTACAAATTCTCATGCATTGCTGGGCAGACTGCCAACTGGTAGAGCCATCTGGAAAACAACCTAGATATCCCCACGATCCAGCATTCCCTCTCCTGGGTAGATAGCCCAAAGATATTCTCCCACAGATCCATAAGTGGAGGACAGATTCAAGGAGGTTGATTATAGCTTTGCTTGTAGTGGAAGGAAATGGAGGAAACCCAGCTGTCTGTCACTGGGGAGTGGATAGGCAACATGTGGTGGGCACACATCATAGAATCTACTACAGCACTTGAAGCAACACACTAGATAGACACCCAGCAACATGGATAGGTCTCAATGGACAGTGTTAAGTGGGAAAAAAGTGAGGAAATATACATGCACACAAAACAACAATATGGGTTTTACAAAAACATATACAAATGGAGGATATGCCTCAAATACACTGGAAGAGTTGCCTATAGGAGGGTGGAATGGGGGTAGGAAATGGAAATATAAAAAGAATAAATAAGTAAAGCAAGGCTAATGATGATAGTGAGCTATGAACTGAGAAGAGTACCCTTTGTACCTAGGTCACCCGCAACAAAATACATAAGGGAAAAGATAAGATAGATGCTAAGTGCCAAGTATAAAACAGTGTTCAATAGTATAGAAATTCATCAAGTGTATTACAAGGGCCTCTGCCTTGATAGAATATCTAGGTACATGCTAGAAATATAAATAAGATGAAGAGTGACTTAGATAACAGATATTAATGTATAGTACAGACACATTTATTTTAGCTTGAAATACTCTATATTTCCATGGAAAATAATTGGAAAAATACTTTAGATGATAATGCTGGAAAAAACTCAGACTTGCAAAAAAAAAGTATACATTCTTTTACAGAAAAAAATATATTTAAAGAAGTTAAGATGCAGCTGGGCAAGGTGACTCAGGCCTAATATCAGTTCTTTTTTTTTTTTTTTTTTTTTTAATTATACTTTAAGTTTTAGGGTACATGTGCACTTTGTGCAGGTTAGTTACATATGTATACATGTGCCATGCTGGTGCGCTGCACCCACTAACGCGTCATCTAGCATTAGGTATATCTCCCAATGCTATCCCTCCCCCCTCCCCCCACCCCACCACAGTCCCCAGAGTGTGATATTCCCCTTCCTGTGTCCATGTGATCTCATTGTTCAATACCCACCTATGAGTGAGAATATGCAGTGTTTGGTTTTTTGTTCTTGCGATAGTTTACTGAGAATGATGGTTTCCAATTTCATCCATGTCCCTACAAAGGACATGAACTCATCATTTTTTATGGCTGCATAGTATTCCATGGTGTATATGTGCCACATTTTCTTAATCCAGTCTATCATTGTTGGACATTTGGGTTGGTTCCAAGTCTTTGCTATTGTGAATAATGCCGCAATAAACATACGTGTGCATGTGTCTTTATAGCAGCATGATTTATAGTCATTTGGGTATATACCCAGTAATGGGATGGCTGGGTCAAATGGTATTTCTAGTTCTAGATCCCTGAGGAATCGCCACACTGACTTCCACAATGGTTGAACTAGTTTACAGTCCCACCAACAGTGTAAAAGTGTTCCTATTTCTCCACATCCTCTCCAGCACCTGTTGTTTCCTGACTTTTTAATGATTGCCATTCTAACTGGTGTGAGATGATATCTCATAGTGGTTTTGATTTGCATTTCTCTGATGGCCAGTGATGATGAGCATTTTTTCATGTGTTTTTTGGCTGCATAAATGTCTTCTTTTGAGAAGTGTCTGTTCATGTCCTTCACCCACTTTTTGATGGGGTTGTTTGTTTTTTTCTTGTAAATTTGTTTGAGTTCATTGTAGATTCTGGATATTAGCCCTTTGTCAGATGAGTAGGTTGCGAAATTTTCTCCCATGTTGTAGGTTGCCTGTTCACTCTGATGGTAGTTTCTTTTGCTGTGCAGAAGCTCTTTAGTTTAATTAGATCCCATTTGTCAATTTTGGCTTTTGTTGCCATTGCTTTTGGTGTTTAGTCATGAAGTTCTTGCCCATGCCTATGTCCTGAATGGTAATGCCTAGGTTTTCTTCTAGGGTTTTTATGGTTTTAGGTCTAACATTTAACTCTTTAATCCATCTTGAATTGATTTTTGTATAAGGTGTAAGGAAGGGATCCAGTTTCAGCTTTCTACATATGGCTAGCCAGTTTTCCCAGCACCGTTTATTAAATAGGGAATCCTTTCCCCATTGCTTGTTTTTCTCAGGTTTGTCAAAGATCAGATAGTTGTAGATATGCGGCGTTATTTCTGAGGGCTCTGTTCTGTTCCATTGATCTATATCTCTGTTTTGGTACCAGTACCATGCTGTTTTGGTTACTGTAGCCTTGTAGTATAGTTTGAAGTCAGGTAGTGTGATGCCTCCAGCTTTGTTCTTTTGGCTTAGGATTGACTTGGCGATGCGGGCTCTTTTTTGGTTCCATATGAACTTTAAAGTAGTTTTTTCCAATTCTGTGAAGAAAGTCATTGGTAGCTTGATGGGGATGGCATTGAATCTGTAAATTACCTTGGGCAGTATGGCCATTTTCACGATATTGATTCTTCCTACCCATGAGCATGGAATGTTCTTCCATTTGTTTGTATCCTCTTTTATTTCCTTGAGCAGTGGTTTGTAGTTCTCCTTGAAGAGGTCCTTCACATCCCTTGTAAGTTGGATTCCTAGGTATTTTATTCTCTTTGAAGCAATTGTGAATGGGAGTTCACTCATGATTTGGCTCTCTGTTTGTCTGTTGTTGGTGTATAAGAATGCTTGTGATTTTTGTACATTGATTTTGTATCCTGAGACTTTGCTGAAGTTGCTTATCAGCTTAAGGAGATTTTGGGCTGAGACGATGGGGTTTTCTAGATAAACAATCATGTCGTCTGCAAACAGGGACAATTTGACTTCCTCTTTTCCTAATTGAATACCCTTTATTTCCTTCTCCTGCCTGATTGCCCTGGCCAGAACTTCCAACACTATGTTGAATAGGAGCGGTGAGAGAGGGCATCCCTGTCTTGTGCCAGTTTTCAAAGGGAATGCTTCCAGTTTTTGCCCATTCAGTATGATATTGGCTGTGGGTTTGTCATAGATAGCTCTTATTATTTTGAGATACGTCCCATCAATACCTAATTTATTGAGAGTTTTTAGCATGAAGGGTTGTTGAATTTTGTCAAAGGCCTTTTCTGCATCTATTGAGATAATCATGTGGTTTTTGTCTTTGGCTCTGTTTATATGCTGGATTACATTTATTGATTTGCGTATATTGAACCAGCCTTGCATCCCAGGGATGAAGCCCACTTGATCATTGTGGATAAGCTTTTTGATGTGCTGCTGGATTCGGTTTGCCAGTATTTTATTGAGGATTTTTGCATCAATGTTCATCAAGGATATTGGTCTAAAATTCTCTTTTTTGGTTGTGTCTCTGCCCGGCTTTGGTATCAGAATGATGCTGGCCTCATAAAATGAGTTAGGGAGGATTCCCTCTTTTTCTATTGATTGGAATAGTTTCAGAAGGAATGGTACCAGTTCCTCCTTGTACCTCTGGTAGAATTTGGCTGTGAATCCATCTGGTCCTGGACTCTTTTTGGTTGGTAAACTATTGATTATTGCCACAATTTCAGATCCTGTTATTGGTCTATTCAGAGATTCAACTTCTTCCTGGTTTAGTCTTGGGAGAGTGTATGTGTCGAGGAATGTATCCATTTCTTCTAGATTTTCTAGTTTATTTGCATAGAGGTGTTTGTAGTATTCTCTGATGGTAGTTTGTATTTCTGTGGGATCGGTGGTGATATCCCCTTTATCATTTTTTATTGTGTCTATTTGATTCTTCTCTCTTTTTTTCTTTATTAGTCTTGCTAGCGGTCTATCAATTTTGTTGATCCTTTCAAAAAACCAGCTCCTGGATTCATTGATTTTTTGAAGGGTTTTTTGTGTCTCTATTTCCTTCAGTTCTGCTCTGATTTTAGTTATTTCTTGCCTTCTGCTAGCTTTTGAATGTGTTTGCTCTTGCTTTTCTAGTTCTTTTAATTGTGATGTTAGGGTGTGAATTTTGGATCTTTCCTGCTTTCTCTTGTAGGCATTTAGTGCTATAAATTTCCCTCTACACACTGCTTTGAATGTGTCCCAGAGATTCTGGTATGTTGTGTCTTTGTTCTCGTTGGTTTCAAAGAACATCTTTATTTCTGCCTTCATTTCGTTATGTACCCAGTAGTCATTCAGGAGCAGGTTGTTCAGTTTCCATGTAGTTGAGCGGCTTTGAGTGAGATTCTTAATCCTGAGTTCTAGTTTGATTGCACTGTGGTCTGAGAGATAGTTTGTTATAATTTCTGTTCTTTTACATTTGCTGAGGAGAGCTTTACTTCCAAGTATGTGGTCAATTTTGGAATAGGTGTGGTGTGGTGCTGAAAAAAATGTATATTCTGTTGATTTGGGGTGGAGAGTTCTGTAGATGTCTATTAGGTCCGCTTGGTGCAGAGCTGAGTTCAATTCCTGGGTATCCTTGTTGACTTTCTGTCTCGTTGATCTGTCTAATGTTGACAGTGGGGTGTTAAAGTCTCCCATTATTAATGTGTGGGAGTCTAAGTCTCTTTGTAGGTCATTCAGGACTTGCTTTATGAATCTGGGTGCTCCTGTATTGGGTGCATAAATATTTAGGATAGTTAGCTCCTCTTGTTGAATTGATCCCTTTACCATTATGTAATGGCCTTCTTTGTCTCTTTTGATCTTTGTTGGTTTAAAGTCTGTTTTATCAGAGACTAGGATTGCAACCCCTGCCTTTTTTTGTTTTCCATTTGCTTGGTAGATCTTCCTCCATCCTTTTATTTTGAGCCTATGTGTGTCTCTGCACGTGAGATGGGTTTCCTGAATACAGCACACTGATGGGTCTTGACTCTTTATCCAACTTGCCAGTCTGTGTCTTTTAATTGGAGAATTTAGTCCATTTATATTTAAAGTTAATATTGTTATGTGTGAATTTGATCCTGTCATTATGATGTTAGCTGGTGATTTTGCTCATTAGTTGATGCAGTTTCTTCCTAGTCTCGATGGTCTTTACATTTTGGCATGATTTTGCAGCGGCTGGTACTGGTTGTTCCTTTCCATGTTTAGCGCTTCCTTCAGGAGCTCTTTTAGGGCAGGCCTGGTGGTGACAAAATCTCTCAGCATTTGCTTGTCTATAAAGTATTTTATTTCTCCTTCACTTATGAAGCTTAGTTTGGCTGGATATGAAATTCTGGGTTGAAAATTCTTTTCTTTAAGAATGTTGAATATTGGCCCCCACTCTCTTCTGGCTTGTAGGGTTTCTGCCGAGAGATACGCTGTTAGTCTGATGGGCTTCCCTTTGAGGGTAACCCGACCTTTCTCTCTGGCTGCCCTTAACATTTTTTCCTTCATTTCAACTTTGGTGAATCTGACAATTATGTGTCTTGGTGTTGCTCTTCTCGAGGAGTATCTTTGTGGCGTTCTCTGTATTTCCTGAATCTGAACGTTGGCCTGCCTTGCTAGATTGGGGAAGTTCTCCTGGATAATATCCTGCAGAGTGTTTTCCAACTTGGTTCCATTCTCCACATCACTTTCAGGTACACCAATCAGACGTAGATTTGGTCTTTTCACATAGTCCCATATTTCTTGGAGGCTTTGCTCATTTCTTTTTATTCTTTTTTCTCTAAACTTCCCTTCTCGCTTCATTTCATTCATTTCATCTTCCATTGCTGATACCCTTTCTTCCAGTTGATCGCATCGGCTCCTGAGGCTTCTGCATTCTTCACGTAGTTCTCGAGCCTTGGTTTTCAGCTCCATCAGCTCCTTTAAGCACTTCTCTGTATTGGTTATTCTAGTTATACATTCTTCTAAATTTTTTTCAAAGTTTTCAACTTCTTTGCCTTTGGTTTGAATGTCCTCCCGTAGCTCAGAGTAATTTGATCGTCTGAAGCCTTCTTCTCTCAGCTCGTCAAAATCATTCTCCATCCAGCTTTGTTCCGTTGCTGGTGAGGAACTGCGTTCCTTTGGAGGAGGAGAGGCGCTCTGCGTTTTAGAGTTTCCAGTTTTTCTGTTCTGTTTTTTCCCCATCTTTGTGGTTTTATCTACTTTTGGTCTTTGATGATGGTGATATACAGATGGGTTTTCGGTGTGGATGTCCTTTCTGGTTGTTAGTTTTCCTTCTAACAGACAGGGCCCTCAGCTGCAGGTCTGTTGGAATACCCTGCCTTGTGAGGTGTCAGTGTGCCCCTGCTGGGGGGTGCCTCCCAGTTAGGCTGCTCGGGGGTCAGGGGTCAGGGACCCACTTGAGGAGGCAGTCTGCCAGTTCTCAGATCTCCAGCTGCGTGCTGGGAGAACCACTGCTCTATTCAAAGCTGTCAGACAGGGACACTTAAGTCTGCAGAGGTTACTGCTGTCTTTTTGTTTGTCTGTGCCCTGCCCCCAGAGGTGGAGCCTACAGAGGCAGGCAGGCCTCCTTGAGCTGTGGTGGGCTCCACCCAGTTCGAGCTTCCCGGCTGCTTTGTTTACCTAAGCAAGCCTGGGCAATGGCGGGCGCCCCTCCCCCAGCCTCGCTGCCGCCTTGCAGTTTGATCTCAGACTGCTGTGCTGGCAATCAGCGAGATTCCGTGGGCGTAGGACCCTCTGAGCCAGGTGTGGGATATAGTCTCGTGGTGCGCCGTTTCTTAAGCCGGTCTGAAAAGCGCAATATTCGGGTGGGAGTGACCCGATTTTCCAGGTGCGTCCGTCACCCCTTTCTTTGACTCGGAAAGGGAACTCCCTGACCCCTTGCGCTTCCCAGGTGAGGCAATGCCTCGCCCTGCTTCGGCTCGCGCAAGGTGCGCGCACCCACTGGCCTGCGCCCACTGTCTGGCACTCCCTAGTGAGATGAACCCGGTACCTCAGATGGAAATGCAGAAATCACCCGTCTTCTGCGTCGCTCACGCTGGGAGCTGTAGACCGGAGCTGTTCCTATTCGGCCATCTTGGCTCCTCCCTGAACCCTAATATCAGTTCTTTGACAGGCCGAGGCAGCAGGAGGATCACTTGAGCTCAGAAGTTCAAGACCAGCCTGGGTAACATAGTGAGACCTCATCTCTATAAATAATAAAAAATAAGCCAGGCATGGTGGTGCTTGCCTGTGGTCCCAGCTACTCAGGAGGTTGAGGTTGGAGGATCACTTGAGCCCAAGAAGTCAAGGCTGCAGTGAGCCCTTATTGTACCACTGCACTGCAATCTGGGTGACAGCCAGACAAAAAAAAAAAAAGAAAGAGAGAAAGAAAGAAAGAGAGAGAGAAGAAAGAAAGAGAGAGAAAAGAAAGAAGAAAGAGAGAAGAAAGAGAAGAAAAGGAAGAGAAGAAAGAAAGGGAAAGAAAGAGAAGAAAGAGAGAGAAGAAAGAAAGAGAAGAAAAAGAAAGAAAGAAGAAAGAGAGAAGAAAGAAAAAGAAAGAAGAGAGAGAAGAAAGAGAGAAGAAAGGAAGAGAGAGAAGAAAGATGAGAAAGAAAGAGAGAAGAAAAGAAAGAAGAAAGAGGAGAGAGAAAAGAAGGAGAAGAAAGAAAGACAAGAAAGAAAGAAAAGAAAGAAAGGAAGTTAAGATGCTAGGAACATATAGTTAATTTTTCTGCTTGAAGATTTAAAAATTACAGAGCTACAGCAAACCAACACAGGAACAGAAAACCAAACACAATTTCTCACTCGTAAGTGGGAGTTGAACAATGAGAACAAGTGGACACAGGGAGGGGAACATCACACACCGGAGCCTGTCGGGGGTGTTGGGGGGCAAGGGGAGGGAGAGCATTAAGACAAATACCTAATGCATGCGGGGCTTAAAACCTAGATGACGAGTTGATGGGTGCAACAAACCACCATGGCATGTGTATACCTATGTAACAAACCTGCACGTTCTGCACATGTTTCCCAGAACTTAAAGTAAAATTAAAATAAATAAATAATAATAATTACAGAGCTACCCAGGCACTAGAAACACATTCTTTCTAACCATATGTAGAGACCTAAACATTTTCAATGAGATTTACCAATGGTCTGTACAGAGTTCTCAAAAGCAGTCAGTGGCATTCAAAACCATTAGAGCCATATGCTGAGTACAGTGAACAAATGCTTACTCAAATGGAAAGTGGGCAAGCAGAGTTCCTGTGTCCTTCAAAGAAATGAGAACAAAGACTGAAAAACTTTGCAGTTATCTCCTAATTTGACTAACTGGGTTTTTAAAAGTCTGATGTTTTTATTCAAATGACGTTGATGTCCTGAGATTCAAGGGTTCTCTGTTCTTGAACATGGACCACCTCACATAGATGGGCAGCCTGGTCTGTGGGTGGACAGTGTTCCCCTGGAGTGGGTAATGTCTTCAGATACCTGCACACCATAAAAGAGTAGGAACTACTTTCTCCTACCCTACTGAACCACAGAAGGTGACATTTGGAGGTGATGTAGTAAGCATTGCTCAAAAGTCAGAGCTTTAAAATGGTTATCTTTTTGACTTTCCCCTCTCAATTCACTTTTTTCCCCCCCACAAGTTTAATACAACTTAATTAAAGGATTTTTGTTGAACACTTATTCTGGGCAATTTAGCGATAACACGGCCCCTACCCTCAGTGTGTGTGTGTTTGTGTGTGTGTGTGTGTGTCCATGATTTCAGGTTTGTATGGCAAGGAAGAGGGACCAGGTGGGTGGGTGCAAAGGATGAGTGGAACAAACAATTCCCCAAATATTTGGGACATAAAGGGAAGATGAGGATAAAAGGAGGATAAAAGTTCTGTGAGGATAAAAAGGAAGGAGACATAAGCTTATGCTTTTTCTGTAATATCTTATACCTTTGTTATTCTCTAAGTTAGGAAATAATATATTTTAGGACATGTTCAACTTGGAAGCAATGAGGAGCTTGAGAATTTATGACAGTAGAGTATAATAATCCGCCCCCTGGTATGAGAAAAAGAATTCTGGTACTGAAACTGGCCTCTGAGATGGAATACCATGAATAGGACTCAACCTCTATCATTCCAGAGAGACAAGAATCAGTACCATTTTTTTCCAGTTCCATTTTAAAAGGCCATCAAAGAAATAAATGTCATAAACAACGCCAGACATCCAGCTTAGTGCTTAACTTCTCAGCATAGGTTTTTTATGATTAATATAAGTCTCTCATTCTACCGTTTAAAGTCTCAAGTTTTCTTTTTAGGATAAGGACTGAAAATAGTTAGTTGCCAACTGTAGCTCAATAAACCCTCATTATAAAATAGAACTCTCTTCCAATACTGGTTTCATGGGAGAGATCTAGTGGATTGCCTATGTTGTATGAACAATTTTTCTGGTATGCTGTTTATCATGCTGTTATTATGTTAATTTAGGTGACATTAGGTTCATGTGTCATAAAGAACCATATGATAACCAAAGGTCTGCCTTAATTTCAAGGTCATTCTTTAGCCAGCTCTCACATTTCTCAGGCTAAATAATACGTGAAAAGTCTTTTCCTCAATATATTAATGTGAGGCATCTTCATGCCCTAGGATGGTCCCTGTCAGCAGTCACTAGAGACGTATACCCTGCGGTCAGGGGGACATCTTGAGGGAAGTCTCATTTCCAAGACTCTCTTATAAAGTTTTTGAGGCTCCTGTCTTCCAAATCCAGAGTCCTAAACTATCATGGAACTGTGGTTAATGTTCCATAGGTAATGTGACTTTGTAAAATCTACTTTCTGTTATTTTCTGTCCATTCCCAGGATGTAACTGACATTTTTGTTTTCTACAGATAGATGATACTTGTTCGTCTTTTCTGTCCATTGATTCTCAGCCTCAGGTAATTCCAATTGAAGATATTTTGTAATAATGTAGGTGTTTGTGTAGTGCTTAAACTCTCCATTGCTGCCTTTGGAACCTTTATGTGTTCGTGAAAACATGTCAACGTGTGAGATATTATTACATTTGCTGTAGATAATAATCAATACTGTGGGCTTGTGTTGTAATGTGCTAGGGCTTTCATCTCTAAATAAAATAGATTTGCAGACAATATACACGTATTTTGTAACGTCAAATTAAAATGTTAATTTCAAAATCAAATTATGTGTTAAGTTAGAAATACTGTATCTGTCAGGGTGCAGTGGCTCATGCCTGTAATCCCAGTGCTTTGAGAGGCCCAGGTGGGAGGATCACTTGAGGCTGGGAGTTCAAGACTAGCCTGGGCAACATAGCAAGACCCCGTCTCCACCAAATAATAAAAATTTAAGCAAACTAACACAGGAACAGAAAACCAAATATTGCATGTTCTCACTTATAAGTGGGAGTTAAGTGACGAGAACACATGGACACAAAGAGGGGAACAACAGACACAGGGCCTGCTAGAGGGTGGAGGTGGGAGGAGGGAGAGGATCAGTAACTATTGGGTACTAGATTTAGTACCTGGGTGATGAAATAATCTGTATAACAGACCCCTGTGACACAAGTTTACCTACATGACAATCTTGCACATGTACTCCTGAACCTAAAATAAAAGTTTAAATAATAATAAAAATTTAAAATACTGTATCTATTGCTGTATTTGGGGACAAATATCCTATCTCCCAATTGAGTTTGAAACCATTGAGAGATGAATTTATGAGTCAGACTTTTGGAGGTCAAAGCATCATCATTATAACTGAAAAGTCCATTTGTTACTGTGGCTTCAGATCTGATATCAAGCGTGTTTGCTATAATTGCCTCCAGAATTAAACTTGCCTGCAAGTCCCAGACAGTGACTCTGAGCTTTCCACCAGTCAGATTCTCAGCCACAGGGCAGAGACCAAGCAAGAACAGCTGACCAGAGCAAGAACACTGACTCTATAGAGGAAAGAGCTGAACTGAACATGCCCAGTTTCTTCCTCTCAGTTCACCTACCAGACAGCTCACTCCTCTTCAATAGAAAAGAATTAAGAGGAGGTTTTGGAAAGAGGCCAGGAGTGCTAATCTAGCTCCTCTGCATGGACACTTAAGAAGTGGGGAATAAGTGTGTTCTTACATTGTCTTTACTGGATGCTGCTGCTTTCAGAGTCATCAGCTATGCGCCTGCGGCATACTCCCTACATAGTTTGGCCGAGGTGCCCAGGCTGTTGGTCACACAGTCTCCAGTTGTGTTTTCCTGGCCAGTGTGAAGAAACAGCCTTGTATAGTGTTGTATTTCTCCTGCCTCAACCCATTCCGTAGGTACCTGCTGGAAATTTGAGGTATTAGATAGTAAAGCAAGACCAGAATCACAATAGATGATGTTTTTGAACAATATTTCAAATTATTCAAGGAGCATTGGCAGATATATATTAATAACATGAGATTATATTAATCAGCATATATGCATTTGTATTGTATTTAAAATTCAGGAACATCCTCAAAATCACTTCTAGTTCTTTAGTACTAAGAGGATGAATTTTAAAGCACTCATTTAAACTTCATCAAGATAAACTAATGTTTGACTGGATTTCAGTACTGTGCCTCTTTCAAGAGGAGCTTAGTAAATTTACTATTTGAAAGTTTTACATTTGCAATTGAAATTGTAATAAATTTAATACTTTAAAAAATTATTGTTTTATTACATGTGAAATTAAAGCTATGCATTAAAACCTAATTTTGGTTTCACTGTAGTATATTGGTGATGTTCTTATATAGGATACATTTATAGCCAGCACCTGGAATCATGCTTGAGAAGAGACTCAATAAATATCTCTTTAATTACTTAGTTAATAAGACCCAGTAGCAAACATGCTATGCAGAAATTGTTCTCTTGTAACAAATATCATTATATCATCCCTTTTTTTTGGCCCATTCATTAGTTTAAAAACCATATAAATATGGTTTTACTGATTTGGCTCTCAAATAAAAAATATAAATTCTGGAAGAATACATACAAAATAAATGATAATGGTTATGTGGAAGGGGAGTCCTAGGTGGATAGGACAGAAACAGGAGGACTTTTTAACTGGATATCATCTTATAATTTTTTAGTTTTGAAACTTGTGAAATTATGAATTACAAAAAACTCAAAGGAAAGAAATGAAAGAAATTATATAAAAGAGATAGATTCACAAGTCCCTTCCCTAGAAATAGCTGCTAAACTAATACAGATGCATCTCTTTGGAATGGTGCTTATGTATAGTAACTGTATTTGGGTACCTTCACAAGAATAAGTAATATTAATAAATTAGGAATTGTTTTTTGTATTCCTAATGTTTTGGGAATATATCATTTTATGGGCTTACTTCTGTGGCTGGGTTTCTTCATATGCTTGGTGGTCGCTGGCTGGCTATCAGCAGGGGTGGTGGAGGCAACCGGGTGAAGTGTTACTTACAGTCCAGCAGGGTAGTCTGAGCTTTTTCACATGGTTGCTGGGTTCCACCAGCTGTGGGAGAGCAAGCTCCATCACCTAATTGGGTTTCAAACCTCTGCTTGTGACATATTTACTCATGCCTCACTGGCCAAAGCAAGACAAAGAGTCAATGTGGGGGGCCACACTCAGTGTCTGCGTTAGGGGACTGACTGCATAAAGGCAATGGATACAGGGGGGCGTGATTCAATGGGGATATTATTATAACTAATTACTATAATTTCTAAAAATTGTCATTATTTTCTCAAAACATTGATAATAAACTCAATTCATGAGTGGGCAATTCGGTACACAACTGAAAACTAGTGATAAGTATAACTATTGTTGTACTCAGATTTAAGGTTTTAGCATCACTTAGTCATTTAAAATACTAAGTCATCATATCACTGCTTTGCTCCAAATCTTCCTATGGTTTCTTATTACAATTAGAATAGTATCAAAATCCCTTGATAGAGCCTACAGAACCTAAATAATTTTTTTTTTAATTTTAGGTTCAGGGGTAAATGTGCAGATTTGTTATGTAGTTAAAGTGTGTTGTGGAGGTTTGGTGTATAGATTATTTCATCACCCAGGTAATAAGCATAGTACTAAATAGGTATTTTTTTTATCCTAACCCTCTTTCCACCCTCTACTCTCAAGTAGGCCTCGGTATCTACTGTTTCCTTCTCTTTGCCCACGTGCATCCGTGTTTAGCTCCTACTTATAAGTGAGAACGTGTGGTATTTGGTTTTCTGTTCCTATGTTATTTCGCTTAGGGTAATACCCTCCAGCTCCATCCATGTTGCTGCAAAGGATATGATCTCATTCTTTTTTATGGCTGTGTAGTATTCGGTGGTGTATATGTACCACCAAATTTGATACAATTTTAAAACATTGTTAATTTTCACATATACTATTATCTTATTATTTATGTGATTACATGACCATTGCTTTGAAACATTTTTACCAAGTAGAAAATGTTATCTTTAAGGTCTATACATTTAAAAATAAGATATTAAAACTTTCATGTATTTAAATCCTTGAAGAATAGTTGAGAATTGGCTTCTTGTAAAGGGGAGTTGGGGAAAATGCACTTGCTTTGAAACTTTTTCAGTCAAAGTTCAATCTTACTGAAGCTCATCCAGCTTAGAAACTGTTTTCTAAGAAGAAACAACTCATGTGTGAATTTATTCTTCTTTGAGTTGAAATACATTTTTGAAACATGACATCACTAGGTATTTTCTTTCTATTGTTTTGTATTTTCTATTTTGAAATCAGCCATACGTGTTTATTCTTCTTTGAGGTGAAATACATTTTTGACACATGACATCACTGGGTATTTTCTTCTTATTGTTTTGTATTTTCTATTTTGAAATGAGCATAAGTGGAGCATTTTGTTTTTGTTTTTAGAGATAGGGTCTCACTCTGTCGCCCAGGCTGGAATGCAGTGGTACAATTATAGCTCGCCACAGCTACGAACTCCTGGGCTCAAGCAATCCTCCCACCTCAGCCTCCTGAATAGCTGGGACTACAGGAGCATGCCACCATGCCCAGCTAATTAAAAGAAAACAATTTTGTGTAAAGATGGGGGTCTCACTGTCTTGACCAAGCTGTTAAGGGAAGTTATAGGGATTTTATTTCAGATTTTTGTGGGGTGACCTGTGTATTCAGCCCTTAAATATAACCAGTGAGAAAGGATGTATCAGTGTTCACACTCTAGTTTTTCTCGCAGCCAACTCCCAACTCCAGGCTTAGCAGGCAATACCAATGCAACACAATAATATCTACAAATCAGAAGGCCAAGGTCCCAGGCCACACTCCTCCAACTCCTAGCCATGTGTGGTATTGGGCAAGTGACAGTCTCTTAGAACCTTACTTCCTCTGTATATGAGAATAACAATTCATGTCCTGTGTAGGACAGAATACAAATTACGTATAGTCATGCATCACTTAAAAATGGGGATATACATTCTGAGAAATATGTCCTTGGATGATTTGTCATTGTATAAACATCATAGAGCGTACTTACACAAATCTAGATGTACAGCCTACTACACACCTAGGCTATATGGCTACAAACCTGTACAGCACATTACTGTACTGAATATTGTGGGCAGTTGTAACACACTATGTAATTAAACATATCTAAATGTAGAAAAGGTACAGTAAATACATAATGTAAAAGATAAAAAATGATACACTTGTATAGGGCACTCACCATGAATGGAGCTTGAAAGACTGGAAGTTGCTTTGGGTGAGTCAGTGAGTCAGTAATGAGTGAATGTGAAGGCCTAGGACATTACAATACACTACTGCAGATTTCATAAACACTGTAAACTTAGGCTGCGTTAAATTTATTTAAAAATTTTTCTCTCTTCAATAATAAATTAACCTTAGCTTACTGTAACTTTTTTACTTTTATAAACTTTTTAATTTTTTCTTTTTCAAGACAGGGTTTCATTCTGTCATCCAGGCTGGAGTGCAGTGGCATAATCATGGCTCACTGCAGCCTCGAACTCCTGGGCTCAGATGATCCTCCCATTTCAGCCTCCTGAGTAGCTGGGACTACAGGCATGCACCACCACACCTGGCTAATTTTTTGTGTTTTTTGTAGAGACAGGATCTTGCTATGTTGTCCAGGCTGGTCTCAAACTCCTGGGCTCAAGCAGTTCTTCCACCTTGGCCTCCCAAAGTGCTGGAATTACAGGCATGAGCCACCGTTCCTGGCCAACTTTTTAATATTTTAGAACTTTTTTCTCTTTTGTAATGACACTTGGCTTATAACACAAACATGCTGAACAGGTGTACGAAATATTTTCTTTCTTTATATCCTCATTCTATAAGCTTTTGAAATTAAAAAGAATTTTTTTGACTTTTTAAACTTTGTTGTTAAAAATGAAGACACAAGCATGCATATTAGCCTAGGCCTACACAGGTCAGGATCATTAAGATGTGACTAGATGATAGGAGTTTTTCAGCTTCATAATAATCTTATGTGACCATCATTGTATACGCATTCTATCATTGACTCATTGACTGACATGCCCTTATGTGGTGCATGACTGTATATGAAAATGTTTTATAATTTATTGAAACACTATGTACATATGAGGCATTATTAATAAATATCCCAAGAATTTGCATGACAAGCAAACAAATGGAATGAAGAGAACAAAGCAGGCCTCTGATGCTAGGAAGGGTGCACAGAAAAACTGTCAACTCCACCTGTGTCTCTAACCACAACCAACCATGTCAAGCATGTACTGTTGTTCAAAGGGAGAGGAGGTGAGACTACTGGAGGCCTTGAACAATTCTTTTCATATGTCTTTCTTTTTTTTTTTTTTCTGAGACAGAGTCTCACTCCATCACCCAGGCTGGAGTGCAGTGTCGAGATCTCGGCTCACTGCAACCTCTGCCTCCCAGGTTCAAGTGATTCTCCTGCCTCAGCCTCCCGAGTAGCTGGAATTACAGGCGTGTGCTAACATGCCCGGCTAATTTTTTGTATTTTAGTAGAGACTGGGTTTCACCGTGTTGGCCAGGCTGGTCTCGAATTCCTGACCTCAGGTGATCCATCTGCCTCAGCCTCCCAAAGTGCTGGCATTACAGGCGTGAGCCCCTGCACCCGACCTCTTTTTCATTTAACTTCTAAATTAAGAATCCCTTCAGCTGTAAATCAACCTGAGAACTTTACCTACATTTAATTCTTCTAAGAACTCTCTGCAGCAATGTCATCCCCGACTTAGAGCTGAAGAAACGGAAATTAAGAGAGGTTAGGTAACCAGCCTAAGGTTACACAGCTAATAAAGAGCAGAAATGGAATTTGCACTGCGATAGAGTTACAGGCTTCCCAACTCCATAGCTCATGCTTTTAACCACTAATTACATTGCCCTCCCTACTGTTCTAGTTCTTCATTACTTCCAAAATGCATACATTAAGTAATCAATTGTTTATGGTGCTACTGTGCTAAATTCTGTGCAAAGCAGGTTTCGCCCCTGCTTGTCCATTTCTTCTACTCCTTACCACACCCAGCTGGCTGCTAACCACAGAGCCCTGCCCTACTTCTGTGCTCGAATGCTTTGAAAAACCTGATCCTGGGCTGTGCAGTCAGCAATCTGGAAGGGTGGTACTCAGATTAGGTGCACCACGCATGGGTTCTTCTCCTCCACTTCCCATTGTTTTTGAGCAATTGCAGGATTTTCAAATTAGCCAATAATGAGTAATATTCAGCGAGGCTCACAGCTTTGGCATGTAGATACAGATTTTGCTACAAGCTGGGAAGAATAATTCCTCTTCTGGCACTGTCCCTTGTTACTCTCAGTCATAGAATTTCATAATATTTTAGCAAGTGCTGAGAACTATGTATCTAGATCACAGCGGAAGCCTTCATGAGTGCATATGTACCGTACTTACCTTTTTTTTTTTTCTGGTTAGAAGGAAGGCTTTACTTTTACAGCCAAGTTTTTGTTGTGAGAGAAATCAAAGGATTCCAACAGTTTTAATAATCTACAGAAGGATTCTTTTCCAGGTAGTTAGCATTTCCTCATGCCCCTAACATTTTGTAGTTACCTCTTCTATGTAAATGTCGTTAAAGCAGAAGCATAACTTACATATCTTCTCATTTCTGTTAGGCATCCAACGCACTGGAGGAGCTTTGCTTTATGATTATGGGAATGCTACCAAAGCCTCAGGTAAGCTTGAAATAGTGTTTTGTTTGTAGACAAAAATTATCCAAAAATTTCTTGGAATTTCTCCTGGAAGAAAATATGCCCAATTTAGGAAGCATGCCAAGACAGGTTAGAAGAGGAAAAATTGTTTTTGGATAAGAAATACTTCAGGTTCTCTGATGTCTGAGAATTGAGCATCATATTAATGGAGCTTACAGTAATCTAATTGGGAAATCATATCACCCCATCAAATATAAAATGAGTTCCAGTCCGGAGGAATAAATATGGGGTCATGTTGGCTCTCTTTTTTTTGCCCTGACTCATGCTACTTTGGAGAACAGATGCATCTTTCTAAGCTGCTAAGCACATCTTATGGTTCAAAGGTCAGGACATTGTACTTTGTGGGAGAGTAGGGCATTAAGAATGCAAAAAAAAAAAGCAAACTGTATTGTCATTGTCTTGGTTTCTTATTAAAATTACCTGATTCTTCTGGGAGAACTTTTTGTCCTGGAGTGAGAGTAGATGGGAACTTGAAAAGTAGCATAAGCACCATACCTAATTTTATAATCTCTATCTTATGGATGAACTTATTTTAAAGCTACTTTATTAAAGATGAGAGCTTCAGGTTTGGAATTATATTTTTCATTGGCAATTCTAACTTAATCTGTGGTGATTGGTACACTCTGACTTCCATACCTTTCATATATAATAATTCAAAGAAAAAAACATTCATAATTTGAAAGCATAAATGTTTTATGAAACTAAATAATCTCTGCCTGAAATTGTATATTTATCCATTGTTTCTAATGGTGACATTGTCCAAAAAGCGTAATTGATTTTTTCCTAATTAAGATAAAAGAAATGACAACGGTGTTTATTCATGGTCTTCCATTTGTATTAAAAGCAAGTGAGAAAGAACAACAACAAAAAAGGAATTATAAGATTTAAATTTTTTTTTTTTTTTTTTTTGAGATGGAGTCTCGCTCTGTCGCCCAGGCTGGAGTACAGTGGCGCCATCTCGGCTCACTGCAAGCTCCGCCTCCCAGGTTCACGCCATTCTTCTGCCTCAGCCTCCTGAATAGCTGGGACTACAGGCGCTCGCCCCACCAGGCCTGGCTAATTTTTTGTATTTTTTTTAGTAGAGACAGGGTTTCACCGTGTTAGCCAGGATCGTCTCAGTCTCCTGACCTTGTGATCCGCCCACCTCGGGCTCCCAAAGTGCTGGGATTACAGGCGCAAGCCACCGCGCCCGGCTAAAAATTTTTTTATGGAAGACATCAAAACCAACTCATAACCTTCATATTTAGTGATAAACAGTAAAAATATTTGCATGTGATTCTTTCAGTCTTCTCCTCTGAATATTCCATCATGTCATGATATAATAATTTCCCATTCTACCACTGTTGAATATTTAGGATGTTTCCAATTTTTTACACTTATGAATAAAGTTGCAGTAAAGAGATCTTTATGCACATCTTTATTTGTAAACAATATTCAATTAATTTCCCATTTATTTTTAGAGCAACGGATGCTTAACTAATTTCAGTCTTGTATTTTATATGTAACATGAGTCATGTGTTTTAAATAATTATGTGTTATAACATTATAAAATTACTGTATATAAGATAGTAAAATTTTACAATATATAATGATATATACAATATCTCTTTTCAATAGGAACAAGATGAAAAAGATAATACTAAAAGGGTAAGATGATTTTCATACATCTATACCTTATAAAATAATAAGGGAACCATTAATTTTTATAGTAAAACTTACTGCTTTTTTTAAACAGTTCTTATTTCATTATTCGAAGACACAGAAGTTGGGCAAGTCAAATGTTGTGGTAAGTTGTAGAACTACTTCTTAGTAATCACTAATATTTGTTTAAAAGAATGAAACTGTTTTTGCAGCATAATAGAGCTAGATCAGAATTCAAATTTTTTACTTTAAAAGTTTATATGTGAGTAAAGGAATGAAATTCAATATTTATTATACATTTGATTTATTTTATATGTCAATTACTACCTGTACATTAAATTGATTCGTTCATTCATTCATTTAACAGTTATTTACAAAGTATTAGCTATATGCTATGTGCCAGGCACAATCCTAGGTACTAGAAATATAGCAATAAATAAAACAAAATTTAAAAAAGAAATCCCTGGCCAGGTATGGTGGCTCATGCCTGTAATCCCAGCAGTTTGGGAGGCCGAGGCGGGAGGATCACTTGAAGTCCAGAGTTCGAGACCAGCCTGGCCAACATGGTGAAACCCTGTCTCTACTAAAAATACAAAAATTAGCCAGGTGTGGTGGGGCACGCCTGTGGTCTCAGCTACTCGGGAGGTTGAGGCAAGAGAATTGCTTGTACCCAGGAGGTGGAGGTTGCAGTGAGCTGAGATCACGCCACTGCACTCCAGCCTGGACGACAGAGCGATACTCTGTCTCAAAAAAAAAAAAAAGAAAAGAAAGAAAAATCCCTGCTTTTGTGAAACACATTCTAAAGACCAAGAAAATAAAAAAAGCAAATAAATAAGTAAAACATATTGTTTCAGATGGCAATTGTTGCAAATTTAAAAATCATTTGATCCAAGGGCATTTTTTATTTAAAGAATGATTGTCAAAAATGTAATTAAATATAATTAGAAATATCCTCTTCTATTCGTAAGATCTTCTTATTAGTAATTAGGCATTTAATGTGAGAATGTATTCTCTAAGGTTAGCCAAAAACCAATAATTTGAATTCAGTTCACTTTAAAATCATGTAGTATTAGCGGTAGTTTTTCTTTTTGTATGCATGGGTTTTAAAAATGTTAACCAACCTACTTGGTGTTTCAATCTAGGATACTTAGAAATTATTTGACTATAATACTATTTCCACACTTGTGATTCACTTCCATGAACCAATTTAGGGAATGAGGAGCATAGTGTATTTTAAACAGATATATACCTATGGAAAGGTAACTATAATCTTAAACTCAGTTTGAAATATTTATCACATGGAATATTACATATGAGGAGGCGAAAGATTATACTGGCTTTAAACCAAGTACAAGTTGAATTAGTTCACAGATAACTGTTATACAGGGCTCAACATAATCCATGTGATAAATGAATTTAAGATTAATGAGAAGTCTCAATGTGACCCATACCTTTTTAAAAAATGCAGCCATATCAGATAGGTAGCTACATATCTCAAGTGTGCTTTCAATTTCTTTGGCTTGACACCTTTACATTTTGGGAAAATGTATCTTAGTCACAGTTTTCACTATCGAGAACACATTGTCATTTTCACACATTGTTGTCTTGCTCCCAACGTTTCCGTTTTAAGTATATAATTTATAAAGGAGGTTATTAGATGTGTGTATAGTATAATCTTCCAGATTAACATGTTTATAGTGGAAAATTGCTACTGGCAGTGTGGGTTTCGCCTGGTCCGAATTATTTTGAGTAAGTCTAGTAACAGACAGACTGCCTTTTGCCTCTCAAAGAGGCAGTGAGGGGTTTTACTTGCTGACAGTTCACAAGAGAGCTGCAGCCGTCAGGAAAGTGCTTCTTCTCAATATGAGGATAAAAATCCCAGCGTAGAGCTACCAAATTTTATCCCACCTCTTGGTTTATTCTCCACAGTTCTTCGAATTGCTCCCAAAGACCTGTTTTAGGTGACATCTTTAATTTTCTGTTTTGTCTGGGACAAGTTTAGTGGGTAAAAACAAAAACAAATAGGAAACCGTCTTGATGGCCACTGCTGAGAAGCCATGCACTTATTCACGTGTGTGTTCATGTCCTCTCAGTCGTCAGTTGTGCATCCGTTGCTGCAGCTCGTTCCTCACCTGCATGAGAGAAGAATGAAGAGATTCAGAGTGGACGTATGTAATACAAACTGCATGCTGGCTTTGCCATTCCGTGTGGGGCAGCCCTTTCTGTTAATTCCCAGCTGTGGTAGTTCATCAAATGCTGCTCTTCAGGATAAGCCCACACTAATACCCAGTTAGCCAATGTAAGAGCATCTGTTTGTAGACTAGAAGAGAATTGTTCAAGCCGCCCTTCCATGGCCCCCTGCAATATTGTGTCCCTTCTAGCTGAAGCTGTGGACATTGAGGAAAGCTGGAATTATACTGTTTTCCAAAAGCCATGACTTTTGGTGAGAAAATCTATTCTTGGTTTAAGAAAGGACACTGCTTTTGTCCAGTCCTTAGGTAGGAATAAGAGAACAAATAAAGGACAATGTACTGCCCCTCTGTATCCAGCTTGGCAAATAGCTAGGATGGCAAGCTTTCTGCTCAAGTATTTAAATGTTGTTAAGAGTGGGCCAGGCCTGGTGGCTCACACCTGTAATCCCTTCAACTTTGGAAGGCCCAGGTGGGTGGATCCCTTGAGGTCAGGAGTTCAAGACCAGCCTTGGCAACATGGCGAAACCCCGTCCCTACTAAAAATACAAAAAAAAAAAAAAAAAAAAAAAAATTAGCCAGGCATATTGGCGCATGCCTGTAATCCCAGGTACTCGGAGACTGAGGCACAAGAATCGCTTGAACCCAGGAGGCAGAGGTTGCACTGCACTCCAGCTTGGGTGACAGAGCAAGACTCCGTCTCAAAAAAAAAAAAAAAAGTAAGAGTTTGGGTCGTGAAGTAAATATCGGAAACTAAATATATATACTTTGTTTTTTTCAACAAAAAATGTGACCTAAATCCAGCATCTATGTGTAAGATGAATGTAACCCCATTAACACATTCTTACTGTGTTACACTGTGGAGATTTTACAGTCATTTAAAAAGAATCCTAACTCTTGTCGCTCATGCCTGTAATCCCAGCACTTTGGGAGGCTGAGGTGGGTGGATCATTTGAGGTCAGGAGTTTGAGACCAGCCTGGCCAACATGGTGAAACACCGTCTCTACTAAAAATACAAAAATTAGCTGGGCGTGGCGGTGGGCGCCTGTGATCCCAGCTACTCGGGAGGCTGAGGCAGAAGAATCGCTTGAACCGGGGAGGCAGAGGTTGCAGTGAGCTGAAATCTCGCCACTGCACTCCAGCCTGAGTGACAGCGCGAGACTCTGTCTCGAAAAAAAAAAAAGAAAAAAAATCCTAACCCTTGTAACACTGATAATTTCTAGGATTATATATATACACATATATACATATATACGTATATATATACACATATATACATATATACGTATATATATACACATATATACATATATATATATATATATATTTTTTTTTTTTTTTTGAGACGGACTCTTGCTCTGTCGCCCAGACTGGAGTGCAGTGGCGTGATCTCGGCTCACTGCAAGCTCCGCCCCCCGGGTTCACACCATTCGCCTGCCTCAGCCTCCCGAGGAGCTGGGATCACAGGCGCCCGCCGCTACGCCCGGCTAATTTGTTGTATTTTTAGTAGAGACGGAGTTTCACCGTGTAAGCCAGGATGGTCTCGATCTCCTGACCTCGTGATCCGCCTGCCTCGGCTTCCCAAAGTGCTGGTATTACAGGCGTGAGCCACTGCGCCCGGCCTCTAGGATTATTTTTAAGTAATGCCTTCCCTTGCTGTAATACATTATAATTTTCAGTCTTATATTATCTCATTTTATCCTTTGAGGAACTCCGTTAGTACTTATACAAGTATTATTTCCCATTTACAAAAGGGAAAGCAAGTCAGAATAGTTGAAGGAGTTTCCCCAGATCGTATTAGTAAGAGAAAGTACAAAATAGTTTTCTGAATTCTGATCTAGGCAATTTTTTTTTCACTATGCTGTACCCTTTATAGTTTAATTTGGATACTTTTATTATGTTATTTTTAAATTACGTATTTTATTATTAAAAGTTGAATTCAGGCTGGGCGCAGTGGCTCACGCCTGAAATCCCAGCACTTTGGGAGCCCGAGGTGGGCGGATCACCTGAGGTCAGGAGTTTGAGACCAGCCTGTCCATCATGATGAAATCCCGTCTCTACTAAAAATACAAAAACAAAAACAAAAAAAAATCAGCTGGCATGGTGGCGGCACCTGTAATCCCAGCTATTTGGCAGGCTGAGGCAGGAGAATCGTTTGAACCAGGGAGGCAGAGGTTTCAGTAAGCCGAGATCGTGCCACTGCACTCCAGCCTGGGTGACAGAGCAAGACTCCATCTCAAAAAAGAAAAAAAAGAAGTTGAGTTCAGATCATCAAAGTTTTCCTTAATTTCAACACCATATTTAATTTATTCTTCTTAAAGTGCTACCCAAAGTTTTCAGATACTTTTAAAAACACATAGAGTTTAGGTGAATATATTCCTCAAAATTTATTTTTATGGCCAGTATTTCCTCCCTAGAATCTTCACATTCTTAAATGAAGTTTCCATCAAAGAAGACAATATCTGATGCCAACTGTAAAGAGAAATGTAAGATCTTAGGCAGTAGCCCCTTAAAATTTTAGAATTTGCAGAATGAAGAAAAAAGCAGTTGTCATCAAACTCTCTAGAAGTAATACATGCTTTTTTGATTTAACTTTTACTTCTTAAAAGTGTTTGCTCGAGTTATGAATTAGTAAACAATTTCAACTTAAAGATACAGTTTCTTAAAAGACACCAACAATCATTAGTGTGACTACATTATTTCAGTGCCGTGATTTACAAAACCAAAGCTAATCACTCAGTATTGTGGCCAGTTTAGTACATTGACTGAATTTTCCATCTTCAGTGATACCATCTATATTTTCAGACAAATGATAGATCTTAAGGGTATTTTGCAGCCAGTCAATTTCCTAGAAAGCTATGAAAGAAAATAATGTAAAAGATGAATAGAAATGCAATTGCAGGAGAGTGTTCGCTTTGCTGGGCCTAAGTCATCTCATTTTAAAATATATCTTTGATAGTGAAATATTTTGAATTCTTGAAGAAATGAGGTTTTAGATTTTAAAACACTTTTCTTAAATTTTGTTTGCTAGACATCTTTCAATATCATTCCCACATCTTTTATCTCTACCTCCCAAATTATTTTATATGATGCTCTATGCTAATGATAAAACTCTAAAAAGATCTGTATGTTTGGGTTTAGCATTTGGAAGTTTGTATTTGGCACATTTAAATTTACATTTTGTCTGGCCTTTTAGTTTTTTCTCTTTAATATAATATGCATTTGAATTTTTTTATTTGTATTATTATTATTTTTTTGAGACAGGGTCTTTCTCTGTCACCTAGGCTGGAGTGCAGTGACGTGATCATGGCTTACTGCAGACTTGACCTCCTGGGCTCAGGCAATCCTCCCACCTCAGCCTCCTGAGGAGCCTGAGGAGCTGGGTCCACAGGTGTATGCCATCACACCTGGCTAAATTTTTTTATTATTTGTAGAGACTAGGTCTCTCTATGTTGCCCAGGCTGGTCTCAAACTCCTGGGCTCAAGTGATTCTCTGACATCAGCCTCCCAAAGTGCTCAGATTACAGGCATGAGCCACTGTGCCCAGCTGAGAACGTTGCTTATATAGGTATATAAACATATGGTTTATATGTGTACATTTTTTTAAATTTTGAAAACTTAAACTTTTATTTTTTATTTTTCATTGGTTTATTATAGTTATACATATTTTGGGGGTACATGTGATATTTTGATACATGTATACAGTGTGTACATTTTTAAATACAGATTTTTTTCAATATTAAGTAATTTGGGGAGTTATAGTAAAGATGAAAATTAAGTAGAAATATTGAGGATTTAAGATACATTTGTTGCAAACTAAGTATTTCAGAATTTAAACATACATCAGAGCCATTTCTTAGAATTTAATATGATTGTATTCATATTATAAAATAGTTGAAAAAGGTCTTGGCTGAAAGATTTCATGGTGATAGCCATGCTGATAATGCTTTTATGATATAGGTAATTGTTAATGAAAATAGGAAGTTGAAGCTATAAGCCAATTTTATGGAAACCATAAAATGTTAATGTATTTTTTTCATGAAGCTTAAAATGAAATGTTTAAGAAAAAGATATACTTATTATGAATAATTGGGTCATTCCTGTTAATATTTGGATATTTAAAAATTAACATTCTGCACATATAATTATATTAGGAACATCTATCCTAAAGCTTCATTGAATAAATGTAATTTACCAAATTTGTCCTTCAATTTCAAACTACATTTCTGTAGAAATATTGGATAATATTTTTTAGCTTTGACACAATTCTGTTTTATATTTTCCCCTGTTCATGGGTTAACACATGCAATATGTATTTTAAATAAATTATTTCATTCTAACAAAATGCTGAAAGGAGATTTTAAATATAGTCAATTATGAAATGTCTGTCATTTCTCTTTCTACTTATTGATGAATTCACCTAAAACTGACAAAATTCCTGAAAGGCAAATCTGTCACACTGACAAGGAAATTATTTTTAAATATAAGATTCTGATGATACTGCTAGTTGTTGAAAATTTTCAGGTATGATACAAAAATTCTCTATTCAAGTCCCTGATTCCCTCTATGTTTAGTTATGACAGTTGAAAGTAATTTTGACCCTCAATATACTTTCAAGGAGAATTTGCACTTATTTTTAGTGTTATGTGATTTGTAATGCCCTCATTTTCTCTTCTAGGAAGAATTCCAAAGTCCCTTTGCAAGTCAAAGTCGAGGATATTTTTTATTCAGGGTAGGTACATACTGTATTTTTAAAAAATCAATCTACACCAAAATTTAAAAATATGTTCCCTGTGTATTTAACTTTTACATTTCAATTAAGTTTTAAAGTTTATAGATGTTTGGCATCAGGTGTTACAGTCTGACATTCACTTCTGTCACCACCTTATTGCTTCAATACCACAGTATCTCTGATCTCTGATCTCTTCTTTGACCTATTGCTCATGTTTAAACACCTCAAATAGCATTCACCTATTTGACACTTTAATTCCATGACATTTTATGTATAGAAAGTAACTGTCTTAAAGATACACTATTCCTTATGTTCTATGGAATTATTTACAAAATTTTTGACTCAGTAGATTGGAAGAGTTACGAATACTTTCACAAATTCTTAAAATTAAAAGAATCTGCCATAATAAAAGGTATAAGTAGACAGAATTTCAGGATTACAGTTCTGATTTTGTTTGTCCACATTGTCTATAAAATGTGAGGTTTTTTTCTAGGCAGCTACACTTTGCAAAATATTTGCATCCTTAATACATTACCAGAAAGTTTTAATTAATTCATTCAACAACTATTTATTGAACTTCTACTGGGTGCTGAGCAATGTACCAAGGGCTGGGACTATAAAGACAGATAGGATTCCATTCCTATGCTCTAGGAATTTAGATAGGCTCAAAACAGATAAGTAAACAAATATAAAGTACTGTGTGAAATGCACTTGTAGTCCAAAGGCTGTGATTTCCAAAAGAAAAGCATTTAATTCCAGCTGGGGAATGGAAGAGGTACAGAGAAGACTTCAAGGGCTGAATCCTGAAGCATCAATGGGAATCGGTTGATGAAATATTTAGCTAAGAAATTTCAGCTTTACACTAAAGGCTAAGGAGGGGGCAAATGTGGTAAGATTTGCCTTTTGGAAAATAATTCTAACAGCAAATTAGAGAATGGATTGAATGAAGGAATTGGACTGATAGCAGGAAGAAGTAAGCAGCTAAACAGCCCTGACTTCAGTAAGTTCATTTTGGTTCATATCAAATTAAAATTGAGAACATTTGTTTTAAAATGTTGGTACCATCAAGGAAATAAGCAAAGTCAAATAGCATCTAGTTCATGGTGGTCTTTGCAGCATTAGCAGCACCTCAGAACTTGTTAGAAATACAAATTTCTCAGGATTCTCAGACTTACTAAATCAGAAATTCTGGCTATGGGGTCCAGCAGTCTATGTTGTAAAAAGCCCTCTAGATGATTGTGATGCACGTTAAACACTCCTCTAAATCATCAATCTGTTTCTATGACTGTTAGCTTGCATCTTTAGTTACACTGATTTATTTCTAATCTATTATTTTTCAGCCACGGAATGGAAGAAGGTCAGCAGGGTTCATTTAAAATGGTATGTGAGAAATAAATAAACAAATAAATAAATAAAATAGTATGCATTTCACAGTTCAACACAGTTTGACATTTGCTGTTGTTTTCAAATAGTCACAAATTAAACTATGTTAAATGTATTTCTATTATTTGATTGCATATGTACATGAATGTTCCATATAAATACTACAATGATAGGAGCTGTAAGGGCTTTATTGTAATGAGAAAATACCAGTATTTTAGGGCCTCATTTGCTTTGCCTATGTCATTTATTCCTCAGACTATGTCACAATAGTAATGATCATAAGTGATTTTGTAGACATTGATCTTATCATCATTTATTGTGCAAGTAGGATATGTCAGGGAATGAATTCTTATTGCAGTAATCAGTGTCTATCATAACGGGCCAAGATTTACGGACTGAAAGTACTTCTGTCATCTAAATAACTGATACTCAAAGATTCTTTATAAAAGCTAGTGATTTACCAGTTTCTAGAGAATATTTTAAAATGTGGAAAGACATGAGAGAATGTTACCTCTTCTTTTGTGCTACCAGAATTTCTACCTCAGTGCTGGACATAGAGTAGAAATTTAGTAGCTGTTGACTGTTCCCACATGTTTAATAAATATGTTAATCCTAATATTTTATTAGACAATAAAAGTTGAAATCAAACCCAAATGCAGATTCATAAATTTATACCACAGAAATAAAAGTGTATTCTATTAAGTTTTGTAATCCTAAATCCAGATTTTATGCTGAACATATTTTTTCAAATATATCATTCATTTTAGACTGGGCATAGTGGCTCATGCCTGTAATCCCATCACTTTGGGAGGCTAGGGCACGAGGATCACCTGAGCACAGGATTTTGATACCCCATCTCTACAAATACTTAAGAAAAAAATTAGCCAGATGTGGTGGTGCATGCCTGTAGTCCTAGCTACTTCAGAGGCTGAGATGGGAGGATCGCTTGAGCCCAGGAGTTTGAGGCTGTGAGCTATGATCTTTCCTCTGCATTCCAGCCAAGGCAATAGAACAAGAACTTATCTCACAAAAAAAAAAAAAAAAAAAAACCACAACCAAAACAACAACAACAAAGTAAATTTCAAGAAGGCAGAAGGAAGAAAGTTATAAAAATGAAAGAAGAAATTGATGTTAAAAATAGTAAAGTAGAAGGACGGTAAACAAAGCAAAAATCTGTCAGTAATTCTTTACAAAAAATAAAATAAATTATACTAGTGTAATCAAGAAAAAGGATAAAATCATAAATATAGAAAAGTACAAATGAAAAGAGAAATTAAAACAGAGAAGAAATAAAAATCATGAAAGAGTACTTTGCACATCTCTCTACACATCAGTTTGGAAACCTGGATAAAATGGAGGATTGTCTAATAAAGTAGGTGCTACCAAAATTGACCTCAGAAGAAAGAAAAACACTAAACAGACTAATAGGTATGGGGAAAAAATTGGAATATGTTATCTAGAAACTATACCCGCGGCTGGGCACGGTGGCTCACGCCTGTAATCCCAGCACCTTGGGAGGCCAAGGTGGGCGGATCACCTGAGGTCGGGAGCCTGACCAGCCTGACCAACATGGAGAAATCCTGTCTCTCCTAAAAATACAAAATTAGCCTGGTGTGGTGGTGCATGCCTGTAATCCCAGCTACTCGGGAGGCTGAGGCAGGAGAATCACCTGAACCCAGGAGGGAGAGGTTGCAGTGAGCCAAGACTGCACCATTGTACTCCAGCCTGGGCAACAAGAGCAAAAAAAAAGGAAACTATGCCCACTCAAAACTATACTCTGTCTCAAAAAGAAGAAGAAGAAGAAAAAAAAGAAACTATACCCACAATATACCCTCAAAAAGTACTAAGCCAATAATTTTGAATTTTTTCAGCTCAGAGAAAGAAGAAAAATTACCCAATATTTTTATGAAGCCAGCATAATATTAATACAAAAACTTTTAAAAAGTATAAAAAAATGAAACTGTAAGTAAATTGTATTTATAAATATTAATGTAAAAATTTAAAAGGAATATTATTAAACAGTATTCATCAGTATACTTAAATAATTTTATGACCCCACTAAGATTTGTTCCAGCAACTCAAGGATGGTTGTTCAACGTTAAGAAGTGTGTTAAAAGTTTTCACTATTAGAAGAAAAATTATGATAATCTCAACAGATGCTTTTGGTAAAATTTCACATCAATTTCTGATCTATTAGGAAGAGATTAAACCTTTCTTGACATGATTTATACAATGGTCTCAAACCAAGTTAGTACAGTAGCTGACTTGTTAGTGAAACACTTTGGAGCTTTTCCGTTAATGTCAGGAACAAGATAAAGATACTCTCTAATTTCTTATTTAATGTAGTTCTTAATGTGTTAGCCAATTCAATTAGAAAAGAAAGAAATAAAAGATTCAAATAGTGGAAAAGCGAAGGAAAAATTTAATGTGCTCATGGGACATAATTAGGAACTTGAATTTGCAGACTGTGTTTGGTATTAACTCCTGCTTCAGAAGAGGCCTGATAAATTATGTTCACATAAGGAATATGAGAAAACATATCCTTAATTTTGTATTTTTTCAAGGAACAAAGAACAGAGAGCTAATGGAAAAGAAACTATTTTATCTTTTATAATATTATAAATGTACATTGGCATTTAAAAATTTTATTAAATAGCTTAATATTAAATGGGAAAAAATACCTGTGATTGTAACATTGAAATAAGTATTAGAGTGTTCACAATGTGAAACAGAACTTAATCCATGATTTGGTGAATTTAGTAAAAAAAAAAAAAAACCTCCAAAATTGAGAATAATTGCTTTATTCAGATTATTTTCAAGATTAGGGTGTCCATAAACTAATGTACTCGTGATTTCATTTTATTTTGCCAATAGAAAAACAATATAATAATCATTTTTTCTTTGTTTTTCTCATCTGATTTTCTAAGGCCTTTCTCTATCCTGATGACCTATATTTATTTAGAAAGTGGTTAAACATAAAATAGAATGATTTAGTTGCAAATATAGGAGGAAATAGATATACAAGGAGTAAATGTAAGCCTTTGAAATAGCTTATTCATAAATCTTATTGGTATTAATGAGCTTTAGGAAATCACTTTTAAATAGTTAAATACTGTAAACTGTTGGAAGACACAGACATACAGAATAAGTGTTCCATTAGAGACAGATTAAATGATATATAGTTAAAAATATACAGACAGGTCGGGTACGGTGACTCACCCCTGTAATCCCAGCACTTTGGGAGGCCAAAGGGGCAGATCACTAGAGGTCAGGAATTTGAGACCAGCCTGACCAACATGGTGAAACTCTGTCTCTACTAAAAATACAAAAATTAGCTGGGCATGGTGGTGCACTTCTGTAATACCAGCTACTCAGGAGGCTGAGGCAGGAGAATTGCTTGATCCCGGGAGGTGGAGGTTGCAGTGAGCCAAGATCGCGCCACTGCACTCCAACCTGGGCAACAGAGCAAGACTCTGTCTCAAAAAAAAAAAAAAATATATATATATATATATATACACACACACACATATATATATTTCTTCTGTCTGTGTGCATGTGTGTGTGTGTGTGTGTGTATATATATATATATATATATACAGCTGGGAAATATGTCAGATGCTACTGTTATTCTATGACAAAATATTTATAGAAATGTCTATATACAAACATTATATACACACATTCACGTGGTCATTTACACTTTAATTCAATTTTTCTTTTTTTACAGGATGCCAGCTAATTTTCCACAGAGCAATGCTATGGAATACAAAATGTACTGACATTTTGTTTTCTTCTGAAAAAAATCCTTGCTAAATGTACTCTGTTGAAAATCCCTGTGTTGTCAATGTTCTCAGTTGTAACAATGTTGTAAATGTTCAATTTGTTGAAAATTAAAAAATCTAAAAATATTTTTGCTTAGTGTTTTAATGAGAAATACTGTGTAATAAACCTGTAAATAATGATGTTCCTTAGATCCCTGCCAGGTTTGACAGTACAGCACACATGCATTTTTTTTTTTGAGACAGTTTGGCTCTGTCACCCAGGCTGGAGTGCAGTGGTGTGATCTTGGCTCACTGCAACCTCTGCCTCCCGGGTTCAAGCGATTCTCCTGCCTCAGCCTCCCGACTAGCTGGGATTACAGGCATGCGCCACCATGCTCAGCTAACTTTTTTTTTTGTATTTTTTTTGTATTTTTAGTAGAGATGGGGTTTCACCATGTTGGCCAGGCTGGTCTCGAACTCCTGACCGCAGGTTATCCACCTGCCTTGGCCTCCCAAAGTGCTGGGATTACAAGCATGAGTCACCATGCCCTGCCCATATGCTTTTTTGATGTTTTCATTAAAGGCACTCAGAGAGAGTTGAGAGTTGAGTTTTAATGAGCTGTTTTAGTTTATCATGTTTGGATTTTTGTCAGTGACAAAACCACCAGCTCTCATAAATACCAGAATGCCCAGTAGCTACCAATCTTAGAATGTGAGCACCAACTGAAACTATACTAGTTGGAGGATTGGGCCATAACCCATCCAATAGTCCAATAAGCAAGTTCTGATTTATAAACTGTATAATGGATTTCTGATTGCTACAAATATATCAGAGGACTAACTTCTTCTACCAACTCATAGTATTCAATTTATCCTAAAATAAGTTACTTCACCTCGCAATATCTGAAAGGCAACCAGTCTTGTCTATTAGCAGAAAGAAAATAATCTTATTAATAGAGGATCATGAACACACATTGGGAACTTTTAACATCAAATAAATGTTTAGTGGGCACAGAGTTAACTTCAGATGGAGATTGAATTTATCTCCTCTGAGGTTCCCCTTGATCTTTTTTCCTTCTGACCTCTGTCTTAGATTCCCACCTCCTCCATCAGGAAGGTTGCTGGCCGATTGGAAAGGAGTGGCTCTTTTGAGTAGGTAGAATTGGGTCTATACAGACATTCTTCAGAGCAGAGTATCTAACAAATCTTTGTCTTTCTAATGTTGACCAATTATTATAGCTTAAGTTACACCTTTTACTAACAAAGTTCCTGAATTTCACTTCTTGTTAACCTGAGTGAAGAACTCAGGTTAATAAGAAGAAGCAGAAGAGAAAAAAATACATTATTTTTAGAAAAATAAATTGCCTTGATAAGATGGGGACTTGAGAGCAAGGAGAGCATGCTGCCCTAAAACCACAAATGCATGGGGCAGCATTAGCTAGTTCTGTGCACAGTACTTCCACTAGCCTGGACTTTGGATTGTCAAAATAAGAAAAGAATATTAATTTAATCAGCAGTTCCCAGGGCCTCTCAGAAATCCAGAGAGACATAGGTAACATTTTTAGGGCTCCTGGGATGAATAAGAAGAAGAAAGAGGAAGAAGAAGAAGATGAGAAAAATACCAAGACATGATTACAAAAATTGTGATATGTTCTTAATTATTTATATTTAACAGATTCATGTCTCATACACAAACACAACAGAATATATGGGCTACTAGGAGTATAAGATTTGTATTAAGTATCAGCTAGGCACTAGAGATGGACTGGCCCCATGTTGAACCCAAGTTTAAAGTTATGTCATTAAAAACATTTTTTTTCTTTCCAAGTCCTGTGAGTATATCTCTGGAACTGTGTAAAACAACTTGTATAAAACACCAAGTGTTTTCCTCAAGTTCCTGGCATCTCCCAGTAAACATCCTTTCCTTAATTTAAACACAGAGGAACCCCTACCTGTCTAGGCATCCTACCTAAAACCAGAGCTTTTTTTTTTTTTTTTTTTTTTTTTTTTTTTTTTTTATTTAGACAGATCTCACTCTGTCGCCCAGGCTGGAGTGCAGTGGCGTGATCTTGACTCACTGCAAACTCTGCCTCCTGGGTTCAAGTGATTCTCCTGCCTCAGCCTCCTGAGTAGCTGGGATTACAGGCACCTGCCACATCCTGTTAGTTTTTGTATTTTTAGTAGAGATGAGGTTTCACCATGTTGGCCAGGCTGGTCTTGAACTCCTGACCTCAAGTGATCCACCTGCCTCAGCCTCCCAAAGAGCTGGGACTGCAGGCTTGTGCCACCGTGCCTGGCCTAAAGCCAGAGCTTCTGTCACTTAAGGCAGTGGATTTTTTAAGATGGAGTTGGGGAGCCTACAGTCCCATTTAAGCATCTAATGAAAGCTCTGGCTCTTAATTTCAGAAAAAAATGTACACATACAACAAAATTACGTGTAGTACACTTGGGGGCTGGGGGGCAAGATATTCCCTAAAATCTATCCAAATACATTGTATGGGCTAAGTGTAGTGGCTCATGCCTGTAATCCCAGCACTTTGGGAGGCTGAGGTGGGAGGATCACTTGAGCTCAGGAGTTCAAAACCAGCCTAGGCAACATGTGAGACCCCTGTCTGTACAAAAAAATTTAAGAAGTTATCTGGGTATGATGGCACATGCATCTGTGATCCCAGCTACATGGGATGCTTAGACAGGAGGACTGCTTGAGCCGTGGAGGTGGAGGCTGCTGTGAGCAGTGTTTGCACCACTTCACTCCAGCCGGTGAGACAGAGCAAGACTCTGTCTCTAAACAAAAAAATATATAGTCTATGGATTCCAGGTTAAGAACGCCTCCTCTGAAGGGTTCTCCACCCCAGGAGTTTGTTATTTCTCCATGAAGACAGGACTCAGGGTTTGAAGGGTGCCAGAGTCTCTGAAACAATCGGTTGATTCAATGGTGGTGATGGAGGGAAAAGTTGACAAGAATGTCAGCACCAGCACCACAAAGGGAACAGGAAAGGCAGTGCTTGGGATAGATGCTCCAGGACCTGGCGCGTCAGTACCCACAACCATCCCCTGTGTTGGGCCTCTGCATTGCCTGGCAACCAAGCTGCCACGCCCGCCCATGCGTAACAAGTCCTTGTTCGCCTCTCCCTCTTCTGGCGGTCACTCGAAACCGCCGGGCCTGAAGCGGGCGCTCTTCCAGCCTGGAGAAGGCTGCGGGTCTCCATCCGTGGCGCCTCGCCAGCTGCAGGACGACGCGGGCTCTTGAGGGGCAGAGCAGCGCATCATGCAGGTGAGGGTCGGGACCTGCCGAGCCACCCTGGAACACCCAGTGGGTCTCCAGCTGGGCCCGAAGCCAAGGGACACAAATGGGGAGGGCGGACACAGGAGGTAGGCTCTAACATTTGTTCTTGGAAAGTGCTAAATTTTGCGTGCTTCTCTGTCTAGTTTTGAGAAAAATCCTCTAGGAGAACGCCATTTTTTCAGCCTTTAAGACTTGTGTCTGTCGCTGGAGAAAACGTTAAAAGAGTTGTTACGTATTGTGTTTCACACCAAAATCATAGAAATCTTACTGCTGAATACTATTTTTGACTTAATAGAGCGGCAACGTTAGCCCAAGTGTAATTCAATTTGGTTGTCCTCCTCCACTACCTTAAAAAATAAGAACAGAAAACCTACTAGTCACATATGTCTTAATACCATATGTCCCTAGAGTTTCTTGCACCTCACCTCAAAAACTCTGTTAGACTTTTGGGAGGCGGAGGCGGGCGGATCACAGGTCAAGAGATTGAGACCATCTTGGCCAACATGGTGAAACCCCATCTCTACTAAAAATACAAAAATTACCTGGGCGTGGTGGCGTGCGCCTGTAGCCCCAGCTACCTGGGAGGCTGAAGCAGGAGAATCGCTTGAACCAGAGGCAGAGGTTTCAGTGAGCCGAGATTGCACCACTGCACTCCAGCCTGGCGGCAGAGTGAGACTGCGCCTCAGAACAAACAAACAAACAAACAAAAACTCAGACTTCCAAAATGTTTCTTAGAAGGCTCCTCCTCTGTCTAATGGTTCCTTATTAATCAGAAGCCTGTGCCGTCCTTTTTTTTTTTTGGTACAGTAAAATTGTCTTTCTAACTTACAGAAACACCTTTTCCCCACCTGCTCCTGCAGATTAAAACCACTGGGATTTTTCTCATTTTACATATTTAATTTTGGGTGTTTGTATGTACTGTATAATTTATTAGGATATTTTGAACATCAGTTACATATAATTTTTTATGGCCAGTCCTTTCATGCTAATAATGGATTCGTAGCAAGCACATTTTATATGTGTGTAAAAACATTGCAGATTTGTCCTGATTTGCATCTGCTCTTCAGGATTGAAATGTAATTGACAGTGAAGGCAACATCACATTAATCTTTGTTGGTTTACTGATTAATTCAACAGCCAGTTATTCAGTGCTTATGTTTTAGATACGGACCTGTTCTAAGAGCTTACTAATGAGGGAACAAGAAGAAGACAGATATAACTATTAATGGCATGGTAAATGCCTTCATAGTTTGAGCAAATAGATTGTGGTGCCTGTTTCTGTTAGATAAAATTTCATGGCCGAGGGCAGTGGCTCATGCCTGTAACCCCAGCACTTTGGGAGGCTGAGGCAGGCAGATCCCTTGAGGTCAGGAGTTCAAGACCAGCCTGGCCTACATGGCAAAACCCCATTTCTACTAAAAATACAAAAAAAAAAAAATTAGCTGGACATTGTGGCACATACCTGTAGTCCCAGCTACTTGGGAGGCTGAGACAGGAGAATCGCTTGAACCCAGGAGGCGGAGGATGCAGTGAGCTGAGAGTGCACCACTGCACTCCAGCCTGGGTGACAGAGCAAGATTCCATCTCGGGGGGGAAAAAATTCATAGTTCATGTCTTTTTTTTTTTTTTTTTGGAGACAGGATCTTGCTCTGTCACCCAGCCTGGAGTGCAGTGACATGATCAACCTCCCAGGCTCAAGTGTTCTCCCACCTCAGCATCCCTAGTAGCTGGGACTACAGGTGCATGCCACCATACACAGTTAATTTTTTTTTTTGTAGAGATGGGGCCTCGCCAAACCCAGGTTGATCTCAAACTGTTGGGCTCAAGGTGGAAAAGGTACCACCTGAAATCCGCACAACAAACCTTACTCTTTTTTTTTTTTTTTTTTTTTTTTTGAGACAGAGCCTAGCTCTGTCATCCAGGCTGGAGTACAGTGGTGCGATCTCAGCTTACTGCAACCTCCACCTCCCGGGTTCAAGCAATTCTCCTGCCTCAGCCTCCTGAGTAGCTGGGATTACAGGAGTGCACCACCACGCCTGGCTAATTTTTGTATTTTTAGTAGAGACAGGGTTTCACCATGTTGGCCAGGCTGGTCTTGGAGTCCTGACCTCAAAAGATCTGCCTGCTTTGGCCTCTCAAAGCGCTGGGATTACAGGCATGAGTCACTGCGCCTGGCTGCCAAAGCTTACTCTTAATGTACCCTGCTTTTCCTGGTCACCTCCCCATAACTTGCCTCCCACATACCCTTCTTCTTTTGTTTCAGCGAAACATGGTATTTAAGCCTGAATTTTAAGCAACCTCTTTGACATACACTCATTTTCCCTGGTATCTCCAATGTATCCATGAGGTATACATACTCATAAACTCTTTTTCTCTTGTTAATCTGTCTTTTATTACAGGAGTCTGTCCCAGCTAAGAAGTCAGAATGATAGAAAATTATTTGAGGTGGAACCAAAGGGTTTGGTCCATCAAAGGATGGGAGATGAATAGGAGGGTGAACCGGAGGTAAACACATGTCTAGGAGAATTCAGGGAAGGATATCTTGGTGCTTATTGGAACAGAAGAGAAAATGAAAAGGAGTAAACCCTGTCGAAAAACATTTCGGCCTAAGACAGCTCTCATATGGATTTGTAACCTGAGTCGTATTGTTGGGTGGTCCAGCAACCTTAAACTGTGAATTCGTTATATATTGTAGTGCTCTCAAATACCTGGAAGAAAAAAAATATAAATCCTCTGTAGAGGAAGATGTCTTTAGTTTAGGCTTTAAGGAATTCCCATCAATAAGTTTTCGAGGACAGAAAGCAGAAATCAGTCAAAGGTAACCAAGCACACAAGGAAATAAGCCACCATGAGACCATGAACCAACAGAAACAGATTTACAGAGATTTTTAGATAACAGAATGATCAGAAATAGGTTATAAAACATCCGTACTGGCTGGGCGCGGTGGCTCATGCCTGTAATACCAGCACTTTGGGAGGCCGAGGTGGGCGGATCACGAGGTCAGGAGATCGAGACCATCCTGGCTAACACGGTGAAACCCCGTCTCTACTAAAAAAATACAAAAAATTAGCCAGGTTTGGTGGCAGGCGCCTGTGGTCCCAGCTACTTGGGAGGCTGAGGCAAGAGAATGGCATGAACCCAGGAGGCAGAGCTTGCAGTGAGCCCAGATCACGCCACTGTACTCCAGCCTGGGCAACAGAGCGAGACTCTCTAAAAAAAAAAAAAGTACTTATAAATACTGAAAACTATAAAACAGACAAATAGAGTAGAATAGAAAGCCTTGAAATAAACCCACACATATTTTCAAAAAATTTTTAACAAGAGTGCCAAGACCATTAAATGGGCAACAGTTAATTTTTTTTCAATAAAGGGTGCTGGGTAAACTGGGTATCCACATGCAAAAGAATGAAGTTGGAACCTTATCTTAGACTTTGTGAATCTGAAATATCTGAAACAGGTTTCAGTTGACTTAGAAAGTTTATTTTGCCAAGGTTAAGGATGTACCCATGACACAGCCTTAAGAGGTCCTGATGACATGCGTCCAGTGTGGTTGGGGTACAGCTTGCATTTCGGGAGACATCATTCAATATGTGTAAGATGTACATTGATTTGGTCTAGTAAGGCAGGACAACTTCAAGAGGGGGCTTTAAGGTCAGAAGTAGATAAGAGAGTCCTTGATCCTTTTGAGTCCTTGATTAGCCTTCCACTGAATACACAATTTAGTCTGGCTCAGTGAGTCTGCACTTTTACATAAACAGTAGAGCAGAGGAAGCAATCAGATATGCATTTGTCTCAGGTGAGTCTGAGAGGGATGACTTTCAGTTCTGTCTGTCCTTTGTCCACAAGGAATTTCCTTTTGGGCAAATTGTGAGGGAGGTGTGTAGCTTGTGTCTTTGTAGCTATTTTATTTAGGAGTAAAATGGGAGGCAGGTTTGCCTGACATAGTTCCCAACTTGACTTTTCCCTTGGCTTAGTGATTTGGGGGTCCTGAGATTTATTTTTCTTTCACAACTGTATACAAAAATTAACTCAAACTGCATCAAAGTCCTATAGCTAAAGGTAGAAATCTCTTAAAAGGAAACATAAGATAGATTCATGACATTGAGTTTGACAATAATTTCTTGGTTATGACACCAAAAGCACAGGTAACAAAAGAAAAAAATAAATTGTACTTTACCAAATTTAAAACATTTTTTTGCGTCAGAGGATATTATCAAGAGAATGAAAAGACAAGTGTTGAGACACAGTGGCTGAAACCTGTAATCCCAGCACTTTGGGAGGCTGAGGCAGGTGGATCATTTGAGGTCAGGAGTTTGAGACCAACCTGGCCAACATGGTGAAACCCAATCTCTACTAAAAATACAAAAATTAGCTGGGTGTGGTGGTGGGCATCTGTAATCTTAGCTACTCAGGAGGCTGAAGCAGGAGAATCGTTTAAACCTAGGAAGAATTCTCAGTGAGCCGAGATTGCTCCACTGCACTCCATCCTGAGCAATAGACTGAGACTTCATCTCAAAAAAAAAAAATTTAAAAAAAACAGAAAAAGAAAAAAGACAACCCACAGAATAGAAAATATTGGCTGATCATATATTTGATAAGAGGATAATATCCAGAAGATATAAAGACTTCCTAAAACTCAACAACAAAAAGACAAACAACCCAATATAAAAATGGGCAAAAGATTTTGCTATAGTTTGAGTGTGTCTGCTCCAAAATTCAGTTGTTTCCAATGTGATAGTATTAGGAGGTGGGGCCTTTAAGAGGTGATTAGGCCATGAAGTCTCCTTCCTTATAAATGGGATTAGATACCCTTATAAAAGGGCTTGCTACAGAGAGTATGTCCCTTTTTTTTTTTTTTTTTTTTTTTTTTTTTTACTATTCTGTCTTTTGCCACGTGAGGACACAGTGTTCCTCTCCTCTGGAAGACACAGTGTTCAAGGTACCATCTTGAAAGAAGAGATCAGACCCTCACTGGACAATGAACTTGACAGTGCCATAATCTTAGATTTCCCAGCCTCCAGAACAGTGAAAAATAAATTTCTGTTCTTTATAATTTACCCAGTCTAAGATATTTTGTTATAGAGTACAAACTGGACTAAGACAAACTTGAATAGACGTTTCTTAAAAGAAGATCTCCAAATAGCCAATAAACACATGAAAAGATGCTTAACATCACTAATAATGAAGGGGATGCAGCTCAAAACCACAGTCTACTTCACACCCACTAGAATGTTTATGATAGAAAAGATGGGCAATAACAAAACTGTTGATAAGGATATAGACAAATTAGAATCCTTTTGCATTGCTGGTGGGAATGTAAAATTGCACAACTGCTGTGGAAAACTGGTAATTTCCTTCCAAATTAAACAGATATCATATGATTCAGTAATTCTCCTTCCAGGTATGTACCCAAAAGAATTGAAAGTAAGGACTTAAACAGATATTTGTATACCCATTTTTATAACAGCTTTATTCCTAATAATGAAAAGTGAAAACTACCCAAATGTCCATTGATGGATGAATAAACAAAATGTGGTATATAGGTACAATGGAATATTATTCAACCTTAAAAAAGAATGGAATTCTGCTACATGCTACAACATAGTCGAACCTTGAAAACATGCTAAGCGAAATAAGCCAGTCACAAAAGGACAACTATTGTATGGTTCCACCTGCATGAAGTACACAGAATAGTCAAATACATGGTAGAAAGTAGAACATGGAACAATGGTTTCCTGGAGTTTGGAAGAGGAGAGAATGAGGGGCTATTATTTAATGAGTACAGTTTTTCTATTACAGAAATGAATAACAGAGGAAATCTTAGAAAATTAACAAACATGTGGAAACTAAACAACATGCTACTGAACAACCAATGGGTCAAAGAAGAAATTAGAAGAGAAAGTTTAAAATATATTGAGAAAAACAAAAATGGAACTACAACAAAACCTATGGAAGGCAGCAGAAGCAGATTTAAGAGGGAAATGCATAGCAATAAATGCCTAAAACAAAAAAGAACAAACTAAGCTTATAGTTATCAGAAGGAAATAAATAACAAAGAGCAGAAATAAATGAAATAAAGACTAGAAAAACAATAGAAAAAATCAAGAAAATCTTTGGTTTTTTGAAAATATAAAATCAACAAAACCTTAGCTATACTAAGAATAAAGAAGACTCAGATAAAATCAGAAACAAAAGAGGAGGCCTTACAGCTGATACCACAGAAATACAAAGCATTGTAAGACATTAATATGAACAGTTACATGCCAATGGATTGGATAACCTAGAAGAAATGGATAAATCCATAGACACATATAGCCTACCAACAGTGGATCAAGAAGAAATACAAAATCTAAACAGACCAATAACAAATAAGGAGATTGAATAAAAAATTAAAAGGCTCCCATCAACGAAAAGTCCGGGACCTGATGCCTTCACCAGTAAATTTGACCAAACATTTCAAGGAGAACTAATAACAATCCTTCTTAAACTCTTCCAAAAATAGAAAAGGAAGGAATACTTCTAAATCTTTGTGTGTGTGTGTGTGTGTCTGTGTGTGTGTGTGTGTGACAGTATCTCACTTTGTCTCCCAGGCTGGAGTGCAATGGCGCAATCTCGGCTCACTGCAACCTCCGCCTCCCGGGTTCAAGTGATTCTCCTGCCTCAGTCTCCCGAGTAGCTGGGATTACAGGTGCCTGCCACTGTGCCCAGCTAATTTTTGTATTTTTAGTAGAGACAGGGTTTCACCATGTTGGCCAGGCTGGTCTCGAACTCCTGACTTCAGGTGATCTACCCACCTCGGCCTGCTAAAGTCCTGGGATTATAGGCATGAGCCACTGCACCCAGCCCTAAATCTTTTTAATGAGATCAGCATTACCTTGACATCAAAGCCAGACCTGGACATTACAAGAAAAGAAAATTACAAGCCATTATCTCTGAGGAACACAGATGTAAAAATCCCCAACAAAATACTAGCAAACTGAAGTCAACAGCACATTAAAAGAATAATGTACCACAATTAAGTGGGATTTATCTTGTGGATGCAAGGATGTTTCAGCATACGCAAATCTACAAATATGACACACCACATTAACAGAATTATGGACAAAAATCATATGATCATCTTGTTAGATGCAGAAAAAACATTCAACCAAATTTAATATCCTTTCATGATAAAAACTTGCAACAAATTAGGTATAGAGGGAATGTACCTCAGCACAATAAAGGCATATACAACAAGCCTACAGATGATATTCAATGGTAAAGTTGAAAGGTTTTTTTCGTAGACAAGGATGCCCATTCTCACTACTTCTATTCAATATAGTACCAGAGGTCTTTGCCAGAGCAAGTAAGCAAGAGAAATAAATAAAAGGCATCCAAACAGGTAAGGAAATAGTGAAATTGTTGCTGTTTGCTGATGATGTAATCTTGTATATGTAAAACCCTAAAGTCCCCACCAAAAAAACTGTTAGAACTAATAAATGGATACAGTAAAGTTGCAGGATTCCAAAACAATATGAAAACTAGTAGCATTTCTGGCCAGGCATGGTGGCTCATACCTGTAATCCTAGCACTTTGAGAGGCCGAGATGGGTGAATCACTTGCAGCCAGGAGTTCGAGACCAGCCTGGCCAACATGGTGAAACCTCATCTCTACTAAAAATACAAAAATTAGCCGGGCGAGGTGGTAGGCACCTGTAGTCCCAGCTACTCGGGAGGCTGAGGCAGGAGAATCACTTGAACCCAGGAGGCAGAGGTTGCAGTGAGCTGAGTTTGCACCACTGCACTCCAGCCTGGGCGACAGAACGAGACTTCATCTCAAAAAACAAAACAAAACAAAACAACAACAACAAAAAAAAACTAGTAACATTTCTGTATACTAACAATGAACTATCAGAGAAAGAAATCAAGAAAATAATCCCATTTATAATATTTACAAAAAAGTAAATACTTAGGAATAAATTTAACCAAGGACATGAAAAATTCATAGACTGAAAATGATAAAACGTTGATGAAAGAAATTGAAGAAGACACAAATAAATAGGAAGATATTCCATGTTCATGGATTGGAAAAATTATTGTTAAAGTGTTCATATTACCCAAAGCAATCTGTAGATTCCATATAGTCCTTATCAAGATTCCAATATGCCCTTTTATACAGAAGTAGAAAAAGCAATTCTAAAATCCATATGGCACTACAAAAAACTCTGAATAGCTAAGACAATCTTGAGCAAAAAGAAGAAAACCAGAGGCATCACATTACCTGACTTCAAACTATATTGTAAAGCCATTGTAATCCAAACAGCGTGGTACTGGCATAAAATAGACATTGACCAATGGAGAACTCAAAAATGAACTCATGCATTTACAGTCAATTGATTTTTGACAAAGGGGACAAGAACACACAATGGGGAAAAGGACAGTCTCTTCAATAATGGGTGTTGGGAAACAGGATATCCACATATAGAAGAATTAAATTGGACCCTTATCCCACTCCATCTATAAAAATCAACTAAAAATGGATTAAAGACTTAAATATAAGACCTGAAATTGTGAAAATATTATACAAGAAGAAAACACAGGGGAAAAACTACACACTATTGGTCCAAGCAGTGAATTTTTGGATTTAATCCCCCAAGCTCAGTCAACAAAAGCAAAAATAGACAAGATTACATCGAACTAAAAAGCTTCTGCACAGCAAAGGAAACAGTTAACAAAGTGAAGAGACAATCTATATATTGGGAAAAACTATTTACAAGCAATACACTTGACATGGCATTACTACTTAAAATATATACAGAACTCAAATAACAGTAGTAAGAAAACAACCCAATTTTAAAATTAGCAAAGATAATCCCAGCAGTTTGGAAGGCTGAGGAGGGAGGATCACTTGAGGCCAGGAGTTCAAGACCAGCTGGAGCAACATGGGGAAACCCTGTAAAAATACAAACATTAGCTGGGCCTGGTGGAGCAAGCCTGTAGTCTCAGCTACTCAGGAGGCTGAGGCATGAGAATTACTTGAACCCAGGAGGTGGAGGTTGCAGTGAGCCAAGATTGTGCCACTGCATTCCAGCTTGGGTGATAGAGCAAGAATCTCTCTGTCTCAAAAAAAATAAAATAAAATAAAAGGGAATACTATGCAGCCATAAAAAAGGATGAGTTCATGTCCTCTGTAGGGACATGGATGAAGCTGGAAACCATCATTCTCAGCAAACTGTCACAGGGACAAAAAACCAAACACCACATGTTCTCACTCATAGGTGGGAATTGAACAATGAGAACACTTGGACACGGGAAGGGGAACATCACACACCGGGGCCTGTCATGGGCTTGGGGGAGGGGGGAGGGATAGCATTAGGAGATATACCTAATGTAAATGACGAGTTAATGGGTGCAGCACACAAACATGGCACATGTATGCATATGTAACAAACCTGCACATTGTGCACATGTACCCTAGAACTTAAAGTATAATAAAAAAAAGAAAAAAGGAAGTTCATCTGATGGTCTTGAATGCTTCTGTAGAAAAAGAAACCAAACTGTATTTGTGTATGATGTGAATTGGTTTTGCCCAATACAGTCTTCAGCAAATTTTCCATGACTTAGGAGATACTTCCTTAATATTCTCTATATGTATTCTAAATTGATATTTTATTAAAATTTTGAGTGGAGCATATAATCCCATTAGTGCTGGGAAGCAGGAAAAAGTAGGTCACTTTGCTTTATTCTTCAAAACCAATTAACTGTAGAGTTCATGAACAATTGAATACTTGGAAGTGCTACATCTTAATGAATTTTCCAAATACATATTAAAGTGTACAACCATGTTAATTTTCTTTTCTTTTCTTTTTGTGTAGGATCCCAATGAAGATACAGAATGGAATGACATTTTAAGAGATTTCGGCATTCTTCCTCCTAAAGAAGAGTCAAAAGATGAAATTGAAGAAATGGTTTTACGTTTACAGAAAGAAGCAATGGGTATGGTCGTAGATTTGGTGGGCTGGATGATGGGAATAATACAGTTAAGTTAGTACTAAGGTATTTCATGAACATAGTGGGAGAGAGGACATTAGAAATCATTTAGTATAGGCTGGGCATGGTGGCTCACACCTGTAATCCCAGCACTTTGGGAGGCTGAGGCCAGCGGATCACGAGGTCAGGAGATCGAGACCATCCTGGCTAACACGGTGAAACCCCATCTCTACTAAAAATACAAAAACAAAATTAGCCAGGTGTGGTGGTGGGTGCCTGTAGTCCCAGCTACTCAGGAGGCTGAGGCAGTAGAATGGCATGAACCTAGGAGATGGAGCTTGCAGTGAGCTGAGATCGTGCCACTGCACTCCTGCACTGCTCTGGGCAACAGAGCAAGACTCCATCTCAAAAAACAAAACAAATAAACATTTAATATAACCCCCCTCAACTACTTTCAGTATTTGGATATGACACCTAAAATGACTAATTTCACATGTTGAAAATCACATGCTAATAACAGAGCTGAAATATCCTGGTGTGTAACCAAGTGAGCTTTCTTCTCCCACCATGTCCCTCTGCCTTATTACCATCTATTTTGATCATTCTTTATAGTATGTATTATTTATCAAGATTTCTAGGTACTTGAGGGAAATCTAAATTTATGAAATCTAATTGATTTTCATACCTAGTTTTAAATGTAGCCTGTCAGTTCTATGAACTTTGAGGGAGTAATACTTTAATATTATACTTTCTATAATATTTATAGCTTTTTTTGGTGGCTGGCTGCTTTATGTTTGTTTAAAGATACTCTTTTTTGTTTGTTTTTTTGAGACCAAGTCTAACTTTGTTGGCCAGGGTGGAATGCAGTGGTGCGATCTCAGCTCACTGCAAACTCAGCCATTCGGGTTCAAGTGATTCTCCTGCCTCAGCCTCCCGAGTAGCTAGGATTACAGGTGCCTGCCACCACACCTGACTAATTTTTGTATTTTTAGTAGAGATAGGGTTTCACCATGTTGGCCAGGTTGGTCTTGAACTCCTGACCTAAAGTGATCCACCCACCTCGACCTATCAAAGTACTGGGATTCCATCGCACCCGGCTGTTTAAAGATACTGTTGATCTCCTTTGTATAAGACGGTTTTTTTCTAGACATTGACTGTATAGTAAAAAAATTTTTAAACAATTTGATAATCTATAATTTATGTTGTTTTAGTGAAACCATTTGAAAAGATGACTCTTGCACAGCTAAAGGAAGCTGAAGATGAATTTGATGAAGAAGATATGCAGGCTGTTGAAACATATAGGTACAGTGATTCATTTGGGTTAATTATAAATTTTTGAATGAAGTATAATAAGAATAAAACTAAAGAGATTTGTCTTGTCACATAGATTTTACAAAGAACAAAACTAATTTTTAAGTAACATTTTGAAACTCCCTTTATATAAGGTGGAATTTTATTACATCATTACATCATTTTTTCTTAATATTTTGCCTTTGATTTAATAGAAAATTATCCAATCATGTACAATATAACTTCATCAAGCTACATACGATTAAAGTGGAAAATAGCAATAAGAGGCCAATAAAAAGATGGCCATGATTTTCCTTCTAGCATGATGTCTGTCAAAGGTGACTATCATTTCATGAATAATTAATTACTATTCTTAAATTATTTTAGAAACTGGAACAGGTTCATAAATTTCCCAACTTACTTCACAACTAAAATAAGTTGGGAAATGTATGAACCTGTTCTAATTTCTAAAGTACTTTTTACAAGACCAGTATTTATCCTGATACTAAAACCAGACAAAGACATCACTAAAACAGAGTACTACAAATATCCCTCATGACTGTAAACACAAAATCTTTAAGGAAATATTGGCAAATTAAGTCCAGCAATTTAAGGAAATAATAAATCTTGATCAAGTAGTATTGATTGCAGGAATGCAAGATCATTTTAACAATAAAAAAACAGTGGACCAGGCACAGTGGCTCATGCTTGTAATCCTAGCACTTTGGGAGGCTGAGGCAGACGGATCACCTGAGGTCGGGAGTTTGAGACCAGCCTGACCAACATGCAGAAACCCCGTCTCTACTAAAAATACAAAGTTAGCCAGGCATGGTGGTGCTTGCCTGTAATCCCAGCTACTCTGGAGGCTGAGGCAGGAGAATCGCTTGAACCCGGTGGGGCAGAGGTTGTGGTGAGCCAAGATTGCGCCATTGCACTCCAGCCTGGGCAACAAGAGCGAAACTCCACCTCGAAAAAAAAAACAAACAAAAAACCAGTGAATTGGGGCTGGGCACAGTGGCTCATGCCTGTAATCTCAGACTTTGGGAGGCTATGGTGGGAGGATTGCTTGAGGCTAGGAGTTACAGACCAGCCTGGTCAACATAGTAAGACCCTGTCTCTACAAAACAAAAATAAAAACCAAAAGCCACCAGTGAATGGAGTTACAACAGCCATACTCCAGGAGCAATGAGCACATATAGCACTCAGATCTTTCTGAGGCAGGGTGCGGTGACCCACACCTGTAATTCCAGCACTTTGGAAGGCCAAGGCGGGTGGATCACCTGAGGTCAGGAGTTTGAAACCAGCCTGGCAAACATGATGAAACCCGTGTCTTTAAATTAGCCAGGCGTTGTAGCACATGCCTGTAATCCCAGCTACTTGAGAAGCTGAGGCAGGAGAATCGCTGAACCTGGGAGGTGGAGGTTGCAGTGAGCCAAGATCGTGCCATTGCACTCCAGCCTGGGCAACAAGAGTGAAACTCCATCTCAAACAAACAAACAAACAAACAAAAAACAAATAAATACTATTCTCTAATAACAGGAATTAGTGCTCCTTAGCGAACTGCTTGATCCCACGGTGTGTGTTAGGAAAGTATAATATGAATATGAAGCATCTTATGTTGCCAGTAGGTAAGGAAGTACTTAAAAAAAAAAAAAGTCCCAGGAGTCAAATGGACAGATCTCCCAAGGGCCAAAGTTAGAACAACTTGAACAACAAAATCAATAATTATATGATAGGATTGTAAAGCAAATAATGAAATAAATTTATAAAAGTCCATAGTGATATAAATAAATAACTTAATACATGAACAAATTTGGAAGAAGTAATCTCTCTCCCTTACAGAAGAGTTTTAATTAATAAGTGTAAATGAAATTAGAGAAATAGAAAAATCACCATCAGAACAGTGGTAATTTCCTATGGGTAAGATCCAGTGATGGATGCTAAAATGATTGGTTGAAAGTTTAAACACAAACAGGATATTGCATAATTTCAAAGAATTCTTCCCCAAATATTTAGTAATTATAAAGGAGGAAATAGTAAGTTTATAGGCAGATACTATCTTAGGCAGATGATCAAGGTTAATATCACCAGTAAAATATGCTGGGAGGTGATCAAGTAACCCCTGGTATGTTGTACTGAGAAGGACATATCACCTCTGTGGTATCATTTTCAGTAATGCATAACTTTAATTATAAGAAAACTTCAAATAAACCCTAATTGAAGAACTCATTAAAAAAAAAAACCCACTGATGACACATCAGGGAAAATAGCAGAATAGGGAACTCCAAAAATACATCTCTACCTAATCAAAGATTGTACTAGCAGGAACTGTCTGAAGTGACTGTTTTAGTACTCTGGAGAATATTGAATGCTTGTAGTTTCCAAGTGAAAACTTGGCTGGTAAATGGCAGTATCAGTTGATTTCAGCCCTCAGTTCAGTAGCAGCTGTTCATGCTCAACCCCTAGCTCCATGACAGGCAGCTGACAACCTGTATTTCTGACACAGCTTGCTGGAGCCAGGGTGGACAATAAGGACCTTTTCCTCCAAATATTGGGGTTCTGTGTTCTTATTACAGATTGCTCCTTCTGAACATGGATGTACAGGGACAGAGGCTCACTGCCATTGTGTGAACTCCCACTGGCTCAGGCAGCTATCAGAGAATTTAAAAGAGCTATAACCTTTTTTAAAGATTCAAAACAAACTGTGCTTTTGGGAAAATATAGAAAGCCAGTGCATTTACTCCGGGGAAGATGCAGGCTCAAAAAATACCTGAGAAGACCTTAAAGCTTCTACCTCAGAATGATCGCCAGCACAAAGACAGCCTACAACAATTAAAACAAAAACAAAAACAAAACCCCAGCAAAGGAGGAGAACTTATTTCCAAAGTTACCACATTATAGGATTCAAATATCTAGTTTTCAACAAAAATCACAAGGCATACACAAACAAGAAAGTATAGTCCATTCAAAGGAACAAAATATACTGACAGAAAATGTACTTGAGGAAGCCCAGAAGTCAGACTTACTAGACAAAGACTTTAAGACAACTATCTTACGGATGCTTAAAGAGCTAAAAAGATAGGAATATAATGTATGATCAAAAAGAGAATATCAATAAAGAAATAGAAGTTATAAACAGGAATAAAAGATATTCTGGAACTGTGATAATGAGAAATATATATCTGATCTTTGTCCCCAGTTCCTGACACAAACATACTTGGAATTTGCTAGGTGATAAAAGTACCTTTGGTATGCTTATGAGATGATCCTTGGTGGAGGGGATCCTAGTAGCTTTAGGATGAGGGCTGGTTGCCAGAGGAACCAACCATGTGATTAGAAGGTTAGAACTTTTAACACTATTCCCTGCTCTCTGGAGAGGGGAGAGGGGCTAGAGATTGAGTTAATCACCAGTGGCCAACGATTTAGTCAATCATGCCTATCTAATGAAACCTCCATAAAAACCACTAAATGATGGTGCTGTGGTCTGAATGTTTGTGTCCCCCCCAAATTCATATGTTGAAACCTAATCCCCTCCCAATGTGATGGCATTAAGAGGTGGAGCCTTAGGGAGGTAATTAGGTCATGAGGGCTACCCCTTTATGAACGGGATTAATGCTCTTATAAAAGAGGCCTGAGAAGGCCAGGCACAGTGGCCCATGCCTGTAATCCCAGCACTTTGGGAGACCAAGGCAGGCGGATCACCTGAGTCAGGAGTTCGAACCAGCCTGGCCAACATGGTGAAACCCTGTTTCTACTAAAATACAAAAATTAGTTGGGTGTAGTGGCCTGTACCTGTAATCCCACCTACTCGGGAGGCTGAGGCAGGAGAATTGCTTGAATCTGGGAGGCAGAGGTTGCAGTGAGCCGAGATTGTGCCACTGCACTCCAGCCTGGGCGACAGAGCAAGACTCCGTCTCAAAAAAAAAAAAGGACTGAGAAATCTGGAACATGCTTTTTTTAAAATTTGTTTTGCCAGTCTTTGCCTTTAGTTGGAGATTAATCATATTAATTTAAAATTCACTTACATTTAAAGTAAGTACTGTTAAGAAAGGAGTTGCTTCTGCTACTTAGGTGTTTTCTGTATTTCTTACATAATTTTTGTTTTTTAAGTCTTCCATTACTGCTTTCTTTTCACAGTTAGCTGATTTTTCTAGTGTACCATTTTTATTTCCTTCTTCTTTCATTTTCTGTGTATCTTTTAGTTTTTTCATAGTGATTATCTTAAGGATAAAAATTAACGTCTTACAGTGGCCTACTTTGAATAATACCAACTTAGAGTCAATAGCATGTAAACACATCTCCATCCTTCTCCTTATTTGTTAGTGTCACAGACTACATTGTTATATATTGTGCATCCATTAACATAGATTATTATTATTGCTTTATGTATTTACCTTTTATATCATACAGGAAAAAAAGAGAAGTTAGAAACCAACTCTAGGCCAGGCATGATGGCTTACGCCTGTAATCCCAGTGCTTTGGGAGGCAGAGGTGGGCAAATCGCCTGAGTTCAGGAGTTTGAGACCAGCCTGGCCAACATGGTGAAACCCCGTCTCTAATAAAAATACAAAAAATTTAGCTGGGCATGGTGGCACACCCCTGTAATCCCAGCTACTCAGGAGGCTAGGTGTGAGAATTGCTTGAACCTGGGAGGCAGAGGTTGCAGTAAGCTAAGATCGCGCCACGGCACTCCAGCCTAGGCAACAAAGCAAGACTGTCTCAAAAAGAAAAAAAAAAGAAACCAATTCCAATAATGGCTTTTACATTTTCCTATGTAAAAGCCAAATGGTAATACTGGCTATTATATTTCCCTATGTAGTTAACTTCACCATGTTCCTCGTTTCTTCATGTGGCTTTGGATACTATCTGGTGCTCTTTCATTTCAGCCTGAAGGACTCCTTTCACATATTTTTTAGGCAGGTCTAGGTCCCTTGGTGTTTTTTTGTTTTTATTTTTATTTTTTAAATCTAGGAATGCATTAATTTACCCTCATTCTTGAAGCATAGTTTTGCCAAATATCGAATTCTTGCTTTTGACAGTTGTTTTCTCTCAGCATTTAAAAAATATCAACTCACTGCCTTTTTGGCTTCCAAAATTTCTGCTGAGAAACTGGCTGATAGTCTTATTGAAGATCCCTTGTATGTGATGACTTGCTTCTCTCTGCTTTCAAGATTCTCATTGTCTCTTCTTGCCTTTCAGTAGTTTATGATGTATCCCCATGTGGGTGTCTTTGAGTTTATCATACTTTTATCATACTTGGAGTTTGTTGGACACTTGAGTTTATAGATTAATGTATTTCATCAAATTTGGGAAGTTTTCAGCCATTATTTCTTAAAATATCCTTTATGCTTCTTTTCTCTCTCTTTTCTGTTGAGATTCACACAACATGTGTGTTGGTCTGCTTTATATCATCCCACAGACCCTTTAGGCCCTGTTTATTTTTTTTTCATTCTTTTTTTTTTCTCAGATTTGATCATTGCAGTTGTCCTATTTTCAAGGTTGCTGATTCTTCTGCTTCCTCAAATCTGCTTTTGGAACTCTCCAATGTATTTTTTTAATTTTAGTTACTGTACTTTTTAGTTCCTCTGGTATGTTTTACTCATACCACTTCTGACATGAAATGTTGGGGCAGGGTCCCCCACAACCAATTCTCCAACTTTCTGGACACCAACTGGGTGTTCTACAATTCATTTCAATTCTGACACTAACTATTGGAGTTAGGGAAGACCCCACATTGGGAGACTACTTCAAACACACTAAGGTGGTTATAATAAATAAATTGGTGAGGATTGGAACCCTTTGAATTGCCACTGGGAATGTAAATGGTACAGCCACTTTGAAAAACAGTCTGGTGGATCCTCAAAAGGTTAAATATAAAGTTAGCATATGACCCAGCAATTCCACTTCTAGGTATATACCCAAGAAAATTCAAAACATGTATAGGAATGGCCATAGCAACATTATTCACAATAACCTCAAAATGGAAACAATCTAAATGTCATCAGTCTATACAGTGGAATACTATTCAGCCATAATTCAAATGAAATGAAGTACCAATATGTTCTACAACATGGATGAAAACATGCTAGGGGAAAGAAACCAGTACAAAAAGTCATAGAGACAGAACACAATTATTGGTTACCAGGGCCTAGGATAGGGGATAGGGAGTAACTACAAATAGATATGGGTTTATTGTGGAGTGATGAAAATGTTTTTGAATTAGGTAGTGGTGATGGTTGCACAATTCTTTGATGCTTATCCTATAGTTCTCCTGAGTAGCTCTCCTCCAGGCAATGACTATGAACCTGGGCTGTTTCATTAGGGGCTACATAATCTCAGAAACCTTTACTTCCAGTTGTGTGAATCAGAAAGTGTGAAAGGTCACGTGGGACATTTTAGGGGTGAGTCATTGAAATGTATATATCACTTTCACTCATGTGGCATGGGTTGTAATCTAGTCTCATGACCCTAATCCAACTGCAGGGCAAGCTGGCAAATGTAGTCTTTCAGGTAAATGTAGCTTCCCCAGAAGAGAAAGCTACAATGATGATCACCCTACCTGTCTCTACCACAGAGATTAAAGAGCGATACCATAAATAGAAATTCTTTTATTTGTGTATTCCACATCAAAATCACAAATTTAGTTGCCACCAAATTATGGCATTATTTTCATTTCTGTACCTGAATGTTTAAAAATATTACTTGTTCTTAAGAAATTCTGTACTTATCTTGCTAGTGCTGATTTAAAGCAAATTCCTCATTTAAAGTAAAAACAAAACAGCAAGAAAATATTTTTTAAAAACTAGTGATAAATGGGAGGCTGAGGCAGGAGAATCGCTTGAACCTGGGAGGCAGAGGTTGCAGTGAGCCGAGACCATGCCACTGCACTCCAGCCTGGTGACAGAGCGAGACTCTGTCTCAAAAAAAAAAACAAACAAAAAACAAACAAAAACTAGTGATAAGCTAAAGTAATGGAACTTTTTTTTTACTTGATAAAAATTTTAACAAACATTAAAAGTTACTATTATGAGAAAAAGAAGAATTGTTCACTATCATGTCTGTTTTTTTTTGTGGGGGAGAGGAGGACAGAGTCTTGCTCTGTTGCCCCAGCTGGAGTGCAGTGGCCCAGTCTCAGGTCACTGCAGCCTCTGTCTCCTGGGCTCAAGTGATTATCCTACCTCAGTCTCTGGAGTAGCTGGGACTACAGGCACATGCTACCACGCCCGGCTAATTTTTGTATTTTTTGGTAGAGACAGCATTTCACCACGTTGGCCAGGCTGGTCTCGAACTCCTGACCTCAAGTGATCTGCCCGCCTTGGCCTCCCAAAGTGCTGGGATTACAGGCTTAAGCCATGACGCCAGGCCTCATCTCTGTTATTAAACACCATACAATAGGTCCTAGCCAGTACCTTCGGACAAGATTTCTTTTAAAAAAAGATGTAATATTCAAAAAAGGAGAGACAAATGTTATTGTGTAGATAATTAGCTGTAAAATAACAAGGGAGTCAGCTCAGAAGCTCTTCTAGCTAAAAAGATGAAAAAAATTTATACACAGCAATAAACAAATCTGCAGTATATTGTTTGTGGCATATAATACTAAATTGGCCTTTTTGACATATATTCCCCTTTCTCTTGGTGTATTCCAGTACCATGGAAGCTAAAAAACTAAAAGGATATTTCTCAGACTTTATTGCAATAAAGGTAAAGAATATGATTTAGACATTTCACCGGGGATTTGAATTCAGAATTAAGTGGGGAAAGAAGTAGAAACACACAGCCGGGCGCGGTGGCTCATGCCTGTAATCCCAGCACTTTGGGAGGCCGAGGTGGGCAGATCACAAGGTCAGGAGATCGAGACCATCCTGGCTAACACGGTGAAACCCTGTCTCTACTAAAAATAGAAAAATTAGCCTGTTGTGATGGCGGGCGCCTGTAGTCCCAGCTACCCGGGAGGCTGAGGCAGGAGAATGGCGTGAACCCGGGAGGCGGAGCTTACAGTGAGCCGAGATCACCCACTGCACTCCGGCCTGGGCGACAGAGACAGACTCCATCCCAAAGAAAAAAAAGAAGAAGAAGAAACACACAAAGCATCCATTTAGTTGGTACTAATCTAGAATTTGCATCATGGTTTTGGAGCCATTATTCTTTTTTTGTTTTATAATTTCAACTTTTATTGTAGATTCAGGGGATGCACATGCAGGCTTGTTACACTGGTATATTGCATGATGCTGAGGTTTGGGATATGATTGATCCCCTCATCCAGGTGTGGAGCATAGTATCCAATGGAGCCATTATTTTGGCAACAGTTTCTCATCCTCAGATTGTTACTAAGGAGATAGGTTTCTAGAGACAAAAGTTGTTACACTGGCTTTCTGATTCTCAGAATAGTTTGATAGTAAAGCCAACAATAGTGTGGTAGTTCCAGATTCCCTAGTTTCTGGATTGTGGTAGAGAAAGCCTTGGCATACCAGTTTTGCATGTTGTTCTGGGAGTCATTCCTGGTATCCCAGTCTAGAGCCTGCTCCTTCTTTTTATTGGGTTGATAAAGCATTTAATTCCCCCCATATTAAGTTCTTTTCTGCTTAAAATAGCTAGTGGGCCTTCTGTTTATGCAACTGAATCCCAACTGATAGGCTTGTTAGGTGAAAAACGCAGGCCATTGAACACTGTTTGAACTTCTAATGGCAAAACCAGCCCATGTATTTACTGTTCTCCCCTGCCCAATTCCACTGAAATAACAGAGAAATGAGAAGGAGGAAGAAGTGGAAGAGGAGAGGAGGAAGGGAAGTTGTTGATAGTTGCACCATTAGAGCATGGTGTCATCATTGGAACAAGAATATTTTGAAATTTCTGAATGATATTAAGCCAGTAAGATCAAATTGCGGGAAGTTAGATACTCGGTGCAAACAAAGTAGGGCTCCCATAAGAACTGTGGAGTAACTCTAGGTTCCAAATATCTGGGCCAGTGGAGGAAAAATTGAAGGACTTCAATTTGAAAACTATGAGAGGTCCCCAGCCTTGGGTTACTATCCTTGGCATTCTCCTCTGGGTTTGATTTTGCTTGGATTACTGGTTATGTAAAGTAAGAGATTTTACTTGAAATGTTTCTAGCATGGGAAATAAGGTCAAAAATTTTTTTTTTTTTTGAGATGGAGTCTCACTCTGTCGCCCAGGCTGGAGTGCAGTGGCACAATCTCAGCTCACTGCAACCTCCGCCTCCCGGGTTCAAGTGATTCTCCTGCCTCAGCCTCCCGAGTAGCTGGGACCACAGGCGCCCGCCACCATGCCCGGCTAATTTTTTGTATTTTTAGTAGAGACGGGGTTTCACCATGCTAGCCAGGATGGTCTCGATCTCCTGCCCTCGTGATCTGCCCGCCTCGGCCTCCCAAAGTGCTGGGATTACAGGAGTGAGCCACTGCGCCCAGCTAAAAATGTTTTAAAATATACCCAGGGTTTTGTTTTTATTCAAGTGTGTCAGGATATGGTTGCTATTGAAAGGATAGTTGGTTACTCACAGTTTCCAAGGGAGGGGTGCATGCCACATCATGCCACACAGGGGCCATGCAGTGAAGCACCTGAATTGATCAGAAGTCAGAAGGAGCAAGGGGAAAGCATGGGCATAAGGCTTCCATTATGGTTTCTGTGGGAAACACATGGCAAGGCAGGGTAAGCAGAGTTAGGATTGGCTAGTTTCAATAATTTTGGTGGGCTCTGGGCTGTAGAGGCTATCTCTAGTTGTTTGGTACCTGGCCCTGGAATGATTAGGGCAGGGGATCATGGCTCAGTCTGATAAATGAAGTGATTGAGGGTATGGGCCCTAGATTGATTTGCGTTTGAACAGTGTTTGCTATTTCATGGAGTTCACTAGCCCTGGGAGGGGCAGACTCTACAGAATCAGCAATGTGTCAGATGCCAGAGCATCAAGAATACATAAAATAAGAAAATATGGTTAATACACAGAGAAAGAAAAGGAGTAAATACTTCCAGCAAACTTAGAGGTATAGAATCATTAAATGTTAATAAACTTGCAGACAGTCAGAAACCATTTAGATTTGCTTCATGAATCCAGGCGTTCAACAGCGAAATTGTCAAATTATGTAAATGTTGAGAGAGTTGGTTTTTTAAACAGTTTCAAGGTTCTCTATGGATAGATAAATAGGTAGCAACATTTATTGAATGCTCACAGTGTGTCAGGCACCCTGCTAAGAAATTTACATGTATTATTTCATTTTTTTCCCAGTAATCCCTTGTGAGTAGCTATTAGTATTATTCCCATGTACAGTTAGGGAAACTGAAGTGTAGAGAGATTAAACAACTTGCCCAAGTTTATGCTATTAACAAGTACTGGAACTGGCATTTAAACCCAGTGTAGTCTGAGCTTAGAATCCAAGCTCATAATCACTCTCCTCTACTACCTCTCTGTCTATAATAAATCTATATTTATAACAAGTAATTACAAATATCCACAAAGTCTTCGAAGTGAAGATCATCTTAGCATGACTGTTACTAACATTTAAATGGGGATAATAATAGTACTGGCTTTGTAACATTTTTACAAGGATTAAGTTCATTAATGTTATGTATTTAAAATAGTGCCTGGTAACATAGCAAGCACTTGGTTAATGTTGGATATCATTATTCTCCTTAATGAAGTATTCAACTTGTACATGAGAATTTGTTGGCACAACATCTAGATAAACTCTCTATAGCTATGATTTAAACCTAGTCTTAAATACAAACAAATTTAAAAGTCAATAGCAAACTTCTTACACTTTCCAATAACCATGATAACACAAATTTGCATATAAAAAGAGAAATTGGTTTTATAAGATCATTCATGGTTATCCCATCATTTAAAGTGTTTGATATGGATAGGCATTATATTCATTGCCCTAAATTGTTATTACATATGAGAATGACCTTAAGAATATGACAGTATTCTTATGTAATTTAATTTCATGTTTTAATTAGAAAGAAGCGGTTACAGGAATGGAAAGCTCTTAAGAAAAAACAAAAATTTGGAGAATTAAGAGAAATTTCTGGAAATCAGTATGTGAATGAAGTCACAAATGCAGAAGAAGATGTGTGGGTTATAATTCATCTATACAGATCAAGGTAATTACCATAATATTTCAAAATGTTAATATACTACTATTTTAAAAGACATATTTTTGGTTTTAAGGTTTTACAAAGTATATAACAGTACTCAAGAAAAAGCAACTATATATTGCACACATATACATCCATAGAGGTTTTGATAGTCATTGGCTTCAGGGATTAAATTAGGTATTTTAAGATCTTTTCATTTCTAATTTCAGGAACTTGTCACACTTTTTAGAAAAATAAGCACTCTTTGGTAGTTTTGTTAAAAACTTTTTATTATAGAATATCTCAAAAACAGAGAAGTGGAAGGAATGAGAAAATGAACACTCTAAATATCGACCATACAGATTCAACAAGTAACCTTCTGCCATATTTATATAACTGTTTCTGTGTGTGTGTATATTTGCATTTGTAGAAAGTGAACTGAAAGTAAACTGAACATAGCATGATGATTTATTCCTGTGTACTTCAGCATGCACCTTCAAAACATAAAGGTGTTGGAAAGAAAAAAAAATTATATTTCCTCTACCCATTTTAGGTTTATTGGCTGGGGCCCTGCAAGTTGGACTGACAAAAGACAGGTTAACAAGAGAAAAACAAACAGAAGTCTATTTACAAGTGCATTACACATACACATAGGAGAGCTCAGTGATAAGTAACTCAAAGGGGTGGTTAGAACTTGGGCTTATATAGATTCTTAACAAAAGAACAGCAAATTTGTAGAGAATTGATAAGACAACAGAAAGGGTCTTTGAGCTTCTAGGAGTGACAAACTGTGGGATGGTAAATACATGGGTGAAACTATGTATTCAACTTGTTGAATCTATATGGTCGATATTTAGAGTGTTTAATTTAATCAAAATTAAAGGTTGTTTTAGCAAGGTTTGTTATATAGATTCCTCTGGTGCCTCACTGGAATGATAAGAATCTAGAGCTTTATCCAGTGATTAAGAGTGTCCTGCCCTTCCTGGTAGAGACAGGAGTGAGGATGTTACTGGGTGGAGAATATTTTTCTTGTGTCTGTTTCTTTTCAGTTGTCTTTAGCTCAAAATAATCCTTATGCCAGAGTGGCTTATTTTGGTGTGGTATACTATGAATCCCTTCAAGAACGTTCTTCTACATAACCACAATACCATTTTCTCACCTAACAAAATTAACAGTAATTCCTAATACCATCTAATACGTCGTCCTTACTCAGATTTTCCCGACTGACTTAAAAATATCTTTTATGAATACATATGTTTTGGACAAGGAGTCAATCAAGAATTATGCAGCACATTTAGATATATCAGCTCTCTGAAGTCTCTTCTAATAGAACAATTTCCCTGCACCCCTGCACTCCCCCATTCCTCCAAGACAGTTAATTTAAAAATACCTGGTTGTACTAAGTATAACCCACTGTCCCTAGGCCTCACCAGTCTTGCCTAGTAAATGGGGAAAGTAGACTTTTGAATGTTTCTCTCGTTCAGTCCTTCTAGCTTTAGGTCCCTACCCCTCTGCCTCAGGGCTATAAACCATTCTAGGAACAGAGGCCATGACAGCAACCTTCACTGTCCTTATCTCAATCTCTGAATAATAAATGTTTTTATCTTTAGGTCCTCAGGGAAATTATATACAGAGCAATTTATGCAAATTATAGCCCTGTATATAACCCTGTATAGCCTGTATGGCTATACTTCGCAGTTCCTGAGTCAAATTTTGACAGGACAACATGCCCCATAAAAGAAAATGCCCCATAAAAGTTATTTTATTATAACTAAAACTCTTGGTAGATTAATTTTTAAGTAGCTTTAAAGTCCTTAAAAGAATGTGTTGACCTAAAAGGAAGAGGCTGGGGCACAAAATATAATTTAAAGAGTTTACTTGAGCCAAAGTGAGGATAGCTGCCCAGAAGACTAAACCCAAGTACCTTTGGATATGATCTCCCTTTAGCCTTTGTTATGAGCAGGTTTGTGAAGACATAAAAGGAGGACAGGGAGTGGACTGATACAAAGTTGTTTGTCAGGAATTCTCTTTGGCTTAAGGAAATAACATTGATTAGTGACTGGCAATATATTGTTAAGCTATAAAAGTTACAGTGTCTGAAGTATTATTGGGTTGATTCATAGCTACTTGCAAGCAATAGCAAGCAGTTTCAAGAGATGAATACATAGGTCAAGGAGGGAGTAGGTTGTGATTCTCTCTTTTTATTTTTGATACAGGGTCTCACTGTGTTTCCCAAGCTGGAGTACAGTGACAATTGTAGCTCAATGCAGCTTTGAATGCTTGGGCTCAAGCAATGATCCTCCTGCCTCAGTCCTCCAAGTAGCTTGGACTACAGGTCTGCACCACCACATCTGGCCAGGTTTTAAAATTTTTTTGTAGAAATGGGGTATTGTTATGTCGCCCAGACCGGTCTCAAACTCCTGGCTTCAAGTGATCCTCCTGCCTCAGCCTCCCAGAGTATTGAGATTACAGGCGTGAACCACTGTGCCTGGCCTGCTGTCTCATTTTAATGACTCCGTGGGGGTAAACATTTAAAAGGACTTGCATTCTTCAGAGAAAAGTTATTTCCTGAAATCACACTTCCATATTACCTATACTATTTATTTGGTTAACCAGTTTGTAAATGCTGCTTGTAGATCTCACAAATAAGGATGAGAAACACGGACATTTATAAAACAAGGATCTGTTTGTGGTAAATATTATATACTGAAGTGGTTTACTGAATGTTTTTTCTGATCCTGTGTGGTTAGCAGAGTAGATATGGCTTCTAAGTAAAATTATCTAGCTTAATGGTTACTTCCAGATAAATTACTAGTTTTTAGAAATAATTTTTTAAAAATTCATAAAGAGGTTGAATGTGATTTAGTCTGCTTCAAATTGTTGTATGCTTTGATAGACTCAAAAAGAAGGATGTGGTTTCATAATACTTTAAGTAAACCTTCTCAGAAGGTTTTTCTGGGCCACTCTAAAGTAGTTACATATTAGTTTTCTGGACATTAAGAAAATACATTCCTGGGGCTGGGTGCGGTGGCTCATTGCCTGTAATCCCAGCACTTTGGGAGGCCGAGGCAGGCGGATCACTTGAGGTCAGGAGTTCAAGACCAGCCTGGCCAGCATGGTGAAACCCCATCTCTACTAAAAATACAAAAAAAAAATTAGCCAGGCTTGGTGGCGCATGCCTGTAGTCCCAGCAATGTGGGAGGCTAAAGCAGGGGAATGGCTTGAACCCGGGAGGCGGAGGTTCCAGTGAGCCAAGATCATTGCACTCCAGCCTGGGTGACAGAGCAAGACTCCAAATCAAAAAAAAAAAAAAAAGAGAAAAAGGAAAATACATTCCTGTGTTGGTATAAAACATATATTTTGAAAATTAATCTGTAGTAATCTAAATTTATAAAATATAACAGAAAATAATTGTGTTACAAATATTCTTTAGAAAACTTTAGTTTTTAACAGTGGATTTACTGGCCAGGCTCGGTGGCTCATGCCTGTAATCCCAGCATTTTGAGAGGCCGAGGCGGGCGGATCACCTGAGGTCGGGAGTTTGAGACCAGCCTGGCCAACATGGCAAAACCCTGTCTCTACTAAAAGTACAAAAAAATTAGCCGGGCATGGTGATGTGTCCCTATAATCCCAGTTACTTGGGAGGCTGAGGCAGGAGAATCGCTTGAACCTGGGAGGCAGCTCTGCAGTGAGCTGAGATCACATCACTGTACTCTAGCCTGGGCAACAGAGCAGGACTCCATCTCAAAAAAAAAAAAAAAAAAAAAAAAACAGAAAAATGGATTTACTTACAGCTTTTTAATATTGTAAAGTTGAAGGACAGCTGTTAATTTATGTTTTTGTAACCACACAATGGGTTCATTTTGCCTGCTGCCCATATAGAGTCAATTTATCAAGACAGGGGAATTGCAATAAAGAGTTTAATTCATGCAGAGCCAGTTGAACAGGAAACTAGAGTTTTATTATTACTCAAATCAGCCTCCCCCAAAATTTGGAGGCTGAGGTTTTTCAAGGACCACAGAATGGGTACTGCTGATTGGTTGGGAATGCAATCATAGGGATGTAGAAAATGATCCTTGATATGGTTTGGCTGTGTCCTCACTAAATCTCATCTTGAACTGTATTTCCCATAACCCCCATTTGTCGTGGGAGGGACATGGCGGGAGGTAATTTAATCATGGGGGCAGTTACCCTCATGCTGTTCTTGTGATAATGAGTGAGTTCTCATGAGATCTGACGGTTTTATAAGGGGCTTTTCCCCTTTTGCTCAGCACTTCTCATTGCTGCCACATGTGAAGAAGAATGTGTTTGCTTCCCCTTCTGCCATGATTGTAAGTTTCTTGAGGCCTCCCCAGCCATACTGAACTGTGAGTCAGTTAAACCTCTTTCCTTTATAATTACCCAGCCTTGGGTATGTCTTTATTAGCAGCATGAGAACGGACTAATACAGTCCTCATGTGTGCTAAGTCTGCTTCTGTATGGGGCCACAGTACTGCTTGGTGGGTCCAGGTAGAGGCATCAGTCATCAGAAATGCAAAAACCTTAAAAGATATATAAAAAAGACCAATCTTAGGTTCTACAATAGTGTTGTTACCTGCAGGAGTAATTGAGGAAGTTGCAAATCTTGTGACTTCCAGAATAATGGCTGGTAATTGTTTAAGTGTGTATCATAGCAGAGTTCAGGCTCCTCTCATCCTCCTAACCTAGTCTTCCCTTAGCTTTACAAAGGTGGTTTTAGTTTTGGGGAAAAGCTATTATCATTTAAACTGTAAACTGAAATTCTCCCAGAGTTAGCTTGGCCCAAGTCCAGGAATGATTCGGGGCAGTTTGGAGGTTAAAGGGAAGATGGGAGTTGGTTAGATCAAATCTCTTTCACTGTCATAATTCTCTCACTGTTAAAATTTTTACAAAGGTGGTTTCATTTTTAGCTACTTTCTATCAATTTTATAAAAGGGTGGTGTTTGTTTTTTGATTAGGCTCCTAAATTCTATAATTTCAATGGCTCTTTGCCATCAAATTGATAGGATTAGACCCACTTTTTATCGGAATGAAGGCTTAGCCTCCTTAAGGTGCCTTAGAGGGATCTAACTCAACCTGGGCCAGTAAGCCCAATGATTTAGCTTTAAGTCAGTCTTGTTTCTGGTTTTATTTAATCTTACCCTGTACCCCAATTCTATTTAATCTATGCCTGTACCCCAATTCTAATTTGGGGCTTTTATATTATTCTTATACCCAAGTGTATATTTTGAAGCTTGAATACCATAAATAGTCTCTTAACTTGTTTTGTGATGTTAGAGGTCTGCCTCATATTTTACAGCTCTTCTGGGGTTAAAATTCTGGCCCTGAGCCCCAACACCAAATTTGTTCCCCTACTACTTGCTGTCAGAACTGTCTTCGGGCAACCCTTTCTCCCTGCATCACAATCTGTTATGCAATATTCTCTTAATTCTATACTTTTCACTGCCACCACCAATACCTACCTGACTTCTGCCATTCACACTACTGACCCACCCCACAAATATCTGTTGTACCACTGACTGAGCTTTCATTCTGACAAAATTTCTAATGAAAATTATAAAATTTCTCTGAATTAGATATTAGTGGACTCATTTCACCTTGAAGGAAATCAAAACATTTTACCCTAAGATATACTTTCTTGACATATTTTGAGATGGGTGTTCAGAGAGCCAGCAAAACTGAAGTAACCCCGTAAAGCTGTCTTTTGTGGAGGGGATTTGCAACTGTAGAGAAAATCTGCATTCATGCAGTCAGGCCTTCTCTGAGGGCCTTCCCTTGTCTGATTTAGGACCAAAGTTAACTGAGAATCTGATGCCTTGAAAGGTCTAAAAGAAACATTTACCATCTATTCTCTTTGAGGGCTGCTACCTGTAAGGTTTCATCTACATAACAACACCACTTTTGCTATCCAGGCCTCCTCTTCTCTGCCTCCCATAGCCTGTCTTGTCACTGTAACCTGATTTACCCCAATAACATGTTTTTGGCCATGCCAGAGCCTCCATTCTTTCTGTAGCCTCAAGATGGCATATAAGCTTCTGTCCCCCATTGGAGGGTTTGGGTAATCACTTTGTGTTTCCTCTCTCATGTACATGTTAATAAACTTGTGTGCCTTTTCTCCAATTAATTTGCCTTTTGTTAGTTGATCTTTCAGTGAACCTTCCTTTGGAGGGCAAAGTTTTCCCTTGGCCCCTAAAACCTTGCATTTTTTAGTAGAGACAGGGTTTCACCATGTTGGCCAGGCTGGTCTCGAACTCCTGACCTCAAATGATCTGTCTATCTTGGCCTCCCAAAGTGCCGGGATTATAGGCTTGAGCCACTGCACCCGGCTCAAATTGAATATGTTTATGTAAAATGGAGAAAGAGTCTTTGGAGAAGGAAAGATGAGAAAACAGGAAAAGAGGGAAGCAGAATAACCAACAAAGATCCCAAGGGAGGTGGAAGGAATGTGGAATAAAGTAGAGGTGAAGGGATTCACTTGAAAGTTGGATAAACTGGGAGAAAAGGGACTAATCGATCAAGGAGTGTGATGAGAATTAAGTGATAAAGCAGGAAGAGCTGAGGTTGTGGTCACACTTCCAATCAATATTAAATTTCTGGTAAGGAATAGTTCTGGATAATGGGCCACCAGGATGTGGCATGGAGTGGGATTCCAAAGACTGGAAGAAGTTTGTTGGAGTCAGGAAAGACAGTTCTGGATATGGTAAACTCATTACATGGAAAGAAGCTCATGATGGCAGCAAGGGTTGGGATCCTTTTGTTTCAACTCAGAACTGCAAAGGATTTCCTAGAAGTGTCCTGTTTTTTTTTTTTTTTTCTACAAACTGGGTACCTGCTTGAACCAAACTGATGCTCAGTTGAATGTAGTTTCCCTAAGTTAAGCATCAGCTTGCCATGGTAGCTAGCTTCATTCCCGGGTTATAATGGTGCTTGCAATAAAAACCAGAGGACTCTACATACAGTTCTTCATTGCTAAAGGTAACAATAGAGGATGATAATAATGTGCTTTTATATTAATCTAAGATATATTTTTGCCATGGCGATATTTTACTTATTTCATTAGACTGAGATGAGTAGCCCATTTATTAAAGATTGTGTGTACTGTTTCTCTTTTTAGCATCCCAATGTGTTTGTTGGTTAACCAGCATCTTAGTCTTCTAGCAAGAAAGTTTCCAGAAACTAAATTTGTTAAAGCCATCGTGAATAGCTGTATTCAACACTACCATGACAATTGTTTACCAACAATTTTTGTGTATAAAAATGGTCAGATAGAAGCCAAATTCATTGGAATTATAGAATGTGGAGGGATAAATCTCAAGCTGGAAGGTAATGTTACAAATTTTGTTTATAAAAATGATAGGTGAAAACATCTGCAAACTAACAAGCATCCTGAAAGCTTACTTCCTTAGTACCAAGGTTTTTTCCTTGCTTCTAGTCTCTTTTTATATGCCTCCAGATTAATTTTCCTATAGTAATACTCTAATAACACCCCCTTGCTTAAAATCCTTAATAGTTCCCTGTCTCAAGTAAATTAAAAATTTAGAATCTTCTCCTTTAGAATCTCCACCCACCTCTCCAACTATATTTCTCAGTGCTTGCTAGTTTCTGTTCCTGTTAGGCTGGTCTTCAGCCACAACCCACAAATAGACATTACTCATTTGTGCCATCACACTTTTTTTACACATTCTCTGCTTGTACCTAATGTATTCTACCTTTCTCTATTATCCAAATCCAAAGTTTATTCCTTCATGAGTCTGTTCAATTTTTATTTACTGCATTATGTAATATTGGACCAATTCGTAATCTTTTTCTTCTCTACTGAATTTCTGTAGTGTATATTCTCAATGCATCTTTCTTTTCACTTATTAGCATGATATCTAATTTTGTTGATGAATCAATTCCCTTTGAATTTTATCTTCCTAAAAGGTGCATGGACCATGCCTCCTATTACTTTATTTTTCTTAGCACACAACACAAGACTTTCTATTTTTATCTTCTTTAATTGTTTTTACTTCCTAAGGTCATCTCTTTGATATATTCATTTTTTGGCACTGCTTTAACTCGATTTTACAAAACTAAAAATCATTTTCTCTCACCATTGTGTTAAAGTCATCATGAGTGGCTGTTTTCGGTTTTTGTTTTTTGTTTGTTTGTTTGTTTGTTTTTGAGACAGAACCTTGCTCTGTCACTCAGGCTAGAGTGCAGTGGCATGACCTTGGCTCACTGCAACCTCTGCCTCCCTGGTTCAAGCAATTCTCCCTGCCTCAGCCTCCCGAGTAGCTGGGATTACAGGTGGCCACCACCACACCTGGCTAATTTTTGTAATTTTTAGTAGAGATGGGGGTTCGCCCTGTTGGCCAGGCTGGTCTTGAACTCCTGATCTCAGGAGATCCGCCCGCCTCAGCCTCCAAAAGTGATGGGATTACGGACGTGAGCCTCTGCCCCTGGCTGGTTGTTTTCAATAGGTATTCTTTGACTCTGTCAGTCCCCCAAAGCTGTTTTTGCCCTTACCGAGACCTCTGATACTTTGTTTCAGAATTTTCCCATTTTTCTTTTAATCTTCTAAGGCCTTTCCTTGTTTCACCACCTTGTTTTTTGTAGCTTGGACCTTTTCTTTTTAATTAAAAAAATTAACAACATAAGAGTACATAAAAGAATACATAGAATAATAATATAGTAAGCATTCATGAAATCATTATTGTCTTCTCTGTTTGGGATGCTATAATAAAAATACTGTAAACTGGGTGGCTTATAAACAAGAAACTTTATATTAATGTCTCACAGTTCTGGAGGCTGGGAAGTCCCAGATCAAGGCGCCAGCAGATTTGGTGTTTTCTGAGGGCCTGTTCTTCATAGATGGTGACCTCTTCATTGACCTTACGTGGTGGAAGGGGCAAACAAGCTCCTTTTGGCCTCTCTGTTCACTCTTTCATTGATGAGTTCTCTGCCCTCATGGTCTAACCACTCCCAAAGTCCCCACCTCTTAATACCATCACCTTGGGCATTAGGATTTCAACATATGAATTTTGGGGAGACATAAACATTCAAGACCATAGTAATTACCAAAAGTAACAAATGTGAACATTTGTTTATGCTTGCTTCAGCTATTTTTTTGAGATAGCATCTCACTCTGTCACCCAGGCTGGAGTGCAGTGGCACAATTATGGCTCACTTGCAACCTTGACTTCTCAGGCTCAAGTAATCCTCCCACTTTAGCCTCCTGAGTAGCTGGGACTACAGGTGCCTGCCATCACACCTAACTATTTTTTAAGAAAAATTTTATAGTAGAGATGGGGTCTCACTTTATTGCCCAGGCTGGTCTCAAACTCCTAGGCTTAAGTGATCCTCCCGCATTTGACTCCCAAAGTGCTGGGATTACAAGCATGAGCCACCAAGCCTGGCCTGTTTGCTTATCTTTTAAAAACACATTGCAGATAAAGTTGAAGTTACCTGTATTTCCATACTTAGTCCTGTTCCCCTCCCTGCTTCCTTAGGGGCAAAAACTATCACGAATTTAGTGTGTATCTCGTCCCCCCCCCCTTTTTTTTTGAGACAGATATCAATGAAATTTATTGGTATATTTTAAACATTGTAGTAGAATATGCATAACATAACATTTACCATCTTAACTATTTTTAAGCATACAGTTCAGTGGAATTAAGCACATTCACATTCCATCACCATCATCCATCGCCAGAAGTTTTTTCATCTTACATAACAAACTCTGTACTCGTTAAAAACTCCTCAGTCTCCATTTGCTTCAGCCCAGGCAATCACCTTTTTAGATTCTGTCTCTATGAATTTGACAGCTCTAGATACCTCATATAAGTGGAATCATATAGTATTTGTCCTTTGTGACTGACTTATTCCACTTAGCATAATGTCCTCAAGTTTCATCCATGTGGTAGCATGTTATCAGAATTTTTTTCCTTTTTAAGTATATCTTGTGTATCCCTTCATCTGTTAATGGACACCTAGGTTGTTTTCACCTTTTGGGTACTGTGAATAATGCTGTTATGAACATGTGTGTACAAATAATATGCTCATCTCCGTTTTTAATTCTTCTGGGAATATACACAGAAATGGAATTGCTAGATGATATGGTAATTCTATTTTTAATTTTAAAAAGAACTATCTGGTCTTCTTGTTATGCTTTAACTTAAGTATATCTATAGAAATAGAAGGAATAATTAATTGCAAAATTGAAAGTATTTAATAAAGGGCATTATATTGTAGTATCATTCTGCAACTTGCTTTTTTAAAAATCTCAACCATAGTATTCAGAATCTCTTATTTCATATATGTCTGATTCAATAACTTTATCTCCTGTCTAGCATTCTATAATCAGCTATTCCTCAATTTATCATTCCCCTACTGTGTGAAATGTGAGTTTCCAATTTTCCCATTATGAACAATTCTGCTGTGACCATTGTTGTGCCCACCTGTAAAAATTTTCTCAAGGATATATGGAGAATTGTGGGATCATAAGGTATACACATTTTCAACTTCACTTGATAGTTGATAGATTGCTCTGTAAATGAAAGTATCAATTTATCCTTCCATCGGTGTTTGAAGATATACCCACATCTTCACCAGTTCTTGTTAATTTTAGACTATTGGTTTTTTGGTCAATCTGATGGATATGAAGTTGGTATCATTTCATTGTTTAAATGTGGATTTCCCTGATTACAAGTGAGGTTATGGATTTTTTCATATGCATTGGTCATTCTGATTTCCTCTCCTGTTTATATACTTTGTCCATTTTGTCATTTGTGTTTTTTCATTGATTTATAAGAGTGCGTGTGTGTGCATATGTTGTTTCATTGATTTATAAGAGTGGGTATGTGTGCATGAATGTGTATGTAAAGTTCTGGATACTATTTTTATAGTATTACTAATATATTCTCACCAGTTATGGCTTATCATTTCAATTGTCAGATAAAAGTTATGATTTGGCATAGTGAAAATTATTAATCTTTTTCTTTACTTTGCATGTTTCGTGCTTTCTTTTGAAAAGCTTTCTGTATTCCCAAGGTGAAAAATATATTCTCCTATACTTTCTTCTAAGAGTTTTAAAGTTTCATTTTTGAGCTTAGGTCTTGAATAACATTGGGCTTTTGTGTATCATTTGATGTAAGGTATTGTATTAGTCTATTTTCACGCTGCTAATAAAGACATACCTGAGACTGGGTAATTTATAAAGGAAAGAGGTTTAATTGACTCACAGTTCAGCATGGCTGGGGAGGCTTCAGCAAACTTACAATCATGGCAGAATGGGAAGCAAACGTGTTCTTCTTCACATGGCAGCAGGAAGGAGAAGAATGAGAGCTAAGTGAAGTGGGGAAAAAGCCCCTTATAAAACCATCAGATCTTATGAGAACTCACTCAGTATCAAGAGAACAGCATGGAGGTAACAACCCCCATAATTCAATTACCTCCCACCCACAACACGTGGGGATTATAAGAACTATTGTTCAAGGTGAGATTAGGGTGAGGACATAGCCAAACCATATCAGGAATGTGTCTACTTTTTTTCTGTAAGAAAATGCAATTGTTTCAACACCATTTATTAAAATTTCACTTCATTCTTTTTTTTTTTTTTTTGAGACGGAGTCTTGCACTGTTGCCCAACTGGAGTGCAATGGCGCGATCTCGATCTCGGCCCACTACAACCTCTGCCTCCTGGGTTCAAGCGATTCTCCTGCCTCAGCCTCCTGAGTAGCTGGGATTACAGGTGCCTGCCACCACGCCCAGCTAATTTTTTTTTTTTTTTTTTTTGTATTTTTAGTAGAGATGGAGTTTCACAATGTTGGCCAGGCTGGTCTTGAACTCCTTACCTCAGGTGATCCGCCCTCCTCAGCCTTTCGAAGTGCTGCGATTACAGGTGTGAGCCACCACGCTCGGCCAACTTGTTTAATTTTATAGGCTCACAGCTGGAGGGAAATGTGCCTCAGTATAAATTGTGTCTTGAGTCTTACCTATATCTGATTTAGATGAGACTCTGGACCTTTGAGTTGATGTTGGAACAAGTTGAGACTTTGGGGGCTACTGGGATAGAATGTATGTCTTTTGCATGTGAGAGGACATGAATTTTGGGGGCTGGGGTGGAATGGTATGATTTGAATGTGTCCCCCAAAATTAGTAATCCCCAGTAAAACAGTGTTGAGAAGTGGGACCTTAAGAGGTGATTAGGTCATGAGGTCTCTGCCCTCATGAATGGATTAATGTCATTATTGCAGAAATGGAGTTGTTGTCATGAGAATGGGTTTGTTTTAAAAGTGAGTTCAGCCCTGTCTTGCTCTCTCTCACTCACCTTCTCTAACTCACTTGAATTCTGCCATGGGATAACTTCAGCAAGAAGGCCCTCACCTGATGCAGGCCCCTCAACCATGTACTTCCCAGCCTCCGGAAGTATAAGAAATAAATCTCTGTTCTTTATAAATTACTCAAGTCACAGGTATTCTGTTATCACAAAACAGACTAAGACCCAGTTTAACCATAATTTCTCCCTTTCAGTATAACTTTGCTGTATCCAATGTGTATTTTGATATTGTAGCACTTTTACTGTCACCCGGTTCTAAAGATATCATCAGGCTGGGCGTGGTGGCTCACGCCTGTAATCCCAGCACTTTGGGAGGCCAAGGTAGGGGGATCACTTGAGGTCAGGAGTTCGAGACCAGCCTGGCCAACATGGTGAAACCCTGACTCTACTTAAAAAAATAACAAAACTTAGCTGGGTGTGGTGGCGTGCACCTGTAATTGCAGCTACTCAGGAGGCTGAGGCATGAGAATCACTTGAACCTGGGAGGTGGAGGTTGCAGTGAGCCAAGATTGTGCCACTGCACTCTAGCCTGGGTGACAGAGGGAGACTCTGTCTCAAAAAAGAAAAAAAAACCTATAAATAAATATATCATCATTTCCATGGTAATATTACTAAGAGTCAACTCTTGTTTCATATAGATGAAAAATTATTCATTTTTTCAAGATTTTTAACTGAATGATGGGTTATTTATTACAGAACTTGAATGGAAGCTAGCAGAAGTTGGAGCAATACAGACTGATTTGGAAGAAAACCCCAGAAAAGACATGGTAGATATGATGGTATCTTCAATTAGAAACACTTCTATTCATGATGACAGTGATAGCTCCAACAGTGATAATGATACCAAATAGAGAGAAATATTCAATAAATAGCTTTTAGTATATGTGTACTGAATGTTTTACTTATGACTGCTTTTATATTAGGGATCAGAAAAGTCATAAATAGATTTATTTTATTTTCATTTTTATATTAGAATTATGGCATATATGTCATTTTAAAAATTTCCAGGCATTTCAGAATATTCATTGCCTCTGAAAAAAATAGTATTTGGCGGCCAGGCGTCGTGACTCACGCCTGTAATCCCAGCACTTTGGGAGGCCAAAGCGGGCAGATCACCTGAGGTCGGGAGTTCAAGACCAGCCTGACCAACATGGAGAAACCCCCGTCTCTACTAAAAATACAAAAATTAGCTGGGTGTCTTGGCACGTGCCTATAATCCCAGCTATTTGGGAGACTGAGGCAGAAGAATCGCTTGAACCCAGGAGGCAGAGGTTGTGGTGAGCCGATATCACGTCATTGCACTCTAGCCTGGGCAACAAGAGCGTAACTCCATCTCAAAACAAAACAAAACAAAACAAAAAAACAGAATTTGTGTTAAGCCTTTGGTATTTTTCTGTGGTTTATCCTTTTTCTAACACATGTTGGACAAAAACACAAATGTTACAAGACCTTTCTTGCTTACTCACTTCCAAAGAGAACTACAAATTAAAGCAATGTAAGAAAACCATGAAATTTTATTTAAGTCAACACATTTTAAAATCTAGAGACTTAAGTAAAAAGTTTTAAATTTATGGCCATAATGCTTTTTCTTTGGAATCCCTTACCTATTAAAACATTAACCACTTAATAGCATAATGCAATTAATAGATTCTGAAAAGTACATAAAAAACATCTCTATTCATTATTATCGTTCTGAGTAGTTACTATTAAGTTAGAAAATTACTAAGTATTCTCATTAATAGTTAAAGTATAGAATCATTAGAACACTACACCATGTAAGTTTCTAAATCCTGAGCAGAGGTGAGAAAAATATATTGTAGGATGACTTATATTTTAACAGTAATCACAGAAGAATTCATCATGAGAAAATATACATTAGTACACTGCAGAAGGCCTATAGGATGTTTCGTCTTGGCATAATAATGAACATCACTTTTAGAGGAAAGGTTGGTAAATCCAGCATATAATAGTTCAGTAACAGATTTTTTTCTACTTTGTTTGTATTCATGATCCATAATTCTCATTATGGATGTTCACTGATATTTGTAAGAGAATCTAGACTAGGTTTAAATGCCTAGATTACAAAAATAAATTGGTGAGAATTGAGGCAGTTGAACATTGAGTCAAGAAAAGGCTCTTTCTTGCTATTGGTGGGGGTTTAGGGATCTTAGAGGCTACAGAGAATCATGAAGTGGAAGGAAAGTTAAATACACATTTGAGTAAGGTAATGAGAATTTATTTCACCAGGTGAAATCAATTGATCTAATTCTGGGAAGGATTAGGAAAATTCTTCTGAGATACATCTTGGGACTAGATGGAGGAAAGTTCAGAGAGGTCACACACAGTGGTCTTTATTACAGCATTACACACACTTCAGGTAATTATCTAGTTTTATTTATCCAATTCCTGAACCTTCCAGAAATGGATGGATAAGTTACTATTCAGGATAAAAACAGCCGTGGAAATGAAAGGAAGAGCCATCTTCTAAAGTTACAATGTAACTCTAATGCCTATAATGCATATAACATCTAATGCATATAACCATATTTATCAAAATAACATTCATATACATTATTTTCCCCTCCAATTGAAACCAAATGCAGAAATTCCCCCAAATGTAGTCTTTTAAAAAGTAAATACATATTTGTTTTCTTTTTAAAGTTAAAAGAACAAAGGAAATAATAATAGTATTTAGGAGAGCTTAAAAAAGATATCTATTTCCCTTTGTCTTAACTCAGATCCACCAGGTGGCAGTAAGTTTTTACCCACAAACAGTTCTGGAGACTTTGACATTTGTAAAAATAATAAAATTATATCATGTTAGAACTGACTGCTTGTGATTTCAGCCCCGCTCTTTAGCAAAGTGCACACACACATTCTTTTAGCAAGGACTGATTGATGCCTACCAACACAGGTCACTACTACTTCCATACAGTGCTTCATGTATACATTCTCATTTGACTAGGGTAAAAATATTTGTCAGGATATGCAGAAATTATTTAATATGTAATATTGTTCCCCATTTTACTGAATGAATATTCAATGGGGTACAAAGTTAGTTTTTTTAATTGCCAATATTCAGTCATTTTTTGATCTATAAAAATTGATATTTTATCCTAATATTTTTGTCTATTTTTGCCAAGTGTGCTCTATTGAATCTCCCTTCTCTATAGTGCCTTTTTTGTCAAAATGTGGTAAATGTGGTCCTAGAATCAGCAGCATTCCTAAGGAGCTTGTTAGAAATGCAGAATCTCTGGCCCCATCCCAGACTAACTGAATCATAATTTTCATTTTAATGAGATCTCCAGGTGACACGCACATTAAAATTCGAGAAGCACTACACAGCAAATCCTTTAAAGACAACCTGAGCAACTTCTTTTACCCATCCCACAGTGTGGGTTATTAAGTCTGTCTAGTTGAACACTCCAGTGTCAGTTCCAAGCAAACATTCTCTGGCTGAACTCGTGACTTAAGCAACTCTGAAGATGAAAGGTGGGGTTTTTAACCAGTTTTTCCCTCTCCTTTTGAGGCAGGAGAATAAGGTCTGGAGGCAGGGAACCTAAGGCTGTTTCACTCCAACTTCTTAGAGCCAGATTTAAAGGAAAACCCTAACTTGCCATGCCTAAGTAACAAAAGGACCAGAGGCTACTTTGCAAACCCCCACCTTCTGTGCGTGGCAGATGGGAAATTGGCTGTCTGCAACCAATCACACTGCTTGCTGGCTGAGAGTTCGTTTGCAACTTTGTAACTTCACCTTAGCCTCTGATTGCTTGCTTTTGGCAACCACTCAGACCAATTGCAAGCCACCACTTCATGAAATGAAGTGGCCAATGGGAAGCCTCTAGCGGGTATTTGGACCGGAGAAGATTCTGAGCCACTACTCACGCCGGCTCCCACACTGTGAAGTGTACTTTCATTTTCAATAAATCCCTGCTTTCGTTCTTTAGTTGCTTTATTCTTTCTTTGCGGGGCGTTTTGTCCAATTCTTAGTTCAAAACGCAAAGAACTTGGACACCTTGCAGTCAAGACCCTCTATCAGTAACACTTTCAGGGCCTATCCCTCTAGTGTTGGGGACTGGGAGAGAGAATAGGGATGAAAGGGATAAATTTTCCTTAACTGTACAATGAATACTGCATCCAAATGTTCACTCTTTAATGGGGCACATTGAGTTCTCCTAGAAACTCTGAAACAGCTTCCCAACTGCACAGTCCCTCGATCAACACAGGCGATGGAGCAGTCTTAGCTCTATCTCTGCTAACTCTCTTAGTTTCCTCTCCCAGAAGTAAATCCAGCCTCTTGCTGCTAGAATTTCTTTCCCCCTTCAGGATCAAGATAGTTCAAACCTGGACAGCATTTTCTACGCAGCATCGATTGACCCATGAGAAACTTACACATCCTCGGTATCCTTGCTATACCACATGGTAGATGTTGCAGATTGCTTTATTTCAGCCCACTCCCTGGCCAGCTATTTCTCCAACTCTTTTCCTGTTTCATGTAGGTACAAGGCAATATCAGCAAGTTTGATAGTGAATGAGATGCCACTCTCCCTCCCTCATAGTCACCTAGCTGATTCTGTTGGAGTCTTGTTCACTTGGGATAGGGTGAGGCATAAAAAGGAAAGGAAAAACCATAGTACACCCCAGGAACCTGGCTTCAGTGATTCTGTCAGGTGTTTTTCCTCTTGCCAAGTGTTGAACTTATGTGGTCTGAGGGTAGAGAGTTGGAGGTTTTGGCTATGGTAGATCCCTTTTTGTCCAACTTTTATCCTTGGGTGAAGGAGTGGGTATCTGACCCCAAATGTTGGCAGCTGTTTAGAAGTTGAGGTACTTCATGCACTTGTACCCTATTTTAGATTTCAGTCAGCATCTTTTTTACAAGTATTAGCTGTATCTATTAGTGTTACATATTCTTGCTGGTTCTCAAGTATTCAATCACTAGAACGGTATTAGTCACATCATATTTCACTGACTGATTTTAGTTTGCTTCTCTTTTGTACTTTTGAGAGGTGAAGCCAGCTGGGCTTCTGGGTTGGGTGGGGACTTGGAGAATTTTTGTGTCTAGCTAAAGGATTGTAAATGCACTAATCAGCGCTCTGTGTCTAGCTAAAGGATTGTAAATGCACCAGTCAGCACTCTGTAAAAACGCACCAATCAGCATTCTGTGTCTAGCTAAGAAGGATTGTAAACACACCAATCAGCACTCTATGTCTAAAGCACTCTGTGTCTAAAGGATTGTAAACGCACCATCAGCACTCTGTAAAATGGACCAATCAGCATTCTGTAAAATGGACCAATCAGTGCTCTGTAAAATGGACCAATCAGCAGGATGTGGGCGGGGCCAAATAAGGGAATAAAAGCTGGCACCCAATCCAGCAGCAGCAACCTGCTCGGCCCCCCCTTCTACACTGCGGAAGGTTTGTTCTTTCACTCTTAACAATAACTCTTGCTGCTGCTCACTGTTTGGGTCCACACTACCTTTATGAGCTGTAACACTCACTGTGGGGGTCTGCAGCTTCATTCCTGAAGTGAGCGAGACCATGAACCCACCAGGAGGAACAAACTGCGGACACACCACCTTTAAGAGCTGTAACACTCACTGTAAAAGTCTGCGGCTTCACTCCTGAAGTCAGCAAGACCACAAACCCACTGGAAGGAAGAAATTCTGGACACATCTGAACATCTGAAGGAACAAACTCCAGACACACCATCTTTAAGAGCTGTAACACTCACTGCAAGGGTCCATGGTTTCATTCTTGAAGTCAGTGAGACCAGGAACCCACCGGAAGGAATAAATTCCGGACACACTTTCATGCACATTACTAAGGCTACCCCTTGACAATAATCTGCCTACAGTCATAATTTGGGACAAAGATGATTCTAAAAATCATCTTTCTGGCATTTCATTCACTCATTAAATCATTCATTCACCTCAGGCATTGGTGGTTTTGTTTGTTTGAGACAGACTTGCTCTGTCACCCAGGGTGGAGTGCAGCAGCACGATCTGGGCTTACTGCAGCCTCTGCCTCCCAGGTTCAAGTGATTATCCTGCCTCGACTGACTCTTGCTCTGTCACCCAGGCTGGAGTGCAGCAGCACGAACTGGGCTCACTGCAGATACTGCCTCCCAGGTTCAAGTGATTTTCCTGCCTAAGCCTCAGACTATAGACATGCACCACCACACCTGGCGAATTTTTTTGTATTTTTTAGTAGAGACAGGGTTTCACCATGTTGGCCAGGCTGGTCTCAAACTCCTGACCTCAAGTGATCTGCCTGCCTTGGCCTCCCAAAGTGCTGGGATTACAGACTTGAGGTACCACACCCAACCTGGTTTTTATTTTTAAATTTTAATTAATTTATTTTAGTGATGGGGTCTTGCTACATTGCCCAGGCTGTTCCTTAACTCCTGGGCTCAAGCAATCCTCCCGGCTCAGCTGGAACTACATGTACGTGTCACTCTACCCAGCTCACCTGAGGTATTGAAATGGATGCTACACGTATAGTGGCAAAGAAAACACATGGTTCTCGCCCTTCTGGAGTTTATCTTGTGGTGGTAGGGAAAATAGTTAATAAGAAAACAAATATCATATATACATATAACTAATATATACATAATTTAAACTTAAGTATTATGGGGGAAACTGGACACAACAGAAGAGAATAACTTTGGATATTATTGGTGGTGGGGGGGCAGGTGGGGTGTTGGAGGGAGACCTACTTAAATAGGGTAGTTAGATCTTTGAGATGTGATGGTTGAGAAGGAGCCAGCCATGAGAAAAGGTAGGAGGGGTCCAGGCAAGGGCACAGCATGCATGAAAGCCTGAGAGCAGAGATAAATTAGCAAAGAAATGAAAGGCAGTTTCTGGGTTGGAGTGTCACAGGAAAAGGAAAAAAATGGTAAGACATGAGGTTGGAGAGGTAGGGAGGGGCCAGATCAAACAGGTTATTGTGACCATAATTAGGAATTTGTATGTAATGGGAAATGACAAAAGGGGTTTTAGAAGAAAATAATGTGACTTCACTTATATTTTCAAAATAATTTGACTGCTCTGTGGAGAATAGATTGAAAGAAGCATCCAAGATATTTGTGATACAGAAGAAGAGACATCAGGTAGATAAACAGACGTGTGTATAGAGCCCAAGGGAGAAGTGAAGGCTGGAGTTAAAAATCTGTGAGTCATTTCAACTATTCTTAGGGTTCCAACAAGAAATTGTAAAGATTTACAACCACCATCGTCACCACCTAGCCTTTATGTAGCAGTTTAATTTACCTTTGATCATCACAGTTCTCTGAAATGCCTAGTCTTGTAACTTTACAGATAAGTACCTGAAGCTCAGAGGAATTACTTGATTTGCTCACTATCTCTCAGCATGAGTCAGAATTTAAGCCAAGAGTTTTGACCACAAAGTCTATAATACTACCTCAACTATGAGGCAGGGTTTTGTAGTTCCATTTTAAAGGGATTAGAAAGAATATGAGTAACTGAATAAACTATGCAAGCTTTAAAAAAATACTTAACCTTATATTCTCTATTAAGCATATCTTAAAGCTTCCTGTTCTCCAATTCACCTTAAAGTATGGTAGTAAAACTAGGAATGTCAATGAATGGATGAGTTACTATGAAAGAACAGATATGACTTTGTGACTGATGGGACATAGGAGTTAGGGCAAGAATTAGAGCAAAAGAGACATGAAAATTACCCAAAAAGGAACATCATTGACAAGAATAGCCAACATTTCTATGGGATTTCTTATGTACCAGATAAAATTACACACACACAGACACACACACTGTCTCGGTTAAGCTATGAGATAGGATTGTAATTATCCCATTTTAAAGATGACGAAATTAAAGAACAGAGAAATAACTTGCTTAAAGTCATGCAGAATATTAGTGGTGAAGCTATGATTTAAATCCAGGCAGTTAAGATCCTAATTTTGTACTCTTAACCACTATGATACGTTGCCTACCAACTGGGGGAAATCAGTTGACAGAGGAGTTGGAAATACTCAGTTTAAATGATAGCAAGGTTCACAAGAAAGGGTGAACAGAATATCTGAAATTATGTTTAAGGCTATGGAATATAAATTTAGGAGCTATGAAATTATGAGGCAGGATTTTTGTTTTATGGAAATGTGGGATCTGGAAGTTGGAAAAGCTATTGGAAATATCCAATACAGGCTGGGTACAGTGGCTCGCGCCTGTTAATCCCAGCACTTTGGGTGGCTGAGGTGGGTGGATCACTTGAGGCCAGGAGTTCAAGACCAGCCTGGCCAACATGGTGGAACCCCATCTCTACTAAAAATACAAAAATTAGCTGGTGTGGTGGTGGGAGTCTGTAATCACAGCTACTTGGAAGGCTGAGGCACAAGAATTGCTTGAACCCGGGAGGCAGAGGTTTCAGTGAGCTGAGATCATGCCACTGTACTCCAGCTGGGCAACAGAGCAAGACTCTGTCTCAAAAAATCTGTCTCAAAAAAAAGACATATCCAGTACATTTTTTCTTTTCTTGGAGAGAATGTGGGAGAAAGGAGAAGCTGTGAACTGAACCATGGGAAATGTTCAAGCAGTGAGAGAGGACTGAGCAGAAAAACGGGGGATTATCAACAGGTCTTGGTAAATAATTAAATACAGTGAAAGAGGGAGGAGTCAAAGATGGACATGGTTTGATCTTGGTGACTGAGAGGACAATGAAATCATTAAAAAGGGCAAAGGTATTTTGAAGATAATATGTTCTAGATGATGGGGAATATAAGGAGGGATCAGTGTCTCTAGAATAAAATTCAAAAATCCATCCTAGGGAAAGCATTCAAGCCCTCTCTTGTCTGGCTGCAACCTACCTTATCAGTATTAATAACTTTGCCTCCGTCTTGCTACCTACCTCTTGTCAGTCGGGACTCTTGATTACATGTGAAAGAAAACCTCTCACTGGTTTAAGCAATAAAACAGATGCAAGAATTTACTGACTGGTTTAACGAAATTTCCAGAGGAATCTAATCTACATTTGTTTCCAGGCCTCAAACATGTCTTTAGGCCAAACCTGTCTTCAAATCTGCTTTTTTTCCGTGTTGCCTTCTTTCTCAGAATTCACGTGTGGAAAGATGGCTCCAGGTCTCCATTCTCCCAGATTTAAACCCATTGGTAAAGACGTAACACCCTTCTTAGGAACCGTAGTTTGCAACCGAGGATTAAACTCAAATATGCCTTCCCCTTGTGTCCTGCTCAGACCATATGGACTGAGAGTGGATAAATGATAGTTCTTCAAAAGAAATTATCAGAATAGGGAATGAATGCTGAACAGGCAAAAATGTCGACCAAAATATCTTCTGCTATATGATGGGGTAAATTAACAAATCATGTTTTCCCACTCCTGAAAGAAAAATCCTTAGGTGCAGGATCAAGGATCTGAATAAGTGCTTCAGTTTGATGTTCTTTTGCCCAGAGCATACAGCAAGAATTGAAAATGTTTACTGAGGTGACTGTTACTTTAAAGGGAGGATTTTACGGCCAGAAAAGTGCATTTTTTGAAAGAAAAAGATGGCTTTTATTTCAAATCCAAAAGATATTCATTAAAACATAGGAATTACTAGGAATTAAGACTGTAAAGATCTCTTTTCCAGTAGAAGCACTGAAATGTGCTTTCTCATGTGGACCAAATGTGCCTTAACGCATCAAGATAAGTAATTTCCCGAAGATAAGTAGTAGTCACACGTTGTTCCAACGAGGAAATCCATGCAAATTAGGGTCCTGGTTTATTTCTGATGCTTCATTCTCCATCTTCCATTACACTGTCACTTGATTTTTAATAAAAGGGCAAGGGAAAAATCTCCAAATGAGCAAATAAATCCCGACCTCCTTTCGCTTCCCTCCTCTGGCCGAGGGCGCATGCCCTGTCTCCCCAGGCCCACCCACCAAGAAGAAGCAACCCAAGCCGCGCTCCCTCAGGAGATGGGAGAAGATGTTACTGGCGGTCCAGGCGCCTTTGCAACTCTTCTCTCCCAGCACCAGGAGAGGAAACACGAATGATGCCACTGGGGGAAAAAGTCTCCTGCCAACACCCGAAAAATCTAAGCTGGCGTCGGCAGTGTTTTGCTTTGGAAGGGAGAGCGGGTTCCTTTTCTGGCCTCTGGATCCCTCATCCGGCAGGAAGCTCTTCTTCCTCCTCCTAGCCCCCGGCATACGGGGGGAAAGCCAAAGAGCCTCCAGGACCTAAGGCTAGCGCTCTGCCGGCCGGCCGCGCCCTCCACCCGACCAGGCCCCGCCTCCCCGGCTTTCTAGTAACCGGCGCCGTTCCCGGCCGGGGCAGGGAACGGTGCGCCTGCAGAGCCAGATTTCGGCCCAAGGGGCGCGGGAGTCTCTTCGGGCGTCCGGGATCCCCTGGCGCGGCTCCGTGCTGCCTAACGGGGCAAGTCGCATGCGCACCGAGCCGCGCTGGGGAAAGGGAGAGTGAGGGGAGGGGCGAGCGCAGAGCCTCCGCCGGCCGTCTGAGCCCGCGGGGTCGCTGACGACGCATGCGCCGGGAGGGGGCGCAATCACGGACTCGGCTTGCGGCTGCCGGTTTAAAAAAGGAAACCCCGGAGAGCGAGAGCGCGAAGGAAATCTGGCCGCCGCCGCCGCGAGCGCTCCCGGTGAGAGGCGCCCGCCCGGTGGGCCCAGGGCCTGCCGAGTGCCGGTTGGCTTCCTTGGCGGCGCATGCGCGCTCCTGGGCTGGTGGAGGAGGGGAAGGGAAGGGAGGGGGAGGAGGAGCTGGCCACAGGAGCGGCGAATTTTTGGGGGGGTGGGTGGGGGGCGCCACTCACAGCCCCAGGTGCTGCTGGAGGTGGGAGCCGCGGCGCCTCCTGGACACAGGCGGGGTAGTGGTTCCGAGTCACCGCAGCGGGAGACCTGGGTGGGGGAGGGAAGAAGCCGGAGCCGCCGCAAGCCACACGGTGAGGGCGCGGGGAAGGGGAGGGAGCGGGGGGCGGCGTGTGTGGGGCCGGGGGGCGGCGGCCAAGGGTGGGGAAGGCGGGAGCTGAAGCCCAAGTTTGGCGTGTCGTTCTAGTGTGTCTTTTCCCGGGACTTCGGGCCGAGGCCCGCCCTGCCTGAGAGGCCCTCTGGGGCAGCTGGGGTTACCTGCGGGGCAGGGGCGGGAGTGGGGTGCACGGCGGGGCCGGGCGGCTTGAGGGCGCCCGGAGCTGCGGCCGATTCCAGCAGCTGGGAGGCGGGGAAAGACGGGGACCGGGTGCCGAGAGAGCTTTCGCTGGGGACCCGCTAGGCCTTGTGACCCACTTTATTCCTGTCACCACTCGGGCACGTTTGGAGCAGCGCCCAATGGGGCGCCGGGGCGGCCAGCTCCTCCGGGGAACCCCCGCCCTCCCGGCGCCCGGCCCGCGTGCCGCAGTCCGCAGTCCGAACGGCCGCCGTTGCCGGCCGCGGGCTGGTTCCGTTAGTGGTGGTGGTTCCGGGGTTCCGTTCCTAGGCAGCGCGCGGCTATTAGCGTCTGACTCCAGCGACCGCGCGCGGGTTCGAGGGTTGGCGGCGAGGCGCTCGGTTTCTCTTCTTCCGTCCACCCGCGCTTCCCGTTCCCCGTCACCGCCGCTGGCGTTTGTAGATTTCTTTCCGCCAGTGAAGCTGGGTTTTCTGGAGTTGGCTCTGGCGCTCTGGCCCCTGGAGTGTAATTTCCTACACGCAGCGCCGCAGAGTTTATATTCTTTGAAAGTGTTTGTAGCTTTGTAGAGGTCCTCTTGTTGATGGTAGGTGAGCCTAATTCTGCAAGATAAAAGCCTAGTCTCTGACCTGGCAGATGAAAGATCAAATCAGATTGTGGTTTCCTGCTATTAGAATGCCGTGCTATTAGACTTTAAGGCTTTTTAGCCTTCTTTAAAAAATAAAAAAATTTTTACAGTGGAAGAAAAGCACAAGAAGTAAACTTTTACAGTCGTTGATTTGACTATAACGCTGATCCCCCCAAATCAAAGGTAATTTCACTTTGAAGATTGCGTTCTGATTTGTAGCTTTAAGCGATTAGAGAAAATTGTGCAATATTCCCCTCTACCTGTTTGAAAATAAACATTCTTAAAAGGATGTAATTTAGATAATGAATTGCTTTCTCTGAAACTTATCCCTTGGGACACCTCAAATCTGATTGGTTTTCAAAGCTTGGGGGAAGGAAATTAATTCCTGTGATAAGTGGTTGGCTGAACAGAATGTCTTGAAAGGTTAGCCTGTAGCATTAGGAGAAATACCTAATGTAAACGACGAGTTAATGGGTGCAGCACACCAGCGTGGCACATTTATACATATGTGACAAACCTGCACGTTGTGCACATGTACCCTAGAACTTAAAGTATAATAATAAAAAAAGTAAAAAAAAAAAAAGTTAGCCTGAAGAAAGCAGACTGAAAATGTTCTAAAGCTAGGCGTAATCAGTTATGAAAAAAGAATAAGGAAGCTTTCTACGTACTAACATGCAAAGATTGCAAAAATTTGCTATGAAGTGAAAAAAGCAAGGTGTAGCGGTACTTTGTGAATAGTGTGTTACATCTTAAGGGCGAGGTGTAATAATACAAGTTTATGTTTGCTCTTTATATAAAGAAATTATGGGAGGATTTAGAAAACTAACAATAGAGGAGAGGGAGAAATAGTCTGAGGGAATGGTGGGAAATGAGATGTATTATGTGTATGTCTTCATGTTTTCAAATTTTTGTGTGTATTATGGACTCATAAACTGGATTAAACAAAAATCCTCCTCCCCCAAATAATTTGTGTGATTTTTGTTGCCTAATTTATGGTGATTTGAGTCATTTTCAATATGATTGCTTTTCATATTTTTTAGGAAAATCAACTAAAAAGGAAGTTTGGGATACCTTTTATGACTATTTACACTTTAATTTTTAAGATTGCAGAGGTCACAGGCATTTATCTTTTAAAGATGTTTAGTTATATCTTGCCTTGCTAAAATATATGACTGTTTACATTTGGCATTATGGCTGGATTATGCTGCTTTCAGAGTGTAGTTTGTGTTTCCCCCTCCTCTTTTTTTCAGGAGTCATAGATGGGTAAAATTTTACTTAACCCCAAAGTTTCATGACAAACAATTATGAGGAGGATGTGAACATTCCCTTAAAGTGCTAGTAAACTTGATTGTCTAGGTTAGTTTGCTTTTCAGGTTGGGAAACTTTTCTTTCTTTTGAGGAAATCAAACATGAACCCCAGTGAAAGGTAAATTGGGGTGTGTGTGTGTGTGTGTGTGTGTGTGTGTGTGTCTGGTTGTTTCTCATGAAAGTGTACAAAATGAACATTTTTTTAGGACTGGATTGTTGAAAACCTGTTTAATGAGGTTAAGACTGCACAGGCAGCTGTTAGATGAGATATAATTTTGGGAGGGGACCCTCAAACTCCCCCTGGTGACTAATATTGTGTAATGAAAGTAGTGAATAGTGAGTAATGGATTGCAGTTGCTGTGGGCATTTTTGTAATATTACCAGTATTCCTTTTTATTTTGTAGGATAGGATACTTATATTATTTCTGTTTGATATGTAGGTTTTTCTAATAGACTTCTGCAAAGTGTCACTTATTTTTCATTTGAATTCCATGTGGGTCCGTTCAATCTTTTTTAAAAATGGAATTACATTTCAATTTTTTTTTTTTTTGGAGACGGAGTCTTGCTCTGTCACCAGGCCGGAGTGCAGTGGCACGATCTTGGCTCACTGCAACCTCCGGCTCCCAGGTTCAAGAGATTCTCCTGCCTCAGCCTCCCGAGTAGCTGGGACTCTTATTTTTAAAATTACAGAAGTAAATTGATGCTCATAAAAAGTTAATACAGTGTATATATAATAAGTGACAACCCCTTTACATCCACTTCTAGCTCACATTCCTCCCCAGAGGAATCTAGGGAGCACAGCTACTCGTATACCCTTGACTGAAGGGTAACACTGTTAACACCACTGTATGATCTTGTAGATCTTTTTCTGTGCATTTGCAAATATGTTCTTTTCAGCCTTGAAAACGGAATCATCTTGAATGATCATCTGCTTTGCCATTTTGCCTCCAGTATGGGCTCTGTTATTACCTACAGGACAGGGACATGACTTGGAGCCTGTCAGAAAGCTTAACATCTGATATAGACCATAGGTCATACTCATCTTTTCACTAGTGAGGGGCCAATTGTTATGGAGGCATTTGCAGAGTTTGAAGGGAGGTCATACTGATGTGAGTTTTATCTGGTATAGATTTAATTCACTGTAAACTTCGAGCGGCCGAGGTGGGAGAATGGCTTGAGCCCAGGATTTCAGGACCAGCCTGGGCAACATAGTGAGACCTCTTTGCTACAAAATTTTTTTAAAAAAAATTAGCCAGATGGGGTGGTGCACACCGTAGTTTCAGCTAATTGGGAGGCTGAGGTGGAGGGATCACTTGAACCCAGGAGTTCAGCCTTGGTGACAGAGTGACACCCTGTTTTAAACAAAACAAACCCAAAAGGTGCTTGGATTCCATGAATTTTATAGGACTCTTTAGAGTCCAAGTTTTAGGGTTTTCTTTGGCTTTTGACTTGATCGATAGTGTATGGGTTAAACTTTGATTTTTTTTCCTTCTGTACTTGCTTGCAGACTCCTACGAAAGCCTCGTAGATTACACCAGCCTCTTGAGCTCCTCTGAAGTGAACCTAAGCAGACTGTCCTTAACTAAGGGACACTGATACTGACTTGGATAAAATTTAGCTTTTGAAGGGAAAAGGAGAGAAGAGGCTCTTTGGTTTGGCTTTTGCTTAACTGACAACAAACAACTAATATGCACTACCCTCTCCTCCATCCATCCCTCTGGTTCTCTAATAGTTCCAGAGGGTTTGTTTTAAACCAGGTTACAAAGAATTACCAAACCTTAATTCTTTTTAGCTGATGGAGTTTGCAAAAAGTTCAGAGTATTGATCAAGACTATTTACTATGGGAGATACCTAGAAAGATGCAGTATAATTGACCCTGCCTTCAGTGGTTTTGAAATCTAGTATGGTTAAAACAGCATAGACATTAATAATAATAATAATAATAATATTATTATTATTATTATTATTATTATTATTATTATTTGAGACAGAGTCTCTCTCTGTCACCCGGGCTGGAGTGCAGTGGCGTGATCTCAGCTCACTGCAACCTCCGCCTCCTTGGTTCAAGCGATTCTCCTGCCTTAGCCCTCCAAGAGTAGCTGGGATTACAGGTATCTGCCACCACACCCGGCTAATTTTTGTATTTTTAGTAGACAACGGTGTTTCTCCATGTTGGCCGGGCTGGTCTCAAACTGCTGACCTCAGGTGATCCGCCCACCTCGGCCTCCCAAAGTGCTGGGATTACAGGCATGAGCCACCATGCCCAACTGAAAAGCATAGACATTATAACACAAGGTGGAAAATGATAGATTTTATAAGAAAATTACATACAACATTTGTAAGGATGAGCCTATTTCTGGCTGTTTTTTTTTTTTTTGGTGGGGGGAGAGGCATGGGATTTTGAGGGAGAATACGTATCTTAACCTTTTAATTAGTTAAGAAAGGAAACTTAGATCTTAGCTCTTGATAACGTAAGGAGTTGTTATGTTCTTTTAGCAGGCATCTGTGAGACTGATAGCTATTTCAGTAGTTTTTTTTAAGCTTTCCCGCTGGAAAGAACCATTTGATGTTTTATTTGATAATTATAATACAGCCTCTTTAATCATTTCAGGATTGCTAGAAAAATTAGGAAATTAAATCCTATCAGTTAACTGTTGTCTACCATCAAATATGTCAGCCAGTGTTAATATTAAAAGAAAATTGTTTCCTCTTATCTCAATCTTGAAGCATATATATTATGTCACCTCTTCCACACATTTTTACTTCTAGTGCTGTGTCAAATAAAGCATTTATTTACTGTGACTATTTTAATAAAACAATATTGTGGGGGAAAAGTCAAAGTTCTGCACTGTAGCTAAACCTTTTGATGTTTATCTGTTTCCTTATAGTTTTTTACAGATGCATAAAGTAAAATATTTTTTAAGTTCCTTGTAGGCATTACACCAATGGCTGTTGCATTTTCTCCTTTTCTGGATCAAAAATTCTAGATGGAGTTGTATGAATTATTTATAGAACACTCAAGTGTCAGAGCAATATAATTGTTACTAATTGACTATAATTACATAATGGCATTTATATTTACAGGTTGCTTTACAACCATTTATTAAAAGCCCTATTAGGTGTAACTTCTGTGAAACAGGTGGATACCGAGATTCCTGTTTTTTTCCATTTTTTTGATTATGCAAATGTTGAATTATTTAAACTTACTCTTATAGCCTCAACTCTGAGTTATTACTTTAGTTGGATATTTCACAGAGATGTAATTCTGTTAATTTTAAGTCTTAGAAGTCTACAGAAATCACTTGTGAAAAATGAAATTTTATGAATTACTTTGTCTTTTAAAGTATGCTGTTTCGGATATAATTTGCTTTTCATTTTTCAGAAACATTTTCATTTTTTACATTAATAATGACGACGATTAAGTTTCTTTTTCAAAGAGGTCACATTCAGGTACTTAACATTTTTAATTCTCATCCCAAATAGTGGAAAATTGAATGTGAGGGCTATCTGGCTGTGACATGTTACCCCATTGATCCCCAGGGTTGATTCAGCTCATCTGGCTGGCTCGGCAGGTGTCCCCTTCCTCCCTCTCCACTCCACGTGCGTCCCTCCTGAAGCTGAAGCTGCGTGCTTGGTTGAAGAGGACAACCATCCCAAATAGAGGAGGACTGGTCTTGGGTCAAGGGTATACGAGCAGCTGCGCTCCCCTGCTAGAACCTTCGAGCAAGCTCTCAAGGTCCAAATAGTGGAAAATGAAAGTACAGGTTGATTCATGTTGGCAGGTTTTGGTATCAAAAAAAAATTAAAAAGCACACATGGGGGATATACCAATAAAGGTTAGACCATATGCCTAGCTAAGAACTTATCATTTGTATTAAAATATGGTTTAATGTAAAGAGTTGCCTTTCTCCATTCCCCCCTCCCCTCCCCTCCCCTCCTCTCCCCTCCTCTCTTGCCCCCAATTAAAAAATAGCACATCCCTAATGTGGGAAACAGTAAGAAAGCATAGATTACATTTTAGGCAGGGCACAGTGGCTCACACCTGTAATCCCAGCACTTTCGGAGGCTGAGGTGGGTGGATCACTTGAGGTCAGGAGTTTGAGACCAGCCTGGCCAACATGGTGAAACCCTGTCTCTACTAAAAGTACAAAAATTAGCCGGGCATGGTGGCGGGTGCCTGTAATCCCAGCTACTTGGGAGGCTAAGGCAGGAGAATTGCTTGAACCCAGGAGGCAGAGGTTGCAGTGAGCAGAGATCACGCCATTGCACTCCAGCCTGTGCGACAGATCAAGACTCAGTCTCAAAAAAAAAAAAAAAAAATTAATATCATTGGAGATCATACCACCGAAAGTGCTGTTGTTAATCTTCTTGATTATCTATCTGCTTCCTGCATTTTGTTGAGCCATTACATAAGTATATGTATACTTATATGATGTTATGGGCTCCTAATGTAGTCCACTGCAGTGCAAGCTGTTCAGTTAACAGTGAATCATCAACATATTTTCATGTCAGTATTTTTCTGCTATGTGATTATTTTTAGTAGGTATGTAACATTCTCATCTCTGTGTAATAATTTACTTATCAATCTTCTGTTGGACATTGAAGTTGTTTTCAATTTTTAGGATAATAATACTGTCACTTCCCTATATCATGCATTTTGATACTGGCCTACCTAGTATCAGTGATTTTTTCTATTTTTGTTTCTCTGAAAATATCTCAATTTCACCTTTTTTTTTTTTTTTTTTTTTTTTTTTTGAGACAAGGTCTCACTCTGGCACCCAGGCTGGAGTGTAGTGGTGTGAACATGGCTCACTGTAGCCTCAACCTTTTGGGCTCAGGCAATCCTTCACCTCAGCCTCCTCAGTAGCTGGAACCACAGGCACATGCCACCATGCCCAGCTAATTTTTAAATTTTTTGTATAGGCGGGGTCTTGTCATGTTGCCCCGGCTGTTCTTGAACTCCTGGGCTTAAGAGATCCCCCCACCTTGGCCTCCCAAAGTGCTGGGTATAGGTGTGAGCCACCATGCACGGCAGTTTCACCTTTTTTGAAGTGGTTTTTGGTGTTTTTTTTGTTGTTGTTGTTGTTGTTTTTTTGAGACAGTCTCGTTCTGTTGCTTAGGCTGGAGTGCAGTGGCGTGATCTGAGCTCACTGCAGCTTCTGCCTCCTGGGTTCAAATGATTCTCATGCCACAGCCTCCTGAGTAGCTGGGATTACAGGCATGTGCTACCATACCCAGCTAAATTTTTTGTATTTTTAGTAGAGATAGGATTTTGCCATGTTGGCCACGCAGGTCTCCAAACTCATGGCCTCAAGTGATCTGCCCACCTTGGCCTCCCAAAGTGCTAGGATTACAGGCATGAGCCACTGTGGCTGGCCTGAAGTGTGTTTTCACTGGCTATTAAGTTCTAAGTTGGTAGTTATTTTCTTTCAACACATTAAGAATGTTTGGTTGCTTTCTGTCTTCCTTTCTTTTTGTTGAAGTCAGCTACCAGTCTTATTGAAGGCAATGTATTAGCTATATTCTTGCTGAGGATAATGTGTCTTTTATTTTTCCTTGGCTAATTTTAAGACTCTCTGTGTTACTTTTAAAGCACTTTGATGTGTTCAGATGTGGTTTTCTTTGTTGCTTTATGTTTATAGAGTTTTTTGAATCTAGCTGGATGCCTTTTAGTTTTGGAAAGTTCTGTTACCACCTTTTCATATATTCTGCCCCTTTTTTCTTTTTGGATCCTAATTACACATATATTAAACTTAATTATCATGTTCCACATGTTGAAAAAAATTTTTTTCTCTGTTTGGATATTTTCTATCGACCTGCCTTCCAGTATGCCAAAACTATCTTCTCTTTTTGTCAAAATAATCTTTTGTGTTCTTAATTTTACATTGTGGTTTTGAGTTCTAGAGTATTCCTTTGATGTTGTTTTATAGACTTGTAATAGACTCCAGTTCTCTTGAACATACTAATTATAGTTATTTAAATGCTTGTCTTTTCCAATATCGGCATCATCTATTGGTCTGTTTATCTTGTTTGTTTTTCTGTTGGTTATTGGTCATATGGTTGTATTGTTCCGTCTCTTCACATGCCTGATAAGTTTTCGAAGGAACTTACCCATTTCATTTAACTTGTTGCATTTATTGCAAAAAGTTGCTTATAATACTCTATTATTGTTCTTTTAATATCTGTAGAAAGTGTAATGAGTCTAATATCTGTATAACCTGTAGAGATTTAGTATCATTCCGAATACTAGTAATTTGTCTCTGCTCCCCTTTTCCCTGATTAGTCTGGCTAGAAGTTTATTAATTTTATTGAGGTTCTTAAAAAGTTAACTTTTAGTTTAATTGACTGCCTGTGGTTTTCTTATTTCCGCCCTGGTCTTTATTTCCTTTCCTCAGCTTACTTTTGGGTTTAATTTGTTTTCTTTTTCTGGTTTCTTAAGATAGAAGCTGAGGTCATTGATTTGTGACCTTTTTTCTTTTCTAATGTAAGCATGCTATAAACTTCCCTTTAATTGTTTATAATTTATTTATTTGTTTTTTGAGACAAGGTCTCACTACTGCTCAGGCAGTACAGTATCGTGATCATGGCCCATTGCAGCCTTGACCTCTCAGGCTCAAGTGATCCTCCCACCTCAGCCTCCTGAGTAGCTGGGACTGCAGGCATGTGCCACCATGCCTGGCTAATTTTTTATTTTTATTTTTATTTTTTTGAGACTGGGTCTCACTCCGTTGCCTAGGCTTTAGTGCAGTGGCCCAATCACGGGGTCACCACAGTGTCGACGTCTCAGGCTCAAGAGATCCTCGCACCAGAGTCTATTAAGTGCTGGGATTACAGGCGCGTGCCATCATGCCTGGCTAATTTTTGTATTTTTTGTAGAGATAGGGTTTCACTATGTTGCCCAGGCTGGTCGTCAACTCCTGAGCTCAGGCAATCCACTTGCCTCAGCCTCCCAAAGTGCTAGGATTACAGGTGTAAGCCACCACACCTGGCCAGAGTTTATTACAATTTTTTCTGAAGACAAGGATGTCACTGTGTTGCCCATGTTGGTCTTGAACTCAGTTCAAGCAATCCTCTTTCCTTGGCCTCCTGGAGTGCTGGGATACAGATGTGAGCCTCCACTCCTGGCCGTTTCCAGTTTTTGATATGTTTCCATTTTCATTCCATTCAGAGTACTTTATAATTTCTTTCCTGATGTCTTACTGGGTCTATAGTTTATTTATAAGTGTGTTATATAGTTTTCAAATATTTGAGGATTTTCCAGAGATCATTGTTATTTTTAATTTAATTCCATTGTAATGAGATAATTTTAAATTTATTCGGATTTATTTTATGGCCTAGAATATATTCTATCATTGTAAGTGTTCTTCATGTGCAGTTGAAAAGAATGTGTGTTTTGTTGTTAGGTGGAGTGTTTTACAAATGTCAGTTAGGTCAAGTCTGTTGATTGTTTTGTTTATGTCTCATAATTTTTTATTGAATGCCAGGCATTGTGTAGTAAAAAACTTAAGTAAGCATTACCAGGTAATGGTACATTTTGCCGGGTTGGGAGAGGGGTGGGGGAAGGGGAAGTTCATTTTCTATGCAGATAGGCTAGGGAGCTGTATTAGTCTGTTTGCATTACTATAAAAGAATACGTGAGACTGGGTAATTTATAAAGAAAAGAAGCTTAATTGGCTTACGGTTCTCCAAAGTGTATAGGAAGCATGGTGCCGGCATCTGCTTATAGTGAGGCTTAGTAAGTTTCTAGTCATGGCTGAAAGTGAAGGGAGAGCAGGTGCATGACAAGGCAAGAGTGGGAGCAAGAGAGCAAGGTGGGGCAGGTCCCAGACTTTTCAACAACCAGATCTTGTGTGAACTCACTTATTACCGAGGAGATGGTACTAAACCATTCATGAGGGATCTGCCCCCATGATCCAGTTGCCTCCTACTGGGCCCAACTTCCAACATTGGGAATTACATTTACATTTCATCATGAGATTTGGAGGGGACAAGCATCCAACCCATATCAGGAGCCCATCATCTTAAATTATGTGGAGGCTGGGTTGCTATTTTAATAGTTTGCTATCCTTATTTTTCCTTGTTTTTTCAGATGTTGTCTTCTAAGGCATTCATTTCAAAGCCTATTGGTCTTGTCCCTTTAGCAATGCCAAAGGTAGGAAATTTCACTTTGCTTTTCAAAGTTTTTTAGTTGACTTTGTAGCCTTTTACCCTGCACGGTTTTAAAATTCAGCAAGTATGCTGAGGGGAGATACCACCTTTAAGCTTGAGGTCCTTGCGTGAAACTTTTTAGGAGAATTAGTCTCCTAGTGTTGTTATTCCAGCCCTGTGTGAACACCAAAAGCTGTCCTGGCTTCTGTGTTCCTCAGCAACAATATTTTACACAGGTCAGGCCTCAATTTTCAGCCTCTAACCCAAGCAATAATTAGGAAATACTCCCAGGGAAAAGACAGATACTGGTCATCTAAATACCTTTAAAATATTCTCCCCATCTCTGAGGTGGAGGTTGCAGTGAGCCAAGATTGTGCCACTGCACTCCAGCCTGGGTGACAGAGCAACAAGACTCCATCTCAAAAAAAAAAAAAAAAAAAGATTCTCCCATCACTGGAATTTTAGACCTTCTTTCCCATGCTTCCACAGCTCCTCACTAACTTTAAAAATATGATTTTTATAATTTATTTAGCTTTTTAAGTTGTTCTTAGCAAGAATATTGGCCTGCTTCAAACTAGTTCATTTTACCTAAGTGCAGACAATTTCCTATTATTATTATTATTGTCATTTATTTTTGCAGAGATAGGATGTGACTTTGTTGCCCAGGCTTGTCTTGAACTCCTGGGCTCAAGTGATCCTCCTGCTTTGACCTTCCAAATTATTAGGATTACAGGCATGAGCCACTCTAGCTGGCGCCTGTCATTTTTTAAAGGTATGCAGAATACTCAATATTTATGAGCTGTTTTATGTAGTGTTCTTTAGGTATTTTGTTGTTGGGTTTCAGTTTTTGATGTATATTTTTTAAAATTGATTTTTATTGGGGTATAATGTATATATGTTAAAATCTGCCCAATTTAAGTATGCAGCTTGAGTTTTGACAAACCTAAACATTCTTGTAATCACCATAATCAAGAAGCAAAAAAATTTTTTTTTATACTGATAAAGAGGTCTTTCTGTATTGACCAGGTTGGAGTGTAGTGGCAATATAGCGAGGCCTTTGGCTCTCCAAAAAAATAGAAAAAAATTAGCCAGACATGGTGGCATGCACTTGTGATCCCACCTACTCAGGAGGCTGAGATGGGAGGATTGCTTGAGCCCAGGAGGTTGAGGTTGCAGTGAGCCATTGACTGTGCTGCTGGACTCAGCTTGGATGACAGAGCAAGACTGTCTCAAAAAAAAAAAAAAAAAAATTCTCACTTTATACAGAAAAGGCTGCTGAGATTTTGTTTAGGGTTGTATTTACTCTATAGATTAATTTAAAGAAAACTGATAGCAACATTGAGTCCTTTGATCCTTGAACACAGTATACCTCTCCATTCATTTAGGCCTTTCATTTTTCTCAGTAGTGCTTTGAAGTCTTTTAGTATACCTTTAATGGTGGTCTTCATCTTGTTCATTCAGCAAGTATTTATTGAGCATTCTGTTCTGTGCCAGCTACTATTCTGTCTGCTGGGGAACAAAGCCCTGCCTTCAGGGAGCTTATGTTCTAACTGAGGAAACCAGATGAGAAACTAGTGAGTTAAATATATGCTAGATGGATATTTGTATTGTAGAGAAAACCAAATCAAGGTGTAGGGGATTAGAGTCTATTAGCATGTGAGGATAGAATGGATATCTTAGTTTTGGCTGCTATAACAAAAATACCCAGGAGTATTAGATTCTGCAGTACAACAGCACATAGACTGTGTGCTGTTGAATTTGGTTTGCTAGTATTTTTTTAAGGGTAAAAAAATCAGTATTCATTAGGTTTATTGCTGTAGCTTTCTTTTTTTGTGGTATCTTTGTCTGATTTTGATATCAGGGTAATGCTGGCCTTTTAGAATGAGTTTGGAAATGTTCTCTCACATTTAGTTCTTTGGAAGAGTTTGAGGAGGATTGGCTTGGTGATAGTTGAGAGTAGAATAAGCACTCGTTTCAAGTTTGGTATTGTTGCACTGATGCTCCACTTGACTCGCTGCATATTACAACTGTAATTATTAATTACTTCAGTGCTGTTAATCATAGGGTAGTACAAGCTAGATTAAATGGCAAACAAATGTACAAAACATTTTATTACTATTGGGTTCTTTATACATTAATGTTTTAAGACACAGGCAAAAAGGAAAACATCGAGAGTTTACTGAAAAGCAAAAGTTTTGTAGTGTGTCTTGAATTTAGTAAACAAGTGTCCACTCTCCTGCATCTTAAACAAGCACTTTGTTTTTGTTTTATTTTTTTGAGATGGAGTCTCACTCTGTTGCCCAGGCTGGAGTGTAGTGGCATGATCTTGGATTACTGCAACCTCTGCCTCCCAGGTTCAAGCTGTTCTCCTGCCTCAGCCTCCCGAGTAGCTGGGATTACAGGCGTGTGCCACCATGCCTGGCTAATTTTTGTGCTATTAGTAGAGATGGGATTTCACCATGTTGGCCAAGCTGGTCTCAAACTCTTGACCTCAGGTGATCCACCTGCCTTGGCCTCCCAAAGTGCTGAGATTACAGGCACGAGCCACCATGCCTGGCCTTAAGCACTTTTTCACGGATTTACAAACAATCCCAAAAATCTTTAGTCAGTGATATGGTTTGAATTACTTTCTAGGCAGAAAAATATTCTAATATGTATCTAAAATACTTAATTAAAAAGTGTTGAAAAAATATTCGGAAATCAAAACTTTTAGGTCATCATAAAATAAATTAGTAATATCATATTTTGGCTTCATTCTTTGGCATGTGGATATTCAGTTTTCCCAACACTGTTTGTTGTAGAGACTGTTTTTTCTCCATTGGGTAGTCTTGGCACCCTTGTCGCAAGTCATTTGGTGGCATGTGCGAGCGTTTATTTCTGTTCTGTTCCATTGGTCTGTAGCTCTGTATTTATGTCAGTACCACACTGTCTTGATTACTGTTGCTTTGTAGTGTGTTTTGAAATAAGAAAGTATGAGGCCTCCAAATTTTTGGTGGTTTTTCAAGACTGGTTTGGCTACTTGGGGGTCCCTTGAGATTCTGTATGAATTTTAGGATGGTTTTGTTTCTATTTCTGCAAAAAAAATGTCATTGAGAATTTGACAGGGATTACATTGAATCTATAGATTGCTTTAGGTAGTATGGACATTTTAACAGTATTAACTCTTTCAGTTTAAAAACACGGAATGTTTTTCCATTTATTTGTATTCTCTCTTTGATTTCTTTTAGCGATGTTTTGTAGTTTTCAGAGTACAAGTCTTTTATCTCCTTGGTTAAGTTTATTCCTAGTATTTTTATCCACACTACCCCCCCGACCCGACCCCTTTTCTTTGTTTAAAGAGATAGGGTCTCTGTCACCTAGGCTGGAGTGCAGTGGCACAATCATGGCTCACTGTGACCTTGAACTCCTGGGCTCAAATGATCCTCCTACCTCAGCCTCCCAAGAAGCTGGGACTAAAAGTATATGCTTCCACGCTCGGCTAATTTTTTGGTATTTTTATAGAGAGATAAGGTCTCAAATTCCTGGCTTCAAGCAGTTCTCCCACCTTGGCCTCCCAAAGTGCTAGGATTACAGGTTTGAGCCACCATGGTTTGCCTTTCCTCTTTTGATACTATAGTAAATTGGGATTTTTTTTTTTAAATTTTCCTTTCCAGTTGGTCATTTTTGGTGTATAGAAATGCAACTGATTTTTGTGTGTTGATTTCGGATCCTGAAACTTTGCTGAAATCATGTATTAGTACTAACAGTTTTTTTGTGGATTCTTCTTTAGGGCTTTCTGCATATAAATCATGTCATCTGTATACAGAGATAATTTTCTTTCTTATTTGAGTGCCTTCTATTTATTCTTCTTGCCTAATTGCTCTATCTAGGACTTCTGGTACTGTGTTGAATAGAAGTGATGAGAGTGGGCATCCTCGACTTGCTCCTAATCCTAGGAGAAGTGTTCAGTCTTTTACCATTGAATAGGATGTTAGCTGTGGGATATTCATATATGGTGTTTATTATGTCGAGGTAGTTTCCTTCTATTCTTCATTTATTGAGTGTTTTTATCATGGAAGGGTGTTGAATTTTGTCAAATGCATTTGTTCGTCAATTGGAATCATGTGGTTTTTGTGCTTCATTTTATTAATGTGGTATATTACCCTAATTGATTTTTGTATTGTGAACCATCCTTGAATTTCTGGTATAAATCCCACTTGGTCATGGTATATAATCCTTTTAATGTGCTGTTGAATTTGGTTTGCTGGGGTTTTTTTTGTTTTTGTTTTTGTTTTTTTTAACATTTAAAAAATCACTATTCATTATGGTTATTACCGTGGTTTTCTTTTCTTGTGGTATCTTTGTCTGGTTTTTATATCAGGGTAATGGCGGCTTTTTAGAATGAGTTTGGAAATGTTCTCTCCCATTTTAGTTCTTTGGAAGAGTTTGAGGAGGATTGGGTTAATTCCTTTTTTTTTTTTTTTTTTTTTTTTTTTTGAGACGAAGTCTTGCTCTGTCGCCAGGCTGGAATACAGTGGCGTGATCTCGACTCACTACAACCTCTGCCTCCTGGGTTCAAGCGATTCTCCTGCCTCAGCTTCCAGAGTAGCTGGGACTATAGGCGCATACCACCACGCCCAGCTAATTGATGTAGTTTTCGTAGAGACGGGGTTTCACCATGTTGGCCAGGATGGTCTCGATCTCTTGACCTTGTGATCCACCCTTCTCGGCCTCCCAAAATGCTGGGATTACAGATATGAGCCACCACGCCTGGCCTGGTTAATTCTTTTAAATGATTGATAGAATTCTCCAGTAAAGCCTCCTAGGCTTTTGTTGTTGTTGTTGAGATCTGCTTTTATTTCTTGATTTACTAACTTCAAATTATATCTATTGACTCACTGCTAAGAAAGATGAGGATTTAGCTCACTTACACTTTACTTAATTATAGTGCTGGGGCTATTTTTTTTTTCTATGGGTCTAAAGTCATAATGCTAGTGGAACTCAAGAAATAAAATATTTACTTATTTCTTCTTGTACTTCATCATTTTTTCGAAATCATGCCGCTAGATTGCTTTATATTCTAGATGACTTTTTGTTCATCTTTTCCTCCCACAGTTTGTAATTGTCTTTTTTTCTTTAGAGAAATATATACCTTTATCATATTCTCAGATGTTTTTCCTGCTTGGATCATAATATCTATTAACTGTTAGGTGGAATGCCTTTTCCTGGAGATATCACTCTTAGAGCCCTCCTACTTCCTGCTTCAGTCTTGACAGGTTGGAAGCTGCTGTGTATATGTCATTCTGAGCTATTCCGTGTCTGCATTTCTGGTTAGATTTACTGTTTCTTAGATGCGACATCTTCCTCTTTTATAGCATTCTTCCTTTTTTAGCTGGAATGTATTTACTCTTTTTTTTTTTTTTTTTGCGATGGAGTCTTGCTCTTTTTCCCAGGCTGGAGTGCAGGGGCACAATCTCGGCTCACTGCAACCTCCACCTCCTGGGTTCAGCTGATTCTTCTGCTTCAACCTCCGCAGTAGATGGGATTACAGGCGTTTGCCACCATGCCTTGCTAATTTTTGTATTTTTAATAGAGACAGGGTTTCACCATGTTAGCCAGGTTGGTCTTAAACACCTTATCTCAAGTGATCCACCCTCCTCGGCCTCCCAAAGTGCTGGGATTATATGCATGAGCCACTGCATCCTGCTTTGAATGTATTTTAAATTAACTCCAGTATACAGAGTACTTACAATGTAAATATTGTGAATTCTTGCATGTTTGAAAATAGCTTTGGCCTGGGTCATAATTGCTTGATAGTTTGGCTGGGTGTAGAAATTTAAATTCAAATTAATTCTCTCTTACAACTTAGAGGTTTTTGCTCAATTCTGTTGAGCATCAAGACGGTAAGATGTCTGATGCTATTCTGTCTTGTTATTTTCTAAATGATCCTTTCCCTCGCTCACAAAGATAAGCTTTAGTATCTTATCTTTGTCCTTCGTAGTTATGGAATTTTATAATTATGTGTTTAGATATGAATTGTTTTTGTTATTCTTTGCTGGACTCAGTAGGTCCTTTCAGTTGAAATGCAAGTGTCTCCCTTCAGTTATGGAAAATGTTCTTTTATTATTTCCTTGGTAATATTTCTTAGTCTATGTTTGCCCATTTTGGGATACTTACTAGCAGAATATTGGCTTTCTTGATTGATCCTCATTTCTTTATCTCTTTTCTCAAGTTTTCTGTCTTTTTTATTCTGTATTTTGACAGATGTTTTCAATTGTATGTTTCTGACCTGCGAATGTTTATAAATTGTTAATGAGTAGCTTTTGCTTATTTTCTGCTGGTATCATTTCAAGAGACAACACAGGATAGTAGCTAAAAGCATTGACAATGGAACCAGACTTCCTGACTGTGTGGGTTTAGATCACAGCTCCACAACTTCAAAACCATGACAATGGGCAAATGATTAATCTCTTTGTCCTCAGTTTCTAGTCTACAAAATGAGGATAATAATACCTACCTTGTGAGTAAAGGAGTTCATATTTATTAAGCATTTGTAACAGTTCTTGGCATAGTGGACTCTTGTATTATTATTTGTTAAATATACCTATTTTTGTTTAATTGAATGCGGTATCTTCAGTAGTCCTTTGAGAATACTTTGTTCTATTTTGAGATTTCTTCTATGTCCTGAATAAACTATGATTTTTTTGAAGTCAGTTTGATCTATTTATTTGTCTTGGTCTGGGTGGGACATAGTGGCTCATGCCTTTAATAACAGTACTTTGGGAGGCTAAGGTGGGAGGATTGCTTGAAGCTAGGAGTTTGAGACTAGCCTAGGCAACATAATGAGACCCCATCTCTACAAGAAAATTAAAATATTAGTTGAGCATGGTCATGCATGTCTATAGTCCTAGCTACTTGGGAGGCTGAGGCAGGAAGATCACTTGAGCTCAGGAGTTCGAGGCTGTAGTGAGCTATGATTGTGTCACTGCACTCCTGCCTGGGCAACAAAGTAAGACTGTCTCTTTTAAAAACTAAAAAAATAGATAATATCTTTATCTTGGTCTTTTTCTAGGTGGTGTTTCTTCTTGTATATCTGGGGATCCTTATTGTTAGTTCATGGTTCTTGCTAAAGGACCATCTTGATTATATTAGGTACTGCTGTTGGTTTCCTGGATTGTAGTCATGGACTTGTTTTCTAATTGCCATCTTGGAATGAGAAGACTGGCAACTCTTTGTACATAGTTGGAGCATCTCTTGTTTGCTGGCAAGTTAGGTTTAGGGCAAAAGATCAGGGAACCTGTTTTTAGGCTTCGGAGCTTTCCAATTGCCATATAGAAATGGGCTCTACAGATACTGACATTGACACCAGAAGACCCAGTTTCTTTCTGTTCAGTTTGTTAACTGTCTTTAGGAAAAAAAGAGTATTTCACTTTTTGTACCTACAGGTGACACTGGCCCTTGCTTAGTCATTGAGGGGAGCGTAGAATCTCTGAAAGATTGACTTAGACCTCCACTGTAGTCCTTTCATGTGTAGATTTTGGGCTGTGCTTCGCTTAGTTCTGTTTAAACTTAACACACTTGGGTCTGCTTTCTGTTCTCCAGAAATCTATTGTAAACACTTTCTCTCTGTTCTTTTCATTGTCTTATAGATTTATTCTTTTTTGTTTGTTTTTATGTGCTCATCTGCACAGACTTTCTGCATGGAGGGGCGGCAAACATGAGTGTTTATCACCATCATCATCTCATTCACTCCCCAGGTTTCTTTAAAATAAGGCAGTGAGGGGGGGATGAAGGAAATAGTCACTTCACCCTTAAATACTTCAATATATTTAATTAATTAATTTTTTTTTTTTTGAGGTGGAGTTCTGCTCTTGTTTCCCAGGCTGGAGAGCAATGGCATGATCTCGGCTCACTGCAACCTCTGCCTCCTGGGTTCAAGTGATTCTCCTGCCTCAGCCTCCCAAGTAGCTGGGATTACAGGCATGCACCACCAGGCCTGGCTAATTTTGTATTTTTAGTAGAGATGGAGTTTCACTCTATTGGTCAGGCTGGTCTTGAACTCCTGACCACCCACCTCAGCCTCCCAAAGTGCTGGGATTACAGGCGTTAGCCACTGCCCTTGGCCTCAATATATTTATTTTAAAACATAGGATTTTTTTTTTTTTTTGAGAGACAGGGTCTTGCTGTGTTGCTCAGGCTGAAGTGCAGTAGCCCAATTATAGCTCACTGCAGCCTTGAACTCCTAGGCTAAAGTGGTCTTCCAAAAGTACTGAGATAATAGGCATGTGCCACTATGCCCAGCTAATTTTTTAAATTTTATGGTAGAGATGAGATCTCGCTATGTTGCCAAGGCTGTTCTCCATTTCCTGGCCTCAACTGATCCTCTCACTTAGGCCTCCCAAAGTGCTGGGATTACAGGTATGAGCCACCACACCCAGCTGATATTTTCTTTCATAATCTCGGTATCATTACCACACCTAACAAAATTAACGATACTTCCTTAATATCATAAAACACCTAGTTCATATTCAGCTTTTTCAAAAATGCCTTTTTGTTGCTTTATTTGTATCAGGATTTGAATCAGGTACATACCTCCCAGTTATGTTTTTTTAGTCTTTTAAAATTTTTATTTTATTTTCTCATTTTCAGTCATGCCTATATAATGATTGAATCTTTTTTTAAAAAAGGTATTATTTGGGAGAGGAATGACATCAGTTTGTAGATCACCTTTGATAGAAAATATATGGGCAAGCTATGTGTTGTATAGTTTTGTTCTCTCTAATATCCTAAGAAAGCAAAATGTGCCCCAAACATGCTTTTGTTTTTACAGGATGTTTTAAACATATACAACAGTATATAGAATAGTAAAATGAACTCCTATGTACCCATCACCTACTTTTAGTGATTTATTTACTCAACAACTCTCGTTTCATCTATATCTTAATCTCCTTACCCTCTTCTAATACTATTTTGAAGTATATTCCACATATTATTTATCTGTTAATATTTTAAAGTATATTTCTAAATATGATTACCGCAGTAAAGTCTTTTTACCCTCCATGTTGAAGTAACTGGGTCAATTTTTCTTTATAACGTTTCACATTCTGCATTTTCTTATTCCTTTTGATGTCATTTTACTTATTACTTTCTTGTATTCATGTAACTGGAAATTGGATGTGAAGCAGTGTTTCTAACCTTTTTTTTTTTAATTGTTGCCTCATTACGGAGTTTTTAGAGCTTTTTTTTTTTTTTTTGAGACGGAGTCTCACTCTGTCACCCGGGCTGGAGTGCAGTGGTGTGATCTCGGCTCACTGCAAGCTCCGCCTCCCGGGTTCATGCCATTCTCTTGCCTCAGCCTCCCGAGTAGCTGGGACTACAGGTGCCTGCCACTTTGCCCGGCTAATTTTTGTATTTTTAGTAGAGACAGGGTTTCACCGTGTTAGCCAGGATGGTCTGGATCTCCTGACCTCGTGAACTGACCACCTCGACCTCCCAAAGTGCTGGGATTACAGGCGTGAGCCACCGTGCCCGGCCTAGAGCTTTTTTTTTCCTTACTGTCTACACTGCACCTTTTCCCCAGACCTGGGGGCAGACACAGTAGTATGATTTGGAGGATGAGAAACTGTCTTAATTTACTGTTTAAGATTTCTTTGCCTTCTTGAATGTGACATTGCTACTGTTGAGAATGTATGATCTAAAGGTTCATAGATTCTAGTTTGACTCTTAACAAGAATATTCTGTAAGTAGTACTATTACTACATGTTATATCATGATATGTGGTTGTCCCAGTGTTAAAGATGTTAAGATTGATCAGTGAATTCAGTTGGTGACAATATGATCCATTGTGAAATTTACCATTACTTTTTCTCCTGATGGGGTTTTTAGGATTGATGATTTTTGCCTATTTATGTCATTTCTTTTGTTCTTCTTAGTTGAAATTTTTCTTTAAAGGAGTAGCTTTCAGTACTTTGGTCCCTTTGCCTACCTTGAAATACAGTTTGACAGGCCAGTCAAGGAAAATGCTTTGTAAATTTCCTGTTACAGGTTGAATATCTCTTATCTGAAATGCTTGGGATTAGAAGCGTTTCGGATTTCGTATTTTTTCAGATTGTGGAATATTTATAGTATACTTTTCAGTTGAGTATCCCGAAAATCTGAAATCTGAAATGCTCCTTTGAGTGTCATGTCATTGCTCAAAAAGTTTCATATTTTGGAGCATTTCAGATTCTGGATTTTTGTATTAGGGATACTCAACCTATAGTTAAACATTTTCGTATTAACCCTTGGCATACCATCAGTACACACTGGAATTTTTTTTTTTTTTTTTGAGCAGTTCTAACTATGGAAGGACTAATAATTTCTTGACTCATTTTTTCTTAAAGGCCTTTGAAAGTAGAAAGGTAACATATACTTTAAAAAATTTTTTTATTTGGCCAGGTGTGGTGGCTCATGCTTGTAATTCCAGCACTTTGGGAGGCCGAGGCGGGTGGATCACTTTAGGCCAAGAGTTCGAGACCAGCCTGGCCAACATGGTGAAACCCCGTGTCTACTAAAAATACAAAAAATTAGCTGGGCATGGTGGTGGACACCTGTAATCAGCTACTCGAGAGGCGGAGGTTGCAGTGAGCCAAGATTGTGCCATTGCACTCCAGCCTGGGCAACAAGAGTGAAACTCTGTCTCAAAAAAAAAATGTTTATTATTCATTTATTTTATTTTATTTTTTTAGAGACAAGGTCTTGCTCTGTTACCCAGGCTGGAGTGCAGTGGTGTGATCATAGCTTATCATAATTACCAATTCCTGGGCTCACGTGATCTTCTTGCCTCAGACTTCTGAGTAGCTAGAACTGTAGGCGTGTGCCACCATGTCTGGCTGCTTTTCTTTTTAAAAATTTTTTCTAAAGAACAGGGTATGTGGCCTAAGCTGGTCTCGAACTCCCAACCTCAAGTGATCCTCCCATGTTGTCCTTTCAAAGGGCTGTGATTACAGACATGAACCACTGTGCACAGCCAAAATTTTCTTTTTAAAAACTGAATAAAACTCATTCTATCTTTCATTGGTTATATTCCTGTAGCTTTAAGGATTGTGATTTCATCATTCTAAGACTTGTTTCATTACTAAGATTTGTTTCATTTCATTCATAACAAATTACTCATCAATTATTTCTGTCCCTCCTAAAAGATAATATGAAAATGGAAAAATGATGGAATCACCTAGGAGAGTGATAGAATATGGAAATAAATTGTCACTATTGTATTTTTTTTTTTAAGATTTTTGCATTTCCCAAAGTATTACATCATCTTTCTGGAAGTTATAAGTCTGGAGATATCATCATTGTAGGCCGCTTTCAGCTTTCATTAGAAACAGTTGAGAATTTAGAAATTTTCATTTCTGCTCATTATGGCAAAGAGGAAAAATTACAGAAAGATGTTTCACATCTCTTTGACAAACCAGCACATAAATGCAAAAAGAAAAATAAATGCACCTCAGGCTTTATTCAATAGAAATTTCATGTGAATCACTGGACCATCATTGTCCAATAGAAATTTTATGTGAACCACAAATGTAAGTAGTAGGTATAATTTAAAATAAAAAAGTAAAACTAGGTCAAATGAATTAAGCAAAATCTCAGGCTGCACTTATTCATATAATAGGTGAATTTTCTCAAACTCAGAAATCAATGCATGAAGAATTATATTTCTGAGTGTAAAAATATAAATATAGTTATTCTTGTCTAGTCAGTCATTTAATAGGTATTAATATTTTCTTTTTTCTTTTTTTTTGTTTTTGTTTTTGTTTTTTTGAGACAGAGTCTCACTCTGTTGCCCAGGCTGGAGTGCAGTGGTGTGATCTCCGCTCACTGCAATCTCAGCCTCCCAGGCTCAAGCAATTCTGCCTCAGCCTCCTGAGTAGCTGGGATTACAGGCTGGTGCCACCATGCTCAGCTAATTTTTTTTGTGTGTGTGTGTATTTTTAGTAGAGACGGGTTTTGCTGTGTTGGCCAGGCTGGTCTTCAAACTCCTGGCCTCAAGTGATCCGCCCGCCTCAGCCTCCCAAAGTACTGGGATTACAAACATCAGCTGCTATGCCCGGCCGGGTATGAATATTTTCTGATGAGCCTTACACCATCCTGTTTTGCTAAAATGATGTGTTCTTACGTCTTTTATGGTGTCTGCATGCCAAAATTTACTGGATAACAATTTGTAATGCTAAAGACATGTAACAAAGGTGACTGGAAGGAAATAGATTATTTAAAAAGAAAAAAGTTGTTGGATTGCTCATTTTAATTGATGCTTAAAAACAAGAATGTTTTACAGTTTTGGAGCAAAAAAAGATGGTATCCACTCTTCAATAAAATTATAAGCCATCAAAGGTTTCAAAAACTTCTTCAATTTTTTTTATGATGAAATTGCAAGAAGAGTAGAAATATTGATAAGCTGATATGAAATTAGAGGTATGTATTAGAAATCTGGAGAAGTATTAGAAATATATTTGAAATGTATGTGGAGATGTATCTGGAGAGGTATTAGAGATGTATATGAAACCTGGAAGCAGTACAGGATGATTATGTTCCAGATTCGTGCATGGATGATCAGCCAGTTGCATTCAGAGGACATTACCCATGTCATGTAGATACACTTTCAAAGCCTCAAAAAATGGAATAAAAATTTGGTTGTGATATGTTTAATTTTTCAGTGTCAATTTTTTTTATTATCCCTTTATTCTCGTATAAATAATTCATAAGATGACTTGAAAATATAAAGGGTCCATTGGACCAAGAAGGTGTAAATAGTGATGACTGTTCTGTACCCTGAGGGTTGACTTGATACTCTAGCTACTCTTTGGTCACAAGTGAGAGTTCTACATTTGTCCGTTTGTCTGGTTTTGTTTGTTTGTTTGTTTTTGACAGAGTCTGGGTCTGTCTCCCAGGCTGGAGTACAGTGGTGCCATCTCGCTCACTGCAAGCTCCGCCTCCCAGATTCATGCCATTCTCCTGCCTCAGCCTCCCAAGTAGCTGGGACTACAGGTGCCCACCACCATGCCTAGCTAATTTTTTTTTTTTAATTTTTAGTAGAGACGGGGTTTCACCGTGTTAGCCAGGATGGTCTCGATCTCCTGACCTCGCGATCCGCCCGCCTCCATCTCCCAAAGTGCTGGGATTACAGGCATGAGCCACTGCGCCCAGCCTGTTCGTTTGTCTTATGCTAAACAATACACATTATATGTTACTGTGCCTCACAATTTCTTTTTATTCAACCTGGCCTGTCTCTGGCCAGTAGGAGCCCCTTCAGATTTGCTTCTAAATCTTTTTTATATGACCATATTAGGTTTTGATAGCTTCCTTGCTTTCAAGCTTAGAGTTAGTCATTTTATATGGTTCAGAAGTAAATGAGTGTGTGTATTTGTGTGTGTACATGTGCATGTTTGTATGTTGTATATGGAGATGCATACATATATATGAGAGAGGGAAAGTGTGCATTTACAAATACATACATATATATGGTGGAAAGAGTATAGATGTGGCAAATTGTTAACAGTTGATGAATCTAGGTTAAGAATATATGGCTGTTAATCTTACTGTTCCTTAAGGGGTAGGATACCTGTTTAAGTTACCTATTTTTCCAACTACTTATTCTGTTCATAAAGTTTAGCATGTTTTCTTATGTTTATTCGTTCTTTATGCTTCTTTTTTTTTTAAAAAAAAACAGTTTATTACTGGTTGGCATCTTTTGTTTATCTTTTTTTCTTACTGATATGTAGTATCTTGTTACGAACTTTGGATACTAATCTTCTGTGGTATATTTTCTCAGTCCGTGGTTTGTCTTTTCATTTGTTTATGGGATATTTTGGTAATTAGAAAAATTAAAAATTTAAATTAAATTAGACTTCAGATTTGAATTAGAATGAAGCCAAATATATTATTTTTTTTCTTTAAAGTTTGTGCTTGGCTTGTTTTCCTTTAAGGTTTATGATAGTTTAAGAAAGTTATTTTCTCCTCTATAGATATGAAGGTATTGTGTGTTTTCTTCTAAAAATTGATATGTTTTGCCTTCATATTTGGGTCTGAAGCACTTGGAATTTATGTTTACGTGTGGTAAGAAAGAAATCCGGTATAACTTTTTGCCCTATTTGGGTACCTGTTGTCTCTACCATTAATGGATAGTCCATTCTTTCCCTCTTTGTTTATAATGCTGCCTTTTTAATATACATATGACTCTATTTGTGATCTCTCTATCTCTGTTTTGAAAGACCCATATTATAAGGCTTGATTATTTGTAGGACTGCTCTCTCCATTTTCTTCTTCAAATTATTGTAGCTATTCTTAGCCTTTTGCTCTTCCACATAAATACTAAGATCAGTTTGTCTAGTTACATACACACTCATATATGCATACCATATGGACACAAATCAATATAAGATATTAGTAAAAATTGCATAGCATCCATAGATGTATTTAGAGAGAATTCAGAGGTGAGGAAACTGAAATTCAAGCAAAGTGAATAATTTGCTCAAGTATGTCTGAGTCTGAGGCCCATTTCTTTCCTTTGCATATTTGTGAAGGCCAATAATTCATGGGGTGTTACCACCGTGGTATGGTATAACCATAGCAAGAATCAGAATTTTGAGAGTAGCAGCACACATCTAAAATCTATAAGGTGAGCTCTATAAAACATAGTAATTTGAGCCAGGTGTGTTGACGCACGCCTGCAGTCCCAGCACTTTGGGAGGCCAAGGCAGGTGGATCACCTTAGGTCAGGAGTTCAAGACCGGTGTGACTAACACGGTGAAACCCCGTCTCTGCTAAATACAAAAAATTAGCCAGGCGTGATGGCGCATGCCTGTAATCCCAGCTACTTGGGAGGCTGAGGCAGGAGAATCGCTTGAACCCAGGAGGTGTGGGTTGCAGTGAGCTGAGATCATGCCATTGCACTCCAGCCTGGCAACAAGAGTGAAACTCCATCTCAAAAAAACACAAAAAAAATAGAAATTTGAATTTATGTGACAGATTAATTAAGGGACACAAATTACTGTAGTTCCATTTAAAATTGAATTTTTTTCTAGTACATTTGAGAAAGAAACCATTTTACCAACGTTAAAATTGCACTTTTGTAAGAATATCTGTAAAAATATTGTAGACTGAAAAAACCGTGAGCATAGACTTGGAGGTGTGACAAAATTTGATGTATGTAGGGAATAGCAAGTAAATGGAAAAGGTTAAATCATGAGAGACTTGAAAGAGATAAGGCTGAACCTTGGGGACTAAATCTGGAGTTCACAAAGGAGTTGTTATAGGGAGCAATTTTTATATCTCAAGGAATTTGAGTGACATGATCAAATATGAATGTTAGAGTCTTCTGATATAAAGCAAGGGATGGATTCAAGAGGGCTGGTGCTGGAGGCAGGGGATGGGAGGAGGAATTTATGAAGATTAATTCCAGTCACAGAATTGGGAAAATTGTGAAGGAGTAAGGGAGAAAGAGTATTTAAAATACCTCTAAAATTTGTAGCTTGTATGAGTTTAACATTACCTCACTTTGTTTCCTTAGAACTGAACCTTAGTATTAAAAAGATTTGGGAGGGAGAAAAACCCTGTATGTCTACTGTGGATTTATTTATTTTAAATGTATATTGTAAAATTAATATAAATTTGAAGCTGTGGGATACCTGTGTCAACAGTCTGTTTTGCCTCAGGTGTTGTTTTCTAGGAGTAGTTCATACTACAAAAGCAGATCCTCATAATGCCATTTTTGGAGTTGAATTTTCACCAGTTCATCTGCATATTAGGGGAAACTATTGCTGTTAGTAAATGAGGTGTTGATGACCCTTGGATACAGTTGGCATTGTAATTCTAAAGCTTTCATCTGTAATTAATGGGAGTGAGGCTCATAGAAGTCAAGGTTTTGGGAGAAAACAGATACTTCACTTGATCGGTGTGGGGGCAGTGATAATTTTAAGGATTGTGGTATGAGGTTGTTTTTGTTGGTGGCCTTAAAAAAGTGGTTAGATTTAGCACAACTAATTGCCAATTTAAGGCATACTGTGGAACCCAGAGGGCTTCTATGACAGTTTTATAGGATAACAGAATCTTATCCTGTTGACTTCAGGGAGACTATGCTAAAATGTTGGCCTTGAATCGGATTATTAAGGTGATACAACTGCAGAGAAGACTAAATATGCAACCTTTGCAGGTGTTGTGTGTCTAAGTCAGGGCCCTAATAGGGAAAGAGTGGATCCCTGTACTTCAGAATTTTTAATCCTACAATTCATGCTGAAGCTTCCTGGCAAGGAGAAGCATCCCATTTCCCTTTGGCAGAGGAAAGACCCCCTGCCACCCCTCCTGTCATCATTGCTTGAAGACTGTGCAGTGACCCCATAAATGTTCAATGATGTTTATTTATTTTTATTTTTATTTTTTATTTTTTTGAGGCAGATTTTTGCTCTGTTACCCAGGCTGAAGTGCAGTGGCCAATCTCGGCTCACTGCGGTCTCCGCTTTCCGGGTTCAATTGGTTCTCCTGCCTCAGCTTCCTGAGTAGCTGGGATTACAGAAGTGCACCACCACGCCCGGCTAATTTTTGTATTTTTGTATTTTCACCATGTTGGTCAGGCTGGTCTCGAATGCCTCAACTCAGGTGATCTGCCCACCTTGGCCTCCCAAAGTGCTGGGATTACAGGCATGAGCTACCACGCCTGGTCCAATGACATTTATTCTTAAGATCTGCCTCTACTATGACTCATTATCCTCTGGTTAATAACTATAGTCAGGGTCTTAGCACATCCCAAGAAGAGAATTACAAGCCCTGCTCTGGAAAGAACTATCCTATATACAAAAAGAATTGCAGGACTGCAGGCTCAGTGGCTTGCACCTACAATCCCAGTGCTGTGGGAAGCCAAGGCAGGAGGACCACTTGAGGCTAGGAGTTTGAGACCAGCCTGGGCAACATAGTGAGACCTTGTCTTTACAAAAAACTTTTTTTAAAAATTGGCTGGGTATAGTGGTTTGTGCCTGTAGTTCTAGCTGCTCCAGAGGCTGAGGCGGGAGGATCACTTGAGCCCAGGAGTTTGAGGCGGTAGTCAATTATGATTGCTCCATTGCACTCCAGCCTGGGCAACAGAGCGAAACCCTATCAAGTAAAAGTAAAATAAAATAAAATTGCAGGACTTGAATAATAAGCATCTGGAGAAACCAAGGAAACAGGTATGAGAATGTTTTGAAAGGTGTTGGATTGGGTGGGGGGCAGAATATAAGGTTAGCTTGAGGAAAATGTATTGACATGAGGGTACTCATTGATGATCTGGGATTCAGTGTCATCCAGGGGCATTGGAACTGCCTCTTATAGCTTGTCGGTTGTCTTAGTCCATTTGGCTGCTGTAACAAAGTATCTTAGTCTGAGTAATTTATAAGCAACAGAAATTTATTGTTTTCAGTTCTAGAGACTGGGAAGTCCAAAATCAAGGTGCTAGTAGATGCAGTATCTGGTGAAGGCCCATTCTGGTGCCTTGTTGCTGTGTCCTCACATGATGGAAAGGGAGGGGAACAAGCTCCCTCAGGCCTTTTATAAGGGCACTGATCTCATTGATGAGGGTGGAGCCCTCATGACCTAATCACCATCCAAAGGCCCCATGTCTTAATACTGTCACATTGGGGATTAAGTTTCAACATAAGAATTTTGGAGGGGCACAAACATTTAGACCATAGCACTGATATAGTTCTTTGAAGTCTGAGCACAATGAATGTCTACAGTCAACCTTTTAAGCAAAGATAGTGTCATGAGGAAAACAATAAATATTTGGCATTTTTGTTTAGGGATTAATACCCTGTGGGAAAATCTTTGCCAGATCTCTTATGTCTCTTTAGCACTGGTCAGATAAATTCTCCCCGTCCTCTCTCCTCTGCATTTACCCCAAATAGGCCAGTTTTCTCATGGCTCTGCATAGCTTGGTAATGTCATATTTCACGTTTGCTTTGTCTCCTTATCTGCCTTATTTAACTTTCTCTTCATATCCTGACATTATACCCTCCCTTCCCTAAGTGTCAGCTTATAATTTTTGCCTCAGGTTATCCTTTTAAAGCTGAAACAATAGCTCCCAAACTTCTATGACCACAACTCATAGTAAGAAATATATTTTATGTTATGACCTAGTACACTCATACACACATATCTGAAACAACAGTTTCAGGAAATACCCTTTACCATAACTAGGTGTCCTGCGATCCGACTCCCCACCCCCCACCATGTTTCATTTTTAAAATGCTGGTTATAACCCCTATATTTCTGTACCAAAGGGTAAAAACATTTGTAATTTTGTTAAGGGTATTGACATAATGTTCTCTATAAAGTTTATATCAATTTATACTCCCACCAGCAATGTATGAGAGTAATGAAAAAGCCAACATTCTACTACTACTATCCCATAACCATTAAGCAAATTGATTTTGTAATTCTGAAACTCCCCAAAAAGATATCTCTAGGCCCAGTTGGTTTCACTGCAGAGTCTAATCTACATAGTCTCTTCTAAAAAACAGAAGAGAAGGGAACATTTCAAGTATTATCCTGATACTGCAACCAGACAAAGGCAGAACAGAAACAACAAATTAAAAACCAATATTCTTTATAGAGACACAAAAATCCTTAACAAAATATTAGCAAATAGAATTCAGCAAAATATAAAAATAATCTTCTGTGTTTTGAGACAGAGTCTGGCTCTGTTGCCCGGGCTGGAGTGCAGTGGCGTGATCTCGGCTCACTGCAACCTCTGCCTCCCGGGTTCAAGTGATTCTCCTGCCTCAGCCTCCTGAGTAGCTGGGACTACAGGCCCGTGCCACCACACCCGGCTAATTTTTTGTATTTTTAGTAGAGACAGGGTTTCACTGTATTAGCCAGGATGGTCTCGATCTCCTGACCTCATGATCCGCCCACCTCGGCCTCCCAAAGTGCTGGGATTACAGGTGTGAGCCACCGTGCCCGGCCAAAAGAATCTTACACTATAGTAATCACATGGAGTTTATTCTAGGGATACATGGCAGGTTAAATATTCAAAAATCAGTGTGATCCACCACATTAACAGGCTTAAGGAAAAATCATTATCTTTTTAACTGATGGTTTGTCCAAAATAATGTTATCAACAGTGTATTCAATTATGTATGCTTATATATACACGTATGTATGTATGCGCTTATGTAAAAGTGAAATGAATGACAGGAATGATACAAAGGATAGGAGGGAGGTATTAGGATTATTACGTGGTACTTGTACTACCCATAAAGTGGTTTAGTGTTATTTGAAAGTAGACTTAGATTAGTTGTAAATGTGTATTGTGAACTCCAGGGCAACTACTAAAAAAAGTAAAACAAAAAAGCAAAAAAGTATACCAAGAAAGGAGAGGAAAATAGAATCATGTAAAACTACAACAGGCAGAAAAAGACTGGAAGACTAAAATAGGAATAAAGAACAGAAAGCAATCACAAATATGGTAGCTAGTAATCTAACTGTATCAATGATCACTTTAAATGTTAGTGATCTCAGCACACCAATTAAAAGACAGTGCCAGAGTGGATGAAAAATCAAGGCTTAACTTTATGTTGTCTACCAAAAAAACCCACTTTAAATATAGATACATAGATTAAAAGAAAATGGATGGAGAAAAATACAATATGCTAACACTAACCGAAAGAAAGCATGAATAGCTATATTAATTTCAGACAGAGCAGCTCTCAGAGCAAGGAAGTTATCCGGAATAAAGAGGGGCATTGCATAAATAATGATAAATGGGTCAGTTCTCCAAGAAGATATAGTAGTCCTAAACATCTGTGCAGCTAACAGTGGAGCATGTAAGTATGTGAGGCAAAAACAGAACTGCAAGGAGAAACAGATTAATCTGCTCTTATAATGGAGACTTTAATACCCCATTATCAGAAATGGACAGATGTAGCGGGCAGAAAACCAGTAAAAACATAGATGAATTCAACAGTGCTGTCAAACAACTTGATATAATTGACATCTATAGACTACTTCATCCAACAACAGCACAATACACATTCTTCTCAAGCCTACATGGAACACTCACCACAAGAGACAACATTTTGGGCCATAAAACACCTTAACAAATTTAAAAGAATAGAAATCAGACAGTATCTGTTCTCAGACCACAATATAATTAAAGTAGAAATCAGTAACAGCTGGAAAATCCCCAAATACTTGAAGATTAAACAACACATGGGTCAAAGATTCTCAAGAAATCTATTAAAAAAATTTTTATTTTCATCTTTTTTTGCCACACTACACTGATGTATCAAGAGAAATCTAAAAATGTTTTGAACTAAATGAAAATGAAAACAACTTAACAAAATATGCGGGATGCAACAAATGGAATGCCTAGAGGGAAATTTATAGCGTGGAATACATAGAAAAGAGTAAAGATCTAAAACCAAAGTTTCTGCCTTAGGAAACTACAAAAAGTAGAGCAAATTAAATACAAAGTAAGCAGAAGAAAGGAAACAATAAAAATTAGAGCAGAGGCTGGGCGTGGTGGCTCGCGCCTGTAATCCCAGCACTTTGGGAGGCAGAGGTGGGTGGATCACGAGGTCAGGAGATTGAGACCATCCTGGCTAACACGGTGAAACCCCGTCTCTACTAAAAATACAAAAAATTCAAAAAATTAACCAGGCATGGTGTCAGGCGCCTGTAGTCCCAGCTAATTGGGAGGCTGAGGCAGGAGAATCGCTTGAACCCGGGAGGCGGAGGCTGCAGTGAGCCGAGATTGTGCCACTGCACTCCAGCCTGGGTGACAGAGCAAGACTCCATCTCAAAACAAACAAAACAGCCAGTGAAATGGAAAATAAGAAATCATAGAGAAAATCAACAAAACCAAAAGCTGGTTCTTTGAAGAGATTAATAAAATTGATGTGCTTCCAGCTAGGCTAACTAAGGAAAAAGGATACGCTAATATTACTAATAGAAGACATGAAAGTAGAAATCATAACAGATTTCCATTTATATTAAAAATATAAAGGAATATTATGAACAACTCTGTGCCCACGAATTTGATAACCTAGATGAAATGGACCAATTCCTTGAAGGACGCAATCTGCCAAAAGTCATACAAGAAGTAGACAATCTGAATAGGCCTATATCTATTAAATTGAGTCAACAATTATTTATAATCTTTTAAGATAGAAATCACCAGGTCCAGATGGGTTCATTGGTGAGTTCTAATTCTACCAAACATTTAAGGAAGAAATTACACCAATGTTAACATTCTCTTTTGCAAGACAGAAGCAGAGGGAATACTTTCTAACTTATTCTGTGAGGCCAGTATTACTCTAATCCTAAAACCAGACAAAGATATTGCAAGAAAAGAAAACTGTAGACCAATATCTCTTATGAACATAAATGCAAAAATCCCCAACAAAATATTAGCAAATCAAATTCAACATTTATAAAATGAACTATATGCTGTGATCAAGTGGGATTTATCCAAGGCATGTAAGAAATTAATCCATTACATTAACTGGCTAAAGAAAACCAAATCATATGATCATATCAATAGATGTTTAAAAAACATTTGACAGAACCCAACACCCATTCATGATTTAAAAAAAAACTCTGTAACTGTAAAACTTGGAATAGAGAGAAACTTCTTCAACTTGAGAAAGAACATCTATTAAAAAAATCTACAGCTCAGCAAAGTGGGGGGGGGATAAAAATGTTCTAAAATTAGATTGTAGTGATAGTTGCACAACTCTGTAAATACACTAAAAAATACTGAATTGTAGGTTTTAAATGGGTGAGTGTTATAGTATGTGAATTGTGCTTCAGAGTGGTAAATAATAATTTTTTCAAAAGAGGTAAGGGGACATAACAGCCTAAATGCAGTAAAGAGCGTCACTGAATTAGGTGTTGGTATTGGGATATGAATGGAAGATTAAAAGTATTTTATGAATGTGAGAATAAAACTATAGCTAACGTTTTATGTAATGGTGAGAATCTAGAACTTAAGATTCCCAGTAAGATCAGGAACAGGATAAGGATGTCCCGTTTTACCACTCCTTTTCACATCATACTGGAAGTTCTAGCTAATGCAGTAAGATAAAAAAATGAAAAGAAATGTATACTGATTGGGAAAGAAGAAATAAAACTCATTTTGTTTGCAAGATGATATGATTGTCTATGTAGAAGATCCAAAAGAATTGACAAACTGGAACCAATAAGCACAAGGTAGCAGGATACAAGGTTAATATGCAAAAGTAGATTATATTCCTATATACCAGCAGTGAACAAGTGGAATTCTAAAATTAAAAACACAATACCATTACATTAATATCTCCCAAAATAAATACTTAGGTATAAATCTAATAAAATATATATAAAATATGTACAAAGAAAACTTCAAAACTCTGATAAACAATAACTAAATAACATGTTCATGGATAGGAAGACTATATTAACAAGGTGTCAGTTCTTCACAATTTTATTTGTAGACTGAATATAATTCTAGTCAAAATTGCAGTTTGTTGTAGATATTAACAAACTGATTCCAATAAGTTTATATGGAGAGGCAAAAGACCCAGAATAGGCAACTTAAAATTGAAAGAAAAGAACAAAATTGGAGATCCAACATTGCCTGACTTCAAGACTTACTTTACAACTACAGTCATCAAGCAGTGTGGTATTGGTGAAAGCATAGACAAATATTTTAATAGATCAGTGGAACAGAATAGAGAGACCAGGAATAGATCCACATCAGTACAGTCATGTGTCACTTAATGACAGGGATACATTCTGAGATGAGAAATGCATTGTTGGATGATTTTGTCATTGTTCAAATAACATAGAGTATATTTACACAAACTTAGATGTATAGCCTGCTCTGCACCTAGGCTGTATGGTGTAGCCTACTGTTACTAGACTGTACAGCATGTTAACTGTAGTGAATACTATAGGTAATTTTAATATAACAGTAAGAGTTTGTGTATCTGAATGTAGAAAAGGAATGTAAACATACAGTTTAAAAGATGATGGTATACTTTATATAGAGTACTTACCATGGAGCTTGTTGGGCTGGAAGTTGCGTAGGGTGAGTCAGTGAGTGAGTGATGATTGAATGTGAAGGCTTAGGACATTAGGGTACACTACTGTAGACTTTATATACACTGTACACTTAGACTACACTAAATGTATTTAAAAAGCAATTGCATTACAATGTTATGAATGGCTACAACAGCTATAAAGTCACTAGACAATAGGAATTTTTCAGCTCCATATTATAATTTTATGGGACCACTGTCATATATACGGTCTGTCCTGAAACATTGTTAATGCAATTCATGATTGCATAGTCAACTAATGGTTCACAGAGGAACAAAGACAATACAATGGAGAAAAGATAGTTTTCAACAAATGGTACCGGAGCAACTGTCTATGTGCAAAAAAATGAATCTCGACAGACCTTATACCCTTCATAAAAATTAACTCAAAATGGATCAGAGACCTAAATGTAAATTGTAAAAGTATAAAACTCCTAGAAGATAACGTAAGAGAATATCTAGATGACTGGGTTTGGCAGCGAGTTTTTATCCTCAACATCAAAGACGTATTCCGTGTTAGAAAAAATTAAATTTAATTAAAAATGTCTGCTCTGTGAGAGGTACTTATCAAAAGAATAAAAAGACAAACCACAGACTTGAAGATATTTGCAAAAGACATATTTGATAAAGGACTTTTATCCAAAGTACACAATGGACTCTTAAAACTTAACAGTAAGAGAACCAACAAACCAGTTAAAAAATGGGCCAGGTACACTGACAGATAACCTTACCAAAGAAGATATACAAACCTCAAGAAGCATGTGAAAAGATGCACTATATCATCTGTCATCATGGAAATGCAAATTAAAATGAGATACTACTACATACATATTTGAATGGTGAAAATCCAAAATACTAACTACATCCAGTGCTGGTGAGGATGTGGAACAACAGGAACTCTCATTCATTGCTGGTTAGAATGCAAAATGGTACAGCCTCATTGAAAGGCAGTTTGGCAGGTTCTTACGAAACTAAACATAGTCTTACCATATGATCTAGCAACCAAAGAATTGACAGTTTCTATCCATACAAAAATCTTTATATGGAAGTTTATAGCATCCTTTTCAATAATTGCCAAAACTTGGAAGCAACCAAAATGTCTTTCATTATGTGAGCGGATAAACTGTGGTATATTCAGACAATGGAATATATCATTCAGTGCCAAAAAGAAATTATCAAGCCGTGAAAAGACATGGAGAAATCTTAAATGTGTATTTACTAAGTGAAAGGAGCCAGTCTGAAATGGCTACTACATATTGTATGATTCCAACTTCATGACATTCTGGAAAAGGCAAAATTATGGAGGTAATAAAAAAATGAATGTGGTGTAGGGGTTAGTGAGGGGAGGGATGCATATGCAGAGCACAGAGGGCTTTTAGGCCGATGAAACTATTCGGTGTGATATGATAGTGGATGCATGCCATTATGTTTGTCCAAATTCATAAAATGTACAGCACTAAGAGTGAAGCCTAAAATTTTGGGTGATAAGGATGTGTCAGTGTAGGTTTGTCAGTTGTAGTAAATGTACCACTCTGGTGGGGAATGTTGAATATGGGGAAGGCTGTGCATTAATGGAGTCAATGGGAAATCTCTGTACTTTACCCTCAGTTTTTTATGTGGACCTGAAACAGTGGTATTAAATTAGAAAAGCTAAAGGAACCAAATTAATGTTCTAAAGTCTTTTTTTGTTGATATTTGAGCAGTACTTTTCTGAAAGAAGAGTCACTAAAGTGCTTTCAATATTGTGTCAAGAAGTATTGTTGACATTTCTTGTTGTCAGTACAAGAAAATTAATAGCCATGATTGGACTGTGTCATTAAAATTAGATAGATAGGATAATGAAAGCACTTGCTTGATAGTGATGTTGTGAGGATTGAATAAATATATGTCAAGTGCTTAAAACAGGGCTTTACACATAGTAAAGTGCTTAGTAATTGTTAATTATTAGTTGAGAATTGTGATGAGACTTTTTTCTCATTCTGCACAATGGACGCTTGATGATCAGTTGATTCTTTTATCCATCCATGGCAAGGTCAGCTATTGGCCCAGGGCAGTCATTCCTTGGGCTCTTGCAAAGGTCCCCTGAAATTCCTCTCTAGGAACTTTTAGTTTCCTGCTTAGAATTTCAGAATGGCTAGTATATTGCAGTCAAGTGGTAAGGGTTTAAAATGGGCTCTGCCTTTAGCCCTGTGTGATTCAGGGCAAATTGCTTCACCTTTTGCTTTCTTTCTTTGCCCATCTTGTCTCAGGAAATGCCCTTTCTCATTTCCTGTTTCATTCTGAACATCTACATTGGACTTCTTTTACTTCCACACAAATGTCATATTTTCACCTACACCTAGCCATTTGAACACACTGTTCCCTTTGGACAAAAAATTTTCTTTCTCACCTCTTCCCTCTTGCTTTATTTGGCTAGATCATACACATTCTTGCATTAAATTCTCTTCCTTTAGGGAAACCTTTTTTTTTTTTTTTTTTTTTTTTAAAAAGACAGAGTCTTGTTCTGTCGCCCAGGCTGGAGTGCAGTGGCGCAATCTCGGCTCACTGGAACCTCCATCTCCCGAGTTAAAGCTATTCTCCTGCCTCAGCCTCCCTAGTAGCTGGGATTATAGGTGCATGCCACCATGCCTGGCTAATTTTTGTATTTTTAGTAGGGACGAGGTTTCACCATGTTGGCCAGGCTGATCTTGAACTCCTGGCTTCAAGTGATCTGCCTGCCTCGGCCTCCCAAAGTGCTGGGATCACAGGCATGAGCCACCGCACCCGTCCCAGGAGAACTTTTCTAACCAATTTCCAGCAAACTGGTTTGTATCTCTGTTATGCTTTCCCTTCACACCATCGTGATTTTTCAAACTTTTTGTCCCATTTACGGTTGAGTTCCCAGAGGGGTTGATGAGATCTGATCTATTTATTGACACATTCCCAATTCTTGGCACGTAGAGGAGGCTCGCAATAAATGTTCTATACGTCGATGAAACAAAAATACTAGTGATAATAATGTTACTTAAATTGGTTAGCATTATTTCAGTAAGTACTGTTTCTTTGCAGAATTTTTACTTGTTCCTGCAAAGCTGCTGGAGCTCAGAAGCTGATTCTATCACATTGTAAGATGCCTTTGGATAATTCTACAGTCCTCTTAAATGAATCTTTAGAACTTGGCAAGTCTCACTAGATACCTTCAATCATCATTTTGAGCTCAAAGGTATGCTATCTTTGTTTCTTTTCCCTTAATCATGGTTGGGTGGAATTTGCAGTGTACCGGTGGAAGCATAGGACAAGGAATTATAAAAATACTTGGGTAATGATCTGCTACTTTCCTTGGCAGCTTTTATTTATCTTTAGAATTTTCATTCTTATGAGGAGTAAGAAGGTTATTTATTGGGAAAAATAATTGAAATCCAGATGTAAAGTATTTTAGCAATTCCTGAAATTTCTCAAAACTAGTGCTCAAAAGTAAGAGTCATAACTTACCTTTTCCTGAGTTTAAGGAAGATGATTTGCAAATGACTGAAAGTCGAGTAAGAATTATTTCCTGCCAGGCCTTAGCTATAGAGATAAAGTGTCAGCTGACTGAGGTAAAAGAAGAGCCAGACTGCAGCTCCTCTTTACAAGCAGGCCTTCACTGGGGTCTGCACACCACCAAATTTATTCAGCCTGGTGCCTGCTTTGGTATGACTCATGAGCTAAGAGTGGTGTTTGCATTTGTAAATGGTTGAAAAAAAATCTCGAAGACTAACTTGTGACACGTGAAAGTTATATGAAATTTAATTTTTAGTGTTTATGAGTAAAGCTTTATTAGAACATTAGCCATTCTTATTTTTTAGGTTTTGTGTATGACTGCTTTTAGGCTATAGCAGCAGTTAAGTACAGTCATGCATTACATGGTCAGTGATGGACCAAATATACGACAGTGGTCCCATGAGATTATAATGGAGCTGAAAAATTGCTATTGCCTGGTAACATCATGGCCATCATGTCATCATGGCACAACCCATTACCTTTTCTATGTTAAGATATGTTTAGATACTCAAATACTTATATTGTGTTACAGTTGCCTTGAGTATTCAGTACCATTGCATGCTGTGCAGGTTTGTAGCCTAGGAGCAATAGGCTATTCCAGATCGTCTAGGTGTATAGTAGGCTATACCATCTAGGTATAGAAATAGTCTGTGATGTTGACACAATGACAGATTGCCTGTGCATTTCTCAAAATGTATCCCCACGACATATGTCTGTAGTTACAGCAGAGACCCCAGCACTTTGGGAGGCCGAGGCAGGCAGATTATGAGGTCAGGATATCGAGACCATCCTGGCTAACACGGTGAAACTCCGTCTCTACTAAAAATACAAACAATTAGCCAGGCGTGGTGGCAGGCGCCTGTAGTCCCAGCTACTCAGGAGGCTGAGGCAGAAGAATGGCGTGAACCCGGGAGTCGGCGCTTGCAGTGAGCCGAGATCATGCCACTGCACTCCAGCTTGGGCAACAGAGCAAGACTCCGTCTCAAAAAAAAAAAAAAAATTTACCCGTGTGGCCCTTTACAGAATAAGTTTAGCTGATCCTTGCTCTACATGGCTGAAGGAGTATTTATAGATTTGAGTGCTATGGTTTAAGAGATGAATTGGGGGGAAATTAGAGAGAGATAGGAGTCCATGCCAATTCTCAGTGACTTAATTATACTTTTTTCTTTAGTGGAAAGTATTACACATATTCTAATTATATTGACCTGTGTCATTTTAAAATAGTAAATCAGGGGAAATGGATTCTTCTATTATTTTTATTCTAAAATGAATATGTGGGAATATGTAGAAAGAAAATTAGTATGCTGCTCTGTTTTTAACCAAGTTTTAATGTTACTATAATACCTTACATACCTAACATCTTAAGTACTTAAAAGATTAGTTGATGACTGACTCAATGAAACAAAAGTAGTTCATTGGAGATGAAAGTACACTGTCCCTTTGGAGTCAATGGATAGGCCTAAAGGATATGGTTAAGTAACTCTTTTGTAGTCAGACACAGGCAGGTTAAGTACTATATTAGGAGATAGAAGACCATAATTTTTGTGTTTACCTTCTTTGTCCCTTGAGAACACTTAGTTATGTGACTCGGGGCACATTTACCACTCTGAATCTAATTGCTTCATTTCCAAATTAGGGAAAACTAATACCTTTACTGTCTGAAAACAGGAGTCTTGGTGGTTTGCTAAATTACCAGTTTCCTAAGAGTGGGTTCTGTGCCTTTTTAGCTCACCACTGGATTTCTCAACTCCACAGTTAGCATAGGCCTGGCACATATTTGGCACACAGTAAGTGTCCAGTGAAAGAACAAGGTATGTGCCAGTTCCAATAACTGTTATGTCTATGCATGATCAAAATCATTCCCCATTCTTTAAAGGTTTGCTTATTGAGACTGGGTGTTTTTGTTAACTGGAGGAGAGAATTTTGATGAAAATAGTAATTTTCTGTAGATCCTTTTTTAAAAAGTTATTTTATTTATTTATTTTAGAGACAGAATCTTGCTCTGTCACCCAGGCTGGAGTGCAGTGGTGCTCTCTTGGCTTCAACCTCCACCTCCTGGGTTCAAGTGATTCTCGTGCCTCAACCTTCTGAGTAGCTGGGACTACAAGCATGCGCCACCATGCCTGGCAAATTTTTGTATTTTTAGTAGAGATGGGGTTTTGCCATGTTGGACAGGCTGGTCTTGAACTCCTGACCTCAGGTGTTCCCCCAACCTCAGCCTTCCAAAGTGTTGGGATTACAGGTGTGAGCCACCATGCCTGGCTCCCCCCTACCTTTTTTTCTTTTTGAGACACGGTCTTGCTCTGTCACCCACGCCAGAGTGCAGTGGCATGATCTCAGCTCACTGCATCTCCCAGGCTCAAGCGATCGTCGCACCTTAGCCTCCTGAGTAGCTGAGACTATAGGTGCATACCACCATGCCCAGCTAACTTTGTTTATTTTTTGTAGAGATGAGGTTTCACTATGCTGCTTAGGCTGCTCTAGAACTCCTGGACTTAAGTGGTCCTTCTGCCTCAGCCTCCCAAAGTGCTGTGATTACAAGCATGAGCCACCGTGCCCAGCCTAGGTCCATTTTCTGCAGATACCAATCAAATCATTGGCCAAATTTATTTGTATAAATTGATTGTATATTGCTATTTAATAGAGAGAATATAAACCTCTAATCTAAGAATTGCTGATCTCAAAGAAACCTGGAAACCTCCTCATTATAAAGCTTTAAAATGTATATACTATAGACCGGGCGTGGTGGCTCACGCCTGTAATCCCAGCACTTTGGAAGGCCGAGGTGGGTGGATCACCTGTGGTCAGGAGTTTGAGACCAGCCTGGCCAGCGTGGTAAAACCCCATCTCTACTAAAAATACAAAAAATTAGCCAGGTGTGGTGGCGGGAGCCTGTAATCCCAGCTACTTGGGAGGCTGAGACAGAGAATTGCTGGAACCCGGAAGGCAGAGGTTGCAGTGAGCCGAGATTACACCAGCCTGGACAGAGCGAGACTCCATCTCAAAAAAAATTAAAAAAAATAAAATATAAAATAAAATAAATACCATATGCTAAAAAGCCACTCTTGAATAGGAAGATTTATGTATTTTTTTTATTTAAGTCTTCTGAACTTTTCGCAGCTCTTACACTGAACCTCTTTTTTTAATGGAACTTCCCTATATGGTTTTTTTTAAGAATTCCACTTTTAAAATCTTATCTTGCAGGATACCATGTAAAGATAAGATTGTTTAAAAGGTATTTAGCAGAAGCCGGGTGTGTTGGTATGCACCCCTAGTCCCAGCTACCCAGGAGGCTGAGGCAGGAAGATCATTTGAACCTAGGAGTTCAAGACCAGCCTGGGCAACATAGTTAGGCCCTGTCTCAAAAAAACAAAACAAAAGATATTTACTGAAAGAAAAGTGTTTCAGCTTAAAGAAGTCTGGGTAGACATGACAGCTAAATGCAGTACATGACCCTGGATTGGATTCAGTATTGGAAGAGGGAAAAAGTCTTGGAGGGCAGTTTTTGCTCAACTAAAACAAAAAAAGAGAGAAAATAGGCATTACATTAAGATACTGTATAACTGTTAAGTTTCCTGAAGTTGGTAACTATACTGTAGATATTTAAGAGAATATCCTTGTTGTTAGGAGGTATAGTTGAAGTATTTAGAGGTAAAAAGGTATGATATGTGCATTTTACTTTCAAATGGTTCAAAAAATATGTTTATGTATGATATGGACAATAATGCAAAATGTTGACAGTTGGTCAACAGGATTGTTGTTGACAGTTGGTCAAATCAGGATAAAGGATATGTAGAAGCTCTTTGAACTATTCTTAACTTTTCTGCATGTTTGAATGATTTCCAAGTATAAAGTTTAAGAAACATGTTTAGCAGCTATGTATAAAACTGGAAATTACATCCAGTTAATTTTATTTTTTATTTTTTATTTTGAGACAAGGTCTTGTTCTGTCACCCAGCCTGGAGTGCAGTGGTGCAGTCACAGCTCATTGCAGCCTGGACTTCCAGGGCTTAGTTGATCCTCCTGCCTCAGCTTCCCAAGTAGCTGAGACCATAGGCACGTGCCACAACACCCAGCTAATTTTTGTATTTTTAGTAGATAAGGGGTTTTGCCATGTTGCCCAGGCTGGTCTTGAACTCCTGAGCTCTAACGATCTGCCTGCCTCCGCCTCCCAAAGCGCTGGGATTACAGGTGTGAGCCACCTTGCCTGGCTACTGTTACTTTCAAATTAACATTTATTTCCATTAAAAATACACTTAGAGTATTGCAATAGGACTGCTTAAAAAATATAGTCCCCTTTTTTTTTCAAACTGCTTTTACATATACTTTGTTTACATGATGGTACTGTTATTGAAAAGAATTTTTTTGTTTGGTGGCGTATCATTATGTGATCACAAGTATAAGTATTTCTTGTTCTGTGATTTTTTTTTTTTGGTGGGGGGGTGAGGGGGACAGAGTCTTGCTCTGGCACCTAGGCTGGCATTGTCTCAGCTTACTGCAACCTCTGCCTCAGCCTTCTGAGTAGCTGGGACTACAGGTGTGTGCCACCATACCCGGCTAATTTTTGTATTTTTAGTAAAGACAGGGTTTCACTATGTTGGCCAGGCTGGTCTCGAACTCCTGACCTCATGATCCGCCTTCCTTGGCTTCCCAAAGTGCTGGGATTACAGTGTGAGCCACTGCGCCTGGCCTGTTCTGCGATTCTTTGCTGGATTTAATAAGTTTATGACTTAAGTTTTATAAAATAGGTTTAATTATTTTATAGTAATATGGTAATGAAATGAAATACAACTTTGCAAATGTAAAAAATACAATGCAAAGATGAGCTCTTTATATTAGCAGTATTTTTCCTGATTATCTCAGTTATTTTAATCGTAGGGTCATAGTTAAATACCAATAAGTATAATTTAGAACTTAAAAAATTCTTGAGTACAATTTACTAAGTTTTTATTGATCCTGTACTTTAATATGTTCAGTTCAGATTCATTAAAAATTGATTTTGTTCTCAGCTCCATAAAAATACTTTGTTTAAAAGTGGGTCTGGTTTTACTACCATATATTTATTATATTTTGAAGGAAATTCAAGAATAAGGGTCTGTTACATGTGTTTCTTAGAACGGTATTAATACAATTTTGAGCATTTACTTTGAGGCATTATATTCTAAGCACTTTACATTTAATATTTATTTCATTCTTATGACAACCTTATTGTGATACATTGCCTTGATTTGCTGAGTGTTTTCAATTCCAGCTAAAACTAAGCTTAGATGTGAAGCCTCAAGTTGTGTTTTTTTTTTTTTTTTTTTTTTTTGATGGAGTCTCGCTGTGTCGCCCAGGCTGGAGTGCAGTGGTGCGATCTTGGCTCACTGCAAGCTCCACCTCTCGGGTTCACGTGATTCTCCTGCCTCAGGGTCCCGAATAGTTGGGACTATAGGCGCCTGCCACCACACCCAGCTAATTTTTTTTGTATTTTTAGTAGAGACAGGGTTTCACTGTGTTAGCCAGGATGGTCTCGATCTCCTGACCTCGTGATCCGCCCGCCTTGGCCTCCCAAAGTGCTGGGATTACAGGCGTGAGCCACTGTGCCCGGCTTTTTTTTTTTTTTTTTTTTTTTTTACCTCTTTTTGCCAAATAGAAACTGTGGAAACTAGTGATCTGGAATGTAATAAAGAAAAATTGATTGTTTATAATTACACTAAGAAGAAGTACCTGCAGTGTTACAATTTTCTAGTTTGTGAATATTGGATAACTCTAGCTTCAAGCTAGACTTTCTGTTGACCTCATGTTATGGGAAGGATCCACATACCAAGACAATTCCTCAGTAATTGTGTTAAGAAAGAACGTGAACATGACTTTTAGTACCCACAAAGAGGCAGGCTGATGTAGAACTTAGCTTTACTAGACTTTTTAATTTCATAGTCAAATAACCAAAAAAAATTAAATTTAAAAAATCAAGGGACTGACATGATATCACTAACTTTTTTTTGTTTACTCTTTCATCAAATTATAACACACATATTATAAAGTGCATAAATCCTGAGTGTCATTTTGATGAATTTTTATGAAGTCAACACCCATTTAACTAATATCAAGAATAAGATATAGGACATTTTCGTCAACCCAGGAGCCTCCTTCATGCCCCTTAACAGTTATTACACACTCCCAAAGATAACTATTATGTGACTCATTCAGTATTGTCTATTTTTGAATTCTGTGCCTAGCCTTTTAAAATCTTGTTTATGACTCATCCATGTTGATGCATGTAGCAGTGGTTCATCTTTTCTGTTGTTGCTGTGAAATACTTCATTGTATGGATATGTCAGTATTTATTCTACTGTGATGAACATTTGGGGTGTTTCTAGTATTGGCTGTTATGAAGAATACTTCTGTGAACATTCTTGAGCGTGTCTTTTGGTCCACATGTGTACACATTTCTGTTGAGTAGACACCTAAGAGTGAAATTGCTGGGTCTTAAGGTATCTGGCTGTTTAGCTTTAGGAGATTATCCTAGTTTTCCAAAGTAGTTAAATTAATTTACATTCCCATTAGCAGTGTACAAAGAGTTCTCATTGTTCTACATCCTCACCAACACTTGAAATTATTAGTGTTTTTAATTTTAGCTCTTATGGAGCATATGTAGTAAAGGTCTATTGTAGTTTTAATTCGTAATTCCCTGATGATTTAAAAGGCTTAGAATATTTTCAAATGCCTGTTGACCATTTGAATATCCTCTTTGGGGATATGACTGTTATGTCTTTTGCTGATTTTTCTGTTGAGTTGGTTGTCTTGATTACCCCAGAAATAGATAATTTCAGTTGTTCAGTTGTATTGAAGATATCTTTCCTAGTCTTTGGCTTGCTTCTTCACTCTAGTAGTGTATTTTGATTAAGATAATTTCTTAATTTTAATGAAGTCCATTTTATCAAATTTTTTTATGGTTAACGCTTTTTATGTTTCATTTAAGAAATCTTTGCCTACCCTAAAGCCAAGAAGATGTTATCTATGTTTTCTTCTATAAACTTGACTGTTACAACTATTGCATTTAGGTTTATGTGTGATATATGTAAGCCTCATAGTTCATTTTATTTTCCGTGTGGAAGTCCAGTTGTTCCAGTAGTATTTATTGAGAAGATCATCCTTTCCCTACCGTAATGCAGTAGTACTTTTGTTGTAATGCAAGGGACTGTTTATTCATGGATTTATTTTTGGACTCTATTCTGTTGGTCTGTCATGCCATTGCCATACTCTTTTAATTACTGTAGCTTTATAATAAGTCATGATATCTGATAGTTTAAATCCTCTAATTTGTTCTTCAGAATTACCTTGGCTTTCGTGATCCTTTGAATTTCAATAAAAATTCTGCACTCAGCTTATAAGCAGTCCTCCGCACTACCCGCCACAAACCTGATTGGATTTTGTCTAGCTTAGTGTAGAATTTATAAATCAATTTGGAGATATTGGATGTTTTTCAGTGTTGAGACTTCCAATCAATTGCAAGGTTGTATGCCTTCTTACATTTAGACTTTTATAATTTCTCTCAGGGCGTTTTGTTATTTTACGTGTAAAAACAGGTCTTATATGTCTTTTGTTGACTTCGTAAGATATGATAATGATATTGTAGTTATGTTTTATAAAAGCCCTTGTAGTTTATACAAATATACTGGACTGTTTACAGATGGAATGATACAGTACTTGGGATTTGCTTCAAATAATCCGAAAGAGTGGAGAGGAAGGGAAGGAGCAGAACAGATGAAACAAGATTGATTAGCCATGAGTTGATAATTATGGAAACTGGGTGAAGGATATATAGGATTAATTATATTATTATTCTAACTTTGTGTATATTTGTAATTTCCCATAAAAATAGGTTTAAAAAAGTGTACTATGACTAGTCTAAAGGTAATGGGTTATTTCATTTGATTGTTCACAGTCCGTTACAGATTGAACTCCTTGTTCTACTCTTTCACCCTCTTCTCACTACTGCACTTGACAAATTTAAAAAAATATGTATAAGCCAGGCATGGTGGCTCATGCATGTAGTCCCAGCTCCTTGGGAGGCTGAGGCGGGAGGGCCACTTGAGCCTAGGAGTTTGAGGTTGCAGTGAGCTGTGATTAGGCCACCACACTCTAGCCTGAGTGACAGAGTGAGATCCTGTCTCTTAAAAAAAAAGACAGAAATTTTAATATAAATAAATACTAAAAAGTGTAATGATTATAGTACACTGAAATACACAAAAATGTAGTAATTCAAGAATTCATAATAATTGTTTTAAAAAACCCTCATATACACCAATTTATTATTCTGAAAATAATTGGTAAGTGAAAGGAAAAAGTCAACCATTTATTAATCTTTTTCTGTAGAGATTATATTCCAGGACTACCAAATAGTTAAGAGGGAAAGCATATCTTTAGAAGAATTGTAGCTATTAAGTAACATTGGAGGTCAGATGTGGTGGCCCATGCCTGTAATCCAAACACTTTGGCAGGCTGAGGTGGGAGGATTGCTTGAGCTCAGTAGTTTGAGATCAGCCTGGGCAACATAGCAAGACCTCGTCTCTTCTAAAAACACAAAAATTAGCCCTAGGCATGGTGGTGCATGCCTGTAGTCTCGGCTGCTGAGGAGGCTGAGGCAGGAGGATCACTTGAACCCAGGAGATCGAGGCTGCAGTGAGCTGAGATTGTGCCACTGCACTCCAGCCTGGGTGACAGAATAAGACCCTGTCTCAAAAACAAGCGCAAAAACAGACAAACAAACAGAAACACTGGAGAACGATCGGCTTACAAACTCACCACAGTGCATACTCCTAATGAAATAATGATTCTAGATAACAATTAGTCGTGACTACTAAAGCCATTAGGTGAAATTTAATTGGGAAATGGATAAAACATAATGGATAGGCAAAAGTGGAGTAAGCCTCTCTGATTAGAACTTAAAACCCCGGTTAGGCCGATGCTATGGCTCATGCCTTTAATCCCAGCAATTTGGGAGGTCACGGCAGGAGGATTGCTTGAGCCCAGGAGTTAGAGACCAGCCTGGGCAACATAATGAGATCTTGTCTCTGCAAAAAATTAAAAAGTTAAAAATCAATAGGGCATGATGGTGTGTACCTGTAATCCCAGCTACATTGGGAGGCTGAGGCAGGGAATTGCTTGAGCCCAGGAGGTCGAGGCTGCAGTGAGCTGTGTTCACACCACTGCACTGCAGCCTTGGTGAGAGAGTGAGGCCCTATCTCAAAACACACCACTCCCCCCAAACAAAACAAAAACAACAACAAAAACCCTCTAGATAGAAACAAAAACAATTATCTGAAGACTTTCGAAAGTAAACAGTAATAGGCAAACTGAGAAGGGAAGTCAAAACCTGAATAGCTTGTGTAGTGCTTAGCTTACCATTTTTTTTTTCTTTTTGTTATCCAGCTTTAACCAAATGGTAGGCTGGGTTGTAGAAGTACATGTTGAGTGCAGCAGTTAGCAAAAACTCCAAGAGAAACCCTTTATTTCTAGTCATAGGACAAAGAAAATTCCCCCCTTTTTTTCTCTCCCAGCTGTGCCCTGAGACCATCTCCATTTGTAAAATTACATTGCCATAGTGGTATATGTACTTAAAATCCCAAGAAGAAAGCCGTCTCTCTGGCCAGAGGAATTGGGAAAGAGAACTCTGGAAGCTGGAGCATGCTTTGGAAGTCTCAAAGAGAAGACACCTAGTTTGGGGGGAGATTCCCTAATTGCATGTATGAACACACAAAGGTCCTACCTACTGCATCCATGAGCTACACGTACATGGAACAGAGCGAAAGAAACATGGCAAAGACCTAGAGAGCTGAACTATGGTGTAAACCACTGCTCAAATCCCAGAGTTGCCCCTGAGAGATGCATGCGGAGGATAGATTTAAGCAGCATTGTGAACGCTTTGAAAACTGAAACAACGATTGGTACTGTGGCCTGTTAGGAACCAGGCCGCACAGCAGGAGGTAGGTGACTGGCTAGTGAGCATTAGCGCCTGAGCTCCGCCTCCTGTCATATCAGTAGCAGCATTAGATTCTCATAGGAGCGTGAACCCTGCAGTGAACTGCGAGTGCAAGGGATCTAGGTTGTATGCTCCTTATGAGAATCTAACTTAACAAGTGTGATGATCTGAAGTGGAACAGTTTTGTCCAGAAACCATCCCTAACAAGTGTGATGATCTGAAGTGGAACAGTTTTGTCCAGAAACCATCCCCGCTGTCCATGGAAAAATTGTATTGCATGAAACCAGTCGCTGGTGCCAAAAAGGTTGAGGACTGCTGCTTTAGAGGATGTTAATGGAACCTAGAATCTCATAACTTAATATCTAGAATGTCCAGGATATGATCCAAAATTACTTGACATACAAAGAAACAGTAAAATCTGACCATTTTTAAAGGAAAAAGAACATAAGCCAGTTGACAACTCTGAGATGATCCAGATGATGGAATTATCAGAAAAAAGCCTTAAAGTACTCATGTTCATGAGGTAAAAGTGAACACTTCTGAAAGGAGTGTAAAAATAGTTCTCTGAAAAATAAAAACTATATGAAATAATCAAATGGAAATTTCAGAGCTGAAAAATACAATATATGAAATACAGATGTACTGCATGGGCTCAGTAACAATGGAGATGACAGAAGAGTCAGTGAGCTTAAAGATGAATCAGTAGAAATCCCATCAGATCTCGTGTCTTCTGTATCAAGAGTATATGTCTGTTCTATAATATACTTGTTATGTCCATGTTGGATTCTGTGAAACCTGGTCACAGGCCTTCTGGCTGGTGGATTCTTGTACTACCTACACGTCCTCATTTATCCTATATTTACTCCTACTTACGTGATGCAAAGACCTATGCAGTTTGAGCCCCATCTCCCCTGCCACTCCACAGATTGAGATATGGTCTTGGCCTGCCATTTTCCACACCTTGTCATTTTAGGGTAAGGATCAAACAGTCAGTGGGTTAAAATAATAATAATAATAATAATAAGGAACTAGATAGATCAATTTTTTAAATTTGAAAGCTTTGAAAGTAAATAGGGACAGAAAAGCAGAAATGGGTAACATATGTATAAATTATATATTGCAAAATCTTCTAGTTCAAAGGGATTACATTTTTTCCTAAATATAAACTTAGATATAATGATTATTTTAGTGAAGAAGACATGCTTTATGGTAGTTTTTTTCTGAATTATCTGTGGTTCAGGATGCATCTAAACTTCTTTGAAATACTTTTCAGATGATTTTGAATTTGCCGGGCCTACTTGGCTACACAAAAGCAGCTGGCAGTTTACCCGAGTTTTAATAAGTCAAAACAACTGTCTTTTCAGTGAAATGATTATTGCACAAAGGGGAATACTTGTGGCCTTGAAAATTGATGCATTTTTTGGTGGTGTTTTAAGTGGCTCTGGTGACCTCATAGATGTAGTACATAATATGTCAAACATTGTCATTATATTTATACATATTAGTTGTATGTTATTAAACAACTCATGAATTAGCTCTAAACCTAGCATTGTCAAAGTACTACTTAATAATCCGATTTCCTAAGAGGTCCCTAGAGGATTTATAGTACTAATGAAATTCTGTACTTCTTTTAGGTTGCTAAAATTCTGTATCTCTTTTTTTTTTTTCTGGAGATCCATCTCAGAAATCTATATACATTTGCCCTTTTAAAAAATAGGCTTCTACAAAGTCTGGGGTTTAATTCATCTTTTTTGGACAATCTGTTTAGTGCATATAAATTACATCATATGTGTTTATGGTGTAACAATTAGTTTTCCAAAAGGGGAAATATGTGCTAGTATTCATTTGGACATTGACAGATTTTTCCGTTCAGAAGAATATCCCTAGAGCCTGTTGCTACCATATAGCAATAAAGTTAGACTTTAGTTACAGTTGAACGCATGCAGCCTGAATTGTCATACACATTATTTTCCAATTCCCTTTAAGAAATATGAAAGGTTAAGATAGTTCAGAAGTTAAGAACTACTGGCATAGTACTGTAGTCTTTTATCTATTAATAGATCAAATTATCCTTTGATGTTTCACCTTTCCCCTCAAAAAATATTTGATTTTGTCTTTGCCAAACAGAGACTTTTTGGTCCATGGTACGTGGTAGGCAGAATACTGACCCTTCAGAGAGGTTCATATCCTGATTCCTGGAACCTGCCACTATGTTAGGGTACATGGCAAGGAATAATTAAGGTTGCTAATCAGTTAACCATAAAATATGGAGGTTATCTTAGATTATCTATGTGGGCTTAATGTAATAAGGGAAGAAAGAGGCAGAAGAAATGGCAGCCCGAGAAGGACTTGGCCTCCTGCTGGCTTGAAGATGGAGTAGAGGGAGCTATGAGCTAAAGAATACGGGTGGCCTCTAAAGCTTGAAAAGGCAAGGAAACATTCTCTGCTAGAGCTTACAGGAGGGAATTCAGCCCTGCCAACACCTCGGTTTTAGCCCACCTTGATTTTAGCCCAGTGAGACCTATATTGGGCTCTCACCAACAGAACTGTAAGATAGTAAATTTGTGTTGTTTTAATCCATTAACTTTGTGATAATTTTTATAGAGGCCATAGGAAGCACATAGTACCTCTTCAGTTTTTCACTAATAACATAAAGTTTATATCATGATTAGTTGAATCTTGATGTGAATGACAATATGATTTTCTGTGAAGGTCAATTCCAGTTTATTGTATTAAGATATTTATGTTGATAATATATTGGGTACTGGTGGACAAACCTTTGTTTTACGTAGAGGTCTTTATTTTCTACTATCTAGGAATGGTGACGTGATTCCTTAGTGTAGCTGGAGAATAAGGAGTCTGTGTACAGTAAAGTAGAATGGGAAATGAGGAAGGAGAAATAAGACTAAAGCTAGAAAGGAAAATTGGTGTCTTGGAATGTGATAAATAATCTTCAGAAGCCTTAGAGCCCTGAACAAGTTTTTCATTATTTGCATTATATGTGTTTGTGTTAGTAAATACTGTAAATTGGAATTTTAAAAAGTTTTTATAGTCAGCACAACTTGAACTATATTAAAGTGGTAAGCAATCATTACATTTTGCCACAGAATAGCTTATCAATATGATAAGTGTATAAAGGACTCAGTGGTCAAAAGGAAGGCTAGAGTTTAGAGAAACATGAAAAAGAATGAAGCATTTCTCATAGAAGGTAATTAACAACATAACCAATCATTGACTGTCACTATGTTTAGTCTTCCCGACCATGTCAAATAAACTTGCTTTACTCCCTTGTGCCTTTACTAGGAAGAGAAACTGAGGCTCCAACAAAGATTATGAGCTGGCACAGTTTTTTTTTTCTTTTTAAAGACCCAACATAAATAAGTTAGAGCTATATTGTCAGTTTTTTTGTTTTTGTTTTTTGATTGTTTCTTTTTTTTTTGAGACGACCTCTCGCTCTGTCACCTAGGATGGAGTGCTGTGGAGCAATCTTGGCTCAATGCAACCTCCACCTCCCGGGTTCAAGCGATTCTCCTGCCTTAGCCTCCCAAGTAGTTGGGATTACAGGCGCCTGCCACCACGCCCGGCTAATTTTTGTATTTTTAGTAGAGACGGGGTTTCACCATGTTGGCCAGGCTGGTCTTGAACTCCTGACCTCAGGTGATCCACCCACCTTGACCTCCCAAAGTGCTGGGATTACAGGTGTGAGCCACTGCGCCCAGCAGTTTTTTTGTTTTTTTAAAAAAAGTTTGTGTTTTTTGTCTTTTTGCATCAGGTGGATCACATGCTATCCCAGTTTGTGAGAGAGGGCTTAGATGCTTAAAATTGAGGATACGGAGGGTCTTTTGGATATTAGTAATGGTGAATTCTGGGGTAACACTAGCAGAATGAGTGGGAGGTGGGGTGGAACACAAAATTGTTGCAGAAGAGATCAAGGAACTCACTGGCCAGTTTTGGGGGATCATTTTGTGTACATTGAAATTCAAAAGAGGTATTGGAGAGGGTCACACCCTTCGTGGAGTGAAGGGGCTTATCCTGGGGTTTGTGAATGACTACAATAAGGAGGGGATAATAGCTGATGTAGTCTGGTGGCATGAGAGTCAAAGCTAAGGTTTTAGGGAGGGAGAGAATAATTCAGAAATGACAGTGAGTTACAAGGAAGTTCACCCCACCAACAGGGCTTGGTCATCTGAGATATGGGAGAGTAAATATATTTTATCTCACATGAGAGAGAAGCCATTGTTTGAAAGGGCTGGAGTTAGAGCAGAACTCCCAGAGGGGAGAGAGGTTACAGCTGGGAGCAAGTAAGGTGAAGAGTGTGCAACAACAATACTGAGGAAATAGGATATTTTAACGACGATGTGTACCATGAGTTCCAGAAGACACTGCGAAAGGATTTCGGGAATTGGGGGAGGAAGAGAAAAGGGGTCAGTGTAGGGACATACAGAGTATATAGGGATGAAAGTATATAGGGATGGGGGATGACTTGGGAGTCTTGGGCATTTCTTGTTGACTGATGTAAAAAGAATGGAGGGCATAATGGGATTCTCTTTGATGATCTCCTATGCAGGTTGCTGTAAATACTGAAAGGGAAGTGTTGGTGAGAGCCAGGTTTATCGAGAGAAACCGGATTCTGTATAGTTTTCTGTTGCTACCATACAAATAACCACAAACTTAATGGCTTAAGACAATACAAATTTATTGTTTTACAGTTCTGCAGCTCAGAAGGCCAACACAAATCTCACTGACCTGAACCCAAGGTGTCAGCGGGCTGCATTTCTCTCTGGAGGCTTCAGGAGAAAATCTGTTTCCTTGTTTTTTCCAGCTTGTAGAGGCTACCTGAATTCCTTGGCTTGTGGCCACCTTCTTTCACTTTCAAAGCCAGCAACTTTGCATCTTTTTAAAAGAATTATCATTTCAGTAGGTTTTTGGGGAACAGGGGGTGTTTGGTTACATGGATAAGTTCTTTAGTGGTGATTTCTGAGATTTTGGTGCACCCATCACCTGAGCACTGTTCCCAATGTATGGTCTTTTATCCCTCATCCCCCCTCCTATCCTTCCCTTCTCCCCGAGTCCCCATGGTCCATTGTATCATTCTTATGCCTTTAACTTGCCATCTTTTTGACCGTTCTTTCTGATATATCAAACCACAGCTAGGAAAGGTCCTTTCCTCTTAAGAACTCACGTGATTATTTTGGACCCACTTGGATAATGCAGGATAATCTCCACATCTCAAGATCCTTATCCTTAATCACATCTGCAGTGTCCTTTTTTGCCATGTGACATAACATCTTCATAAGGTCCAGGGAAGAGGGAATGGACATTCTTCGGAGGCTGTTATTCTGCCTACCACAGGGCTCCCTCTTTCTTCCTGCTGGTGTCAGGATGAAGGCCAGGTGTAGAGTCGTATAGCTTCAGGTTTATGGTACCTGATTACATGTGAAATTCATTCTGAGGCTTGTGCTCTCCCTCCACCTTCAGGTTTTATGTGGGGCTTACTTGGGGCTGAGGACAGATGTAGGCCTTAGTCTTATCTCTGAAAAGGGGATAAGGTGCTCCTATACTCTGTGGGCAAGATCAGTCTGTTATATGAATACAAAGCTCAGACATTACTTGAAAAATATATATTAGTTGAATCGTTGGAATAGTATTGTCCCACTAAGAGAACTGTATTAATTTTTTAGTTTTTGTTTATTTAATGAGGTTTAGTGAATATCTTACATCTTGACATTCAGCAGGCTAGAGTTATAGTGTCAGTTGATGTTTGTCTTGAGCCAGAATCCTCTCTGGTTTTAAGAGGTCTGGTTCATAAAACTGGTTTGGGATGTGGTTCTTATTCTTACAGGTCAGTTTTCAAATTTAAATTGATTGTAGAGATAGCTGTAAAACCAAATATGTGTTTTATTTTGCCAATATCTTATATCGGTTGTAGAGGTGGCTAATACATTCAATATTGAATAAATTGAGAACCACTGTTTAATTTCATTTTTTCCTCGTACATTAAACAACGAATCTAAAAAGTATTAAATATTTGGGCCTTTCTTTGCAAGTTAAAATAGTTTTTCTCTTAGAAATAATTACTGTTTCAGTTATAATACAAAATCAGTAATCTGCAGAAGCAAGTTAGAATTTTTCATAAGTGGTAATAAAAGTAGTTAAGGTTTGTTCCTTAGGTTTTGTATTATACCGGTCAATTAAATTTCAGCACTACTTTTAATTAATGTTAATAGATCCGTCAGTTCCCGAAATACCTGTGGTATCAGAATTAACAAACCTAAATTCCAAAGTAGGTCAGTGGGTCAGTAGGTTATTAGGTTAGGGAAAAACTGTAGTTTTAATTTTTAAAATTCAAATTCCTGAGTTAGCCATTTTTAATTAATAATTTTAAAATTATTAACTAGATGAAACTTTGTTTTCTTTAAATGGCTAGAAAAATAGTCTCTGTTAAGTTTTTGTTCTCTGGAATAGATAACAGGTTGTGTTTTATCTTATTTGCCTCCTCATGTATAGCTAGGCCTCTAGTATTGGACAATTAAAAGAAAAAGAAAAAAAATGCAGCACTTAAGCTTTCTGATTATAAAAGTAATGCATGTTCATGGGAGAAATTTTAGAAAGTACTAAAGAAAGAACAAAAAACACCATCCATAAACTACCTAGGAGCAATCACAGTTGATACTTTTGCTATATTCAGGTTTATGTCTGATATATTTTCATGCCACTGTTAATGCAGTTAGACATTTAAATTTGTTCTAGCTTTACTGTTTTTATTTTATTTTATTTTTTTTAGAGACAGAATCTCGCTCTGTCACCCAGGTCAGAGTGCAGTGGCGCTATCTCGGCTCACTGCAACCTCCGCTTCCTGGGTTCAAGCGATTCTCCTGCCTCACCCTCCCGAGTAACTGGGATTACAGGCGTGTGCCACCATGCCCAGCTAATTTTTATATTTGTAGTAGAGATGGGGTTTCACCATATTAGCCAGGCTGTTTTTGAACTCATGACCTCAAGTGATCTACCCACCTTAGCCTCCCAAAGTGCTAGGATTACAGGCATGAGCCACTGTGACTGGCCTAGCTTTATTATTTTTAATAATATCTCAATGAATATAAAAGTTTAGATGCATCTTTGATTATTTTATTATTTCTCAAAGTGAAATTACTGAGTCAAAGGGCATAATTTTCAAACCAATTTATTTTTTAAGAAAGAGAAATTCCTCCTTTTCTTGGTTTATAAATTCCTTCTATTCCTAGTTTGTTGAATGGCGTTTTTTTTTTTTATCATGAATAGGTGTTGGATTTTGTTAAATGCTTTTTCTGCATCAATTGAGATCCCTCATACGATTTTTATCCTTGGTTTTGTTGATGTGGTGTAGCACATGGATTGGTTTTATTAATATATGTTGAACCTTGCTCAAATCCCAGGGATAAATACCACCTGGTCATGTGGTATAATCCTTTTAATTTACTGTTGCGTTTGGATTGGTAGTATTTTGTTGAGAATTTTTCATCAATATGCATAAGGAATATTGGTCTATAGTTTTTTTCTTATGGTGTCTTTGGCTTTGATATCAGCATAATGCTGGCTTCATAAAGAGTTTGAAAATGTTCCCTTTTCAGTTTGTTGGAAGCATTTGAGGGGGATTGGTATTAATTCTTTCAGTGTTTGGTAGAATTCTTCAGTGAAGTCATGTATATGGTCCTGGCTTTTCTTCATTGGGAAGTTTTTGATTCAATATAATTACAAGTTATATGTGTCTGCTCAGATTTTCTTTTTTTATTTTATCATTCTGACTTACTGATTAATTTGTCTATTCTTAAAAAAACTATGTACTCTCTTGTAAAGTCATCTGTGCTGTTGCATGCAGTCTTCTCTTTGTTGTATAGCATTCCATTATATGAATACCACATTTTGTTTATCCATTGTACTGTCAATGAACATCTGGATTGTTTATAGTTTTAGACCATTATGAATAAATCTGCTGTGAACTCTGTTCACATTTTTCTATTCATGATTCAGCCTTCGTGGTAGATGGCATATTTCTAGGAATTTATCCATTTTTTCTAGGTTATCTAATTTGTTGGTGTATATTTATTGAGTTGTCTCAAAAAAATACTTTTTTATTTCTGTGACATCAGTTGTAATTTCTCCTTTTATTTCTGATTTTGAGTCTTCTCTTATTCCTAGTGTAGCTAAAGATTTGTCAATTTTGTTAGTCTTTTCAAAGAAACAACTCTTAGTTTTGTTGATTTTTTTTTTTTCCTATTCACTGTTTTATTTCTACTCTAATCATATTTCCTTCCTTCTGCTCTCTATGGGCTTTGTTCTTCTTTTTCTAGTTCTTTGAGGTATAAAGTTGCATTGTTTGAGATCTTTCCTTTTTTTTTTTTTTTTTTTTTTTTAGCACACCTGCAGGAATCTTTCTTCATTTTTAATGCAGTCATTGACTGAAATAAGATTCCCTGTCAGAACACTTTTGCTGCATCCCATACATTTTGGTATGTTGTGTTTTCGTTTGTCTCAAGATGTTTTCTAATTTCTCTTTTGATGTCTTCCTTGACTCTTTGGTTATTCAACAGTGTGTTTAAATTTCATCTGCTTATGAATTTTCTAGTTTTCCTTCTGACATTTCACTGTGATCAGAGAAGATATTTAGTATAATTCAACCTTAAATTTGTTAAAACTTGTTCTGTGCCCTATTAGGTGATCTGTCCTAGAGAACGTTCTCTGTGTACTTGAGAATAATGTGTATTCTGCTGTTGTTGGGTGGAATGTTTTGTGTATGTCTGTTAGGTCCATTTGGTCTATACAGTTGGCCTTCTGCATCTGAAGGTTCCACGTCTGTGGATTCAACCAACTGTGGATAAAAATATTCAGAGAATAAAACCATTTACAAATAATACAAATTTAAGAAACCAATATAGTATAACACCTATTTACATCACATTTACATTGTATTATGCATTATAAGTAATCTAGAGATGATTTAAAGTATAGGGGAGGAGGCACATAGGTTATAGGCAAATACTACATCATTTTATATAAGGGACTTAAGCATCTGCAGATTTTGGTATTAATATTTGGTGGGGGGTCCTGGAACCAGTCCATGTCAGATAACAAAGGATGACTGTACTGATACACTGTTTAAATCTATGCTTTCCTTCTTGATTTCTCTTGGATTATCTGTCCATTATTGAAAGTGGGGTATTGACATCTCCTGCTACTATTGTATCTGCTGTTTCTCCCTTCAGTTCTATTGATGTTTGCTTAATATATTTGGGTCCTCTGATGTTGGGTGTATATATATATATATTTATAATTGCTATATTTTCCTAATGAATTGACTCTTATTACTATATAATGTCCTTCTTTGTCTCTTGTATTTGACTTTACATCTATTTTATCTAAGTATGGTCACTTATACTCTTTAGGCTGCCATTTGCATGGGATATATTTTTCCATTCTTTCACTTTCAGCTTCTGTTCTTAAATCTGAGGTGAATCTTGGAGACAACATGCAGTTGGATCTTTCTTTTTTTTTTTAAATCCATTCAGCCACTCCATGTATTTTGATTGAGGAGTTTAATCCATTTACGTTTAAAGTGATTACTGATAGAGAAGGGCTTGCTGTCTTTCTTGTAGTGCTGTTGTCCCTCTTTTCCTTTCCTCCTGTTTTTCTCTGTGTTTCTTTCTTTCTTTCTTTATTTTTTGTAGTTGTGCTTTGACTCCCCTCTCATTTTCTTGTGTCAGTCCTCACATGTGATTACCATGGGGCTTATATATAAAAACACCTTATAGTTAAAACAGTCTGTCTTAAGCGTATAACAATCTAACTTCAATTGCATATAAAAATGTAACTTTCTTACTCTTCCCTTGTTATTGATGTCACAATGTTATCCTTTTATGTTGTATACTCATTAACATTTTTATAGTTACAGTTTTTTAATACTTTTATCTTTTAACTTCTGTACCAGAATTAAGTGATTGTTTTAGTTTATTCATGTTTTAAGTTATTTTGTTTTCTTTTAGAAACAATTTATAGAATTTAAAATTGGTTATATACATTTTTGTGACAGTTCTAAATTTTATTTTTAAAAATTATTTTAAAACCCTTTTAATGATAAACTTCTATGTAAGTTGAATAAATCTAACATTTTTTCTTGTTTAAACAGAATTCTGAGACTTATGGTTGGTCATATAGAAGAGTACCTTGAACCTATAGTTTCCTGAAGAATCAGTTTAAAAGATCCAAGGAGTACAAAAGGTAAAGAAAGGTGCATCTTAGAATGCATCGTAAAATGATATTTTTCCAGAAAAATAAAAGAATTCATCAACTATTTTGACACACTAATTTAAGGAAAGTTTAATTTAAAAAAATTTTTGTGTGTTAATTTACCACCAAACGTAGTACCAGCTATGTTCCGATAATTACTTTAGATACTGGGGATTCAGTGATGAACAAGACAGAAGCTGTCCCTGCTGTCATGAGAACCGCCTTCTAGAAGAAGAATAATACACAAGTGAGAAACACAAATAATACACAAGTGAGAAATTTGTGGTTTGTACTGTGCAGAGAATTAAAATGGATAAATGGATAGTGTAAGGCTGGGCACTGTAAGGCTTGTGCCTGTAATCCTAGCAGTTTGGGAGGCTGAGGTGGGAGGATTGTGTAAGCCTAGAAGTTTGATACCAGCCTGGGCAACATAGTGAGACCCCATCTCCACCAAAAATTTAGAAATTAGCTGGGCATGATGACGTATGCCTGTGATCCCAGCTACTTGGGAGGCTGAGGCAGGAGGACTTGAGCCTAGGAGGTTGACGCTACAGTGAGCTGTGATTGTGTCACTGCATTCCAGCCTGGGAGACAGAGTGAGACCTTGTCTTACGTGTACAAAAAAAAGGATAATGTGGTAGAGACTGGTGACTGCTTTCATTAGGCAGTCAGAGATAGCCTAATTGAAAAAGGGGAATTTTAATTGAGATCGGAATGGCAAAAGGAGCCAGCTGTGTGAAGATCTGAGAGAAGAGCTTTATAGATAGTGAGAACAAGAAAGACAATGAAATGTTTGAGGAACATAAAGAGCATAATGTGACTGGAATACAGTAAATGATGGGGAGAATATATGGAGATCAGGTTGGGGGAAAAAACTGGGAGAGAAGCAAATTTACAGAAGAAAGTTAAGTGTTCTGTTTTAAGTATATGACATTTTGGACACCTTTAAAATCTGTAGAAATGTCTAAAAAGCAGTTGGATATCTGACTGCATTTGACAATCTATTCTAGGGGTGTGGATTTGGGAGTCATTGGCATGTAGAAGTGTGATTTATCTAGGAAGTGTATACAGATTTAGAAGGATTCAGCCCTGGCACATGCCAGTATTAATTAGAGGAGAAGGAGCAGCCAGCAAGATGAGTACAAAAGCAGGAGAATATTCTGTCACTGGAATCAAGAAAAGAAGGTATTTAATAAATGCAGAAGTGGTCGTCTACATCACATATTGCTTAACGGTCAAATAGAGAATAAAACAGCCATTAGACTTGGCAATATGGAGATTTGGGATAACTAATAAGAGTGAGCAATTTGAGTGGAGTGGTGGGGATGAAAGCCTAATTAAGAGTGATGAAAGAATATGGGAAACTGCTAGAGATGGCAAACAATACAATTAAATTTTATTTTCTCTTGAAACCTCACTGAAGCTAAAGTAAGAAGATTTTTACGAAAGACATAACAGGACAGAGAGAATGGAGAAGAAACAGTAGCAACAAAATTTGGGACTGCAAAAGGGAGCATAGTAACTTTCTTGCAAATCCCAGGATCCTAAGCCTGCTGTGGGAAAGCTGAAACAAACTTCTTGGCACTGTAGAACCTCTATAATTTTCATGAATTGAAAACTATTTCTGGAAATAGGAGTGATGGTGGAACTAAAACAGGATGATTTGTTGCAAATCTGTTTAAGGGGTAATTATATTCCATGGATCCTTTTCTTAACTTTGGAACCAAGGCAGCCACCTTTTTCCTATCTTAGCAGAAGTCTGGAGATTTATTCCCTAGTAAGGATAAAATAAAGGAGCCACAAACATGGCTGAGAATGGGGGTGACATGTTAAAAATAGAAGGGTTAAGAACCCAGGGTACCAGGTTTTTATACTCTTCAGGCAAGAGTTGAGAAGATACATAATTATTTTCTCTGAATTATAATCATCTTAAAAGATCTAAAGATTCTGACATTGAGAATTCCCCAAAGAAATATTTCAACCTGATAGCCCTACAGTAAAGTTAACAGTCAGCAAGCTGTATCACACAGAGCTTCAGTTTTTTTAGCGCTTACCCTTAAATGTGAGCTCATGTTCAGAGATCAGTAGACAGCTGAGGAAAAACCTCTTATGTGCAAGACAAAGGCCAAACCAAAAGGTAAAACACCAAGTTAGGGGAAATGGAGAGCAGTTAGGTGGGCGAAAATTAAACACAAACCTTACATAAAGGTAAGAGGGATGCTATATCCATGAAGTATGAACGAGAAACAGTAAGAAATGAAATTAGAAATGAAAAATTCATTGGAAAGGTTGAAAAATAAAATCTATTGAAAGTAGAGCAAAGAGCCAAAGAAATGGAAAATGGTAGAGAAAAAATAAGAAAATTACAACTGTCCAGGATCTCCAATGTTCAAATAAGTGCTCCAGAAGGAGAGAGAGGAAACAGAGGGGAAAAACAAAGAATAGAGAACAACTCGAGAAAACTCTCCAGAATTAGAGGACATGAGTTACCAGTTAGGAAAAGCCTGTTGAGTGACCAGTACAGATATAAAAAGCCAAAACAGGGCACATCACTGTTCAATTTTAGAAAACAAGGGAGTTTCCAGAGTGAAATAAATAACAGGTCACATCTAAAGGATCAGTAATCAGAATGGCTTTGCACTTCTTGACACCACACTGGAAGCTAGAAGATAGTGGAGTCTTCAGCATTCAGAAGGAAAAGTGATTTTCAACCAGGTATTCAGTATCCAACTAAACTGTTGATTAAGGATAGACTAATGACAGTTTTAGACTTACGAAGCCTTAAAAAATTTACCTGTCATGTCCCCTTTCTTAGGCAGTTATTGGAGGAATTACTCAACAAAAATAAAGAAGTAAACTAAAAAAGATGAAGGCATAGGATACAAGTAACAGGGAATATGACCTAACTAGAGACCCAGGGAATCACCAGGATGATGATGAATAATGATCACAAGAAGACAGCTTGTCCTCAGGTTAGTAGATAGTTTCCAGTCCCAATAGAAACAGGTTGGAAGATTTCTAGAGATACTACTGTGAGAAGGTGAAATTGGTAGAATGTGTAATGTGTTTGAAGAAATAGTAGATACAGACAGGGAAGAATTTGTAGTTAAGTTGGTAGTAAGTATAAACAAAACTAGGTAAACAACAAAATGGTAACTCTAGGAAAAACTGCTCAAAAGGAAAAGTAATTATAGTATACTATATGGCTTAGCTGTGAATTGGCATTTACGGAGTCATAATGATGTTAACTCCAAATATAACCACCTAACCAAAATTATGATATTGAGAAATTGGGGAAATGTGCATGTGTATGAATAAAATAGTAATGTGATACATGTTGAGCTGGGAAGTCATATCACCAGATGACTCTGATCTCAAGTTGCTTAAGTAAAGGAGCATTTGATTCCTAGCTGTAACTTGATCCTTTATAGTTGGGGAACTTTGTTTTTTGGAATTTTTAATTTTAATTTTAATTTGTGTGGGTACCTAGTATATATATTTATTTATGGGGTACATGAGATGTTTTGATAAAGGCATGCAATATGTAATAATTATGCCATGTAAAATGGGATGTCATCCCCTCAAGCATTTATCCTTTGTGTTATAAACAATCCAATTATACTATTTTAGTTTTTTTAAATAAAACTGGTGAATTTTGGATTCCAGTAACTGCAACTGATCCTTTTGAAGACATTGCATATCTTTGTGGTCTAATGTCGAACTTAAAAAATAATGAAATGTATTCTATATTAGATTATATGTTTGACATTCCACTTCAGCTTGTGTAGGGAAGTGGCATGGCATCTGTATCCTTAGACTCCACAGCATGGACAAGTGTGACTCTAGCTAGTCTCTTTCTGAATTGAAAGCGTGGGACTTGCAGTAGTCTGCAAACAAAGTATTTTGGCTGTTCCACCTTACCAGTTTGTCTTGTTAAAGTTAATTTGACACCATTTTTAAAAGTTTAGGGAAATCTTCTAACATTTGCTCTAGGGTGCATGTCCAGCCTATTTTACTTACTCCTTTCCCTTAAGTAAAATGTGTATGTCAATTGGCTGGAAAGATGAAGATCTTGTGCTAGACTGTTAAGAGTTATATCTGACCGGTCATGGTGGCTCACACCTGTAATCCCAGCACTTTGGGAGGCTGAGGCAGGCGGATCACCAGAGTTGAGGAGTTCGAGACCAGCCTGACCAATATGGTGAAACCCCATCTCTACTAAAAATAGATAAATTAGCTGGCTTGTGGTGGTCTGGGCCTGTAATCCCAGCTACTCAGGAGGCTGAGGCAGGAGAATCACCTGAACCTGGGAGGCGGAGGTTGCAATGAGATGAGATCGTGCCACTGCACTCCAGCCTGGGCCACAGAGGGAGACCCTGTCTCAAAAAAAGAGAGAGAGAGAGAGATCTTACGTTGTTCTATTAGCTGGACGACAAATAATTTTTGGAAGAATATTGTTAACAACAATAGTAAAACAGCCTAATAAAGCATCAGCCTGCATCTTCTAAACTATATTGGATTCACCCTTCTAGTAGTCAGCAAGGCTTTTCCTGTAGTATAACCCTTAATTCTTGGCGTTGCCTAGTCCCCGCCACCACCCCCTGCCCTTTTTTTGGTAGTTTGTCTTATTTTCTACCTTTTGATAATTAAGCCATACTTACTGGGTGCCTTATAAGGCTCAGATCTGGCCTTTTGAACTTTTTACTCTTAACAATTCTTTTTGAATTCACTGAAATTTGCCCTATTACTTTTATACTGTTCTTCCTCTTCTAGTGATAGAATCAGCCTCACTTCTTACCATGAAGATAAATATGTCTGTTGGACCAGAGAAATGTACTTAGGTGGTCTTTAAATTCTCTTCTACCTCTAAAATTCTGTAGTTCTGTGTTCCATCTGCTGATACTACCTCAGACACTTAAAATCACAACTTTTCATCCTGGTGTTAGTCCTTTTTATTTTATTATTTCTATCTTTGACTCTGTCACTCATTTTCTTTTAAGAACTCTTAGCCCTGGGTATGGTAGCGAGCACCTGTAATCCCAGCTACTCAGGAGGCTGAAGTGGCAGGATTGCTTGAGGCCAGGATTTCAAGGCAGCAGTGAGCTATGATCATGCCACAGCACTCCACCCTGGGCAACAGAGTAAGACCCCATCTCAAAAACAAAAAGAAAAAAAAATATTCTGAGCCCCTCACAGTTCTACTTCTGCAGCCATAACCATACAGGCAATGCAGCAATGTTGCCAGGGTTATTCTCCTTTCCTTTCATGAAGGTGCATTTGAAAACAGTGACTGAATGTTTAGAATCTCACGTTCTTGTAATATCTTTAATCTTCTCTGGTTTAGAAATGCTCCGTTGAGCATTTCCTTTGAATGTTGAACATTATGTTGATGCTCAAAAGCTTTCAGATTTTGGAGTATTTTGGATTTCAGGTTTTCAGATTAGGGATACTCAACCTATAGAATATAGAGAGACAAATTTTAGGCTTGTGATCCAGCTTTAAAGCAGTAAGTTTTACTTCCTTCAATTTGGGTATGAGACTCTTTATAGTAAGACTCTCCTGTACTTGACTTGCCTTTGCCAGTTTACCACTTGTATTCTCAAACTTTATGGTCTAGTAATTATAACTTTAAATTGTAACATCCCAGGTTTTTCATAAGGAAAATGCTAAACCTCTTAGTTTCTCAAATACGATATTCTTTTGTCTCACTAAGGCCTGTGCCTTTACAAATTGCCATTCCTGTCGCTTAAAATTCTTTCACCTATTATCTGTTTCTGTCCTCCAGCCTGTTGCTTCTCAAACTTAAGTGGTCATACATTATCACGTGGAGCCCTTGTGAAAATGTAGATTCTGGTTCATTAAGATTTTGCCTTTGAAAACAAGCTCTCAGAGGATGGTGATGCTGCCCATCCCTGCACCATATTTGCATTAAAAAAGAATTTTGACTCCCTGACAGACTTACTGTCATCAAGAATATTTCCTCGTTTCCCCTCTCTAATTCCCACGGGTAGACATAATTGTTCCTTGCCCAGTGATAGCATTACACAGTATATACCTTCATTATACCTCTTATTATAATTATTTAGATATCTATCTTCCTGCTCAATTGCAAATTTTTCCTACAGGGACTGTGTCTTTCACTGTTATGTGCCCAAAGCCTGCTGTACTGTTTAGCAGAAAATAGGCTTTCAACAAATATTTATTGCTGAATAGATGGTGTTATTACAGACTATTTGTAGTTATATAGTCAAATATATACTGAATATTGAGAATGTCCATTTTATTTTGATTGATAGTAAAGAGAAAGTTAATATGAGCCTGAATTACTTTTTTTCTTGTAGGTGTTTTTTAGGAGGGGAAAAGAAGCCTCAAATGTACCTCAGCCATAGGTATTTGCTTGAAAATAATGTTCTGATCTTCAGTACAAACAAAACGTTTTGAAGTCTCTGTGATAACATATAGTATTTCTCAAGATAAGTTTGTGGAAGTAACATTTTTAGAAAACTAATGACCATTTATTTTTCTTTTCACCTAAGGAGAAGTACAAATGTCTACTACAAGACGAAAACGTAGTATGTTATGTTGTTTACCGTAAGCTGTAGTAAAATGAGCTCGATTGTTGACAGGTATGTTTTTGAAGACTTATTTTAAGTTATATATAATTATTTTAAAATGCACTATTAGAATAATGGTCTATATGAAATTGATAGAAGGAATTTTATGCCTAAACATAATTACTATTGCATTCAGTTTCTGTATTAAACAAATATAGTATAAAAAAATAAGTAAGGTATATCAGTATTTTCCAGAGGCAAAGTCAGCAGCATATGGCTTGTGTGTTTTAAATGAGTCCTGACTTGTAATTTTTAGTGATTTGGTCATAGCTGCTCTGAAGGAAATTCTGACAGTTGCAAATGTTTCCTTGGAACCTTCTGGAGTCCTTTTTCTTCTTATCTAACTTCATCCCTTCAAGCATCTTAGCATTTGTGACTGATAAGAAGTAACTATAATTAGGATTTCATTAGTTAAAATTGTAATCTTTACATCATACTCTTGGGAAAAGGGTAAATCTCCATATTCCTTTGATTTTAATACTTGAAATTTTTGGAGGAGGGTGGAAGGGGGCAGTGAGGGTTAAAAAACTATTGGGTACTGTGCTCACTACTTGGGTGGTGAGATCATTGGTACACCAAACCTCAGCGACACGTAGTCTACCCGCATGAAAAACCTACACAGGTACCCCTGAACCTAAAGTAAAAGTAGAAAAGAAAAGACTTTAAGTTGTCTTTGTTTTTTACATTTTAGCATCTCTTATCATAATTTAATTGGTAGCACTCTTTTTTTCTTTCTTAAGGGCACATAAAATAGTGGTGATCTTAACAGTCAATAATATCTTAAATTTGATATAATCCAACAACATTTTTAAAGCATCTACTCTGACAGCAAATGTACAGAATACTTTTTTACATGTTATTTAACCTCAATAATTCTGCAAGATTTTACAAATGAGAAAACTGTAGGTCAGAGAGGTTAAATAACTTGTTTAAAGTCACATAGCTAGTAAGATATGATCTGGAATTTTTACTTGTGTTGGTTTGTCTGACATTAAAGTTGTTAATGCGTTTATTGCACTGTTCGGTGTGCTCCATCCATTGGGATTCTTTAAGAGTTTTGCAGCTAGACTTGTACACAGAAGTGACTTTTGACATCTGGGGACAGCTCTTCTCCCTTTTTATGAGCTAGATAGTAAAGATGTATACTCCACCAGAACTTAAGATGTGAGGAGCAAGAAACTTCCTTAAAGAAGCCTGCCTGCACCATGTCAATAGCTTTGAACTGTGCCATAGTTACAGGCGGAATTAATGATAGTCTTTTTCTTGGAAAAGATATTTCTTCACTGCCTTTGATGGATAAAATATGAATTTGGCATTATGCTTTTCCCATTCTAGATAGTATGACACCTAGGGATGACATTTGTATTTTCAGACATAAAGCAGTGATTATTAATATGGGTTCCTTATCTCTGAATGTCATGGAAGTTATGAACTCTGTTCTCGGAAAATTCATATACATATAACAATTTTTTATAAATTTCAGGGCCTACATGGAATCCCCAAGTTCATACATGCACCTCCACCATGATATGAGTGTTACAGGTGATCTCAATAGTGACTCCATTTTATAGCATATAGGCCTTTATAGGCCATAGAAAGGTGTGGCTAAAGGAGTGAATAGGGAATTTATGTAAAACTTCATAAATCAGCAGAAACTTTAATATTGCTCCTAGGGTTGAGTTAGCCACCAATGCTCTTGATTTTATTTTTTAGGAATGGTCTTTCCTTACATCTTCCCATAGCCAGCCCCTTCTTGTCACTTAGATCCTAGCTCACGTGTCCCCCACTAACCGCTCAGACTGCAGTTACTAAAACATCACCCCTTTAAAAAAAATTAAAACTCATCTCTTTTTTTTTTTTGAGACAGAGTCTCACTCTGTTGGCCAGGCTGGAGTGCAGTGGTACGATCTCGGCTCACTGCAAGCTCCACCTCCTGGGTTCACGCCATTCTCCTGCCTCAGCCTCCTGAGTAGCTGGGACTACAGTTGCCCATCACCACGCCCGGCTAAGTTTTTGTATCTTTAGTAGAGACTGGGTTTCACTGTGTTAGCCAGGATGGTCTCGATCTCCTGGACCTCGTGATCCGCCCGCCTCGGCCTCCCAAAATGCTGGGATTACAGGCGTGAGCCACTGCGCCTAGCCTCATCTCCCATTTTTATACTTGTTTCTATCTACTAGAAAATGAGGCTGGGTACGGCAGCTCACACCTGTAATCCCAACACTTTAGGAGGCTGAGATAGGAAGGTCATTTGAGCCCAGGAGTTCAAGACCAGCCTGGTCAACATAGCAAGACCCCATCTCTACAAAAATATAAAAAAACTAGCCAGTCATGGTGGCATGTACCTGTGGTCCCAGCTACTCAGCAGGCTGAGGCAAGAGGACTTCTTGAACCCAGGAGGTTGAGGCTGCAGTGAGCCATGTTTGTGCAACTGCACTCCAGTCTGGGCAGCAGAGTAAGACCCTGTCTCCAGAAAAAAAGGAAAAAGAAGGAAAAACTGTAGGAAAGCAGCTAAATGTCTTATTCATTGCTTACTAAACATGTCCAGAACAGAGCACATGAGTGCTAATACATATTTGTCAAATGAATTAGTAAATGAATGAAATGTATTAATATAAGTTAATGCATTACATTGTGATGTTTACGAGTAATTGTGGTTTTAGAAAGTAAATATCTAAGAAAAAATTTAAATTATGCTGTTATAGTTAAAAATAATTTTATATAATGGCAAACACTGACTTTCTATACGTTTTTACCGTTACTAAAAGTTTGAAACAAGATATTTAAACTGGTTAAATTCTTGTTTAGCATGATGTGTTCATAATATAGCTAAGTATAAATACTTTTACAATTTATGTAATAAGCTTAAAAATATAATTATTACTGAATTTTGATTTTTGAATGTTTACTAGGAAATAGGTTAGTAGTTTGAATGTTATAACTCATTAACTTTACAAAAATCATAGGGCATAACTGAGTTGATTTACATGTCACTTTAGTATTGCTGTTGCTTAGTGAGTCTGCTCTTACTTTCTCTATCCGCTTTCTTTTAGAGATGACAGTAGTATTTTTGATGGGTTGGTGGAAGAAGATGACAAGGACAAAGCGAAAAGGTAGTTTGATTAGAGATATAAAATAGTAAATGAATGAATAATAGATAAATATAATGGTAAATAAATAGTGAATAAATGATTTCCAAAAGCTATGTGCTTTAGGAGTTTAGATATATTAGCAAGGTGGAAGAACTTAGAATATTGGTATGTAGTTTATAAATTAAATATCTTCTGACCTTTTGGAAAAGTATTATGCTTTGCTTAAACAGAAACTGAATTAGAAAATCTGACTTCAAAGCAGATAATTACAGGTATCATAAAATGATTGTTTTATAAATAATCAAGTTTTTCTCAATAGCTGTTTGTTTACTGGTTACTGCTTCACATAGAATAGCGTCTTTATTCATTTAGTACATATATTTATAATAACCATGTAAGTTAACAATCACTGGAAGTATTAGATTGAATAAAACTTGTGATTTGAATGCAGTTTTTCTTATTGGCATTTTCATAAAAACATGTTTGTCAAATGTATGATTTGTAAAATTTTCTTTAGTAATAAACTGAGCTGAAAAATTATTGCCCAAATTAACTGTATATTGGTAACCTGGAAGATATTTGTTACCATCTATGTTGATAGAAGTACATGCTGTGTCATGTCTAAATTAACATTGTATTAAACTACTTGTGTAATTAAATGGATTGTTTAAAAAATGCATATTTTTCATTTCATCAGAGTATCTAGAAACAAATCTGAAAAGAAACGTAGAGATCAATTTAATGTTCTCATTAAAGAACTGGGATCCATGCTTCCTGGTAATGCTAGAAAGATGGACAAATCTACTGTTCTGCAGAAAAGCATTGATTTTTTACGAAAACATAAAGGTAAATTTTTAACTCTGTAAAATGGAACAGACTCTCAAAGCATTAGTTAGAATCTTGGCAGAGATGCTTAAGATTGGATGCTTCCTTGGCTTTTTTAAGAGAGAGAAATCAATTGCATTTTAAAAGGTTTCCTAATATGTTCATTCTTTCATTCAACAAACATTTATTCCGTGCCTACTACATGCTAAATCCTCATGATGCAGGGTAACAGTCCTGGATTTGAAGTTAAGTCAAGCCAGGGCAGACAAACATGTAAGCACATAATTACAAATGTGAGTAGTGCTTGTAAACTGTTTGCAGCAAAAACACAGGAAAGAGTATGTCAGGGAGACTTTTAAAATAGTTGATTTTTCAACTGAGTCTTTTAGATTAAGGAAGACAGCATGTCACACAAAGGGAATATGTGCAAAAGCAGAGAGGCAGGGAGACTTCATTGTCACTGAAGCATGTTTGTGTTGGAAAATTATGGGTGTATTTGAAAGAAAGGAAAAAGCTGGATAGTATAAAGTTCTTATGTGTCATTTTAAAAGGTTTCAATGTATATCTAGTAAATCAACACTATAAAATAAAGTATTTGTTAATAGAAGAAAATCATCTTGACAAATGAGTCATGGAAAGAAAATTTAAAGAATATTAAGTATTTTGGTAACAGATAATAATAGATTTAAAAAAAACCTGTAAAAGGAAATTTCCTTTTTCAAATGCAAATGAAACTGTAAAACTCAGGACAGTTAGTAATTAGTGCCTCTGTTTTACTTCTGCCTAGCTCAGTTGGTAATGCCTTACAGGACTGGTTTATGCTCCACCACTCGTTGAAAGTGTTTTTGTTAATTTCACTAATGACATTACCTTCCTATCCCTCAATAAAGCAATAGCTTTTTCTTATACCGCATCTTCTTCTGCATCTGTACAGCACTGGAAATTTTTATCCCTCCTCCCTTGGCTTCCCTTATATTGTACTTTCTCCTCCCCTTTTCTAACTGAAACTAACTTCTTTCCTCTCTTTCTACCCTCTAAATGTGACATTCCTAAGTCTTATCCTTGTTCTCTTGCTTTCTGTACACTCTTTCTCTTGCTTATCTCATTCCATAGCTTCAGCTATTGTGTCTCTATTAACCTACCAGATTTCTATTTTTAGATGCAAACATTTTAGCCATGTATTTCCAGATAACTTCTAGATCTTTCTTTTGCATGTCCTCAAACTCAGTGCATCTAAAATTGAATTTATTTTCATTTTGTCAAGTTACCTCTTTCTCTTAACTTGCCTTTTTTCATTTTTATACCACCATCCTTTTAGTCACCTAAGACTTAAACCTGAAAAAATTTTAGGATTTTTTTTCAGCTTCCTTAGCACCATATCACAGTTGCCAAATTCTGTTGATTCTTTCGTAAATGTGTCAATATTTATTGCCACCACTATTATTACATTTTACCTCTACAGATAGTATCTCACTAACCTCAGTGCCTATTGTTAAATGGCACACTCATTGAAACCAGTCCAAAGATACTAGGAGTTCAATAAATGGTTGTTGAATGAAATGAAATGCATATATTTCCCCGTCAATAGAGGATGAATTGTGGCATTAGGTAATTTTTTTTTTCAAAATCAGATACATAATTCTCACAAAAATAGTATTTCTGTTAAGGTAAAAGGATTTTATATATGTATCATCCTAAAATAGGCCTATGTTTAATGAAACTTGATTGGATTTGTTTGTGGATTTAAATCCTTTTCCCAAATGTATATAATTGATGTGAATTTGAAAAACACAACTGTATTCCGCACATTTAGTAGCTCTACTTCTTAGTTACTCTTCATATTCCACTACAGGCATTTCTAATATGCTAACTTTTGATGAGGGACAGTATGCTGTATTTCTCTATCTGATGATAAAATCAGAATTTAGTTTATACTTCTTACTACAAATTAGAGTATATTTTGTAGAATATAGTCTATGACATAGATTTTTATTCTGCCTGCTTGTTTTAATATGTCTACATTAAAAAATAGAAAAACATTTGTTACTAGGTTTCATCATTTATGAATAGCTTTTTCATAACTAAATCTATTAGAAGTATGTAGTGAAATAAAATGGTAATAATTGTGACAAACATATGTCCCACAGCAGGGATCTCCAAATTTTTCACCATCTCTCTACTGTTGTACAAGGAGGACACTAAGAAAAATCACTGTGGGAATATTACTGTAGTAAAGTTTTTGCATAAAATATTAATTTAGTCTCTTTGATTAATTAAGATAGAGCACTTAATGTTGGGAAGAAGCTTTTTGCCCAGCAGTAGGCAGGCCTAAGGCATTCTTTGTTGAAAGCAAACCTAGTGACCTCTTTGGCCTTTTTCAGCTAATTTCCCTAGTGCTGCTCTAGACATTGCTATTTGAATGGCAAGGGAAGGAAAAGGAAAAAAAGAATTGCTTCAAAATTCTTGGAGCAAAAATCTTCTTTGGTCATTGTGTCAAATAGGAAGCAATCTCAGGCCCATCAGCAACATAACTATCAGAGTACCAAGAGAAAAACCGAAGAGACTGGTATTACCAAGAGACCAAATCCAAGGAGATAACTTGCCATGTTATCTCAAATATTTCATCATACCAAAACCTGGACCTCTTGATATCTACCCAATAAATGTTAATGCCTACGGTTGTCATCTTTAATTAGAATGGGAAGAGACAAGATAACTTGTAGGGCTTTTGTACTCCTCCGGTGGTTGGAGTATGCCACTAATATGTCAATCTGTTTACAGAAATCACTGCACAGTCAGATGCTAGTGAAATTCGACAGGACTGGAAACCTACATTCCTTAGTAATGAAGAGTTTACACAATTAATGTTAGAGGTATGTCCAGATTTAATTTTTGAAAGTTTTATTTTCCTCAAAAAAGAAATCACAGGGTGACTTAATATCCAGGTGTACCTTGGCGATATTGCGAGTTGAGTTCCAGACCACTGCAATAAAGCTAATATTTCAGTAAAATGAGTCACATGAATTGTTTTGTTTCCCTGTAGTCTATTAGGTGTGTAATAACATTATATAAAAAATACTGATCATACCTAAATTTAAAAATACTTTATTGCTAAAAAATGCTAACAATCATCTGAGCCTTCAGCAAGTCTTAATCTTTTTGCTGGTGGAAGGTATTGCCTCAGTGTCAGTGGCTACTAACTGATTAGGGTGGTGGTTGCTGAAGGTTGGGGTGGCTACGGCAATTTCTTAAAATGAGTCAGCAATGAAGTTTGCCACACTGATTCACTCTTCCTTTCAAGATTTCTCTGTAACATGCAGTGCTGTTTGATAGCATTTTACCCAGAGTAGAACTTCTTTCAAAATTACAGTCAGTACTCTCAAACCCTGCTGCTGCTCTATCAACTAAATTTATGTAATATTCTGTATCCTTTGCTGTCATGTCAACAGTATTCACATCTTCTTCAGGAGTAGAGTCGATCTCAAGAAATCACTTTGTTTACTCATCAGTGGAGCAACTCCTCATCAGTTCGGGTTTATTAGCAGATTGCAGCAATCAGTCACATCTTCAGACTCCACTTTTAATTCTAATTCTCTTGCCGTTTCTACCACATCTGCAGTTACTTCCTTCACTGACATCTTGAACCCCTCAAAGTTATCCACAAGTAATCAACTTCTTCTTAACTCTTGGTAATGTTGATATTTTGACCTTCTCCCATGAATCAGAAATCTTCTCATGCCATCTAGACGGGTGAATTCTTTCCAGAAGGTTTTCAGTTGACTTTGCCCAGATCCATCACATGAATCACTATCTATGGGAACTGTAGCCTTATGAAGTGTATTTCTTAAATAAGACTTGAAAGTCAAAATTATTCCTTGACCCATGGGCTGCAGAATGGGTATTGTGTTAGCAGGCATGAAAACAACATTAATCTCCTTGTACATCTCCATCAGCACTCTTGGGCTACCAAGTACATTGTCAGCGAGCAATAGTATTTTGAAAGAAATCTATTTTTCTGACCAGTAGGTCTCAACAGTGGGCTTTAAATATTCAGTAAGCCATGTTGTCAACAGATGTGCTGTCATCAGATGTCCTGTCATCCAGGGTTTGTTGCTCTATTTATAGGGCATACTTCTTAAGGGCTTTGGGACTTTCAGAATGGCAAATGAACATTGGCTTCAACTTAAAAGTCACCAGCTGCATTTGCCCCTGACAAGAGAGTTAGCTTGTCTTTTGAAGCTTTGAAGCCAGCTTTGGCTTCTCCTTTCTAACTACGAAAGTTCTAGATGGCATCTTCTCCCAATAGAAGGCTGTTTCATCTGCACTGAAACTCTGGTATCTAGTGTAGCGACCTTCATCAATGATCTTACCCAGGTCTCCCGGATCACTTGCTCTAGCTTCTACATCAGCACTTGCTGCTTCACCTTGCACTTTTATGTTATGGAGATGGCCTCTTTCCTTATACCTCATGAACCTACCTCTGTTCTCTTCTAACTTTTCTTCTGTAGTTTCCTTAACTCTCTCTGCCTTCACAGAATTGAAGAGCATTAAGGCCTCTGGATTAGGCTTTGGCTTAAGGGGATGTTGTGGCTGGTTTGATCTTCTGTACAGACCACTCAAACTTTCTCCATATCAGGAATAAGGCTGTTTTCACTTTCTTATCATACATGTGTTCACTAAAACTTTTCTTTTTCATTCACAACTTTGCTACTTGTTTGGTTGCAAGAGGTCTAGCTTTTGGCCTGTCTCAGTTTTCGACATGCCTTCCTCACTAAGCTTAATCACATCTAGCTTTTGATTTAAAGTCAGAGATGAGGGACTCTTCCTTTCACTTGAATACTTAAAGGCCATTGTAGAGTTATTAATTGGCCTAATTTCAGTATTGTTGTATGTCTCAGGGAATGGGGAGCTCCAAGGAGAGGGAGAGGGATGGGGGAATGGCCAGTGAGTTGGTGGAGCAGTCAGAGCACACACAACATTTAAATTCGCCACCTTATGTGGGCGAATCACCATTACAGATATAATAATAATGGAAAAAGTTTGAAATATTGCAAGAATTACCAAAATGTGACACAAGAGACACAAAGTGAACACATACTATTAAAAAAAATGATGCTGATAGACTTGCTTGACCCAGGGTTGCTACAAACCTTCACTTTGTGAAAAAACAAAAAGCAAAACAAAACCCAGTAACTGAAGTTCAATAAAGCGAAGCACAATAAAACAAGGTATGCCTGTATAAATAGATTATAGCCACGTCTCAAGTCTGAAGCAAGGTAGAGTATTTTGCAAATTGAGTTATTTTTCTGTTTGTATTTTAGATGGGACAATTAATTGTGTGATTAATTCTTTATGTATTCAGCAGAAATGTTACCATACGAAAATTTGTTAGAGTATAAATATATTATAAACATTTAAACCTGTACTTTAAATCAGAAAAATAAGTGAATAATTTTTATATATTAACTCACTGAATCCTTACAATACTCTTATGAAGTAAACACTAGTATCTGTGTGTCATAATAGCTGGTATTATGAAGTAGACAATAGTATCTGTTTCTTGCTTTCAGATGGGGAAATTGAGGAACACTTGTCTTCTTTTTTTTTTTTTGGGAGACGGAGTCTTGCTTAGTCGCCCAGGCTGGAGTGCAGTGGCACAATCTGCCCACTGCAACCTCTGCCTCCCAGATTCAAGTGATTCTTCCGCTTTAGCCTCCCAAGTAACTGGGATTACAGGCATGTGTCACCACGCCGAGCTAATTTTTTTTATTTTTAGTAGAGACGAGCTTTCACCATGTTGGTCAGGCTGGTCTCAAACTCAGCCTCAGGTGATCCACCAACCTTGGCCTCCCAAAGTGCTGGGATTACAGGTGTAAGCCTGGCGAACAGTTGTCTACTTTTGACCCTATTATGAAATAATAATACTGGCATTATTGTACTAAAGGATTTAAAAAAATAATTCATGAGTTTGCTCGAATGACAAGATTTCTACTTCTATATTAGCAAAGACTGGGTTTGTTTGAGCCATTCTAGAAGATAGGCATCTACTTAAAATAAGTTCTTTGTGATATCCAGATCTCTTTCCCAAAAGAAGGGGGGGGACAAGGGGGAGGGGACCATTTTCTATATATTCGTCAATTACATAGAGTTAGGAAAGGTTACTCTAACTCCCAGCTCTATAAATTATATACTGCAAGTATTTTTACTTGCGCTACACTAGTGCTGCAGATACAAGGATTAATAAGATATACATGGTTCCTATCAGAGGTCACTATCCTTTTCGAGAGCCATTTAAGTAAACAAGAAATTAGAATTTAGTGTATTGACCATTTTAATAGAAGAATCCCTTTTATAGTATCTTTTGTGCTGTGTATCTTCTACTTCTTCTCCACTGGATCTTCCTTTCCCTTAGACTACAAATATACTTGCTCTTTTTTCAAATGCCTTCTCTTGATACTTCACCCCCTTAGAACTGTTTGCCTTTTTCTTCCCTTCTAAAGTTCATGAATGAGTGACTTGTAATAGCCTTCTGATTTTGTACTCATTTTTAAACTCATTGTAGTCCGACTTGCCTTCCTGTTAACATAACTTTTTGAAAATCACCAAAATTCATTTCTCATTTTCTTATTCTTTATCTCATTTTATACCAAACCATTCCTCTCCTCTTCACTTTGTCATTCTTTCTTCCATTGATTCCTTGACGACAGTGTATTCTGTCTTCTCTATCATTTTCTTTTTTGTAATTTCAATTTTTATTACTATTTTGAGACAGGGTCTCACTCTGTTGCTCAGGCTGGAGTGCAGTGACATGGTCGTGGCTCATTGCAGCCTCAACTTCCTGGGCTCAAGTGATCTCGCCTCAGCCTCCCAAGCAGCTGGGACCATAGGCATGTGCCACCACACCTGGCTAATTTTTTAATTTTTTTTCAGAGACAAGGTTTCGCCATGTTGCTCAGGCTGGTCTCAAACTCCTGGGTTCAAGTGATCTTCCCGCCTTGGCTTCCCAAATTGCTACCATCACAGGCGTAAGCCACTGCACGCAGGCTTCTCTGTCATTTTCTCTGGCCTTTTTCTCTTCCTCATCCCTTATATGTAGATAATTCTTCCAGGATTTGTCTTTTGTAGATCTCATTTCTTCAGCTGTCACTTCTGTGCCTAGGATTCTCAAATGAAAATACATTGTAGTGTATAAAATACAAAATTGCATTTTTATTAAGTCTTGTACTCCCTGCTCTGACTTCTCTTCTGAAATCGAACTTCACATTTCTCAATGCTTGCTCGAAGTACTTTTCTTTATTCCTAATACTACTGATTTCATTCAGATTCCCATTAACTTCCTTAATTAGTCCAAAAGCCACTATGATTTTCCTAACTGAATTTTCTTTTCCCTCTAAATCCATTTTACACCCTGCTTCCACACTACTCTTATTGAAGCACAGCCCCCTGCCCTAAAATCTTCTGTTGGCTTACCATTGTATACGGAATAAAATTCTTATGTCTTAACCTTATATTCAAAGCCTTTTATGATATGAACTCAGCCTAATTTTTCACCTTAATTTCCTGCTACTCCCTTTTATTTTATTCTTCATATATCTCCTTAAACTTCAGATGTACACCTCTGTGTTAACATATCCATGATAATAACAAAGTATTCCTTTGTGTGCCTACAAAACATTGTTGATGTCTTGTATGCTTTGGAGACATTAGCATCTTCAAATAAGCCATAATACTGTATATACATGATTGGATCATGTAATATACCTAGTGATGAAGGTAGAACATTGTCTCTATCTTTTAGAGACCAGTTGTCCAATAGATGGCCAGAGAGAGACTTTTTTTCTCCAGAAGCATTTAAAAATGAACAAAGATACATACCAAGGTATTGTAAAGGGGGAAAGCTAGTATTATATTTTGACAGAACTTTGGATATTTCCATATTAAATCCTTTGTCATTTATCTCAAATTTTTATTTCTGTCCTGCAAAATACTTTTTTCTTTTCATTTAACATATCATTATGTTTAATTTCAGGCTCTTGATGGTTTTTTTTTAGCAATCATGACAGATGGAAGCATAATATATGTGTCTGAGAGTGTAACTTCATTACTTGAACATTTACCAGTAAGTATAAAGATCCTACAATCTACTTCGTATTAAAATGCCTATTTTAAATATTCTAAAGCACTGGGAAGTGGACTTTGAGAGCAGTGTACAACAGTCGTTAAAGGGGTAGGAATCAGAGCTCTAAGTATGTCTTTGTTTCAGCATGTGTTTTCTCAGCTCAGTCATAACTAATCTGTAGTAACTTAATATTCAACTATAGTTATGCATCACTAAATAATGGGAATATGTTCTGAGGCACTTTTGTCACTGTGTGAACATCATAGAGTATACTTATAAAAACCTCGATGTGTAACCTACTACGCACTTAGGCTATATGGTATATATAGCCTGTTGCTCTTAGACTACAATCTGTACAGCATGCCGCTGTACTGAATACTACTATAGGCAGTTGTAACACAGTATTTATATGTTTAAAAATACCTAAACATAGAAAAGGTACAATAAAAAGTACAGTCTCAAAGGTAAAAAATGGTATACCTGTATAGGGCACTCACCATGAATGAAACTTGCAGGACTGGAAGTTGCTTTGGGTGAGTCAGTGAGTGAGTGATAAGTGAATGTGAAGGACTAAGACAGTACTGTACACCTTTATAGACTTTATAAACACTGTACACTTAGGCTACTTTATATAAAAATGTTTTCTTCAATAATAATTAGCCTTAGCTTATTATAACTTTTTTACTGTGTAAACTTAAAATTTTTTTTTAACTTTTTTACTCTTGTAGTAACACTTAGCTTAATACTTTGGGAAGCCAAGGCTGGCAGATTGCTTGAGCTCAGGCATTTGAGACCAGCCTGGGCAACATGGTGAAACCCTGTCTTTAAAAAAACATAAAAATTAGCCAAGTGTCGTGGTATGCACCTGTGGTCCCAGTTAATCCGGAGGCTCTAGTAGGAGGATTGCATTGAGCCTAGGAGGCCAAGGCTACAGTGGGCCGTGATGGTGCCACTGCACTCCAGCCTGGGTGACAGAGCAAGACCCTGCCTCAGAAACACAAATATATCATATAGCTGTACAAAAATATTTCCTTTCTTTATGTCTTTATTTCAAAAGCTTTTTTCTATTTAAAAAACTTTTTTTAACTTTTTAAACATTTGTAAAACTAAGACACAAACATACACACATTAGCCTAGGCCTACGCGGGGTCAGGATCATCAACATCACTGTCCTCCACCTCCACATCTTGTCCCATTGGAGGGTCTTCAGGAGAAACAATAGGCATGGAGTCATCTCCTGTAATAACAGTGCCCTTTTGAAATACCTCCTAAAGGACCAGCCTGAGGCTGTTTTAGAGTTAACTTAAAAATATATATATAAGTCTGGGTGTGGTGGCTAATGCCTGTAATCCCTGCACTTTTGGGAGGCCGAGGCATGCAGATCACCTGAGGTTGAGAGTTTGAGACCAGCCTGACCAACATGGAGAGACCCTGTGTCTACTAAAAATACAAAATTAGCCGGGCGTGGTGGCACATGCCTGTAGAATCGCCTGAACCTGGGAGGCAGAGGTTGCGGTGAGCCGAGATCGAGCCATTGCACTCCAGCCTGGGCAACAAGAGCGAAACTCCATCTCAAAAAAAAAAAAATGTAAATAGAGAATACTCTAAATCATTAAAAGTATAGTAAATACATAAACTAGTAAGATGATTGTTTATTATCATGTACATGTGTACTGTATATAATTTTATGTGCTAAACTTTTATATGATTGGTGGCACAGTAGGTTTGTTTACACAAGCATCACCACAAGCACAAGTGCAAAGGATGACTAATGCATTGATCTATGACATTACAACAGATATGACATCACTAGACAGTAGGAATGTTTCAGCTCCACTGTAATCTTAGGGCCACCGGTGGTCATATATGCAGTCCAATGTTGACCAAAACATTGTTATGCAGTGCAAGGTCTTACCACTTTATCTGACCCCTCTTCTTCCTGTCTTCTTTATTCTAATGCTAACTTTTTAGCGTTTCCATTTTAATCAGCCTGTTGAAAATGTTAAATCACTGAGAATGTCTTGAGAATAACTAAATTTCTGCTGAGATACTTGTTGCAATTAGGGCAACTTGTAAATATTTTTCTCAATAGAATTACTTATAAAAAACACTCTAAAAATAGTAGATACAGAACTTTTTATGCTATGTGACTTTGAACTGATAATGTCATATTGGCCATATTTTAATTCATTATCTATATGACCAGAAGGATAGAGAATTAGAAAAGTATATTTTGTTTCATTAGGATGGTGAATACCTGGTTTATGTGCTTACTTTTTTTCTAATGTGTATTTATTAATATCTGCTCTGTGCCAGACACCATGCTAGGTGCTGTGCCACAGCTGATAGGCTTTTGGGGGGAGTTTTCAGTTTTTAATATGTAATGATGTTATTGAAGATGGAGCTCATGGTATAAATATTCTAAAGTTACTTATAAACTACTCTTATAATGCCTCTCTCTGGGTGCAGTGGCTCACACCTTTAATGCTAATGCTTTCAGAGGCTGTGGTGGGAGGATTGCTTGAGGCCAGGAATTCAAGACCAGCCTGGGCAGCACAGTGAAGCATCCTGTCTCTACAAAAAAATTAAAAAAATAGCTTATCTCTATAACAGGGTAAAGTAATTCTGCTTGTAAGTGTCTCTTTCAAGAGATACTGAAAAGTGGTATTTCTCTCCCTCTGATTACTCTGATACTTCATACCTTATAAAGAGAATCAATGGATTTTAGCACTTAAAAGTCCAGGCTCTCAAGGGGGCATTTTTTAAAGTTGAAAGCCATGCAGTACATAATTTGCTAATTTCTTTGGTTCATACAGAAAATAACTTTGACTTTACTGCTCTTCTGGGGCTTTATTTTCTAGTAAGCTCAAATAGTAGGATAAGCCCAACATTTAAAAACATGTTTGAGAGTAAAACATGAGATATTAGCAATGCATAAGTAAACTAGCATAGGCAGAAAAAAGGACAGACTGATTAACTGAGTTTTCTGGACAACTTAAAAAAATTTGTTTTCATAGCAAGAAAACCCAGGGAAAGAATCCCATTATAGGATTAAGATAATGTCTAAGTAATTTAAAATAAGTATAATTGTATGCTTTTAAACCATATATAACTGTATTAGGTTTTGTCATGTTTACAGAAACTATATAATCTAGTCATAGAGCATCATTTGCAATGTGTTCACACTTTCTCAAAGCCTGCTTCTTGGCACTTGCTTGAATTCCATTCAAAATTCGATGCCCTTCATCTCTGTTCTACTGTTACCTTGTATGTACTACTGTCATGATACAGAGAATTATAATTTTCTGTTTATTTGGATAGTTATGGTAGTTGTAGCTTCTTAAAGGCAGGAACTTTATCTCTGCATCCAGAGGAGCTAGCTAGTTCCTTGGAGCGTCACTCAGTGATTATTTGTTGAATGTATGAAAATGAGTGTGCTACTTGATTTGACTGTTTTAAAAAAATCCCTTTCTAATCTTTAGTGAGTTTAATTGCCCTTTGAAATAGACAACATGTGATAGATCTCATTGGAATTGAAGTGTTTGATTAACACTTCCCTCAATAAAAACCCTGTCACCTTCCCATTTTCTTCTGGACATTTTAAAAAATATTTTTAATTTTAGAACCATTTTTAGATGTACAGAAAAATGGACAAGGTAGTACAGAGAATTCCCATGTGCACTATACCCAGTTTCCTCTGTTATTAACATCTTCTAGATTTTAAAAAATTGTTTGTGTCATCCAATCACTAAATGGTAACGTTGACCTAATGTAGAAAAAACAAAGGCTACTGATTTATGTCATATAAGTAAATCAGCAGAACTTATATTTCCTTTTCATGAAACGAGTAAGGGAGATAAAAAGATCCAAGTAGTTACCATTTTCTTTTCTTACGTTTGATTGTGTTTGAGAACTGAGTGTATGTATGGTCACATAAAGTATGGTCAGCCTCATTTAGAGATTTTAAGTGTAGTGGTTAATGGAAAGTTTGACACCTATTAAAGTGGCAGGAGAGGCAGAATTGTTGGGGCAGGCATTGCTTGTGATCATACTACTCTTGATACAGGCATTCATTTTCTTTTCTCTATGAATATGAAACATCCTATGAAGTTATAGATGAAAAAACAAGGATAAGATAGGTCACATCATAATTTACCAAATAGTAGTAGAAGAAATTGTTAGTAACAAATAATAGTAGAAAACTATAATCATTCTCAAAAATGAAAATTTTAGTTCCTATTAATATTTCAAGTTGGTGGCATGTTTTTCTATTAAGATGATGTATTAGTCTGTTGTCACACTGCTATAAAGGACTCCCCAAGACTGGGTAGTTTATAAAGGAAAGAGGTTTAATTGACTCACAGTTTGGCATGGCTGGGGAGGCCTCAGGAAACTTACAGTCATGGCGGAAGGGGAAGCAAACACGTCCCTCTTCACATGGCAGCAGGAAGCAGAAGTGCTGAGCCAAAAGGGGAAAAGCCCCTTACAAAACCATCAGAACTTGGGAAAACTCACTCACTATCACGAGAACATCAGCATGGAGGTAACTTCCCCCATGATTCAATCACCTCCCACTCAGCCCCTCCCATGACACATGGGGATTATGGGAACAACAAGATGAGATTTGGGTGGGGACACAGCCAAACCATATCAGATTATTTTTTGCATCAATATCATATACTATATTTTGATTCTTTATTTTGTCAGTAGAAGGCAACTTTCTAGCATTTGTGTTATTCAGGCCTATTTATTGTTATTATTTTTTGAGACAGAGTCTTATTCTGTCACCCAGGCTTGAGTGTAGTGGTAGGATATCAGCTCACTGCAGCCTCTGCCTCCTGGATTCAAGCGATTCTCCTGCCTCAGCCTCCTGAGTAGCTGTGATTATAGGTGCACACCACCATGCCCAGCTAATTTTTGTGTTTTTCGTAGAGACAAGGTTTCTCCATGTTAGCCAGGCTGGTCTTGAACTGATGACCTCAGACAGTCCACCTGCCTCAGCCTCCCAAAGTGCTGGGATTACAGGCATGACCACTGCACCCAGCCATCCCTGAATTTTTAGTTCACTCCTTTAGTTGTAGAGGCTTTTCAGACTTCCAGAAAAATCCTTTACTGAAATACAGATATATTTTTGGTGTGGTTATCCCTTAAGCCATTATCAAATACCTCCTTAGTCTAAAATCATTTATTTTACTAATAACTGTTAAACACAAGGCACGGTGTTAATGTGCCCTGATTGGAAGTGAGAAAGATAAAGGTGTAAGAGATAGGCCCCTTTTATTCAGCTATAGGGCAACAGGACATAGACATTAAAATATAGTCATCCTTTGGTATCCATGGGGGAATTGGTTGGTTCCAGGACCCGCTGCAGATACCAAAATCCATGGATCATCAAGCCGCATAGATAAAATGGTGTTGTATTTACATGTAACTTACACACATCTTCCCATTTACATACATTAAATCATTTCTAGATTATTTATAATAACTAATACAATGTAAATATGTGTTATACTATAGTGTTTAGGGAACGATTAGAAAAATGCACGTATTCAGTACAGACACAACCATCTGTTTTTTGTTTTTCCTGAATAGTTTTGATCCATGGTTGGCTGAATTCTGCTAAATGGGAAATGAATAATACAAGTAATAAATAATAAAAGAATTTTATTTTTAATGTGGATTATGGTGTTAAGGGAATGCTTTCTTGAAAGAAGTAATTTGAACTGGTCTTTGAAAGGGGAAAGATACAGATATGTAGAGAGGGGGGAAGGTCATCTCACTTCATGGAGTGGGCTTGGAGGGCTGGAGAAAAGACAGAAGAAATGATGGGAATGTGTGGCCTATATGAAGAATAGTATTAGGTTGGTGCAAAAGTGATTGCGGTTTTTGTTATTAAAAGTATGGCACCAACCTAATACAACACCCCTTTCTCCCCTCTCACCATTCTTACTGCCTCTGTTTGTTGTTGTATGTTTTTTGTTTTTAAGCAGTGGAGCTCTTCAAACAAAATCTTCACAGATGCATAAAATAAAAACAAAAAGTATAACTGCTTTAGTTTAATGCAGGGGCAGGACCCTGGGCCCTGCTTCTCAGCTCCTTTTTACTTCCCCACCCTCTAGTCCTACCTTTACAGGCCTTGAGATACTGTCTCAGCATCCCTAGGATTCCACAGAGCAGTTTGAAACGCAGGAAACCAGGTAGAATGCGTAGTGGCAAATGTAAAGTCATGGAAGTTTTGTTATCAGTGGTACTTAAGTATAGAAACTATCTTATTCATCTTTGATTCCACAGCCGTGGCACATTGTAGCCAACCTGATGTTTGTCAAATTGCTATTGATTAATCACGATTAAAGCTGTGTATTAACAAGAATTCTAATGCTTAACATATTAGTTGTCCTTTTGAGGGGGGATAACTAAACACAAGGCTTTTGTACAATGGGATGCAGGATAAATGCCAGGAAAAGATGAAATAAAGGACACATTGGACAATTGAAATCACACCAAAACAAAATCTCCTCTTTATTTAGCTTGTGCATAGTCCTTTATAGTAGGATATACCACCATTGTTTACCATAGGTTTGAGTATATGGTAAGGCTATGACTTGTCGCCAGAGATTTTTCTTATTAACTCTCTTGGTCCCGTTGTATTTTGAAATGTTCAGAACATTTTGGTGAAACACAGCTTTGCAAATAATTTATCAGGCTTTCAAGGTCATATTGGTCATGGATTGGATGACGTTAGTATGATCTCAATCTTATTTTTTGAGATTTGGTCTATAACTTGACATTTGTTGGTTTTCACAGATAATTGAAAGTTAACTGCTGTGTTTAATAGCGATTATGTACTTTTAAAGCAATTGTCTCTTGAATCATTGAAGTTATTTTACTTTTAACAATTTTCTTTTCAGTCTGATCTTGTGGATCAAAGTATATTTAATTTTATCCCAGAAGGGGAACATTCAGAGGTTTATAAAATACTCTCTACTCATCTGCTGGAAAGTGATTCATTAACCCCAGAATATTTAAAATGTAAGTAGTAGCTGTTAAGCAAAAAAGTCAAATGTTGTATTCAGTAGCACTATCCTTTTGCAAGTTTATGAAAAATACAGACTTCTTTAAATACAGCATTACTCCATATGCCCTATTAGGTCCTTTTTCAATATTAAAATATATATAAAATGAAATTGTGACCATATTAAAAATCTGTAATCTATTTCAGTGTATATTGAAATCCCATCTTATTTGTTATAATAAATCCTGGACTCCCATTATGCCATAAAGCTGTATTTTATGCAAAAGTGAGACCTGGCAATATATAGTTATTAATTTATAAATAAAACTTTACTGTATTTAATAAGGGAAAATTAAACATTCTAATTTTCACCATTGTTAACCAATTGGACACTCAAACTGGAAAAAATTTCTATGTTTCTTTTAAAATTATTAAATATAAAGATAAATTATCTACTTTATTAAACAATTAAACAGTCATTTGTTAGATGTATCTAATTTGCTAGGTACTTGTGCTGTATCATAAAAATATCAACAATAGTGAAAATAGTTATCACCATCAAGATACACAACATATTATGGTAGAATCAGACATTTCTACTAGGTCCATTGACAAATTTATTTGACCGGAGTACCTCATTTTCTTCATATATTACCCTGTATAAAATCCAGAATTGTTACAGCAGTACATTTCACCATTAGCTATTAGATACCTTGTTTAATCACCTTTTTCATTATTTTTAAATGTGTCTCATCTGCTAATACTGACATTATCTTAAAGATTCTTTGTATTTGAATCCTCAAATTCTATAGCATACTGTCTAAAAATTGAGATACACACACACACACACTCACACAAATCTGTGTGTATCTATAACTTTGGTAAGAGTGGATGGCCTTTCAGCGAGAGTTGAGAAAAACTAGAGTTGGAGAATTCATTTCAAGCCTTGTTTTAAAACCAAGTTCATATGACATTGACCATTAGGCCACTCTAGTCTGGTACTTAGAAAGATTTAGGCTGTATATAATAGATACCTACAATTAGTATTTGAAGCCATGGATGGAATGGATTGCTTGAGGTAAATACGTAGAACAAGGAGAGAAAAATTAGAAAGGTGGAAGCCAGCCAGGCCCGGTAGCTCATGCCTGTAATCCCAGCACTTTGGGAGGCTGAGGTGGGCAGACCACTTGAGGCTACGAGTTTGAGACCAGCCTGGCCAACATGGCGAAACCCCATCTCTACCAAAAATTAGCTGAGCATGGTGGTGCATGCCTGTAGTCCCAGCTACTTGGGAGACTAAGGTAGGATAATTGCTTGAACCCCGGAGGCTGAGTTTGCAATGAGTCAAGATCACACCACTGCATTCCAGCCTGGGCGATAGAGCGAGACTCTGTCTCAAAAAAAAGAAAGAAAGGTGGAACCCTTTGGAGATAGCAATAGGAAGACAAAGGAGAAGGCGTTTGCTTTGAAGACCCTACTAAGAATAAAATCGACTGGAGAACTAAATAAAAGCCTTTGGCAGAAAGAGCTTAGGCTTCTGCTTCCAAGAACAGAAATGAAAATGGCAAGAATACTTAAGAAAAGTCTTAATTAAATGGCTTGCTGATCTCCTAGTTAAACAAGTGATATACAAAAGAGTTCTTGCCCCAGAAAAAAGAAAGTTTCATGCCAAAAGAATAAACACAAGTTAAAACACAGAGAAAATTGCTTAGAAAATTTGGTAGGTCATTTTGGCCATAATGAAGTTGAGGTTGTACAGGTGGTAAAATTTGTGTCTAGAGAAAGAATAAGGACAGAATTATAAAGGGGCTAAGGAATTTGAGTTTTATTTTTTACAGAGTAGAGAGCCAGTGAAGGAGATTTGGGTAGTTTTGTTATCTGCAAAAAAAGGAAAAACAAAATCAGGTAAATAGTGGAAAGTTCATTTGGAGAAGGCTAGGAAGAAGACTTGCAGCAGTGGGTTGCCTACCCCAGGCTTACCTGGCTTCTGCTTCATAAAGAGACCCTGAGTCTGAGAGCTGAATAAGAGCCCTGGATTTCTCATCATAGTGGCTCAACTCAGGCTGTGCTCACCTGACCTGCAGATTTCCTACTATACAAATCAAGTGATAGCTTTATGGAGTTACTCCTCAGTTTCATTCCTAGGGTTCAGTTAAACACAACCAGAGATCTTATGGATCAGACCATTCTGATGATCAAGCTGGCCATCCTGCCTGGTACAGTAGCTATGACTACTTTTCCTGTAACAGCTGTTTTGCCTCATGGAGGTCCAGGTCTTCATTGCAATGAAAGCATCTTTCACCAGCATCTCTGGCCTAGAAAGAGCAGCAGTACCTTGCTTATAAAAGTTGCTGCCACTTTCGTCATCTGGTTTGGGAGATTAAAAAAAATCACTCAGGTAGAAAATTTTGAAAAGGACCAGACTGGGAGACAAAAAGGAAAACCATATAATCCTAGCAATAAAAGTAAGGATGGGCTGAGCACAGTTGTTCACGCCTATAATCTCAGCACTTTGGGAGGCCAAGGCAGGCAGATCGCTTGAGCCCAGGAGTTCAAGACCAGCATGGGCAACATGGTGAAACACCGTCTATACAATAAAGAGAAATAGAAAAGTTGGCTGGGGTGTGGTGGCACATGTCTGTAGTTCCTGCTACTCGAGGCTGAGCTGGAGGATCACTTGAGCCCAGGAGGCAGAGGTTGCAGTGAGCTGAGATCATGTCACTGTAGTCCAGGCTGGGTGACAGAATGAGACTTTGTCTCAAAAAAAAAAAAAGGAGAGGAAAGTATATGACTGTTAAGTGTGTAAACTCAATAGGACTTGATGTGGTAGGCTCAGGTGACCAAGTGACTAAGAATCATCAGTGGGGAAGGTTGAAGATAGATAGATTTTTACTGATTAGGTTAGATGATAAAGCCATCTATGATGATAATAACCGAAGAATATAAGCTTGAAGTAGTGAGCAAAGAAAGGTGTTACTAGTCCTTGAGTGCGGAAATAATACCATGAAAGTAATTACAAGTCTAAGAGTAATAGACAAGACTGAATCAGAGTGGCAGAATGTGGAGGCATAATGAATACATATTTCGGTTACCTAGATGCAAGGTAATTTGCAACTGCACTAAATTGGCAGGCTTCCTTGGTGAAATAAGTAGCAGGTCTTCATGACAGATTAGGTTTGGGACTTGTGATGGGAAGAGAAGAGACCAAATTGTTAACGGTTTCTAACTTGGGAAATAAGCATACATAGACGAAGGGAGCTTGAAAGAAAGATAAATTCACTTTCAAGTATTTTGAATTTAAGTTACTAATGGGACAATCAAGTTCGAATGTCCTGAAAGCAAATGATAGGTAACTTTGTCTCACGTAAAATGCTAGAGTTGGAGAGAGAGATTTAGGATCAGAAGAACCTTTGTGAAAACCCCTAGTATGAAAATGGATTAGCAGAAGAGATAGGAATAGTCAGTAAGGTGGGAAGGTAAGTTTATGCTGTGGGAATGACAAAGGATGACTTTTAAGAAGTGGAAATGAAAAATCATTGAAGTTAACGATACAAATGTTAGTAATCTTGAGAAGAATAATTGCTGTAGAGGTGTAAGTCACAGTGTGTGAAGTTAAGGGAAATGAATATATGGAAGATGGAGCCCATAATGAAAAGGAAGGAGATCTATAATACCAAATAATTAGTGAAACTCCTTTATTTCAGATGGAAGACGTGAGCAAATTTAAAAGTAGATAGTAAGGACCCTTGGCCAGGTGCAGTGGCTCTCGCCTATAATCCCTCCACTTTGAGGCAGGAGGATTGCTTGAGCCTAGAAGCTTGCAACCAGCCTGGGCAACATAGTGAGACCCCATTTCTATAAAAAATTAAAAATTAGCCAGGCATGGTGGCTCACACCTGTAGTCTTGCGTACTTGGGAGGCTGAGGCAGGGGGCTCACTTGAGCCCAGGAGTTCAATGCCACAGTGAGCAGTGATCATGCCACTGCACTCCAGCCTGGGTGACAAATCAAGACCCTGTCTCAAAAAAAAGAAGAAAGTAAGGACCCAAAGGTGTAGATGCTAAAGGAATAAGGAACAGTGATGTGGCCCGGGTCCTAGAGAAAATAGGAAAGACTATAAATGGTAGAGATGGAAGGATTAGCTTTAGAATGTGAAGCAAAACTTTCCTTTGAAAGTGAGTAAAGAATGAAAAGGATGAGTAGCTAAAAATAGGGAAACATTAAGTTGTTTGCACCAGAAAATCTATTTTTTCTATTAAAGACAAAGTGAGATCCTCTCCTGAAGGTGCTCTACTTTTATGAACTAAATGTCATTGACGACTTCTGTTGGGGAAAATAATGGTTGTAAACTTACACAACTTTTATGATCTTACTTTATGTGGTATATCAATCATTGTTTTATATCAGAAATATGTGATTTTTAAAATCTCTTTTATTTCAGCAAAAAATCAGTTAGAATTCTGTTGTCACATGCTGCGAGGAACAATAGACCCAAAGGAGCCATCTACCTATGAATATGTAAAATTTATAGGAAATTTCAAATCTTTAAACAGTGGTGAGTTAAAATGCTTCTCTCACAATGTGTTTTAACTTGTTATTTTTCTGTGCTCTTAAAGACATAGATGTTTGAATATCAGTGACAATTAGGTTTTGCTGGCATAACTGATGATACATATTTCCCTATTGTTTTAGTATCCTCTTCAGCACACAATGGTTTTGAAGGAACTATACAACGCACACATAGGCCATCTTATGAAGATAGAGTTTGTTTTGTAGCTACTGTCAGGTTAGCTACACCTCAGTTCATCAAGGTATGTTTTTAATTTTATTTCCCAAAGGGGATTTCAGTTCATATGCTGAGAGCTGCCTGAAACTTCCTGCAGACATTGAGGTGGAATGGCTATGAGTCATTAAATATGCATGATAATATTTTTGAAACGATGAGTTATCAAGACACTCATTAAATTGTATAACTAATTTTTTAGTATATATCCTTTGCAGTTAACCAGTGATTATTATATATCAATATTGCCCTACTTTTGTGGAAGATTTTAGGATCCTTTTGTGTGTTGTTCATTATCTCTATTAAAAGGGAAAGTCCAAAAATCTAGGTTTTTGGAATCTTTATTTTTAGAAGGTAACTTTTAAATTTTTATTTGAAATGTACAAGTGGCTCTTTGCCACATATAACTTACCTTTTCAAATGTAAAATTAGGTATTTTATTTTTATTTCCTGGACCCAACAAACAGATGACAAGTAGGGAAGTGGGAAAGTGAAAGAGTTAACCACTAGAAACTGACTGGAAAGAGGCAGCCAGGCTAAGATTTAAAATTTCGGCGGGGCCAGGCGAGGTGACTCATGCCTGTAATCCCAGCACTTTGGGAGAGCAAGGCGAGAGGATTGCCTGAGCCCAGTAGTTTGAGACCAGCCTGGGCAACGTGACAAGACCCCATCTCTACAAAAAATACAAAAAATTAGCCAGGCATGGTGTTACACACCTGTGGTCTCAGTTACTCAGGAGGCTGAGGCAGGAGGATCATTTGAGCCCAGGAGGTCGAGGCTGCAGTGAACTGTGTTTGCATTTTATTTTGAGACAGAGTCTGACTCTGTCTCAAATAAATTTGGGGGGACATCATAGTATAGGACAAAGTACTGAATTAATAGAAGATCTTAAGCCAGTCTTGCTTGGTTTGTTTTGATCTTATGAAATAATAGTTGTTAACATTTGAGTGCTTACTACATGCTGTGTATTTTATATGCATTATCTCATTAATTCTTATGACAACCCTATAAGTTAGATGCCATTACGATCCCTCATTTTACATTATAAGGAAACAGGCTTAGGGAAGTTAAGTGACTTGCCCAAAGTCTCAGCTATTAGTGATGAAACTGGGACTTGATTCTATTAATTAATAATTGTTTTTTTCTCAAAGCCCAAGCTCTCAACTATTACAGAGTGCTGCAGGTCATTCAGGGACACAGAGGCAGGATGGAATACATTGTTTAGTATGACTAGAGTCTAGGGTTAGTGTGTGGAGGGGGAAGAGATAGTGGGAGGTAAGGCTAGAAAAGTAATCAGAAACCAGAAATAAAATTTGTTTCTTTCTTGTTTATTTCTCCATGCTGAAGAGAGTTTAGCACAAGGAACCACTGAAGGTTTTTTAGCAGGGAAGTCATATAATATTTGAGTATTGGTAAGGTAATTGTGGCCCTAGAAGAGAAGATGAGTTGAAGGACAGGGAGACTGGTGAACACTGTAGCAAATCAGTGATGGCAGGGGTCTAAACCAATGCACTCAAGATGGATGAGATAGAATTGATTTTTAAAATACTTAGATGAAATGGAAAAGATTTAGTAATGGCCACTTAGATGATGAAAGGTAAAAATGAAAGAGTATGTTTTTTTAACTATCAGATTTCTAGACACTGGCCACTACACATGTATAGAATAATACGGAAAATTGTGTGATTGGGTGTGAGGAGTAAAGCAGTTAGTTTATTTTAGGACATATTGAATTTGAGATGTATGAGGACATTCAGATATTTGGAAATATGGAACTGTAATTCAGGAGAGAGGTCTGAATTTTGAATAAGCGTTTATAGGCATGTGTGAATGGAAAATGTGTAGAGTGAGAAGTACCCACCCAAAAGCTTGCATCTAAAGGTTATTTATTACCACATTCTTTAGTACTGGAAAATTAAAATATATTAACTTGTTTAGAAGGGCCTGCATTTTGGCTTATGCCTAGAATCCCAGCACTTTGGGAGGCTGTGGTGGGCAGGTTGCTTGAGCCCAGGAGTTGAAGACCAGCCTAGACAACATAGACCCCCCACCTCTACAAATAAAAATACAAAAATTAGCCGGGCGTGGTGGTGCATCCCTATAGTCCCAGCTACTTGGGAAGCTGAGGCAGGAGGATCGCTTGAGCCTAGGATGTTGAGGCTGCAGTGAACTGAGATCACACCACTGTACTTCAGGCTGAGTGACAGAGTGAGACCCTGTGTCAAACAAAGAAATAGGTAAATATATACATACATAGAAACAACTAACTTGTTTAGGAAAAGTTTATCTAGTAATGACTATTTATTTATGTATTTATTTAACCTCCACCTCCTGGGTTCAAGTGATCCTGCTGCCTCAGCCTGCCGAATAGCTGGGATTACAGGTGCCCGCCACCGTGCCCTGCTATTTTTTGTATTTTTAGTAGAAATCGGGTTTCACCATGTTGGCCAGGCTGGTCTCAAACTCCTGACCTAAGTGATTTGCCCACCTCAGCCTCCCAAAGTGCTGGGATTACAGGTGTGAGCCACTGCACCTGGCCATGACTTATTTTTATATGTAGCAATATTTAATATTCTTAAGGACACAAAGTATTTATAAATTTTAATTATTTATTTGTAGGAAATGTGCACTGTTGAAGAACCCAATGAAGAGTTTACATCTAGACATAGTTTAGAATGGAAGTTTCTGTTTCTAGATCACAGGTAATTCCATTTTTAAATTCCATGAAAAGGTAATAGTCATGTTATATAATTCTTGAAATTAATGGATCAAGGGCAAACTTTTTTTTAAATTAGGACTTTGAAACCTGTTCCCATTTTTTGAAAAATAAAGCCCCCCCCCCAAAGTTTATTTCTAGTTGAAATATTTCTTATTATGGAAAAACTTATAATAATGATTGTTTTCTGTGTAATTTAGGGCACCACCCATAATAGGGTATTTGCCATTTGAAGTTCTGGGAACATCAGGCTATGATTACTATCATGTGGATGACCTAGAAAATTTGGCAAAATGTCATGAGCACTGTAAGTAGATTTTAACATTTCTGGTGATAATAACTGTTTTATAAGCAGAAGTCCTGTCCTGAAATGATAGGTAGTAAGACACAGATTTATAATCATTTTCATATTTTTGAAATATGCTAAAAGATTTTGCTTTATGTATATAACCAATGTAGTAGGAATCATAGATCAAGTTTAAACTTGTTCCTATTTTTATAATAAGTAGAATTTTATAATATTGCATCTAATACACCTTGTTCTGAAGCACGTGAGCTCTATATCTGGAGTAAGAGAAGTAGATTCCTTTGAAAATTGTAATACTTCAAACTTTTGGAGTATTGTTTCCTAAATTTTGATTTTGAGGCATGTGAATCTTTTCAGGAGCTAGGTACATGTCTGGAAAATCTGTCTTAGAAAGCTCATAGTAAGTGCTTGGTGTTATCTGCTTATTATTGTTGTTAGAGCAGGAGCATTATCATCCTTTGTGCCAGGCACTGTTCTAAACACTTTACATCTATTATCTTCATTATTCTCCATCACAGTTCTAAAAGGTAGATGCTATTATTATCTTCATGAGTAAGCTGAGAACACAGTAAGGCTAAGTAATTCACCCATAATTTCATAGCTCATTGGTGGCAGAGACAGGATTGGAGCCTAGGCCTACTCTTTTTATCACATGTATTTATTTTAGAAGTTTGTTTTAATGATGAGGTTTGCCTTAATGATATGTTTTATTTGCTTCTCTGATCCTCCTCCCAGATGCTTACCATCTTGAGTGTTCACTAAAGCTTAACTAGATATTTTAGACCTTTTCATGACGTTTTATGCTGCTGTTATAAACCTCACTGTATGAAAATGAAGCAGGTTGTATAATAGCATTAACTCTATGGAAAATTTTCAGAGTAAAGTCATTTCAGCACAAAAGATGTGGGCATTAAGCACCATGATGTTGTCTAAAGAGCTGATACCTCTATTAACTAGCTGGGTAACTTTGGACAGCAAGTTTGTTTGTAGACCTTGATTTCCTCCTTAGAGAGTGAGAGGCGGTGGCGGCGGGGTTGGGGGGTGGGGGGACAGATTGAGAGATTCTTGACTAGCATTTTCTAAGGTTTGTTCCACCGAATGTTGGTCCATAAAAAAAGACTTTATAGTCAAGGAAGATGGGGAAACACTTCATAATCCCTCAGAGAATCTGCACATGCATTAGCATACTCTAGGTTTTGAGAAAACTGAAGACACCTATTTAACAAAAAGTTTCCCAAATTAATTTAACTACAAACCCTTTTTTTTTTTTTTTTTTTTTTTTTGGGATGGAGTCCTGCTTTGTCACCCAGGCTGGAGTGCAGTGGCGTGTCTCAGCTCACTGCAGCCTCCACCTCCCGGGTTCAAGTGATTCTCTTGCCTCAGCCTCGTGAGTAGCTGGGATTACAGGCACGTACCACCATGCCTGGCTAATTTTTGTATTTTCAGTAGAGATGGGGTTTCACTATGTGAGCCAGGGTGGTCTCAAACTCCTGACCTCAAGTGATCCTCCCACCTCTGCTTCCTAAAGTACTGAGATTACAGGCGTGAGCCACCACACCTGGCCCAAAACCCATTTTTTTGTTTAATATCTGTTAAAACGCTTCAGAACTTAAAATCCACAGCACATGTTTTGGCAGTTACTGCACTCAGTTACTTCAGACTCAGTTACTTTGATTTTGGTTAGTTAAGGTTTAAAATTAAATGCTTCAAAGATTCTGTGCCTGCCAGAGTAGTTAGGAGAAAAAACTCAGGGGTGATTATTTATTGTTATTACCCTCTGTATATCTAGGCAGGAGGAAGTCAGCAGTGTGAATTCTTAAGTATTAATTGTGTATGGAAAGATTGTAAGATCAGCAGTGACTAGCTGTGAATTGGGCACTGTAGATCTGATAATTGCTTGGGACCTTAAACTAGCTCTAAAGAATAACATTTTCATATTGACATATATGTTATCAAAAGGCCAGAAAAATAATAGTATGTGTAAACTTAAATGTAAATGATAGCTTTTGGTTAAAAAACAATCTTTATATAATATGAATTAAAGAAAAAATATTTCTCTATTTTCCTTTTAGTAATGCAATATGGGAAAGGCAAATCATGTTATTATAGGTTCCTGACTAAGGGGCAACAGTGGATTTGGCTTCAGACTCATTATTATATCACTTACCATCAGTGGAATTCAAGGCCAGAGTTTATTGTTTGTACTCACACTGTAGTAAGGTAATAATTCTTTTAGAGAATTTCTGAATTACTGTAACATCCTATGATGATTTTGGCATTGTAACTTTTATGCGTAAGTTGTTAAAGAGCTACAAAGTGCTCTTTTCTCAATTGCTGATAGATCCTTTCAATATATTATTAAATTTACTTATAGGCATTATATATAAATATAGGAATGATATAGATATATAAGTCTTGATATAAATTTTGTGCTTTACAGCAGAAGTTGTTACTGTCATTTATGTAGTAATGTCAGTCATGTAAAAGGAAAACTGTAGGTAGATAAGCATACACTTCCTTTATTTATTTTTCTTAATTTAAGTATTGTGTGGTTATGGATCGTTTACAGCAGTGTATGAAACTTTAAGATACCTAGAAAAATGCAAGTTAAATTAAGACATTATAGGTATATTTTAGGTTTGTGTAGCACATAGCAAATAGTCTAGATGAACAGATGAGACACGTAACAACACTGAATAGTTACAGCTGTGCAGTATTTTAAACGAATGACCAGACACTAAAATTTGATTATTTTTTCCATTTGTAGTTATGCAGAAGTTAGGGCTGAAAGACGACGAGAACTTGGCATTGAAGAGTCTCTTCCTGAGACAGCTGCTGACAAAGTATGTTTCTTATAATTAAAAAAAATTATTTTTAATTTCTCCCCAATAAAAGATGAAACTCAATAATTAATAGGAAAACTATTTTTCAAAAATACTTTATTTCCTCACTTATAACGGGGATGTGATTATACTTTACTACTTATTTTTAATTTAATATTTTAGAGTCTCACCTGCCTCTAAAAAGAAAATTGGATGAGAGATGTGTCTGATCTCAAAACTACCATTTATTCCCAGTGATGTACTAGTCTCTGGCTAGGTTATTTATATGAATTATGAAATATAATTTACACATCAGATATTTTTATCGGGTAGGTAATATCCCCACTTTGAAAATACTGAAATTGGGGTTTCAAGAGGGGAAAAAAAAATCTTCCCTAAAGACACTGGCTGGGAAATTATAGTCAGAATTGGAACTCTGGTTTCTTTTTTGTTATATCAGGTCAGAAGTATAGTATATTAGTTATCTATAGCTGTGTAACAACTTACTCCAAAATTTAGTGATATAAAACAACACACTTGTTATCTCCTAGTTTGGTGAGTCAAGAGTCCAGGCACAGTTTAGCTGGACCCTCTACTTCAGATTCTTTCATGAGGCTGTAATCAAGGTGTTGGTGGGAGCCACAGTCATCTCAAAGTTCAACTGAGGTGGCATCTGTTTCCACCTCACTTAGTGGTTGCTGGCACACTTCAGTTCCTCATGGGCAGTTGGACTGAGGGCCTTGGTTTCTTGCTGGCTGAAGGCTATCCTCAGTTCCTTTCCAGGTGACCTTTTCCATCAGAGCAAGCATGCAAGATGAGCCAGGGAGAGAAACTACCTGCAAGATGGAAGTCACAGTCTTTTGTAACCTAATCACAGGATTGATACCTCACCACTTTTGTCTATTCTATGCATTATATAAGGAAATCAGTAGATCCAGCCCACACTCAAGATGGGAGGATTATGCAAGGGCATGAATATCAGGAGGCAGGAATTGTGAGCCATGTCAGAAATTGCCTACCACAGTATTTTTGGACCTGCAGAAAATAAGTAGAATGAAAAGAGTCAAAAATCTATATAAAACTTGAGTTAAATAGGCAGCATTCCAGGGGACAATATGGTAGATGTCATTCAGTCATTCAACAAATGTTATAAAGTACCTTCTACCCGGCATGGATCTAGATGCTAAGAATACAGCACTGAATAATGCAAACAACTTCCCTGCTTTCATGGATCCCACGTGAAAGAACTTTTCCAAAGAGGTTTTGTATGTTTAGAAGAAGAGGACATAGTATGTTTTGGTAGAAGACATTATTTTCTGAGAAAAGTTCTTAAAATCTAGGGTTCCTTGATTAGGGGACCATTATGAAAACTGAAGTAATACAGAGATTAATTATCCTTCTTTTTCCCTTATGCAAAGATTCAATCCTAGTAAATCCTAAATTAGCCCTGTTTCCAAAATACACACCAGCTATGTCTACTTTCCCACCATATTTACTGCCAGCATCATGATCCCCCTGGGGTTTAGGGACGAGGTCCTTCTGAGATATTTTTGAGAAACTTCAATGTGTGGATGGTTTCAAAATCATGAATTTTGATGGGATCACCAAAGGGATGGGTGTGTCTTGGAGCACTCCAATATTAAGAGGTGATGGAGACAAGGAAGAATCAACAACAGGGGGGTAATAGCTAGTAAGTTAGGAATAAAACCAGGAAGTTACTTAGAAGACAAGAGTATCAGTGAGGAGTGAATGATCAGCTGTATCAGATTCAGCTGAAATAAGTTAAATTTTAGATGAGTGTTGAGAACTGAGCATTAACTTTAACATTTAATTCATTGGTGATCAATAAGAACAGATTTTGTGGAGTAGCAGTGTGGGTGAAAGCATGATTAGAGTTGGTTTAAAAGACAGTTTTCCAGGATGGGGGAATTAGGGACAGTGAATAGGGAGGGGTTTTGCTACAAAGAGAAGAGAAATGGGGCAGTGGTAGGAAGGGAAAGTGGGCTTAAAGGAATTTTTTGCCTTTTTTTTTTTTAAGTTGAGAGAAATAACAGCATGTTTGTATACTGATGAGAATGAGCTGATGGAGAAAGAAACATTGGTGAAGGGAAAGATTAGTGTCGCTGTATGAAACTATGAAACTCTAGCTCCTGGGCTTAAGCAATTCTCTTCTCAGCTTCCTGGGTAGTTGGCACCGCAGGCATTCACCTGGCTTTCTCCCCTATGTTTTCTTGTAAGAGTTATGTAGTTTTAGCTGTTAAAATTTAGGTCTGTGATTCATTTTGAGTTAATGTTTTTTTTTTTTTGAGATGGAGTCTCGCTCTTTTGCCCAGGCTGGAATGCAGTGGCAGGATCTCGGCTCACTACATCCTCCGCCTCCTCAGTTCAGGGAATTCTCCTGCCTCAGCCGCCGGAGTAGCTGGGATCACAAGGCATCTGCCATCATGCCTGGCTAAATTTTGTATTTTTGGTAGAGACGGGGTTTCACCCTGTTGGCCAGGCTGGTCTCAAACTCCTGACCTCAGGTGATCTGCCTGCTTCAGCTTCCCAAAGTGCTGGGATTACAGGTGTAAGCCACCACACCTGGTCTTGAGTTAATTTTTGTATATGGTGTAAGAGATTCCAACTTCATTCTTCTTCTCTTTCTTTAAATAGAAAATGAAGCCAAAACTTTCTGGCTATAACACATAAATTTTCATTTCTTTACATGTGTATGTACATACAGGTACTTTTGCCTTGTTATAGACAAAAACTGATTTTTTTGTTGTTGTTAACAGTATTGTGAATTTGAGATCTCTGAACTGAACCACAAGAAAACATTTATTTTACTCTGTCTCCATAGAGCCAAGATTCTGGGTCAGATAATCGTATAAACACAGTCAGTCTCAAGGAAGCATTGGAAAGGTTTGATCACAGCCCAACCCCTTCTGCCTCTTCTCGGAGTTCAAGAAAATCATCTCACACGGCCGTCTCAGACCCTTCCTGTGAGTACCCTTGCTTCAAAGCAGACTTCCTTTAAAGTAACTAACTAAACTTTTAGTTACTTATATCAGCATTTCTCATCAAACGCTTCTTTAAAATTATAAGTTTTTACATTTCTGAAATGTAGTAACCTTTCCAGTGAGTTAAAGGGACATTGCCCACTTTCAGCAAAGAATTAAGTTCTTCAAGTAGCCTATTAAAATGTGTAGGTGGTAATGGTGATGGTGATGTTTTTAATCATCCCTCAAAAAGAAAGGCAACTATTTATTGTGTTTTTTTACTGTAGGGCCAGTAAGTGTTCTTAGGTTTGCTTTTTGAAAGTTTTTTATTGTCTTCTCTTTTTGAAGACTTGTATAATTGTCATTAAATTAGTGACTTTTTGTATTTAAAATTTTCCTATTTCAACTATTTTCTTTGTGCTCATAAAAAGATAGAAGTAACTACATTGAATCATCTGTCATGGACTTCACTTTCATTGAATGGTTTGGAAAAATAATTCAAAAGCCATTTTTATTAACTGAAATACATTTTGAGATTAATCTTTAAAAACTATATTTTATAAAGTACTAATGCTCTTCTGATTTTGTTGACTTCAGCAACACCAACCAAGATCCCGACGGATACGAGCACTCCACCCAGGCAGCATTTACCAGCTCATGAGAAGATGGTGCAAAGAAGGTCATCATTTAGTAGTCAGGTAAGCTCTTTAGTGGATATTCTTCTGAATAAAGATTTATTAAGAGGGGAAAAATGATCTAAATCTTCAGAAATTCATCTATTTGTCACCCCTCTTTGTAAAGATCAAAATAGTTACTGATATGTGACACTTACTTAAGACTTCCTTTTCTTGTATGAAGTGGTTGTCATATGTATTGGTCCTTCTAATTATTTTTCAAGTAAAATGTTAGTTTTTTTTTTTTTAATTGTGGAAAGCTCAAAATTGATAGCTGTTTTATGTCTAAGTTCAAATACCAATTGTCTTAAGTCTGGCCAACTTTTATTGAGAGCTTGTTCAAGGTACTGTAGGAAGTTCCTTGGAAAATAAAAGATAAATAGGGAACAGGCCTTTCCAATATAGATGAGAAGACATAGCTGTATTCAGCTAACAAAAGTATGAGGCAAATGGTAAGTTTATTAATACGAATATCATATTGATATTTCTGCTGGAAGTACTCATGTATGGGAATGAGAATCACTTCAGTGTTATTTTTTATTTTGCTCTAGTCCATAAATTCCCAGTCTGTTGGTTCATCATTAACACAGCCAGTGATGTCTCAAGCTACAAATTTACCAATTCCACAAGGCATGTCCCAGGTACTTTTTGGTTTTTGTTTCAGTTGCGTATTTGAATATGATAAATTGCTTTTAAGCTAATGTAATTTTTTTAAAAATCCAGGCTTGCTGGCAAGCACCTGTAGCCACAGCTACTTGGGAGGCTGAGGTAGGAGCACACACACACACACACACACACACACACACACACACACACACGCGCGCGTGCGCGCGCGCACATATATAATTATAGTTACAGATGCAGTGAATCTTAACTGGGGTCATTTAGGATATCTGGGGACATTTTTGATTGTTGTAATGATTGTGGGGTATCACTGGCCCTTAGTGAGCATGGTCCAGGAATACTAAATATCTTTCAGGATGCATAAGAGTCTTGCACAACAAAGAATTGTCCTGCCTAATATGCCATAACACTCCCTCATTGAGGAACACTGTAGACATAAAGATATTAAGGATGAAATGTAGCTGTTCATTTTGTTCCTCCTATGAATATTGGAAGAATTGAGTAACTTTATTTGTATACTCATTCTTTTGATATTTATTGAGTTCTTTGTGTGTAACAGGCATTGCAGATGCCGACAGTACAAATATATGAACTAAAAAACCATTACATCTAGAGGGAATGACAGATGCCTACAATACCATGCTATATTGCCTGTGCTGAAAGTATGTAAGTTGATATGTAAGCAGATTGTGTGAATCCTTAATGCAACCTGAGGAAGTGAAGGAAAACTTTCTAGGAGAATTGTTTCTTGGCCTAAGTCCAGAAGGAGGCCTGAATGTGGAAAGTAGCCAAAAAAAAGGGGGAGTAATTCCAAGAGTGATGCTGTTACTTTAGAGCCTAACTTCCCAACTTGTAATTTATGACTCTGTACTCATTCAGTGCCTCAAACACATTAAAAATACTATGGAGAAGTAGTATTTTTCTTCAACTTTTCTGTTTTGTTTGGCATTAAATATACCTTAACTTAGCAGGTCTTGATTTCAAGGAATGATCATTAATAATAGGTGAAAACAATATTTTTAAAAATAGCTCCATCTTATATGGTTATTTAATTTAAGTCATACATATATGATAGGAGATACATACTTTCTATATTATTAGTTTTTTAATCTCAGGATTCTAAAGCATTTCTTAACATGTTATGGGGATATTTTCATGAAATAAAGGATACCTACTATGTCAAAAATGTTAGTAAGCATTCATGTCTCACATTTTGTTCACCAATAAAGCCAAATGCTTTGCCTCTTAGGTCTGTGGTTTTACTTCCTGTTATCCTACCTTCTGTGTTTGTTACTATTTTCTTTTGTACTTGATAGAAATCCTTTAAGTGCTATATTGCTATCAATATAATGCTTGTCCAAAGGTACAAATAACTTTAGTTATAATAAAATAACATTTGTATGACATAAATGTAACTTTTTAATTTTTTTTTGAGACGACGCCTCACCCTGTCACCCAGGCTGGAGTGCAGTGGCGCAATCTCGGCTTACTGCAACCTCTGCTTCCTGAGCTCAGGCGATCCCGCCTCAGTCTCCCGAGTAGCTGGGACTACAGGCACATGCCACCACACCCGGCTAGTTTTTATATTTTTAGTAGAGACAGGGTTTTGCCATGTTGCCCAGGCTGGTCTCAAACTCCTGGACTCAAGCATTCTGCCCACCTCGGCCTCCCAAAGTCCTGGGATTACAGCTGTGAGCCACCATGCCCGGCCATAATTATAACATTTTGACTAATATTTAAAAAAAAACAAAAAAAAAAACTTGAGGGAGTTGAGGTACTAAATTTTTAATATTTTCTCAACCACGTTTAACATATGATATGGTCTGGTTATTGTTAATTTCTGAAATCAAAGTTGTGTGCCCTGAAATGTAATTTAGTATCCCAAATACAAACTATTGAAGATAGAGTTAAAAAGCTTTGGATGGGGAGGACATTTCTCACTTTTACATACAGTTCACTGTAAGAGGCTACTTTAAGACAGATTTCCTTCCAATAAAGTGAAACTCTTTCTGCTCTTATACTGTATCATATACTGAAAATTCATGGGAATAATTAAAGAGCCTGTATAGACTTAAGAGATGAATCACCAAATGTGGGTAAATTATAAGCAGAAGAAAATAGGAGCTGCTCATGACTCAAGTAAAACAGAGAAATAAGATTGAAAATATAATTTTATTTTCATTCATGTATGCGTTTATTCATTCATACTTGCCTAGTCTTTAAAAGCCCATGTTCTATACTTATCTGAGGATAGTTTCCATTGAAGATAAAAGTGAAAATATTATTGGTTATCTGTCAGATTTTTGCAACTTTGGGTAATTCTACTCATGTACACATAGAGGGCATTCTAGGGATGACAGAAATTGATACAAATTAACTCCAGGTGCAGACTACTTTTTCCTTTGTTAAGGGGTAAAAATGAAGCTAAGAAGTTAAATAAGGCTGGGCATGGTGGCTTGTGGGAGGATTGCCTGAGCTCAGGAGTTCTACAACAGACTAGGCAACATAGTGAGACCCCATCTCTTAAAAAAAACATTAGCCGGGCATGGTGGCATATGCCTGTAGTCCCAGCCACTTGAGAGGCTGAAGTGGGAGGATTGCTTGAGCCTGGGTGGTTGAGGCTGCAATAAGCTGTGATCACACCACTGCATTCCAGCTTGGGTGACTCTGTCTCAAAAAAAAAAAAAAAAAAAAGAAGTTAAATTTTTTTCCAGTAAGTGGTAGCCACAATATGAGCTCAGGTCTTGTAAATCCAGGGTGTATGTGTAATCAGTCAAGTATCCAGTCAGAAGCCAGAAGCATACCAGAAATTTGAACAGGAATAATATAAAAAATTATTAACTGGTAACACGGATTAACTCCTAAAAGAAGTAAAGAGAACCTAAAGAATATAGGAATAAAGCTGGGTGTGGTGGCTCATGCCTGTATTCTTAGCACTTTGGAAGGCCGAAGTAGGAGGACTTCTTGAGCCAATGAGTTCAAGACCAGCATGGGCAACATAGCAAGACCCTATTTTTACAAGAAAATACATTTTTATGTTAGCCAGGTGTGGTGGTGCATGCCTGTAGTCCCAGCCACTGGGGAGGCTGAGATGGGAGGAGCTCTTGAACCCAGAAAGTTAAGGCTGTAGAGAGCCATGATCGCACCACTGCTTTCCAGCCTGGGTGACAGAGTGAGATCCTGTCTCAAAAAAAAAAAAAAAAAAAAAAAAAAGAATATAGAAATAGCAGATGCAGAGAGCAACCACTAGCTGTAAGGTAGATGGAGAGTACCCAAGGAAGGAACATACTTAGAAGACTCCCCACAAGCTCCTAACCTCCTCTTCCCCCATGCCAGGCTAAGATGCAGATCTTCTTGGGGCAAATGTGGCTATAGCAACTGGATAATAGAGAAGTTCACTGACATGCCACAGATTAGAGGTAGAGAGCTGGAAGCCATCAGCTGGGGTACTGGTAAAGCTTGCAGGGAAGCTGCCCACTAGGATGTCATTGAGACTTGCTGGAAAGCCACCTGCCGGGGCAGGTGTATGTAAAAGTGAGAAATGTCCTTCCCATCCAAAGCTTTTTAACTCTATCTTCAATAGTTTGTATTTGGGATACTAAATTACATTTCAGGGCACACAACTTTGATTTCAGAAATTAACAATAACCAGACCATATCATATGTTAAACGTGGTTGAGAAAATATTAAAAGCTTCCCGTTGGCACCCTGACATAAGAGCAAGAAGCACCAGAACCAGGAGTTGAGCACTTTCTTGGCAGTGTCCCTCCAGCACCACCTACTGATGTGGATAACTTTGTGCCTGCTGGCAAAGGAGAAATATTTTGAAGGTCCAGGTCCAATATTACAAAGCAGAGCAAAGATGGGTGGATTAGAAACTAAGGGACATAACTAGTGAAGGATGTTATCATCCTTCACTCATGTTATACTGCTTACTTTTCATGTTGTGCAATTATAAGGAGTAAGTAATTCTAAAATATATTACACTTTTTCCGTACATGGTACTTCAGTTTCAGTTTTCAGCTCAATTAGGAGCCATGCAACATCTGAAAGACCAATTGGAACAACGGACACGCATGATAGAAGCAAATATTCATCGGCAACAAGAAGAACTAAGAAAAATTCAAGAACAACTTCAGATGGTCCATGGTCAGGGGCTGCAGGTAATTGTTATATTTGAATACAAACAAAGCATCCCATTCACATTTTGGATTTCTAGGAAAATTAACTTTTCTTAATTAAAAGTGAGATGCAAGAGATACGTTTTATCAATTCAGTTCAATAAATATTCACTGGTTACCTACTCAGTATGATTATACTTACAGTCTCTAAAGATAATTTGTTTCTGAGGGTATTTCTGTCAACATCCTTGTTTCTCCAGTCATCTTTTTTTACCAGTCCAAATTTTAGTAAGTTTGAATCCATAATATAAAAATTATATTTTACATAAAGTTTTAGGTACATCTTGGGTACAGAATTTATAAATCAATCATCAGTAATATTTTTATTAAGATACCAGTATGTATGATTCAAATTAGTCTTATATGACCAACCAGCAGGACCACTCTAGGAGACTATGACTTTGGTAAAGGGAAACTTGGAGTGAAAACTACTTCTGTGTGATGTTATAAATTATAAATGATAAGTGATACAGAGCTGTCAATCCACAGACTAACACTAGTTACACTTTTTCTAACAATTGGAAACAAGATAACTGAAAGATTGAATATAAAGTTTCATATTTTATTCACTACTTATTTATTGCTAATTCTTCAAAGTGACTTAGCCTTGTTACTTGCTTTTTAAACATACTTTGTAGCTTGATTTTGCCTTCTTTTTAATGCTCATTCTTCTTTTCAATCTACAAAGCTCATTTTAACATAATCTTTATTTTTAAAGATGTTTTTGCAACAATCAAATCCTGGGTTGAATTTTGGTTCCGTTCAACTTTCTTCTGGAAATTCATCTAATATCCAGCAACTTGCACCTATAAATATGCAAGGCCAAGTTGTTCCTACTAACCAGATTCAAAGTGGAATGAATACTGGACACATTGGCACAACTCAGCACATGATACAACAACAGACTTTACAGAGTACATCAACTCAGGTAATGTTACTGAGCACAGCGGGCTATGGAGTGATCAGTGGTTGGAAGGCACACTATTGCTGAAGCAGAAATAAAGCTCTAATGATAAAATATCATTTCAAAATTTAATAGTATTTAGAAAGTATAGTATTGAGAGTGATTATTAAAATATTTTGTGCAAATCATGTTAGTATCAAATATTTTCAGCTTTTTTTTTTCTTTTTTTTTTTTTGAGACGGAGTTTTGCTCCTGTTGCCCAGGCTGGAGTGCAATGGCGTGACCTTAGATTACTGCAACCTCCGCCTCCTGGGTTGAAGCGATTCTCCTGCCCCAACCTCCCGAGTAGCTGGGATTATAGGCACCCACCACCATGCCAGGCTGATTTTCATATTTTTAGTAGAGATGGGGTTTCACCATGTTGGCCTGGCTGATCTCAAACTCCTGACCTCAGGTGATCGCCCACCTCAGCCTCCCAAAGTGCTGGGATTACAGGTGTGAGCCACTGCGCCTGGCTGAGCTTTAAAATATGTCACAATCTGTTTAAAGATGTAGTCTAGTAGTTATACCAAGTTCTTGTAACTTAGACTATTTCTGTGTTTAAAAGGTATGACTTGCTCAAGAGGCTGACCAGGAAGCCTGTTCCCATATGTGCAGAATAGACTGTTGGGGGAGGGGGCATAATGGTTTATTGAATATTCCAGAAAATGTTGGTAATTACTGTAGATCTGTGACTGTAAATCCCAAGGATTTAAATGAAAAATAGAAAAATGCCCACTAATTAGTCATTCACTTTGGGCATTTAACAGAAATTCTTTGAGTATATTTTATATCATCTCTATTACAATCACACTCCTTTCTAAAGTCATAGCTTGCCTTCCAGCAAGATATTCAAGACTAATTCATTCTCAGTTACCACGAGTCATTCCTTTGTGGTTATATTTCCCCCAGAGTAATATATCCTGCCACTTCTTTCTCTGTCATATTGTCATATTGTTAGAATGATGAATTCTAGCATACTTCCCAAATAATTATTTTCAGTTAATCTGTCTATAAAATCTCTTTATTTTTAACAGAGTCAACAAAATGTACTGAGTGGGCACAGTCAGCAAACATCTCTACCCAGTCAGACACAGAGCACTCTTACAGCCCCACTGTATAACACTATGGTGATTTCTCAGCCTGCAGCCGGAAGCATGGTCCAGATTCCATCTAGTATGCCACAAAACAGCACCCAGAGTGCTGCAGTAACTACATTCACTCAGGACAGGCAGATAAGGTAGTTGTCATATTTCATTTGTTATTTTTAAAATTGTAAACCGATTGATTAGAAAACAATAATTTGATTTCTTAATCAAATTTTTTAATGTGATTTTAATGAGATGCTCACTGCAGCCAATGTTCTTAAATTTGAAATAAAAACACTGAATGTATTCATTGTTTAAAGACTTCATAATTAAAGGGTAACAACAAATTTTTTTTCTTGTCCAAAAATATGCTACAAAATATTATAGAATACAAATTCTGCAGCACACTGTTAGAAAAGGTTTATGACAGGCTCTGTGTCACTGTGAAGCTTTTGTCTTTTCAATATAGATGCTAGAGAATTTCCATGTAGTAACAGTGGTTAGGGTAGCTTACCTTTTTTAAGTTTGTTAAATGCTCAAAATATATTATCTCAAATAGTCATTTATTAAAAGAAAATGTATGTGAGGGCCTCCTTTTATTTCCCAGATAAGAAAAAAGTGAGTTTTCAGTAATTAGCCAAGGGATCTATAGCTAGTTAAGGTGATGAGGAAGGGAACTCTGAACACAGACCTTGGTGTCTTCATTTCAGTGCTTGAGTGCTTAAGCATATATTACAGGAAGGTTTTGTGGACTGCTCTGGAAAAACAACCATCTATAACTTATTTTAGTGCACTGATCACCTGAGTAGTGCACATTCTATCCAATATGTAGTTTTTTATCCCTCACCCCCACCATCCTCCTCCAAAGTCTATTATATCACTCTGTATGCCTTTGCTGTACCCATAGCTTAGCTCCCACTTACAAGTGAGAATATATGGTGTTTGGTTTTCCATTCCTGAGTTACTTCACTTAGAATAATGGCCTCCAGCTCCATCCAAGTTGCTGCAAAATGCATTATTTTTTCTTTTTTTATGGCTGAGTAGTAGGCCATGGTGTATACATACCACATTTTCTTTCTCCACTCATTGGTTGATGGGCACTTAGGTTGATTCCATATCTTTGGAATTGTGAACTGTACTGCGATAGCCATATGTATGCAGGTGTCTTTTTGATACAGTGACTTCTTTTCCTTTGGGTAGATACCCAGTAGTGGGATTGCTGGATCAAATGGTAGATCTACTTTTAGTTCTTTGAGAAATCTCACGTTCCCACCAGCAGTGTGTAAGTGTTTTCACCACATCTGTGCCAACATTATTGTTTTTTGACTTTTTAGTAATGGCCAGTCTGGCTGGGTAAGGTGATATTTAATTGTGGTTTTAAGTTGAGTTTCCCTGAACATCTATCTTTTGAGGGGGACAGAAACCACATCTTAGCAAACATTTGAAGGCCTACCTAGATGAGTATGGCATCGTTCCTTCCCCAAGGGAAAGACCAAACTAGTAAAAGCAATAGAAAGATAAATCGGTATTGTTTGGGGTGATGAATACTTCAGAGGTCTTTAGAAAGGAGGAAGTGAGCAGTTTTTTGTTGTGTTGTGTTTTGTTTTGTTTTGTTTTTGTAAGCAGTTTCATGGGTTGAGGCAAGCAGGTGAATAAAGGTGTGGTCAGGAAAGCTTCACCAAGGCAGAGATACTTGCCCTGACTCTTCAAGACTTGAGCTTGGCTTTGGATGTGGGTGTGGCATGGAGTCTAGGGAGGCATTCTGGGCAGAGGGAGCCCAGAGTATACAAAGCTGCAGAAGTGTGAGTTACACGAAAGCAGATTAAAGAAAATATTCTTATCACATTTACCAGTGAGCCATGGGCTAATTCAGGTATTAATTTAAGATTATGGAGAAATCAGCACTTAGTACTTCTGTGACTAAGTGTACTTTGTAAATATTACTTATTTCTTTGGACTTTCTTAATATGGACAATTTTAATTCTTTTTTGTTTTGCATTAAAGTATTTGGTTGTGTAGTGTATAAAATAGAGTATTTTATTGTCAAGATCTGTACTAAGTGTAATATTGTTACATAAACAGTTTGTAAATACAGTTATGTCATGCCACATCTATGTTAGTGTCATATCTCACTGTAATGACCAATGTTATAAACTTCATCTCACAGAAAAGGCAAATGGAAATAATATTGTTCCACAAAGAAGCATCATTTTTTTGGGGTTATTGTTCTTTCATTTCAAAAAGCAAAAGGAAGCAGGGAAAGAGGGAAAAATTAATGAATTCTAGCACAGAGGACGCTATGCTGCGTTGATGAATTTATAAATTGAGAGGAGTTTTTATTCACTGTTAGAATGTCATTTGGTTTTGAATTAAATTTGTAAGCTACAATTTTGTGTAAATTTCTTCTATAAACCTAGAGTTTAAAAAATACATTATAATAGCTTTGTTTATTCATGAACTGTGTGCCAGTGTAGCAGATGAATCATGTGCCACATATATCTGACACCCCTAGTACCTAGTAATTTTATAAAAAGAAAAAGGTTTTTTTTTATAGATTAAAAAAAATTTTTATTGTGGAAAAATACAAATGACATAAAAGTTACCATGTTAACCGTTTTAAAATATACAGTTCATTGTCACTGAGTACGATTGTTACCATCTCCCCTAACCATTTCCAGAACTTTTTTCATCTTCCCAAACAGAAACTCCATACCCATTATACAAGTCCCCATTCTTCTCTCCCCAACCACCATTCTACTTTCTGTCCCTGTAAATTGGACTAGTCTAAGTACCTCATATAAATGGAATCATACAGTATTTGTCCTTTTGTGAATGGCTTATTTTACTTAGGATAATGTTCTCAGGGTTCATCCATGTTACAGCAATTGTCAGAATTTCTTTCCTTTTTAAGGCTAAGTAATATTCTACTCTACTATGTTTTGCTTATTCATTCCGTCTGTCAATGGAGTCTTGGGTTACTTCCACTTTTTGGCTCCTGTGAATAATGCTGCTTATGATTATGGGTGTACAAATATCTCTTTGAGTCCCTGCTTTCATTTTGGGGGGTTATATAAGCAGAAGTGGAATTCCTTCATATAGTAATCCTATAGTGAATTTTTTGAGGAACTGCATACTGTTTTCCATAGTGGCTGCACCATTTTTACATTCCCACCAGCACTGCACAAGGTTTCTCTACTTGCTTGCCAACACTGGTCATTTTCTATTGTTGTTTGTTTTTTATAATAGCCATCCTGATGGGTATAAAGTAGCCTCTTGTTGTGGTTTTGATTTGTATTTCCCTAATGATTAGTGATGTGGAGCACCTTTTCATGTGCTTATTAGCCATTTGTGTATCTTCTTTGGAGAAGTGTTTGTTCAAGTTTGACCTTTGCCCATTTTTTTAATTGGGTTGATTGTTGTTGAGTTGAAGGAGCTCTTAGACATTCTGGTTACTAATCCCTTATCAGAAGGATGATATGCAGATATTTTCTCCCATCTGTGGGATGGGACAGTTACCTTTTTACTCTGTTGATAGTGCCCTTTGATTCACAAGATTTTTAATTTGATACAGTCCAGTTTATCTGTTTATCTGTTCTTTTGTTGCCTGTACTTTTGGTATCATATCCAAGAAATTATTGCTAATTCCAGCTGCTAACTATTGCTAAATCCAATGTCATGAAGCTTTTCCCCTATGTTTTCTTCTAAGAGTTTTATAGCATTAGCTCTTATGTTTTGGTCTTTGGTCCATTTCAAGTTAATCTTTGTCTGTGATGTGAGGTAAGGATCTAACTTTATTCTTTTGAATGTGGATATCCAAAGACGTTTTGTATTTTTGTTACACATTGATCTTGCTGTATGAATTTTTTGTTTTACTGTTACACCAAAGGGAATCTTTTAAAATGAAACAAAGTAGGAATATACAGACCTTGAAAAACAAACTGGCAATGTCATTGGGTATTATCTTAGGTAAGTATTTACTCCACTGCGTTTTATGATGTATACCTTGTACTTTGGACTCCAATTTTTTTCCTTCTTTCTTCTAACAGATTTTCTCAAGGTCAACAACTTGTGACCAAATTAGTGACTGCTCCTGTAGCTTGTGGGGCAGTCATGGTACCTAGTACTATGCTTATGGGCCAGGTGGTGACTGCATATCCTACTTTTGCTACACAACAGCAACAGTCACAGACATTGTCAGTAACGCAGCAGCAGCAGCAGCAGAGCTCCCAGGAGCAGCAGCTCACTTCAGTTCAGCAACCATCTCAGGCTCAGCTGACCCAGCCACCGCAACAATTTTTACAGGTAATTCTCCCCATGGGGAAGCTGCTTCAAACTCATTTACTTTCATGTAATGAAATTAAGCATTAAGTGAACAGATTTGTGAGTGATGTGAAAAATTCACAAAAGCTTATTGTACAGTTTAAATCTCTACAAAGATAGAAAGCTTGTTCTGGTTGGCGATTTTTTTTCTTCCCTTGCTCAGTCGTTGGAAGACTTTAGACGTGCCATTGGGCATACCCAGTTATCAGAACTGCTGGACAGAGTGAGTGGCCTACTTCCTGCCCACCTGTTTTCTTAGTCTCTGGCTAGAGTTTCTGGAACTTAAGCAAGCACCTCTTTCCTCCTTTTTCTAGCCAACCATAAACTCTGCTCTGTACAGAGCAGGGATTTCTTTTTACTAGTATAGGTGTTACCTTAAATTATTTTGTTGAATTCAATCTTATTATAATTTTTCAGTTGTAAATTAATATCAGAGGAGAAATACCATGGAGGTGTAGTATATCTATGAGCTAAGTATATGTATAGCTAAGAACTTGGGCTGTAAAGTCTAGCTGCCTTGGGGTTGAGTCACTGCTGCACCACGTACTGCGTGACCTTTGGCAGGTTGCTTACTCTTGGTAAACGTCACGTGTAAAGTGGAGGTCATAATAATTGATACCTCATGGATTAATAGTGCTTGTAAATCACTGAATATAAGACAAGGCACATGGCTAGCTGTTATTTGTGACCGCTATATTGACAAATGTAATAGACACTTGGATTAGCCAAAATATAGACACAGATATCATTTAGTGAATCAGACAGGCTCTCCTTATCTATAGGATACAGAAGAAAGTCACTAGGCAAGATCCTCAGCAGAGAAATGTACAAAACCCTTATCTGGACCTCAGGATCCTCACTAGAAATCTACCTTTTCCCCTTCTGGCCTAGCTGGAGCAATTTTGAATGTAGGCTAGTCTGTATGTGTACTAGAGACCACTTCATCTAGGCTGGGCACTTATCATCAATTTCTGGGTTATATAACATGTGATGTGATTATTGTACTCTATATTCAGGCATAAATATAGTCTTAATTTGTCACCCTTTGTGTCCTGGTCCAAATATAATCCTTGTCTTTGTGATGTAGAAAACTAAAACAGGCTAGTTGCCTAAATATCTGAGAGTCATACAGTCTTTTAGACCTTAAGCCTATGCTGCAGACATAACTGGGGTAGCTACTATTACAAATAAAGAAATAACAACAATTTAAAACAAGTTCTAAATTATTATGTAGGGAAAATGTATCCAATGAGAATTAAGCATAAGCTAAAAAAAGGAGAGGACCTGCCTTAACATCTCAGTCTTCTAAGTATGTCAAGGAACAAAGGCCCTTAAAAGAATAAACATTCTCAAAAAAAAAAAAAAAAAAAAGGCATCCCAAAGACATAGGACCCACAAAGAAATAAGATAGGCAATACCCCTCATAAATACACTTGTATGTAGGTAATAAATACACAATTTGGCTTTTCTAAATTATGTAATACCTAGTTTTAAAACATGCTCCTGTTGTAATCTTATAAGGCTCATAAGTATCAAGTCTTTGCCTTACACAGCTTTTCCTAATAACAAAGAGAGAAAGAAAACTCTGAAGATCCTTGACAAAGTGTAGTAGTCTTTAAGGTTTGTCAGGGATTTGCTCTTTTGTGTGTGTGTTTGTGCATGTTTCTTTCATATACATTTGCAAAAATTGCCCACCACAGCTCCATTTTGAAATTAAGAACCCTGCATCAAGTTGTACTGTCAGTAATGGGGAAAGGACTTTCATTGTAAAAATTCACTTTCTTTCTGTTAACATTTTTTTGTATCTGAGAGTTTTACATTAATGAACAGCATGTCAGAAGTACAAATTTGGTGAAAGGAACAGAGGCTCATCTATTTGAGTCTTGCCCAGAGTCACACAGCTTACTTATGTAAATGGCAGAGCAAAACTCAAATGCAGGGCTTCTGTCTGCAAATCCTGTGCCTTTTTTCATTTTGTTTTGTTTGTCTGTCTTTATACCACACTGCTGCTTATCGGACCTAAGGCTGCAACTTTGCCTTCATATTTATGATGCTTTTAAATAATATTAATATTTAATCTTTATTAAGAACCCAATGTGGTAGGCACTGTTATTCCTATTTTCTAAAGAAAGAAACTGAGGCCCAGAGAAGTAAACAGCTTGACCAAGTCACACATGTGGTAAGTAGGGCAGCCCAAGTTTGAACCATTCAGTCTACCTCAGGGCCCACCACGCTCCTGGCCACTTAACTGTGCCGCTCTAACCAGCTGAGCGAACCTGTGTGCAGAAGGCATTGTCTGTCTGGCCTCAGAGTATTTGTTTTTCATATAGTCATAACTATGCTCAAATTTTGTAATTTAAAATATGGGTCTTTAGGACATAAAGTGAAAGAACGTGTGTGATTTGGCTCAAGATATAGATTGCTTTCTATACCATAAAATCTGTAGCTCAGATTCCTTTAAAAAATGAAACTCTCTCATACTTTCAGAAAGAGGGAAGGCCTCATAAGCATTTTCCAAATTAGAATTTTTAAACCAGAGAGTGAAAGTGATATGCATTATGTAGAATTTTAAGGATTTTGTCCCTATGGACAGGGGAGAGTGTGAGTAACTATTATGTGGGTGCCATAAAGGGAGTAAAGCAATGCTGCATAATCCATTTGTTTTTTAGACTTCTAGGTTGCTCCATGGGAATCCCTCAACTCAACTCATTCTCTCTGCTGCATTTCCTCTACAACAGAGCACCTTCCCTCAGTCACATCACCAGCAACATCAGTCTCAGCAACAGCAGCAACTCAGCCGGCACAGGACTGACAGCTTGCCCGACCCTTCCAAGGTTCAACCACAGTAGCACACGTGCTTCCTCTCTTGACATCAAGGGAGGAAGGGGATGGCCCATTAAGAGTTACTCAGATGACCTGAGGAAAGGAGGGAAAGTTCCAGCAGTTTCATGAGATGCAGTATTGAGTGTTCTAGTTCCTGGAATTAGTTGGCAGAGAAAATGCTGCCTAGTGCTACAGATGTACATTAAATACCAGCCAGCAGGAGGTGATCATAGGGGCATAGCCAGTTCTGACAGTGTTTTAGGTGCCTGGATATTTTTTGATGGAAAAAGAATATATTGCCAAATATTAAGAAGCTCAGCTATGAAATGACCTCCAGGGAATCAGAAAGGCACTAATGATGTTAGTAACTTTTAGTGGTTCTGTGCCTCTTATCAAGTGTTACAGAGGACATACCACTGCCATGTCAGGGGTTTGCTTACAGTGATGCCATGAAGACAGTCCAGTAGACTTGGTAGCGACCCCCTCCCCCAACCCCTCTCCCTTTTCAGATAATGATGGAACAGTAATTACTTTCAGAATGTTGTGTGGGTTCAAATTCTCTATGTACAGATGATGTAAAAATATGTATATGTCTAGATAAAAGGAGAGAAAGCAAAACATTTTGTATGCTGCATGAAAGCGTTATCTCTTCCTTACAGGTGTGAGCACCTTTCCTGAAATTCTGACACCATGTGCAAACTGATCCATCCTGTTTTTCCTTTTGTTTACAACACAGTAGTGTTCTGTTCACTTTTCCGGGGCACAAGTTTTTTTGTTCATACTTTGGCTGTGATGTCACAGTTTGTTCAGTGAGGTATGATGTGCTGCTGGGAATGGATTTTTTTTTTCAGGTTAAATTATTGATACAACAGGATTTTCAAGTTATTCAGAAATATCCCTCATTTCATTATTTTTCAATTATGTTTGAAAATAGGATTTGCACTGCTTTATTTTAGGTGGCTGGGAGTTTTGATTGCATATTTTGTTATAGTTCATAGTTGGAAATATTTGCGTAAATGGTTTTCAACAAGCCTGAAAGTAATTTCAAGAATGTTTCAGTTATAGAGGTAAAATTTGCACACAAAACATCTTAGGCACTTTTTAACATTCTCAATCATGGGAATTTTAACTTTTGGGATTTGTTGAAATCTTTTTTATTATCCTTCACAATTTCAATGCTTCTTTTAGTCAGAAATGATTCAGGGTTATTTGAGGGGAAAAAACCCCATAGTGCCTTGATTTTAATTCAGGTGATAACTCACCATCTTGAAGTCATTGTCCGGTTTCCGTAGCAGTTTTGAAACCTTAGTACCTTTTTAACAGCATGTGGGTGTCAGTGTCATTATTAGTCTCCTAATAAGTTCCTCTGAAGACTGCTATCAGTCTCTTGGACTGGAGGTACAAATAATTTAGAAATAAAAGATGATAACCTAACACTATCATAGTTATTAATGTGATCCTAAAATTGTTTCCTAAATCAGCATTTTTCTTTAGTCATTTAAGAATTTACCAGAAATATTTGCTCAATATGATCTTGATATTCCTACAAAGAAAAAAGAAGGGGTAGGGATTTGGCTATGCCTTCACTACAACATTAGAATATTGTAACTCACATGCCTTCTAAACGTGAACTAAGATTTCCTTTGGCAATATCATATTCTAAAAGTAATAAATTCCAATACAAGTTACATACATTTAAAAAACATTTTACAGATTTTATGGTACTAATGAAATTTACAGTGATAGAACAAAAGAGGATTAGTAGAAAATACATTATTAGAATATAAAAAATGTTATTACTGAGGAAAGGGAGGAGAGGACAAGTGTAATAAATCAAAATTGACCTCAAAAGAAAATGTGTAACAGAGTTGAGGTTGTTAAAACAGAAAAGGTTCTGAATAATGAAGATTAACCTAATGCAGAATTGCTAGGTAAAGAGGTCAGGGGAATGCTAAGCCAGTTCTTAAGACTTCTCTGTCCTCTGCTTTGCTGTTATCCTTAAGGCATATACTTTGTCTTTCTGCAGAAAATTCTACCTGGCTACAATTACTTTGAACATTAATGTTGAAAAAGAAAACAACCAAAGAAAATTGGTACTTACCCTTCTACAAAAGAAGTGTGACTAGATATCAATCAGTAATTAACATATCAAGGAGCTCTTCTAGCTAAATGACCATCCAGTAGAGATTTCCCACATTCCCATGAATATCAAGAATAGTTGTCAGAATATGTATGTACCTGAGCATATGTACACAGACAAGGGGGATGTTGTGGAATATGGCAATAGCATTGTTCTTCTCCCCTTTCAAATTGCCTTTCTTGACCTTATGCCATTCCATATATATCTGAGTTGTGCCTCATTTATTTATTGGCAATACCTAGTGATACGGATTTAGCTAACAAAAGATATGAAGAACTATTATATTGAGGCCTGTCCTCTACATACCACACTTAAAAGATGGTGAACTGTGAGTACTACTTAGGTTGACAGCAACAAAGCATAAGACAAGCCCCAGGTAAACGTCTAAACTGTTTACTCACATTGTCCTACTCCAGCCCCTTCAATTATTTCCCATCTCCACAAATAGTCGGGGGAAAAAATTAAAATTTTCCTTTATGATTCTTACTGTTCTTCGCAGCTCATCTTTTCCTGCTTAGAATTAACCATTGCTAATTTAAAGGAGCAGCTAGCTGCTTTTCTGTCAGTCTGAAGCGTAGTAGTGGAAGAGGTAGTAAGCACCAGCTGCCTCTTTGCTGCTTTGTTTTCCTCCTGATTCTCTTAAATTTGGGTTGCAAAGCTATCCCGCCCCCCACCCTGCCCCATGAAACTTGAGCATTCAAATGAAGATTCAGCAGTGTCTGTTCTTCATTTCTATAGCCAAAGCTGTTAGTTAAAATCCCAAATCTATAGCATTTAAAGATACCAAATAGAAACACCTTCCAGCTTTAAAAAAAAAAAAAAAAAAGTCTTCCCTCTGCTTTATTCTCACTTTCTTAAAAACACTTATTCTGGGTGGTACTTTTTAGGTAAGAAACTACTGAGTTTCAGGAAAAATGCTAGCTACTCTGCAGTTACCGTGCTTTGGACTTGCAGTTATCATAGTTTTGGGAGAGTCAGTATTGTTTAACAAATGCAAGTGAGAACTAGAAGGGTTAATAAAGTTGCTCCTTAGAGTGGTGTCAAACCAGAACCGAGACACTTAAAAAGTACTTCATTTTTTGAATGGAAAATATTGGAGAAAAGTATGGGAGATGCAGGTAGCATGTGAGTAAATACTACGGTCTAGCCTTCGAGCATCCCAAATTCCGGGGGTAACTTGACAGTGCTGTGCTCTCCTTTGTCATTTATATCTGGCTTAGGAATGGAATAGTAATAACAAGATGCCAGTGATTTGGAATAGTTTGTTATAGAACATTCAGTGCAAAATAGTGAAAATGTTTGGTCTTCAGAAGTGCTGTAGTTGTTGGTCATTGCCTTAAAGCAGTCTGCTTGACGCTAGGAGCACTGAAGCAGTCCAGCTCCATCAAGAGCACTGTTGAAGGGAGAAGAACCCTTGTTCAGGAAGCCTTAGAAAGGGATCCTTAAAATAGTACTCTACGCAGACAAGTGAAAATTCTTTTAAACTGGATATTACTCAACATGTTTTCAGATGTTTCCACTACATTGAGGCAAACTTTTTAAAAGTGGAATGCAAATAGCATTTTACTTTAGTATTTCTGCTTTTTTCTTTCTGTTTCTTTGGTAATTGAAAGTTTGTTGATGAATATTTGTGTAAAACGCATTCAAGTCTATAACCTTTCCAATTACCTGTGGCCCTTAGTCCCACAGGAGTCCCTGTTGGAAGGGGGTAAACACTGGATATTAATGTTGCTGAGTGAGTCTTTCTAGCCAGGACAAGCTGATTGGAATTTTTGAATGGTAGAGAAGAAACAGCACAAAGGCACTTGCCATTTTAAGTGTTTGGAGAAAGAGAACCTTTTAAGTTTGGATTGGGTGAGCTTTCTTCTAAAAGGAGCTTCTGAAGTAATTGCAAAGGAATAGAATCGACTATTTTTATAGTATATTTAATATATTTGTATATAACTATAATAGGAACCCTCTACATGCCTCCCACTTTTCTAATTTACTTCCCCTTTTGCCATAGCACTAGTATAGCCTCATCCGCATGGGTAATGTGCCTATTGTCAGCCTACCAAAAGATAGTGCTGCTGCTTTATGAGACAGGTGAGAAGACCCAACTCTCATGCCTGGGGATCCTTTACGGAAGGAATAGCACACACTTTTAAAACAACATACCACAGTCTAAAAGCATCATTTTGAAATGTAACAAGCACTTTATTGCAATTACTCATTTTGATAAAGTTTATTCTTAGGCGTTAACCATTTCTAAAGGATCCCCAAATCATCACTTACTTAGGTGAAATTATATAAAATGACACATTTCTGAGAAATGTTTAGGTCCAGTGAACCGTAGTTGGTTTATGGGAGTGATTTCAAGATAGCCAAATGAACTTTGATTTTTGTTTTGAATGTGGTGGAGTCAAGAGATTGTAGATGCCTAGTTTGATTTAAACACTATTGTAAACCTATCTTGCCTATTGTGTGGACACCAAAAGAGACCAATGAGCCTGTTTATTTTTCAGAGGTCTAGGAAAATTGCATCCGTGTGAGTAGATGTACAGAACTAATCTAAAAGTGATTGCTAGTAACATTTTAGAATATAATAATTTCAAGAATTATTCTGAGTGTTTTAAATGTGCCCTGAAATGTTGGCATGTCATTTCAGCATTTCCATTTGAATTGCTCTTGTAATATTTTTGCACAAAAAGGACTGAGAAAAAGAATACTTTGGTTAAAGGAAAAAAATAGTATAATTTGGTCTTTAATTTTAATGTCTCCTGTGGAAACACTGGGGATGAATTTTGTTGGCACAGTTATTCAGGATATTTAAAACAGTGTTGAACAGTTCACAAGAAATTAAGCAAACTTGGATTTTAAAAATTAAAATACTTTCTTTCCATGTGACTGTTTTGCATAGTTTTTTCCCCCTATGTCATAACACTACATTCCTTGTTTTTCTTAAATAAAATACTCTGCAGGTTTTGTTGTGAGTGTTTATAACAGTATTTTGTAAGCTGCCTGGGTTTCCTCAGGGAAACATTATTTAGTGGAATAGGATATAGTTTATGGAGAGACAACTAAGTGAAATTCCATCACCACCACCAGCAAACACTGAGGTGCTGCATTAAGTGACAATCAAACTAGTAAGTATTTATGAAAGAATTTAGAAAGGGGTTCAAAGAAGCAATTGCTTTTAAAGCAGTTCTCTGGGGTTCTTGAATAAAAATGGCTAAATGTATTTATTTATATTTTAAAATACCTGTGTGTTCTGTTTTCTCATCAAAGTGATTTCGGTGTCATGTATTTAATGTGTGGTTTGTTTTGTTTTGCACCATATTCTTCTTAGGGAACTGGCTCTGATTTGGGGTGCAGTCACCAACTCTCATGATAATCTTTACGGACAGTCTGAATCTACTTTACTTCAGGACGGCAGTGGAGGGGCCAACTCCAGATGCCCCTGCACTTCCCTCCTCAAGTCATCTAAGAAAGAATTTTAGAAATAACTCCTTTCAAATCTGATTCATACAGTTCCAACCTTTTTCTAGTTTCACTTGCTGCCTTCTTTGTTTTATGGGCACTTTTTGTGTGATTACTTCCCCAACACAGTCAAAGGCCAGTATGACAGAACCAATGGCACATGATGCCTCTATTTTGCCCATTTGGGGAAATGTTAGTAAAAGAAATAGCATCTTTTAATGGCTGTCATTATCATATCCATATTAAAATCCATTTAAAGTTCTTAAATTTGGCGGAATAATGTATACAGGCTGTAAACTTCTACAAAAAATGTTTGCTGTCTTTAATATGGTGTCAAGTTACTTGGTCCTTTGAAAACAAAACAAAACTTCCATACACAGCACTGCCCAGTAAAGCAGTGTTGGAATATTGGAAACCTAGACATTTGAGGATCCTTCTTGCTCACAAGCATTGGAACAGAATCCTCCACTTTAGGACTCAGAGAAGCTATGGAGTCCCACAGGCTAGGTATAGCACACAACTTAGAGAACGGTAGTTAAAGCACGTCAACCACAATTGAATTTAATGATCTAAAAAATATTTCTTAACTCTGAGGGTTAAACTGAAGATACGTTTTCAAATAAAAGCTTTTAAATTTCTTAGGAAACAAACTGTGACATCGCTTTTAAAAATGACATTCAAATGTTTATAATGTGTGTTTTTGAGTTGGCTTGGACTAGTGCAAGTTCACTGCTGGCAATGGTTATGCCAGTAGTTAAGTTAAAATAAGTTGTTACCTTCAGATTGATGTCTTGTATAACCAGACAATCATCTTCAAGCAAAAAAATTGGCCAGGAAATGTCTTTTTAAAAAAAAAAAAAAAAAAAAAGATGTGTCAGCCAGAACAGTTACCATTCAGACCATACTGGAATGATTTTGAAATCTTTACTATGGTTTAAGTTGGGGAAGGCCTCAGTATGGCATTTTCATATTCACTCTATGTAAAGATTGAAGCCCAAAGATGAGTTAAATTCAGTGCTGTATTGAAACCAGTCAGTGCAAAAAAAAAAAAAAAGTTTTACCTTTGTAAATTTTTCATTGTTAACATCAGTTGGTAGTTGTTAAAACATGCACCAAATTCTTTATAATGTTCTGTGTGGTTCTCAATGTGATATTCTTGACATTGCTGTCCTTACTGCTTGGTTCTTGGTTTTAAATTAAAAAGTAGATGTAGCTCATCATTTTTACTTCCAAAACGGTGGAGCTAAAAACGGCTAATTGATCTTGAGATAAGAATACCCTTTACTAAGGCAAAGATTTAATTGAAATCCAAAATGATTTATAGAAACGAAAGGCATTTTCCATTTGTTGTCTTCTGCCGAAATTCTGAATTGCATACACACATGAAGGATAATGAATGGTTTCAACGGTGCTATATTAGGTTCTCTGATTTTCATGACCTATGTATGTTTGGAAATACAATATTGTATAAAATGTGGATCGTTTTGTTACCGATTTAATATTGCCATTTTAATTTGGTGTAACAATTGGTTACACTTGTTTTTCAAAGCTATCCTTTGAGGAGAAAGTCAAAATGTGTTGTTAGCCTACCTCCACTCAGGCCTCTTGCTGTGTAATCATTATTCCAGGTTATGATGTGCATAGCTTTTAAAACTGCGTGTACTATTATTCTGCTCTTTCCCATACTCTTGTCATGTATTCAGAACCTAAACTTATAGCAAAAGAGCCAAGCAGTAGCAGTTTTTGTAAATGTAAAAATAATTAGATCCAGACTTTGTTTCCTTCAATTTTAAAAATAAAAAATACCTCAGTGCTATGTTTTTCAGTTATCACCTGCATTTCTCAAAAAATAACACCTGCTTCATGTGGCACATAACTTGTAAGAATCACATTTTGGATTTTAAAGAAAGACTATTAAATATTTTAAGATCACTATCAATGACATTTCCCTTTCTTTTATTCAACAATGGAGCCTATTGCAGTAGCGATTTTTACCTTATAGCTTAGGTCTGACTTACCAAAAATTCTCAGAGGAATTATGTCCTGCTACAAGATTGTGGTGCCTCAGAATGCGATGCTGTTCTTATTCGCATATGAAGCTAGTAATGGGACCAAGCTACCTGAACTGAGGTTACACGATGATGGTGCCAGCTACTCCCTACGAGGAATTGTCTTTTCTGTTGTTATTAGAAAAAACGGTTGGGTGCGGTGGCTCACGCCTGTAATCCTAGCACTTTGGGAGGCTGAGGTGGGTGGATCACCTAAGGTCATGAGTTCAAGACCAGCCTGGCCAACATGGTAAAACCCTGTCTCTACTGAAAATACAAAAAAATTAGCCAGGCGTGGTGGCGGGCACCTATAATCCCTGCAACTTGGGAGGCTGAGGCAGGAGAACTGCTTGAACTCAGGAGGCAGAGGTTGCAGTGAGCCGAGATTGCGCCACTGCATTCCAGCCCAGGTGACAGAGTGAGATAGATTGTCTCCAAACAAACAAAACGTATTAGTAGGCCAAGCATGGTGGCTCACGCCTGTAATCCCAGCGCTTTGGGAGGCTGAGGTGGGCGGATCATAAGGTCAGGAGTTCGAGACCAGCCTGGCCAGCATGGCGAAACTCCATCATCTCTACTAAAAATACAAAAAATTAGCCAGGCGTGGTAGTGCACGCCTGTAATCCCAGCTACTCGGGAGGCTGAGGCAGGAGAACTGCTTGAACCCGGGCGGTGGAGGTTGCAGTGAGCCAAGATCACACCACTGCACTCCAGCCTGGGCGACAGAGTGAGACTCTCTCAAAAAAAAAAAAAAAAATACTAGTGAGAATTCCTCACTCTTTCTTTATAACAAACAAACAATCTAAGGCAATATAGACTGTCTAACCACAGAGTTTATCTTAATCCACAGACATTGTTTTCTACCCTTTGATACTTCCTATAGCAGAAAACTACAAATATGACCTTTTTTACCAACATGTGCTACTTCTAACTTGGCATTTAAGCTGAAAACTCCTCTTAAGATCTCCACAGTAGTAGCTATCATCTTCCTCACAGAGTTACCATGTAGGACAATTGCTGCATCCTACAGTGCTGGATGATTAACTGGGTTCTTTCACAATCTCTTCAAATTGCAGACTACATTGTGGACCTTTGTAGTAGCTCATAAACCTGAATTGCTCTGGGTCTCCTATTATACCTCACACAAATAACATGGATGTTTCTGTAGAATTGTCCTTCAATTTAGTGAGGCTATTAATGGGAATGTTACTGCATATGATTCTAGAATATAAAAGGCTGAGAGAAAGCAGCTGTTATGCTACTTGGGTGAAGTAGTAGTCAAATCAAAATATACTCAAACGAGGGTGACGACTGAAGTTGCCATGAAAAAATGAGGTAGTCTTAGCATAATGAATGACATTAGGCTCTGGAATTAAACCGCCTGGTGTGACTCTACCATGTAACCTTGGGTGAGTTAGTTTTTTTCTTTTTTAACCTTATATTAGTACCTACTACCTCACAGAACTGTAAGGGTGACAATGCTTTCGAACAATGCCTGGCTCCTGTTTAGCTACTTTAGGCATATCTCAAATATTTAATATGTTAGTGTTTTTACATCAGCTTTAGAAATTGGCCTATCAATACTGATAATTTTATATGACACACAAGGAAAAACAAGCACTGGTCATACCACTTTTATTTATATTGTTATCTATGTTACATTGTTTATTCAATATAGAAAAAATATGAATACATTCATAGTATTCTCTTTTAATTTGGTAATTCCACATTGTCAAATATTGACTGTTTTTATATTGGGTGTCCTACCCAATTAAAAAAAAAAGAGGAAGAATGACCTGGCAGACAGTTCTTGTTGTGCCATGTTATTGATATAACAGCAATATCATATATGTCTCTTTTTTTAAACACCTAGTTTTGAAAAGACCAATGATTAAACTACTGTTTACTGGCTCAGGGAAATGTTTTAAGAAATAGAAATTAATTCATTCTTTCCCCAAGAAAAACTTTAAGGTAAACATCTTAAAACACCTAAGTGATGAAGGAGAAAATTTGTATTCCTTAAAAAGGGGTCAGTGCTGAAAGAAAATTGCATGGTAGACCCCACTGCACAACGGTTCTGCACCAAAAGAAAAATGAGGACCATATTAACATAATTATGTTGGAGAGAAGAAAAACCCACACTTAGAAGTCAGGTTTCTTTTAAAACTCCTTGTTACAAATAGAATCAATGATTATATCTCAGACATAATAATGGGTCAAACTCACAAAATCAGTGCTACAAAATACAGTATTTTTCCATCACTTTTAGTTGTAATGTACACTATGTACAGAAAGATAATACTACCTATTTTAAACTAAATATAGATGAACAAACAGCTTGTTAAAAACCAGAATCAGGGCTTATAAATAGTGCAGAAAATGCAAACGCCAAAAAAACGATGCCTCCTATGATTGTCACTGGAAGAGAGAGAAAAAAAGTCAAATACAGTAAAATTCCTATACCTTGATACTGTACAAAATGAAAAGGGAGCCGATGAGGCGGCCAATTATTCTTCCAATCTATTAAACTAACCTTGAAAACAAATTAGAATCACTTCAACCCCTTTTACATAACAAGGAACAATACTTAACATGCTTGACTGTGAACACTAAGAATCAGGTTTTCTCCAGCACTGTTTTGAGAAATGACAGGATTGTATTAAATCCAGACAGTGCTGGCAAGCAACAGTAGAACTATAACTCATCTTAAAATCCAGTTATAAAAGAAAATGTTCAGGTCTTCTGACTAGCAAAGAGACGATTCTTCCATCTCTAGACCTAACTGTGGCTTCACAGGACATATTCAGCAGAATCAGTACATATGGTCTCCACATGATTCCAGTCTTGTAAGACACATTTTTAGAGCCAAAAACTTCTCATACTTCCAAATGACAATTGTTTTACTAAGATAATATGTTAACAAGAAGCTACTATGAATTCGATAAAAATGACTTTGTATTTTGCTAACTTCTACACAGGTGAAAAAAGTCCGTATTTGCAATACCAGGATTAATACCTCTATAAGAGATGGTAGGTAATTAGAAAAACCAAGTATACTTCAGCAGCAGAAATTTAAATAATCAAAGCTAACACCCTTTAATCTCTCAGTGATTCTAAAATGTTATCTGATTTGTAATTTTCAAGACTTACCAGTTCTGACAGAGATTTTCTGTGCTATCATTCTTCCTCCAATTACTGCCAATCCCGTGCACAGGCAGTGCCCCACAGTTCCACCCACGGCTACACCATAGGGGTCCTGGAAGCAAGCGTCACAGCATTAATTCAAAACCAAGGTGACAACTGCTGCTTGAGAACCATAACAATTCAGAAGCACTAAAAATGGTGGCCAACAATTAAAAAGCATAATAGTTATAAAAATGCAGGTGTATAATAAATTTATGAGAGGTGTAATGGCTGCTTGAAGGAATATGTACCAGTTATACTTAAGACTAGACCTAAAAGTTGAAATAACCCAAATCAATTTGTAAAGTCAAACAAATCCTGATGAAATAAAGCTAATCGAACCTTTCAGCAGTTATTAAACTTCCTTCACAGGCAATACGTAGCACTGCTATGACAAGTGCTAGGGAGGATTTTAAGCTAGACATCTGTTCCCTCAGATACTGCTTGGTATTAGGAGAAACTCAGTCAATCCTTCACAGAATAGTATGCCTCTGCTTCCTGGGAACAGAAACCCTGCCTCAGTGCCAGGAATCAAGGATTTATCCAGTGAACACATGTTACCTGAGCAAAGCAGACACTCAGATTAGGGGGAGAGGGGTATGTAGTAAAAGTTTCCCAGAAGATAGTCCTGAAGAATGAACAGGGCATAGTGAGAATGTGATTTTGTTTTGTGGGAGAAGGAACATGCTAAATAGAAAGCAAAGGCCAGCAGTACCAGACAACCAGCTGCAGAGCCCTTCAGCATTTCACAAAAGGAGGTCATGAGGGTAGGTGGGAGTCCAGGTGAGGGAGGACCCTATCATCTTGGAGTTTAAACTGTGTCCTCAGACACTTGTTGGTTTTTAGCTGGAAAGTAACAGAACAGATTAATGCTTCAGAAATCCGCTAGGCCAGGTGCAGTGGCTCATGCCTGTAATCCCAACACTTTGGGAGGCTGAAGCAAGAGGATTGCTTGAGCCTGGCAGTTTGAGACTAGCCTAGGCAACACAGTGAGACCTTGTCTCTACAAAAAAATTAAAAATTAGCCAGGCATCCTAGCAAGCACAAGTGGTCCCAGCTACTCGGGAGGCTGAGGTGGGAGGATCATTTGAGCCCAGGAGGTCGTGGCTGCAGTGAGCTATGATTGTTCTCCATCCTGGGCAACAGAGCAAGACCCTATCTCAAAAATTTTTTAAAGTCTAGTGGAGAGAAAGAACCAGAGGGGAACAAGACTGAAGGAAGGGTGATCCACTGCGATGCTATGGCAACAGCCCTGGGAAGAAACTGCGTTGCCCCAGATCGGGGCAGATGACTGTAGGCAAAGAGCAGGTGAATTTGAGAGAAATTAAGAAGGCAAAATTAACATACCTCCATGATAAATGAATGATAGGCTTTATGGAAAAATATCAGAGCCAAGCAGAGTGGAGCCAGCCACTCAGGAGGCTAAGGCAGAAGGATCACTTGAGGCCAGGAGTTCAAGGCTAGCCTGAGCAGTACAGCGAGATCCCGTCTCTTAAAAATAAAATAATGGTGCAGTGGTTCATGCATGTAGTTCCAGCTATTCAGGAGGCTGAGGTGAGAGGATCACTTGAGCCTGAGTTTGAAGCTACAGTGAGTTATGATCACACTACTATGCTACAAATTCCATCCTGGGTGACAAAGCAAGACTCCATCTCTTATTAAAAAAAGAAAAATAGGCTGGGTGCAGTGGCTCACGCCTGTAATGCCAGCACTTTGGGAGGCCGAGGAGGGTGGATCACGAGGTCAGGAGACTGAAACATGGTGAAATGCTGTCTCTACTAAAAATACAAAAAATTAGCCGGGTGTGGTGGCAGGCACCTGTAGTCCCAACTACTGGGCAGGCTGAGGCAGGAGAATTGGCTTGAATCCAGGAGGCTGAGGTTGCAGTGAGCTGAGATCGTGCCACTGCACTCCACCCTGGGTGACAGAGTGAGACTCCATCTCAAAAAAAAAATAAATAAATAAAGCATGACACCCAAGTTTCTCTCCCACAATTGATGAACTATGTATGGTAAGACCAATGTGATTTTTAAAGTTAAGAGTCAGTTGAATCAGGGTGGGTGGATGGTTCACACATGTAATCTCACCACTTTGGGAGGCCGAGGCAGGCAGATCACCTGAGGTTGGGAGTTTGAGACCAACCTGGACAACATGGTGAAACCCCATCTTTACTAAAAATACAAAAACTAGCCAGACTTGGTGGCACATGTCTCTAATCCTAGCTACTCGGGAGGCTGAGGCAGAAGAATCGCTTGGACCCAGGAAGCAGAGGTTGCAGCAAGCCAAGATTGTGCCACTGTACTCCAGCCTGGGTGACAGAGCAAGACTCTCAAAAAAAAGAGTCAATAAACCTGTTACAGAGAAAGCAGAAAGAGAAGAATGTTGATAGCATAATCATGAGGGACAAAGGCAGCATTCAAGGAAGGACAGAGAAAGAAGGGTCCACAGGAGAAAGCAAGTGAGGTGGCCAGCCAATCACCTCCTGTAAGGACCAACGGAGGCATCATGCAAGGCCACAGGGAGCTCAAAGCACAACAACATTCCTGGTGAGGCCAGAAACTGGGTTCCCATGGGCTAAGTATGCAAGGAGAACAGAGCCAAGGCTTATTCCCATCACAGCCAAGTCCTCTGACACTGCAGGAGGGCAAGAGTTGGATTTGCGATGTACAATTGAGAAAAGGGGCTTTTTTTTTTTCTTTTTAAAGGATGAGAAAAAATTGGTACACACGAACAATGCTCACAAAACGGCTGGGAGAAAGGCAAAATCTAAGCATATTATAAGGGTGGGATTCAGAATACAGGAGGGCAGAGGGGGCTGCCACTGTGATGGGTGGGAATGAAGAAAGGGAACTGCTACTGCTCTGAAGGAGAAGGGAAAGCCCGCTGTCGGGCAGTGTGTGTGCAGAGACAGGAAACTGGCTGAAGCATCCACTGTGAAGAATGGAAGACTGGGACTACATTTCCCAAATTCTACTTGTGTATTATAAACTGCTACCCATGAAGATGGTTCTATTTGAAAGTAATATTTAGGCCGGGCGTAATCTCAGCACTTTGGGAGGCCAAGGTGGTCAGATTGCATGAACTCAGGAGTTCGAGACCAGCCTCTGCAACATGGCAAAACCCTGTCTCTACAAAAAATACAAAATTAGCCAGGCATGGTGGTGGGAACCTGTAGTCCCAGACTCAGAAGGCTGAGGTGGGAGGATGGCTTGAGCCCAGGAGGTGGAGGTTGAGGTGAGCTGAGATTGTGCCACTGCACTCCAGCCTGGTTGACAGAGCCAGACCCTGTCTCAAAAAAAAAAAAAAAAAAAAAGAAAGAAAGAAAATATTTAAAAATTCACTAGATTAAGTAAAATAAACTAGTATTTAACTAGTTCCTTTAATATAGGACTTTCCAGTCTTTATTTGTATACTGAGTCGTCTTTTTTTTTTTTTTTTTTTTTTGAGATGGAATCTAGCTCTGTCGACCAGAGTGGAGTGCAGTGGCGCGATCTCGGCTCACCCGGGTTCAAGAGATTCTCCTGTCTCAGCCTCCCGAGTAGCTGGGACTACAGGCGTGGGCCACCATGCCTGGATAATTTTTGTATTTTTCACCATGTTGGCCAGGCTGGTCTCGAGCTCCTGACCTCAGGTGATTTGCCTGCCTCAGCCTCCCAAAGTGCTGGGATTAAACGCGTGAGCCACCACACCTGGCCCAAGTCTTAAAAAGAAAAAACAAAACGACAGGGATATATTATTTGCCAAATTTGACTCTGAATTTCTTCCTTCCCCCTCACCCTTTTTTGGCCTAGAACCAATTCAAGTCTCAAAGGACACTAGGATTATGTGAAATCCAATTTGGGAACATTAAATCATGTTGGAAGCAAAGATAAAACTGCATACTAAAATGGCCTGAACTAGACAACTGCATGGTTCATAAGAAAAATTACCAACAAAAATAGGAATACTAAGGGAACAGGAAAAGACACAACATTTCTGCCATTTAAGAGCTCATTAAATATCCCCGCAGGGCAGTTAGTATGGAAGTGTGGCTAACACTGAATGTGCCATGTGGGGGACCATGCTAGATACCCTGCGTGTGTTATTTCATCTGCAAACCGATCCACAAAGCAGGTAATCCCCATTTTTGGATGAGAAAATGCAGGGAAGTGCAGTAATGTGATTTTACAGCAAGAGACTCAAAACCCAGTCAGCACGTGCCATACTGCTAGAATGGACCAGGGTGTCTCGTAGGTAGGGAGCCTCAAGCCTTTCACACGTCACTCTATGGCATAGAGTCTATGCCACAGAGTAGAGAGAAAAACGCAGTGATTCTGCTGTCATGATAACTCACCCTGGTAGAATCACTACCACCTCAACAAAATGGTTACTTACTATTGAGTCCCAACTCTGGCAATCTGAGAGCCAATAAAAGGCTAGAAATCAAGAAGAATATAGGGTACAGCCATTAAATAAATAAATAAAATAAATAAATAAATAAATATATATGTATATATATATATATTTTTTTTTCTTAAGATAGTGTCTCACTCTGTCACCTAGGCTGGAGAGCAGTGGCACCATCTCGGCTCACTGCAACCTCTGCCTCCCGGTTTCAAGTGATTCTCCTGCCTCAGCCTCTCTAGCAGCTAGGATTACAGGCACCCGCTACCACGCCCAGCTAATTAAAGTGATATTTTTAAAGAAAGTTTGTTTTATGAGAATCAAATGAAAATCAGAGTTCCATTTTTTTTCCCCAAAATACAGCATTTTTGAGGCTTCCCTGACAAAATAGCCTTTCCCATCTATCTTAGTCCTGGCCTTCAACTGTCTTGTATTTTAAACCACAGCCTATAATTAAAGAACTTGTTCTTTTATGATAGTTCCAAGGAATTAGAAACAATTTTACTCTTATAAAAAGAGAATCTGATATAAACACAGATAAGAAATAGTATCAGTTAAGATGAAAAAGAGGTTGAAAAGTGGCAGCAGTATTCCATTCCACAACCGTCTCCACATGAAATCTTAATAAATCTGTGTGAACAATGACAGGCGCCTCATATAAAACCTTGCTATTCCCATCAAAAGAAAAATTAAAAAATAAAAAACCAATGGGCATGTTTTAAATAAGTGGCATTGAACAACTGTGAAGAAGGCCACAGCCAGCCAGCTTACTCCCTCACACAAGTCACCCGATCTCTCTGGGGGTCAGGTTCTTCATCTGAAGAGTAAAAGCTACAAGATGAGCTGAGGTCTCTAGCTTCCCACTCCAGAACTTAGGATTCTTGGGCTAAGACTTTTTGAACAAAAAGTTCCTACACAGAAACAAACAAGTCACCTAGGCCAGAGCAGTGACTCTCGCCTATAATCCCAGAAGGATTATTTGCGAGGCTGAGGCAGGAAGTTTCAGGCCAGGGGTTCAAAACTGGCTGGACAACATGGTGAGACCCCACCCCTACCAAAAAGTAAATAAATAAATTACCCATAATAGCAGTACGCAACGATAGATAAGCACTGAAATAAAAATAATGTTTTTATTTCCTTAAGTCTTTTTTGTTCTTTTTATATATTATTTATTTAATTTTTTGAGATAGCATCTCACTCTGCTGCCCAGGCTGGAGTGCAGTGGTGCAATCTAGGCTCACTGCAACCTCTGCCTCCCCGGTTCAATCAATTCTCCTGCCTCAGTCTCCTGAGTAGCTAAGATTACAGGCATGAGCCACCTTGCCCGGCTAATTTTTGTATTTTTAGTAGTAGGGGTTTCTCCATGCTGGTCAGGCTGGTCTCAAACTCCTGACCTCAGGTGATCCGCCCACCTTGGCCTCCTAAAGTGCTGGGATTACAGGCGTGAGGGACGGCACCCGGCCTTCTTTTTATATTTTAAAAGTAAACCTCCTTTTAAAATTTTTCCATGTCACTGAAATGATGTTGAAGAGTGAATATTCTAAGAGCTACACAGAGATTTGTAAACAGCTGAACCAATTTTCTGCTGGATTATTAGGCTGTTTCTAAATTTTTACTAAGTTACAATAATTATAAGTAGTCTGTGCAACAGTCAATTTCTTTAGTGTAACACATGAACGAAAAGCTATACACTTTTTTTTTTTTTTCAGACTGGGTCTCCCTGTCACCAAGGCTGGAGTGCAGTGGCGCGAACACAGCTCACTGGAGCCTCAACCTCCCAGGCTCAAGCAATCCTCCCACCTCAACCCTCCTGAGTAGCTGGGACTACAGGTGCATACCACCAAGCCCGGCTAGCTACACATTTTTAAGGCTTTAGGTATTAAACACCAAAATGGCCTTCAATAATATTATACTGATTTATATTCTCAACAACTATAAAAAAGAAAGTTCTATGATAAGAAAACCAAGCTAAGATGACAAGTACCACGGCATCATTTTGGCAAAACCAAAGGGAAAAGGATGAGTAAAAAGAGCCCAACTGAGCTTGGTTACAAGAATTTCACCTGCAGGTAGCAGGAACTGGGAGAAGGCCAATTTTAGAGAGCAGCTGAATTATCAGATGTAAAACAGTCTTGCATATGAAGGAATGCTGTGGCCCACTTCAGTGTGTCCAGTGTTTTCTGGAACAAAGTAATAATAATTACGTTTCATTTTAAACAGTCTCCTCTCAAATATCACTCACCTCTCTAGCTGCCAATACAATTGTAGTTAGTTGAGAGCGATCACCCCATTCTGCTAAGAATGTTAATGTAAGAGCTTGAACAAAAATGGGTGAAATAAAATGCAACCACTTTTTCTGAGGTACTGTTATGCTTGTACCCGTTTCAACATCTCCCGGTCCATTTAAAAGTTTGGTTCGTTGAAACTAAAATAAATAATAAACAAATGAAAGTAAGCACAGGAAGCAAATCAAAATAGCACACAAATCACTTGACTTTTCTAAGTGTTTAAATTCTATGAAATATGCTCCAAAAAAACTACATTTATGTGACCCCCAAACCTCCCCTCTGAACCACTGGTCTCACACAGCAACAAATGCTATAGTCTCAATTCTTCCGTTTCTCCTCAGCTGAACAAACCAAACAGTATTTACTGCTCTGCTCACTTACTATCCTAGACACCACGGGAGAAACAGGTAAAATTATAAAATACAGTTCCTGCTTTTCAGGAGCTTATAATCAACCTAATTAAGGAAACTGATTACCTGTGTTCAGTATTCATCTGTCAGCTTCCTTTCTCTACTACATTCACACCAACCCCAAGTCAGATCACAGACAGGTATAAGAACAGAACAAAGCAAAAGAAGCTATTTTTGTGTAGCCCCGCATATCACACAGATGGGGCCACTGAGAAACCTCTGTAGAGTGTTTATTCCTAGTTGAGTGCCTTTTTGGTCCAGATCAACAGTGCCATGGCTTACTTCTTCATCTTTCTTCTTTAATTCAGCTTGAACTTCTTCCAGTTCCTCTTGACCCTCATCAGGGCTCATCTTTAAGCCTTCCCGAAGCATTCTAATGCCAAAAATGGCAAATAATACAGTTGAAACATAGTATGTATAGACCCTGGGGATGACTGTGGTGGCATAGCCAAACAAAACTGGAAAAAATACAACAGTATGTTTGTTAATCGAGTGTGTATCACGACCAAGGGAACAGTTAACTTCGGAAATAATAATTTATCACTGTTAAAAGAAAAATGGTTCACATTAGAAGCTAATCTAGTATGTAATAACCTCAAGTATTTCCAGATCTTTCTCTCCACCAATAATAAACCATTAGGTCTAGCCCAGGCCTAACACAGCTTACTCAGAAGCCAATGGTCCAGTTGAAGATGGCACATCTTCCTGAGAGATGTTAAGTAAGATATTGAACTCCTTTCCAGGCATGTTCAGTCAGAGGCTGGCTTGCCTTATGTTGTGCAAGGCACAGTACCTGGGGTAGAAGTTAGCTCTGAGGCCCTCTCAAGAGCTGAGATTTTATAACTGGGAAGCCATGCCACTTGCATAGTGGAATTTCTTCATCACAAATCTTTAAATCACAAACTTCTAGTGAAGAATCATGACAAAAGTCTCACATAGCAAGATTTAAACTCTGCTCCCTTGTAACTATTTAAAATAAGTACGTTTTATGAAAAAAATCTAAAAATTTCTTATTATATTAAAATAATGTTACAACAGGCTCAAACATTCAGTTCCACTCTTTCCCACTGATAAGGAAAGACATCTGTGTAAGTTATATAAAAAATGATGCTTGGAACTATATCAAGAACTCAAATCCTAATGGTGAAACACAAGTATATCAGTAATACTCATTCAGTAATTAAAACTTAAAAATTTGGCTGGGCAAAGTGGCATAATCCCAGCACTCTGGGAGGCCACGGTGGAAGGATTGCTTGAGCCTAGAAGTTCAAAACCAGCCTGGGAAACATAGTGACACCCTGTCTCATAAACAAACAAAAACAACTATGTAAGGAACAGAGGACACGACCATACATATAATAAATACAATTACTCTGGCCAGGCACGGTGGCTCATGCCTGTAATCCCAGCACTTTGGGAGACCGAGTCGGGCGGATTACTTGAGCCCAGGAGCTTGAGACCACTGGTCAACATGGCGAAATCCTGTCTCTACAAAAAAAATACAAAAATTAGCCTGACGGGGTGACACACGCCTTGGTCCCAGCCTACTTGAGGGGCTGAGATAGGAGGATCACTTGAGCCCAGGAGGTCAAAGCTGCAGTGAGCTGCGATCATGCCACTGCATCCCAGCTTGGGCAACAGAGTGAGATCCCATCTCAGAAAAAAAAAAAGAAAGAAAGAAAAATACAATTACTCTTTAATTCACCAGCTCTTTTTATAAAACGGGTGCAACACTTACAAATCTGCCTGTAAATGTATAACCTGTATGTAAATAATTCCCTACATTACAAAACTGAAAAGATCTTAAAATCATGGTTAGAAATGCAGCAAACCTATGTTTGTGTGCACATCTGTATTTAAATTATTGTGTGTGTATATATGTATGGATGTATATTTGTATATATGTATGTGTACACACAGGATACAAGCATATATTTTCTAGCTCTGTCCACTGAAAAAGACAAGAGGCAAAGACATCTCAGTAACAAGGAGCTCAGTAACCTTGCACCTAGATCTTGGGTTCTAATACCATTCTCCCCTAAAAAGCTCCTCAAAGCTCCGCCGAGAAATGGCCAGTTCCAGGACTGGGCAGAGCAGGTGCATGATGAACCTGTAATATCTTGTTGTACTAGAAAGTGAGGAGCAAAATCAAATGGGAGCATGCCACAAAGACACAGGACACAGTTTGGAGAGGCTCTCACTGGCCTAACATCGGATAATTTAAGCAGCAAAATAGTTAAATAATTAATTATAAACCATTGAAAAAAGGAATCCATAAGTTTGTACTGCTAGTAAAAAGACAAACAAATGGGAAAGGAAGGAGAGCTCTTGCTGGCAGTAGAATACCAAGGCTCACTGGTGAATATGCAAGAAGTATTAGAATTAAAAGCATCATTTTGCAAGCATCAATGAAAGATCTAATTATGCAAGAATCATCAATTGATGCAAAATCTTTGGAGAAATTTTGATGAGGAAGAGGGTATTTGTACTGTCTTTAAGTATATCCCTACAGATTAGATAGTAGTTGCAAGGGAAGACAACACAGAAAAGAAATATTGACTGGGTCACCAAAATTAATGTCACCAATGAGGAATAAATGGACACCATGTGCTTCCAGATGAGACATTCTTGGAGAGACAAAGTATCACCTATGCAGTTTTCTAGTCAGGAATGCCTACCTCAATCTAACCATCAGGAAACATCAGACAAACAAAAAATGGGGAACAGCCCATTCCTGGGGTGGAGGGAGGAGGGATACACTGTAATTCTCCCAAAAAGGTTGATGTCAGAAAACATTTTAAAAAAAGGCTATGGATATATTTCAGATTAAAAGACTAAAAAGATAATAAATAACTAAATGCAATATCTGACCTAGACCGAAGGGAAAAACACTGATATAAAGGACATTATTGAGGGGTCAGGGGCAAGGGGAGGGAGAGCATTAGGACCAATACCTAGTGCATGCAGGGCTTAAAACCTAGATGACGGGTTGATGAGTGCAACAAATCACCATGGCACATGTATACCTGTGTAACAAACCTGCACGTTCTGCACATGTATCCCAGAACATAAAGTATAAAAAAAAAGTGGTTAAATCTATAAAACTAAATAAAGCTATAAAAGAGAAGATGTAGAAATAAACACATATGATTTAACAGTTGAGGCAAAATAATATAAAGACTGTTAAACCCACTTAAATTACATAAAACTGATAACACAAGTGAAATATTTAAAAATTTCATGTCCTTTTTTTTTTTTTTGAGACGGAGTCTCACTCTGTCGCCCAGGCTGGAGTGCAGTGGCACAATCTCGGCTCACTACAAGCTCTGCCTCCCGGGTTGACGCCATTCTCCTGCCTCAGTCTCCCAAGTAGCTAGGACTACAGATGCCCGCCACCAAGCCTGGCTAGTTTTTTGGATTTTTTTAGTAGAGACGGGGTTTCACCGTGTTAGCCAGGATGGCCTCGATCTCCTGACCTCGTGATCCGCCTGCCTCAGCCTCCCAAAGTGCTGGGATCACAGGCGTGAGCCACCGCGCCCAGCCTATGTCCTTTCAAAAAACAAGAAAGGACATTAGGTCATCCAAAATTAAAATATGGATGACAGATTCAAGTACTGTATCAATACATAATATATATTAAATGTTGTGATTATATGTGTGCATTATATAGCTTATAAATAATGTATGTATATGTACACACTATAGACAGGTATGTAAACAACGTGTATATATACACATTTACAATTTTATTTAGATAAGAGTACAAATGCTAAAACAAATGGGATAAAATGTTAACAACAGGTGAATCTAGGCAAAAGTTATATAAGTGTTCTTCATACTATTTTATTTTTGCTGCTTTGTAAACTTAAAATTATTTCTATAAAATGTTTAAAAATTGTAAAATGATGGGCCAGGGGCCAGGCGTGGTAGCTCACGCCTGTAATCGCAGCACTTTGGGAGGCCAAGGCGGGCGATCATTTGAGGTCAGGAGTTTGAGACCAGCCTGGCCAACATGGTAAAACTCTATCTCTACCAAAACATACAATAAGTATCCAGGCGTGATGGCATGTGCCTGTAGTCTCAGCTACTTGGGAGGCTGAGGCAGGAAAATCGCCTGAGCCTGGGAGATGGAGGTTTAAGTGAGTCGGGATCATGCCACTGCACTCCGGCCTGGGTGACAGAGCAAGAGTCTGTCTCAAAATAAATAAAAAGATAAATAAATAAAAATTTAAAAAATAAATACAAGGTAAAAGGATGGGCAGGCACACATACCTATAATATCAGTACACTGGGAGGCTAAGGTGGAAAGATAGCTTGAGCCCAGGAGTTCAAGATCAGCCTGGGCAACACAACCAGACCCTGTCTCTACAAAAAACAAAAAATTTAGCTGGGCATGGTGGCATGAGCCTATGGTCCCAGCTACTCAGGAGGCTGAGGTGGAAGGATCACTTGAGCCCAGGAGTTCCAGGTCTCAGTGAGCTATGATCATGCCACTGCACTCCAGCCTGAGTGATAGAGCAAGACTCAGTCTCTAAAAAAAAATAAATAAATAAATAAATAAAAAATAGCCCTATCATCTCATTAAGAGATGTATTTCCAATTTTTTAAAATGATTATTTAAATTTATAATATATTTTCTTTGAGTACTAATAACTATAACAACTCAATTCATAGAGTTAACACTTAAGAGATTTACTAGGAGAAATTTACAATATCTTTGAAAATTCAATGATATTAAATGCATATTTTTATTGCAGGTAGATATGATGGGGTGATCCATATATATATTTCTTTAGGCTCATAAAGTGAAGCAGTGGGGGTGGACAAGGAAGAAAGAAATCTGTAACTGGTTTGTCATCGATTAGTTGTATACACCATTGCACTTGGACCAGCTTTGTAATAAATTTTGAAGCAAAAATTTATAATCATTAGAGTAAAATTAAGGGAAGTAAATGAAAATATAAATTATAGGAAGAAAAAAATGTAAATTTCCAACTGTTAAAAAAGTATATTCACATTTGTTTTAAAGGAATGATGGTGATAGTGGGTATCAAATTACTAATGGTATTTAGAGTCACTGGGTAGATTTTAAAAACACCCTAACAGTCTCCCTTTTTTTTTTTTTTTTTTTTTTTTGAGATGGAGTCTCACTCTATCACCCAGGCTGGAGTGTAGTGGCGCGATCTCAGCTCACTGCAACCTCTGCCTCCTGGGTTCAAGCGATTCTCCTGCCTCAGCCTCCTGAGTTGCTGGGATTACAGGTGCACATTACCATGCCCAGCTAATTTTTGTATTTTCAGTAGAGATGCGGTTTCACCACATTGGTCAGGCTGATCTCGGAACTCCTGACCTCGTGATCTGTCCACTTCGGCCTCCCAAAGTGCTGGGATTACAGGCGTGAGTGACTGTGCCCAGCCCTAACTGTCTTACTTTACACAATATAACAGAAATTAGATCTTTGCAATTCCTTAAATTGAAGATGAAAAATTTCAGACAACTATGCGAGAGGGGGTACAAAATTATTTTAGAGGATACACAAGGAAAGGATACACAAGGAAAAGGTTGGAAGACCACAAATAAGGTGTAAGCCAAATTCCCATAAGACTAGGTTAATGACTCAGTGACTCCATGTCACACAACACGCTTTCCCTTTAATTCAGCGAACTCATGAGAGGGAAAAGCACACTCACCTGACAAGCATGTCATTAGTCCCAAGGCAAGCATTGCACCAGCCAGCACGGTCAGGCGGTTATAGCGCATTGCCATGATGGCTGCTATAAAAAATGTCTTATCACCCAATTCAGATACAATAATAACTGATATGGCAGCGACAAATGCATGGATAAATCCCAAATTAGTTTGGGTAGCAGGATCTTCTTTATTGGTATGAACTGGAGCTGCTGGTGTAAATATTTTCTGGAAAAAAAAAATCAGTTACTTCTTAAAATCATTATTCAAAATTATTTTATTTTGCACGTAAATAAGATTTAGTTTTTTTGAAAATTTTCTTGTCATGGTCATTACACTTATTTACTGTCTAATCACTCTGAAAGCCATCAGTAACGACGGTAACCTCTGACGATGGTTGCTACAATTTGAGTATCCCTTACCTGAAATGTATGGGACCAGAAGTAGTTGGAATTTTGGATTTTTTTAGATTTTGGAATATTTATATCATAGCTGAGTACCCCTAATCCAGAAATCCAAAATGTTCCATTGAGCATTTCATGTATGTCAGTGCTCAAGTTTCAGATTTTGGAGCACTGTGGATTTTAGATTGAGGATACTAAACATGTATAATGCAGATTTACATATAATTCTCCAAAACAATTTTAAGAACAGAGTACAGACCTGCTATATCCATGCATTAAAATTCCCTTTTTTTTTTTTTTTTTGAGACAAAATCTCACTCTGTCACTCAGGCTGGAGTGCAGTGGTGTGATCTTGGCTCACTGCAACCTCCACCTCCCAGGTTCAAGCGATTCTCCTGCCTCAGCCTCACAAGTAGCTGGGATTATAGGTATGCACCACCAAGCCCAGCTAATTTTTGTATTTTTAGTCAAGACAGGGTTTCTCATCATGTTGGCCAGGCTGGTCTCAAACTCCTGACCTCAAGTGATCCACCCACCTCAGCCTCCCAAAGTGCTGAGATTACAGGCGTGAGCCACCACGCTTGGCCAAAATTACCTTATTTGTTAGGCATTTGTGATTTCAGATTTAGTTCTTAGCTACATCTCATTCAAATTTGTATTAGTAACTTGCATGAAAGACCCAGGTATGTTTAAAAAACATTTGAACGACGGGAAGCTAAGAAAAATTTCATTAACACTCTGAAGGACAGAGTAAGACCCACAAACCTCAGCAGGGTATAGAGAGTTGGTTCCAGCTAAGACAAGTTTAATACAGCTGTTAACACAGATCGTCCTACGCTGAAGTCTAAAAATATCTTAGAAGGTAAAGTGGCATGGTGGCGGAAGCCTATAATCCCAGTTACTTGGGAGGCTGAGACGGGAGAATTGCTTCAACCTGGGAGGCGGAGGTTGCAGTGAGCTGAGACTGCGCCCATTGCACAATGGGCAATGAGTGAAACTCTGTCTCAAAAAAAAAGAAGGTAAAGTGGCCTAATGAAAAAGACAAACCAGTGTCTTGGCTGTCATTACGCTGTAAATGTGACAAAGCTTCAAAAAAGCAGTAAGCTCTTCGCATGAAGGAGTTAATGACAAGTCCAACGTTATTCTATGCTGCTCAGACCTTCCCCAAAGTTCTATATACAGTTCTAAAGCACTGCACTGCCCTCTGAAGATTAGCAGATGTCAGACTCTAAAACCAGGGATGGCAAGTTACTGAACCAAAACCCAGCCTATAAGAGCAAAAAAAGGTTTTTTACATTTTTAAGAAGTTACAAGAAATAAGAAGAAAGAGAAAAGGAGGGAAGGCTGGTGGGAGGCAAGGAGGAGGGAGGGAAGGAAAGGAAGATTATGCATCAGAGATTGGTAGCCTGCAAATACATGGCAACTACAAGAAGTTTGCTGACTTGGCTCTAAAACAATCCCGTGAGGGACCAGGAAGGACGGGGTATCATGTTCCAATAATTGGGAAAGTTTTTAAGTGAATCTATCCAATCCATACGGTCCTAAGAGGCAGAACTAAAAAGTTAGAGATGGCAGGTTTTAGCTTAACAGAGAGGAGAGATTTCTGTCTCCAAAGACGCACCCAAAGTTGGAACAGACTGCTAGAGGAGGTGGTAAATACCCTTCTCTTCTCAACGTCTGAGTTCCAGAGAAGGGAACCACCACTCCCAGGAAATGGGCTAGACAAGCGGTTCTCAACCAGGGCGATTTTGTCTCCCAGGGGACATCTGACAATGCTTGCGGACATTTTTAGTTACAATCAAAGGGGAACTACTGGCATCTAGTGGGTAGAGGCCAGAAACGCTGCTAAACATCCTACAATGCACAGGACAGCCCTTCCACAACCAAGAATTATATATCCAAAATGTCAACAGTTCCCAGACTGAGACGCCCTGGGCTAGATAAACCACTTCCAAAGGTCTCTTCCAATCCTAATAACTTATTTTTAATTTTTTAAGCTTATGAATCTCTAGAAACCCAAGAGATAAAGAAAAAGAAACCCAAGAACATAGTAATTTTGGACAGCGTAAAAACAGATTTATTACAAAGGCCCTAGTCACAGGTAAGAATAAAATCATAAATTCTTAGTGTGCATGTCATTCCTTAACACATAACATAAAGATTATAAAATTCCACAGTAAAGATCAGAAAAATTTAGGCATTACCATTAAGACTAGACCTCTGAGCTAAATACTGGAGAAATTTAACAAAATGGAAAGTATTTGTTGCCTTGACAGCTGGCTCTCAATGAATTGAGTTTAATTAATTAAGCAAGTATCATTTTAAGGGCTTCTTGCTTTCTCTCCATTATTTTGGTTCCACCTACGTTGACGGTCCTTTAAAAACGAGCTTCCTGCAGTGAGCTGTAATGGCACCATTGCACTCCAGCCTGGGTGATGGAGCAAGCCCCCTTCTCAAAACAACAACTTCCTTTCTCTTCCAATATTAAGAATCCTTATATTAAAAAAAAAAAAAAGGGCATTTCAAATTTCAACTTGGCTCTGACACATTTTCCTCCTGAAAATGCTTTTTAAAGGTTTGTATAAAATTTCAGGATCTGAAATCCCAGAAAAATTTTAGGAATAAATATACACCATTTATGATCACTTAGCTCTAAGCTCAAACACAAAATGTTTACTTTTTAAATCAAACACAATAGTGATCAAAGCTACACAGTCTCATGGTTTTATAATTCCCAGCCATGAAACTTCAGCCACATTATTTAATCTCTGTTCCTCTGTAAAATGTAGGGATAAAATAAAATTTGCTTTAAGAGTACAGACATGCACCACATGATGACAATTTGATCAATGATGGGCCGAATATGCAGCAGTAGTCCCATAAGATTACAGTACCAAATTTTTTACTTTACCTTTTCTATGTTTTTTTATATATATAAAATGTTACAACTGCCTACAGTATTTAATATAGTAACACGCTGTACAGATTTGTAGCCTAAAAGCCATAGGCTATACCATTTAGCCTAGGTGTATAGCAGGTTATACATCTAGGTTTGTGTTGAGTACACTCTAGGACGTCTGCACAATGAAATTGCCTGATAATGAGTTTCTCAGAACACATCCCCATCATTAAGCGATGCTACATATTCTTAAAACCTTCCTACACACAAAACACAAGAAAAATAAACATAAAGCTTGTTACATACTAAGCTGGTCCTGGGTGGCCAAAATCATACAACCAATCATGGTGACAAGAACTTAAAACGAAAAGTATCGGGGTACCGTGAAGATAGAAGATCTTTTTTAATTAAAATATTAACAGGATTAAAAAGTGATCCATTACCATTCCTTCACTGCTATGTGCAAGGATCATCTTCTTTGTCTAATTCACCTTCACAGGGACACAGTGTAGTGGTTAAGTGTATAGGCTCTGGAATCAGACTGCCAGTTCATAGCCAAGGCATTATCAGTTACGGCGTGACCTTGGGCCAATAGGTACACCCCCCTGTGACTCAAGTTCATCTGTAACATAAGGGCTACCTATGTCTCAAAGGGTTGCTGTGAGGATTAAATGAATAAAGCCCTTTAGGACAGTGCTCAGTACACAGTAAGTGCTCAATTAGTTTTTGTAGTGCCACAAAATATGAACAGTTGAATCTTCCTGAAACTAATTTCATGTTACTTCACTGTTTTAAGAAACGTAATGGTCTTTTCATACCAAATACTTGATTCTGGTAACTATCCAACAGTTCTCACTGAAGCACATACCAGGTTCCCCAAATGAACCTGCTTCTCCATCCTGAAGGATGAGCCAGAGCAGAGTCTAACAAAAAATCATGCAGCCACAAAGGTAGGCCACATAATACAATTTTACATTTTCTGGTAGCCATATATTTAAAAGTAAAACCAGGTAAAAATTTTAATAACATTTTACTTAACCCAATATATCCAAAATGCTACTATTTAAATTATAAGCAATATTTTTAAAACTACTGAGATATTTTAACATTCTTTTTTTCATATTAAATCTTCAGACCCTGGTAGGTATTTACTCACCGCACACCTCAACTCTGGATTAGCCACATATCAAGTGCTCACAGCCACACATACTCATGGCTCATGGTTACAGTGCTGGGCAGTGCAGCTCGAAAGCATGACAGGCTTTTGCTAACCACAAGCCTTCAGCCACACAGTCCTTTTTCCCTTCCCACCTCCTTTTCGTTATCCCCCTCTTCATCCAGATTCCTCAAGGTCCAACTCAAGTAGAACCTCTTGAGAAAGGCCTATCCCAGCAACTCCAGCTCTTAATGATCCTGACCCACTACAATAAAACTGAATGCAAACTGTGGGCAATGAGTATGGGAGGCCTATTACAGAAAAAAGTTCAAGACAGAAACACTCAAGGAATTGACCTTTTCGGATTACAAATATGTATAAATGTAATGCTATCATTTGTAATAAAGAGACAAAATAACTAAATGTCGGCTGGGCTCAGTGGCTCATGCCTGTAATCCCAGCACTTTGGGAGATGGGTGGAGCCCTTGAGCCCAGGAGTTCAAGACCAGCCTGGGCAACAAAGTGAGACCCTGTCTCTACAAAAAATACAAAAGTAGCTGGGTGTGGTGGCACACACCTGTAGTTTCCAGCTATTTGGGAGGCTGTGAGGTGAGAGGATCGCTTGAGCCCAGGAGGTACAAGTTGCAGTGAGCAGAGATGACATCACTGCACTCCAGCCTGGGCAACAGAGTGAGACCCTGTCTCAAAACAAAGAGAAAGAAAAAAACAACTAAATGTCCATTGATAGAAAACTAGTTAAATAAATGGTAGATCCACATAACGGAATATTATAGAGCTAAAAGAATAATAAGAATGTTCTATACACTAATATAGAAAATCATTAAGATATTTTGAAGTTGAGAAAAAGTATATACTAAGTATGTGTACATGTGGATGGTGTAAGTATCATAAATACACACCACGTCTCAAGAAACAGGTTAATGATGAATGTTTCCAGGAAAGGAACCAGAATGACTAGAACAGGGGTTGGCAAACTTTTTCTAGAATACAAAAAAGGAAAAGAGACGTAACTTCTCATTCTACATTCTTCTGTATCTTCTGGAATTTTTAACTTTCACACCATTATAGACACATGCTATGTACCATTTCAAAAACTTCCTGACCCAACATCTTATGCCAGCTATGGAGGATCAATTTCTTGTAAGCTGTGACTGACTTCAGGCAGGTCCAACCAAAAAGCACTGCTCTGTATTTACTCATTCACTACCTGGAAGTATGGGAAGTTAATAGCTGTAGGGCTACCAATATGGAAGCTGGTTCTAAGATTCATTTCATAAGCCTCCTGGGAAGTTTCAGTGGGATTTCAGTGGGATTCAGTACTAGTCACTCATGGAGTGGCTAACTTGAAAATACATCACTCCTTTTCTGCATATACCTCTTTTCTGTACTGACAATGTGAAAGAATATAGGCATGTTCTGAGAACAAGAAGTAAACCATCAGAAGAATGGTTGGGGCAAGATGAGAAAGATAAACTGGGCCTGAAATTCTTTATGTTTGTGGACAAGCTCAGAGGCAAGAGGGAAGTCATTACATATTTTTGTGTAACACATAAACACCATCAAGGCACTGTGACCAATTATCAGGGCAGAGTGGGGAGTATCAGCCACTGGATCAATCAGGAGGTCAGCTGCATGAAACCCGTGTTAAGACAAATAAGAGAAGGAAAAAATTCTGCACACAATGGAAAGAAAAATCACTAGACCTTTAAAAAAAGGTAGGCGGGATGGGGGGAATCAAAGATGGTGGTGAGGTTTTCTGGTTGGCAGAAATATTAGTACTCTTAAAACGCTATTATGTATTTAGTACTCTTAAAAGGTATGTCGGAAAGGGGAATAAAAACAAGGGGTTTGGTTTCATATACATTCCACTTGGGGTGATAAAAAGCATTTCAAATGAAGGTTTGAAAGAGGTTATCAGAAATGGATCACCAGAGTTTAGCCTAGGACAGCCTCAAGGTATGTAGCCTCAAGGTTGACAGCCTTCGTGTCCTCAATAGGCTCTTGGAAACTGCAACTTTAAGTGAAATGATGTAAAAGAAAACCAACTTTCTTTTCTCATCAATGTTATAATGAAACAACACTGAATTAAAATGACATCATTGATGTCATTTCACTTAAAGTGACCATTTCCAAGAATCTATTAATAACATTAAGTGAGGACGTACTCTATCTGGTTGCTGGCAGCCCAAATTTATCAGCTAAAGCTCTGCAAGTAGATGAGATTTCCAACAGATAAGGCAAAGAGATAAAGTTCAAAGAATGCGCCTTAGAGAATGTCTTTATTCAAAGAAGGTGGAGGGAGGAAAAAAAATAGGAAAAAAAACTATCTTAGATATTTCGAGCCAGGCAGCAACTAAAGCATCACAGACCGTCAGGTTGGGGTGCGCTACTAACTAGATGCGAGATATTTTCAGACACATTGTTGCATTTGATACTCAAAAAAACTTAGGAGCTGTTTTAAGTTTTAATACAGGAAAACTGAGGTCAAACGGGCTTCATTATTCTGCCAAGTTCATACACCTGAGATGGATTCTTAAACAGTAGAGAATTAACAGTGTCAAATGAGAACTGAAAAAGATCCCTGGATTTAGCAATTTGCTAACTTACAAGATTCTTTCAAAAAATGGAATTTGTGGTGGCTCATGCCTATAATCCCAGCACTTTGGGAGGCCGATGCAGGAGGACTGCTTGAGGCCAAGAGTTCGAGGCCAGCCTGGGCAACATAGTGAGACCTCATCTCCACAAAAAAAAAAAATAAAATAAATAAAATTAGCCAGGTGTGGTGGCATGCACCTGTAGTCCCAGCTACTTGGGAGGCTGAGGTGGGAGGATCACTTGAGCCCACTAGTTCCAGGCTGCAGTAAGCTATGATTGTGCCACTGAACTCCAGCCAGGGCGACAGAGCAAGACCCTATCTTTAAAATTAAAAAAAGAATTTCAAGGAAAAGGCAAGGACTGAAGCCAGATAACAACATACTAAAGTAAAGTGAAAAAGCAGCAAATCCCCTAGTTAGAAGTTTGGTTTATAAAACTGAAGAAACTAATATGGCTGGGCATGGTGGCTCACGCCTGTCATCCCAGCACTTTGGGAGGCCGAGGTGGACAGATCTGAGGTCAGGAATTCAAGAGCTGCCTGGCAAACATGATGAAACCCCATCTCTACTAAAAGTACAAAAAAAAAAAATAGCCAGGCGTGGTGGCGCACACCTGTAGTCCTAGCCACTCGGAAGGCTGAGGTTGCAGTGTGCCAAGATTGTGCCCACTGCACTCCAGGCTGGGCAACAGAGCAAGACACTGTCAAAAAAAAAAAAAAAAAGGAAAGAAAGAAGGAAGGAAGGAAGGAAGGAAAGAAAACGAAACTAATAGTCAAGTTAAGATTAAATGAATGACCTTTTTCTTTCTTTTCCAAAATAAGAGAAACATATGAACATGTGTAAGCAGATACAAAGGAAGCAATGGGAAGGGAGAGAATAAAGGCACTGAGGGAGGAGAATAGGAACGTGGACACAGAGAGGAGGTACACAAAGGATGACAGTTTTGTCCAAAACATGAAAAAGGCAGACAGTACAGGCACAGAAGAATATACTTGGATGCATACAGGATTAGATGCAGTGTGCAATTTCAATTTTGGTATTCCACTATTCAGTTATACAGTGTTATATATCATGGTAAGTAATGAGATACTAGTGTTTTGGTACAAATACCACTATTTCAGTATTTTAATAATGTCTGAAACACACCTTACTTACATCTTGAGAGCAGGATTAACAACTTAAGATTTTTTTAAAAAAACTTGCTTAATAAAAACTCTTTTCTAGTTAAAATTTTAATTCCAAATGTAAAAATTGTAAAAAAAAAAAAAAGAAAAAGAAAAAGGCACCCTCATTTAGAAAGTATTCTTTTATACTTTCATGATCCTCAAGAGAAGGAAGAAAAAGAAAATCAAAGAAAAAAGTAATTCCTTTTCTAGTTCTAGAGTTCAAATAAACACAAATGTGACTGTATTGAAATTGATACAGATACCTGCATCGGAATCTCCATCTATACATGATGAAACTAGAGAAGATGAAGATGCTTTCCTTGAAACAAAATCTACAGCTTGCTACCAAGAAAAAAACTGATGTCCCTGCAAAAAAACAGAAACAAAGTTGCTCAATAAGTTATCAAACAAGAGGTGAGATTATCTGAAGACAAAGGAGTCAGAAGAAAATGCTTACAATTTGCTTAGAACTGTCTCCTGGGCACTACTAAGTCAAAAAAGCTTTTTTTAGGGGCCGGGTGTGGTGGCTCATGCCTGTAATCCCAGCACTTTGGGAGGCCCAGGCGGGCGGATCACGAGGTCAGGAGATTGAGACCATCCTGGCTAACATGGTGAAACCCCATCTCTACTAAAAATACAAAAAATTAGCTGGGCGTGTGGCGGGCACCTGTAGTCCCAGCTACTTGGGAGGCTGACGCAGGAGAATGGCGTGAACCCGGGAGGCAGAGCTTGCAGTGAGCCGAGATCACGCCACTGCACTCCAGCCTGGGCGACAGAGCAAGACTCCGTCTCAAAAAAAAAAAAAAGCTTTTTTTAAAAGTTGTAAAAATGTGCCCAAAAATATATATGCACTTAGGCCGGGCATGGTGGCTCATGCCTGTAATCCTAGCAACTTGGGAGGCGTGGTAGGTGGATCACTCGAGGTTGGGAGCTTGAGACCAGCCTGGCCAACGTGGCAAAACCCCATCTCTACTAAAAATACAAAAATCAGCTGGGCGTGGTGGCATGCACCTGTAGTCTCAGCCACTCTGGAGGCTGAGGCATGAGAATTGCATGAACCCCGGAGACAGAGGTTGAAGTGAACCAAGATCTCACCACTGCACTCCAGCCTGGGTGACAGTGAGACTCTGTCTCAAAAAAAAAAAAAAAAAAAAAAAAAAAAAAAAAATATATATATATATATATATATATATATATACACACACACACACACGCACGCACTTAAACAATGACACCACAGATAAACCTGATTTCGAAAGATAACATTAAAGTATTTTAATTTTCATTACGTATTTTTGTGAATGGTTTCACTATTTTTAAATACTTTATTGTTACTTGTTAATTTATATTAGAATTTATATGTAATATTTTGTAATAAAATTATTTTTTGTTTTAATGAATGTTTATTTTTATGAATGTTGTTTTGTAATGTATTTATGCACTTGAAATTTATTAAATGTGTTTAGTTTCTTTTTTTTTTTTGGAGACAGAGTTTTGCTCTTGTTGCCCAGGCTGGAGGGCAGTGGCACGATCTTGGTTCACTGCAACCTCCACCTCCCGGGCTCAAGCGATTCTCCTGCCTCAGCCTCCTGAGTAGCTGGGATTACAGGTGTGTGCCACCACGCCCAGCTAATTTTTTGTATTTTCAGTAGAGATGGGGTTTCATCATGTTGGCCAGGCTGGTCTAGAACTCTTGACCTCAGGTGATCCACCCACCTCGGCCTCCCAAAGTGGAGGGATTACAAGCGTGAGCCACTGCGCCCGGCCTTCATTGATTTTATTTTTAATGAATTTTTTTGATGACAGCATACCACTAAATAAATTCAGTATTAATATAATTACCTTCTGAGAAGGTAATTATGAGCAGGCGTCCTTATAACTGATTGCCTCAATCTTAGCTGTATAAAGGCTAGAATTAGGAGGCTGGACTGGGTGGAGTGGGACTGCAACTTAATGAAAATAGAAAAAAGTTTAAAATGTTTTGTAGAAGGTACTCTCACAGCTGAAACGTAATAAATAAATGAAATACCAAAACATAAAGTAAAAATATGATAACAAGAACAGGCACTGAGTCAGGTAATGATTTTGTGGCTTTATTAGAAGTGCTATGCAACCAGAGTCATTCTTCTTTGGACTTCCAGAATATGCAATAAAGTCTAAATGACTTTTATTAAATCTATCTGATCTCCCTCAACTCAAAGGACTTATGTTTCTTATATTACATATTCTGTCCAGGGAAAGAGTAAGAAAAAACTATTGAGTAAGTCACTAGAAACATAAACTGCAGAAAAGATAGGATCCAAGTAATCAACAACACTTTTTATCATGGGTTTGTAAATTGGGGGTTAATCTTGATTTTAAGTTCATATTACTTACCAACCTTTTTTTAGCCTAATTATAGAGAAAAGCACATACTCAATGTAGAATGCCCTGTTAGAAGTTCAGTCACCTTGCTTTTAGCATCCTATAAGATACAACTAGGTTTTTATAACATATCTTCCACTTGAATGCCTACTAACCAAGGAGAGATGCTTCCCCCCTCCATTTTCAGAAGCCCACTCTCACACAGTGGCACAAAAAGGTTAAATTTAAATATCCTACCTACCCTCTTAAAACATCTACTGCATGTAGTTGCAAAGCAAATCCGTTGAAACTTACATATTCAGCAAGGCTCAACTCTTGCTAATACTGCTGTTAAACTGTACTTTGATCATTTCTTACCTCCATCAGGTGGACAAAAATAGCCAATGACACTTATATTACATAGTTTAGAAAACATGTGAAAGAAAAATCTTTCAGCATAGTGAGTACCGTAGAGGAAAAAATACTTGAGTAGTATCAAAAAGTTACATAAAAATATAATTAAGGCCAGGCGTGGTGGCTCACTCCTGTAATCCCAGCACTTTGGGAGGCCGAGGCAGGCGGATCACCAGGTCAGGAGATGGAGACCTCCTGGCTAACACGGTAAAACCTCGTCTCTACTAAAAATACAAAAAATTAGGCGGGCATGGTGGCGGGCGCCTGTAGTCCCAGCTATGCTGGAGGCTGAGGCAGGAGAATGGCGTGAGCCTGGAAGGCAGACCTTGCAGTGAGCCAAGATCACGCCACTGCACTCCAGCCTGGGCGACAGAGTGAGACAAAAAAATATATATATATTATATATATTATATTTTTATATTTTAATATAAATATATTAATTATATTAATATTATTTATTATTATTATATTAATATAATTAATTATATTAATATAATATAATTAATATTATATTATATATAATACAGTATTAATATTATATATAATATTATATATAATATATAATATTATATTATATATTATATATTAATATAATATAATATTAATTACATTAATATATTAATATATAATATAAATATAAATTATATATTTATATATTATTTTTTATATATATTATATATATAAAATAAAAACAAGACAAGGCCAGGCATGATGGCTCATGCCTGTAATCCCACCACTTTGGCAGGCCAAGAGGGGAAGATCCCTTGAGCCCAGGAGTTTGAGGGCAGGCTGAGCAACATAGTGAGACCCTGTCTCTAAAAAAAAAAAAAAGGAAGAAAAGAAGACAATTATATTCTATTATAATACAAAATTAGAATAAACAATAATAAATAAATGCCTAACTAAAATGAATCACCAAGAATATATGAAAATATTAAACGGAAAAATCATATTATATTATACCCACCCTTCCCTCCATACCCCTAGTTTTAAAGACAAGGATCCCTTCCCAGCTACTCAGAAGGCTGAGGCAGGAGGATGGCCTGAGTCCAGGAGCTGGAGGCTGCAATGAGTTATGAGCTATAAGAAGACCTTGTCTCTATAAAAAAAATTAAATAAAACTTTAAAAGACAAGAATCCTTAAGACCATTTAATATGTTTACTGGACACTGTTTCTACCACTGTGGCATTCTGCATGGCTAGATTTTTCCTAGCTTCTTAAAAAGGATATTAGTAGCTCTACACCTACCATCATTTCTATCTTAAAAATTCCAATATGACTAAAACTTCAACAAAATACCTGCAAAGTTACATATTCATAATCTCTCACTCACACAATTAACTTAATCCAAAATAGTTATTGTTTTAAAATAAATGTGATACTGGGGTAAATGACAGGGCTAAAAGATGAACACTAAGAATTAAGTTCATCAATCAGCGTTTCAGTTCAATTACTGAAGTGGACATGTCAAGCAGGGTCAGCTGAGCCAGGAGCGACAAGCAGGGCAGTGTAAATGGGAACCCCACTCCTAAGCATATGGCTGGGGGTAGCAGGGCAGGCAGAAGGAAAAAGATGGAGAAGCCCACTCACCTCTTTGCTCTCCCCAAGTGGACTAAAGACCCTGGCTTCACATGTTAAATGATTCACACTTCTTGTACACCTCTGACATCACTGCATTATATCTCTCTGTTACCATGGGTTATTTACTCGTTGAGTTCCAGTGCTTTTGATCTTCTCTTTTTCTCTTTTTAAAAAAAACTTTATAAGAGTCCCGGAATTAACTATATAGTCAGCTGAAAATAAACTGTCTAAACCAACACCAATCCAATAATGGTTACAAAATCACATTATATCCAGCAGATGATAAAAGCTTAGTTCTCTTAATTCCATCTGGTGGATCCCTTGCAACTTAAAAAAAAAAGGTTGGATAGACACTATTAAAAATCGGGTTGTTGTTTTTTTTTTTTTTTCCTGGTTGAGTTTATTTTACAGCCAGTTTTTCCAGAAAGGTATTTAACAGCTGATATAAACTTGACATGCAACTACTTCAACCCAGTCTTAGAAAATTAGTTAATAAATGCCAAGAACAGACAAGGTCTTCTGGAATAGACAGATGAGTAAGCCAGAGTCATGCTCTCAAGACACCTAAAAGCTAGTAGGGGCAGATAAAACACGCACACAACTTGCAAGAACCCAAGGCAGCAAGATGTGTGTGTAAACATGCCACAACATACACAATAAAGTTCCCAAAAAAGGAGAAAGAGAAAGCTAGGCTCAAGATCAAAGAACTGCACCAGCATACAATCCAATAAACCATTAAAATCCATTAGTGAATTAAATAAGTCAAAAGAGTAAGACACAATGAATGCTAATAAAACTTAGTAAGGCACAGAAGTCCAGATTCTAATTCTGGTTCTGCTGAAACTAGCTTCTAGCTCTGTGATATTAAACCACTATTCCTTACAAACCTCCTCTACCTGTTTAACGTGCTGTTGTGAGGATTAAATCGGCTCCCAGAATCTTCACTTCCCAGTAACTTTATCTCCCAGATTCCCTCCCATATCAGAATCTCCTCATAGGCAGTTAGTTATTCAACTTCTTCCTGAGTACTTCCAGTAAGGGGAACTTCATTATTTCTCAATAGCGATTACTACATCTGGGACAGCACTGATTCTTACAAATGTTCTTGCTTAGTGAAACCAAGATCAGTCTCTCAGAAAGTTCTATCCTACGGTCTTACACAGAAAAACAACAGAAAATTGGAAAAGCCTAAGAAAGTAACATGTAACGAAAACATGAAACACGAAAACAATGCACCGGTGTGAGAGCTCACCAGCACTTGGGAGGCCAAGGCCGGAGAAGCGCTTGAGCCCAGGAGTTTGAGACTAGACTCGGCAACATAGTGAGACCTCCTCTCTCAAAAAAAAAAAAAATAAACAAAAATTAGCCGGGCGTGTCAGCACACGCATGCAGTCCCAGCCACTCAGGAGGCTGAGGTGGGAGGATCAATTAGAGGTTGCAGTGAGCCAAGACGGGGCCACTGCACTCCAGCCTGGGCGACAGAGCGAGACCCTGTCTCAACAAAGAAAAAGGAAAAAGGAAAGGAAGGGAGAAAGGAAAGGAAAAAGGAAAGGAAAGGAGAAATGAAAGGAATGGAAAGGAAAAAGGAGAAAGGAGAGGAAAGGAAAAAGGAGAAAGGAGAGGAAAGGAAAGGAAAGGAAAGGGTCAGATAAATCACCCTTAACCAAGAAATTTTAGGGAAGTCTTCACAGAGAGTAGGTATCTGCTGGTTCTCCAAGGTGGGAAGAGTTGATCCGTGGCTTCAAACTCCAGGTCTTTTTTTTTTTTTCTTTGAAAAGGTCTTGTGTTAGGGAGGAACTGGCAAGAGAGCACAAAGCCTGTCCCAAAGGGCTCTTGAAGCACATTCTTTTTTGCAGATGAGCATATCCCTTTAGCATATGAGCAAGAAAGCGGTGGCTAAAAAGCCTGGAGGTGAGCTGGAGCCAGATCAGAAGAAACCTGAACATCACTCTCCTAAAAAGGCTGGACTGAAATTAGTGGAGGCAACTCACCGACGACTTCTGACAAGATGGCAGAATTCAATGTTCGGGAAGATTAGTTACGTGGAGATGGGCTGGATGTGGCCTGGGTGGGAGTGGGGGTTTGAGTGCCACACTGGCCGGGATTCAGGGAGCAGATACTGGAAATGACGACAAAGCCCACGACTGGGAGAAGGGAGAAATGTTAAAACGCTGCCAAGTGACTAAGGACTAATTCTATTAACAGATTAAAAAGTTGATTTCTAGTATCTATTCAGGGAAGGACAAAATACAGGATTCTGTTTTACTTATAAATGTAGTTTTGGCATCCCACATCGCTGCAGCACGCTGTACTGCCGGAGACTAATTCCTCTGCGTTCCTAAAGGCTACTTCCTGCTAGCCAAAGCACATTTTTAAAAAGTGAGAGTCATGGTTCATAATCCATATTTGGCAAAAAGCACAGGCAGTGCCAAGTTGAATTTGGGTAAGCAGTTTGGCATAAGCTATTTCAACAATGAAATGGCCGATGTGATGATCCTCAGGGAATACAAAAAGCCTCCTAGCAGCCTTCTGTTAAAAACTTTTTGGTAGGGATGAGTCTTTCTAGCTACTCTAAGACACATCTGATCAATAAAACGCCCATCCCGGAGCAGCATCTTGGCCCTCCGGAGATCAACGTTTATAGCGGGCTCCTCTTGGACTCTCCCTCTCCCTTTCCCTAAAGGAGCGGGCAAGACCAGGCCTCACCGGAAAACAGCGCAGCCGACCGCCCTCCACCCCGGGAGCAGGGGCCGGGCTCCCCTCCCCCAGCCGAGGCCGGCGGAGTGCGGCGCTTTCAAAGGCCTGGAGCCTGGTACTCGGCGCAGCCGGCCCTGCAGCCTCGCTCGCCCCATCCCGGCCCGCTCACCTCGACCCGGGCCGGCTCGGGGCCCTGCACAGCCACAGGCTGCGGCTGCAGCTGCTGGGCCGGCGCCGGCGGTTCTTTGTTCCGGTGGCTAAGGTCTTCATCTGGGCCGGCCCGGACCGCAGCCGGGGCCCACAGCAGCGGAACCAGAAAGAGCAGAAGCAGCCGGGGCGCCGATGCGCGGCCGTTCCCTGGAGCCGCGGCCGCCATCCCGCCTGCCGGGCCGGCCGCGCACGGGCGCCGCAAGAGGAAGTGCCGGCGACGGGAAGCCTCGACCCCGAACAGCCTCCGCGGCGCGTCCTCACGACTCGCCGCCGCCGCCGCTTAGGGAGCAGTCAGCACCATCCGGGAGGTGCAAGCAGCGGGAGTGAGGTGAGGGGCAGGCCGAAGTCCGCAGCCCCGGCTCGGCGCCCGTCCTCTCCGGCGGCGGCTAAACTGGAGTCAGCCAGCTGCCTCGGCGCGGCCCAGCCCCGACTCCTCCCGGCCCCGTCCCTGCCCGCGACGGCCTCCCATTGGCCCGGCGACCGCCTTGGCGTCGTGACGTCCTCTGCCAGGTTGAGGTGCGGCGCGGGCCCTCCTCCCATTGGATCCGGCGCTCCCGGCAGGTACCCGGCGCCGCGTGTCCTTCCTCTGCTCGCATCCTCACCGCGCCGCGCCCGGGGCTCCCTTTCTCTCTCTGTGCCCCACCGTCCCAGGACTGCGAGGTCCTTCACTTCTGCTTCCTCCAGAGCCTTCCGCCGTAATGTCCGCACCCGCTGTTCCCTGCGCTTAGTCTCTCTTAGAGGTCAAATTAGTGCGAGCGCCTCTGGTTACGTGGCGCTGACTCGCAGGCACTGCCACGCCCAGCTCTGTTCCGCTCTCCCCCGCCGAGCCTCTGTGCCACCCTCCATGTGGCCACCTACCGCCAAAAACGTTCTTAGGAGCTCAAAATGCTATTTTTTTTTTAAAGTTCTGAAATGGGATTTGGAAATAACATGACATTTTTCAAGCCTTGTTTTAAGATACTGCCTATAATTACCCCAGACCAAAAATGGCTAACGTTGCCCTTGTCCAGTATGGCCTTGACGTTTTGGGTGCATCTTGTTTTGTGCTATTCCTTAGACCCTTTAAAAATGCTGGGCTTTTGAAATGGACTGTTTAAGACTTTTGCAGGATGGAGCTTTGAGTGGGCAAGACTAGAAGACAGGAAAGGATGGTCTTGAGTTAGGCTTGAGAATATTTTTACGTCTTCCCAAAAGAAAAAGTGAGCTACTTAATTACCATAAGTTTGAGACCTAGTCCCTAATAAAAATCGATAGTGCTAACCATGTGCCAGGCACTAATCTAATATTATACATATTTACATACAGTAAACCTGTACTCAGTAAAGAGCTAAGGAAGTTTATCACTAACTGAAACAAAAAATTAATCCACCAAAACAATCTGTGGGAAAGTGGGCAAACCTACTTTGAGTTCACCAAAGATACAGTGTTTGTCACAGGATAATAAAATTTCCGTCTGTTTTTTTGTTTTGTTGTTTTCTTTGTTTTTGTTTTTGAGACGGAGTTTCGCGCTTGTTGCTCAGGATGGAGTGCAATGGTGAGATCTCGGCCCACTGCAACCTCCTCCTCCCGGGTACAAGAGATTCTCCTGCCTCAGCTTCCCGAGTAGCTGGGATTACAGGCATGCTCCACCATACGCGGCTAACTTTGTAATTTTAGTAGAGATGGGGTTTCTCCATGTTGGTCAGGCTGGTCTCGAACTCCAGACCTCAGGTGATCTGCCGGCCTCGTCCTCTCAAAGTGCTGGGATTACAGGTGTGAGCCACCGCGGCCGGCCTCCGTCCATGTTATTCTGTCCGTAATTCCCCTTCTTCCATTCTCTCCTTGTAAACTCCTACTCATACTTCCAAAACCTATTCAAGCTTCCACTCTCAGAACTTTTCCCCAACACATGGCGTTACAGAATTTGTCACTTGTTCCTTCATGTTATTGCTTTATGCATTCTTCTATTACTGTGTAAGTAGGATGCCTCCACTTACAGTTTGGGGTGTGTTAAAAGAAAAACCTTAGACAAATTAAACTTAACAGCGTTTAATCAAGCAAAGAACCCAAAGAATGATCTGCAAATCAAAAAGACCCCAAATCAAAGTAAGTTCAGAGAGGCTCCAGTCTTGCCGAGTGGTCGGAAAAAATAAAGTGACTTACAGAAAACATAATTGAGGGACAGAAACAGCTGGATTGGTTGTAGCTCAGGTTTGCCCTATTTGAACACGGTTTGAACAGTTGGCCACTTGTGATTGGCCAGAACTCTGTGATTGGTACAAGAATAGGTTACAGTCTGTTTACATACCCAATTAGGCTACAGTTCACCATGTATGGGGAAACCTTTAGGCCTAACTTAAAATATGTAAGGAGGCAGCTTTACACTAAATTTAACAGATGCAACTATCATCCCTGGAGTGCAAATGTTTGAGCTTTCAGAAGCCAGTAATAACATAAAACCCAGAAGCCCAAACTTCAACTACCTCCCCTTAATGCATACAGGATTTGCTGTGCTTAAAAGGGGCCTGAAAGGGAGGCTTGAGGTCCCAAGGGAGGGACCTGAAAGGAGCAGCTTAGGCTGAAGACAGAGCCAGAAGGGTGAATGTAGCAAAACTGGCTGTGTGTCCCTCATTGCTGAAAGCTGCTTTGTTTATTTTCTAGGATGGGCTGCCCACACTCCAGGGCTTTCTCACAGGAAGGACTCCTGGCCAAATTCAGTCATCTCAACATATGAGGCAGTGAGGACTTCTGGGCTACAGCTGCAGGATGCTGAAGCACCAGCTGCTGAGCATGCAGTGGTTCAGGGGCAAGGCAGCAAAGCTATTTGGCAGAAGATGTAACATAAATGGAGATAGAGCATTGGCGAACTGGCACAGTGGTGTCAGCAAAGCATCAGAATCTGGGCCAGAGTGAGACCTTTCTAGCCTGCCCCAGTGTCACCCTGATCCAAGGGCCTTCAGGTGCTGCCAGGCTAGGCTCTAGGTGTCTGATTCTCATGGGATCTGGTATTTCTGTTTCCACACACATCTACCTCCTGGGATCCGTGCTCAGGCGTGCTAAATCGAGGCTGGCTCCAGTTTTCACCACCTTGAGGGTTTAGAGCCATCATCCTTCTAGTCCTCATTGGTGACTAACTCCCTTAAAAAAAGCAATTAAAAAACTATAGGAGCTTTCCTGATACCTTTCTTGAAGGACAACTGAAGCTACTTATTTAACCCCCTACCCAATAAGGATGTGGGTGGCGCAACAATTCCAAGATGATATATTTTTTAATCATAGCCTACACCGATATAGTCTTACTAAAATGTAACCACTGTCAGGCATCCTATGGAAAGAAACCCTACTACATGTGCATTACATTGTATTTTATTTAATTAATTTATTTATTTATTTTTGAGGTGGAGTCTCGCTCTGTTGCCCAGGCTGGAATGCAGTGGCAAGATCTCGGCTCACTGCAGCCTCCGCCTCCCGGGTTCAAGCAATTCTCCTGCCTCAGCCTCCTGAGTAGCTGGGATTACAGGCATGTGCTACACGCCCCACTAATTTTTTGTATTTTTAGTAGAGACGGGTTTACCATGTTAGCCAGGATGGTCTTGATCTCCTGACCTCGTGATCCGTCCGCCTTGGCCTCCCAAAAGTGCTGGGATTATAGGCATGAGCCACTGTGCCTGACCTATATTTTATTTTTTATTTATTTATGTAGAGATGGAGTCTCGCTCTGTCACCCAGGCTGGAGTGCAGTGGTGCGATCTCAGCTCACTGCAACCTCTACCTCCCAGGTTCAAGCGATTCTCCTGCCGCAGCCTCCAAAGTAGCTGGGACTATAGGCGCCCGCCACCATGCCTGGCTAATTTTTGTATTTTTAGTAGAGACAGGGTTTCACCATGTTAGCAAGGCAGGTCTCGAACTCCTGACCTCAAGTAATCCATCCACCTCGGCCTCCCAAAGTGCTGGGATTGCAGGTGTGAGCCACTGAGCCGGGCCTGCACTGTATTTTAATGTCTTTTATTCCAACACCCTTACTAAGCCTTAAGCTTCTAGATGGTAAGGTTATGCCTTTTATCTTTATATTTCTAGCACCTAGTAGATTATATAAGAAGGTAATGGGAATAGTTATCATTAAAGTAGTAGTAAAACTTTATTGAATGCTATTCTGATCCAGTCAGAGCACTAAGTGTGTTACATGAATTATTTCTATCCTCCTTTTTGCAAATGAGAAATCTGAGACTTAGGTCAAGGAACTTTCCTCAAATTACACAGCTAGTAAGTAGCAGAATTATGCCTCATACCTGTTTGTTGAATTCACCTATGCTCCACTTACTGAAAATCTACTTTATGAAAATTTAAATATATAAGACCAGCCAATTAATTAATGGTGAACATTTTCATTAACTGTTAGAGAATGCTGTTTCTCCACTCTAGGGTTCTATTGAAAAGGACTATTTCCTGCTGGGTGCGGTGGCTCATGCCTGTAATCCCAGCACTTTGGGAGGCCGAGGCGGGCGGATCATGAGGTCAGGAGTTTGAGACCAGCCTAGCCAATGTAGTGAAACCTCGTCTCTACTAAAAATACAAAAGTTAGCCAGGCGTAGTAGTGTGTGCCTGTAGTCCCAGCCACTTGGGAGGCTGAGGCAGAAGAATCGCTTGAATCCGGGAATTGGAAGTTGCAGTGAGCCAAGACCGCGCTACTACACTCCTGCCTGGGCGACAGAGAGATGCTCTGTCTCAAAAAAAAAAAAAAAAGAAAAAGAAAAGGACTATTTCCTGGCCTCTTTCAGTGCCTTCGTCATTCCCCTCTGATAATGTAGAGTCCATCTGAGCAGGGTAACTGAGCATATTGGGCTCAGCTTCATTGCCTTCTTCCTCTGGGGAGACAGACCCCTAAGGGAAAAACATTATCTGCTGTTCTCTCCAGGGCTTGCCCCTAGCCCAGTGCAGCCTGCAACTCAACAGCTCTTGATTCTGGAGTTCAGTATTAGCCCAGTCCACCTGGCCACCAGACCTAAAACTATTCCTTCCAACCCGGCCTCCTGTCTGTGTCACTCTCTGTTTTCATCCTCAATGTTTCAGAAATAGGGAGAAGTGAGCTATTTCCTGAGCTCTGCTGGAGAACCCTCCTTCCCCATAATCAGCAAAGGGCCGATTAAAGTTTTTTCCTTAAATAGTCCACAGAGCAAAGGTTGGTTAAAGAAGCCAGGGCAGGGAGATATGAGGAAAGAGGAGAAGCAAAAACCAGAAACTTCACGCTAAGAGTCAACTGAAGATCATTCAAATTTAAAGCACTCAGGCTGGGCACGGTGGCTCACACCTGTAATCCCAGCACTTTGGGAGGCCGAGGCAGCTGGATCACCTGAGGTCAGCAGTTTGAGACCAGCCTGACCAATGTGGTGAAACCCTATCTCTACTGAACATACAAAAATTAGCTGGGTGTGGTGCCGTGTGCCTGTGGTCCCTGCTACTTGGGAGGCTGAGGCAGGAGATGGCTTGAACCCGGGAGGTGGAGGTTGCAGTGAACTGAGATCACACCACTGCACTCCAGCCTGGGCAACAGAGCAAGACTCTGTCTCAAAAAAAAAAAAAAAAATTAAAGCACTCAGCAAATGTAAGTGAATGACGAATAGCAATATGCAACTTGCTTGACCTTCTCAACTCTTTAAAGCTCATGAAACGAAGCACACTGCTACCCATCAGCTTGCTAAACCCCTTTAAATGATGGGGATCTGGACCCTTGTATGCGAACTCTGCTGGTGCAGGGGAAAGGGAGGGCAGCTGTTTCCCTACATTCTTGGGCTTTCCTAGGTTTCCACAAGCAGGCTGAAAATTCCAAAAAGAATGCTAAATACATGCTCCAGGTTCATTTATCCAACTCTTTCCTTGCATCACCTTCTGGATGTTTCACAGGCATTTCCAACAGAGCAAGGGCAAAACAGGTCTTTTGATGTCCCTCCAAAAACCTGTTCCTCCTTCAGGCTTTCCATCTTAGTAAATGGAACCAACATCCACCATATTAGATTACTCCATTAGATTCCCCATACCCCACATCCAATCCACCAGCAAATTTTGTCTCTAATTTTAAAATCTATCTGAATCTGTTCACCTCTATCTCCACTGTTACCACCTTGTACAAACCAGGTGTCATTTCTCACCTGGACAATTAAATGGGCTCCTAATTGGTCTCCCTGCCTCTGCCAATCTAGAATCTAACCAGCAGCCAGAATGAGCTTTCAAAATTAAAATAATTTCATTCCACTGCTTAAAAGTAATGACTTCTAAATGGGCAGAGAATAAAGATAAAACAATCTCTGAATGAAAGTTTAATGTGAGCTCGGCTGGGTGCGTTGGCTCACACCTGTAATCCCAGCACTTTGGGAGGCTGAGGCAGGTGGATAACCTGAGCTCAGGAGTTCGAGACCAGCCTGGCCAACATGGCAAAAACCCATCTCTACTAAAAATACAAAAATTAGCTGGGTGTGGTGGCAGGCGCCTGTAATCCCAGTTACTCGGGAGGCTGATGCAGGAGAATCGCTTGAACCCAGGAGGCAGAGGTTGCAGTGAGCCAAGATTACGCCATTGCATTCCAGCCTGGGTGTCAAGAGTGAAACTCTGTCTCAAAACAAAAAAAAAAAAAAGAAAAGAAAGTTTAATGTGAGCTACCCCTGCCTCCCTGTGTGACCTTGTCTCTTGGCTTTCTCCACCTCATGTGCCATGCCCAACCAAGAGCTTATTTCCACCTCAGACTCTTCATACTTCTGGTTTTCTCTTCTGAGAACACTCTTTTTTTTTTTTTTTTTTTTTTTTAGGTCTTATTCTGGTCATTTAGGTTAAAGTTCACTTCCTCAAGAGCAGCCTTCCCAGACCACCCATCTAAAATAGACTCTTCCATTCACCCTTGTCACTCTGTCTCATTGTTGGTTCTTTTTAAGTTTGGGGATTTTTGAAAGTTTTTTCATAGCACTTATCACTATCTGAAATTATCTTTTTTTTTTTTTTTTTTGAGACAGAGTCTTGCTCTGTTGCCCAGGCTGGAGTGCAGTGGTACGATCTCGGCTCACTGCAACCTCTTCCTCCTGGGTTCAAGCGATTCTCCTGCCTCAGCCTCCTGAGTAGCTGGGACTACAGGCATATGCCACCACGCCTGGCTAATTTTTGTATTTTTAATAGAGACAGGGTTTCGCCATGTTGGCCAGGCCAGTCTCAAACTCTTGACCTCAAGTGATCTGCCCATCTTGGCCTCCTGAAGTGCTGGGATAAAGGTGTGAGCCACCACACCTGGCCATCTTGATTATCTAATTGTTTACTTCTTTTTTTGTTTTGTTTTGTTTTTCAAGACAGTCTCACTCTGTAGCCCAGGCTGATTATCTAATTGTTTACTTCTTTTTTTGTTTTGTTTTGTTTTTCAAGACAGAGTCTCACTCTGTAGCCCAGGCTGGAGTGCAGTGTCGTGATCTCCACTCACTGCAACCTCTGCCTCCCAAGTCCCAGTTGAGCAGTTCTCCTCCCTCAGCCTCCCGAGTAGCTGGGATTACAGGCACGCACCACTGTGCCCAGCTAACTTTTGTATTTTTAGTAGAGACGGGGTTTCACCATGTTGGCCAGGCTGGTCTTGAACTCCTGGCCTCAAGTGATCCGCCCACCTCGGCCTCCCAAAGTGCTGGGATTACAGGCATGAGCCACTGTGCCCAGCCTGTTTTTTGTTTTTTGAGACAGGGTCGCATTCTGTCACCCAGGCTGGAGTGCAATGGTGCAATCTCAGCTTACTGCAACCTCTGCCTGCTGGGTTCAAGCAATTCTCATGCCTCAGCCTCCCGAGTAGCTGGGATTACAGGCATGTGCCATCATGCCAGCTCTTTTTTTTTTTTTTTTTTTTTTGTATTTTTAGTAAAGACAGGATTTCACCATACTGGCCAGGCTGGTCTTGAACTCCTGACCTCAAATGATCTGACCTCCTCAGCCTCCTAAAGTGCTGGGATTACAGGTGTGAGCCAGCATGCCCGGCCTTTGTTTACTTCTTATATTTATTATCTGTATTGGCAACTAAAACGTAAGTGTCATCAGGGCCAGAATCTTGTCTAAAGAGTTCCTGGCTGTAGAAGACACTCATACATGAATGAATAATTAGTTTAATGAAATTCTGACAACAAAAAGACAAAGGCAAACCTAGACACAGACATAGTCTGGCTCAAAAATACAGATTTCTGATCTGTCACAGCTTCATCTTTGAAAGTCAGCCTCATTCCATACCCACCCTTTCCTCCCAAAAGGCCTGAAAGTTTTGAAGTGGCTTCTGTGCCTTCTTTGCCCTTGGCCTGCCTCTGAGAGACAGAGTTCATCTGACTTTCCACTCACTTCCTAGTGACCTTGAGTTCATTTACAGCCAAAGACAATAATGGGTGTTTAACTCACCAAGACTCCTTCAACCCAGGGCACTCCACCTCCCCCAATTATTGCCAAGTCTGGTTTAGGTCTGACAGCAACTGAGGCTATACCCTCCATCCCCTCCATCCTCCCCCAGGTTAGGCGAAATCTTCTCTCCATTGTCAAGCAAGGTGTGAATTTTGATGAAGCTACTCAGGGCAGAGAGGTGGTTGGAAATTAGGTGGGAGTGATACTCTTTCATCAAATTAAGGCTCGGGTATTACCAAGAAGTAGGGTCAAAATTACGTCAGCCAGAGAAATATAAATCCATTAGACTAGAGGAGGATCTTTAAAATGAGAAAAAGTTGCAGCCATGGAGTAGAAGACCCTCTGATTCCCTCTTTCCAAGTGTTGATAGTAGAGCTTCACCGCCATGAAAAGTCTGTGGATGCTGAGACCTGTGCTCCCCTTCTCTCTGAGGCAGGCCTACAGAATTGGGCATGAAACAGCAAAGGATGGCCTCTGCTTCCACCACCATCAGAAATGTTATATTTTCACCAGTGCACCATAATGTAGCAGTCTCTCCATAATGTAGCAGGTGAGGTATCACCTGGAGTTCTTCGTCTCATGACCAAGAAAATTAAGGAGCGTGGATGCAAAGGATGAAGTTGCAGCGAAAGTTTAATAAGCAAAAGAAGAAAGCTCTCCACAGTGGAGAGGGGACCTGGAGGAGGGTTGCTGCTTTTACAGGTGACTGCAAAGGCTTTTATAAGAACCGGTGAGGGCTGGGCATCTCATTTGCATAAGGCATGAATTTCTGGTAGCTCCACCTCATCCTTCTAGTGTGCATGTGGGCCCTTAGCTTAAGTTTTATTCCATATTGCTTTTTTCCCCTTACTGCGCATGTGTCAGGGGATGGAATTTTCCACTGCAGAAGTATCTGGGCAAGTCATCTGGGTAGGCTTTCATATCTGTGTGGCTGTGGGAATGTCTTAGTCAAGGCCACCTGTGCAGATCCCCTTATCTGTGCCTGCAGCTTGATTTTTCAGGCTGTTCTTTTGTTTGAAAGAATTTAACCAAGGACCCACCCTAACTGATGCCTGAAAGGTTTCTTCCTTTCTCCTCTCTCAGTATCTTCCCTTGTGGACTACACCAGTGTCGAAATGTTCTTGCTAAAAATGATGCAGGGAGAAAGACAAAGTTACAAAGTTGGCATCCACAATTTTTCCATCTTGCCCCACTTCCCAATTAAAATGAAGGAAAAAAAATTGGTGAGGTCTCCATCCCTGTCTGAAGCAGGCATCCATTATCCTGCCCAGGTCAGTTGCTGCAATGGGAAGCATGACTTCATGTTTTGTCAGATGTACCAAATTTTCAAGAGAAAAGCCAGAGAGCTGAATATTTGTGTGAAATTTCCTGATTTTTAAAAGTTGGCAATTGTATCAAATTAGGATTATACTCCACTAAATATAACATAAAATCGAAAAGAACATGCAGCATAAATGAGAGAAATGTTTTCCTTCATTAGAGGCAGTTCAGTGGCTCCACAGAGATCAGGGACCCAGGTTCCTTCCAGCTTTCTGCTCTATCATTCCTAGGGGGTGACCTTTATCTTCATGGCCCAGTGTGACTGCAAGAGCTCTAGCATCCAAGTTCCCAGCAGAAGGATGGAGGACTGGCTGGAAAAACAAGGAGACACAGGGTATGCATCAGGTATGTTTCAAGGGAGCTGCCACAAACCACATCTGCTTACATCTTATTGGCTAGAACTTAGCTGCATGGTGACAGCTAATTGCAAGGGAAGCTGGGAAATGTAGTCTCTATTTCAGAGGCACTTACTATAGGGAATAAAGGGAGAAAGGCTCTTGGGGTCAGCAATTAATAGTCTGTGTCATAGTAACTATATCAGTCAGGGTTCTCCAGAGAAACAGAACCAGTAGGAGGCATACAACAAGTCTGAAATCTTAGAAAACACCAGCAGGCTGGAAACTCAAGCCAGATTTTTATGTTACAATCCTGGGGCAGAAGTCCTTCTCCAGGAAATCTCCGATTTTGCTCTTAAGGCTTTTAACTAATTAGATGAGGCCTACCCACATTATTGAAAGTAGACTCCTTTACTTAAAGTCAACTGGTTGTAGATATTAACTATATCTGCAAAATATCTTCACAGCCACATTGTTATTAGTGTTGTAACAAAAAACTGAGCCCCGTAGCCTAACCAAGTTGACACATATAATTAACCATTACACTAATTCACAATTTTAAAAACTGTGCATACAAAACAGTAGCTGTCTATGAGCACGGTATGACCTGCAGCCTGCCAGTTTGCAATCCTTTCTTTGCATGTCGGAGCAAGGGGCTTGGCCCTTTATAGACCTACGATGTAATAATACCCTAACCACATACCCACCATACGACTGGAATCACACATACACTGCCACAAGAGGTCTGCAGTGAAGGTCCCAAAGTCCCAGACAGTATGTAGAGAAATAGTCCTGTTTTTTGTTTGTTTTGCTTTTACCACTGTGGAATGCTATCTGATAACACACTTTTCTCACTCCTTTCTGACTCATAAAATTATTTTCACTGTAAAACCCAAACCTCAGTTGCTAGGTAGTGCCCCCACAGGAGGGGGCAGTGAGGGGAGAAGGCAGGGAGCTGGGGCTAAGAAAAAGCCTAGGGCTTTGTCAGCCTATAATCACCAACCATTCCACTCACCCAGTACCACTCAGACAGAGGAATGAGACTCTTCTATGCTCGCCCCAGACAGTTCTTATCTGGTGTTCCTCTTTCAAAGTTGTCATGCTGTAAAGTTGTGTTTTCACTGATTTGTAAGAGCGGTTTATATATTGTGAATATTTATTTTTTCTTTCTTACATGTATTGCAATTGGTTTTTCTAATTTTTAAAACATTGTTTATGATGTCTTACACTGTAATTCTGTACAGGCTTACAGCTTTTCTGAGTCTATTTGAATAATATAAGTACTAGAAATGTGGCTAAAATGGGCCCATTAAAAGCATTGGGCCAGGCACAGTGGCTCATGCCTGCAATCCCGGCACTTTGGGAGGCTGAGGTGGGCAGATTGCTTGAGCTCAGGAATTTGAGATCAGCCTGGGCAACATGGTGAAATTCCATCTCCACAAAATATTAAAAAAAAAATAGCTGAGTATGGTGGCATGTGCCTGTAGTCTCTGCTACTCGGGAGGCTGAGGCAGGAAGATCACCTAAGCCCAGGAGATAGAGGCTGCAGCGAGGTATAATTGCACCACTGCCCTCCAGCCTAGGTGACAGAGTGAAGAAAAAATAAAAATAAAAAGAAGGAGGAAAAAAAAGCATTGACACACTTTCATGCAGGCTGGAGGGCAGTGGCGTGATCACAGCTCACTCCCAGGGTCAAGTGATCCTCCTGCCTCAGCCTCCCGAGTAGCTGAGACTACACACGTGCACCACCATGCCCCGCTAATTTTTAAATTCCTTGTAGAGACACAGTCTCACCCTATTGCCCAGGCTGGTGTTGAACTCCTGGGTTCAAGTGATCTTCCTGCCTTCACCTCCCAAAGTGTTAGGATTACGGGTGTGAGCCACTTTGCCCAGCCGGCACACAAATTATATCACCTAGAAATCGATAATTTCACTAAAAGCCAGGAGATGAACTAAAATTATTTAGGGTAAATATGTGTCTTATGTTTCTTAATTCAGCAACAAATTAGTTTTATGCAACAATCATCATATGAAAATAAAAACAATTATAATTCAGTGGATCTTTTTTCACTTTATGGGAAGCAGATTTGGTTTATCTGGCTTCAGTGCTTTTCCCTGCTGTTTATTTTTCACAAGTAAGTCATCTTTATTGTCATTTTGTTTTTACTGCAAAGTTCATTGGAGTCATCATTTTTGAAGAAACCAAAAATAGATGAGGTGGGCCCATATTGTGGTGGCCATTTCTCTGATCTTTAGAAAAATAGTTCTCCATATTTGAAAACAAAGAATGCTCATAGAAGGACAATCTAACAGGCTTGCTATTTATAAGATACCTGAATTTGACTCCCATTTGAATGGATGTTTATCCCTGTCAAACTTATGCTCTGGACAGCAAAACACATAATTTTTAAATTGTTATTATTATTTTTGAAACAGAGTCCCCTCTTGTTGCCCAGGCTGGAGTGCAGCAGCATGATTACAGCTCACATCAGCCTCGACCTCCCGGGCTCAAGCTATCCTCCTACCTCAGCCTCCCAAGTAGCTGGGACTATAGGTACGTGCCACCATACCCAGCTAATTTTTTTCTGTTTTTTGTAGAGATGAGGGTCTCACTACATTGCCAAGGCTGGTCTTGAACTCCTGGATTCAAGCAATCCTCCTGCCTTGGCCTCCCCACATGCTGGGATTACAGCCATGAGCCACTGTGTCCAGCCAAAACTCCTAATTTTAATGAGAATGGCATCAATTGAAGGCATTGTCCCCAATTGCTTTGTGACATCAGTCCTGGATTAAATGCAAACAGATTTTTCCTTATGACAAATTCTGCACTATAGCCCACAGTATTATTTACTCTTTTTTTCTTTCTTTCTTTTTTTTTTTTTGAGACGGAGTCTCTCTCTGTCGCCCAGGGTAGAGTGCAGTGGTGCAATCCTGGCTCACTGCAACCTCTGCCTCCCAGGTTCAAGTGATTCTCCTGCCTCAGCTTCCCAAGTAGCTGGGACTACAGGCGTGTGCCACCACGACCAGGTAATTTTTGTATTTTTAGTAGAGACAGGGTTTCATCATATTGGTCAGGCTGGTCTTGAACTCCTGACCTCGTGATCCTCCTGCCTTGGCCTCCCAAAGTGCTGGGATTACAGGTGTGAGCCACTGCGCCTGGCTATATTTCTTTACTCTTAACATAGATTAAATGCCTATTACCTGATAGATTTTATATGGCACACATTAAGAACATGCATTTTCTTGCATTTCTTGCTCTTTTTCTACTCTCCTTAAGCATTCATAGGCAAGCATTGTCTACTATGATGGCTTATAACAAAAATCTGTAACACTCTTACTTGTGGTCATTGCTGGCTATGTAATTCGCTGAGCCTGGTGCCAAACGAAAATATGGGACCTCCTCTGTAAAAAACAGGAAAAAAGTACAGTTAAAGATACTAATGTAATGGGATAATAGTGATACTGGAGTAACTACATGAACTTAAACATTGCTAAACTAATAATTGTGATGTCATAATTTTATATAATACAGTAAACAATAATCATTCATTAATGTGATGTCCTATTATATTTTTCTGGCTCACTTTTCTGCAAATTCATCAAAATTTATTCTTTTCATTTCACTTTCATTTTCAATAGATATGAAATTTATGTCATACAATTTCTTTACCAATAGATAAGACTGAAAGCAACACCAGCCAGTCTTGGGAAATATAAAGTCACAAATAAATTTTGATAATTTTTCATTTCGTAAAGGATCTTTCTGCTGATGCAGCTGTTAAGAGTGTTTCATAAACTGTGACAACACTAAGGTAAATTTCTGATAAATTATTTTGAAATATAAATTTTAATACTTCTAGAGTTGTTGGTTCTTGTGGAATAATTTTTCTAAAGGGACTTAACTCCTTAGACAACTCAGTTTTCTGTAAAAGTCTGAATTTAATTTTAAGTATAAATTTACACAATGATATTTTAATGTTTCTGCAGACATAAGGAAATATTTCCTGAAACTTGTGGAGGTCTTACAAGAAACTGAAAGTGGCTTCATAATTTGTATATAATTCATAAGGCCTGTTTATGTATTCTGTCACTGACTCTTCAATTATAAGAAAAAAAACATGTTTAATTATCTTTCTGCCAAACAATTGGTTTGTACTTCCTAGGAAAATAGCATTCTTTTCTGTAGAATGTGACAATCTTTAAACTTAATTTCTGTTTCTAAGCCTGAGGTTATTTGCTTTGCCATGTTGTAGTAGTTTTCAAAACTAGACATTTTAGATCCTTTAAGAATTCTAATAACCCCCTGCTATGCTATGACAATATTCATGTATACACTTTTATTGTATACATGTTGTACTAATTTACTGAGAAGTTAGCAGAATGAGTTCCTGTCCCAGTACTCAGGATGGAGAGTTACTATTTGTGCAGATGATGCGGGGCTAAGCTCTGGCAAGGGACAGGCGAGCTGGTCTCCCACTGGTGGTCCTGGCAATGTCCATATGCAGAGCCCTTTCCTGTCTTTGGAGCCGCAGCCATTGCTGTCCTGACTGTTACTCCTGCTGCCCGCCACCATCACCACTGCAACTGGGCCCAGGTACTGGCTCAGCTGCACTCTGGACTGCCCTGAATCATGCACACATGCATGCGTTCCCCGCTGGGGTGTTTCCACTGCTCATGTGCATGCTTCATTGTCTCACTGGCTTCACTTACCAAACACAAATTCGAAGATAAAATCACTAAGAATTCCAAGACAGCAACAGCAGAGGATTAAACCAAGCATGTGCCCCTTCTGAGAGTGCAACTGCACAGCATATGGTCCTATAGATAGTCTATTAGGTGTCAGGATTTGGGCTTTGTGTAGAAGAGAGGATAAGGTGGTGAGGAAATGATGGGCACTGACAGATTTCCTCCATGATCTTAACTTAAAGCAATAGGTTGTTGATAAATCTACATCATCTTCATACTGAAATGAATGCTCTTTGAGAGCAAGAATCTTGTCTTATGCAGCCCTGTATTCCCCATGGGACCTACCTCTGTGCCTTCCATATAGCAGATGTTAAGTACGTTAGGTTGAACACATAAATTGCTATTCTTCTGTTTCAGAAGGGTAACGTGTAAAGAGTTGGAAACAGGTCCTTTTATATAAGGTCCTTTTATATATAAGGCATTATATAAGGCATTATATATAATATATTATATTTTTTGCCTTTTATAAGGCATTAAACTGATCAAAACTGGTATAAAAAATCTGATCTTCTTGTCTGATCCAGGAGGAGAAATATCATTAGTAAGCATTGTGTTTTCCGTGTTCTTTCCACAAATGTGCCCTGTATAAACTTCCTGAGTTTGGTAAAGGAGAATCCTTCTGGTTTTGCTTGCACATACAGAGAATCACGTGATGGATTTCATTTTTTCCCTTTTGTTTCCATGTCTTAAAAGCAAAATCATAGAAGGAAACTCTATGGACAATTTCAGATGGAGAAGAAGAAAGGACTGGAAGTTCAATTTGGCCATGACAATTAGGTGGGAAAGGGTGATGAAACTTATTAACCTAATAAGCTAAAGTACTTAAAGTAGTAAGAAGTAACTTATTAACCTAATAAGCTAAAGTCCATCCTTTTTCATCTATTACTATGGGCTACATTTTGCACTGAACATTATTTACGTTCACTGCATAAGGACAGAAAGGAGGGATAACATTATAGAGGAATGAGTTATTTCCCATTTACTGGATTACATGGTTCCTGTAGCATGAATTTTTTTTAACCTCAAAGATTTTACACAATCTACATGTCAAACATTCATGATTGGCTGGGCGTGGTGGCTCACGCCAGTAATGCCAGCACTTTGGGAGGCCGAGGCAAGCGGATCACCTGAGGTCAGGAGTTTGAGGCCAGCCTGGCCAACACGGTGAAACCCTGTCTCTACTAATATAAAAATTAGCCGGGCACGGTGGCAAGTGCCTGTTAATCTCAGTTACTTGGGAGGCTGAGGCAGAAGAATCTCTTGAACCCGGGAGACGGAGGTTGCACTGAGCCAAGAACGCACCACTGCACTCCAGTCTGGGCAACAGAGTGAAACTCTGTCTTGGGAAAAAAAAAAAAATTCATGATCACTAGTCATGCTATTAGTTAATAGCAGATCACAGGATTATAGGTCTAGATGTGAGGAAGCAAGAAATCTCCAAGTGCTGATTTTTTTTTTAAGTTTATAGGAAGAACAAATATTAAAGATCTAAGTCTCTAAGTTAAAGACTAATCACTGTCCTCTTCACCAACAGGTCTTAATCTTAATATTTTGAAGAGTAAATATATTTATTCCAATTCCCACAAATGCTGCATTTCTCTAATAAAACCTGAAAAAGGCTGGGTGTGGTGGCTTGTGCCTATAGTCCTAGCTACTCGGGAGGCTGAAGTGGGAGGATAGCTTGAGCCCAGGAGGTCGAGGCTGGTGTGAGCCGTAATCATGCCATTGCACTCCAGCCTGGGTGACAGAGTGAGACCCTGTCTCAAAGAAAAAACAAAACAAAAATCGAAAAACCTGACAAAAAGATGTGGATAAGATTGTAACAGTTTATGGATTCCTAAACGTTTATTTTGCCTTTCATTTTACTTCTTCCTTATGAGAATTGTTACCAGATTCTTGGTAATATAAATGCACAATTAGATGCATTTCACACGTCAATATAAACTGCATTCAATCTTTGAAAGAAAGATATTATTGCAATTCTGCAACAGAGTAAAGTAAGCCAGGAGACCTATTTACTTATGCAGATAACAGTAACAGAGTCATACATTTAATAAATGTTGAGTGTCTACTATATATCAGGCACTTTACTAGTGCTGGGGATATATCTGCAAACAAAGCAATAAAAACAAACCCAAAAATTTTTGCCCTCATGTAGCTCACATTACATTGAGGAAACACAGGCAAAAAATAATGTACCTAAGTGTGTTGGAGGCCGAAAGATTGAGGGTAGTGATCAACTCAGTATACCACTGGAGGCTATATGAGTAAACAGCAAACTGTTCTCATAAACGCAGAATGTTGGCAAACTGACAAACTGCGTCTGCCACCAGAAGGAATGCTGAGGGCAGTCACGCCCCAAGCGCAGTGTTTCTTGTGATTAGGTACTTCTGAAGCCTGTTAGTAGTAATATGAACCTGTGATCGATTAAGCAGCTGACCAATCGTTACCTCCTCCTCCCTGCTCTTTCTACCCAATAAATAAGAAAGGCTGTGGAAACTCGGGGGCTGCCTTTGCTCACTAGAAGCGGGGAGTTCTCTTCTTCTTTCCTGATTCCCCTTCCTTTAAAATAGTTTCTTTTGTCTTAAGTTTACATTTCTGCGTCCGTCCCTTCCTTCAGTCTTGTAATGACGGTCTCAAGCAGTAGCAGTGGCAGTCAGTCACATAAGTGAAAAAGTACATTGTAGAGGTTTATTTCTACAGAACAAACCACCTCAAAACCAGGTGACTCAAAACAATAAGTATTTATTATTGCTCACCAGAGCAAAGGGAAAGGAAAATGGAAATGTGTGTATGATAGAGAGAGAACGAGGAAGAGAGAAGGAGAGGTACAAGGGGGTTGGGTTGCAATTTTAAATAAGGGGATCACCTTATTGAGAGGGCAGCTGTGGTATGCAGCCTCTTTGATGGTCCCCAATAGTCTGAATTTCCTGGACTTCCTTGAGTATCCTCTTTCTTTGAGTATAAGGCTGGACCTAGTAACTCCTTTCTAACAAAGAGAATATGGCAAAAGTGACAAGACAAAATTTCCAAGATTAAGTTATAATGAGATTGTCTTCCTTTGTGGATGCCCTTGCTTGCTTGCTCTGATGGAAGCTGGGTACCACGTTGTGAGATGCTTTATGGAGAAGTCCTTCCATAGAGGCAAGGAACTGAAGGAGGCCCCAGCCAATGAGGGGCCTTTTTTTTTTCTTCTTTTTCTTTCTTTCTTTTTTTTTTTTTTTTTTTTTTGAGACAGGGTCTCCCTCTGTTACGCAGGCGGGAGTGCAGTGGCACAATCTTGGCTCACTGCAACCTCTACCTCCTGGGCTCAAGAGATCCTCCCACCTCAGCCTCCCAAGTAGTTGGGACTACAGGTGCAAGCAACCACACCCGACTAATTTTTGTATTTTTTGTAGAGATGGGGTTTTGCCATGTTGCCCAGGCTGGTCTTGAACTCCTGAGCTCAGGCAATCCACCTGCCTTGGTCTCCGAAAGTGCTGAAATTACAGGTGTGAGCCACTGTGCCTGGCCTGGAACTAGGGCCTTTAGTTCAAGAGCCCATGGGGAACTGAATCCTGCTAACAACCATGTGAGTGCGCTTGAAGGTGGGTCCTCCCTCAGTAGAGCTTAAAGATGAGACAACAGCCCTGGGGACATCTTGACTGCAGAGAATCCTTGAGGCAGAGGCACCCAGCTAAGTTGTATCTGGAATTCTGACCCCAGAAACAATGAGATAATAGATGTTTGTTTTTAGCTCCTAAGACTTGGAGTACTTTGTTACACAGCAGTAAATAACTAATACAGTGATGTTTGAACAAAGACTTGAAGAAGCTGAGTGAGAAGGCCATGCAGATATCTTGGAGAAGTGCATTCCAGGCAGAGGAAAAGCCAGTGCAGAGACACTGAAGCAGGGCATGACTGATGTGTATAAGGAGCATCATATACATGATCATCTACAGTCCACTGAGGAGAATAGCAGACGAGGTAATGTGTGTGACTGGGAGCCACAACATACTGGGCCTAGTGGGTTAGTAGAAGAACTTCAGCCTTACTCCAAGAGAAATTGGCAGCTGTGTTGCAGGGTTTGGGACAGTAGTGGCATGATCTCATTTATGTTTGTGAAAGATCACTCTAGCTTGTGTTGAGAATTGTCTGTAAGGTATAAGGGGGAAAGCAGGGAGCTCACTTAGTCAGTTGCAATAATCTAGGCAAAAAATGAATGAAAATCACGATGGCAGTTTGTAGAAAGATGATAACAGAGGTAGATTCTGGACATGCTCTAACTGTAGACCCACTGATTTCTGGATTGTGAAAGAAAAAGAAGAGTCAAGGAAGACTCCATGGCTTTTGGTTTGAGTAAGTGAAAAAACAGGAAGAATGTAGGTGGATCAGGTGTGGGGAAGAGGAAAATCAGAAATTTACCTTTAATCATGTCAAACTTGAGAACAGCTAGTGCTTTTCAAGTCAAGTAGAGCTGTTAAGTAGGCAACTAGATATATGAGTCTAGAGGTCAGGGTGATGTCTGGGCTGAATATATAAATTTAGAAGTTGTCAGCATATAAATAGTATTTAAAGTTATGAGACTGGATGAGATCACCAAGTATTGATAAAGAAAGGGACCCAGGACTGAGAACTGGGGCAATTCAACATTCAGACATCAGGAAACAGAAGAGATCAGCAGAGGAACCTGGGAAGGAACAGCCAGGGAGGTAGGAGGAAAATCCACAGTGTAGTGTCTCAGAACCAATTAAAGAATGCATCTCAAATGAGGTAACCAACTGCTACCATGCTGGGATGAACACTGAGAAACAACTGTCGGGTTTAGCAGCATGGTCGTTGGAGACCTTTTCAAGAGCAGTTTAGTAAAGTTCTGAGAGCTAAAAAAAATAAAATAAAAATAAAAAAAGTGACTATAGGGTATTTAGCGGTGGGAGGGAAAGGACTGATGTTAGTAAGAATAGACTAATCTTTCTAGGAGCTTTGCTGCCAAAGAATCAGCGAAATCAGGTGGTATCTGGTGAGGGAAATGGAGTTACGTTTTAAAAAGATATTTGGGGTCAGGCGCAGTGGCTCATGCCTGTAATCCCAGCACTTTGGGAGGCCAAGGCAGGTGGATTACTTGAGGTCAGGAGTTTGAGACCAACATGGTGCAAACATGGTGAAACCCCGTCTCTACTAAAAATACGAAAATTAGCTGGGCATGGTGGCACATGCCTGTAATCTCAGTTAGTGGGGAGGCTGAGGCAAGAGAATCGCTTGAACCTGGGAGTGGAGGTTGCAGTAAGCCGAGATCACACCACTGCACTCCAGCCTGGGTGACATAATGAGACTCTCTCTCAAAAAAATAAATAAGTAAAATAAATATAAAGATATTTGGGCCTGGTGTGGTGGCTCACAACTGTAATCCCAGCACTTTGGGAGGCCGAGGCGGACAGATCACCTGAGGTCGGGAGTTCGAGACCAGCCTGACCAACATGGAGAAACCCCGTCTCTACTAAAAATACAAAATTAGCTGGGCATGGTGGCACATGCCTGTAATCCCAGCTACTTGGGAGGCTGAGGCAGAAGAATCGCTTGAACCCAGGAGGCAGAGGTTGCAGTGAGTCAAGATCGTGCCATTGCACTCCAGCTTGGGCAACAAGAACAAAACTCCATCTCAAAAAAAAAAAAAAAAACATATTTGGGCCAGGCGCAGTGGCTCATACCTGTAATCCCAGCACTTTGGGAGGCCAAGGCGGCCCAATTGCTTGAGCCCAGGAATTCAAGACCAGCCTGAGCAACATGGTGAAACCCCGTCTCTACAAAAAATACAAAAATTAGCCGGACATGATGGTGCGCACCTGTAATTCCAGCCACTCAGGAAGGTGAAGCAGGAGGATCACCTGAACCCAGAGAGGTCAAGGCTGCAGTGAGTCGTGATCATGCCACTGCACTCTAGCCTGGGTGACAGAAGGGGACCCTGCCTCAAAAAGAGATTTGTCTTCTGATGAGAAAGCAGGAATGTTGAGAAAAGGGCAAAAAATTGATATAATAGAGGGAAGAATGGCCAATGTCCTTAGGTAGGTGAAAGGGAATCCAATCTAGTGCTCAAGAGGGCTGAGTTTTGGGTAGAAATTCAAAATTTGTTTACAGTTTCAGGAAAAAAAATGTAAACGGCTGAAATGAACAAGAAATATTACTCGTGTCTTATATAGTAGTCTCTTCAAGTTATTATCTGTGTCTTTAATTGTCTTGAGGTATTTTACAACTCTGTAAATGGCAGACAACTGAAAGAAATGCAAATAATTCTTTTCCATAGACATACAAGTGAATTTTGCCCAGTGGAGGCACAGTTGATTCCCCTCCCCCATTATAGAGGCCAGTTGTGCATCTATTAAGCAAATTCATTTTGACATGCCTCATATCTGTATATGTATCTGTTTTTAGGATTATTTTTTGAACTGGTTCCAACATCTTAGTGGTTCCTTTATTAGTGAGTTAAGTAAAATCTTTGGCACATGTTCATTTTATATTTATATGAGAATTTATATGAGAAACTTTTTCTTTTTTTTTTAAAGAGGCCAGGTGCAGTGCATGTAATCCCAGCACTTTGGGAGACTGAGATGGGAAGATCGCTTGAGGCCAGGAGTGCAAGACCAGCCTGGGCAACACAGCAAGACCTTGATTCTACTAAAAAAAAAAAAGGATCCTTCAACTTCAACAATAATAACACAAGGGAAGGTAATGCACACACAGATGCTTAGGTGGGTGGAAGTGGTGGTGCCAACCGGTCCAAGTTCTTTCCAATAGCTTCACTTTTCTGAGAAAAGAAAAGATGTAAAATAGGAGAGTGGCAAATGGACTAGAGAATTTTATTATGACTGCAGCATTAAATGCCACTTGAGGCCAGGCAAAGTGGCTCATGCCTGTAATCCCAGCACTATGGGAGGCCGAGGCGGGCGGATCACCTAAGGTCAGGAGTTTGAGACCAGTCTGGCCAACATGGTGGAACCCGTCTCTACTAAAAATACAAAAATTAGCCAGGCATTGTGACGCTCACCTGTAATCCTAACTACTTGGGAGGCTGAGGCAGGAGAACTGCTTGAACCTTGGAGGCAGAGGCTGCAGTGAGCTGAGATCCCACCACTGCACTCCAGCCTGGGTGACAGAGGGAGACTGTCTCCAAAAAAAAAAAAAAAAAGCCATTTGAGGTTAGTGGTCATGAATTTAAAGTGAGCTGTTAATGGACTGAATTTCTCCAGGCACAGTTCAACTGCATAGGTGCACACACAAAGGAGGGAGGATTGAATTTAACCAGGATTTTGGCTTTGCTAAGTGAGTAGGCAAAAGCAATGTAAGGAGGCAAGAGAGTTGGGGATATATATAAAGGACTGATTATAATGATTTACTAGGAATTTAATCCAGGTAAGGAGGTAAGAGAAGACTCATGAGAAATGAATGCCAGTGAAAATGTGATGAGATCAAAAGACTAGAGATCCCAGTAGAGTTGAGAGATTGTTGGAGTTGCAGTACTAAAACAATGAGCTGGAAAGGCAGGTGTTAGTAGTCAGAAAGGAAGAAAACACTATTTCTGTTTGGGGTCAGCATTCTAGCATCTGAACAGACATTCTATTGTTCGAGGATCACTTACCTGCTAACCACCACACTCCCCTTTCTGTGTGTAGGACAGGTGTTTTCCATGGAGTGCTTACTTCTTCCTCCTGGTCTCTCTCAATGTGATGATTCCATGCAATCAAGGTTTTTTTTTTGTTTGTTTGTTTTTGTTTTTTTTTTCCCAAGAGTGAACAAAATCTGCAGACAGGCAGGCAGCATGATGAGCAGGGTCTCTGTGGAAGGTTGTGCAGTTTGTACACTGGGACACTGGGCTGAGATCCATCCCGAGCTCTGCTCACTGACTGTGGCCCCATCACCAGCTGACTTTTTTGGCCCACAAAGGCTCATGCCCTGCCACCATGGGGCTGTTCCTTGGGTCATGCCTTTTCTACTTCCCAGAAAGGTGCTGTGTAGGCCAGGGAGCTCTGATAAAGACTGCATATGCACCATGGGGTTTAAGCCAGAGGGCTGAACTTGAGCAAGATGTGCCCTTTTGTTGTAAAACCCCTTGTGGACTGGTATCCTCAAATTGCTTCAAGCATTCAGTCTTTTTGAAGGAAGAGACCCGATATTATACTTTCTCAATTATATGCATAAAGTAGCTCTTGACGTATAGTTTCATTTGGATAATTAGGTTTTTCTTCTCCCAAAACCAATACTTGGCTTTCTAGGAGATCACTGCTATTTGAGAAAAAGATGAGGTATCATATGCATTATTTATGGATCACTGGCCTCTCCACTGTTTCTTATCTATTTATCAGGAAAATCTTAGATTAGACTAATGTATTTATGAAAAACCAGTTGAATGTTGTTTTTTTTCCCCCCAATAAGTAATGTGAAAGAGTGGGCAGAAGTTGCTTAGACAGGTTACAGGGGTAAAGAAATTCGACTTGCTCATTTACTGTTTTAAGGTCTTCTTTAATATATCAGCTCATTTTGAGTGATCTCACTTATCAATGGTTCTTGAGTTTTTAGGCACCTTATGCAAATGTTGCAGTCTCCTTAAACTAAATATCTATTAAGCTACATACAAAAATATCTGCAACGGTTTTTTTTTTTTTTGTAGGAATTCTAGCAATAACCACTCATTGAAGTAAAAATCGAATACAGGGCACAGCTTTGTAGAGACAAAATAATCCATGGTTAAGCAAATGTTAGTGTATAGGATGAGCTTCACAAAAACAAAGGCCATTTTCAGCACACTTTTAGTCAGTAGTTAATCAAGGGAAGGCTGCTAATGAGGTAGTTCAATGTCATTTCCCCGACTTAATGGTAGTAGAAAATGAAAGATTAAGGCTATTTAAGCCAACAGGAAAACCATGAATCTTTAAGCTATTTCTGGGTCCTTGTGAAGAATTTGCAAAGTCCCTGATGCTCTCCCTTTACGCACATGGAATATTTTCACCAACACAAAAAACAGTGCTGATTCTGACGCTGCAAGCACTGCACAATTCTCAATTATTTCCCATCGGTGACGCTTTCACCAAAGGCCATGCTACGTTGTTCTGAACCCCTTTCAGGACATCACTATCTCCTCTCTTATCTTTGCCTAGAAATATGATGTTTGGGCAAAGAAGGAAAAGGGATGAGTAAGAAACAGGGATGAGTGGGAGAGAGACAGCAGGAAACAGGGGTGGGAAACTGGACACTGCAGCTTTCTCACAACCCCTGACAGGGTGCGTCATGGGATGCTCGTTATTTTACTTAAGAGTACAATGAGATTCCAGAACATCAGCCAAATCTCTAGTCTAACCTGGGCATAAAATTGCATGCTAAAATAAAATACATTTTTCTCCAAATAATTTATTAAAAATTACACTTGATATTCATGTGGAAATTAAGACCAAACTGCAATGTTTTCCATTTCCAATGTACAAAAAGTTTTGTTCCTGAGAATGGCAAATTCTAAATGATAAGTAAAATAAATATGGCATTTATTTAAGTAGACTGAGCCACAGGTTAATCTTAAGTGGTGTTTGGTTGATGGGAGAGAAAATCCTCCATCAGAATTGTTGTAAGAACTTTCCAATGTGCTTGACATGCATCCGGGAGCAGTGACTTACACCTGTAATCCCAGCACTTTGGGAGGCCGAAGCAGGTGGATCACCTGAGGTCAGGAGTTTGAGACCAGCCTGGCCAACATGGTGAAACTCTATCTCTACTAAAAATACAACAATTACCTGGGCATGGTGGCATGTGCCTGTAATCCCAGCTACTTGGGAGGCTGAGGCAGAGGAGAATCGCTGGAACCCAGAAGGCGGAGGTTGCAGTGAGCCAGGATCCCACCACTGCACTCCAGTCTGGGCGACAGAGTGAGACTCCATCTCAAAAAAACAAAAAAAACAAAGGAATCTTAGTTTAACAGTTTTGGGTTACAGCTCCAGGGATGGGGGTGGGAATGATTGACTATGCATTTGATATGTGTCTTATTAATCATAAGGTTCTTTCCCCCATAGCAAAGTACATATAAATGCAAAGCTTTAGTGCTTAGCTGACTGTAATAGGACATCTTCATAAAAGGAATAAACTTAACACCTCAGCCAATAAGCCAGAGAATCTTACGCTGCACAAGTGTGCAGTTTTAATGTGTTGCTCAGGCTATAGTATTATTTTTTAAGTTTTTGGTTTTCTTTTATACCATGCATTTATTTCCCTCTGAATTAATCACAGGTATTTTCTTTAACATAAGCTATTTTAAGTATAAACTTTATTCCTGAATATCTTCAGATACTTTCTGCTAGTTCAAATAAACTCACACAGACATTAATCCAATTTGAATAACTACATATGAATGAGGCTACAGTATTATTCAATCCAGAGTGTGTCACTTCCGTTCACGAAGGCTTGCTATGCATAAATATAAAAATATTTTATCTTCTGATGCTTTCATTTTTGAAGCACTCCCTTCAAAGGATGTAAAAAAATATTAAATAAAAGAGCTTTCAAAGTGTTCTGTTAGGCTATGATTTGAGGGGGAGATGAATGGAAATGGATATTGATAGTTATTTAACTGGAGATCTTTGTGGTGATATGTGAAAGTATAAACTAACTCCAACAAACTCGTTTTTTCCTGAAACTTTTGGTGTAAAATTATATATTATTATTATTTTGAGACAGGGTCTTGCTCTGTTGCCCAGGCCAGGCTGGAGTGCAGTGGCATGACCTCGGCTCACTGTACCCTTGACCTCCTGGGCTCAAGCGATTCTCCCATCTCAGCCCACTCCCAAGTATCTGGGACTACAGGCATGTGCCACCACTCTTGGCTAATTTTCATATTTTTTCACGGAGATAGGGTTTCACCATGTTGCCCAGGCTGGTCTCGAACTCTTGGGCCCAAGCGAACTGCCCACCTTGGCCTCCCGAAGTGCTGGGATTAACAGGTGTGAGCCATTGCACCCAGCCTGTTATTATTTTGAAAGGTTATTCTGCTTTTACTGAAATGCAACAAACAGTTATTGAGCACCTGCTATATTATTATATAGTCCATTCCTACTAGGCTACCGCAGCCATTGATGATCTTCCTTTGTGTGTGTGTGTGTGTGTGTGTGTGTGTGTGTGTGTGTGTGAAGCTGTTTGTATATTTTCGGTTTTTCGGTTAGTTTGCTTGTGAAGCAGCTTGGAGAAGTCTCATCTACTTTTTATCAGTTGGTTGGTTTTAGAAAGCATCTCAGAAAGTGGACCCAGAAATCGCAGATCTGCCATTAGTATTTATTCTTTGAAGATACTTTGGAGATTCATTTTCTTGAGTGGCACTGCCATGCTCATTCAGTGAAAACTTGTGGGGTATAGAAATGGAATGGAGAGTTTCAAACAGCTTTGCTGAAACTGTACTTTGGGCTCCAGACTTCACTGTCCTTAGGCATTGAAACCATCACCTGGTTTGCATTCTTCATGACTGAGGTTAACTTAAAACAAAAATGGTAGGAAAGCTTTCCTATGCTTCGGGTAAGAGACAAATTTGCTTTTGTAGAATTGGTGGCTGAGAAAGGCAGACAGGGCCTGATTAAAGAAGACATTTGTCACCACTAGCCACCAAGTTAAGTTGTGGAACCCAAAGGTGACGGCCATGGAAACGTAGATCATCAGCTCTGCTAAGTAGTTAGGGGAAGAAACATATTCAAACCAGTCTCCAAATGGGATCCTGTGGTTACAGTGAATGACCACTCCTGAAAGGGTAAAAGAAGATCTCATAAGCATTTAAAGGTTTGAAAAGAAAGTTTCACCACTTCACTCGCAAATCATTTACAGAATTTTTTTTTTTTTTTTTGAGGCAAAGTCTTGCTCTGTTGTCCAGGCTGGAGTGCAGTCGTGCAGTCATGGCTCACTGTAGTCTCAACCTTCCAGGCCCAGGCAATCCTCCCATCTCAAACTGCCCAGTGGCTAGTACCACAGGTATGCATCACCATGCCTGGCTCATTTTTTGAATTTTTTGTAGAGACAGGGTCTGCCTATGTTGCCCAGGTTGGTCTCAAACTGCTGGGCTCAAGTGATCCTCCCACCTCAGCCTCCTAAAGTGCTGGGATTACCAGTGTGAGCCAACCTGCCCAGCCCAGAAACTCTTATTTAGAAAAGAGTATCATACATGTGTGTAAACCACCATCCTGTCACACTTCTACTGTCAATTACATATTGAAAAGTTATATGCTTAGGTTAAATTGTCAACTGTCCATAGCACAAGAGAAAAGCCAGTTACTCCAGCAATCCTCCAAGCTAGTAATTAAGAGCTCAGACTACTCCAGAGTCAGACTGCACAAGTTTAAATCCTGGCTCTCCCACTTACTAGCTGTGTAACTTTAGATAAGTTGCTTAACCTCTTTGTGCCTTAGTTTCCTCATCTGTAAAATGAAGACCGGACTGTAGTCATCTCATGTCGGCATTGTGAAGCTATATGTAAAGCACTCAGAACAGGGCCTGGGACAAAATAAGTACTTGATAAATATTAAAACTATTCAGTTTTTTGGCTGGGCGCGGTAGCTTATGCTTGTAATCCTAGCACTTTGGGAGACTGAGGTGGGCGGATCACCTGAGGTCAGGAGTTCAAAACCAGCCTGGCCAACATGGTGAAACCCCAGCTCTACTAAAAATATAAAAATTAGCCAGATGTGGTGGCACACGCCTGTAATCCCAACTACTTGGGAGGCTGAGGCATGAGAATTGCTTGGATCCAGGAAGCGGAGGTTGCAGTGAGCTGAGATGGTGCCACTGCACTCCAGCCTGGGTGACAGAGTGAGACTCTGTCTCAAAAATAAATAAATAAAATAAATAAATAATAGGCCGGGTGTAGTGGTGCACGCCTGTAATCCCAGCACTTTGGGAGGCCGAGGTGGGTGGATCACCTGAGGTCAGGATTTCGAGACCACCCTGGCTAACATGGCAAAACCTTGTCTGTACTAAAAAATACAAAAATTAGCTGGGCATAGTGGTGCGCACCTGTAGTCCCAGCTACTTGAGAGGCTGAGGCGGGAGAATCACTTGAACCCTGGAGGCGGAGGTTGCAGTGAGCCGAGATTGTGCCACTGCACTACAGCTTGGGTAACAGAGCAAGACTCCATCTCAAAAATTAAATAAATAAATAAATAAATAAATAAATAAATAAATAAAACTATTCAATTTTTTTTTTTGAGACAGTCTAGCTCTGTCACCCAAGCTGGAGCGCAGTGGCGTGATCTCAGCTCACTGCAACCTCCGCCTCCCAGGTTCAAGTGATTCTAGTGCCTCAGCCTCCCAAGTAGCTGGGACTACAGGCACCTGCACCACCGCACCCAGCTAAGTTTTGTATTTTTAGAAGAGACGGGGTTTTGCCATGTTGGTCAGGCTGGTCTTGAACTCCTGACCTCAAGTGATCCTCCTACCTTGGCTTCCCAAAGTGCTGGAATTACAGGCGTGAGCCACTGCGCCTGGCCTATTCAATTTTTAATATTTCAAAAAACCTAATGGAAACTATACCTGTGATAAGTCAACACAAGCTAACTTAAAGGTCAAGTTTTTATGCTGTGGCTGGTACTAACTCCATGGTAACACTAGCTCTCACATGCTGATCAGACACAAAACGTAGAATCACAGAATGTCAGGGCTACTTGGGTCTAGAGAGGTCTTTCAATGTAAGGCTCTCATTTTCACAGATGGGAAGATCAAGGCCCAGAGAAGTGTCTTGCCAAAAATCAATATTTGATACAGTCAACTAACTAGGGCAGGAAGGAAAAGCATGCAGGACCATGGAGAACTAACTTCTGAGGGTTAAAATCCATATGCAGAGGCTCTAAAAGAGGTCTCACCTGCTTTATTTTTCCTGAGATTGCCGAGAATAACATGGCACTTATACTGATGGGCAGATGACCAGATGAACATCATCATCCCAAGAATATGGAACCACCGTGCTTGCATCAATAGATTTTTCCCTGTTATGTAGGCTATAGGAATGAGAATTGTTAGCCAACACTAAACAATTTCACAGGCTCAGGGAATTAAACAAATCATTTAGTCAGCAGAAACACAATTATCCACTTATTCCGTTCCTCAATATCCTAATATAATTTCCCAAGTACAAAGAGGGGAACCTGTTCCTCAATATCCCGATGTAATTTCCTGATGTAATTTCCCAATACAGAGGGAAAAGCCCTGTCTCTCTGGACAAAGGAGATACGTTCCTCAGCTATGGGCAGCTTCAGTTCCCCTGGCAAGAGAATTCCACACAGACACATTCTCTTGCTTCTTCTCTAAACAGTTCAAGCACAAAGTTCAGCTCCCCTACTGTGATCTACTTTCGAATGGTAAGATTCCTTTGTGTTTCCCTTGCTAAGTCCAGTTTTAAGTCTTCTTTCTTATGTTTTACAGTGAAGAAAAACACTTTCTAAGGAAATCTCTCTCTGAGCTACCATCCTGCTAGGGAGAGCCTGAAAGCAGAATGCTGACTTGACTAGCTCTGGTCAATGAAAGAAATCACCAGTGGAAAGGCTACCAGGGGGCTTTCTCAAAAGAGAGGGACAGTAAACTGCAAGATGAACAACTCAATGCCATCCAGGTCTGGATGAGAAAGAACAGTCGAGAGACTGAGTTTCAGGAGTGGAAACACTCAAAGCATCATCTTCCACTTTCTTCTCCGGCTGCTAGGAAGAAGGGAAAAACACAGACCTTCTGAGGACCTGCGGAGCAAACCACTGGCTTCAGAAAAGCAAACAGGGACTTCCCTCTGCGCAGCAGGAAGCAGTTAGCCTAGTCGGAGGCTTGACTGAAGAAACAAATGTATCCACTGATAATGGGCAAGAGCCTGAGGCTCTGGAGCCAAGGGGGAACCCTAAAAAGCTGATTCAAGTAAGAGAACCAAGGATCATGCAATTCCACATGGCCACCTCGAAGCAGGAATCCGTTAATGATAGTAAAGGACTGATGAAAATCCACCGGTCTACCTGTGTCAGTTTATTTTAAAAGCTTGTTTTATATAATCAATCTACTATAGTCTTTTAGTGTTTACAAGTTTAGCCATTTAACTACTAGGTTATATTTTTATAAGTTCAAAACAGGCTGGGTACAGTGGCTCACACCTGTAATCCCAGCACTTTGCGGGGGCCAAGGCAGGAGGATCACTTGAGGCCAGGGGTTTGAGACCAGCCTGCCAACATAGCGAGAACCTGTCTCTACAAAAATGAAATAAGCAAAATATTAAAAATACAGTTTTAAATCTGACAGGCTTCAAGAGCAAGTCAACAGGATGAAAAGTTACAGTGTCTGGAAGTTCAAATCACTAAGTCCCTTATGCTAAATGCAGAGAGTTTACCTACAGGAAAAAGGATTTGTTAAGGGTAACGCCAGAATTATAATGCAGGAAAAGGGAGGCAGGTGGAAGGCTCACATTTCCTCAGTTCTACTCAGTATTTAATTATTTGTTTATTCATTAGTTACTTAAGGAGTGCCTCCTAAGCCTGGCCCTGCTGAAGGCACAAAGGATAAAGCAGGGAATAAGTCAGGCAAGATCCCAGTCCTTATAGAGCTTACATCCTAGTTTACAGATAGTCTTCTTTTCACTTTAAGAAGAACCCTGTGAAATCAGTATGTGTCAATAATTACTAATGAAGGCTGTGAGGCTCAGAGAAGCTCAATGAGCCAGATGCAGGCCCATCAAGACTCTGGAGCCCATGTTATTTCTATCACGCCCTTTGGTTGGCAAATGCCCCAATGTGTTTTCTCTCAATGAATTACTGAAACCAACTTTCCCCATATTGTCCTAAATGATCCCAGATGACCCTTGAAGGACAAGGAGGTGAAACAGAAAACAGCTTCAGAAAGGAGTGCTTAGAAAGCTATTTTTGTGGGCTCCTCTTCCTTGACTATCTACGCAGGAGGGAAGGCAGAAGTTGAGACGCAGCCAGTAGAGGAAACTCCGGGAGAGGCAGGTAACGCCAACAAACAAGAACACGCTAAAAGCTAGCAGTCACCAAGCGCTCTGCAAAGTTCCTTTAGGGGGAGAACCAGCACTGCCCACCAGGAATGACAGCCCCTTCCATGGTACTGGCTGGCAGAATGCCACCACAGACATGCCTGGGAGGAATAAGTTCAGAGGAATCAGAGAGATGCTAGCTAAGTGGCTGGAGCCAATCAATAATTCATGAATTGAGAAAGATCGTCAATAAATCCTTTAAAATCACTCCTCTAGTCAGAGGCCTTAGGTTGAGCTACAGCAACAGAGAGACGACTTTCACGGGGCACTCATACCAAAATCTAACCTGAGGAGGAAGCTCACTCACAGATTGTTGGAAATCGCTAGACCTCAGCCTGAGTTTACAAGGATGGACAGGGCAGCTGAAAACATGGAGCCCTGGGTTTAGAGACAATGGTCATTACAGACCTACGGGGTCTAGACTGACAGATACTAAGGCTGCAAGGTCAGGTTAACCTCAGCACTATAAACTCATTCCCATCACCCCAAGCGACTTGAATTCTTTATAATCATGCATTGTTTTTACAAAAATGGTAGTCATATGTGTTAGGTAATGTCCCCTCCTCCCCCCATAAAACAAAAAATCCATTTCATTTCCTTCTCGTAAACAAGGTCATGGTTTGGCTCCCCTCTTCCTGGCTAGTGAGAGCTTAGAGACTAAAACACAATTTTCACTACCACAGTACTCTTTGTCCTCTCCTCTCAGGCAGCGTCACTTGAAGAAAAGCTCTATTGTGATGGGAACAATCACAGGAACTAAGCGGCAACAAAATGGCTCCCCACCCCCTCTGCAAATCCCAACTCCATGCAAGCACTCTCCCTTCCCTCATTTTCTTTTCTTTTTTTTTGAGATGGAGTCTCGCTCTGTTGCCCAGGCTGGAGTGCAGTAGCGCGATCTCGGCTCACTGCAACCTCCACCTTCTGGTTTCAAGCAATTCTCCTGCCTCAGCCTCCCCAGTAGCTGGGACTACAGGCGTGTGCCACCACGCCTGGCTAATTTTTTTTTTTAATTTTTAGTAGAGACAGAGTTTCACCATGTTGGCCAGGCTGGTCTCGAACTCCTGGCCTCAAGTGATCCACCTGCCTCAGCCTCCCAAAGTGGTGGGATTACAGGTGTAAGCGACCACGCCCGGCCTTTTAAAATCGACTTGAGTCTCATCTCCTGAAATGCAAAATGCATTGGGCCTGTCTCTTACTTCTGCATGTCTCATAATGCTTAGCACAGCACAAGCCCCGAGAGCGCATCATACACCCTGGGGTGGGGAGCTCCTGGCAGGGCTGGATCCACTCACCATTCCTGCCATCCATTGGCACTTGGCTCAGCACAGTTAGGCCAACAAGGACATAATAGACAAGTCCAAAACAGTACTGCACGACGTGAATCATGACATTGGAGAAGACACTGACGTAGAGGCACTCGAAGAGTCTTCGTAAGCTGTGCAGCCACAGAAATACTAGCACTAAGAATGCAGACAGTGCCAGCTCCCCTCCTACAATTCAGAAGGCAACAGGGTCAGCATTTCTCTTCTGGGATTAATCCAAAGTTTTGTTTTTCTGTACTGTTAAGCAAAGTATTAAATCCCATCTAACATCTTTCTTTTTGGTAGTAAGGAAGAAATGGGCCAAATGAAGTCAAGGAATTTGACTTCACTCAAATTACACAGTTCACTGTGTTACACAGTTCACTGGGTTCACAAACACCCATCACTCAATTCTGCTTCATTGTGTGACAGCCTTCCAGGCTTCAGGGACATCACGGTCAGGAGGTCTGTGAAGAGGTCTGTGGGTTTCTGGTCCTGGCACTAACAGCCAGATGCAAACTGGAAGCGTTCCTGGTAGCCTCTGAGTGGCCCCAGCTGTGGGATCCCCAGTATCTCAGGCATCACAGAGGCAGAGAGGGGGACAGGAACAGAAACAGAGTTATGCATTTCTTTCCACATTAAAAAAAAGAAATTATACTTTTAGAGGCATGCTGAGCCCAAGATCTACTTCCTCACCTGTCTTTCACGACCTGCCCACCAAAAAATCTGAAGAAAAGCTGGCTTTAAAAAAACACACACTTAGTTTCTCTTTTTTTCTTTTTTGTTTTTTATTTTTTGGTTAATTTTATGTGTCAACTTCTTTATTTTTGAGACAGGGTCTTGCTCTGTCACCCAGGCTAGAGTGCAGTGGCACAGTCAGGCCTCACTGCAGCTTTGAACTCCTGAGCTCAAGTGATCCTCTGTCTCAGCTTCCTGAGTGGCTAGAACTATAGTCATGTGCCACCACACCTGACTAATTAAAAAAAAATTTTTTTTGTTGCCCAGGCTGGTCTCGAACTCCGGGCCTCAAGCCATCCTCCAGCCTCAGCCTCCCAAAGTGCTGGGATTTTAGGTGTGAGATACCACGCCCAGTCACTTAAAAAAGAAATGAGTCACGGCCGGGGGCGATGGCTCATGCCTGTAATCCTACCACTTTGGGAGTTGGAGGCGGGTGGATTGCCTGAGCTCAGGAGTTCGAGACCAGCCTGGGCAACATGGTGAAACCCTGTCTCTACTAAAAATACAAAAAATTAGCCAGGCATGGTGGTGTGCGCCTGTAGAACCAGCTACTTGGCAGGCTGAGGTAGTAGAACTGCTTGAACCTGGGAGGTGGAGGTTGCAGTGAGCCAAGATTGGGCCACTGCAATCAGCCTGGGAGATAGAGCAAGACTCTGTCTCCATTAAAAAAAAAAAAAAAAAAGTCTCACACACAAACACACACACACGCATGCACACCATAAAGATGCAACTTAATTAACTTTTACAAATTAAGCCAACCAATCCCACCCATGTAACAGCACCCAGATCCAGAAACAGAACACTTTAGGAAGCTGAGGTTGGAGGATCGCTTGAGACCAGGAGTTTGAGACCAGCCTGGGCAACACAGCAGGTACCCCATCTCTAAAAACATTAAAAAAAAAATTAGCTGGGCATAGTGGCGTGCACCTGTAGTCCCAACTACTCAAGAGGTGGAGGAGGGAGGACTGCTCGAGCCCAGGAGTTAAAGGCTGCAGTGAGCTATGATCATGCCACGGCACTCCAGCCTGTACAACAGAGTGAGACCCTCTCTCTTAAAAAAAGAAAAAGAAAGAAAAAAATGAAACAAACAAAAGAAACAGGCTGGATGCGGTGGCTCATGCCTGTAATCCCAGCACTTTGAGAGGCTGAGGCAGGCGGATCACAAGGTCAGGAGTTCAAGACCAGCCTGGCCAACAGAGTGAAACCCTGTCTCTACTAAAAATACAAAAATTAGCCGGGCATGGTGGCGCATGCCTGTAGTCCCAGCTACTCAGGAGGCTGAGGCAGGAGAATCGCTTGAACCCGGGAGGGGTAGGTTGTGGTGAGCTGAGATCAGGCCACTGCACTCCAGCCTGGGCAACAGAGCAAGGCTCCATCTCAAAAAAAAAAAAAAGAAGAAACAGAACACGAACAGCACCCCCTAGTGTAGGCACGACCCCTCCCCCAAACTTCCCATGGGGAACAACCCCTATCAGCACAGATTAGCTTTGACTGTTTTTGTATTTTAAATGAACTAAAACTTAGTTTTAACTCCTTAGGAACAAGTTAAAGCAAACAAATAGAATTCCTCATATCCTCACAACCAACCCTCCAAATACCAAAACACCCCAGTCAGTCTCACAGTAAACAAACGAAGAGATGAAGTTTTAACGAGTGGAGTGAGATCCGCTGATGTAGCCTACCCTTCCAAAGAGGATGTCCACGGGTTTGCTCTTTTTTTTTAGATGGAGTCTCACTCTGTGGCACAGGCTGGAGTGCAGTGGCATGATCTCAGCTTACTGCAACCTTTGCTTCCTGGGTTCAAGCCATTCTCCTGCCTCAGCCTCCTGAGTAAGTGGGATTACAGGCACGCGCCACCACGTCCCGCTAATTTTTTGTATTTTTAGTAGAGACGGGGGTTTCACCATGTTGGCCAGGCTGGTCTTGAACTCCTGACCTCAAGTGATCCACCTGCTTCAGCCTCCCAAAGTGCTGGGGTTATAGGTATGAGTCACTGCCCACTGTTCCCGGCAGGGTTTGCTCTTTTTTTTTTTTTTTTTTTTGAGACGGAGTCTTGCTCTGTCCTCTTAGGCTAGAGTGCAACGTTACAATCTTGGCTCACTGCAACCTCTGCCTCTTGGGTTCAAGCAATTCTCTCTCCTCAGCCTACCGAGTAGCTGGGGTTACAGGCATGTGCCAGCACACCCAGCTAAGTTTTGTATTTTTAGTAAAAACGGGATTTCACCATGTTGGCCAAGGTGGTCTTGAATTCTTGACCTCAAGTGATCTGCTCACCTCAGCCTCCTGAAGTGCTGGGATGAGAGGCATGAACCACCACACCCGGCCGGGGTTTGCTCTTCTGATTGTCATCTTTTGCAACCAGTTTATCTGGTTATACAGAAAAGGATTGTTTCTAGGTGGTTTGGCCACTGGAACAAAGGACAGAGATGAGACTAGAACAATTTGTTTCTAATTCTGCCCCTCACACTCTGCCTGACCTTAATTGAGGACATTTCATAGTTTTCACCTTCAATTCTTTATTTTAAAAACTGTTCTGGCCGGGCGCGGTGGCTCACACCTGTAATCCCAGCGCTTTGGGAGGCCAATGCGGGTGGATCACCTGAGGTCAGGAATTCGAGACCAGCCTGACCAACATGGAGAAACACCATCTCTCTACCAAAAATACAAAATTAGCTGGGCGTGGTGGCACATGGCTGTAATCCCAGCTACTTGGGAGGCTGAGGCAGGAGAATCGCTTGAACCTGGGAGGCAGAGGTTGCAGTGAGCCAAGATTGCACCATTGCACTCCAGCCCGGGCAATAAGAGCGAAACTCCATCTCAGAAAAAAAAAAAAAAACGTTCCATATTCTTCATCCTGATGCTGAGGATGGCAAACTTAAAGGCTATTTTGTAATCGTCTGTTCAACAACTGTTTAGTCAATTTTATTATACTACCAAAGCCTCACAGCATAACTTTTTTTCCATGTTTATCAAAAAGTAATTTTTATTTATTTTATTCATTTATTTATTTATTTTTTTGAGACAAAGTCTCCCTCTGTTGCCCAGGCGTGGAGTGCAGTAGCTCAATCTTAGCTCATGGCAACCTCCGCCTCCCAGGTTCAAGCGATTCTCCTGCCTCAGCCTCCCGAGTAGCTGGGATTACAAGCGCCTGCCACCACACCCAGCTATTTTTGTATTTTTAGTAGAGTTGGGGTTTCACCACATTGGCCAGGCTGGTCTTGAACTCCTGATCTCAAGTGATCTGCCTGCCTTGGCCTCCCAAAGTGCTGGGATTACAGGTATGAATTAAAAAGTAATTTTTTTTTTTTTTGAAACACAGTCTCGCTCTGTTGCCCAGGCTGGAGTGCAGTGGCCCGATCTCAGCTCACTGCAAGCTCCGCCTCTCGGGTTCATGCCATTCTCCTGCCTCAGCCTCCCGAGTAGCTGGGGCTACAGGTGCCCGCCACCATGCCCAGCTAACTTTTTTTTGTATTTTTAGTAGAGACAGGGTTTCACCGTGTTAGCCAGGATGGTCTCGATCTCCTGACCTTGTGATCTGCCCGCCTTGGCCTCCCAAAGTGCTGGGATTACAGGCGTGAGCCACCGCACCCGACAGAAAAAGTAATTTTTAAATCACATTTCTGGAGTTCTAAGTCATGAGTTTGGTTGGAACAGTATAAATGATAAATGTTTCCAGACAAACCTGACAGATCCTAAAAGCTTTCCCCCTTTTGTGTAAAGACTTCTTCATAAATTTATCAACAGTACTAAAAATACCAGAGGGAGGGCAGCCAGTTCTGCACACAACACAGCACTTGCTGGGAAGTCAGGAGCGCTAACTCTTGGCTCTGTCTCCTTCTCAGGGAAGGGCTTAGGGACATCCTTTTGGCCATCCGGCAATGAACCGTGCAAAGCTCTTTTTTGCCCTCATCCTCCACTTCCCAGGCCCTTCTGAGGAGGTGCCGAGAGAGGAGACAAAATGCCAAAAACTGCTCCCTTGCAGACAGGAACAACAGAAACGGGATGCAGCGTTGTCATAAGCCCAGGGAGTCCTTACCCTGGAACTGTGCCGCCCCGAGAATTCTGAGCAAACCATGAAGCCAGCTTGGAAAAGGTGCTCCCAGGAACAGAGATTGAGTAAGGCACCAAAGCAGGAAGCCATTCCACAGCACTGAGATGATATAAAAGTGGGAAAAATATCTGCAAAAGGAAAACAAGCGAGGCAATAATTAGGGTAGATCCACTTCAAGCTCTTATACGGGAAGATTATTTTTAGTTTCTCTGTCTTTCCCCACCCCTCCATTCCCAAAGTATACCTTTGCTTTTTAATAGAATCTGAATCCTATAGGTGTTCAGGTTCTTAAAATTTCCTTTCAAATAACGGGACCAGTTAACTTTCAGGAAAAAGAGGCCTCTCTGAGGTTAACAAGAACACAACCAACTGTGTTAAACTTAGAATAAAGTTTAGTTAGCAATCTCTCTGATTGCTGGGTAACAGAATTGGACTCAAGTTCCCAAAACGGAGGCTGCAGGCCCTTGCAAAGAGAACCTAGACTGTGCTAAAACAAGCTAAATCTGTGAAAGATTTTGATTTCTATATCCCAAACAATATTGCAGTAATAGCCACACAACTGTTACACATGATTTGCATAATCGCAGACACTTGGGGCTAGAGGAAGTAAAAGATCTTCAGGCATGACTCAGTGTTTTTCCAAATTGGGTTGACCTAAATTACTTTTATTATAACATGACTAATACTACAATCATAAAACTAGGTATTAACTCCTTATGGTTATAATTCTCAGACAACTACAGGGCCTATTTTGCAATCAACACATCTACAAACTAAATACAAATAGGACCACAAAACCAATGCAATTGAAATTAGCGATGTTAATTTAATGCAAAAGATGATGTTGATTTGCTGAAACAAAAAAAATCACCTAATATGGCACAAGGGCCTAGGGCCTAGCAGGTTCTTCTTCTTCTTTTTTTTTTTTTTTTTTTTTTGAGACAGGGTCTTGCTGTGTTGTCCAGGCTGGAGTGCAGTGTTGTGATCACCACTCACTGCAACATTGACCTCCCAGGCTCAAGTGATCCTCGCACCGCAGCTTTCCAAGTAGCTGGGACCACAGGCTTGTAGTAGTCCACCATGCCTGGCTAATTCTTAAACTTTTTATAGAGATGTGATCTCCCTATGCTGCCCAGGCTGGTCTCAAACTCCTGGGCTCAAGAGATCCCTCCCACCTTGGCTTCCCAAAGTGCTGAGATTACAGGTGTGAGCCACCATGTCCAGCCCCTCATAGGTTCTTTTGAGGTCTGTTTATGTATACTTTTCTATTTTTTTCTATTCAGTCTGAAACCTTTCTGACTCTATTGAGTGCCTGGCGGTCATCTGGCTTTCCCTGGTCTTCAATGCATCGTGCATATATTAAATCCCACTCCTTCTTTTCTTTTTCTCATTAGTCTGTGACAATAAAAGACAACCTAGAGCCAAAAGAGGATTAAACATAATCGCAGGGGCTCCTCCAGATGATCCAGAATGTGCTTGTAAGAGAATGCACAGCCCCTGAGATCATGCCTACAAACTCAGTCTGATAAACTCTGATCCAACCTGATCATTCCATGGCAACCCACTCCACTCTGCCAATTACTGTTAGCAAATTCTATCACTGGCCAGGCATGGTGATGCATGCCTGTAATCCCAGGGCTTTGGGAGGCCAAGGTGAGAGGATCCCTTGAGGCCAGGAGTTTGAGGTTATAGTGAGCTATGATTCTGCCTCTGCAACTCCAGCCTGGGCAATAGAGCAAGACCCTGTGTCTTAACAAATAAATAAATAAATAAAATTCTATCACTGGATTTGCCATCTCTGGCCACACAGAACAAGAATTTTAATTCCACACAACATCTCTTAAACTATTTGAAGAGAGCCATCCTGTGATTCCCAATTGGGATCTTCTCCAGGCTTCAAGAGCCTACTTTTCACAGAAGTTCATGCATCAAGGCCAATCGCCACCTGTGGCTACTGATCTTTGGTTATACCACAGGGTCTTCCTTAAGACACACTTCCCACAACTGACCCCAGGTTATGGTCTGAGCCTCGTGGAGCACAGTGGAAGGTCAAGAACATGCTGTTCTGCAGGCTCCCAGGAAAAGGCAGGAGGGATAGCTTCTGAAGGACAATTTCTGGACCAGCCACTTTACGTACTTAATTTTTTCACAAATATTTACTGAGCACTTCGAATGTGTTGGGCAATATTCTAGAAGCTGGGGACTCAGCAGGGAGTAAACAGACTAGGTCTCCGCCTTAATGGGAGTTTACCTTAGAGTGGGGAGTCAGACGGTCAACAACTAAACCTGCAGACATCTAGCATAATGCTGGGTCAGGGGACAGAGGGTGCAGAGGGGAGGCTGTTCTGGATGGATGGTCAAGGGTGGCTTCTCTGGAAGTAACATTTGGCTAGAATGAGTCATCCCTGTGGATTTCTAGGGGAAGAACTTTCTAGGCAGAAGAAATAACAACTGCAAAGGCAATGAGGTGGGTGTATACTAGGGGTGTTCAAGGAACATTAAAAGACATCTGTACATTGGCATGGCCAAGGGCGAGGGTAGAAGGTGAGGCAGGAGTGGGGAGAGGACATGAAGCCTTGTAAGGCCACTAGCTTTTATAATGGGGAGCCATTTGGGCAGATGAGTGACGTGAGGTAGTAATTTATGTTTTAAAAATCCCTCTAGGCTACCCAGGAGGCGGAGGTTGCAGTGAGCCAAGATCGCGCCATTGCACTCCAGCCTGGGCAACAGAGCGAGACTCCATCTCAAATAAATAAATAAATAAATAAATAAAAAATCCCTCTAGCCTGAGCAACATAATGAGGCCCCATCTCTACTAAAAAAGAAAAGAAAAGAAATAAAAAAATTAGCTGGGTGTGATGATGCATGCCTGTAGTTCCAGCTACTCGGGAGGCTCAGGCTGAGGCTGCAGTAAGTGGTGATCATGCCGCCACAGCACTCCAGCCTGGGTGACAAAGCGAGATTCTGTCTCAAAACAAACAAACAAACAAAACCCTAAAAATCTCTCTGGCTGATGGACAAGTTCTGGAGATAGGTGGTGGTGATAGTTGGATAACAAGATGAATGTATTTAAAGCTACTTAACTATTTAAAAAACATTAAAAAGGTAAAATTTAAGTTACGTGTATTTTACCACAATAAAAACATTTTAAAAGGCAGCAAAAGAGGCCGGGTGCAGTGGCTCAGGCCTGTAATCCCAGCACTTTAGGAGGCTGAGGTGGGCGGATTACCTGAGGTCGGGAGTTCGAAACCAGCCTGGCCAACATGGTGAAACCCTGTTTCTACTAAAAATACAAAAATTAGCCAGGCATGCTGGCACACGCCTGTAATCCTAGCTACTTGGGAGGCTGAGATAGGAGAATAGCTTAAACCCAGGAGGCAGAGGTTGTAGTGAGCCAAGATTGCACCACTGCACTCCAGCCTCGAAGACTGAGCAAGACTTTGCATCAAAAAAAAAAAAAAAAAAAAAAAAAATGGAGGCAAAAGAAAGCATTGGTCATATATTTCATTATTATTTAAGTGAAAAAATATCCCTCTGGTAACGAGGTAGAGAACAGTCTAGTTGTGCGGGTAAGGGGTGCCAGGTAGAGCATGGCAAAAGTTAAGATTATTTAGTTCATCTTCATAACAATCTTATGAAGCTTATGTGGTTATCTTTGTGTGGCAGATGAGAAACCCAAGACTCAGAGAGGTTAAGTTACTTATTCAATGTCACACAGTAAGTGACAGCCCTGCTGACTGTGAAGTTAAAATCATACTATTGTGCTTTCATGCAACCTAGGCGTGCCTGAACTTGCTTTTCCAGCCTTATGTTACACGTACCAATTTATATCAAGCCTAAAGTCAAGCATATCACTCAAGTGGGTTTTGTGTAAGTTGCTAAGCTACACCGTGCTGCGCTCTACTTGTGTCATGGTGTCTTTCATTCACAGGCACATTGTGTTGCTTTTCATTCCCACATTTTGTTTTGCTTGCCTGATTTCCCTCTATACATTTTCTATTCTTTTTTTTTTTTTTCAGACGGAGTCTCGCTCTGTTGCCCAGGCTGGAGTGCAGTGGCACGATCTTGGTTCATTGCAAACTCTTCCTCCTGGGTTCACGCCATTCTCCTGCCTCAGCCCCCCGAGTAGCTGGAACTATAGGCGCCCGCCACCACGCCCAGCTAATTTTTTGTATTTTTAGTAGAGACGGGGTTTCACCGTGTTAGCCAGGATGGTCTCGATCTCCTAACCTCATGATCCACCCGCCTCGGCCTCCCAAAGTGCTGGGATTACAGGCGTGAGCCACCGCACCCGGCCTATACATTTTCGATTCTTTAGAACAAGTCATAGCTCTTGTTTGTTTTTAAAGACCCAGCTTGAGCCTCCAAAAGCCAATCTAAAATCTTCACTGCGTTCTGTTTTGGACACTCTCCTTTTTTCCTCCTTTGGCACTTTGCTTACTTGTAGCACTGTTGTCCAAGCCCTTGTAAGCAGGGGTAAGGTGATCCTTATAGGATAATACAAGGTGCTGAATGAGCACTCCCTTGCTTAACAAACATTTGAGTGCTTACTTTAAATCACAGCTGCTCCAGGCTCTGGGGATACAACAGCAAACACAACAGACAATTCCTGCCTTCATGGAGCTTACACATGCGTACGCGCGCACGCACGCGCGCACACACACACAGTAAATTTTATAGCATGTCAGGTGATAACTGCTACTGAGAAAACTAATGCAGAAAAGAGGAAGGAGGAATGCTGGGATGGCAGAATTATAATATCAAACACAATAGACAGGGAGGGGCCTCACTGAGAAGGTAATATTTGAGTAGAATTACAGCAAGTGAGGGGATAAACCATGTGGCTATCTGGGGAAAGGCCTTTCCAGGTAGAGTGAAACAGGCAGTGCAGGTAAGAGAGAGAACTAGCAGAGAGGCCCTCAAACCTGGAATAGAACCAGATGGGGCAAACTAGAGACAAAGTCAGTAAGGTAGTGGGAATGAGACCATGAGGTCTTGGGCTTTTACTGTGAGTTAGAAGCTACTCTATGGTTTGGGGCCTAAAACACAATCTATTTTTAATATTAATACATATTTGCTGGCCGAGCGCGGTGCGTCAGGCCTGTAATCCCGGCACTCTGAAAGGCTGAGGGCAGATCACCTGAGGTCAGGAGTTCAAGACCAGCCTGGCCAACATGGTAAAACCCCATCTCTACTAAATATACAAAAATTAGCCAGGTATGGTGGCACACCCCTGTAGTCCCAGCTCCTTGGGAGGCTGAGACACGAGAATCACTTGAACCCAGGAGATGGGAGGCTGCAGTGAGCCCACATTGCGCCACTGCACTCCAGCCTGGGCAACAGAGCAAGACTCCATCTCAAAACAAACAAACAAAAACTATTTGCTGACTGCTGGAACAGACTCCAGGCCCCAGGTGTTATGGGGTTAAGAAGGGGAATTAATGTTTACTGAGTTCTGGCTAGATCCCTGGCCCTGTGCTAAATGCTTTAATGTCACCACCAATGAGACCAGCAGGTGCTATTGTGTCCAGAATTGGTTCCTTCTGGTGGGTTCTTGGTCTTGCTGACTTCAAGAATGAAGCTGTGGACTCTCGCAGTGAGTGTTACGGTTCTTAAAAATGGTGTGTCCAGAGTTTGTTCCTTCAGATGTTCAGATGTGTCTGGAGTTTCTTCCTTCCAGTGGGTTTGTGTTGCGCTTGACTTCAGGAGTGAAGCCGCAGACCTCGGCAGTGAGTGTTACAGCTCTTAAAGGTGGCGCCTCCAGAGTTGTTTGTTCCTCCAGGTGGGTTCGTGGTCTCGCTGACTTCAGGAGTGAAGCCGCAGACCTTCGCAGTGAGTGTTACAGCTCATAAAGGTAGTGCAGACCCAAAGAGTGAGCAGCAGCAAGACTTACCGTGAAGAGCAAAAGAATACAGCCTCCACAGGGTAGAAGGGGACCCCCAGTGACTTGGCGCTGCTGGCTCGGGTGGCCAGCTTTTATTCCCTTATTTGGCCCCGCCCACATCCTGCTGATTGGTCCATTTTACAGAGTGCTGATTGGTCCATTTTACAGAGTGCTGATTGGTCCGTTTTTACCAAGTGCTGATTGGTGCATTTACAAACTTTTAGCTAGACACAGAGCGCTGATTGGTGCATTTTTACAGAGTACTATTGGTACGTTTACAAACCTTTAGCTAGACACAGAGCGCTGATTTGTGTGTTTTTACAGAGTGCTGATTGGTGCATTTACAAACCTTTAGCTAGACAGAAAAGTTCCCTAAGTCCCCACTCCACCCAGGAAGTCCAGCTGGCTTCACTTCTCACTATTATGCTAATACTCTAATGCACACCATCACCATCTCTTGCCTGGACCACCACAGTAGCCTCTTATCCAGTCTTTTCCACATGATGGCCAATCATCCTTTAAAACATAAATCACACAATGCAATGCCTCCCCCTCCCACACAAAGCCCTCAGTAGCTTCCACTCACTCAAAATAACATTCAAATTCTAGCATAGGCTGCAAGGCCCTGGCGAGCTACTGTTTCCCCCACCCCATCCATCCTTCTATGTTGTCACTCACGCCCACTTCAGTCTTGCTCATGATCAAATAACCCTGCTGGATTTCCTCTAAAGCACTTACAGTCATCTGAAATTATCTGGCTGGTTTTACAATATTTATTGACATGTTACTGTCTGCCTTCCTAGAAGATAAGCTCTAAGGAGCCTAGAATGATTCCTGGCACACAGTAGGTATCTATAAACACTGGTTAAATAAATGAATGAGAGAAGGTAAGCATCTCTTCCAAAGTTACTCTCAGAGTAGGCATCCAGTTAATCAACAAACAAATTAAACCTCAAACCACTTTTTCTCATTCATTCAAAACACACTGACCGAGGTCCTTATTACCAGTCAGGTGTTAAGCTAGGGATATGGTAGCAAACAAGACAAATATAAACTCATGAAATGTTTACAGTCTAGAGCAGGGGTTCTCACCATTTCTCCATCATGGACCCCTTCGGCAGTTTCGTGAAGGCTACAGCCCTTCTGAAAATATTATACAAGCACAGGAGTGTGGTGTGACCATGGGGAAGCAAAAGAAAACAAGGAAGTATGCGACCATGAAGTGAATGCTTAGTCTCAGGGATCAGAGGCTTACAGAAAAGGATAAATTAAAACCTAAAAAGAAAGAAAAGAAGGATCCCAGCGTGTTAAAGGAAAGAGAAATTCCCCAACACCCTACCTGCTTATTTTTCCAATATAATACACAGCTGGGCCCACCTTACCACATCCTCATTGATACCAACCTTTATCAACTTTTCCATAAAAGCCAAACCAGACTTAGTGCAGTCAATGATGGACTGTCTGTATACCAAGTGTATTCCTTGTATAACTGATTGTGTAATGCCTGAAATTGAGAAATTGGAGCAGAAGTATGGAGTGGCTCTAAGGATCACCAAGGATCCAAGATTTGAAGGATTACCATGTACACACAAAGGAACCTAAGCAGATGACTCTTAGTACAGAGAGTAATTCAGCATAAGTTTTATATTGTGGCCACAGTTGACCAGGACCTTAAAAGAAGAATCCCTAAGATTCCTGGAGTTCCTGTCATGTACATTTCTAACCATAGATACAACATTGAATGAATGCCAGATGATTATGGAGCCCCTTGATTCTAATTCTCATAAGACACAGTTCCTCTGCCTTTCTTCAACCAGCTTTCTCTTGCTGCCAGTTCATTACACATGCAAGAGCATGAATTATTATTCTGTTGACCTATTTGCTCTATTATGAGCTGAGGATGGTTAAATATGCTCACCCCTTTTTTTTTTTGAGATGAAGTTTCGCTGTTGTTGCCCAGGCTGGAGTGCAGTGGCACAGTCTCGGCTCACTGCAGCCTCTGCCTCACAGGTTCTGGCGATTGTCCTGCCTCAGCCTCCCGAGTGGCCAGCTAATTTTTTTTTTTGTATTTTTTGTATTTTACGTATTTTTAGTACAGAAAAATATGCCTCAGCCTCCCACGGTGCTGGGATTGCAGGTGTGAGCCACTGTGCTTGCCCTGCTCACTTTTTGATGCTGTTTTGAAATTGATATTTTGTCTCATAAAAATGTTAGGCCAGGCCAGACACGGTGGCTCATGCCTGTGGTCCTGGCGCTTTGGGAGGCCGAGGTGGGTGGATCATCTGAGGTCAGGAGTTCAAGACCAGCCTGGCCAACATGGTGAAACTCCGTTTCTACTAAAAATGCAAAAACTGGCCGGGCATGGTGGCACGTACCTGTGTTCCCTGCTGCTGGGGGGCTTAGGCAGGAGAATCGCTTGAACCCGGGAGGTGGAGGTTGCAGTGAGCCGATATTGCGCCATTGCACTCTGGCCTGGGCAACAAGAGTGAAACCCTGTCTCAAGAAAAAAAAAAAAAAATTTAGGCCAGGCACATGGTGACTCACGCCTATAATCCCAACACTTTGGGAAGCCAAGGTGGGCGGATCATCTGAGGTCAGGAGTTCCAGGCCAGCTTGTACAACATGGCGAAACCCCATCTCTACTAAAAAAACAAAAAAAATTAGCTGGGTGTGGTGTCACATGCCTGTAATCCCAGCTACTGGGGGTGCTGAGGCAGGAGAATCGCTTGAACCCAGGAGGTGGAAGTTGCAGTGAGCGGAGACTGCACCACAGCATTCCAGCCTGGGTGACAGAGTAAGACTGTCTCAAAAAAAAAAAAAAAAAAAAAATTTAATGATGGTCAAAAGGTACGAAATCTCAGACAGGAAGAATATGTTTTATGCTTTTTTTGATTTACGTTATACAGTGTGTTGCATATACTTAATAATAGAGTGTTATACATTTCAAAATTGATGTTCTCATCACAGAAGTGTATTTGAAGTATTGGATATGTTAACTAGCTTGATTTAATTATTCCACATTGCATTCACAATTTATGACATCACTTTGTAACCTATAAATTTATACAATGATAAACTGTCAATTTACAAAAAAAAATTATACAAGCATAAAGTAAAATGCAGCAGGCTTACAAAGGAAACCAATTATAGTGACATACAAGTAATGCAACTACTAAAAAACAAATTTGCAATATAGTAATACGTATATTTCTTTCTTTTTGAGAGGAGTTTCAATCTTGTCACCCAGGCTGGAGTGCAGTGGCGCGATCTTGGCTCACTTCAACCTACACCTCCCAGGTTCAAGCTATTCTCCTACCTCAGCCTCCCAAGTAGCTGGAATTACCGGTGCTCGCCACCATGCCCAGCTAATTTTTGTATTTTTAGTAGAGATGGGGTTTCACCATTTCGGCCAGGCTGGTCTCCAACTCCGGACCTCAGGTGATCCACCCGCCTCAGCCTCCCAAAGTGCTGGGATTACAGGTGTGAGCCACTGCACCCAGCCTGTAATATGTATACTTCTTAATGTGTCTACTAACAAGATCTAGTGATGAAAGACTACAGTGTTCTCATAACAAGGAAAACAGTAATATTTTGAGGTATCATCAATATTCTTAATGTAATATAAAAAAACTATCACAGAGTTACAGATACTGCTAATTCTACCGTAGTTTGTAGATTATATTCATAATTAAGGCAATGCTAAATTTCAGCTAGAGGTTAGTGAAAATAAAGACATAACTTTCTTTCAATCCAAGTTTGCCCTGAATTCTATCCACAGATCCTCTGAACCTCCAGTTAATGCTCCCTGGACTTCAGTGGGGAAAGTCTGGGCAGCTCTTTTTGCCTCTAGAGCCCAATTCAATTCCAAAGCTTCGATACCATTTGGAATCATTTTGAAATTTAAGAAGTTCTTCTACATTCACTATGCAACCCAGAGCATCATGATACATGTTCGAGGTCACCTGTTTATTCAGAGTTCCTGGGAAATCAAAACTCTAGGAACCAAAAGGAAAACAAAAAAAAGCAACCATCACCTTATTTAAAAAAAAAAAAAATCTACCAGACAGGAGTCATGGAAACAAACATTCCAAGAACCAATTTCAGGTTTTACTCTTGCCTCCGTAGGAAAGAAAAAAATAATCCCAAACAAAATTACCTACATACTGCCTTATTTGCAGAAATGGGATTTACAACTGCCTATTTCTAACTGTAGCAATTATGAACTTATTTTCATTTTTAAGAGTACTGCTAGAGGGCCGGGTGCAGTGGCTCATGCCTGTAATCCCAGCATTTTGGGAGGCCAAGGTGGGTGGATCACTTGAGGTCACGAGTTCAAGACCAGCCTAGCCAAAATGTTGAAACCCCGTCTCCACTAAAAAATACAAAAATTAGCCAGGCATGGTGGTGTGCACCTCTAGTCCCAGCTACTCAGGAGACTGAGGGAGGAGAATTGCTTGAACCCAGGAGGCAGAGGTTGCAGTGAGCTAAGACTGAGCCACTACGTTCCAGCCTGGGCGACAGAGCGAGACTCCATCTCAAAAAAACAAAACAAAAGAGTACTACTAGATTTTGCACAGGAAAAATATTCACATATAAGTATCAAGGTTAACGTTACCAAATGATTTTAAATTTGGATTAACCAAGATATTTACTAAATGCTACCATCTGGGATAAATCCATTCTCACTTAATCTTTCACACAGATTGAGCTTCACATGGTACAAGATATTTCCCACGAAGTATACCAGAGGATAAGAGCTTGGGATTTAAATTCCAACAGGCAGGGTTCAGGTACCACCCTTGCTAGTACTAGCATCACTGCACAACTGCTATCTTCTAAGCTTGAGTCTGCATGTGTGTAAATGGGAATAATGACAATAACATCTCCCTCACAGGTCCACTGTGAGGATTAAATGAGGAAAGGCACGTACTCCTTAGTAGTCATCACATAATCATATATGTAAACATTTAGTCAATGGTGGTTACTATTTATAAACCAGTAAAATCTCTCCCACATGCTCCTTAGCCATTAGCACATTTTTTTAAATGATAAAAGTGATAAGCATCTTGTGAATGAAGACATTTTGGAAAATACAGAGACGTATAAAAAAGAGGCCATAGACTCTTACCTCCACCCAACTCTAATTATCTGCCTATTTCATATAAACAGGGGTATAAAATTTAAAAAGAGAGTAATACATGTATTAATTTTTTGGAGACACTGCCAGTTTTGATGCAAGTTATCTTTTTTTTGTCACAATAAAAATGCCTTTCATTATTGGTCTGGATGTTTTGTACCTTCTCCAGTACTAAAAGAAATGTCTGTTTAAATTTAGAGAAGGAGGGGAAGGGCACTTGAACACTATGGGAGGTTCTACTGTAGAATTCTGGAAGAAGAAAAAGGTGTAAATTATTTCACAATAGAGTAGAAATTACAGGAAGTCCAAACAGAACCAACTGTTACAGTAATGAATAAGGAAAAGGTACCAAGTCTCTTTCTTGGCTGTCATGTAATAACAGACTTGAGTTGCAACAGCTGGGGTGTATGCAAGTTCAGGGGATGATTTTACATGTGCCATTTAATCCAGGTACACTAGACTAGTACCTTTCTCAAAACTCAGAAAATAAATTGCTGTGAAGTATAAAAGGATTCAACCCTGATTACAAATGGGATAACAGGTAATTTTTGCTTAAAAAGAGCCTCTAGGAAACAGGAGGTTTGATCAATTTGTTTCATGTACTTCTACTTCTTCCCTTTAGGGTGCCTCAGAATGACCTAGTTCTCCCTTCTCTGTGTTAACACATGACACATCTTTCTCTGACAGTCAAAATTCGCAGATTATCCAAGTTTTAGAAGCCAAATTATACTTGTCCCTTTGTTGCCTGCGGACCTGGGGCACTGCCTATGAGTGTTTCAAGCGACAACCCAGATGTTTTTAACCTTTAAAAAAAAATTTTTTTTAAATACAAGGTATTTCTCTGTTGCCCAGGCTAGAGTGCAGTGCCATGATTATAGCCCACTGCAGTCTCCAATGCCTGATCTCAGATGATCTTCCTGCCTTCATTCCAAGTAGCTGGCACTACAGGCACACGCCACCAAGCCCTGCCAATTTTTTGTATTTTCAGGAGAGACGGAGTCTCACTATATTTCCCAGCCTGGTCTCGAACTCCTGAACTCAAGCGATCCGCCTGCCTCAGCCTCCTAAAGTGCTGGGATTACAGGCGTGAGCCACTGCGCCCGGCCTAAGATGCATCTTAAGGGGCACTGTTCTATTTCTACCATCTCGAATAGTATTTGGCCAACTCTTTCCAGCTATGTCCTGAATTTAAAGTGGAAAAAGGAGAAGAAGAAAATTATAACAGGTCTCTATTTAAAACCTGACGATTTAATCCTTCGCTGAACTGGGTTACAGAATTTTTCGAAAGTCAAATGGAGCTTCGGGACGGGCCTGCCTATGACCTGCACCTTGGGCCACCTTCCCCAGGGGCACCTGCCAAGGTGCAGGTTAGGGCGACTCAGTCCTTTGTCCCCACTGCAAGGGTTGGGAAGAGAAACGGGGGAAGCCGAGGCCGAAGAGCCGGCCTAACTTCATTTCCACAAATGATTCCCGGTGACCTCAAGTTAGAGTATGAGCCACTGGAGTGCAGGGTACGGGAAAAAGGAGAATTTGGGGCAAGGGGCACTTCAATTTGCCGCCTAAATTCGCATGACCAGGCCTAAATTCGGATGCGTTGCCATTTCCCACAGGGAAAGGCTCCGTGCGGCTACCAGTTCACATTCCTCCAGCTGAGTGCAAGCGGCTCCGCTCTCCCTCGGCGTCCGCGGACACCCGGGCACTGCTCCCCGGAGCCACGCAGCAGCCGGGGCATGGCCGGGGCCAGGCCGAGGGAGCGCCGTGCTGCGCCCGGGAACCCGCCAGGGCCTCCCAGGCCGGGTCCCGCCTCTGCTGCCCCCTGCTGGCTGCCCGCGAGCCGGGGCGCCCCGAACTCTCAGCGCCTTGACCACCGCGGCTCGGGACCGGGGCGCGGTTACCTCTTGGGGACATCAAAGGCTCGGCAGGCGGCGGGGCGCGACGGCTCCCCACACTTGGTTTTCCCATAGCGGATCAGGTCCTGGAAGATCGCGCAGCCCGGGAGCAGGCCGGGCGGCAGGAGCTGCAGCAGTAGGGTCAGCAGGAAGGCGGCGGTCAGCGTGAGCCACACCGCGCGCAGCGGGTTCAGCGCCGAGTGCTCGGCCTCCGCCCAGGGAGCCATGGCCCGCGTGCCCGCCTTCCGCGCTGCTGGCGCCCCCACCGCCCGCTAGCCCGCGGAAGAGCGGCCACTAGCGCGCGGCGCACCGGTCTCAGCCTAGCGGGACGTCGGTGACGCGGCGCGGGGCGGGGACGCGCAGAGCCCCTCCCGGACTCGCCGCTCAGCCGCGGAGGTCCTTGGTCCTGGTCGCGCTGGCGCTGGGTGGTCGCTCGCAGTCCCTAATCTGGGCATGGGGATTCTTAGATGGAGCTCCAGAATATGATTCATCAGAAGCAAAGACGCAAAACAGACGAGACCACGTGTCTGCCACTCTTATCAACATTATCTCCAAAGCAAAAAATGGAAACCTTACATGTTGCATTTTAGTTTATTTAGCTAAATTATGATACACTGACATGTTAGAATATCATGCAGTCATTGAGAATTATTATGACGAGTGTAGAAACAGGGAAAGCTGTTTAGGAAACAATATGTGAAGTGAAAAACAAAACCAACCATAAAAATACATAGCTATGATTGCAAACAACTATATTAATATGAATGTGTGTATATATGGATAAAGAAGGCAGATCACACCCAAAAATGAATAATTATGTTAGGATGCTGGAAATGTGTTGGATATGTGTATAATGTAAACATGTAGACAAGTAATTGCACATAATAATAAAAATCATAGTGGTAAAAACTGTGTTTAAAAAACAGCAGTCGCTTACCAATAGGGTTCCAATCCTTAGAAGCAAAGTTTTTAAATTCCATCAGCTGTTTCCTGTAACATTTATCTCAGGTAGTGACAATGCTATTTATTGACTCACTGATTTTAAACAACACTGATTTTATTTACTATAAGTGAAAATCTAGCTCTTTTAAGTATTTAAAAGTCTTTAAAATGTTAATTCTGAAGTATTGTATGCCTACTGTATGACAGGCATCATTTTGGATACTGAGGACAGAGGGGTTTACAAGATAATTGTCACTGCTTATTTGGAGCTTACATTTTTGAGATTGGGTGGTGGGTGAGAAGTGGAAGAGGGGAGAGGTAGCCAACTCATCACCCTTACCCCAATGAGATACCCGATATGTGTGTTGAATAAACATCAGGGTGGGTAGGTTAGTGGGACTTTGGACTGTTAAATGAGCAAGCTTTTAAAGTTTTCTTCTTTGTGCAAAAGACACCTAAGGCTTTACCCGTCCTTTGACAGCCAGGTGATTAAGGATGGTTAAATTGGCATTCTAGCTAGGACAATGAGGCCTTATTGAGTGATCCTGGATCTCTTTTGCGGGAGTCACCCTTTCACTGTTTCTTTCTTTTCTTTTTTTTTTTTTTGAGATGGAGTCTCGCTTTGTCGCCCAGGCTGGAGTGCAGTGGCCTGATCTCTGCTCACTGCAAGCTCTGCCTCCCAGGTTCACACCATTCTCCTACCTCAGCCTCCCGAATAGCTGGGACTACAGGTGCCCCCCCAACCACGCCTGGCTTTTTTTTTTTTTTTTTTTTTGTATTTTTAGTGGAGATGGGGTTTCACTGTGTTAGCCAGGATGGTCTTGATCTCCTGACCTCGTGATCCATCTGCCTCGGCCTCCCAAAGTGCTGGGATTACAAGCATGAGCCAATGCTCCTGGCACCCCTTCACTGTTTCTTTATTTTTCTTAGGTTAACTCTCTGTAAATGCAGCTGGTCTGTCCATGATCTTTTTCTTTTCAGAGAAGCTACTTGTAAGTGCATTGCAGGGACTCAGTTTCCTGGGTAGGAGTTTCTCTTACAGTTGTCTGACCTGGGGCAAGATTGAAAACAAGATAAGTGTGTGTGTATGTGTGAGTGTGTGTGTAGTGGAAACAGGAAGGGTTGAGGAGGCTGGAGGGGAAAATCATCCCATATATTTTTTAGATTTTTTTTTTTGAGACCGAGTTTCACTCTTGTTGCCCGGGCTGGAGTGCAATGGCACGATCTTGGCTCACCGTGACCTCTGCCTCCTGGGTTCAAGCTATTCTGCCTCAGCCTCCCGAGTAGCTGGGATTACAGGCATGTGACACCACACCAGGCTAATTTTGTATTATTAGTAGAGACGGGGTTTCTCCATGTTGGTCAGGCTGGTCTCAAACTCCCGACCTCAGGTGATCCGCTTGCCTCGGCCTCCCAAAGTGCTGAGATTACAGGCGTGAGCCACCCTGCCTGGCTATTTTTTAGATTTTAATCAGCATGCACAGTTTATATTCAGAGAAGCCCCCTGTAGATGGCAGTGGCTGAACAGAAAGCCGTAAGTTAAACCCTCCTGGGAGTATTTGTAAATGTAAATCCTTACTGGAGTGAGTTAGTTCAAAAGTGGAATACCAGGCTAACATCTGTTAGAAAGATCATTGCTAATAAATATCAGTGAGCATTTTTGTCTTTCTTCATTTAATTAACTGCACTATATGTTCAACAAACTACTGGTATTGCCTGCAGTAAACGGCAAAGCCATTTTTCCAGTTGCTCAGGCCAAAAACCCTAAACTCAACCTTGATTCCTGTCTTTCTCTCATAGCCTAAATGCAATCTGTCAGCAAATCCTGTTGGCTCTACCTTCAAAATATGAATCTAAATTCAATTATCCTTAGAGTCAGTGCTTTAAGTCCCTAGCCATCTCAATAAATCAGAAAAAGAAATAAAACATATAAGGACTGCTAAGTAAGAAATAACGCTGTCATTATTTGATGATTATATGAAACTCCAATAATAGAAACTCCAATGGCATCCACAGATAAGGTATCAGAACTAGTAGGCAGTTTGGGGAGGTTGCTGGAGATAAAAATCTGTTCATAAATATTATTTCTATTTCCCAGCAACAAACAGGAAATTGTACATTTTTATTTCTCATCAACGAACAAAAATTTGTATGTTTCAAAGGTACAATTCACAATGGCATAAAATATATGTCTAGGAATAAATCTAATAAGGATATGTAAGATGTTAGAAATACCAAAACTGTTAGAAATAGATAATCGGTGCCATGAAGAAAAGTCAGCACAGAGACAAAAGATCTCTCAGCAAGGCCATCTTTACTTTCTGCAGAAAGGGTGCTCATTCGCAGATGGAACAATGTCGAGAGCAAACTTGAACAAAGGAAAATGAGACATATTTATCCCTTACGCATTTGGGTTGTCCTTATTGCTGTGTCCTGCATCCATTGGCTGTATTGGGACCTCACCATCTTTTTTTTTTTTTTTTTTTTTTTTTTTTTTTTTTTTTTTGGGACGGAGTTTCACTCTTTTTGCCCAGGCTGGAGTGCAGTGGCACGATCTCGGCTCACCACAACCTCCACCTCCCAGGTTCAAGCAATTCTCCTGCCTCAGCCACCCTAGTAGCTGGGATGACAGGCATGTGCCACCACGTCCAGCTAATTGTGTATTTTTAGTAGAGATGGGGTTCCTCCATGTTGATCAGGCTAGAACCTCACAATCTTAAACTGATACCTGATTTGCTAATAACCTGAAACTTTCCTAAATAGGTAAGTGCAGGGGAGAACAAATAAGTTGCTTATGAAAGGTTTAAGGAAGAAATAACATTTCCAAATAAGGAAGGGGCATAGGCTATGAGCTGGAACCTGCCTGTGAGCATGTCCAACAGTTACATAGGATAGGGCTTAACGGAGAGTTATTAGCAAAAAGCAAGGAGGCTGGAAGAAAGTCTTTAAAAAAAACTATTATGTCTAACACTTATGACTTATTCTTTAACAAGAAGGAAAACTTTGAAGAGGAAATTTTTACTTTCTACAATCCCTCCTCTTTTAGTTTTCCTCTTCAAACTTGCTTAACATGTCTTGGCTTAGTTGTTTTGATTAACTCCTGGACGTATGGTACAACATAATACCTAAGAAGAAGGAGTATACTTATTATAGTTGTTAAAGAGGTAAGAATTCAGGCTATGGATTTTTTCTTTTTCTGTTGATGAAATGCCAAGGTAAAAGGGATAGCCAATTGAACTAGAGCATAAGTACCACTCTAATTATTTGGCAGAGTGTCCAGTAAAGGTCCTCCATAATACCACCATACGTCCGCTCGGGGATGAATAAGGGCAGACTGATGGGTCAGCTCTTGGAAGTGCCTGACTTCACTGCATCCTGTTAAGTCTCCAAGGAATGCCAAAATTTTCCTCTTGTCATTAGAGACTAGAGGTAAAATTGGTTTTGGAAGATGGAGGCTGGATGGCACTCGGGGGCTGACCCACAGGGTGTTGAGCTTCAGGAAATAGCAGAGAAAGAGCTTGGTACAATTTGTTATTCCAGGCAGTGGAATCTTGAAAAAGAGGTACCATGCACTCTATGTCCGCTTGATTTGAGGACCATCCCAGTGGAAAGGGAACAACCTGGGCCTTTGGCCTACTGTACGCAAAAGCCTAACAGTCGCTTTTGTTTGAAGTGCGAACGGAATATTTAATCCATTTTAACCAGGCATTTACATCTTTATACCCTGTTTCAATGGCTGTGGTTTACCTTAGGTCTCCTAGTTCTACTACTGAGACCTTGCTTTTGTCATTTGGCATGAGGCGAGGCATAGTTTGATTTCGTAGGTTTAGGAAAGGGGCAGTTGTAGGAGGTGGAGGAGGGAGAACAAAGCGCATCTTAAAGAAGCCTATGGATCCTTTCCAGTGACCTCTGCTCCTAGACCACAGAAACGCTTTAAAGTGGGGTTAGAGTTGCTAGTGGTAGGAATAGTAATGGATATAGGCACTGGGTTAGGAAAGGAAAAGAGAGATAGACTAAGCTTTTCTTAGCTTTTATTTGGTAGGGCTTGATCCAGGAACAGTGGCCCATGATTCTTATGATAATGGCGCTTGCTTGACTCGGGTGTGCTGTGTCCATCCCCGTTCTGCTGTAGGAACAGCAGTCTTGGTGGGTAGCAGCACAAGGCAGGGTCCTTCCCAGGCTGGCTTGAGTTTCCCTTCTTTCTACCCTTTGATGGGAACGTGATCCCCAGGGTGGTGCTGGTGTACTGGAAACTCCAAGGGCGGCGCCTGTGCTAAAAGACCTTTTGTTTTAAGGGAAGAGAAGGTGGAAGAGAAACCAAGTATATAATTTCCAAGAAATTGATTTTTTGTTTTAAATGTGGGGATATCAGCAGTGGATTTTACAGTCCTTAGTGTCTTCTTGCTGAGAAATTTCCGTTAGCACCTATTTTTATTAGTTTTTAGGCCAAAGAAAGCCAAACACCATTTTATATTTGACAATGCTTCCTGCATGATTTTATACCAGATAAGCTGAATTTTACCTTTATATTAGTGTGTTATTAATGTTAAACTTAATTTTAATAAAACTTTATGGACATATTTATCCAATTTTAATGTCTGACCATAAGGTAAGATTTTTATAGACTCTTTTTAACCTTTTAAATTGTTGTTAAAGAGCAGGTTAGTGCTTTAAGAAAAACCTGTTGTGCTTTTATTTTAATGTCCAGTTCACAGAAAAACTGGATGATACCCCTTTAACTTTAGCCAATGTTTACACACAGAATTCCCCTTACAATTAATGTTTCAAAACTTGCTTAAACCTTTAAAACAAATTTTTTTCTCTCTCTCTAAGATGATAACCATTCTTTTCTAAAGCAAACTTTCTTCATGTCTGTGGACTAGACTGCCTAAGGCCACAAGATTAGAAGTTAGGATAATACATGTGACACTTAACTTTTAGGAAACTTTACTTTTGTTGAAAACCTTGTAAGTTTGGGATTTCAATTATCCTTTGTGATTAATAAGACCTCATTTAGTCCAAATTTAACTTAGAATTGATATAGATGACTCCTTCCTGATTCTGTAAGTATTTTAAGGCTTGGCTGAGTGCAAACAACTCACCAACTATTAGGCAATTTTCCTAACTCTACTTCTACAGGAGTTTCCCTATTACTTACTGAATACCCATTGTCTTTTTCCCTCAATCACCCGGGAGGAAACATCTATTGTCCTGTCCTGAAGGGAGTTCCTTCTAGGTCTGGTCGGACCTTTGTACAGTAATTAATTAAGATTTAGATCCCTGCTCTCCCCCGCCTTAGAAAACCTGCTGGGTTAAGGGAATTATCAGTGGTTAATGTTAAATCATCTTTTTCTAAGAGACTAGCCCCATACTTTAAGGTTCTTGAGTCAATAAGCTCCCTTTTTGCTTTTTTTTTTTTTTTTTTTTTTTTTTTGACTTAGGATAGTTCTGACCTGGTGAGGTGTGCTCATAATGAGGTTTCCTCTAAAAGTTATTTTTCTACTTTCTTCTGTTAGCAAAGCAGTTGCCGCTACAGACTGAATGCATTTGGGCCATCCGCGGGTTACTGTGTTAAGGATTTTTGATTAGGGTATTTCTAAGGCTACGCCCTTGTTTACACTGACAACAAGGTGGAATGGCTGCTTAAGGAGGGTAAAGCTGGGACAGCAGCTGCTTTTACGTGTTTTTGGTCCTTTCCTTATCCTTCTAATATTTTAACATACACCCTAAAGGACTACCAGAAGGAATCTGATCACCTTCACCTCTCCCTGAGTCAGCTTTACTCCTTGTCCTCATTTTACTAGAAACGTTTCCCATGTTGCTTACTGGTAAGGTTCAGTCTCCTGAAATTAGCGGAAAGCTCAACCCCTCAAACCAGGGATGTCTTGCCTTGCCTGTCCTGGAAGGTGCAACCCCTCAAACCAGGGGGTGCTTTGCCTGCCCCAGAAGGCTCAACCCCTCAAACCAGGGATGTATGTCTTGCCTTGCCTGCCCTGGGAGGTTGACCTGTTTCCTCCCTTTCCTTCTCTGAAGGTCCCTTGCACACTTCCCACTCTGGCCGCTTCCCCGAGGGAGAATTAGGCCCCTCTTAGTGTTGGCATGCCGGTATAAATCCCAACGCAGGATCCGCCCTAAGCCATATGAGGTAGCTAGGGGACCGCGGAGAGGACCCACTAACTCCGTCCAGCAGCAGGACTTGTCACCATCCACACAAACAACACTGCAAACAGGGTTGTCTGTGATCATTCACACACATACACATTCAGCCCTCCGGAATTTCACCATCAAGGAAGTACTTTATCGACTCCCGTGGCTTCTCCTTCGTTGGTCTGTGCACAGAGTCGTCGCCATGGTAGATGAGGATCCTTTACCCCAGGTTAGTGGCCAGTTTCTTTCCGTGTTGCTGAGAGTCCAGATTTATTCATCACACCGGGTGGGTCTCAGCCCCTTACCCCTAAGGCCACCACAAGAGGCGGCATGGCGCCTCATGAGAGAGGACTAGAGATGCCCCGGAGGAGAATGTATACCCGTACAATTGCTACCAAAATTGTTAGAAATACCAAAATTGTTAGAAATAGATCATTGGTGCCACAAAGAAAAGTCATCACAGTGACAAAAGATCTCTCAGCAAGGCCATCTTTACTTTCTGCAGAAAGGGTGCTCAATTGCAGATGGAACAATGGCGAGAGCATCCTTGAACAAAGGAAAAGCAGACATATTTATCCCTTAACGCATTTGAGTCATCCTTACTGCTGTGTCCTGCATCCATTGACTGGAGTGGGACCTCACAATCTTAAACTGATACCCAGTTTACTAATAACCTGCAACTTTCCTAAATAGTTAAGTGCAGAGAAGAACAACAAGAAGTTGCTTACGAAAGGTTTAAGGAAGCAATAACATTTCCAAATAAGGAAGGGGCATACGCTGTGAGCTGGAATGTGTCTGTGATGACGTCCAACAGTTACATAGGATAGGGCTTAACAAAGTTATTAGCACAAAGCAAGGAGGCTTGAAGAAAGTCTTTAAAATAAACTATTATTTCTAACACTTGTGATTTATTCTTTAACAAGAAGGAAAACTTTGAAGAGGAAACTTTTTGCTTTCTACGTAAGACTTCTTCAAATAAAATAATAAAATGTTACTGATATTAAAGAAAATGTGTTTAACAGAAGAGGTATATTAATCCTACAAATTAGAAGACTCCATATAGTTAAGATGACAATTCTTCCTAAACTGATTTTTGTAATAAATATAATCCCAATCAAACCCCAATCTTTTGAGGAACTTAAGCTGATTTTAAACTTTATATGAAAATAAGAAGGGCTCATGGTGGCCAAGGCACTCTTGAAGGTGAAGAAAAATGTTAGATGTCTTACTCTATGAGACATCAAGGCTAATACAGAGTGTTACTATGTGTAATTATGTCAGTGTGGTAAAGGAAGCAGGAACAGACAAATAAACAATGGAACATAATGGAGAGTCCAGAAAAAGACACCCACATGTGTCAACCCTGGATGTAAGTTTGAGGTTGCATGATGTGTCAGTGGGGAAAGGATGAAGTTTACAATAAATGAGGCTAGGACAAATCAGCAAACTCTGAGAGACAGAGATGAAGACAGAGATGAAAGAGATAGAGATAGAAAGAAATGAGACCCCTTCCTTACTCCATTTATCAAAATAATTCTAGGTGGGCTAAAGACCTATGTAACAGGTAAAATGAAATCTTTTAGAAGGTAATATAGGAGACTATTTTCTGCTTTTTTTTTTTTTTTGAGACAGAGTTTTGCTCTTGTCATCCAGGCTGGAGTGCAGTGGCTCGGTCTCGGCTCACTGCAAACTCCGCTTCCCGGGTTCAAGAGATTCTCCTGCCTCAGCCTCCCCAGTAGCTGCGATTACAGGCGTCGGCCCCATGCCCAGCTAATTTTTGTATCTTTGGTAGAGACGGGGTTTCACCATGTTGGCCAGGCTGGTCTCGAACTCCTGACATCAGATGAACCACCTGCCTCAGCCTCCCAAAGTTCTGGGATTACAGGTGTGAGCCACTGCACCTGGCCTAGGAGACTATTTTCATGGCTTCATGGTAAGGAAGGTGTTCTTATTCAATATATGAAAAGCAACTAGAGGAAAATATCCAAACATTCTGCAACATTAAAATTAAAATCCTCTCTTCATCAAAAGATACCATAGAAGGCCAGGCGCAGTGGCTCATTCCTGTAATCCCACCACTTTGGGGAGGCTGAGGCTAGTGGATGGCTCGAGCCCAGGAGTTTGAGGCTGCAGTTAGCTATGATTTTTTTTTGAAACAGAGTCTCGCTCTGTCGCCAGGCTGGAGTGCAGTGTCGTGATCTCGACTCACGACAACCAGCACCTTCCAGGTTCAAGCGGTTCTCCTGCTTCGGCCTCCCGAGTAGCTGGGATTACAGGCACCCGTCACCACCCCTGGCTAATTTTTGTATTTTTAGTAGAGACAGGGTTTCACCATATTGGCCAGGCTGGATTTGAACTCCTGATCTTGTGATTCGCCCGCCTTGGCCTCCCAAAGTGCTGGGATTACAGGCGTGAGCCTCCTCCCTTTTCTTGGCTAACCACGTGTACAATAAGGAACAGACAACATGGCTCCAGCCATGTAGAGACCCCATCTGCAAAACGAAAGATTAGGGTGGGGTGGCCAGCTTCTTCCCGTGCTATGCAAAGAGAACTCCTGCTCCAGCCAATCTTTGGGCCCTATGTAAATCATACACCGCCTCCTTAAGCACGCCTATAAAACCCAGTGCATTTCTCTACAAAACCGGAAGATACCCTTGGGCGCCTCTCTTACTCTGCGGGAGAGAGAGCTGTTCTCTTTTCTTCCTTCGCCTGTTAAACCTCTGGTCTTAAACTCACTTCTTATGTCAGTGTCCTTGATTCCCTTGGTGTGAGACAACGAACTTCAGGTATTTACCCCTGACAACGACGCTGCTTCACTATTTTCCCACATTTTTCAGTTATCACAGTGGTCATAGAATTCATTCCTATTTGTTTTCCGGCGTCACGGGCAGGGGGCAGTTATTCTGTTGGGAGAGAATAGCCCACTGACAGGAGAACTATGAAAAAGATCACATGAAGAAGTGTATGCACCAAGAGCCTGGACTTCTTTTCCCACTTTAAACACTGAATATTACCCATTTTGCTTCTCAAATGTAATGGAATAAAATGTGGTACAATGTGGTTAACTGACGTTTTCCCTGCAGCTGTTAATCTTTCCTGTTTGAGTTGGAAGATCACGCACAGGATAACCCAGTGGGCGGGGGGGTGGGGAGAAGTGTCATAAAAGAGCTAGAGAATAAAGATGTCACTTCTTTTTGGCTTAACCTCAAATGTTTACATTTAGGCAAAGGTGGGCGTGGTGGCTCACACCTGTAATCCCAGCACTTTGGGGGGCGGAAGCGGGTGGATCACCTGAGGTCAGGAGTTCGAGACCAGCTTGGCCAACATGATGAAACCCCATCTCTACTAAAAATAAAAAAATTAGCCGGGCTTGGTGGCGTGTGCCTGTAATCCCAGCTACTATATCCAAGGCTGAGGCAGGAGAATTGCTTGAACCCGGGAGGTGGAGGTTACAGTGAGCTGAGATTACGCCACTGCTCTCAGCCTGGGAAACAAAAACAAACAAACAAACAAAAAAGATTTAGGCAAAGATGAGGAGGAATGCTTGTTGAACATTTCTCTTCCCCTAGCATCAGACATTAGGTAAGGCTGATGACCTGAATTGGGGAGGGAGAAAAAATTAGGGAAATGTGTGTGGGAGTTGTTGACTTAAGGACTTGGGGTTTTAGCATTCACATGAAGACTGAGAGAAGGTCGTGGGGCCTTGTGATGGAGGGGATTGGAACTGATCTTTTCTTTCTATACAAGGCTGGGACCCTCAAAAGTTCACAGGATAAATTGTAGATAAATGTGTTAAGGTGATAGACTAATAGACTCTCTGGTATTCTTTATTGCAATCTCTTGTTTTTTTTATGGTTAGTATTTTTGAGTCATATTTAAAAATCTTCACTTATCCCAAGATCATGAAGATAGTCTCAGTGTTTTCTTCTAGAAGTTTTACTATTTTGCCTTTCACATTTAGGTCTATGTTTGATTAAAATACAAGTGTTAATGCTAAGTAGTTTATTTATTTATTTTATTTATTTTATTTTTTGAGACGGAGTCTCGCTCTGTCGTCCAGGCTGGAGTGCAGTGGTGCCATCTCGGCTCATTGCAAGCTCCACCTCCCAGGTTCACGCTATTCTCCTGCCTCAGCCTCCCAAGTAGCTGGGATTACAAACGCCCGCCACCACGCTCGGCTAATTTTTTGTATTTTTAGTAGAGACGGGGTTTCACCGTGTTAGCCAGGATGGTCTCGATCTCCTGACCTCGTGATCTGCCCGCCTTGGTCTCCCAAAGTGCTGGGATTACAGGCTTGAGCCACCGCGCCCAGCCAATGCTAAGTAGTTTTTTATTGAGGCATGATATAATAAAGTATGTCAGGTGCACTAATTGAGTTTTTCATCCACCCATACACTCATGTAACCAACACTCAGATTAAGATAGAAAACATTTATTACACCTAAAAGTTACCTGTGATCTTTCTTAGGTTATATGTGTCCCCAGCAGTAACTGCCATCCTGATTTCTATCCTCATAGAATTGTTTCCTGAACTTCATGTAAACGGAATCATTCAGTATATATTCTTTATGCCTGGCTTCTTTCATGCGACATAATATCTGGGAAATTCACTCATGTTATATGTAACAATAATTCATTCTTTTTATTGCAGTGAAGAATATACTGCAATTGATGCCTTCTCCTGTTTTGGGGTATTAGTATCATTTCCAGTTTAAATCTATTATGAGTAAACCTGCCAAGAACATTCTTGTATAATCATTTTGGACATAAGTACTCATTTATTTTGGGTATGCATTTTTAAGAAAAGTTTCTGGTTATAGAGTAAGCATATGTTTAGCTTTAGAAGAAACTGCAAAGCAGTTTTCCAAGGCCATTGTACCATTTTCTATGTCTATCAGTAGTTTCATTTGCTCCATATCCTGGCCAACTGGATAAATTATTAATCTTTAAAAATTGTATTCATTCTAGTGAGTTTGTAAAGGTATCTCATTGTAGTTTCATTTGCATTTCCTTGATGAATAATAGAGTTAGCACCTTTCCATATACTTATTGGTTATTTGGCTATCTTCTTATAAAGTGTCTGAATTTGCCCATTTTGAAATTGTTTTGTCTCTTATTGGTCTGTAGGACCAATAATATATTCTGGATAAAAATCCTTTGTTGCCTTTTTGCTTTCCTAATGGTATCTTTTGATATCTAGGAGTTTTAAATTTGATGATGTCCAATTTAACAGTCTTTTTTTTATGGTTAGTGCTTTTAATTCATATTTAAGAAATCTTTTCTTATCCTAGGATCATGAAGATAGTCTTCTACGTTCTCTTCTAAAAGTTTTTTGTTTGTTTCCCTTTTTTAGACAGAGTTTTGCTCTGTCACCAAGGCTGGAGTGCAGTGGTACTATCATAGCTCACTGCAGCCTTGAACTCCTGGGCTAAGTAATCTTTCTGCCTTACCTCCTGAGTAGATGGGACTACAGATCTAAGCCACCACGCCCGGATAATTTAAAAATTTTTTGTAGAGATGGAGTCTCACCATGTTGCTCAGGCTGGTGTTGAACTCTTGGGCTCAAATGATCTTCCCTCCTCGGCCTCCCAAAGTGGCGGGATTATAGGCTTGAACCACCATGCCTGGCCTTCTAGAAGTTTTGTTCTTTTATCTTTTACATTGAAATCTACGATCTATGAACTATCTCAATTAAATTTTGTGTGTGGTATTAGATGAGGGCCAAAAATATGTATGTTTTTTCTCTGTTGATACTCAATTGCTTCAGCACCTTCTGTTGAAAAGACTATCTTTCTCCCTACAGAATTGCATGGATCTTCACCATAAATCAAGTAACCAATATGTGTTGGTCTATTTATGGAATCATTTTTATTCCATATATCTATGTATCCTAACACTAATGCCACATTCTCTTAATTAGTATGGTTTGATATCAAGTCTTGAAATATGATAATGTAAATCCTTCAGCATGGTTTTTTTCAACATTATCTTGGGCTATTTTAGGCCCTTTGTTTTCCATATATACTTGAGATTCAGCTTGTCAGTTTCCAAAAAATTCTTGCTGGGATTTTCATTTCAGTTACATTGAATAATTTGATCAATATGGGAACAATGATCATCTCGACAATATTAAATCTTCCAAAACATGAACGTGATCTGTCTCTTTATTCTTTATTTTTCCTAGCAATATTTTTAAAATTTCAGTGTAGAACCCTTACACATTTTAAATTTATTTCTAGGTATTTGATGTTTATGACAAAGATATTTAATAATGTCATTTCCAACTCTTTGTAGGTTGTATGTAGAAAAACAATTGCTTTTTAAAATATTGACCTTGTGGATTGTGATCCTGCAAAATGTAGTTATTGGTTCTAAGAGGTTGTGACTACCTTATGATTTCTATATTTAGAATCATGTCATCTGTGAATAAGGGCTAAAACTGTCTTCCTTTACCATCTGAATGGCATTTATTTATTTTGATTGCCTTATGTACTGAGTGAAACTTCTAGTACAATGATGAATAGAAGTGATGAGAGCAGATATTCTTGCATTGTTCCTGATTTTAAGGGCAAAGCATTCAGTCTTTCATCATTAAGTATAATGTTAGCTGCAGGTTTTTCACAGATACCATTTATTAGGTTGAAGAAGTTTTTTTTTTTTATTTCGAGTTTGTTGATTTTTTTTTAATCATGAAAGATGCTGAATTTTATTATATACTTTGATGTGTTTATTGCGACAACCACATTGTTCCTTTCATTCTCTTAATGTGATTAATTTCATTGATTTACAGAAATTATACCAACCTGCATTCTTGGGATAAACCCCACTTGGTCATTATTTAATATACTTTTAAATATATTTTTGGGTTTGACTTGTTAATATTTTGATGAGGATTATTTGTATCTTTGCTTATGAGGAATATTGGTTTGAAGACTTATTTTCTCGTAATGTCCTTGTCAGGTTTTGGTACCAGGGTCATATGAGTTCATAAAACAAGCTGGGAATTGTTCCTTCTTGTTCTTGTCTTTGAAAGAGTTTATATATGAATAGCTTAATTTTTCATTAAATGCTAGTAGAATTTACCAGTGAGGCCACCTGAGCTTGAGGATGTTTTTGTAGGAAGGTTTTAAATTATGGATTCAATTTTAAAAAACAGATATAGGACTATTCACTTTTTGTTTTTGTATCAGTTTAGGAAAGTTGTGTTTTTTTCAAGCATTTTATCCATTTCTTCTAAGTTGTTAATATCTAGTTATACAGAATAATCTTGTATCCTTTTAAATGTCAGTAGAGATCTCAAGTTATGTCCCATTTTTCTTTTCTGACATTGATAATTTGTATTTTCTTTCTTACCAGTCTTGCTAGAGTTTTATAAAATTTTATTAATCTTTTCTGAGAACAAACTGTTGGATTTGTTGATTTTTTTCCCCTATTTATATTTGTCTTTGATTTCGTTGAATTTTTTTTTTTTTTTTTGCTCTGATTTGTATTCCCTTCTTTCTAATTTCTTGAGTGTAATCTGCCACTTTTTTCTGGCTTCTTTTTTTGAGACAGGAGCTCACTCTATCATACAGGTTGGAGTGCAGTGGTGTGATCATGGATCACTGTAACCTCCACCTCCCAGGCTCAAGTAATTCTCCCACCTCAGCCTCCTGAGTGGCTGGGACTACAGGTTTTTTGTGCTACCAGGCCTAGCTAATTAAAAAAAATTTTTTTGAGAGACAGGGTCTTCCTACGTTGCCCAGGCTGGTCTTGAACTCCTGGCCTCAAGCAGTTCTCCTGCCTTGGCCTCCCAAAGTGCTAGGATTACAGGAGTGAGCTACTTTACAAGGCCTCTAGCTTCTTGAGATGGAAGCTTAGATGATTGAAATAAAATATATTTTTTTCTAATGAGCATTTTAACTATTGTTTTTCCTCTAGGCATTGATTTAACTGCATCTCACAAATTTTGATAGAAAATTTATTATTATTATTATTATTATTATTATTATTATTTTGAGATGGAGTCTCACTCTGTCGCCCAGGCTGGAGTGCAGTGGCATGATCTTGGCTCACTGCAAGCTCCACCTTCTGGGTTCATGGCATTCTCCTGCCTCAGCTTCCCTGGTAGTTGAGACTACAGGTGTCCGCCACCACGCTTGGCTAATTTTTTTTTTGTATTTTTAGTAGATATGGGGTTTCACCATGTTAGCCAGGACAGTCTCAATCTTCTGGCCTCATGATCCGCCTGCCTTGGCCTCCCAAAGTGCTGGGATTATAGGCGTGAGCCACCGTGCCAGCCGAAAATTTTTTATTATTGTTTAGTTAAATAAAATTTACAATTTCCATTGTGACTTCCTCTCTCAATTTCCACCATTTTTGAATTCTTTAGTTATCTTTCTGTTACTGATTTCTAGTTCAATTACACTGGTCAATAAATATTTTTATATGATTTCAATGCTTTGAAATGTATTGAGACTTGCTTTATGTTCCAGAATGTGGTGTATTTTGTAAATATTTACATGTACTTGAAAAGAAAGTGTGTTCTATAATATTTGAGTATAGTATTTTGTAAATTTCAATGGAATCAAGTTGGTTAGTAGTACTCAAATATTTTATATCCTGTTAAAAGATCAACAGGTTTATATGCCTACTGCACAGTAACATACAAATACACTGAGACATCAGGGTTTGCAGCAGAGAGTTTAATGATCACAGGGTACTAAGTGAGGAGATAGGAGGAGACCCTCAAATTTATCTCCCCAAGGAGTTCTGGGCTGGAGATTTTAAGGGGACAATGAAGGGGAAGGGACTGCAAAATTGGTGTCATTGATTGGTTGGGGTAAGGGGGATGAAATCATCAGGATGTAGACACTGCATTCTTTGGAGAGTCACCTCCTTGTGGGGTCCTTCAGACCAGCTGATGTCAGTAGTTTCACCGGTATTCAGGACCTGAAACCATATCTCAAAAGGAAAACTTAATGTTGCATAATGTTTAATAAGTTTTGTTTATAGAGCAGTTAAAGAGAACTATAATCTAGGGCCTACATGAGTCTAAGACAATAGGCAGACAACTATGAGGAAGTGGGTCAGAGAGGAAGCTGATCTAATGATTAAATGCTAAATGTGTTGCAAGCTCGGTTTATTTTTGTTCCCGCCTCTCCCTTATTTCCTGATTTATTTTATAAAGTTCATAGGGACGGTTTTATCCTTACTGATATTCTTGTCTGCTTAGTCTACCATTTTCTAAGGGAGATATATTAATATATGCAATGATTATGGATTTGTCTGTCTTTCGTTTTATTTCTGTCAGTTTGCTTTGTGTATTTTGAAGCTATGTTATGAGGTGCATAAGCATTAAAGATCAATATCTTTAATATCTGTCTATTTAATTGAGTTATCTGTGTATCTGCTTCTAGTGTCTGTTTTTCCTTTGATTATAGGTCACAATTTTTTGTGCTTCACATTTCATACTTTTTCATTATATGTCAGACATTATGTATAAAAGGACCATAGAGATTGAAGTCAGTGTTTTCCCTCAGAGAGACTCCACCCTTTACTCTTACTCTTGTTGCACATAGAGCAACAGAATAGAAGTGACTGCCAATTTCCTAGGAAGGACTTCTCCCTCTCTGGAATTTAATTTCTCTAGATTTTGTTTCTGTAGTTTTTTCAGTGTCTTAAAATATGGTTTTTGTTTTTGCTTATGTTTTTCTCTTCTTCTTTTTTTTTTGAGATGGAGTCTCACCCTGTTGCCCAGGCTGGAGTGTAGTGGCGCAATCTTGGCTCACAGCAACCTCTGCCTCCCAGGTTCAAGCGATTCTTCTGCCTCAGCCTCCTGAGTAGCTGGGACTACAGGCACCTGCTACCATGCCTGGCTAATTTTTGTATTTTTAGTAGAGATGGGGTTTCACCATAAGGGCCAGGCTGGTCTCGAACTCCTGACCTCGTGATCCACCCACCTTGGCCTCCCAAAGTGCTGGGATTACAGGCATGAGCCACCGTGTCTGGCATGTTTTTTTCTATTTCTTTCTTACGGCAGGAGTGTTAACCTGCTGCTATCATCTATATCTTAAACCAATAATGCGTAGTTTATAAGATTTATCTGGAGCCTTCTGATTTAAAAAATGTATAAATATGAGTCAAAAAAAAAAAAACTCTATTCACTGGCAGAGGTAGATTTAAAAAATGGCTTGTCTGTAGAAGCTTGGACTTTGGGAAGGGGAAAAATATCAACCTGTCTGCTCTCTAGTTGTTTACCTCAGATCTAATTTCCTGGTTACCGGTTCTGTCATTAGTCATCTTTCTCAGGTGAGAAGGTAACATGAATATCAGTCTAAGCTTTTGATAGTTCTGTCTAGCACAAACAAATACCAAACCACTTGGAAAAGATGGTCAGAGAGAGAAAAAAAAAACTCACATTAAAGATGAGTTCCTAAAAAGGCACAGAACTCATGGGGAAGTGATATGCTATGAGTGATAAAAATCAAGAATACAGAACACTAAGAAACTGAGATAACTGAATGACAGTGGGAAAGAGTATAAAATAAATATGTTCAAAATGATCAAAGGCACACTAGCAGAATTTAAAACCCTAGCAAAGAATGCACTATTAAGAAAAGACCAAGCAGGTTTTATAGATCCAAATATAACTTCTTTTTTTGTTGTTTTTGAGACAGAGTCTCGCTCTGCCACCCAGGCTGAAGTGCTGTGGCGCGGTCTTGACTCACCTTCACTTCTTGACTACAGCCTTCACCTTCCAGGTTCAAGCAATTCTCCTGCCTCAGCCTCCTGAGTAGATGGAATTATGGGTGCCCACCACCGCACCCAGCTAATTTTGTATTTTTAGTAGAGACAGGGTTTCGCCATGTTGGCCAGGCTGGTCTCAAACTCCTGACCTCAGGTGATCTTCCCGTCCTGGGCCTCCCAAAGTGCTGGGATTACAGGCGTGAGCTACTGCGCCTGGCCTCAAATAGAACTTCCAAAAAAGAAATAGCTGGGCAAGGTGCTGTGGCTTATGCTTATAATCCTCACATGTTGGGAGGTCAAGATGGGAGGATCGCTTGAGGCCAGCAGTTTGAGACCAGCCTAGGCAAGATGGCGAGACCTTATCTCTACAAGAAGTTTAAAAATTAGCTGATTGCAGTGGTGCTTGCTTATAATCCTAGCTACTTGGGAGCCTGAGAAGGGAGGATTGCTTGAGCCCATAGTGCGGTATCTAATCCCAGTTTGGGTCTTAGCTATTGTGTGTTCAGATACGTTAAAGCCACTTTCGTAGTTTATTTTATGTCAGCTGGAGTTTTTTACAACTCAGGTGAGTTTTAGCTTTATTGGGGGGAGTTCCTGCGGTGAGTTATGATCATGCCAGTGCACTCCAGCCTGGGCGACAAAGTAAGAACACATCAGGAAAAAAAACAACAAAATTAGAAAGTAAAACATGAGTGGTGATTGAATAGCTAATTAGGGATACCTAGAGAACTAGCGCTCTAGAAGCTAAATCTTCTGGTAGATACCCAGAAAGCAGCAGAGATTAACAGAGATGGAAAATGAAAGAAGATAAGAAACATGGAGGAGAAAAGGGAGAGAGCCAAACAGTATGATGCCAGAAGAAAAAAAGAAAATGAAGAACAGGTAAAGTTTGAAAGGGTAATGTTTGAAAATTTCCAAATTGATAAAAAATGTGAATCTCAGCCGGGTGCGGTGGCTCACGCCTGTAATCCCAGCACTTTGGGAGGCTGAGGTGGGTAGATCATGAGGTCAGGAGTTCGAGACCAGCCTGGCCAACGCAGTGAAACCCCGTCTCTACTAAAAATACAAAAATTAGCTGGGCGCAGTGGTGGGCACCTGTAATCCCAGCTACTTGGGAGGCTGAGGCAGGAGAATTGCTTGAACCTGGGAGGCAGAGGTTGCAGTGAGCTGAGATCGCGCCACTGCACTCCAGCCTGGGTGACAGAACTAGAACAAGATTCACAAAAAAAATGTGAATCTTGCCTGGACATGGTGGGTCATGCCTGTAATTCCAGCACTGGGAGGCCAAGGTGGGAGAATTGCTTGAGCTCAAGAGTTGAAGACCAGCCTGAGTAAGACAGTGAGGCCTCATCTCTACTAAAGATAAAAAACATTAGCTGGATGTGGTGGCATGTGCCTGTGGTCCCAGCTACTTAGGACACTAAGTCAGGAGGATCTCTTGAGCCTTGGAGGATGAAGCTGCAGTTAGCTCTGATTGTGCCACTGCACTGCAGCCTGAGTGACAGAGCGAGACCCTGTCTCAAAAAAAAAACAACTTCATACTTAAGACACACAATGAAATGAGCAGAATATATAAATACAGGTATCTAGACGCAGAAGTAAAAACGAATATTAGAAACAAAGCACACAAAAAATCTTAAAAGCACCCAGAGAAAAAGGGCAAATTACCTAGAGGAGCAGTAATCAGACTTACAACAGCAATATTAGGAACCAGAAATAAATGGAATAATGTTTTGAAATACTAAAGCAAAGTGTCAGTTAGAATCTATACAAAAGAAACTATCATTCAAGAATGATGACAAAGTTTTTTTAAATTGATAGAACAAACACAATTCATCACTTATAGGGTCTTGCTGGAAAAATGCTGTTGCTTGTCCTTCAGGAAGAAGGAAGTTGAAACCAAAAAAAATAGTGAGGTGTAGTGAGCAATGGTAAACAATGTAATTGGCAAATGAGTATTTAGTTAAGTTACTAAGTAAATACTGTAAAAAATGACAAAACTTTTAGAATGTGAAAAATAAAGTTGGAATAAAATACTAAATAATCATTAAGATGGGATAAAGTGATAAATTCTTTTAAGAGCTCTGTGTTTGGGAGAAGAATAAACTATTAATATTATGTTTGACTTAAAGCCTCAAGTTTATGTTAAAAAGGTAAGGACCATTGTAATAGAAATAGGATCCAAACCAGTCTGTGTGTGGTGAGGGAAGGAATAAAGAAAAATATAGAAATGGCCAAGAAGCACATCAAAAGATTATCAAAAGATTATGGGCTCATGCCTATAATCTTAGCACTTTGGGAGGCCGAGGTAGGCTTGAGCTTAGGAGTTGGAGACCAGCCTGGGCAACATGGTGAAACCCCGTCTCTACTAAAAATACAAAAATTAGCCTGGTGTGGGGGCGGATGCCTGTAATCCCAGCTTCTTGGGAGGCTGAGGCATAAGAATCACTTGAACCCAGGAGGTGGAGGTTGTAGTGAGCTGAGATAGCGCCACTGCACTCCAGCGTGGATGACAGAGTGAGGCTCTGTCTCAAAATAAATTAAATTAAATTAAAAAGATCCTCAACATTGCTATCCACCAGGGAAATGCAACAATCAGAACCTCAGTGAAAGACCTATCTACTAGCACGACTATAATAAGTGTTGGCCAGGATTTGGGGAAACTTGAAACTTCATACATTGTGGGAATGAAAAATGGTGCGTCCACCTTGGAAATCAGTCAGAAAGTTCCCCAAAAAGTTAAACACAGAGATACCATTTGATCTAGCAATTCCACTCCTAGTTTCACACCCCAAAGAATTAAAAACATATGTCTACACAAGAACTTGTGCCTGAATGTTTATAGCGGCTTTATTCATCATAGCTAAAGGTGGAAACAATCTAAATGCCTATCAGCTGATGAATAAGTAAACAAAATGTGGTATTCCATACAATAGAATATTTCTTGACCATAAGAAGGAAGGAAGGGTGGATACATGCTCCAACATGGATGACCCTCAAAAACCTTATGCTAAGTGAAAGAAGCCAGCCACGAAAGACCACATAACGACACACTGAGGTCTGAGAGAGGGTAATTTATCACTCCCCTGTCCCTCTCCTGGCCCAGAAATGGCTATCTCACTTAGAACTCCAGCCTTTCCTGTAAAAGCAACAGCCCAGAATCTACTGAGCCTTATGGTTTCAATTTCCTTTCTCAAATTCATTCATTAAACAGGTGGGGAAGTAAGTGATGGGGACTGAACAAAGACCAGTCTCCCATACTTTTTCCTTTTTTGTCTCCCTCCCTCCCTTCCTTCCTTCTTTCCTTCCTTCCTTCCTTCCTTCCTTCCTTCCTTCCTTCCTTCCTTCTTTCTTTTTCTTTCTTTCTCTCTCTTTGTCTTTTCTTTCGACAGGGTCTCACTCTGTCACCTAGGCTGAAGTGCAGTGAGGCTCATTGCAACCTCAACCTCCCAGGCTCAAGCAATCCTCTCATCTCAGCCTCCTGAGTAGACAGGACTACAGGTGCGCACCATCATACCCAGCTAATTTTTTATTTTTTCTAGAGACAGGGTCTCCTTATGTTGCCCAGGCTAGTCTTGAACTCTTGAATGCAAGCGATCCTCCTGTCTTTGCCTCCCAAAGTGCTGTGGTTACAGGCGTGAGCCACCATGCCTGGCTTCCCATACTTTTTCTTCCTTCATCTTGGTAACCCCTTCAAGCATTGCCTGGTACACCCATTTATTCACTCATTCACTAAATATTTACTTAGTAACTACCATGGGCAAAGTGCCTAGTGAATACAACAAGGGCATGGGCTGTAGCCTCAAAGATCTGACATTTTGATTGAGGAACAGCAACACGAAGCATCTGAACAGTTAAACAATAGCCAATTCCTTGTGGTGTTGGATATTCCAAGACTCAGTTGTGAAAAACCTGCTTGGTTCCATCTACACTCCTTTGGTGATCTCATCCAGTCTCAGGATTGAAATAACACCAAGGACTCCATCCTCAACTTCTCCCTTGAATCCTGATCTTATGTATTCAATTAAAAAAAAGAATAAGTAAAAGCCATTTTAAATTTATCTCCAAAAGCAATCTCTGATCATTCTCCTCCTCCCCTCACCCAAATCTACTCATGTCTATTTTCCTGGGAACTGGTATCTCTATTCTTCAAATTGCTCAAAAAGCTTGACATTTCCTCTTGTCTTCTTATATACCACATCCAAACCATCTTCAAATCCTGCTAGTTTGACCTTCAAAATACATCTAGGATTTGATACCATCTCATTATCTTCACTACTACCATCCTGGTCCAAGTCATCATCTTCTCCTGCCTGGATTATTATAACAATCTTCTAACTCACCTCCCTCTTCTGCTGAGGCCCCTAAGATTTATTTCCAACACAGCAGTTAAGTGATTCCCTCCAAAGATGTTATTGATAGATCATGGACGTCTCTGCTAAACCCTCTAGTTAGTGGCTTTCTCTCTTACTTTAGAGGAAAATCCAAAGTCCTTACAGTGGCTGCAAGGGCCTGGCTGATCTGGGCCCTGCTACCTCTCTGGCTGTGTCCACTCCAGTCCTCCCTCTACGTTTTTCCTCAACCTGCTAGGTATGCTCTTGCCTTGGGGCCTCTGTCCTTCTGTTCTATTAGCAGCTCACCCCCATATATCTGCATGGCCTCCTCCCTTGCTTCTTTCAAGTCCCTACTCAAAATTCCCCTTAAGGAAGACCAATCCGAGTAAAACAGCTCCTCTGCCTCCTTGGCATTTCCCCCTTAGTGTTCTCCATGTCACTTACTACATACTGATATGCTGTGCATTTCATCATTTATGCACAGACTCCAGGAGGGAAAGACTATTTTATTCCCTGCTGTATTTCTAGTGACTGTGTCAGTGCCTGGCATATAAGTTCTCAATATATATTATTCAATGAATGAATTATTCAATATACATTCAAGACAGTGATAGAGGAAATGCTGTAAGGTATTGCCAAATTAATGATATATAAATTAATATTTGGGTTTGCTATTTATTATTATTATTACCATTATTACCATTTCAATAATTATATGTGACAGTAATCTGTTCATTATTATGTATAACAAGTAGGATTGATGTCCCATTATTTTATTTAGGTTAATGACAAAACATGACATGAGTAATGGATAAAACATGAGGAAATGGGACAATTGAAAGGAAGAGAGTGGGAGTTAAACTTTCCTTCCTATATGACTTACATCATAAAAAAATCATTTCATTAAGGTTCTTCCTATTCTACTTAGTATATTCAATTTCTATAACACAAAACTTCATTTCCTAAGTTAAATCTACATTTTCCATTTGGTATTCAAAAAAATGCTCTCTTGTGAGAGGAACATTTGATTCATATGCACAGCACACTGGGAATTGATTAGGCTTGATTAATCTGTCTTATAACAATCTTTACAAAGATGAGTGAAAATATTTTAACCACTTTTGCTCCTTGGAGTTACCTGCCAATATTATTTTAATTGGAACCTCACCTTTCTATGCAATGGATTTTATTTTCACAACCAAAGCTAACATCTATTTGAATTTTCTCTTAACAATGTGCTTAGTTACAAAGAGATTTTGGCATAAAATCACTACTAATTTTAGCTGTGGTTCCTACTTAAGTGTTTTCCTTAGTTTCTTTACATTGTTACTAGACAATGTAAAGAAGGGGATGTTTCCTGAGGTATAGACCCAATAAACAGAAACGAATGTTTTCATTCAACAAATAGTTATTCAAAATCTTGTATGTGCTAAATATATTGTGGGGAGCTGGACATTGGAAGAATGAATAAGACTTTCCCACAAGGAACTCAGTTACAAAACTATAATTCCTTCTTACTTAGCATAAAGGAATCAGTCTTCTTTAAATTGATTTTACTGACTCAGTGATTGGAATGTGCATTATTGATTCTGCACTCTGGCCTTTTTTCATGGCCGAAGTATGTTATTTGTAGTAATAGCTTAGACAGCAGAGGTTTTCTAAGTGTAGTCACTGACTTACACAAACACTGAATACCCTACAATTCTGTTACAAGGATCCCTAAGTACATCACATTTTCTTGTATATTTACAATAATGTGTTTTGTTTGCCAATGAAGCAGTAGTCTTACTTTATTTTTACTCTAAGCAATAGATGGGTCCTTAGGAGGATGTATTATAAAGTGGATATTTAGTAGTTTCAAGATCACCGGGGTTTTAGGGTCACCAGGTAGATAACCAAGAATGAGCCATGCCGCCAACACGGGTCTTAGTTTGCGCATTTGTAAAACAAGGGGATTGGATTACATCAGCAAGTTTCAAACTTAATATACATACTAGTTACCTGGGGATTTTGCTGAAATGCAAAACTGATTCAGAAGGCTGGGGATAAGGCCAGGGATTCTGCATTTCTAACAAGCTCCCAGGTAATAAATAACCATGCTGCTGGTCCCTGGCCCACATTCTGAGCAGTAAGGGTGAGATTAGTATTGTCCAATAGAAAGATAACGGAGCTACAGATTTAATTTTAAATTTCTAGCCGCCACATTAAAAAGATAAAAATAACTAGGTAAAATTAATAATAATTATAATAATAAATATTGTACTTAACATTATATAATCAAAAATAATTTTTCTGTCATCAAGATAAAAATTAGGAATGAGATGTTTTACATTCTTTTTTCCATCTTCAAAATCTGGTGTGTATTTTACACTCACGGTACATCTCAATTTGGACTATCCAAATTTCAAGTGCTCAGTCGCCACCTATGTGCTACTATTTATAGCCACACAGGGCCCTAATGACCATCTCTGCTACTCCTTTTAGTGCTAATCTTCTCCTAAGATTCAGGTCTATCTTACGTTTCAAATAGACTTCTGCCTCGAGGTGGCGCTAATGTTCTTTGTTTTGTCCCTGAAAACATGTTTTTGGATAGGGGAGAATTCTGCCATTCTTATATTATTTATTTATTTACTCATTTATTCCTTTCTTCCTTCATTTATTTAATAATTTTTGAGTCTAGAATCTACTGACGGTAAGTATATTATATTCTCTGTAAGCTTGTCTAATAACTAATGTCTAATAAAGTTATTATTAATTATGCCAAAGTAAATCATGGAAGGAATACTTAACGTCATTGTTATCCATTCTTGATAGGGAGCTGTATGAGATTGATTTCTGATTATATAATATTTTTAGATATAGGATGGTGACCAGGTATTTAATAGAGCCACAGTGGAAACAGTAAAATTGCTGACTAGTGTAGGTCAGATTTAAATACATTTGTGACATGATTGTTTATGAGAAGGAGGAAAACATTTCTCCATCTTCAATTTTATCTAACGCAGGATGACTGGTGCTTTGTATTGGTGGCTTGTGCGTTGAGTTTTCTGAAAGGGAAATGATGAATATAAAAAGTAACCTCAACATCAACTGTAATTTCGCCAATACACCAGGGATACTATACCTGAGAGATTACTTTTTTCTGGAAAAATGATTTTAATACTCACACTTAGTTTTAAGAAGGTATGCCCACTGTGCATTTTTCAAAAGCCTGATATTTCTTTTGCCTGAGTGTGCCTCTAATGATAACTAAAATATGTTAGGTTTTGTGAACAAGTGGGTTACATGAGTTAACTCACCTCCACAGTAAACCAGTGAGGTAGATACTTTTCTCATTCCCACATTTCGAATGAGAAAATGGGTGCTCTAGGTATTAAATAACTTGTCCTGGGCACATAACCATTAAGAGGTAGAATGTGAATTCATATTCAGTCTGTTTGATCCCAAGGTTTGTTCTCTTAACTACTACACTGCATTGAGGAAGCTCTCTTCCTCTATCTTAAGCTAAATTTAACAATCAGTCAACAAAACAGTCACCAAAACCACAATCTACAATATCCAAGTCTACATATCCATGATGGGGCGAGGGTTGTCTTTTATAATGATAACCCATAACATGCTTTAAACAAGGCCAGAGAGCCAAAAGCTCAGGTACCTTTTGTCATAGTTCTCATTTAACTAATGACTCCCTAAGCCAAGTCACCTAAACTCATTTTGTTTCGAGACGGAGTCTTGCTCTGTTACCCAGGCTGGAGTGCAGTGGCCCGATCTTGTCACACTGCAACCTCCGCCTCGCTGGTTCAAGGGATTCTCCTGCCTCAACCTCCTGAGTAGCTAGGATTACAGATGCATGCCACCACACCCAGCTAATTTTTTGTATTTTTGGTAGAGATGGGGTTTCACTCTGTTAGCCAGGATGGTCTTGATCTCCTGACTAAACTCATTTTCTAAGTGTATAAAACAGAATGAATAAGAAATCTCTTTCATGAATGTATAGATCGAATTCATCACCTGATTTCATGACAACTCACTTTACAAATATAAATTCCTCCCAGTAATCATTGTAAAAGCAAACTCACTATATTTTATCACACATAGATTTCCCAGCAGTTTTTTCATGTGCTCCCTTTTTGATGAATCCAAACAAAATGGTGTGTGTGTAAGTGTGTGTATGTGTGTGTGTGTATGAGATAGAGGTGAATTCACATCCTTTCTTTTCCACCTACTGGCTCTGTCATCTTGGGCAGCTTACTGATTCTCTCTTGGAATACCAGTTTCCTTAACTGAAAATCATGGTTGAGATATATTTTTTTTCCTGAGGATGTTTCATGAGAATGAAATGAGATGATATATGTGAAGTCTGTAGCACATAGTTAATCTTCAATAAATGTTAATTTTACAGAGCAATAATAATACAGAAATATCAGTAAGCTACTTGTATGCCTGCTTACTTGAGCTTTTAGAGGAATTTTATATCTAGTGACAAATGAAGGTGAAAAGTGAGACTATTCCCCAGGCAAAGAAAGTCTACTGCCTCCAACGCCCCCAAATTCTCAATTCCTTGATGAATTTAGGCCAAGTGAATCTAAATTATGCAGCAAACTACTTCAGTTCTTTGCTTTGGCAGTGAAAGCCACTTTTCTTAGTAATATCGTGGAAAGGGGCTTGTAAAGACATTGTGGTATTTGGTTCCCGATCTTATCCAAGTCACCTGGATGAAAATTTTTTGTCTTTCCTTCCCATATTTCAGACAGAGGATTTACATTACTTTAATATATTATTGATGCAGGAGATACTACGAAAACATGATTCTGGGCTGACTTTTCTAGGTCTTGATTTGGAAGCATAGCTTAAGGTTCACAGGCAGGAAAAAATATGTTGTTTTAAAAATGTCAACATTTCCTGATATAAAAGTGTTTCTTTTTTTTGGTTTCTTTTCTTCTTTTTATCTCTCCTCCTCCTCTTCATTCTCTCCCTCCTCCTTTTTCTTCTTAGTCTGTGTGTGACTCCATCTGAGAACATGCAAATTCTGAAACTTTTCACCAGGTTCTTGAAAACCAGCCCAAATGATTTTTCCTGATCAAATTTCCTCTTTTATTTTTGGCCAGGAACAAAGCCACCTAGGCCAAGAAATCACAGTTCACCTCACATGTAGGAAGAAGGAAAATCGATTTCAATAGATTCACAGGGAAAGCATGATCTCAGAATATTCCCTCAGGGCTCAGAAGGACCCCAAACCAATATAGAGTATAAAAATGCCCCTGTTTCTCATGTTCGTAAAAGGAGCAGAGAGCTGGAGATGGAGGGGCAACTTTATCAGGGAAAAAGGCAGACAAGGACCTGACATGAATGATATCTTAATGCAGCAGAGAAGGATGATTCAAGCCTAATGGTTTTGGATTATATAAAAGGTTGAGTTGAGAGAATTTTCCCATAAAGGAAGTTGGTATTTGCGGTCCTTTCTATAGAGTAACTATAAAGCAGACTGTTTCCTGTGTTAAACTGGTAGTGGGAGGGGGAATCAAGAAATGATTATGGAAGGAGAAAGAGAAGGAGGAGGAGGAGAAGGAGAAGGAGAGACAATTGCCCTTTACTCTCCTCACCTACTCTCCTGCCTGTCCCACACCCACTCCACCTGCACAGATTTGCTCATATCATTGAGGGACCAATGGTTAGGGTAAGGCACAGAGGTGCAGTGGAAGGAGTATAGGCTTTGTACTGAACGAAACTGAGTTTGAATCTCTGCTCAACTCCTAAGTGACCCTGGAAAACCCCTTAACTTTTCAGCCTTAATTTCCTCCTATGGAAATGCAAACATCATCTGCCTTGATAACCTTAAGTTGTGGTGAGAATCATATTAGGTAATGGAAAGGAAAGTGCTTTGTAAATGGTTGAGTGCTATAAATATAAAGTCTAATGATAATAATAACATACAGAATTAATTCATCTTGCATCGATGGATTTCTGCAGATCTGAGGTTTGGCTCACTGATGAAATCTTGTTTCCTTTTCTTTGTTAAATAACAGATGGGAGGACTTGGTCAGCCTCCATCAGACGGAATTAGTCATATTCCAATGTAGAAGAGCCAGCCAGCACCTTGCTCTCAGGGCCTCAGCTCTTACTCTCTACATATCTATATTGTGAAAAGTACACAGTGCAGTCCCCACCCAAGCCACACGCTAGACAACTTACCTAGGCTTTCTTATGAACTCTCTGCTTTACAGGAGAGAAAACTGAGAATCCAAAAATGAAGATACTCACTCAAGTTCACACAGCTATTAAGTTATAGGGCCAGGATTCTAAGATAAGGACCCTTTTTTCTCATGGGGAATATAGAGGTATGGTTTTCCCTGCCTTACCTTCCCCTTCTCCTTCCTCTTCCTCCTTGCCCTCTTCCCTCCTGCTCCCTCTCTTCCTCTTTCCCCCTGCTTCTCTTTCTCGTGATATGAAGCTTTCTTCACCAAAGAAGCAGGAGAAGTTTAAAAGGATTAAAACACAGGCGAGCCTGTGGAAAGCAGTTTGGCAATTTCTCAAAAAACTTAAAACAGAATTACTATTCGACCCAGCAATCCCATTATGGGGTGCATACCCAAAGGAATAGAAATCGTTCAACTGTAAAGACACATGCACATGTATGTTCATTGCAGTACTATTCACGATAGCAAAGACATGAAATCAATCTAATATCCATCAGTGGTAGGCTAGGTAAAGAAACTATGGCACATATACATCATGGAATACTATGCAGCCATAAAAAGAGCAAGATCATGACCTTGGCAGCAACATGGATGGAGCTGGAGGCCATTATCCTAAGCAAACTAACACAGGAACAGAAAACCAAATACCACATGTTCTCACTTATAAGTGGAAGCTAAACATTGAGTACACATGGAGACAGAGAAGAGAACAAGAGCCACTGGAGCTTACCTGAGAGTGAAGAGTGGGAGGAAGGAGAGGGTTGAAAAACTACCTGTTGGGTACCATGCTCATGACCTGGGTGATGAAATAATCTATATGCCAAACACCCACAAGACATAATTTACCTATATAACAAACTTGTACATATATCCTTGAAACTAAAATAAAAGTTAAGAACAGACAGGTGAGCAAAAGTTGAAACTCTTTGCTAAATATGGCTTTTCAAGTATCCTGAGGAGAGCACCAAAGAAGTGAACCTGTGAATACATGGAGTTTCTTGGTGAGCATATCCCACATGGGTTTGTGACTTTCTCTGTAAGAGCTTCTTTCTTTTAAAAATGTTGTTCATATAAATTGCATAAAAATACATGAATACATTTTCATTGTAAATTTTAAAATTGAACATTACAGGTAAAGTTAACATCCCTTTTGACCTCCTTTTTCTCAGTCCCTTCCCCAGAGGTTGCTGTCATTTTAGTATGTATGTTTTTAGAACTTTAAAAATTAGTTTATACACATTTATCTAGATCTAGATAAATATATATATCAATTGTATATGTATCAATTGTACTTATCATTCTATAGTTTGTTGAAAAATATTTATTCAATAACATAATTTGGAGATATTCCCACATCTGGACACAAACATCTGCTTCATTCTTTTACTGACACATAGTGTGAAGCCATTGTAATTTAAGCATTTCCCTACTGATGAACCTTTTTTTTTTTTTTTTTTTTTTTAAGACGGAGTCTCACTCTGTCACCAGGCTGGAGTGCAGTGGTGTGATCTTGGCTCACTGCAACCTCCGCCTCCCAGGTTTAAGTGATTCTTCTGCCTCAGCCTCCCGAGTAGCTGGTATTACAGGCATGTGCCACCACGCCCAGCTAATTTTTGTATTTTTAGTAGAGACAGCATTTCACCATGTTGGCCAAGATGTTTCAATCTCTTGACCTTGTGATCCGCCCACCTTGGCCTCCCAAAGTGCTGGGATTACAGGCATGAGCCACCGCTCCTGGCCTTACTGATGAACTTTTAAAGGCGGTTTTCATTCTATTGTAAACAGTGCTCCAATGAAAAACTTATACACATATGTGGGTGTTTCTCTAAGGTGGATGCTATAATACTGGTTGGTTGGCTCCCATCCACCACTTAACCTCTGTTCTCAAAAGGGAGTTACCATGATCTGTTGGGGTTTTCTAATTTCAGCAAATTGTCAGTTGTATACATTATAATTTTCATGATCTTTACTTTTGTGCTTTTGTGACAGTACAGATTAAAAAATATGGTTTGCATTACTCTTAGAATAATCAACCCTGCACTTGACATGGTTGAGGGGCATGTGTGTATAGTTTATAGATTAATAGTATAGTCCGAATTGCCCTCCAAAGTGGCTATACCAACATATGCTCCTGCCAACACTGTCAAGAAAACTCATTTCCTCAAGTCCTCCCCAACATCTGATATTTTTCGACATTACACATTTTGCCAATCTAATGGAATGAAGAAAAATAACATTTCATGGACGGGTGCAGTGGCTCACACCTGTAATCCCAGCACTTTGGAAGGCCAAGGCAGAGCGATCACTTGAAGTCAGGAGTGCGAGACCAGCCTGGCCAACATGGTGAAACCCTATCTCTACCAAAAATACAAAAATTAGCTGGGCATGATGGTGCACGCCTGTAATTCCAGCTACTCAGGAGGCTGTGGCAGGAGAACTGCTTGAACCTGGGAGGCAGAGGTGGCAGTGAGCCAAGATCGTGCCACTGCACTCCAGCCTGGGCTACAGAGTGAGACTCCATCTCAAAACAACAACAAGAACAACAACAACAAATTTCATTGTTGGTTTAATTTGCATCTTTATTCTGCTTTTCTTCTTAGGCAAAAATGTCCTCATTAGGGAGTTCTTATGTCCTTATCAAGCAGTGGGGAGTCCATCCCCAGATCTGTTCTATCCCAGCACCCCTGGGTGTGGGCTGGAGAAGATGCCTGGAACAGTGCGGAGGTCTGGAGCTCCACATGTGCACACCTCTCCCCCAGGGCTCAGCTCCTATTTTGCAACTTCTGATAGCTTGCCTATCCATGATCCAGCTCTAGAATATTAGGATATGTTTAGAAATGCTGTAAAATGATCACATGCCAGCTCTCCCCTTGTTTTCCTATTTATACATACTGTATGTTATGCCAGATATGCCAATTGTGTTTAAATTGAGGACCTACACTGTGGAATTTTTTTTTTTTTTTTGAGATGGAGTCTCACTCTATTGCCCAGGCTGGAGTGCAGTGGTGCGATCTCGGCTCACTGCAAGCTCCACCTCCTGGGTTCACACCATTCTCCTGCCTCAGCCTCCCGAGTAGCTGGAACTACAGCCACCTGCCACCATGCCCGGCTAATTTTTGTATTTTTAGTAGAGACGGGGTTTCACCATGTTGGCCAGGATGGTCTCAATCTCTTGACCTCATGATCCACCCTCCTCGGCCTCCCAAAGTACACTGTGGAATTTTAACAAAACAGAAAAGTTTTGTGATTATGAAAGTACTAAGTGTACATTATTTAAAACTTGAAAAGTTAAAGAAGTAGAAAGCTATCTTCCATGTACAGGCAACCATTGTCTCATCTTAACCATTGTTAAGATGAAAATAGATGTTTTGAGGAAAACACAGTTTCAGGTGCAAGCATATCTACCTTTTATCTAGATTTTACAAGTGCCTGCTATAACCATTTTTTAAACATTCAGGAAGGTAATTTTCTTATTTCCCCTATTAGGTTGTTTATGAGTGTGTTTGTGCTTTGCTCATTCCGATTCTCACACAAGCTTTGAAAAGCTCAATAATCTGTGAAACTATCTTGGCTGAACTGGACTTCAGACCCAGAGGTGCCACATGTCCTAGGAGTAGACAAGCCTCTTAAACTTCCCTAGAGGGATAGGAGAACTTTACAATTGTCTTAAAGCACTCTCAGGGGATAACCCCTTATTTGCATGAGGCCCAGGAATCCCAACTGGAAAGAATATGCGACCCTTCCTCAGCTGGTGTTGAAAAACATAGATGTGCCCTGATGCCTGGGAAAAAGTCTAGCAACACGGACCAGATTGAATGTAGGGAAGCAGTGGCTCCAAGTTAAACACGAGCCTGTGCCTGCCCAGTGTCTTGGCTGCATTTACTAAGCTCCTAGGTTGTGCCAACTGAGGAGACAAAGACAACTTCTTGCTTCCCACTCTCTAATGCAGCCAATGGGAGAGGCAATTGGCTGTTCATTTTGCACACCAAATTCCTGGAGAAAGATTTTCTTCAATAAGTGCAAAAGAATATTGTTTATCATGGTGAAGATAAATGCACAAGGCTGCATAATTTTTCACAGTTGATTAAGAGACATGTTGAATTAAATGTTTGGAATCATTTCTGTTCTATTATGAAAATTATTTGTTGGCTACTACTTGTTTCCTTTTCTAATCCACAGTTTATATAATTGACTCTGAATATTAAGCAGTGATTGAAATGGGTTGCTTCAGAACAGATGGTTTCCTGCTATTATATAGAAAGTGCTTTCTGAAATCCCCTGCCTTAGGAGCTGTGATGCCCTGCATCTGAACAGTAGCCTACACTACCTTGACGTTGGCTGCAATAAAATAACTCATGATGGGATGGTGTATTTTGCTGTCATACTGAAAAGCAATACTACCCTGGAAATAATAGATGTCTTTTAACAGAATAGAAAATGTAGGCACTATCTCAGTGAAACTCTTACTTCACACATGAGGAGTCTTAAAGTGTTGTCAGCAGTCAGCAAAAACATGGATGGAGAACTTGTTGCACTTTAACAATCAATGAAAACAAATTCCACATTCTCTGTATTAGTTCGTTTTCATGCTGCTGATAAATACACAAATGAGACTGGATAATTTATAAAGGAAAAGGAGTTTAATGAATTCACAGTCCATGTGGCTAGGGAGGCCTCACAATCATGGTGGAAGGCAAAAGGCACATCTTACATGGTGGCAGGCAAGAGAGAAAATGAGATCCAAGTGAAAACGGAAACCCCTTATAAAACCATCAGATCTCATGAGACTTATTCACTGCCATGAGAACAGTTTGGGGGAAACCACCCTCATGATTTAATTATCTCCCACCGGGTCCCTCCCACAACATGTGAAAATTATGGGAGCTACAATTTATGATGAGATTTGGTTGGGGACACAGCCAAACCATATCATTCTCTAATATCTACCTTTGGGGAAAAAAACACATTTGTTAGGGCTATATGCATGGCATATTCAGACTTAATTCAAATGGGGCGTCTAAAAACAGACAATGTGGATGTGGAGCCATTTGTGGTGACAAACGCATGTGTCTTACAGAAGTCTCCAATGGCCTTAAAAGGCATTATTACTGGACACCAACCTAGGGAGAAGCTTACGACCATTCATTTCATGTAGGTTTTGCTCTTGTTCCAGTAGGTCAACATCTATGGAAAAGAAGCTCTAAAGTAATGTTCATGCATTTGTCTTACTACTTTCACAGAGATTAATATTTTATAGGCTATTCAACTTTTCTTTTATAAATTAAAAATAAAATAAAAGTTTTTCTGTAACAAGTAACCAAAAAAAGCTCAACTTAAAATGGCCTACAAAAAAAGGGGAATTCAGTAAATGAAAAGTCCAGGGACACAGCAGGTGCACTAGCTTGCTAGGGCTGCTGTAACAAATTACCAAAACCTTGGTGGCTTAAAACAATAGCAATGTGTGCTGTCACAGTTCTGGAGGCCAGATGTCTGAAGTCAAGGTACTGGCAGGGTAGTGCTCCCTCTGGAGGCTCTGAAGGAATTTGCCTGTTTAGCTTCTGCTCAACATTTGAGTTCATTGGAACCAAAATTGGAGTGTTTGTGGCTGTGTCCCAAACTCTGTCTCCATCTTCACATTGCCTTTCTGTCTGTCTGTGTGTAATCTCTGGCTTATAAGGAAGCATGGGATTGCATTTAGGGCTTGGATAATCCAGGATAAGCTCCTCCCCACAAGACCATCAACTCAATCCCATCTTTTGCCGTATAATATTCACTTTTTCTATTTAAGGTAACATTTGTAAGTTCCAGGGATTAGGATGTAGACCTATCTTTGTGGCCACCATTCAGCTCACTGCAGCTGGCTTGAGACATGCTGGATCAGACCCAAATTATGTCATCAGCACTTTGTTTCACATTATTTTTCAACTATCTTCTGGTGTGTGGCTTTGAGTTCAGTCTCCATTTATTGTACAGTGGTGGCAACGGCTCTAGATTTTATATACTCTCAGCTTCAAATCTGGTTGAAGCAAATCTTCTCTCCCAGATGCCTCAGTGAGAGTTTCATGGGGCTTCCTTACATCTCAGGAGTCACCCATCTGTTCCCAAACTGATCCCAGTAGCCGGGGGAATCTAAGGTTGTGATTGACATGGCCTGAGTCATATGATCGTGACATCAGCTCTTCTTCATCATCTAATCACATGGACTGGGAGTGGGGGAGGTGTGTGGGTTGTTACTACAAGAAAGGGAAGTGGATGCCGGGTGACAAGATAAAGAAACAAAAACAAATTGAAACAACAAACCCACAAATGTCCACAACATCAGCCTTGTTGATAAGATGCTTTAATAAGGCTCCTGCTCATACAGAAGAAGGAAGCAACTCTATGTAATGCAGGATTGCAGTGGGAAGAGGGTATCTGGTGAGTGGGGCAGGAGGAGAGACTTACTTGAGAAGGGTTTAATTGAGATTTTGTAAAGCTGTGTTCCATGTGAGATGACCCTTCCATGGGCTTCCGTGAATATTAAATAAAATCTAGAAAAATTACAATATGCTTAATTAAACAAATTAATTTCTCATTAAAATAATGAAGGGGTTGAATTTGCATCAAGTTTGGGGGTTGGCCAAAATAGAGTCAGCTCTTGTAGATGAAGCTGGGAGTGCAGACCTGGGTTACATGTAAAATAGAGCCAATGCTCTCTCTTCATAGGGTTGTGAGGGGTCAATTGAGATCAAGGGTATGAAAATGCTTTGTAAACCGTAAAGGGATACACTCCTAGGAGTTACACTTGAGTTGTTTTCATGACTTTCCTCTTAAGTTCATATTCATGTAGGCCTATTAGTTTCCCTCTGACCATCCCCAGACACTGTTGGCCATCAGGAATCAGTCAAGAATGTGGATAAATCTCCTGCAATCCATCTTTCCACCAAGAAATACCTCAGAGCACATCCCTGCTGATGGTAAGGCATCATAGCGAACAACCTGCCAGCTATGATGTATTAGGTAGACAGCAGTTTCAGAGCTTTAGTCAAGCTTCAGTAAATCAGACAAAAGTTGACTTCTTATATTATTTTATGTCAGGGCCTTTTACCTGGGACACATTGATAGGCGTGATTGCATCTGTTTAATCTTCTGAAATAGTATGCAAAATGTGTGTGTGTGTGTGTGTGTGTGTGTGTGTGTGTGTGTGTATCCATGACATGCTTCTTGCATCGTCCTGGGAAGAGGGTCCATGATTTTCCACAAATTCTCAAGGGAATCATGACCCCACCAAAGGTTAAGTGCTACTGACCCATAGTGTTTCCAGTGGGACTTTGTTGAAAGGTGAATGAAGAAATGTGAGAATTCTAATCCCACTCAGTTGTCAGCTTACTTCTACCATCTCTTTTCTGAGGCTCTGTGGTGCTGCTCTGATACAACATCTTAGGAAAAAGCAAAACATGTTGTGTGCGTGTGTTTGTATGTGTGTGTGTGTGCGCGCGGTACTTGTTCTTTCTTTTTTTAAAAAAGACTTATTTTGTGTTTATGTTTTTAATTAGAAAGATAATCATGCTACTTTTAGAAAAATTAGAAACTAAAGAAAAATAGAACGTGGTTTCTGCAAAGATCATTCAAAAACCTCATGAAAAAGTTGGCTGGCAGCATAGCCTAGTGAGTGTCAGATACAGCTGAGTTAGTGTTCCATGAAATTTTGGGAATGATGCTTAATCTCTGTGAGTCTGTCTTCTCATTAATAGCATTGAAATAATCATTGTATTTACTTCATAGGGTTCTTGTGGATTAAATGAGAAAATGAACGTACAGTGCATGCCTGACATTCAGTAAGTGCTTAATACATGATAGTGTTTGGTCATGACTATTGTTCTCTTTCCAATTGTGTTTGCATCCTTGAGATACTGTGTTTATGATTTTGTATCCTGCTTTTTTCTCTTTTCACTGTACTAATTCCCCATGTTATGTTGTACTTTTTATTAGCATTAGTTTCAATGGCTACATTATATGAAACACAGCAGATACACTCAAATTTACTGGACCATTCTCCTGTTGTTAGATATTGAGTGTTTTCAATTTTTAACTACAGTCATGTGCTGCATACCACATTTTTGTCAATGAGGGATTGCATATATGACAGCGGTCCAATAAGGTTATAATGGAGCTGAAAAATTCCTATCACCTAGTGACCTCATAGCCTTCTTAGTGTCAAAGCATAATGCATTACTCCTATGTTTGCGGTGATGCTGGTGTAAACAAACCTACTATGCTGCCAGCCATATGAAGCATAGCATATACTATTATGTACAGTACATAATACTTGATAATGATAATAAATGACTATGTTGCTGGTTCATGTATTTACTATGCTTTTTATGGTTATTTTATTTTTCTTTTCTTTTTTTTCTGAGACAGGGTCTCACTCTGTCACCCAGGCTGGAGTGCAGTGGCACAATCATAGCTCACTGCAGCGTCTACTTCCTGGGCTCAAACTATCCTCCTATCTCAGCCTCCCAAGTAGATGGGACCACAGGTGCGGGCTACCATGCCCAGCTAATTTTTTTTTTTTTTGGTAGGGATGGAGGTCTTGCTATGTTGCCCAGCTGGTCTTGAACTCTTGGGTTCAAGTGATCCTTCTGCCTCAGGCTCCCAAAGTGTTGGGATTAAAAGTGTGAGCCACTGTGCCTGGCCTTTTAAAAAGTCCTAAACACTAGACTACCAGGGATATTTTTATTTTTGAGTATATTCCTTCTAAGAAAAAAGTTAACTGTAAAATAGCCTAAGGCAGCTCCTTCAGGAGGTACTCAGAAAAAGGTATTGTTATCATAGAAGATGACTACAGCTCCTTGTGTGTTATTTACCTCAAAGACTTCCAGTGGGATAAGATGTGGAAATGGAAGACAGTGATAGTGATGATCCCAACCATGTGTAGGCCTGGCTAATGTGTGTGTTTGTTTGTGTCTTTGTTTTCAACAAAAAAATTTAAAAGTAAAAAATAAAATGTAAAAATAGAAACAAGCTTATAGAATAATAATATAAAAGAAGAAAATATTTTTGTTCCATTGTATAATGAGTTTATCTTTCAAGCTAAGTGTTATTACAAAATAGTCAAAAAGTTAAAAAATTTAAGTTTATAAAGTAAAAAAGTTACAATAAGTTAAGGTTAATTTATTATTATTGAAGATGGAATTTTTTTTTAATATTTAGTGTAGCCTAAGTGCAGAGTGTTATAAAAAGTCTATGGTAATCTACAGTAGTGTCCTAGGCCTTCACATCCAGTTGCCACTCACTGAGTTGCTCAAAGCAGCTTCCCCTCTTGCAAGCTCCATTCATGGTAAGTGCCCTATATAAGTGTACTCTTATAGAAAATTTATGTATTAAAAAGAAAACTTTTATACTGTACTTTTACCATACTTTTTCTTTTTTTTTTTTTTTTGAGATGAAGTCTTGCTCTTGTTGCCCAGGCTGGAGTGCAGTGGCATGATCTCGGTTCACTGCAGCCTCCGCTTCCCAGGTTCAAGTGATTCTCCTGCCTTAGCCTCCCGAGTAGCTGGGATTACAGGTGCCTGCCACATGGCTGGCTAATTTTTGTATTTTTAGTAGAGATGGGGTTTCACCATGCTGGCCAAGCTGGTCTCAAACTCCTGAATTTAGGCAATCTGCCCACCTCGGCCTCCCAAAGTGCTGGAATTACAGGCATGAGCCATCGCGCCTGGCTACTGTATTTTTTCTATGTTTAAATATATAAATATTTGCCATTGTGTTACAGTTGCCTACAGTATTCAGTACAGTAACATGCTGTACAGGTTTGTAGCCCAGGAGCATTAGGCTATACCAAACAGGCTAGCTGTGTAGTAGGCTATACCATCTAAGTTTGTGTAAGTACCCTCTATGATGTTTGCACAATGATGAAACTGCCTAATGATGAATTTCTCAGAAAATATTCCCGTTGTTAAACGACACATGACTGTACTATAAATGAATGATGTCATACACAACTTTGGATTTGTTGGTTTGTTAGAACTCAGATTAGATAATCTCATTAATATATTTTAGGCAAATATGCTTTAGGACCCCATCTGTTTATGCAGAGCAATGGGGGATTTTTGTGGATATATGTGATTGCTTGAAGATAGTTGAAAGACTAGAAGATGGAAAACCACTGTGAATTTTACTTGTAACTACTCCTTTTGGCTACTGGAAACTCCCAATTCTGATAGTTTCAACTGAAAGCAACAGGAGGAAAAAACAAAATAAAACATAAGAGAGACCCAGAAGAGGGGCACCTTGGTTATAGAAGGATAAGCATTTGCCAGGTGAAACAGACAGCCCCAAATAATAGTGGCTTCAATAAGTTAGTTTACTTTTTGTCTCCTGTAACTGTTCCAGTGTAATAGTCCAGCACTTGTTTGGTGGCCTCAGGGACCAGGCTCCTTTCATTTTGTCCTCATCGACATAGTCCAGGATGGCTCACTCATCTGGCTGGTGGGAAGGGGAAAATGAGAAAGAAGACAGTTATAGGCCGGGCGCGGTGGCTCATGCCTGTAATCCCAGCACTTTGGGAGGCCGAGGCAGGCAGATCACTTGAGGTCAGGAGTTCGAGACCAGCCTGGCCAACATGGCGAAACCCCATCTCTACTAAAAATACAAAAATTATCTGGGCGTGGTAGCATGCACCTGTAATCCCAGCTACTCAGGAGGTTGAGGCAGGAGAATTGCTTCAACCCCAGAGGCAGTGAGCCAAGATGGTGCCACTGCACTGCAGCCTGGGCGACAGAACAAGACTCCATCTCAAAAAAAAAAAAAAAAAAAAAAAAGACAATTGTCTGCTCTTCAGGAAGTTGTAGGCATCTGTATTAAGCTGTTCTTGCCTTACTATAAGGAAATACCTGAGACCGGGTAACTTATAAGAAAAGAGGTTTAATTGGCTCTTGGTTCTGCAGTCTGTACAGGAAGCCTAGCGCTGGCATCCGCTTTGGGGGAGGCCTCAGGAAATTTACAATCATGGTGGAAGTTGAAGAAGGACCAGGTATCTCACACGATGGGGGCAAGAGAGAGAGAGGGTGGTGGGGGAAGGTGCCACATGCTTAAACAACCAGATCTGTGAGAACTCACTGACTATCTCAAGGACAGCACTAAGCCATGAGGGATCCACCCCCCTGACCCAAACACCTCCCACCAGGCTCCACTTCCAACCTTGTGGATTACAGTTCTGCATGAGACTTGGTGGGGACATATATTCAAACTACATTAGCTCCACTTCAGCTCAAATTACATTGGTTACAAAATGGTCCTATGGCCACACCAAGCTGCATGGGAGACTGGGAAATGTAGCTTTATCAGGGGTTCTAGTTCCATAGGAGAAGAGAACAGATACTGAAGCATGACTAGCTGTCTCTGCCACATGGGGGTTTTAATACAAAAAGTGAACCTGCAAAGATCCAAGGTGGTGGATGAAGGAGATGTGAGAGAGAGAAAGGACGGCTTCTAGAGCAGTGCAAGTGTCTGGAGTGTGCATCGCATTTGCCTGGGTATCACCCTTCCTCCATCTTACTTTGGCTCAGTTCTGTTCCAAACTAGATACTTGCCCCCAGTTCCGCCTGTGCTTTCTTGCCTACTTGTTGGTATCATTCCTCTACCCACTACGCCCTTCTGTTTTGATGTCTTTTTCATTCAACAAGAATTTGGGGCCAGGTACAGTGGTTCACATCTGTAATTCCAGGACTTTGGAAGGCTGTTGAGGGAGCATTGCTTGAGCTCAGGAGCTCCAGACCAACCTAGGTCCTCCCTTTTCTCTCTACAAGAAAAGAGAAAAATTAGCTGGAGGCAGTGGCATGCACCTGTAGTCCCAACTATTTAGGAGGCTGAGGCAGGAGGATCCCTTGAGCCTAGGAGGTCAAGGCTACAGTGAGCCGTGATTGTGCCTTTGCACTCCAGCCTGGGTGACAGAGTGAGACCCTGTCTTCCCTGCCCCAAAAAACTAGGAAAGTGCAGGAGATGCTAAGTTACACCCTTATCGAGGAGCTTACAGTCTGGTGGCTGAGACAGACACATAGACAATGAAGTACAATTAGGATGGCTCATACTCTGATGGAAGCCTGTGCAGAGTATTGTGGGGGCTCCAGGGAAAGTGGGTCCTTTTCTAAGTAGGATGAAATTGAAGAATGATGTAGAAAGGTTTCATAGAGAGGTGGTATTAGTACGAAAACTGGATCTTGAAGAGTGAGAACGTGCTCGTCACACTGCTAGGGCATAGTGAGGGGAAGAAACAGAATGAAGCATAGAAAAGCATCCTCCCTGTGTGTGACAGTTAGAAGATAATAGAAGACCAATTTAACTCGGCTTGTGCATAAAGAGTGAATTTATTGGATCCTATAACTCAAAAATCAGAGAGGGTGGGAAATACAGATTCAGCTGGATTCAAGCATTCCATGGATGTTGTTTGGCCCAAATTTCTTGCCTTCTCTTAACACTACTTTCTACTCTGTTGACTTCATTTAGGCATGTTCTTCCCAGGAGGTAGTGGGGATGGCCACAAACACTCAATATTAAATGTAGGCTCTGAGATGCCCCAGCAGAATGATAGTTTATTTTCTTCTAATGGTTCAGGTTAAAGCTTCTAGTTATCTCTGATTGAACTGACTTGAATCCTATGCCCAGTCCTGAAAGTGAGTATGGCCAGGCAGCCCTAAGCAAACCACAGAAACTGAAGGTGCATTGGCTGCTGTTTCCTGAAGGGAAATGGGTGATATCTGCAGAAGAAGGAAAAGCAGATGTTGGGCAGGCAAGAACGACAGATGAACATGACAGTCTGCTTAGGGAGCTTCTAGTAATCCAGGATGGATAGAGCAAGAGACCAGGTGATGAGAGCTTTGGATGCTACTGGGCAGAGTGTGGACTTTATTTGGTGGGCAAGAGGGTGCCACTGGAGGGTTTAAATCAGGAATAACATGGTTCTTTGACATATTATTACTAATTGAAGTCCACACGAGGCTTCACTGTATATGTTGTACATTCTATGGGTTTTGAAAAATGGGTAACAGCATGTATCCACCCTTATACTTCATACAGAATAGTTTAACTGGCTGGGCATGGTGGACCATGCCTGTAATCCCAGCACTTTGGGAGGCCAAGGGGGGTGGGTCACATGAGGTCAGGAGTTTGAGGCCAGCCTGGCCAACATGGCAAAACCCCATCTCTACTAAAAATACAAAAATTAGCTGGGTGTGGTGGCATGTGCCTGTAATCCCAGCTACTCAAGAGGCTGAGTTAGGAGAGTGGCTTGAACCCAGGAGGCGGAGATGGCAGTGAGTTGAGATCATGCCATTGCACTCCAGCCTGCGAGACAGAGTGAGACTCCGTCTCAAAAAAAAAAAAAAAAAAAGTTTGACTGCCCTAAAAATCCCTTGTTCTCTACCTAGTTATTCCATCCCCTCAAGCCCTCGGCAACCAATGGTCTTTTTGCTCTCTCCCAAGTTTTTGCCTTTACCAGAATGACATATAGTTGGAATAATACAGTATGTAGCCTTTTCAGATTGGCTTCTTTCACTCAGTAATATGCATTTAAGTTTCCTTCGTGTCTTTTTATGGCTTGAGAGATCATTTCTTTTTATCGCTGAGAAATATTCCACTATATGGATGTATCACAGTTTGTTTATGCATTCTTCTATTGAAGGACATCTTAGTTGTTTCCACATGTTGGCAATTATGGATAAAGCTGCTACATATGTGCATGTGCAGGTTTTTGGGTCGAAATAAGCTTTCAACTCCTTTGAGTAAATACCAAGGAGTAGTGCTGGGTCAAGCATGGTCCTTTGCATAACCCTCTTTTATTTGCAATATACTTTCACATTCATTAATTTACCCAATTTTCACAGGAGCTCTCTGAGTTAAGTGAAGCATGTGTTTTTATTCCTACATAACAGGTGGGAAACTGAGGATCCAAGAATTTAAGTAAGACATACAAATTCACATAGTTGGTGAGTGTGTAACCACAACACTTAATCCAGCCTCTTCATACAGCCTGAAGTTTACAATAAAGCAATTAGCTGTAGCCAGAATAATTCTCATGATCTCATCCTACACCTCTCAAACAATGAGACCAGGCCAGTCTTAGAAAAATGGGGAAGTAGCAAGGTCCTTTCACTGTCTTCCTGGGTCCACACCCAGAGTCTGTCTTTCAGACGTCCTCTGGCTTTTTCTCCAGGATCAAAAGCACCCTCACTACTACCCTGGAGACTGCCCAGAAACAGGCCAGATAACTCGATGAAGTCATTCGAGTAATTGTTATTATTAATGACTCAGAGTGCTGCCCCTCCCAGATGAAATATGCATTTCATAGTAGTTTAAAGACTTATCTCAAAAGAGTGAAAAAATGTGGCAATTTTTAGCACCCTGGCAGGACTTGGAGGGTGGAGACAGATGAAGTGAGGTCTCTCAGTGCTCCTGAAATTATACCTCATATTTGGTTCAAACAATATGTCATACCTATAGGTAACGGGTATGATGGGTTAACTTCCTGACATTGCCATGGCATTTATTCTTTCATTTCATTCCAAGTTGCAGAAATTACCCCCAGAGAATTAGAAGAAGGTATCAATGGGCAAAATGACTTAAGTACAGTTACATTTCCTTTCAGTACCTAGGCCTTAATTTCCCCTTCAGTTATATATATATATGCACATATTTTAAATGAAAGCAAGTTTATTAAGAAAGCAAAGGAATAAAGAATGGCTACTCCATAGGTAGAGCAGTGACATGGGCTGCTCAATTGTGTATACTTATAGTTACTTTTTTTTTTTTTGGAAACATAAAATTTTATTAAAAACATATAACAAACAAAAATTACTAAAGGAAAGCCATAGGACTTGTTGCTGAGACATAGTGAGAAAAATGGTTGTTAGTCAGAAAAATTATTGTTGAATGAGGTGTGAACAATCTCTTTTCTTTTTCATTATACTTTAAGTTCTAGGGTACATGTACACAACATGCAGGTTTTTTACATAGGTATACATGTGCCATGTTGGTTTGCTGCACACATCAACTTGTCAATTACATTAGGTATTTCCTTGAATGCTATCCCTCCCCCAGCCCCTCACGCCCCAACAGGCGCTGGTGTGTGATGATCCCTGCCCTGTGTCCATGTGTTCTTGTTGTTCAACTCCCACCTATGAGTGAGAACATGCGGTGTTTGGTTTTCTGTCCTTGTGATAGTTTGCTTAGAATGATGGTTTCCAGCTTCATCCATGTCCTTGCAAAGGATATGAACTCACCCTTTTTTATGGCTGCATAGTATTCCATGGTATATATGTGCCAGGTTTTCTTAATTCAGTTTATCATTGATGGACATTTGGGTTGGTTCCAAGTCTTTGCTATTTTGAATAGTGCTGTAATAAACATACGTGTGCATGTGTCTTTATCGTAGAAAGATTTATAATACTTTGGGTATATACCCAGTAATGGAATCACTGGGTCAAATGGTATTTCTAGTTCTAGATCCTTGAGGAATCACCACACTGTCTTCCACAGTGGTTGAACTAATTAACACTTCCACCAACAGTGTATTTCTCCACATCCTCTCCAGCATCTGTTGTTTCCTGACTTTTTAATGATTGCCATTCTAACTGGTGTGAGATGGTATCTCATTGTGGTTTTGATTTGCATTTCTCTGATGACCAGTGATGATGGGCATTTTTTCATATGTCTGTTGGCTGCATAAATGTCTTCTTTTGAGAAGTATCTGTTCATATCCTTTGCCCACTTTTTGATGGGGTTGTTTGTTTTTTTTCTTGTAAATTTATTTAAGTTCTTTGTAGATTCTGGATATTACCTCTTTGTCAGATGGGTAGATTGCAAAAATTTTCTCCCATTCTGTAGGCTGCCTCTTCACTCTGATGGTAGTTTCTTTTGCTGTGCAGAAGCTCTTTAGTTTAATTAGATCCCATTTGTCTATTTTGGCTTTTGTTGCCATTGCTCTTGGTGCTTTAGTCATGAAGTCTTTGCCCATGCCTATGTCCTGAATGGTATTGCCTAGGTTTTCTTCTAGGGTTTTCATGGTGTTAGGTCTCACATTTAAGTCTTTAATCCATCTTGAGTTAATTTTTGTATATGGTGTAAGGAAGGGATCCAGTTTCAGCTTTCTACATATGGCTAGCCAGTTTTCCCAGCACCTTTTATTAAATAGGGAATCCTTTCCCCATTGCTTGTTTTTGTCAGGTTTGTCAAAGATCAGATGGTTGTAGATGTGTGGTGTTATTTCTGAGGGCTCTGTTCTGTTCCATTGATCTATATACCTGTTTTGGTACCAGTACCATGCTGTTTTGGTTACTGTAGCCTTGTAGTATAGCTTAAAGCTAGGTAGCATGATGCCTCCAGCTTTGTTCTTTAGGCTTAGGATTGTCTTGGCAATTGCAGGCTCTTTTTTGGTTCCATATGAACTTTAAAGTAGTTTTTTCCAATTCTGTGAAGAAAGTCATTGGTAGCTTCATGGGGATAGCATTGAATCTATAAATTACCTTGGGCAGTGTGGCCATTTTCATGATATTGATTCTTCCTATCCATGAGGATGGAATGTTCTTCCGTTTGTTTGTGTCCTCTTTTATTTCATTGAGCAGTGGTTTGTAGTTCTCCTTGAAGAGGTCCTTCACATCCCTTGTAAGTTGGATTCCTAGATATTTTATTCTCTTTGTAGTAATTGCTAATGGGAGTTCACTCATGATTTGTCTCTCTGTTTTTCTATTATTGGTGTATAGGAATGCTTGTGATTTTTGCACATTGATTTTGTATCCTGAGACTTTGCTGAAGTTGATCCTCAGCTTAAGGAGATTTTGGGCTGAGCCGATGGGGTTTTCTAAATATACAACCATGTATCTGCAAACAGGGACAATTTGACTTCCTCTTTTCCTAATTGAATACCCTTTATTTCTTTCTCTTGCTTGATTGCCCTAGCCAGAACTTCCAACACTATGTTGAATAGAAGTGGTGAGAGAGGGCATCCTTGTCTTGTGCCAGTTTTCAAAGGGAATGCTTCCAGTTTTTGTTCATTCGGTATGATATTGGCTGTGGGTTTGTCATAAATAGCTGTCATTATTTTGAGATATGTCCCATCAATACCTAGTTTATTGACAGTTCTTTGCATGAAGGGCTATTGAATTTTGTCAAAGGCCTTTTCTGCATCTATTGAGATAATCATGCGGTTTTTGTCATTGGTTCGGTTTATGTGATGGATTATGTTTATTGATTTGCATACATTGAACCAGCTTTGCCTCCCAGGGATGAAGCCGAGCTGATTGTGGTGGATAAGCTTTTTGATGTGCTGCTGGATTCAGTTTGCCAGTATTTTATTGAGGATTTTTGCATCGATGTTCATCAGGGATATTGGTCTAAAATTCTCTTTTTTTGTTGTGTCTCTATCAGGCTTTGGTATCAGGATGATGTTGGCCTCATAAAATGAGTTAGGGAGGATTCCCTCTTTTTCTATTAATTGAAATAGTTTCAGAAGGAATGGTACCAGCTCCTCTTTGTACTTCTGGTAGAATTTGGTTGTGAATCCATCTGGTCCTGGACTTTTTTTGGGTGGTAGGCTATTCATTATTGACTCAATTTCAGAACCTGTTATTGATCTATTCAGAGATTCAGCTTCTTCCTGATTTAGTCTTGGGAGGGTGTATGTGTCCAGAATTTATCCATTTCTTCTAGATTTTCTAGTTTATTTGTGTAGAGGTGTTTATAGTATTCTCTGATGGGAGTTTGTATTTCTGTGGTATTGGTGGTGATATCCCCTTTATCATTTTTTATTGCGTCTATTTGATTCTTCTCTCCTTTCTTCTTTATTAGTCTTGCTAGCGGTCTATCAGTTTTGTTGATCTTTTCAAAAAACCAGCTCCTGGATTCACTGATTTTTTGAAGGGATTTTTGTGTCTCTATCTCCTTCAATTCTTCTCTGATCTTATTTATTTCTTGCTTTTTGCTAGCTTTTGAATGTGTTTGCTCTTGCTTCTTTAGTTCTTTTAATTGTGATGTTAGGGTGTCAATTTTAGACCTTTCCTGCTTTCTCTTGTGGGTATTTTGTGCTATAAATTTCCCTCTATACACTGCTTTAAATGTGTCCCAGAGATTCTGGTACATTGTGTCTTTGTTCTCATTGGTTTCAAAGAACATCTTTATTTCTGCCTTCATTTCATTATTTACCCAGTAGTCAGTCATTCAGGAGTGGTCGTTCAGTTTCCATGTAGTTGTGCAGTTTTGAGTGAGTTTATTAATCCTGAGTTCTAATTTGATTGCACTGTGGTCTGAGAGAGTTTGTTGTTATTTCTGTTCTTTTCCATTTGCTGAGGAGTGTTTTACTACCAAGTATGTGGTCAGTTCTAGAATAAGTGTGATGTGGTGCTGAGAAGAGTGTATATTCTTTTGATTTGAGGTGGATAGTTCTGTAGATGTCTATTAGGTCTGCTTGGTGCAGAGCTGAGTTCAAGTCCTGGATATCCTTGTTAACCTTCTGTCTTGTTGATCTGTCTAATATTGACAGTGGGGTATTAAAGTCTGCCATTATTATTGTGTGGGAGTCTAAGTCTCTTGTAGGTTTCTAAGGCCTTGCTTTATGAATCTGGGTGGTCCTGTATTGGGTGCATATATATTTAGGATAGTTAGCTCTTCTTGTTGAATTGATCCCTTTACCATTATGTAGTGGCCTGGCCTTCTTTGTCTCTTCTTATCTTTGTTGGTTTAAAGTCTGTTTGATGAGAGACTAGGATTGCAATCCTTGCTTTTTTTTTGCTTTCCACTTGCTTGGTAGCTCTTCCTTCATCCCTTTATTTTGAGCCTATGTGCGTCTTTGCACATGAAATGGGTCTCCTGAATACAGCACACCAATGGGTCTTGACTCTTTATCCAATTTGCCAGTCTGTGTCTTTTAACTGGAGCATTTAGCCCTTTTATGTTTAAGGATAATATTGTTATGTTTGAATTTGATCTTGTCATTTTGATGTTAGCTGGTTATTTTGCCCATTTATCGATGCAGTTTCTTCATAGTGTTGATGGTCTTTACAATTTGGCATGTTTTTGCAGTGGCTGGTACAGTTGTTCCTTTCCATGTTTAGCGCTTCCTTCAGGAGCTCTTGTAGGGCAGGCATGGTGGTGACAAAATCTCTCAGCATTTGCTTGTCTGTAAAGGATTTTATTTGTCCTTCACTTATGAAGTTTAATTTGGCTGGATATGAGATTTGGGGTTGAAAATTCTTTTCTTCAAGAATGTTCAATGTTGGCCCCCACTCTCTTCTGGCTTGTAGGGTTTCTGCCATGAGATCCGCTGTTAGTCCGATGGGCTTGCCTCTGTGGTTAACCTGACCTTCCTCTCTGGCTGCCCTTAACATTTTTTCCTGCCTTTCAACCTTAGTGAATCTGACAGTTATGTGTGTTGGGGTTGGTCTTCTCGAGGAGTGTCTCTGTGGTGTTCTCTGTCATTCCTGAATTTGAATGTTGGCCTGCCTTGCTAGGTTAGGGAAGTTTTCCTGGATAATACCCTGAAGAGTGTTTTCTAACTTGGTTCCATTCTCCCAGTCACTTTCAGGTACACCAATCAAACGTATGTTTGGTCTTTTCACATGGTCCCATATTTCTTGGAGGCTTTGTTCATTTCTTTTTACTCTTTTTTCTCTAATCTTGTCTTCTCGCTTTATTTCATTAATTTGATCTTCAATCACTGATATCCTTTCTTCCACTTGATCAAATCAGCTATTGAAGCTTGTGCATGCATCACGTAGTTCTCATGCCATGGTTTTCAGCTCCATCAGGTCATTTAAGGTCTTCTGTACATTGTTTATTCAGTTAGCCATTCGTCTAACCTTTTTTCAAGGTTTTTAGCTTCCTCGCGATGGGTTAGAACATGATCCTTTAGCTTGGAGAAGTTTGTTATTACTGAGCTTCTGAAGCCTACTTCTGTCAACTTGTCAAACTCATTCTCCATCCAGTTCTGTTCCCTTGCTGGTGAGGAGCTGTGATCCTTTGGAGGAGATCTGTTTTTTGGAATTTTCAGCTTTTCTGCTCTGGTTTCTCCCCATCTTTGTGGTTTTATCTACCTTTGGTCTTTGATGTTGCTCACCTACAGATGGGGTTTTGGTGTGGATGTCCTTTCTGTTGATGTTGATGCTATTCCTTTCTGTTTGTTAGTTTTCCTTCTAACAGTCAACCCCCTGAGCTGCAGGTCTGTTGGAGTTTGCTGGAGGTCCACTCCAGACCCTGTTTCCCTGGGTATCACCAGCGGAGGCTGCAGAACAGCAAATATTGCTGCCTGATCCTTCCTCTGGAGGCTTTGTCCCAGAGGGGCACCCGCCTGTTTGAGGAGTCTGTTGGCCCCTACTGGGAGGTGTTTCCCAGTCAGGCTACATGGGGGTCAGGGACTTGCTTGAGGAGGCAGTCTGTCTGTTCTTGGAGCTTGAATGCCCTGCCGAGAGAACCACTGCTCTCTTCAGATGCGTCAGACACGGACATTTAAGTCTGCAGAAGCTTTTTATTCTACTATGCCCTGCCCCCAGAGGTGGAATCTATAGAGGTGGTAGGCCTTGCTGAGCTGTGGTGGGCCCCGCCCAGTTCACGCTTCCCGCCTCTTTGTTTACACTGTGAGTTACTCAAGCCTCAGCAATGGTGGACGCCCCTTCTCCTGCCAATCTGCAGTGTCGTAGGTTGATCTCAGACTGCTGTGCTAGCAGTGAGCAAGGCTCCGTGGGTGTGGGACCCATCAAACCAGGCACGGGAAGGTATCTCCTGGTCTTCCGGTTGCTAAGACTGCAGGGAAAGCACAGTATTTGGTCAGAAGTGTACTGTTTCTCCAGGTACAGTCTGTCACGGCTTCCCTTGGCTAGGAAAGGGAAATCCCCTGACCCTTGCACTTCCTGGGTGAGGTGATGCCCCGCCCTGCTTCGGCTCACCCTCTGTGGGCTGCACCCACTGTCCAACTAATCCCAGTGAGATGAACCAGTTACCTCAGTTGGAAATGCAGAAATCATCCGTCTTCTGTGGATCTTACTGGGAGCTGCACACTGGAGCTGCTCCTATTTGGCCATCTTGGAAGCCAGTTATTTCTTGATTATATACTAAACAAGGTGTGGATTGTTCGTGAGTTTTCCTGGAAAGGGGAGGGCAATTCCAAGAACTGAGGGTTCCTCCACTTTTTAGACCATATAGGGTAACTTCGTGACATTGCCATGGCATTTGTAAGCTGTCATGGCACTATTGAGAGTGTCTAGTGTATAATGAGCAGTGAGGACGACCAGAGGCCATTTTTGTCACCATCTTGGTTTTGGTGGGTTTTAGGCAACTTCTTTACTGCAACCTGTTTTATCAGCAAGGTTTTAGTGACCTCCTGTCTCATCCTGTGACTTAGAATGCCTAAACTTTCTGGGAATGCAGCCCAGTAGGGCTCAGCCTTATTTTACCCAGTTCTATAGTCACTCTGGTTCAAACACCTCTGACATATTTCCCCCCTCCCTGTTACAAGGGAACCCTTAATCCTAAAGGTTCTAGAGGGACAAAGATCCATCTTCTGTAACTTCTTCAAGGCTCCCATCAGTAATCTTTATCACCCTCGTAGGTTTATTACCCTGAGTGAAATATATCACATTTCTTGTTGGGGTAGAGGTGGCATGTCACAAGCATTATAGGAGTATTTTAGTTTCCTCTCTATAATCTCCACACCACTACAAATACACATGTAATCTGAATACAGGCTACTAGCTATCCAAAGGCAGCTTCATGACAAATCTCTTCCAACCGGGTTGCTGCCGCTAAACCGTGTCCTTGTAGAGACTTTATGGCTAACACAGAGAAAGCATTCTAAAAACAGTTTTAGAAAATAAAATAAACATTCCGGCATGAATTTTGACACTATTCCTCAAATGTAGGAAGAGCAGTGCCCTGATTGTTACAATGAGGGGCTGGCCTCTATCCAGCATGCTGTATTTTTATTTTTTACCACAAAATGACTCAAATTCCTTCCTTTTGCCATTAAAATTTTAGTAGTTGACTGGACTTGGGCACCTCTGATCTTGAATAATCTTAGACATCTTACAGTGAATGAAAACATTGCTTGCCTAAATATGATTCCAATATATATATTTTTAAGATTGAGGATTTCTGGGTCACTGTTTTATTTCTTTCCTGAACTGCAGAGAGGCTGTTGGCTACCTCTGTACAGCTTTTGGGTGAGGAGAGTGTAACTTAGAGCCGTACTCAAAAGGAATCATCTTTGGATGTTAATGATTTTCCAAGGGGAGATTTTAATTCAGTTCATTCTGGGTGCCAGTGTCAGGATGAGATTTTCAGGGTTCACCCAGAGCGATCGTTTATAACAATACCAGTAGAGCATTTAAGTCAGTATATCTTTCTATGGCCTTCCATTGCCCTCAAAATAAAATCCAAACTTCTTAACAAGGCTTTAAGGCCCTTTACAATCTATCCCTCTAGCCAATCCAGTGGTCCTCTATCCTTGGGATCCTTGGGAACTTATCACTTCTGTCGAACTTGAGTCTGCAGTGTAACAGTTGCTTACATTCTATCTCCCCCAGTAAGTTGTGAGCACTGGATTCTCATTCCTGAGCACAGGACATGGTGTTCTGTAGCAATCCATAAATATCTGATGAATGAATTAATGAATGAAAAGAATTCAGGCCAGATGCGGTGGCTCATGCCTGTAATCTCAGCACTTTGGGAGACCGAGGCGAAAGCATCACTTGAGGCCAGGAATTTGAGACCAGCCTGGCTAACATGGTGAAATCTCGTCTCTACTACAAATACAAAAATTAGCTGGGTGTGGTGGCACATGCCTGTAATCCCAGCTACTTCTGGAGGCTGAGGCACGAGAATCACTTGAGCCTGGGGGGCAGAGGTTGCAGTGAGCCCAGACTGCACCACTGAACTCCAGCCTGGGTGACAGAGTGAGACTCTGTCTCAAAAAAAAAAAAAAGAAAGAGAAGAATTCATTGATGAACCCACAGTATAGAATGAGCTATGAGTACTTTACTAGACAGTCAGCTTAGGCAAATGTAGTAATATAAGCCTGTGAAGAACATTGGTCTACTATTAACTTGTTTTTCCTCACTGTGAAATCAGTAAGCCCTTCAGTGGAGAGAGGCCAGAAGGATTCATTCTGCCCTGGCTCCATCTACCCTGATAAATTTTCTTTTTTGGCCCTAGCATTGCATTGTCTCAAAGCCTCTTGTCAATGCCTCACTCCTCTGAATCCCATCCTTGTGTGCACTGGAATGGGTTCTTTCCTTTATGAGAATTTTAATAGAAATTGCTAGGACTTCTCAGTCTATCTGAATGAAATTGTACAAAGTTCACAGTCTAAGGATGATCCTATTTCAATAAGCTGGACTCTTGGTGTTTTTAATTTGCTATTGTAAGACCTCTGTGTTGCCTGACCTTGAAGAAGCCTGACTTCCTTTATTGTGCCTTCTGCAGAAAGCAGAGTTCTGCTGCCTTTTCCTGGGGCATATTTTTCTCTGTCCCATTCTATCTCTTAGCTTTATGCAGGAGCATTGGCAGATATGATCAAAATCACCACCACCCCTGTGCTAAGTACTCCATCCATATTTAATATTTTTATTTTCATTTAAACATTTTTTTTTTGGTAAAAAATATGTAATGCTTCATGAACTTGTGTGTCATCCTTCAGCAGGGGCCATGCTAATCATCTTCTCTTATCATTCCAATTTTAGTATATGTGCTGCCAAAGTGAGCACTCTATCCATGTTTATTCATGGAATCCTCACAACAGCCTATGGAGTAGGTGCCGTTATCATAAACTTCTCTTTGCAGATGAGGAAATTGAGGCATAGAAAGACCGATTTGCTCGAGGTCACATCTAGGGACGCTTGTGGCCTAGCTCCAGGACATTACACTCACCTGGATTTTTCTTGGGACCACTTCTCCTCTGTGTGTTACACTAGCAAATATTCTGCATCTTCCACCATCCTTGCTCTAGCAGCCAGAGCTTTTTTTGTCATACTGACCTTCATGTGGACTTTATAGGCAGAGCCATGAAAGCAAAGTGCTTTCCTTTCATGTGGTCTTCATTTCTTCAGTCTGCCTTTCCTTCTTGCTGACAGTCAGCCCTCGACCTTGTGCTGAGTGATCTGTGGGTATTCAGCAGTTTTCCCAGCCATAAGAGAATCCTGCTGGAGGAAGGATGATGTGACAGTATGAAGCAGTGGGGGTTAAGTTTAGGTTGTGGCATGTTCGAGAGGCTGTCGGGAGAACTACAGTGAGAAAATGTCTGAGACCCTTTGGTAAAATACTGCAGAGTCATGTAGGCTTCATACCATCCATGTCTATCACTGTTTAGAATTTTCAAAAACAGAAACAGTTTTGTGAGCCAGGCGGGGTAGGAATTATCATTATTATTTATTTTTTGGCTGAAAACCGCAGCTCAGAAAGCAAAATGATTGGCTGTAGGTCATCCAGCTACTAAGCAGTGAAGCAGGTTTAGCACTTCTGTTTCCTTTCCCCACAGCGCCCTGTTTCTCTGTGATTGTACAAGCAGACAATGAATAAAAACCAACATCCTCTATCTTCATAATTGAAATTTTTCTTTTGTTGCTTTCTCAGAAAACAAATGTGAAATGAACTTGTAGTCCCTGTTGACTGGCTATTGCTACCACCTTCCTTCTCACTTACAAATTCTAGTGTGCTAAGGTGGTGATTGTGATGAGCAACTTCAGAGGGGCCAAGGCTCTGGTTGATGGACCAGTGATCAAATCGTTTTGTCTGGAAATCCGGCTGACTCGTACATGAGTCTGGATTATGGAAGCCTACTGGCTTGTATGACCGTGAGAATGTCACATTATTGCTCTGTTCTTATTTCCATCTCTCTTCCAGGCTATGGGAAATTATTATATGCTGCTTGAAGTATAGTGACGTAGGAAAAGAAAGATTATTTTGAAACTTCCAAATGATGTAATTTACTTCCATCCTGCCATGGAACATTCCACCATGTGTTTGTGTGATATTCACTTTTACTTTCCCCTCTCCATCCTTCACCAGGTGTTATTTTTTTCAGCATGAGGATGTATTATTTTTATTTTTTTGAGACTAGAGTTTTACTCTTGTCGCCCAGGCTGTAGTGCAATGGCACGATCTTGGCTCATTGCAACCTCCGCCTCCCGGCTTCAAGCAATTCTCCTGCCTCAGCCTTCCAAGTAGCTGGGATTACAGGCACCTGCCACCATGCCTGGCTAATTTTTGTATTTTTAGTAGAGACAGGGTTTCACCATGTTGGCTAGCCTGGTCTCAAACTCCTGACCTCAGGTGATCTTCCTGCCTCGGCCTCCCAAAATGCTGGGATTACAGGTGTGAGCCACTGCGCCTGGCCTAGAATGTATTATTTTTATATAAAATGGCCTGCAACAAATTAACTCTGCTCTATTATTGTTATTATTACTATTTTTGAGAGAGGGTCTCACTGTGTTAACCAGGCTAGAGTGCAGTGGCACGATCTTGGTTCACTGCAACCTCTGCCTCCCGGGCTCAAGCGATCTTCCCACCTCAGCCTCCGTAGTAGCTGAGACCACTTTTGTATGCCACTACTTTCGGCTAATTTTTTAAGGTTTTTGTAGAGACAAGGTCACACTATATTGCCCAGGCTGGTCTTGAACTCCTGGGCTCAAGTGATCCTCCCTTTTTGGCCTCCCAAAGTGCTGGGATTACAGGAGTGAGCTATTGTGCCCTGCCAACTCTACTCTAATTGTAACTTAAGCCTCCAAAGTGGAATGAAGAATGAATGCCAAATTTGCTTTATAATAAGGGAGAAAAAAAACACACTCAATTATAAGCAATCTTTACATTTCTTCCTCTATTCACTTGTATACATTGTCTATTTTACTTAAAGGAAAAGTTCTTTATATTCATTTTAATTTACTAAAACTTTGTTTCATGCCTACTTTTGGCTTTTTCCTGGTTGATTCTCCAAACAATGAGACACAGTGTCCGTCCTCATAGAGCTGACAAATTTGTGATGAGAAATGAAAAAAACGTTGGTTTTCTAAAGATTCTCTGGAGGCAGAAACAGGATTGTGACACACACAGAATTGTGGGGCTTCTAGGCACATCTCTTCCCAGTAGTGCTTTGCCAGCCCCATAGTGTCTGCCTCTGTGCAGTGGTAGGTTGCTGGTCATCCGGATGTTCTGACCCTGGAAAATGCTGCCGTCTCCGGCTCTTTCTCTGTATGGTCCAGCTCACTGCTCATTTGAGCCATTTATTCCCACAGCTTTCCTCCACTTTCACAAGAGGAAAAAGCATCCATTATCCCTAACTCTGTTATACTCTCACACATTGATTACAAAGCAGAGGTACTTTGTGTTTTCCCTGCTTTATAGGAATGCTTCAAATTATAAATTGTAAAACTTAAAATTGTAAAAAAAAAAAAAGTAGACAAATAAAAACAAAACTCATTCACTTTTTATATTGCAACTCCTCTTTTTTTTTTTTTTTGGAACTTCCACTAGACTTTAAGTTAAGCTCCCTGAGGTCAGGGACTGGGTCTCTCTTATTTCATCTGCTGCTGCCTATGTCCAGTGCAGAGCCTGGTCCATATTAGTCACTCAATAAATATTTTGTTAAATGCAAATGGATGACTCCATGACTCAGGCATGCATCCCTGTGAACGTGGCCAAGGACAAGCTGAGTGGCAGACACCATGCCGTACTAGAAATTATCCCTTCTTCTGACACTGGCTGACTTTCCTTGGAACGTGTTAGTGTGACTTGGCCCTCTCTTCCCTCAGGATGAGTTCATTTCCCAAGAGGCTTCTCAGACCCTCATGTAAGTAGAACCTTGGCAGACCCACCCTGGGAGCCCTCCAGACTTGGCCAGGTCCTGCCTGGATCCTGGAGTGAAGGCAGCCTGGGCTCAAGCCAGGGTTCAGCTACATAAACAATGACAGCTGGGATGTCAAATGGAAGGACAAGAACTATGAGAGAGAAAAACAGTTACTCCTGACTGGGAAGGTCAAGGAAGACATCGGGCAGGTGATCAGAGGAATGCACCAGCTGCAGGAGCACAGTCACGGGGCACAGAGGAGCACAGTGTTCCTGGGGAGTGGTCAGAGGCCCGCTGTGGAGAATAACACTGGGAGACAAGAAAATAAAGATTGTTTGGGGACAGTCATGGACTTTATTCTAGAGGCCAAGAGAAGCAATTTGACCTGAGTTTGGGGAAGCATCACTATGAAGGATGGATTGAGGGGGAGAGTTGGAAAACTGCTTAAAAAGCTCCATCAATAATCCAAGGGATAGCATTGAAGATGACCAAAGCCAGGGCAATAGGACCGCAAAGTCCCCTCCACTTTCCAGTATTTACTTATTTTTGTATCCACAATACTTCCAAACCCAGTGTCAGGCCCAGAATAAGTGGTCGGGAAGTATAGAAGACTGGGTAAATAAAGCACAAATAAAGAAGACATTGGGAATGTAGAATCAATGAATCCATAGGTTGTGAGTGTAAGGGGGTTGGTGAGGGGAAGGAAGAAGATGAAGATAAAATGAGGTTTTAGGTATTATATCTATATGGTTGGAACATTCCTACAGGAGTACAAGGGAAAGCAGAAGCAGATGGTGTTTGAGAGGATTATGACAACCTCTAATGAAGACTTACTTGGTGGCAGGCATACCTCTAAATACCTTCCGTGTAGTAACTTATTTCATCCATATGATAACCTTATGCGGCGGATACCATTATTCTTTGACAGATGAGGACACCAAGGCACAGGCAGGTAAGATAACCTCCTGAAGCCACACAGCTAACAAGTGGCACAGGCAGAATTTGAATTTTTGTCTCTTGGTTTGGTACCTGTTGTATTGCAGATACCTGTGAAATGCCTGTGGTTAAATTTCGCAGGCCTAGAAAGACAGCCTGCATGCAGCTTTGCAGATGCTCTTTTAGGTCCTTTGGTGTCAATGTCAGTTCTGTAATTCTAACTAGGTCTATTAGTCATGGTCCTTCAGAGAAACAGAATCAACAGGATGTATATGTATGTATATGTATATTCATCCTGTTGTAAATGCGTGTATCTATATATCTAATCTATATCTATATCTAATCTAGATCTATATCTTGAGAAAGAGAAAGAGAGAAACACAGGGACAGAGAGACATTATTTTAAGGAATTGACTTATGTGACTGTGGAAGCCAGCAAGTCTAAAATCTGCAGGGGTGGGCTGGCAGGCTGGAGATGCAGGGAAGAATTGAACTTTGGTCCGAAATCCACCTTCTCCCAGGGAGGGCAGTCTTTTCTACTAATGTCTTCAGCTGAGTGGATGAAGCCCACTGCATTATGGAGAACAGTCTGCTTTACTCAAAGTCTACTAATTTAAATGTTAACCTCATCTAAAAAATAGCTTCAGAGAAACATCTAGAATAATGTTTGACCAAATATGTAGATACTGTGGCTTGGCCAAGTTGATCCATAAAATTAATTAATCATCACACTAGGGCTCAGAAATAGGGACTTCAATGAGCCTCGTAGGTGGCAAGTGCTGAGCTCCCACTGTAGTAGCCTTTGTGGAAGCAGGCATTGAAGTGTGAATCATTCCTTGATGAATTTGGAAAATTTTAGCCTTGGATTATCAATGCTGATCATCTTTAGAACAATATATCTAGGCCGGGTGCAGTGGCTCACGCCTGTAATCCCAGTACTTTGGGAGGCTGAGGCAGGTGGATCACCTAGGTCAGGAGTTCGAGACCAGCCTGGCCAACATGGCAAAACCTGGTCTCTATCAAAAATACAAAAATTTGCCAGGCATGGTGGTGGCGCGCCTGTAATCCCAGCTACTCGGGAGGCTGAGGCAGGAGAATGGCTTAAACCCGGGAAGGGGAGGTTTCAGTGAGCCAAGATCATGCCACTGCACTCCAGCCTGGGTGACAGAGTGAGACCCTGGCTCACTGCAATAATCATGGAAGTGTGGATATCTCTTTGATACACTGATTTCCTTTCTTTTGGGTGTATACCTATGAGTAGGATAGCTGGATAATATGGCAGCTCTATTTTTAGCTTTTTTGAGGGACCTCCAAACTGTTCTTCATGGTGATTGTACTAATTTACATTCCCACCAACAGTGTATGAGGGTTCCTTTTTCTCCACATCCTTGCCAGCATTTGTTATTGCCTGTCTTTTGGATAAAAGCCATTTTAACTGGGATGAGATAATATTTTATTGTAGTTTTGATTTGCATTTCTCTGATGATCAATGATGTTGAGTACCTTTTCATGTGTCTGTTTACCATTTGTATGCCTTCTTTTGAGAAATGTCTATTCAAATCTTTTGCCCATTTTAAAATCAGATGATTTGTTTTTTTCCTGTAGAGTTGTTTGAACTCCATATATTGTGGTTACACTTGTCAGATGGGTAGTTCACAAATATTTTCTCTAGTTCTGTGGGTTGTCTTTTTACTTCGTTGTTTCCTTTGTTATGCAGAAGCTTTTTAACTTGGTGTGATCCCATTTGTCCATATTTACTTTGGTTGCTTGTGTTTGTGGGGTATTACTCAAGAAATCTTTGCCCAGACCTATTTTTATTTATCTACTTATTTTTAGAGACAGGTTCTCACTTTGTTGCCCAGGCTGGGGTATAGTGGTGCAATCATGGCTCACTGAAGCGGTAAACTCCTGGGCTCGAGTGATCTTCCCACCTCAGCCTCCCAAACAGCTGGGACCACAGGTGCACACCACTGTGGCTGGCTAATTCTTTTTTAAAAGTTTTTTTTTAGAGATCTATCTTACTATGTTACCTAGGCTGGGTCTTGAACTCTGGGCCTCAAGCAATCCTTCTGCCTTGGCATCCCACAGTGCTAGGATTACAGGGCTGGGCCACCATGTCTGGCCTCCAATTTATTATGGTAGTAAAAAGAAGGCTGTTTTAGATCTGTGGAGTGCATTTCCATCCCACTAGAAGTATATGAGTTTTGTGCCTGACCCAGACTTCTCAGGTAATAGTGAGCAGCACCAGCCATCATAGGCAGCCAGGCAAGGCCTAAGCTAAAGTCTTATCCCAGCTTGATCTTAGCATCAAGTTACTTTCTTCTTCTGAATCAAAACATTCATATTCCCACATATTTTCTCTGTGAGCATTTTTGATGAATATTTATTGGCCTGGGTTATATTGCCTTCTTCCCCAGTATATATTTACTGGGGCTAGCACTTTTAAATTTTCAGAAACTACCACAAGTATTGACATTTATTTTCCAGGCTCCAAGAAAATATTATCTATGCTGTTTGGAAAGACATTATTTGGTGTCTGGTTAGTTAAGAAATGGAGACATTGAAATCTGACCTTAATTTGGGCTCCTAAACTCCTTTTTGAGAGTATAATTTTTATTTGTGTATAAGAATATTTTAAAAAGAAAAGTATATTTAGGCTTTACATAGTACATTATAAACATGAATTTATTCTTTCTTATATTTTGAGTAGAGTCAGTAAAACCCTTAAAAGGGTAAATTGGCCTAAATTATTCAGTGGTCAAACCAGGAATTAAACCTTCGTCTCCAGATTCCCCAACCAGGGCACTCTAGCAGGCAGTGGTGGACTGGCTGACATCCAGGGAGGTCTGATGGAAAGAGCACAGACTTTGGAGTCATGGGTTCAAATCTCTGCCCTACCCTTTACCAGCCGCATACATTTGGACAAGTTACTTGATGTCTCTGAGCCTTATTTACCTCATTGGTCAAACATACGCCCATCAAGGGTTTTTTTTGTGAGCACTCAATGAGTTAACTATATGTGTCTGGCACAGAACACGCATACAATGTCTGTGCCCTTATTCTCTTGCCTTTGGTTAATAATCCTATGCATGCTTCTCTCACAGAGGATAAATGTTTCTCGTTTTGGATCACTCAGGAAAAACCCTGCTCTGAAGATAAGGAAAAATGTCCACTGATTTTTTTGCAAGTTATCTTGGACTCTATTAATAATACATTCTCTGGTATTATTTATGAAATAACTTTGTATAACATGTATTTGAGCAGTATTTCCCACTAAACACTAATGCACTTAAAAAAAAGCACTTTTTACCTATTACAATCCCGCTTTTCTATCCTTGATAACAGAAGTTGCAATATAGATTCTTTTTTTTCTTCCTTCCTCCTCCTCTTCACCTCTGGGGCCCACAGGGGTACTCAGGAAAGAATTTACTTGGTTTTCTCTTTGGTTCATTGTTAAATTTGGGATTAGAAACACTCATAAATAGAATATTAAAAGTTTCCCCAACCATACAGGATGATGCTCAGGAGCCACACTTTTAGCCACACTAAAAAGTAGAGTAGGGTGTAAAGAAAATCTAGACAGGAGTTCCTTTCTGGTGGATCTGAATGAATCTGTATGTGCCCTGTCACTTAAGACATATCTAATCAGGAAAACTATCAAAATAAAACAATTACAATTACAATTTATTTAATAATAATATCTACCATTTATTAAGTATTTACTAAGTACAGGAGATGTGATAAGCATTTTATATGCTTTAACTTATTTAAAGGCAAGGCTACTATTATTCTCAAGTTACAGGTGAGGAAAATAAGATTTATTCAAGCTTGCACAGCTTGTAGTAAGTGGCAGAGCTAGGCTCTGAATCACCAAGCATATCTTCTGTCTTCCAGTAACAATAACTATCATTCTTGGAGACCTGATGATGTGTCAGGCATTATGCTAATTTCTATTCATACATTATCATAACATTCCCATGATGTAGGCATTAATATCTTCATTTTAGAGTTAAAAAAACTGAGACATTCTAATTATATTAATGACTTATTAACTTGTACTTCAATCATGTGTCTGCACATTGATAAATGACGTTCATAATTTGAGGTATTGTTAAATCTTTAAAAGTATTTAAAACAAAAATAATTAAATGAAAGTAATTGATATATGTGCTTAAAAACAAAGTAGAACAAGGAGCTTGTAATAAAAAGTCATAGTCCCTAGCTCCACTGATCTCTACTCCACATTCATTCTCCAGAAGCAATCAATTTCAACAGTTTCCTTGTGTTCTTTTGGGATATCTATCCATAAATCTAGAAAATGTATTTACAGAATTAGTTCTTAATTTATCCAATTTAGACATTTTCTGTTGATAATTTAGCTCACTCATATTCTTACCTCATCCACCCTTATTCTCCTCTAGATACAGTTGTATCTCTATATTCAATTTCAAAAACAAATTTAAACCTTCGTTTCTTTTTTATTCCTTTTTTGGGCTGGAGGATGTCTTCCTGTAACTTCTTAAGAAAAAGTGACTCTTTTCCTTGATATATTTTTGGATGATCAAATAAGGCTTTTATTTTTTCTTTTCTGATTGATTATTTGACTAGGTATAAAATTCTAGGTTGAAAATATTTTTTTCTCTAAAATTGGAAGGCTTTGAGGTAATACAAGTAAGATAGGAATAGGAGTTTTCAGCCGTCATGCTCCCCATAGAAACACTTATTCTGACAATCACCCGTGGATGAGAGTACTCAAGAGTCCAGTAGAGGAGTCCAATGGAGAAATCCCTGTGCCTGTTGGAACAAACAAACAAAAAATCAAGAATAGATGTATTGAAGAGGCTAAGAAAAACAGTTTTGAACACTTTACCCACATCATCTATCCAATGTGGCACACCTTGGTGCCAAGAGAAACTCCTTCAGCCTGCAATTTCTCCAACAGGGGAATGTGACAGCATAGTGAGAACTGGCTTCCCCAACCATGCAGGATGATGCTCAGGGCCACACTTCCGTCTTGTTCCACTCAGATCACTGGGAATATCAGCATAGCTGAATAATCATGGGATAGCAAGGAGCAGAGGAAAAAGGTGGGGGCTCACAACAAGTGGGGAGTGGAATTCAACAAAGGGCCATGGTTTCTACTAACTGCCTCAAGAACTTCACTAAGAGGACTGCCCACAAACCTCATAGAACACATCACCTGCAGCTCCCCTAACTGGCCAACATGCATCCCCAGCACTCCAAGCCCCCCACTCCTGTAGCTGGCATCTCATGCATGCCCTTACAGATGGTGCATGTGAGTCTCTGCAAATTATGCACAAACACATGCAGACAGCCAGATCAACTCTGCAGGATTGGCAGAAGGTGTAAAGGTGTTTGATCTTAAACACTTCAGGGAACTGCCCCAGGGAAAATAAATGGGAGGCTCACTGCACCTGGCCTGCCTTTGTGGGACCAAAAGAAGACATACAATTCTAAGACCCACCCCCCACCCCACCAACCAAATAGGGGCAAGAGAAGTGAAGCAGGTACATCCATAAAAAAGGTCTGAGTGACCCCAGAATTCCTAGCTGGGCTGACTGGTGCAGGTCCTTCTATCCTGAAGTCAGCCAGCAAAGACTGAAGGATGTCACTGCTTCTTCACATGTAAAGAGAGCAATGTAAGACTTCAAGAAACACAAAAACAAAAAATCAAGGAAGCACGACATCACCAAACAGCACAGTAATTTTTCAGTAACCAACCCCAAATAAATGGATATCTAGACATTACCTGATGAAGAATTCAAAATACTTGTTTTAAGGAAGCTCAGCAAACTACAAAATAAAACAGAAAACTCAGTAAATTCAGGAAAACAATACACGAACAAAGCTAGAAGATGAGCAAAGAGAAATGTAAAAAAAAAAAATTAAATTCTGGAGCTGAAAAATACAATGAGTGAAATGAAAAGAGCAATAGAGAGCTTCAACAGCAGACTTGATCAAACAGAAGAAAGAATTTGTAAACTTCAAGGTAGGTCATTTGAAATTACCCAGTCAGAAGGGGGGAAAAAAGAAATGAAAAAGAGTGAAGAAATTCTGCAAATTTATGGGACACCATCAAGTGAACCAATATATACAATTAGGAAGTCCCAGAAAAAAGAAGCAGGAAAGAGGGCAGAAGGCTTATTTAAAGAAATGAAGGCTAAAACTTTCCAAATTTTAGGAGCGATATGAACACCCAGGTTCATGAAGCTCCAGTGTCCCCAGTAGAATCAACCCAAAGAAGATTACACCAAGACATATTATAATAAAGTTGTCAAAAGTTAAAGACAAAAAGATAATCTTGAAAGCAGAAAGAGAAAAAACAACTTGTAACATATGAGTAAACCCCCCTCCATAAGGCTATAAGCAAATTTATTGGCAGAAACCTTGCAGGCCAAGTAAGAGTGGGATGATATATTCAAAGTGCTGAAAGAAAAAAATTGCCAACCAAGAACACTATACCTGGCATAGCTGTCCTTCAGAAATAAAGGAGAGCTATTTTCCCAGACAAACAGAAGCTGAGGGAATTCATCACTACTAGACCTGCCTTATGAGGAATGATAAAGGAAGTTCTTTAAGTTGAAATGAAAGAATGCTAATTAGTAATATGAAAATATATTAAAGCATAAAACTCACTGGTAAAGGTAGGCATATAGTAAACTTCAGAATACTAAAATACTATAATGGTGGTGTGTAAATAACTTTTAATTCTAGAACAAAAATTGACAAAAGTATTAAAAATAACTATAGCTAAAATAATTTGTTAATGGGTACACAATAGAAGATGTAAATTGTGACATCAATAACATAAAATGCGTGTATGTAGAAGTAACAGTGTATAGTTTTCTGTGCAATTGAAATTGTTATTAACTTAGAGTAGATCATTATAATTATATGGTGTCTTATGCAAGCCTTATGGTAACCATAAAGGAAAAACCTCTAGTAGAGACACAAAAGATAACAAGAAAGGAATCAAAGGATACTACCACAAAAATAAACAAACCATAAAGCAAGACAGCAAGAGAGGAAAAAAGGAACAACAAAAGTCATAAAACAATGACCAAAATGGTAATAGTAAGTCCTTACCTATCAATAATTATTTGAAATGTAGATGAATTATTCTCTAATAAAAGAGCTGGAGTGGCTGAATGGATAAAAAACAAGATTGAACAAAATGCTGTCTACAAGAGATACATTTTAGCTTTAAGGATACAGATAGGATTAAAATGAAGGGATGGAAAAGACATTCCATGCAAATGATAACCAAAAGAAAGCATGAATGACCATACTTACATTAGACAAAATAGACTTTAAATCAAAAACTGACACAAGATGCAAAGGAGGTCATTATATAATGGCAAAGGGATAAATTCATTAAGAGGATGTAGCAATTATAAAATATATCACCCAACACTGGAGCACATAAACATATAAAGCACATGTTAACAGATTTGAAGGGAGAAATAGAGTAATAATAGGGAACTTCAGTACCCCCATTTCAACAATTAATAGATAATCTAGACAGAAAATCAATGAGAAAACAGTGGACTTAAATCATACTGTAGACCAAATGGCCCTAACAGACATATACTGAACATTCCATCCAACAGCAGAAAAATACTCATTCTTGTTAAGCACACACACAATTTTCTCCAGGACAGATCATACGTTTGACCACAAAACAAGTATAAATACATTTGAGAAGACTGGAATTATATCAAGCATATTTTCTAATCACAATGGTATAAAACTAGACATCAATAACAAAAGGAAAATTAGAAAATTCATGAATATGTGTCCATTAAATAACACACTCCTGAACAACCAATGGATCAAAGAAGAAATCAAAAGGGAAATCAAAAAATACCTTGAGTTAAAAATGGAATATACCAAAACATGAGATACAGCAAAAGCAGTTCTAAGAGGGAAGCTTATCATGACAAAAGTCTACATTAAAAATGAAGAAATCTTAAATAAACCACCTAACTTTACACCTCGAGGAACTAGAAAAAGAAGAACAAACTAAGTCCAAAGTTAGCAGAAAAGGCTGGGCGTGGTGGCTCATGTCTGTAATCCCAGCACTTTGGGAGGCTGGAGGCAGGCAGATAACTTGAGGCCAGGAGTTCAAGACCAGCCCGGCCAACATGGTGAAACCCCATCTCTGCTAAAAACACAAAAATTAGCCTAGTGTGGTGGCACATGTAATCCCAGCTACTCAGGAGGCTGAGGCAGGAGAATCGCTTCAACCTGGGAGGTGGAGGTTTCAGTGAGCTGAGATCGTGCACTGCACTCCAGCCTGGGTGACAGAGCAAGACTCTGTCTTTTTTAAAAAAAAAAAAAAGGTTAGCAGAAAGAAGGAAATAATAATGATTAGAGAAGAAAAAAATGAAATACAGACTAGAAAAACAACAGAAAACATCAATGAAACAGAGTTGGTTTTTTGAAAAGATAAACAAAATTGACAAATCTTTATTTAGGCCAACCAAATAAAAGCAAGAGAAGATTCAAATAAATAAAACAATGAATGAAACAGGAGACATTATAATGGATAACACAGAAATAGAAAAGAGCATAAGAGACTACTATAAACAATTACATCCCAATTAATAGGATAACCTAGAAGAAATAAGTAAAATAAAAATCCTAGAAACAACGTATCCGGGAACCTGCCCTGAAAATCATGTAGGTTCTTTTCTAGTTTCCCTAAGCATTGGCTGGCTTGAGAAATAAAGGGACAGAGTACAAAAGAGAGAAATTTTAAAGCTGGGCGTCCGGGGAAGACATCACACGTTGGTAGGATCCGTGATGCCCCACAAGCCACAAAAACCAGCAAGTTTTTATTTGGGATTTTCAAAAGGGGAGGGAGTGGGCAAATAGGTGTGGGTGACAGACATCAAGTACTTAACAGGGTAATAGAATATCACAAGGCAAGTGGAGGCAGGGCGAGATCACACCACAGGACTGAAGCAAAATTAAAATTGCTAATGAAGTTTCGGGCACCATTGTCATTGATATCATCTTATCAGGAGACAAGGATTTGAGATCAACCGGTCTGACCAAAATTTATTAGGAGGGAATTTCCTCTTCCTAATAAGCCTGGGAGCGCTATGGGAGACTGGAGTCTATCTCATCTCTGCAATCTCGACCATAAGAGACAGGTATGCCCCTGGGGGGCCAGTTCAGAGACCTACCCCTAGGTGCGCATTCTCTTTCTCAGGGTTGTTCCATGCTGAGAAGAAGAATTCAGCGATATTTCTCCCATTTGCTTTTGAAAGAAGAGAAATATGGCTCTGTTCTGCCCGGCTCACTGGCGGTCAGAGTTTAAGGTTATCTTTCTTATTCCCCGAACAATTGCTGTTATCCTGTTCTTTTTTCAAGGTGCTCAGATTTCATATTGCACAAACACACATGCTGTACAATTTGTGTGCAGTTAATGCAATTATCACATAGTCCTGAGGTGACATACATCCTCCTCGGCTGACAGGCACAGGAAATCACAAGGGTATTGATTGGGGAAGTGATAAGTGTCCATGAAATCTTTACAATTTATGTTTAGAGATTGCAGTAAAGACAGGCATAAGAAATTACAAAAGTATAAATTTGGGGAACTAATACATGTCCATAAAATCTTCACAGTCCACGTTCTTCTGTTATGGCTTCTGTCAGGCCTCTGAGCCCAAGCCAAGCCATCGCATCCCCTGTGACTTGCACATATATGCCCAGATGGCCTGAAGTAACTGACGAATCACAAAAGAAGTGAATATGCCCTGCCCCACCTTAACTGATGACATTCCACCACAAAAGAAGTGTAAATGGCCGGTCCTTGCCTGAACCGATGACATTACCTTGTGAAAGTCCTTTTCCTGGCTCATCCTGGCTCAAAAAGCATCCCCACTGAGCACCTTGTGACCCCCACTCCTGCCCGCCAGAGAACAAACCCCCTTTGACTGTAATTTTCCTTTACCTACCCAAATCCTATAAAACGGCCCCACCCTTATCTCCCTTCACTGACTCTCTTTTAGGACTCAGCCCGCCTGCACCCAGGTGATTAGAAGCTTTACTGCTCACACAAAGCCTGTTTGGTGGTCTCTTCACACGGACTCGCATGAAAGCTTCAGCTGGTCCCTCCGTTTGGGGTCCCTGACTTCCCACAACACATATGATCTACTAAGACTGAATTATGAAGAAATGGAAAATCTGAACAGACCAATAATGAGTAAAGAGATTGAATCAGTAGTCAAAAACCTCCCAACAAAGAAAAGCCCAAGATTAGATGATTACCCTGGTAAATTCTACCAAACATTTAAAAAGGGAATTAATACCAATCCTTCCCAAACCTTTCCAAAAAACTGAAAAGGAGAGAACACTTCCAAACTGATTTTACAAGGCCAGAATTATCCTGATACCGAAACCAGACAAGGAAACACAAGAAAAAATTTCAGGTCAATGTCCCTGATGAACTTAGATGCAGAAGTCCTCAACGAAACACTAGCAAGCTGAATTCAACAGCACATTAAGAGGATCATACATCATGATCAAGTGGCATTTATCCCTGGGATGCAAGGACGATTCAACATACTCAAATCAATAAATGCAATACACCACATCAATGGAATAATGAAAAAAAATCACAAAATCATTTCTCTAGAAAAACTATTCGACAAGATTCAACATACTTTCATGATGAAAACTCTTAACAAATTAGGCATAGAAGGAATTTACCTCAACATAATAAAGGCCATATAAGACAAACCTGCAGCTAACGTCATACTCAACTGTGAAAAGCTGAAAGCTTTTCCCCTAAGATCAGGAACAAGACAAGGGTGCCCACTCACATCACTTCTATTTAACATAGTGCTGAAAATCCTAGTCAGAGCAATTAGGCAAGAAAATAAAGAAAAGTCATCCAAATTGGAAAGGAAGAAGTGAAATTGTTTTTGTTTGCAGATAACATAATCTGTCCTAGTTTGTTTTCTATTGCTTATATCAGAATACCTGCAACTGAGTAATTTATAAAGAAAAGTAATCTATTTCTTATAGTTATGGAGGCTGAGAAGTCCAAGGCTGAGGGGCTGCATCTAGTGAGGATCTTCTTGCTAGTGGGGAGTCTTGAGTGTTGAGGTGGCTCAGGGTATCACATGGTGAGGAGCTGAGTGGGCTAGCTCAGGTCTCTCTTCTTCTTCTTATAAACCCACCAGTCCCACTCCCATGATAATCCATTAATCCACAAATGGATTAATCCATTCATGAGGGCAGTGCCTCAATGAATACATTTATTCCAACCTCACAGCTCCAAAGTCTTAACTCAGTGCAGCATCAAATCTGAAGTCCCAAGTCCAGAGTCTCACCTGTGAGCCTGTGAAATCAAAACAGCTTATCTACTTCTAAGACACAGTAATGGTGCAGGCATAAAACAGACATTCCCATTCTAAAAGGGAGAAATAGGCAAAAGAAAGGAGTAACAGACTCCAGGCAAGTCGGAAACCTAGCAGGGCAGACATTACATTTTAAAGCTAGAGAATAATCTCTTTTGACTCCATATGGCACTTCCTGGACACACTGTGGTGGGTTTGGGCCCCCAAGGCCTCAGGCAGCCACCTCCACCCTCTGCATGGCTTTGCTGATCTCTTCAATAAATGGCGCTGCAAAATGCACCATTTATTGAAGAGATCAGCAGAAGAATGAATTTAGAACCTTATCTCACACGGTATACAAAAATCAACTCAAAATGGTTTAAAGACTTGAACATAAGACCTGAAATGGTAAACCTATTAGAAGAAAACAGAGAAAAGGCCCCATGACATTGCTTTGGGCAATGATTTTTTTTTTTTTTTGCTATGAACCCAAATGCACAGGCAATAAAAGTAAAAATAAACAAGTGGAATTGAGGCGGAATTGGTAGTCAAGGAAGTGACCAAGTTCTTGGTGACCCTGCAGTCAACACAATAAGTCAACACAATAAACCTCAGCATCAGCATTCACATTGCAATTGAGTTCATTAGGGCAAAGCTATCTTCAGTAGGGACTTTCCCCTCTAGAGAGCATGGTGCATTTTGATTTTACCTGTTCTCAAACTTACCCTTTGCTCATTATAATAGTAAAAAACACACCCCTGGGTGGAGATTTAAGATGCTAATAAGACATGTGATGTATGAACAAGTATGTACAGCTACTGCACATGTGCACCCAGAGGACCACCCAGAACGTGCTTACTAGTAACCCTCTTTCCACCTCCTTATAAATAATCATGTAAGACCCCCATAAAGGGAGTCTCCTTAGAGCCAGTCTTTGCTATATCATTCTTACAAGCAGTCCACCCTGAAATTCTCTCTCTCTCAGGGTGTACTGCCTATTCTGCACCTAACTTTCAAAATATTATTTTTCCTTTGCAGTACAATTACTCTGTGCTGCTTCTCCTTTGCTGTATGTCTCTTGTTTAAATATGTTTAAACTAAGAAGACAAGAATCGAGATATCACATCAGCCATCAACTTAATTGCATCAAACTAAAAAGCTTCTGTATAGCGAAGAAAAGTATCAATAGAGTGAAGAGACAACCTATGGATTTGGATATTCATCTGATAAGGGGTTAGTATTCAAAGTATATAAGAAACTCAAGCAATTCAATAGCAAAATCCAAATGACCCAATTGAAAAATGGGCAAAGGACCTGAATAGACGTTTCTCAGAAGACACACAAATAACCAACAGGTATATGAATGGGTGCTCAACATCATTAATCATCAGAGAAATGGACATCAAAACTAAATGAGATATCACTTCACACCTGTTAGAATGAGTATTACAAAAAAGACAAAAGATTGGCGAGGATGTAGATAAGAGGAGAACCCTTGTATACTCTTGGTGGGAATGTAAATCGTTACAACTATTATGGAAAGCAATACGGAAGTTCCTTAAAAATTTAGAAATAAAACTACCATGTGATCTAGTAATCCCACTTCTGGATATATATCCAAAGGAAAAGAAATCAGTTTCTTAATGAGATATCTGCATTCTCATGTTCGTTGCAACATTATTCAATAGAGCCAAGATATGGAAACAAGGTAAGTGGCTGTTGATGGATGAATGGATAAAGAAAACATTATATATAGAATAGATTACATAATTATATATAGATTATATATTTATATATTAGATATAACATATATAATTATATATTAATTAACATATTTAATATATTTATAGAAATTAATTTATATAAGTATAAATTAATATAATGAATTATAAGTATATTAATTAATATACTTATTAATTACATAATATAAATATATTATGATTATATATACTTATATAAATATATAATTATTATATATTGTGTAAATATATAAATACATATAATCTACTATATATAATGTTTTCTTCGTTCATCAAGAGATGGGTTGTTTCCATATGTTGGCGATATTGACCAATGCTTCAATGAATATGATAATGCAGATATCTCATCAAGAAACTTATTTCATTTCCATAAAAATATAACATAGTATATTTAATTATATATAATTATAATATATTTATATAATTATATAAATGTATACTTATATATAATTCAATATTTATATAATTATATATAATTCAATATTTATATAATTATATATAATTCAATATTTATATAATTATATATAATTCAATATTTATATAATTATATATATAATTCAATATTTATATAATATATTTAACATATATTTATATAATTATATATTATATATAATTTTTGTATATATAAAATATTCAGTCTTAAAAAGAAGACAATCTTGCCATTTGTGACAACACGAATAAACCTGAAGAACGTTGTTAAGTGATACAAGCCACATACAGAATGACAAATACTGCATGATCTCATATACGGAGTCTAAAAAATTTGAACTCATAAAAGCAGAGCATAGAATGATGGTTACTAGGGGCTTAGGGTGGAGAAAGTGGGAGACATTGTTTAAAGGGCACATCGTTTCAGTTATTCAGAATAAATACATTCTGGAGATCTAATGTACAGCATGGTATTATAGCTAATAATATTGTATTGTATACTTGAAATTTGCTAAGAGAATAGATCTTAGCATTTAAACAGTAAAATGTTCTCACCACAAAAAATCAAAATGGTGACTGTGTGGTGATGGATATGTTAGTCAGCTTCATTGTGGTCATTTCACAATGTATATGAATATCAAACATCATGTTATACACCTTAAATATATACAATTCTTATTTGTCAATTATACCTTAATAAAGCTGGTTAAAAGAATCCACATGTACTGACTTTTAGATAATTTACATTTGCTACCTTATCATCGCATTGGATTTTTTTGTTACTAATATTTTTAATCATGTAACTCCTAAGGTTGACAAATCGAATGATTGTTAAACTAAATTAACCCCGAATAAGTTTAATAAGTTTCTATGTAAGAACAACAAAAAAGAAATTTGAAGGCTTTGTTGTATTGTTTTCTAGTATCCAGTGCTGCTGATGAGAAATCTGATGCTGATTTGATTCTCATTCCTTTATAGATGACCTGCTTTTTCCTCTTTAAATATTTTTTATCTTTATTGTTTTAAGATTTTATGTGCATACATCTAGTTGGCAGTCTTTTTAAATTTATCCTACTCAGAACATGCTAGTCCTTTCATTCTGAAGACTCGCATCTTTCTTGACTTACAGGTGGTTCTCTTCAATTAGTTATTTAATGATTATCTCCCATGCGTATTCTCTGTTTTTGTCCCTGAAGCTTGTATTAGTTTGTATTAGAATATATCGGCTTGATCGTCTTCATATTTCCTATTTTCGTATGAGTGTGTGTGTGTGTCCACATGCATATGTATATTTGTATACCTTTTGAGAGTTTTCTTCAACTTCACCTCCCAACTCTTCCATTAAACTTTTTATAATGACAATTATATTTTTAGCTTTGGATTCTACTGCTTCCCTGATTATATGATTTTTTCTTTTTTTTTTTCATTAAACCACCATCTTGTTTTTGTTTAAAGACAATCTTCTCAACTCTATAATCTGTCAACATTTTAAAAAGGGTCTTTTCCTCTTCCCCTCCTCTTCCTCCTTCTGCTCCTCCCTCCTCTTTCTCTTCTTTTTTTCTCTTTCTCACTCTCTAGCTCTCTGTCTTAATATTTCACTTTCATGTTGCAGGTTTTCTCACGCATGTGGACAGAAGGGTTGTTTAGGAGCTCCTTTTATATTAGTATGGCTTCTTGACAGGCAGACTTTGCTTTAGTGTGAGTCGCTAGAGAGCTAAGCCAACACAGGAGAGGAGGGTAGATGCTAGATTTGGGAAGACTTTTTTCTGGAGCACTAATACTTGTCTCAGTCACCTTACTTTTCTGACATTATGTTCAATTTCCTTGAACAAGAACCTTCTGAGTTTTTCCTGGATTAAATGCCTACTCTATAGGCAGTTTTTTTGCGAAGGGGTAGGAGAAGAGCAGGATGTACTTGTTCTGTATCTAGATCTTTGGTTATAGCCCACTTTCACTGACACTTCTCACTTCCATCTCCCTGACACCTGCCGTCTTTGATTTCAGAGTCTCATTGGAATTCCTCTAGATAGACGGATCCCATCCCTGGAGAAGTGTACATTGTAAGCTTTTTTCTCATTTACCCATTACCAGACTTTCATGTATTTTTCATCTTCCACGAATTTGCTGAACTCTCTTGAGTACTCATGATCCCAGAAGCGTTCTTTAGTTATTGTGAGTTTTACATCATTTGAATGCTTTTCTCCCCCTATCATTTTAATAGAGCCCAGGAGGGAGAGGAAATAAATATTCTCAGCCTATCAGATTGAACTGGAAACTCCTTCACTCCCTTTGGGAATTTATTAATTCACCAATACTTATTGAAGTATTGGCAGAAAAGATACAAAATTGAATCAGACATAGATTTTCAAAATCTAGAGGGAGACATGTTTAACAAATAATTATGTTGCAATGTTAGAAGTGATGTAATAAAAGCTCGTATAAGACACTAAATATCACAGAAGAAAGAACAATTTATTCTATTGGCAGTAGAAAGGGAGTTAGAAAATAACCAAGTGTCTCCAGTAACATTCAAGAAGTTTCTACATCTCTCAGGCCATATCTGTCTGAAGATAAAGCAGTGTTATATTAACAGGAACAACCCCCTTCCACTGCCATCAGTATCTCCAGAGACAATCTAGGATACAGACAAGGGTGCAGGTAGTTTTGGGGAGACCATCCCAGGAAGCAGCGAGAAAGTAGGGAGGATGAGACAGGGAAGGGAGAAAATCCAATAAAGTTGCTTTATTGAGCTGGTTGTTTCAGTGAAAAAATGGGGCTCCGTCCCACTGGGGATATTTTGAAGAATGTTGGAAAAGGCATCTCAGAATTATTCTTCCAATGACAGAAAGCTGGGGCACTTATCTATGGACTCTTGTACTCTGTTGGTTGATGGTAGCGTCTGGGGGTATTAATTCTCTTTCTTTTCCAGGGTGTGGCTATATGCCATCTCAGTGGCTTTCCCTGGTTTTGGAGACAGTCCCTGAGCAGAAAAGCTGGAGAGTCTTTGGTAGAAGCTTGAGTTTGGGAATCTGGCACTGCACTCAGAAGCAGAACTGCCCACCATAGCAGAGCTAAAATCAGGTGGGCTGATGGGAGTGGGAAGAAGGGGATAAAAAATGATTTGCTGCACACCTCAATCTTCGCCTCAGTGATTTCTGATAATGTGCAGGGGGACCTTGTGCGTGATTGCAAACATGTGGCTGGAGCTGTGTGCAGCAATGTCAGGTGCTAAAGCCTCTGGGTCCCCCCACACCCCGCAAAGCTTTTCACCACTATGGTCCCATTGGACTAGGGTGGCTCCTCAGTCTGATGCCCACATCTCTGCCACTCCTACTGATGCATATCACAGCCACATTGTGCCAATGTCAAACCTTTGATCCCACAAGCATTAAGGCATTGAGAGTCTGGGAAACTTCTGTAAAGTTCCAAATGTCACCTGGAAGAGGAACACCTTGATCCACTGTGATTTCTCACTGCATTATCTTAGATCAGTTGATATGTTTTGTGCCAGAGAGCAGAAAGTTCAGAATATGAAAGGAGACAGGTAGATTTTATTGTGGGAATCAGGGGTCTAGACTTATCTGGAATAAATTGGGTGTTTTTTTTCCTTTTGAGGTCTAGGCAGGAAAGGAAAACAGTCAGGAGAAGGGAACGAGCATGCTAAGGGGCTGCTATATGTCGGGTATTTTATAACATGCATCTCAAGTAATCTTCATTACACTTACTTCACGTTACTATGAAGTCAATGTTATTATTTCCAAGGAAATCAAAGCAACAAAAATTTAGAGTGAATAAATAATTTTTCCAAGGTCACAGAATTAGTAAGAGGCAGAGGTGGGAGTTGAACTCAGATCTACCTAGTTCTGAAGTCTGATCAATCATATAGCAGCTGAATGGGAGCAATAAGGGAGAAAAATCATGAGTTAAATTAATTAAATTGGGTGAGAGCATTTGAAGCGTAGGTTGAACCACAGCTTTTGATTTCATTTTGCATTCTAAACTGTCTAAACGGCCCCCCACCCCGCGCCAATTAATTCCACAGGTATAAGCAACCGTTCATGTGAAAAAAGCCAGGGGATTTAGCCGGCCACAAGTTCAGTGAGCCATCAGGCAGCTGGTGCTGCTAAGAAGGGAAGGCCTCCTTAGTTTGCATGAATAGAATTATGGAGAGATCATAGGAGGTAATAGACCTGCTGTGCTTTGTCCTGTTTAGAATATTTCCTGGGGAATGTGAAACCTTCATCCGCTGCTGGTGCGAGTGTGAGCTGGTGCAGCCATTCTGGTGAGCAATCCTGCATTTCTTAGTGAAATGGGAAATAATGCACATTCCATCTGACCCACGATCTCTTTCCTAGCCATTGGCCCCAGAGACACTCTAGAATGGGACTGTAACGTATCACATAGGAGAGCATTTTTTGGTGTATCATTTGTGGTGGCAGAGAGTTGGAAGGAACTTGTTCATCACCAAGAGGATAGATAAGTAAATGATGGTGGATATCTAGTATGGAGTTCCATATAGCAGTCACAATTCAATGAACTATTAGATTGGTGCAAAAGTAATTGCAGTTTTTGGCATTACTTTTAAGGCAAAAACAATTTAATGGCAAAAACCGCAATTACTTTTGCACCAACCTAATAAATGTGCCCACAAGTTAACACAGATTGATCTTTACATAGTGAAAACAGCAAGAAATTGAATGCAAGCAGTTATATGCAAATCACTGATGTAAAATACAAACATACAGAAAAACATTATTTATCTTTCTGTATTACATACAGTCGGGAGGACATATATTGTAAACATTAAAATGGGCAGAAAACAAAAGTGGGAATTTGAAGAATGTGAAGGGGGAGAAGAAGCATGCTACCTTGTACAGATAGTGTGCCAACTTCTATACCTCCAAGCATGACCTGTGAACTGGAAAAACTTACAAGTTCTTTTTAAATAGCAGAAAAAAAATCTGTGCAGCTGGGTGTGGTGTCTCATGTCTGTGATTCCAGCACTTTGGGAGGCTAAGGTGGGTGGATTGCTTGAGTCCAGGAGTTCAAGACCAGCTTGGGCTACATGGTGAAATCTTGTCTCTACAAAAAGTACAAAAAATTAGTCAGGTATGGTGGTGTGCACCTGTAGTCCCAGCTCAGTAGGGGACTGTAGTGGGAGGATCACTGAGCCTAGGATGTCGAGCCTGCAGTAGCAGCCTGGTGACAGAGTGAGACCCTGTCTCAAAAAAATTGTGCATTTTAAATAAACCTAAATAAAATCATAACTTAATGTGTTGGTCTTCTTGCCAATTTATCTTTTAAAATTGTATATTCATCACACATTTTTATTAAGCACCTGCTATGTACCACTGATCTAGGGCTCTAGGCACTGGGAATACCGCTGTGAATTACATGATAAATACCTAGAAGAATTGCTGGGTCAGAGGGTAAGCACTTCAAATAATTTTAATATATATTGTCAAATTGTCCTCCAAAAAATCTGTAACTAATTGGTATTTTTTGGTTAGTTTTTTTTTGACTCTCTTTTAGAGCAGTTTTAGGCTCATAGCACAATTAAGTGGGAGGTACAGAGATGTCCCATATGTTCCTTGCCCTTGAACATGCATAGCCTCTCTCATAAACAACATGCCCATCAGAGTGGTGCATTTTTTACAATAGGTTAAACTACACTGGCACATCATAACCATCCAAAGTTCACAGTTTACATTAGGATTCACCCTTGATGCTGTGCATTCTATGGGTTTAGACAAATGTGTAATGACATGTACCTGCCCTTTTAGTATCATGCAGAGTATTTTCACTGCCCTAAAAATCCTCTGTGCTCTGCCTACTTCTCTCTTCTCTGTCCCCACGCTCTGTCAATGACTGTCTCCATAGTTTTGTCTTTTCCAGAATGTCTTGTAGTTGATATCATATGGGCTTCCTTCACTTAGGACTGTAATAAGCATTTAAAGCTCCTCCATGACTTTTTATGGCTTGATAGCTCATTTCTTTTTAACACTGAATACTATCTCATTGTCTAGATGTACCAAAGTTTATGTATTCACTCATCTACTGAAGGACATCTTGGCTGCTTCTGCGTTTTGGCAATTATGAATAAAGCTGCTGGAAATATCTGGGTTTGGGAGAATTGCTGGGTCAGAGTAAAAGCACATTTAAAATTTTAATAGATATTGTCAAATTGTCCTCCAAAATCTATATCAATTGGCATTTTTTATTAAGTGGGATATTTTTGATGTGGTGTTAATGTGGTTAACGTGGGTTAATGTGGTGTTAATAATCACTTCCCAATGATTTGTTTTTCTGAATGTGGATAAAAGGATTGGAAGAAAGGGAGACTGGAAAAATACTAAGGAAACATGGGGTTAGACTCATCATGCATTTTGCATGAGCCAAGGCAGCCCTGAGCTGGATGGATGGAAGCTCAGTGTAAATTCTGATTTGTGTCAGAGGCACATGCTCTCTAGGCCTGCTTATCCCAGTCTAGCTTGCTCTGACCTGGGCATTTTTCCCCTCTGGGGGAAAATTGGGGTCACTTGGCAGTGGGCTCTGCTATCAAGCACCTGTCCACAGCAGGGAGAGAGGAAAACCCATCTCACGATGATGACTTACCCATTGTTCTTTAGCAGGGATGCAGCAGCTGTGCCTAGGGTCCAGCACCCCTGCTAGGCTTCCAATGAGCTTCCCATCCAACTGCCACAGCCCTAGACGGCAGGCTCTGGAGCTCCACCCAGGACCCTTGGTGGAAACAGGATGTAATGTTTCCAAGCGGGTCGAGCAGTGGCTGCTTATCTACAGTGGTCAGTAAGGCAGACAGAAACATTCTCAGTGACCTTCCTTCCTTGGCATGTTTGAAAACCATGACCCTGCTCCCCTTTATGGCAGAGTGAACTGAGGAGTTTTAACTAAGTGGGGGATAAACATGAAATGTTGGTATTTTTTCCAATTATTGATTTCTATGATGTTCAGTTGAATGCCCGTTTCCCGCCTTTTAGCACCTTTGGCAGATTCCCCAACTTTCTGCTCTTTTTCAGTTATAAACATTTCAGTCCATTTTGGTTTAAAGCATCAATCTCAGATGCAATTTAAGTCTAATCTCGTCCATCTTCCTGCAGGTTTGACTTGAGGCCTGGGAGATCTAAGGTGGGAGGCTTTTCACTCTTCCTCCAATCTAGCGCCTTGGAATCAAGAGGGTGGTGACAGGCAGGAGTTGGGTGTGGGTGGGGATGGGAGGATGGAGGAGAAATAGTCTGCCCTGAGATATACACCTCCTCCCTCTCCTGGGTCTACCAGTGGTTTTTTTTGGTGGAGTGTGGGTGTACTGTTTTCATTTTGGTTGGGTCAAAGCTTAGGGTGGAACTGATCTGCACATTTCAGAATATTTAATATTGCCCCCCTCCTCCCCCAACACAAATTCCTAAGTACCCTCAGTCTTGTTTTTTTTTTGTTTTTTTTTTTGAGATGGAGTCTTGTTCTGCCACCTAGACTGGTGTGCAATGACACAATCTCGGCTCACTGCAACCTCTGCCTTGTTTTTTATTTTTTTTTTGAGATGGAGTCTTGTTCTGCTGCCTAGACTGGCGTGCAGTGACACAATCTCGGCTCACTGCAACCTCTGCCTCCCAGGTTCAAGCAATTCTTCTGTCTCAGCCTCCCAAGCAGCTGGGACTATAGGTGCCCGCCACCACACCTGGCTAATTTTTGTATTTTGAGTAGAGACCCGGTTTCGCCATGTTGGCCAGGCTGGTCTCGAACTCCTGATCTTAGGTGATTTGACTGCCTTGGCCTCCCAAAGTGTTGGGATTACAGATGTGAGCCACCATGCCCAGCCCCCTCCAGTCTTTATGACAAGCACCCTTTTCCCCGACTATCCCAAACACCTCTTAAGGGGGCTGTGCTGCCCTGATTGGGAACTACTAGAACCTTTCTGGGCTGGAGCCAGGAGAAAAGATGCAGGAGCAAGATCTCCTTAGATTTCTGGTCTGAGTCAGCTGTGGGAAGGAATCCCTGGTTGTCCTTTGGGTTGGGTCTGATGTTACCTGGATCTTTCTGCTGCTGTATGGGAGTCTCTGTACAGTTGATGTGGTGGGAATTCTAGAGATGTTGTTCACCTACCTCTGTATGTCTCTAATACTGAGGGCTTCCTTAGAGAGGGAGCTGTGTTTTCCTTTGTTCCCACCAGTGATCCATGCCTCCAGAACTTTCTCTGGGGAAGGGGTAGCCTCCATATAAATGGGGGGTTCACCCCCAAGGCTAGATAAGAAGCCTTGCAGTTTCTGCTTGGGTTTCATGGAATACTCACTCTCAGGGTGCTTCGTCCTCAGCACACTTCTTTTCAGAACCCAATGCCATACTCTGAGGAGCCTAATTCACTTTGTCTGGCAGCTGTGTGAGTGCACCATCTTGGACACCCAGCCCAGTCAAACCCTGGAAAAGGTTCGGCCCAGCCATCATCTGACTTTAGCCACATGAGAGACTCCAAGAACTGCCTCACTGAGCTCACTCAACCCACAGAACCACGAGAGGGAAGAGCAAATGACAGCTTTAAGCCACAAAGTTGTGGGGTGGTTTGTTACCAACAACAGATAACAGGAAAAATTACTCTGGGACAAGAAGCCAAACTTCTAGGCTAGAGTTGACAAGTAGGGCTTTGGAATTAGAGTCTATAACTTACTAGTTTCTTGACCCTGTGAAAATTCCTCCACCTCAGTGTATCTCAGTGTCCTCATCTGTTAAGACGGGGATAATAATAGTTCATTCCTCATAGGATTTTTGTGAGAATTAAATATGATGACCTGTGGGCTTAGTATGGTGCCTGGCATTTACTAAGCACTGATTAAATGTCAACTATGATAATAATTATTGAAAGTAGTGGTTTTATGGAACCAAGCAAAGTTTCTCCTAAAACACAATAATTTATTCATATTTTTCTTTATGTTTGTTTTAGTCTCCTTTCCACCAATCCTAACCTTCCAGGACAAAACTGCCTTGTTCTATTCTGCTACAGGTTTCCACTTTAGGGCAGATTTTCTAAGTAGACCTGGTTATTTTTTTTGGGCTAAGGGACTATGAACCTTCTATTCATCCATTTTTATCTCTTCTTCAAATGCCCTATCAGTTTTTCTTTTCCTTTAGTCTTCTCCAGGGAATTGCTTTTCCTTACTTGAAGGGTAGAGGGAACGGAGTGGGAAATTGATGTCTTAATAAAGATGACAAGAACAAGGGTCACTGGGATGAAAATGAAAACTGACACTTAAATTGTCCTCTTAATGTTTCTTAATGACTTGTTGTGGCTCAGAGCATTATACTGTTTCTCATAACAGGGAACCAAACATATACTGGGGTTTGCTGAAATGCCAGAATGAATGAAGCTTTTCAGAATAGCAAACATTTTTCTATGGCTTTACGACTCCTGTGATTACGTTAATGCTGGACAGAGTGAACTAGGACGTAGGGTATCCCAAGACCACCCTGAATCCTATCTCCTCCCCCCATGCTCATATTTTAGATTCCAAACCTCAATAACAAAATTGCATTAAAACCTTAGCCCTCTGATCAGTGTACTGCACATCTAACCCCTTTCTCAATATTTGCTCTCTTTCTTTTTAGCCGGGACATGTTTTAGAAGAGATGTTAAGGACGTATGTTTGGAAGTTTTATGCACACTAGGAACCAATATGTGTGGGTGAGGTGGAAAGGGAGAAATTTTCCTACATTTTATTTTGCTTTTTTTCTTTTTGGACTTAATACAAACATATCTGGTTTAGGTCTTTGATTTGTACTAGAAAGAAATTTAAACCATGGAAATCCCCTTTTTTAATTTTTAATTTTAATTTTTTGTGGGTACATGGTAGTTGTATATATTTATGGAGTACCAAGATGTTTTGACACAGGCATGCAATGTGTAATCGTCACATCATGAAGAGTGGGGCATCTATGCCCTCATGCACTTATCCTTTGTGTTACAAACAATCCAATTAAACTCTTTTAGTTATTTTAAAATGTAAAATTGAATTATTATTGACTATAATCACCCTGTTGTGCTATTGAATAGTAGGTCTTATTCATTCTTTCCATTTTTTTTTGTACCCACTACCCTTCCCAGCCCTTGGTAACCATCTTTCTAACTCTCTGTGTCAATGAGTATAATTGTTATGTTTTTAGACACATCAGAGAAATAACGAAGTAAATTTTAGTATCTGAGACATTAGGGGAAGATGATTTATTTTCTGAGTGACTTTACAGCAGAAGAATCCCATTTTCATACAGGGGACTGAGTTATTATGAATCAAACCTGAAATTCACACCACACTGGTTGCTTGTAGGGTGGGTTTTTTTGGGTTGCCTGAACCTGGAGTATGATTACACCTGCTCAGCCCAGATGAGCTTGGCATATAGTAGGCACACACAAATGCTTCATAATGGAATGAAAGAATGATATACATCTGCTAATTGCTCAAACCATTTGTGGCTTCTTCTGCCTATGAAGTGGACTTCTACTAAGAGTTTTGTTTGTCTGCATTTTTGAAAATTGTATCGACCTCTGTGGTTTTGACATCTCCTTTCCTTTCTACTTTGGGGAGACCAAGTCCACTCTTCTTATCTTGTGAGTTGCCTTTCTATCTGTGAGAAAGGGCCAGGTAAACTGAATTTCAGGGATTGTGGCCTGAAATGAAAGCTGAGTCCTGACTCTTAGTTGTGAAAAATTATTTATGCTTGGTATTTATTTATTTATTTTTTCGAGATGGGATTTCTTTTTGTCGCCCAGGCTGGAGTGTAGTGGGGGGATCATAGTTCACTGCAGCCTTAAACTCCCAGGCTCAAGCAATACTCTCACCTCAGCCTCCTGATCAGCTAGGACTACAGGCACATGCCACCATGCCTAGCTAATTAAAACAAATTTTTTTTTGTAGAGATGAGACCTCACTGTGTTGCCCAGATTGGACTTGAACTCCTGGGCTCAAGCGATCTTCCTGCCTCAGCCTCCAAAATTGTTGGGATTATAGGCATAAACCACCCACGCCTGGCCTCTGCTTGGTATTAATATGATTCAGTTGCGTCTTTGTCAAGGGGGATCAATGTTTTTGAATTCTTGGTGATCTGTGATGGTAGAAAATTAGATATTCGAATACAATTTTTGCAGGTATAGATTCGTAGTAGTAGATTCTTGGATTAATAACTAATTTAATAAAAGACATGTTTATGTTGCTGTAATTGAGCCTTATTGATTAGTGTAAAAAATTATTTCACTCTGAGCATGACTACTTACTGGCTCTAGAAGAAATGAGCTCGTGGTCTTAGTACACTTCTCATCAAATTGATTTTCTTAGAGAAACAAGCATCGTTTGAGTGACAATTTTACCCCAGGGCTTAAAGACTGAACATAATGAGATTTTCCTTTGCTTTTTCAAGTTTGAAAGGAAGGTTTCCCACCTCAAGTCCAGAGACTAGCCAAATTTGGTCTACCCTTGTGAAGTCTGGAACTGTTAATCTGTGAAATGTATGGAATAAAAGCTTGGCTTTTGTATGACTGCCTTTCATACTTCTATACTCAATGGCAAGGTGAAAATCTGTAGTTTTGCCTTTGGAAGCTTCCACTGCTATCTCCTGCTCTATTTCCATCCCACTTTCAAGTTATTATATAATATACTGGCTCCCTATTTTCTGTGTATTTCAACAGTTTTTCTTTATCTTAAACCATTTCTCCCCCACAGCCCACCAATATTCCCCAATTCTTAACTCTATGAAGTTTTTTTTTTTTTTTTTTTTTCTTTTGAGACAGAGTTTCACTCTTGTTGCCCAGGCTGGAGTGCAATGGGCGATCTCGGCTAACCACAACCTCCACCTCCCGGGTTCAAGTGATTCTCTTGCCTCAGTCTCCTGAGTAGCTGGAATTACAGGCATGTGCCACCACGCCTGGCTAATTTTGTATATTTAGTAGGGATGGGGTTTCTCCATGTTGGTCAGACTGGTCTTGAACTCCCGACCTCAGGTGATCTGCCCGTCTCGGCCTCCCAAAGTGCTGGGATTACAGGCATGAGCCACTGTGCCCGGCCTAACTCTATCAAGTTTTAAGACATAAACAGGCAGGAGTAAAATTAGAGGATGAACCGAAGGAAAAAATAAATCCATTTCACATTTAAAATGTCGACCTGAAGCTCCAAAATGAAGAAAAATACCTAAAAGAAATGGAGGCTTTCAGGTAAAAAATATATCATTGTTATTATTATTTTTAATGATGATAAAAATAGTTTGTCAGTAACAAATGTCAAAATATGTACAGAAAAATCCAAGGATGTATTTCTTTCAAAGGAATAAATGTGGAAACTGATGATCAATAATATAAAGTGCTTGTGAATCTAAGTCTAGTTGTTATCGGACTGTACTGGGATGTGATCATCCTTGGTAAGTAGAGGATGCACACTTACTACAAACGAGATTTCAAGTTGGACACAATAACAATTGAAATATTATCAGTTCCTATGAGATTAAGATTGTAATATAATGTGCAATAAATGTAGTTTCCATGAATATCAACATTAAAATGAACTAGTGTTCATAAAGCAAGGGATCCTGATTGATAACATTTGCCAAGGACTTATTTTATGTCGGGTACTGGGATGAATGCTCTGATTGCATAATTTCATCCAATTGTTTTAGTAAGTCAGTGCCATGGGGGATAAGATTACTCTGTTTTATAGATGAGAAAACTGAGGCTTATAAGAGGTTACATAACTTGTCCAGGTAGAGTAAACTAATGTTGACAAGCTAGATGGGCAGTACCTATTAGGATTGTGATTTTCCATTTTAAAAACAAATATTTATTAAGTATTTTCTATGTGCCAGGGATTTTCTCATATGTTATTTGATGTAATCTTCAAAACAATCCTCTAGGGGTAAGGCATGGATATTCCTGCTTTACAGATAAAGAAACTGAGATTTAGTGAGGTCAGGTATCTTGCTCCAGACGATGTAGGTGGAAAGTGACAAAGCTACGATCTGAATCCAAATCTTCTGACTCTAAATCAGAAAGGAATCTCAGAATTGTTAAAGTGGTAACATACCTGGAAATCATGGTCTTCTTTGTAGATTGCAATTGGGAATACTATGCTCTTTCTGGAACATGGGGAAAGAATGGTATATTTAATTCCAACATATGACCAAGAGCAATGTTAGTAGCAAAAAATAAATCTCCATGTATGAAATTTAAAAATCAACCTGTGGCAATGATGCAGATATGCTGCTCAGATCTCCCTTCAAGAGAAGACGTGCATTATAGAAGGGAGTAAGTTGCCTGTTACCCAGCAGGTGTTGCACCTTTGGAGTTCTGTCTTGGCATTCACACTCAGGCCTTTTCCCCAGACTGCTCGCAGTCAGTGACTGGGCATGACAAAGTGCTACAGCTGGGCCACTTCTGTCCAATGTGAAGCTTTTCAATGGGCCGTCTTTACTCTGAGGCTTCCCATTAGCCTGGCTAAGACTTCTACACAGCTCACTGCAGTCTGAGGCTCTTGCTTCTGTCTTTGTCCTTCCCTGTCTCCTTTCACCGGTGTCAGACCAGAAACGCGGGTTGAAGGCTCTCTGTGTTAGCTCCTGCTCCCTTTCTCCTTTGTCCTTCATAAGCATTTTCCCCAATCTATCATATTTCCAATTCTGCCTCAGCACCTGTTGGGTGATGCACAAGCCAAAACACAGCTCAAATTATCTATAAGAAAACAACAAACTATTGGACTAAGTATTGTTGATTCATATTTATTTGCTATTTTATGATTCATTTTGCAGCTGCCAACATTTGCTAGCAGATAGATGATAATCAATACCAACATTTTCAGAAAAGGTTATAGAAAGAAAAACACTTTAAAAATGGAGATAATCTATTCACAAACCTAACATTTTGGGTAATGAAACTTTGATTGTTTTGTGTAGGTATCACAGATCTTTGTCAAACTTGAGGGATCATGATAAAAGAACCCCAGATACAACTATATGGGATTTTTTTCAAGTTTAGAAACTTGATTTTCTTCCCATCCATGAATGAACTGACCAATGGAGATTGATTCATGTCAACTAAATTCACACTAAACTAATATATAAATCAAAATTCCAGTTAATTGATTTATAATGAGACATATATCACGCTCAATAAATTAATAAGGAAAACACTCACATAGGCTGTTGTAAAGTGGTTTATTATCATTACCATTATAATTACTATTACTGTTACAGCTACCACATTAAAAACAAACAGGGGCCAGTTGCGGTGAGTCACATCTGTAATCCCAGCACTTTGGGAGGCTGAGGTGGGTGGCGCACTTGAGCTCCCAAGTTTGAGACCAGCCTGTGCAACATGAAGAAACCCTATCTGTACAAAAAATACAAAAAGTAGCCAGGTGTGGTGGTGTGTGCCTGTAGTTCTAGCTACTCAGAAGGCTGAGGTGGGAGGATGGCTTGAGCCTGGGAGGCACAGGTTGCAGTGAGCCAGGATCACGCAATCCCACTACAGCCTGGGCAATAGAGCCAGACCTTGTCTCAAATACATACATACATACATACATACATACATACATACAAACAGGGACCAGTTGACTAAAATCAGGACTTGTGTACCCTGAACTGTGCTGATAACACATTAACAGATCCTTCTCCAGTATTCCATTTGCTTCTTAAATTTTTATTTTTTTCTTTTTTTGTAAAAGCAACACGTAACACTATAAAAAATGAGAAAATATCAAAAAGCCAGCAGCAAAACAAAATTAGACAATAAAAAAATTACTTGGAATCCTGCTACTCAGAGATTATTCCTGCTATTTTGGTGTATATTTTTCCAGTGTTATTTACTAAGCATGCATAAAAATACTTTAAGTACAGCATACTGTCCCTGCTCTTTTATATTTTGCCTTTTTCACTCAGAAATATAACTTGAACATTTTTCCATTGCATTAAATATTATTCTGGTACACAGCTTCTTAACTCTCTTTGGGTTATGACACATCGTATCAAAGTTACGGTCTCTCTCCTTAGAAAAATGAATGTGCATATATAATGTTCCATAGGAATTTTAGGAGTTTCACTGCCTGAAAATTGTCCATATATTTCCTGTCCCTGCTTGTACCATTATGGACAGCTGCACAGTATTCCATCCAATATTTAAATTAATACTATCATCTATTTACTCAGATTCCTGTAGACATTTTTTCCCTATCATGAACAATGTGATTGAGATCTTCTATGTTTATCATTATACAATTCCTTCACGTTGAAATTTCCAATAGTACAACTTCATAGGTACAACTTAGCTCTAAGGTTGAACCATAAACAGTTAGTGCTTACACATCTAGAAGAGTGTAGACAGCTTTTTGAAGATTTTACCTTTGGAAATGTTACACTAAATTCAGTGATGCTAGTATTTGGAAAAGTTTTTGAAATAATTCCTTTGCAATGGTTTTTAGTGACACATGCTTTTAAAGATTCTCAAAGGTGGTACCTTTTCAACTTTGAAAGTGCTTGACTTTTACAAACAGCCGCAAAGTCTTTGGAACAAAGTTACTTCAGTGACGTGATTCAATAACCAAATACTATCCTTTTGGCTTGTTTTAAAAAGTCACAATAAGTGAAGAGATTTACTTTTTTTGCTTAGTTACTAGCACTGTGGCTGATATTAAAAGAGACTTTGCAAAACGGAACAAAGAATGCATCAATGGAATAAGTGTGTACCTTCCCAAGGTGAATACTTGTAATTAGAAAATTCACTTATACAGGCTAGGTGTGGTAACTTATGCCTGTAATCCCAGCACTTTGGGAGGCCTACGTGGGCAGATTGCTTGAGCCCAGGAGTTCAAAACCAGTCTGGGCAACACAGCAAGACTTCGTCTCTGCAACACATAAAAAAATTAGTCAGATGTGGTGGCACTTACCTGTGGTCCCAGCTGCTTGGGAGGCTGAGGCAAGAGGATTGCTTGAATGCAGGAGTTCAAGGCTGCAGTGAGCTGTGATTGAGCCACTGCACTCCAGCCATGGGTGACAGTCAGAACCTGTTTCTAAAAAAAGAAAAAAATAATGAGAAAAAAGAAAATTCACATATACAAACACAGTTGTTTGTTTAAAAGAAAATCTTTATTATTACTGTAATAATAATCATTACTGTAATGCTTAATTTTACATGTCACCTTGTCTGGGATATGGTTTTTTTTTCCCTAAAATTATGCTATATTTATGTATATCACACCATATAAATAGTCCATATATCATTCTAATAATATACATATTTTTGTCTTCAGCAACACTCAACACTTTCCCCATCAACATACTCTCACAGGAACTCTAACAAGAATGTCTTAGGAAAGATTTGGACTATTTTTCTATGATCAAAACCAAGCCTTGGTCCTCATCATTCGCCATGGCCCTGAAGTGAGTGAGGAGGACATTTGGAAGCAACTTCCTGTCATAACTGCTAGCACCAAGTAGATATCTAGGACATATTTATTGGATGTTTGAATGATTGTCTTGTTCTTTAGAATCTGCAAATATTTTCAGAATATTTTTATGTTTCTTTTAGTCCTACTGCAGTCAATTCCTCAGTTTCTGTGTATATGCAATTTTCATGGCTGGAAAATCCCTTGGTTTTGTTGTTGCAAAACTGAATGCTTGGTCACTGTTATTTTGAAAGGTTTCTCAGGTCGGTTCCCTAGGGCAAGCTGATGTGATAGTGAAAAACCCAGGCCCAGAGAGTTTAAAGGGTAACTTCAGGTTACACACTGACTGGAAAATAGGAAAGCTAGCTGTGGAAGCTGAACATTTTAAATCTTATACCATCTCCCTGCCCGATGCACAAATGGACTTTTATCATACAAACAAAGATTTCCAGAGAAAATCATGTCAAACTCTAACGTCATGAGCTAACAATGCAACTACTAGATTAAGAGCTCCCTGAAGGCAAGGGCCACATGTGTCAATACTGGTATTCCCAGCAAATACACACACACACGTGCAAACACACATTTGCACAAACATACATAATGAAGAAACATACATCTCAAAGAGAAATAATTTTTTGTCAGTTCTTTTAGAGTTCCAAAAAATCCATCTATTCCTCTATAATTGAATTTTATACACATAGTAAATATGTCTAAATATAGCTCACTGTGAATGTCCAAGTTTACAAATATTTTATTACGTTAGAAGTCTGGCAAATCAGTAAACACAGCAAAGATGTATGAGAATACATTTTGATTTTGATTGCAAGTGGGGCTTTTGGGAAAAGAAATATATTTTCTAATTATTTCTGAACTAAAATGAGAAACTAACTGGATTTCTTAAAAATAATTATTGTTTGCATCTTTCTCTTTGGAGACCCTGACTTGTTTCTCTTTGTCTTTTGATATCGTCACACTGGTTTCCCTAGAGGACATTGACGTTGACAGAGAAAGGCCAAAGGAAACTTTGCGACTTCATCCAAATGTCAAAACAAAAGTAAGGCTTAGCATGCTTCTGAAGGATTGACTTTCAAGCAGGAACTGGGTTGTTTTGGAAACTTAGTTAATGACATTGTTATTATTTCTCATGAGTGATTAGGTTGATAGATCAATCCCACTTGCATTTAGCATAATCCCTGCAGGTGTGAGTGGGAAGCCCATCAGTACAGAAGCTGCATGGCTCTGAAGCTTGGCTGAAGCTCTCTTCTCTGCAAGAAAAATGTCACATGATGCTGAAATTTTGATATTTGGCTATGAGCCCCCAAAATAATGTTTTCTTAACAAGAATGCCTAAAGATTTTCAACTATCTCTCATTCTGGGACTATTAATATATTTTGAAAATTTTAAAGGATAAATTTACAAAGAACAACTGACATTTGTAAAACGTTAGGCAAGACACAAATGTTACAGGTATTAGCGTTACCTAACCAGTACCTTTCAACTGTGGCCTGTGCACAGTGGGAGTTCAAGAAATATTTTCTGAATGTTGAATGGGTGAAGTGCATTTGGAAATAAGCAGAGAGCTATTGGGGCATGTAAATCATGGCAGAAGTATGTTTTAACAGATATCATTGGGGCACAATCAAATCTTCTTGACCTTCTTATGCCTTTATTGATGTGTTTTGACTAATACTAAGAAGATACTAGTTTGGATGGTGATGCCTATGATTTAAAAACATGATTTTTGCCATCTCTTAACACTTTACAAAGGTTAAGAGGGTAGATAAACAACTTCCTACAGCTGCTGCTACATCTGGCACACGCCTGCAGCAGAAAGTGTGCACTGAAAAGATAAACACATCAGGTTGTATCTACTTGCACGCTTGTGCTTTTTGCATCTGAACTTGACCCGGAGCAATTAATATTAAAACCAGGCCTGACATTAATGAATAAAAATTCAAAAGAAGTTGTGCTGAATTGAAATTACCACCACTTCCAAGAGGATAGATTTCTCTGAAGGTTTTGAGGTTAACTTTGATTCTGTAATCCTGGCTCAATGTCTTATCTTTGTTGTTTCCTTCAGGGAACCATCTCATCTTGATTCCTGCACAGTTTCAAGTCCCTCGTGAGTCCCTACTTGACTAATGCTGAACATTCATTGTTCTGTCTCAGTTGATTTATGTATATATGGATGTTTTCCAAATTTTACTTCATGTGGTGACCCCTTGAGGATGCTTCCAGCTCTGAGATTCTGTGACACACTGAATACATTTAAAATTAGCACGTGATTCTTTTAAAAAGTCATCAGATAGAACTCTTTACTAGCCTTCAAGTGAAAAGATCTGTTGGTGGATTATCTTTTATACTTCTTATAAATACTACTGATGATTCAGAGCCTTTAAAAGAGGTGGATACTGGATCTCTTCACTGACAACTTGAAAAAAGTAACATGTAGGGAGGGAGTATGACTTTATCTTATTCACTCATTGTATTTGTAGTGATGCTAAGAAGGCCCGCAACAAATACTTACTGAATGAAACAATGACATCTGAAGAACGAACTGATTCTTCTACACACTAAATTACAGCAACTTACTAAAAAGACTGTCAAACATAGTATTGGCGATTGTCTTATTTGCTAAACAAGAACCTAGATACCATTATTCACGTTGCTTGGAAACTTTTATATATTTCTATCTCAAATATTTTCCTTAGAACCAGGTTCTGTCTCTGCATATTAGCCTTAGGTCTGTGAGCTTTATAATCTTAATTGTCTCCTCTTTTTTTGTGTGTGCTACAAATAGCCATTGGTGTAAGCATATTAGCCTTATTTTTTTCTGTTTTTAATTATACTTTAAATTCTGGGATACACGTGCAGAACGTGCAGGTTTGTTACATAGGTATGCACGTGCCATGGTGGTTTGCTGCACCCATCAACTCGTCATCTACATTAGGTATTTCTCCTAATGCTATCCCTCGCCTCCCACACCCCGACAGGCCCTGGTGTGTGACGTTCCCCTCCCTGTGTCCATGTGTTCTCATTGTTCAACTCCCACTTATGAATGAGAACATGCGGTGTTTGGTTTTCTGTTTTTGTGTTAGTTTGCTGAGAATGATGGTTTCCAGCTTCATCCATGTCCCTGCAAAGGACATGAACTCATCCTTTTTTATGGTGTATTAGCCTTATTATTATTATTTTAAATACATCTGAGATTTCTAGAAAAGTGTTTGAATATTTAATTTCTCTTTGCAATGGCAGACACAGCCTCGGTGGTGGTCATTTCTGAACTGAACCTTGACCAACAAAGACAGGTACCCAGGCATGATGTTTGCACTCTGTTTTTACCGAATTGCTGGGTGAGCACTTCACAAGATCACAGAATGTCCTCTATCTCCTGATTAGCATTTAGAGAACCTTGGCAACCGAGATGGAGCCACAGGAGGGAAGCAGGCTGCTATTTAAGTGGAGGAAAGTCACTCCATGGCAGATAAGCAGGAGCAGTGATAAATCACAAACAGCCCTCAGCCTTAGGAATTCACAGTGCAGCTCTATCACGAACCCCGTCAGCATCTGATGAACTTTTACTTTTCACGGCATCATCTGAGGGCAGTGATAGAGGGGAAAGAAACGTCTGCACATGGTCTGCATTGGATACCTGTCAGTTGGTTTACAGATAATCTACAGACCACAGAGTATTTTGCTGATGTACTTAAGACCAGAAACAGAGCAGCAGGAAATGTTAAGCTCAGAAGGCTTCTAGGAATAGCAGTCACCAGCCTACAGTGTAATATTTCTGTTTTAAGAAAGGCTGAAATATTATTTCATAAACACTCTAGGTTTTAGATCTGTAGGAAGCCCTATGCATGCATGCACGTTGTTGTTGTTTTTTAAATGTAGTAACGTCACACCTGCTAATAAGATAAAATACCAGTAAAACTCCAGGGATGAGCTGCAGAGTCCCTTCATTGGTGAGGGGAAGCATGGTTTGGGAGAAAAAGGGTTGATGAGCCAAGTCAGTTTCTAGTTATGCTCCATTGGTACCCATTTGTGTGCATGAGGACCTTCAGTTGTGATGGTGGCACAGAGCGTCCCTGACAACCAGCACATCGTAGTTATTGAAGAAATATTTGTGAATAAATGAAAGGCTAGAAATATGCTTTATTGAGTCACATGCCTGGCTGGTCTGTTTTGGGTTAGCTTGCTATGATTGATCAATAAGTACCTCGAACAATTATAAAGTCATGATATAGTTGGACATATAAGGTTTATGGAACTAGGTTCTACCTCACACATTACTGGTGGCTACTCTGTGTTAAATGCTATGCTTAGGACAATGGGGAATAAGTATGACACATGGGCCCTGTCTTCAAAGAGCTTTTTTTTGTGTGTAGCTGGGGAGACAAGAGTAAAATACTTTCAACAATAGTTTATTTGCTGAAGTCTAAATGACACAGTGTTAAATTGTCTATCCTAGATGTGGGGGCTATTACTCTCATTATCTGGTTTGACTCAACTTCAAACAGTTCATAGCATTATGTAAAATCATAGGATGTTAGGGTAAAATGGGACTTCTAAGAGATTTTTGATGCCTTTCAGTCGAATTCCTTTTTTTTTTTTGTTTTTGTTTTTGTTCTCATGAGAACACTGGGAGGTTAAATGACTTGGCCAAGATCACAAATCACACAGTCAGTGGTAATGTTCACCATTTCCCTAGGATTTTGGTTCCAAAGTATGCTAGAGCCTCAGGCTCATGGCAGGAGTTTCCTTTATTTCTAAATGAGGACTCTTTGTTTTGTGATAATAAATCTTCCATTACATAAGTTCTAAGACAGATGCAACTTATACGGAATTCTACTCCTTAGCAACTATGTTAAAGTTCCACTGTGTGACTGTATTCTCTCTCTTTCTTTTATGTATGTATTTTTTTAAAAACAACCCTTAGGATCATGCCCATAATCTGTATTGTGTAAAAAGTATTGGAATTCATTCATGTCATCTGATATTTAACAGTTAACTTTTTTTTGAGCACAACCTCACAGGCCTCTGCTCTTTGCACATACCACCTCACTCAGTCATCATAATTGTCCTGTGAGGCAGACACTCAGGCTTAGAGAGTTTAAGTAACTTGTCGAAGTTCTCAGAGATAGCATGTAGCAGAGTCATGCTGTGAACCCAAGAAGTCAGGCACCAGAGCCTGTACTCTTAACTGCAGCTCCATACCACTTGTGTATTTTAAAAGCCAGACTCCTAGAAGTTGGCATCATGGGTGTCCACCATACCTCTGAGCCACTGAAACATTACAACATTCATCCAGAGTCTTGACTGCATCCCCCAGCCAGACTCTGCATCCATGCCTTCTCTCTTTAAGCTTTCAAATCTTTTCAAGAAGGGAGATATCCATGCTAGCCTGTCTCAGGGCATGATTGAGCCAATTGAGAATTTTAAACATGATGGTCATGGGCCAGGCCTGGTGGCTTGCACCTGTGATCCAGTGCATTGGGAGCAGGAGTTTGAGACCAACCTGGGCAACATAGGGAGACTCTCTCTACATTTTTATTTTTTAAAAAATTTAAAATTAGCCATGTGGTGGCATGCACCTATAGTTCCACTTACTTGGCAGGCTGAGGAGGAAGCATTGCTTGAGCCCAGGAGTTTGAGGTTATGGTGAACTATGATTGCACCACTGTACTCCAACCAGGGTGACAGAGTGAGACCCTCTCTCTAAAAACAAAAACCAGAAATGGGGGTCATAACCCTTCAGTTCTCACATTTGCCCTCACTATTTCTTTCTTCTTCTTTTTAAAGATTTAGTGAAAAACCTGGAATCATTGGATTGATTTGAGAATGTTACAAAAATTACAGAATTTGCATACCCTATAGATAGAACTAGTGATTTGGTGAAAAGTTAATTTTAAATGTTTCTCCTTTTCCTCAGCTTATTTCATTTTATTTATTAAAGTAAACCGATAATGGAGAAAAGGGAAGCAACTTTCAGGATTTCGGTGTAGCTCACCCACTTATTCTTCAACAGCGGCCGGCCTGAAGTGAGCCTTGTGCCTTGCAGAGCACTAGAGTCTATGACATCCACCCACAGGGGGCTTTGGATTTGATTAGGCCCTTGGAATGCAGCTTAGAAAATGGCTGTTAAAAAGCTGAGGCAAAATAGGCAGTGGGCTTCTGACTCTTAGGGTGGGATGGTGGCCTCTCTGAGCAGGAAGTGTCTGATGTGCTGACAATGAGGAAACAGGCCATGTTTTTGTTTATTTTCTCATAAAGTGCTGATGAACAAATGAGGGAGTTACATTAAGGGGCGCCGAAGGCCAGCTGTGAAAAGAGATTGGGGTTTATCAGCCTTTTAGCGTGGTTTCCTTTGGAAAGAATGCTTATGACATTGCCAGGCTTGCATGCTCACCCCCTCAGCCCATCCCCCTCACTTGCTCCCCTTGATAACTTTGAATGCCTCAAACTGAGGTCAGCCCTTTTTAGCAGATGGGGAGAAGATGGAGGTCATGGGTTCCTTAATAACAGAAGCGAATGGATGGGAGATAAAACCAATTTCCACACACGAAATAATGCACTTTTTGTTTTTTGTGCTTATGCCCGGTAGTTCTAAATTTCTGGGCTCCTTTAAAGAGGTCCCTAGGAAATTGGTGGGAGTGGGTTGGAGAGGGGTTCTGTTGGGAGGAACATTCTTGTCTCCAGATCTAAGACCTTACCTGACATGAGAACAGAGGAAAGTCAGAAATACGAGAAGGGCATTGTCTGTAGCCATGAATAAATCTGCCGCATGGAAGACAAAAATTCTTAAGCAACGTATCTTTTAAAAAGTATGAGGTTTGAATCTTTTGTGGAACAGGTACAGAATAAAGACATACATGATCAAATAATTTTTTAAAAATTAAATGGTCGAGAGCTTATTAATTAAAGAGCAGCCGTTATCACAACTCCTTAGTGGCAGTTGCAGCAGCTTCAAAGTTTATTCCATCTTCCTCTGGGAAAGAAATGAGTTCTGTTTCCCCTGAACTAGAGTCGACATCACAGAAATAAGGCAATGTCTGCTAAAATAACTCAGTAAAAATCAAGTTTGACCACTGCACTTCTGAGTCAAGGGATTTAAAATGTTTCACAGGTGATAGCAATTTTCGCCAAGGTGACCTAGAGTGATTTCAAGGAATAAAAAATAGCACGGAATGAATTTGATCCAATACTTAGGGCTTTTTCAGGGTTTTTTTTTTTATTTTTATATTTCTTACAATGCATGAATATACAATGAAAACAGTAATGGATTTTTGGAAGAGGTTGTCTTATATATTGGAAGGAGATGAAATATTTGATGCGAAACTCAATCTGCTCAGAAATAAAGACTAGCATAAACTTTGCTCTTTCTTGCTGTATATTTTAATAAGATGTGAGGATCAAGTATGTGACAGCTGAAGCAGTTACCATCAGAGATGAATGCGGTCTGGTGAAGTCTTCAGCATGGTACTTGCTAAGGGGGAAGAACAATGCAAGTCGGTAGAGCCTTTCGACAGTGTGATCATTTCTTCTTGAAGGGGGCAAGCTGATGGAATTTCACCATAAGGTAGTGAGTGTATGCAGATTATTTGCAAATGTTCAAGTTACTACACTATTCTCAGCCTCAGTTTCCCCACATCAAGGTGGTGGTGATGACTGTGGACTCTAGAGCCAGGCTTCTGGAGTTGATCCCAGCTTTGTGAGTGATCATCAGCCACTCCTTGTACCAGATTACCCCTTCTCTGTGCCTTAGTTCCTCATCTATAAAACTCAGCTATAAATACCTAATAAATGCTTGCTACTATTTCTTTCTTTTTTTCTTTTTTGAGACAGAGTCTCGCCTGTTGCCCAGGCTGGAGTGCAGTGGTGCGATCTCAGCTCACCGTAACCTCCGCCTCCTGGGTTCAAGCAGTTCTCTGCCTCTGCCTCCCAAGTAGCTGGGATTACAGGCGCCTGCCACCATGCCCAGCTAATTTTTGTATTTTTAGTAGAGATGGGGTTTCACCATCTTGGCCAGGGTGGTCTTGAACTCCTGACCTCATGATCCACCTGCCTCAGCCTCCCAAAGTGTTGGTATTACAGGCATGAGCTACTATTTCTAATAAACATCACATTAAGCCAAAATGGATTTTTCTTTAGAATCTGCTTCGATTCTGTTTTCGTATCTATAAAATGCACAGGGTGATGAAACATTACTTAAGACTAAAAAGTTCAGCACTTCCTGGATGTAAGGTACACTGAAGCAAAAAGCTGAGTTTATTATTACATGTCGTGTGTTACTTTGAAGAGCTCCCATAATATCAGTGGTCTAGACATCCTAGTGCTTTAACGTGACCGAAAAATAATAACATGCATAGCTTATAAAAATACCATACAGGAAGGCCTCAGATCAAAGATACTGTTTAAATGTGAAGCATTATTTTTTTTTATTTTTGGTATTACTCAGACTTTCCTGTGTAAGAAGAAAAAAATACACGGTTTTAGTGAAAAATGCTGCCATGTTGTTTTGCTACGAGCTAACTACAGAAATAAAGGAGTAGGATCAGTTTGATGAAAACTAAAATGACAATACTGTGTTGCAAATATTATGAAAACTACAATACTGTATTGTAAATATTGTGAATTTGGAAAACATCAACTTCAGCATCTTTAATTTTTTTTTCACATTAAATTGCCTAAAAAAACTAAAAGGAAGGATACCACATATTCATACAATTTTGGAGATGAGAGTGTTGTGAGGAATCCTTTAGTCCACATCCCTTGCTTCACAGCTAGGAAAACTGAGGCCCAGAGACTGACAGTGCTTTGCCCAGTTGGGTGATAGTGGAGCCCAGACTAGAATTCAGACAGGCCACCTGATGCCCAGTTACGGCTCTGAGTGAGTATTTCACTCTGCCTTTTGGGAAGCGAACATTTGCAGCAACATTCCTGCCTCCCTAATTCCTTTCCCCAGTGCTGCTTTTATCTCCTGCTTTAAGTTGGAGTCAGTCCAGAGTCCTCAGTCAGAAGCTGCTCTGAGCCTCAGCCTCCTCGTCTGTAAAACAGGATTACTGTAGTCTCATTTGCAGAGTTGCAAGGCGTAGATGAAATAACATTTGGGAAGGACCTGGCAGAGGGTGGGCTCTCAATACATTTTGTTTTGAAAAAATACTATGGTCTTTAAAATTTATTTTTTGGAAAAGAATTTATATGTTGGGATAGGCAAGAAATTGTTCAAAAATATGTTTTCTTGGATCTGGACTCACTATGAACATAGCAAGATTATCTATTATTCAGAATTGAACATTTAATGCTTTTAGCTTACAGACTGGTCCTGCTAAGTGGTAGTGGAACAAAAGCCAATGATGAATAGATTCTAAAAGCACATTTGAATAAAATCAGTCATTCCTTTTCTGGGGAGAGGAAGCCTTTCTGAGGATGGAAGAGTGATAATAATGGTAATAGCAATAATGGTAATAGCAGCTTCCCTTTACTGGGGGCTTAACTATGGGGCAGGCACTCACTAAGCTCTTTAGGGGTTTCCCTCTTACCTCTCACAGCCGCCTTATGAGGTAAGTCCTCCTTTTATCCATGAAAAGCAGAGGCTTAGAGAGATCTAGTAACTTGTACAAGGTAAATGACAGGCTTGGGACTCAGCCCAGATTTTCTGATTCCAAAACCCCAATTTTTTTTTTTTTTTTTAGTGTTTACTGGTTTATGAGAAAGAATACAGATGAACAGCCAGATGAAGAGGTACATAGAGTGAGGTCTGGAAGTGTCTGGAGACAGGAACTTCTGTCCTCATGGAGCTGGGGTGTGTCAGCCTCCCAGCACATGGATGTGTACTTGTTTTGTTTAATTCAACTTTCATTTTAGATACAGGATGTACATGTGCAGGTTTGTTGCATAGGTATATAGCATCCAGGTAAGGAGGACAGTACCCAATAGGTAGTCTTTCAAGCTGTGTCTCCTGCTCCTTCCCACTTCTGGTAGTCTGCAGTGTCTGTTGTTCCCATGTTTATATCCACATGTGTTCAGTGTTTAGCTCCTACTTATAAATGAGAACAGGGGGTATTTGGTTTTCTGTTCCTGCATTAATTTGCTTAGAATTATGGCCTCCAGCTCCATTCATGTTGCTGTGAAGGACATGATTTCATTGTTTTTTTTTGGGCTATGTAGTATTCCACAGTGTTGATGTATTACATTTTCTTTATCCAATCCAACATTGATGGGCAGCTTGGTGATGAACATATGAGGGTATGTGTCTTTTTGGTATAATCTATTTTCCTTTGGGCATATACCCAGTAATGGGATTGCTGCAAAGCCCCAACTTTTAATCTTTGTGCAATTCAAGTTCCTTTCCCCAAATTATCTGTAGTCAAATTCATCAAACAACTGCTTCATTTCTGTTTTGCTAGAGTAGGTACCATCGATTCTCATCATCTGGCAGTTTCCTGGGCTGGTTCCCTCTCTCCTTGTGTACCAGGTCATAGGTACTCATGGCTGTTGTATTAGTTTCCCAGGGCTGCAGTAACAAATTACCACAAACTGGGGGGCTTAAAACAACAGAAATGTGTTCTGGAGCCTGGAAGTCTGAAATCAAGGTACTGGCTGGGCCGTGCTCCCTCTGAAGGCCCTGGGCAAGAATCCTTTCTTGCCTCTTCCTAGCTTCTTTTGAGATCAGGCACGTTCAGTGTGGTCCAGCTGTAGACTCTTCCTAGCTTCTGATGGTTGCCATCAATCCTTGGAGTTCTTGGCTCACAGCTGCAGCACTCCAGTAGCCGCCTCCATCTCCACATGGCTCCTCCCTGTGTGTGCGTCTGTGTCTGCATCTCCTTCTCCTTTTCCCCATAAAGATATCAGTCCCTGGATTTAGGGCCCACCCTAATCCAGTATGACCTCATCTTAACTACTTACATCTGCAAAGACTCTATTTCCAAATCAAGTCACATGGTGAGATTCCAAATGGATGTGAATTTTAGGGGGACACTATTCAGTGGTTATCTCTGGGAAGGAATTTTACCTGGGTGAGAATACATCAGAAAGGACATATTTCAACCTTTTCTAGGGCATTGTGGCTAGACATAGGCAAAACATATTTCACTTTAAATCTCTATTGTTTCTATGATCAGGCATTGTCTGTTGCAAATTACAATGATACATAGTCTGGAATCCATTTCATGAAGCTTTGGAAATTTTAATGGGTTGCAAGCAAAATCTAATTTTTCAGAAGAAATAATGCAGTGGCTCCTTATGCAGCAGCCCCAGAGAGCTCACGGCCACAAACCCTCCAAGGAGTTCACTCCAGAAGTGCTTCAAGGCTCACGTCTCCTTCCTTCAGAGCCCCAGACCTTGGAAAGTGGGGCCATTTGTCAGGAAGCCATTTATCTGTCTTCATTGCTGGTGGGAGTGAAGAGTGACAAAACAATGTTATCAGAGACTGTGTTCACAGTGGTGAGAGGCGTCAGGGAGACCCCAACTGGTCCTACGTTTATTTACCAGAACTGCCAATAAGATTTGTGCCCACGCAAACATGTAGCAATATGCGTCATATTTACGTCGCAGTTCTAGTTGAATCAGGAAGAAAAATTGCACATTTTTAAGCTAGCTTTCTGAAGACACTTTCATGTTTAAAGCCAATTATTTATTTGCTGATGATGGCTTTGTCTCTGGGCTCCATTCCCAATGGCCTTTTTAGCATCCCTGAAAGATGCTAAGCTCATTCCTGCCTCAGGGCCTCTATATCTGTTGCTTCCTGTGCATTAAAATTTTCTTTCCCCAAATCTTCTGGAGACCAGCGACCAACTCTGCCTTCTTGTCACTCTGCCTGCATAGAGGTCTTCCCTGACCTCCCCAGAATCTGTCTACATCACCTCGTTTTATTTTCACTACAGCACAATCCGAACCTGACTTGTGATCATGATTATTTTGACTAATTACTTATATATTTGTTTTTCTCACCCTGTATTCAGACTATAAGCTCCACGAGGCCTGAGGTCTTATTTCATCCATTGCCATATCCCTAGCACCTAGAGCAGTGTCTGGAACATAGCAGGTGCTCAATTAGTATCTGTTGAATGAATGAATAAATGAACAATTGAGTGAATGAGTGAATTCTTGACCTTCCTTCAGTTCAGTCTTATTTCCTCAGGGGAGGCTTCCATGACCTCTCTGACTAAGGTAGATGCCTCCGTTAAAGGCATCATACACTTTCCTTTTATAATGTTTTCACAGTTATAATTTCACATTTATTTGTATGGTTCTTTGATTAATGTCTATTATCCCAATAGCCTGAAAGCTCCACAGTGGCAAGAACACTTACTAATGTATTCCTAATACTCAACACAGTATGTCAATAATTTGTAGGAAAAATGAATGAAGCCAGGTGTGCTGTGAACACCAAAGGTGTGTAGTTAATAGTTAGAAGCTAGCAGGTTCCAGCTGCAGAGCTGGGCTTCAGGTGTAGAATTCCTGCTCCTGGGGTGGTGAAGGGTGAGGAGTTGGCAAAAAGCAAGGTGAGATAGGGAATCAGATGCTGGGAACATGATTAATGCTGTATTCCAGGACTTGGTTACACAGAGGGGCTGCATTTTGGAAATAAGGTCAAGATCTAGTATTTGGCCCAACAGTAAGTCTGATTTGATGCTGAGGGCAGTCAAAGTCACTGCCCTTAAAAATTAGCTTCCTTTCCACCTGTGCACTTGGTCAAAGACCCTATACGCAGCTGCGTCTATGATTCTACGGCTCACGGCTCAGGGACTTCCTCCAGGTTCTGCCTCCCATTCTTTACTTTGAACCCTATTGTTTTGGTCTGGTTTCCCTGGTTCCTTCCTGTTTCCTTGAATCTGGATTTTCCCTCTTTACTTATTCCCTTTGGGTTGATAACTGGGTTGCCTGGGTTGCCTCGCTCCATCTTGGGCTTTTAATAATATGTTCTGCAGCTCATGGCCAATCCTTCCCTGCCTTTTCCCTATTCCTTACCCAGGCCCTGGAGATTCCAGTTGGGCTTGGGGTAACCTGTGTCCAGTGGCCCAGCCTCCTGCTTGTCTGGGAGGAGAGACTGGACACTGAGTCCCCTTGGATGGACCTCCTGGAGTCTCTTAAGTCTAAGATTATGATTAAATACTGGATGGGACTGGAAATCTAGGAGAACATGATACGAAGTTCCCCTCCTGTGCTCATGGCAGGCATCATTAACTGATCATAGCTCCTTTCCCATTGAATCCAGCTTCACAGTTCTCAACACATTGCTCCAAGTAATCAGTAGGAGTAGGCCTGTGATAAATCTGAGTCTGTGAGAGTGTGAGTGAGTGTGTGTGTGTATGTGTGTGTGCAGGGTTGGGAAAAAAATATCAAAAGGCTCAGTTATGGAGTAATGTGGTTAGCAGAGGGTGGAACTAGGTTCAGAATGACAGAGATGTTCTACCATGAGTACATTTGGCAAGCTTGGTTTCTTAGTCTTAAGTGTGAGCTTTGAAATATTAAAATACTTATGAAAAATAATTAATAAGGAAGAACTTACTTAAAATAAGCCTTGGGGATAAATGGGGGACATATGTTGCTAATTAGCTAGCTATTCCTGCAGATAGCCACTGTTTAATCGTTCGCCAGAGCAAAAATGAGGTGTTTATGAGCTGATCTATTAAAGTTTTAAGTGTGCTTCATTTAAACAGTGAAATCTTCAAAGTCTGAAGAGTTTATTGTTGGCTGGAGTTATATGGGGTAGAGAGTCTTTAAGGTGCAGCAGCATCACTGGGAGTTGAGATGAGTCAGGGCTCTAGCCCTGGCCTGCTGATAAGTGGTATAAGACACTGGGTCTACCATGTGTGTTGTTTGGGCCCCGTTCACATCACCTGCCAAAGGAGCAGATTTCTAACATGGATAATTCTCTTTTCGCCTGTAATATGTGTGAGACTAGAATTTATATGTCAAAACATACATGTAAATAAGCATAATTCTTACATGTAAGTAAGTATATTTTCTGCAATTAGGTTGATGTGAATCTAAAAGCAAATTTGCCTGGTGACACTCAAGTCACCTACTTATATTAAATATATTGTGAAAATGCAACTTGGTTTTTTGAATTAAGTTTTATACTTGAAGCCCGGACTCCAACTTGCTCATCTTGCTCCATGCTTCTGCTATAAGACCATAGTGGACATCTCTTATTTTGCAGTCTCAGCATCCAGTCCCTGCCTCATGATTTTCTTTGGGGAAAGTCTCTCCTCCAACCTCAGTTCATATTTAAGGTAGGCTATATGAACTCAGACTCACTGATTAGTGCATCACATTTCTCAGGTCATGGACAATGGTTCAGGGACAGGCACATGACCCCATTAGAACCATCTGAGCATTTTTTTTTAAACAATTGGGAAGAAAGTATCTGTATTTTTGCTGTCTGTTGAGGACATTGCATATAAGTCTGGAGCTGTTGACAGTCGTCTTGACATTATCAGGAGATCCTGAAAATGGAGCAAACACAAAGACAAGTAGGGTGAAATTTTGTGAGATGCCAAGTTCTGAAGATTCCAAATGATCTAGCCATGTGTGAAGTCAGTTACTCATGGACTTCAGTTTCATGAATTCCCAAATATTTTGTTTTCTATTTTTTTGCAGAAGCTATTTTGAATTGGATGTTGTCATTTGCAATGAAAGGAGTCCAGATACAAAGGCACGTATATTTCCCATTTTAAGTGACTGAACAAGAGAAGTAAATCTTCTGAATGGTAAGTCTCATGAGAGGAGGAATAGTGCCTGCTGTCACAGCACCTAGATCAGTGCCTGGCCCACAGTATGTGCTCAAGAAATGTTTATTACAATAATTATACTAATGAGGCCCATTGACCAGCTGTTTTAAGGATATCCATTTTTCTTATATGGTAATAAATGTTTGCTATATAAACTTTACAAAAAAAGATAAACAAGAAAAAAATAACTATCACTTATTACCTTACCCTTCAGAGATAAGCATGGTTAACTTTAATGAATGGTATAGTTCTCAATCACATATCACATATATGTTTTAAAAATGAGATTGTATCTTATATATTCTTTTGATCACTAATATTTCACTTAATAAGTAATAAACCAATTTTGAAATCACTACTTTATGTTTGCAGTGATTTCAAAATTGTTTCATTATACATCAGTTGTAAAATTAATACTTTTAAATGGCTACCTACTGTTTCATAGTGGAGGAACCAAAAATTTTTCAAGAAATCCCCAATTACAGACTATTTGGGTTACCTCTAATTTTCAATGATATAAACAAAATCAGTGTTTACAAATATTAGTGATTATTTCCTTAGAATAATTTTCTAGGAGTGGGATTATTGGGCCAAAGAGTATAAACAGTTTTAAGAATTTTGATACATGTTGCCAGATGGCTTTGTTTTCTCACCAACTTGAATATTAAAAGTTTAAAAAATCTTCGTGAAATTAATAGGTAAAAACTTTTACATTTTCATTTGCTTTTCTTTGTTGTTCGTGAGAATGAAGATTTTAAAAAAGTAATATGAGTCATTGTTATTTCTTCTTTTATGAATTCCAGAGAAGTTTTTTTTTTTTTTTTTAGACAGAGTCTCCCTCTGTCACCCCAGCTGGAGTGTAGTGGAGTGATCCTGGCTCATGGCAACCTCTGCCTCTGGGACCAAGCAATTCTCTTGCTTCAGCCTCCCAAGTAGCTGGGATTACAGGCACCCACCATCACGCCTGGCTAATTTTTGTATTTTTGGTAGAGACAGGGTTTCACTGTTGTCCAGGCTGGTCTCAAACTCCTGACCTCAAGTGATCTGTCTGCCTTGGACTCCCAAAGTGCTGGGATTACAGGCATGAGCCGCTGCTCCTGGCCTCTACAACAGTTCTTTATTTAATCATCTGTTTCTAAGTACATTTGATGTTTATATTTGTTTATATTTGAAGATGCTGCCCCAGCCCTGTGGCTTCCAGAGTAACTTTTTCTGATTGTGAGTAGGCACTTGTTTATTTCATTAATAGCTTTGTCAGTCTTTCAGAAAACCAAGCATTGCATACTTTGCCTTTTAGGTCCCTGAACTACAAAAACATTTTGTGTCTTACTATCATACCTGCTTGAGATGCTAATACTGGCAGTTCTGCTTCATTCAATCACCTTTAAAGGTTTTTTTGCTTATTCTGGACCATCAATGTCAGTAGCAGCATCATTAGAAGTCTCTATTTCACTAGTTTAAATCATTATCTCCTTTCAGCAGATATGGCAAAAGTTTCCCAAATGGTCTTTCTTCCTTACTCTCCTCTCTGGGCTAATCTATTTCTTGGCCTTTCACCTGGAAAATAATCAACCAATCAAAAAAATCAGAGCGTGGATCACATTGCCACCTGTAAACCTTCAATGATGCCACATTGCTTACTGAATACAGTCTGAGCTTCTTGGTTACTGTATTCAAGGCCTTTCGTAATTTGTTCCCAGCTCACTCTTTCATTCCAGTTTTGTATTACTCTCATAATTCGTGAATCTTACCCATTAATCAAACTGAACTGCCTCTACGCCTTTGTTAATATTGCTCTCTTCCTCTTTGAATGCCCTTCATCCTCATCTCTGCTTGTCAAAACCCCTGAAGACACAGTCCATATGTCTTCCCCTCGATGAAGTCGTCCCCACTCCCCCAGCCAGGAAAGTCTCTCCCTCTTAGATGCATCAAACACGCATTGCATATAAATCTTAGAGAACTTATCTTCTCCCCATGTTGTCTCCTATGGTTATGTTTATAAATGACTTGTCTTCCTTAATGAGAAGGGGAACACTCATCTAAATATGTAACTATAATTCTGAAAGGTTTGGGGAAAACTCAGTAAAAAATACTAACATTTAAAATACCTGTTTTTCTTTTCCTCACATTGTGCATCTCGTCTCTGACATTTCCTGTGCTTATATATCAGCATCCATCTTAACTTTGTAACCATTGCTTCTATAGCCCTGATTGTCCCTGATTTTAATCCTGAAATTTACATGGGGTTTTCTAAAATGCACTTCAAGATTCCACCTTGTTTTTCTTCTGTGTTTAGGAGGAAGAAAGGCAGGGCACTGGTAAACACAGCCTGGAGAGCTTCCCCACACAGGCAGCCAGATACTTTGATCATTAGTTATGTTAAGGGTCTTCCTTTCTGCTGCCCCAGAGGATTGGTTTTCCAGGCCTATTTTGAGGAAGCAGAAGTGGCCACTCCCTACATAATCAGGGAGTCCTGTGCTGTTTTATGGGTGTTTATTTATTGTGAATTTAATTATTTATACTCAAAATTCTACAATGTAGAACAGGAATTACACTTTCCCTTTTACATTCAGCTTAGGTTAACTGGACAGAGAGGCTAAGCTTCTAATCTGTGGCACTATACAGTTTAGAATACCTTGCCATCCCAATTGTAACAAGGTCACGATTATACTTGGCATTGTGCTCTTGGAAATCTTCTCTTGTGTCATGCCAATTTAAAAATTGCTAAAATTAATGCTATTAAAAGCATTACAATATGTTGATACAATAAGGAAGATAAAGGCATTCTATTTCTCCAACCTTTCCCTAAACTTCCTTTTTTGGCTCACCAGGGTTCTTACCAGGAAGGTATGGTGTATCATTGAAAACAAGCTTCTCTTCCTTCATGGCTTTAGCTGTGTTTGGCTCTAGGGAGGGAAGGCTTAATTGAAGCTGAGCTCCAAGCTCCTCAGCTTGCCAGGACTCACCAGAGGGAATAGCAGCCTCACTTCTGTAAATATTTAAGGGGCTCAAAGTGATGCCAGTCACATGTCAGAAGAGGAAGCTCTTGACTTCCTCCATTGAATTGTGTCCGGAATTGGTGGGTTCTTGGTCTCACTGACTTCAAGAATGAAGCCGCAGACCCTCACAGTGAGTAAAGACGGCATGCCCGGAGTTTGTTCCTTCTGATGTTTGGATGTGTTCAGAGTTTCTTCCTTCTGGTGGGTTCATGGTCCACTGGCTTCAGGAGTGAAGCTGCAGACCTTCACAGTGAGTGTTACAGCTCATGAAGGCAGTGTGGGCCCAAAGAGTGAGCAGCAGCAAGATTTATTGCAAAGAGCAAAAGAACAAAGCTTCCACAGTGTGGAAGGAGACCCCAGCGGGTTGCCACTGCAGGCTTGGGCAGCCTGCTGCTTTTATTCTCTTATCTGGCCCCACCCACATCCTGCTGATTGGTCCATTTTACAGAGAGCTGATTGGTCTGTTTTACAGAGAGCTGATTGGTCCGTTTTGACAGGGTGCTGATTGGTGTGTTTACAATCCCTGAGCTAGACACAAAAGTTCTCCACTCCCCACTACATTAGCTAGATACAGAGTGCTGATTGGTGTATTTACAAACCCTGAGCTAGACACAGAGTGCTGATTGGTGCATTTACAAACCTTGAGCTAGATACAGAGTGCCGATTGGTGTATTCACAATCCCTTAGCTAGACATAAAGGTTCTCCAAGTCCCCACCAGATTAGTTAGATACAGAGTACCGATTGGTGCATCCACAAACCCTGAGCTAGACACAGGGTGCTGATTGGTGTTTACCATCCCTTAGCTAGACATAAAGTTTCTCCAAGTCCCCACTAGACTCAGGAGCCCAGCTGGCTTCATCCAGTGGATCCCACACTGGGCCGCAGGTGGAGCTGCCTGCCAGTCCTGTGCCTTGCCCCGGTACTCCTCAGCCCTTGGGTGGTGGATGGGACCGGGTGCCGTGGAGCAGGGGGCGGTGCTCATTGGGGAGGCTCCAGTGGTGCAGGAGCCCATGGCAGGGGCAGGAGGGCGGCAGGAGTGAGGGGGAGGGTGGCTGCTAAGGCCCCATGAGAAATTGAGCACAGTGCCGGTGGGCCAGCACTGCTGAGGGACCCGGCACACCCTCTGCAGCTGCTGGCCCCGGGGGCTAAGCCCCTCACTGCCCTCTGAGCACAGGGCCTGCGGAGCCCACGCTCACCCGGAACTTGCGCTGGGCAGCAAGTGCGGGGCACAGCCCTGGTTCCTGCCCGTGCCTCTCCCTCCACACCTCCCTGCAAGCTGAGGGAGCTGGCTCTGGTCTCTGCCATCCCAGGAAGGGGCTCCCACAGTGCAGCATGGGCTGAAGGGCTCCTCAAGTGCAGCCAGAGTGGGCGCTGAGGCTGAGGAGGCACCAAGAATGAGCAAGGGCTGCGAGGGCTGCCAGCATGCTGTCACCTCTCAGAATGAGCATCTATTCCTGAATTAATTCCCACTGAGAGAAAGTCAGAGGCCAGGTGAGAGACTTCTACCCACCAGGCAATTGAGAAAACATCCATATAGAATGAATAGGAAAAGCTGAGGCACATTTGGGCATGGACTCTGTCCCAGGTACCTTGCTAAAAAATTGAAAAATGAATTCCCAATATCCAGCTTCTCCCTGTGGAGAAAAGGGTTTGGACCTCACGTATAACATTCTAGCTCTAAGGTGCCCCATGGCTCGGCTCTTAATTCACCAGTTCTGGGAGCAGAGGGGATGAGGCATCCACAAGTCTCTCTAGACCACAGGAAAAAAGCAGCAGTTTTATATAGGTGCACAAGCACTTCCATGGGCTTTAGGCCCCTGGAGTAGAGAAAGGGCTTGAAAATACAGCTTACTGTTTCTCCCATGAAGGGTTTATGACACAGTCTTCCAGTGGCTACTTGACGGCTGGGATTCTAACTAACTTGCACCAGGGAGTTAAAGGGGTAGACAACTGTTGGTTATAATCTAGCAGCTTGAGAAGCAGATCAGTACTTGCCAAACCTCCTCCGTTACTCATCTCAGTGATAACTCCAGGTATATTAAGCCCTCCTGGAATGAGTTTGTTCACATATTAAGCACCCCAACTTTTACAGCTTCCACCCAAAAGACTGCATCTTAAATCTTCTAGCTTCGACAGCAAAGGGGAATGGACATGTGTAACTCTTCCTAGATTACTAAACGAAGAGGTGGTTTTAAATGGGCATGCAAATACTTTCAGGGGCTATACCTTTTGGGAATGGTGTGAAGAAGGTGCTTAAAAAATGAAGCTTTCTGTGTTTCCCCAGAAGTAGTTTATGGCACACTCTTTTAATGGCTACAGACAGTCGGTTTCTAACTAACTTGCACTGGGACTTAAAAGGGGCAGTCAAGAAGTAACACTCTGGCAGCCTGGGCAGCAGCTCAGCACTTCTTGAGCTTTTTCCTGTGACTCACTTCAGCAATAACTCCAGGTCTACTAATTTCTCCTGGAAGGAGTTTGTCTATACATTAAGTATCCCAACTTTTACAGCGTTCACCCATCCAGTTTGGGATTGCATCCCAAACCTCCTAACTCTTGGAGCAGAAAGGACTAAGCATATGTGAGTCTTCTTAGATTACAGAAGAAAGAGGTAGTTATAACAGGTTCACAGACATTTCTGGGGCTACATTTCATGGGAACAGTGAAGAAAAGGGGCTGGAATGTTCATCTCCTATTTTCTTTCCAGAAAGACTTTGCTGCATATTCTTCTAGTGGCTACTTGATGATCTGGCCTCTAACTAACATGTGTTAGGGAGCTAATTGGGCAGAAAAACGGTAGTGTTCAGGCAGTCTGAGTAGAAACTTAACACATCCTTAGCCTTTCCTCTGGCTCAATTCAGTGATAAATCCAGGATTACCCATTCTTCCTGGAAGGAGTTTGTCCATGCACTAAATGTCACAACTTCTATATCTCTTACCCAAGGGATTGTATCCTTTATTATCTAGCTCTGGGAATCAATGAGACTTTGCATTCCTGAAACTTTCTAGGCCACAGAAAACAAAGACATATAATGGGCTGATTTCTAGTAGCTATTTCTCCAGTATCAGAGGGTGCAGACTGAAAGCAAGCACAGGCATTTGCCACAGAGACTCTCAAACTTACTGCAGAGCAAGTGGGAGAAAAACACCTATACTCAGCTTCAACACTGAGAAGAAACTGGAGCATGCATTCAAACCTCAACTTTCCCAATTACATCTAGAGGATCTGGCTTCTACTTTAATGATTATAGGGTACTTGCAGGACATGGCACATCCTAATCTCTAGGGGCCTACCAAAAACAGAGACAGTAGTATGGGCAAAGATTTGAAAGGCACCTTAAAATCTCTAACTTAATTTGTAAAATCCTTCTCCTTCACAAGACCATTCTGGAAGAGGCAATTGTTTTCTTTAATGAACAGAACCAACACAGAGACAAGTAAAATGAAGAAGCAGGAAAATATATTCCAAATAAAAGGACAAGATATAAATCTATAGAAACCAACCTGAGTGAATTAGAGATATGTGATTTACCTGACAGGGAATTCAAAATAGTGGTCATAAACATGCATACTGAGGTCAAAAGAACAATGTGAGAACAAACTGAGAACTTCAACAAAGAGATAAAAGTATAAAAGAGTACCAAACAGGAATCACAGAGCTGAATAATGCTGTAACTAAACTAAGCAAATTCAATAGAAGAGTTCAGCAGCAGACTAGATCAAGCAGAAGAAAGGATCAGAGAACTTGAAGACAGGTCACTGGAGATCATCAAATCTGAGGAGCAAAAAGAAACAAAGAATGCAAAAAGTGAAGATAACTTAAAATACTTATAAGACATCATAAAGCAGAACAACTGGCACATTGTTGGTGTTCCAGAAGGGGAAGAGAGAGCAAAGATCAGAAAACATGTTTAAAGAAATAATAACAGAAAACTTCACAGGCTTAGATAAAGAAATAGAAAGTCAAATCCAGAAAACCCAAAGGACACACAATAAGATGAATCCGAAAAGACCCATACCAAGACACATCATAACAAATATCAAAAGTTAAAGACAGGAAGAATATTGAAAGCTACAAGGGAAAAGCAAACTGTCACATAAAAGAGAACTTTCATAAGAATATCAGCAGATTTCTCAACAGTAATGTTGCAGGCTAGAAAAGAATGGAATGACATATTCAAAGTTCGAAAAGAAAAGAAAATAGTCAACCAAGAATACTATACCCAGCAATCCCATCTTTCAAAAAAAGAAGTGATAAAGACCTGAGACAAAAGCTGAAAGAGTTTATCATCATTAGAGCTGCCTTACAAGAAATACCAAAGGGAGTCCTTCAGGCTGAAGAAAAAGGACACTAATTAATAACATATGAACATATGGAAGTATAAAACTCACTGGTAAAAGTAAGAATGTTGTTAAATCCAAAACACTGCAATACTATAATGGCAGTGAGTAAATCAATTACATCTTTAGCATAAAGGTTAAAAGGTAAAACTACTAAAAGCAACTAAAACTACAAATTATAAAAAGATGTAAAGTGTGATATCAAAAACATAAAGTATAAGATGAGAGGGAGTAAAAGTATAGAGTTTGTTTATGCAATCAAAAATAAGTTGTTATCAACTTAAAATAGCCTCTTTTAAGTATAAGATGTTTTATGAAAACCCCAGGGTAACCACAGAGCAAACACCTATAATAGACACACAAACACTAAAAAGATAAGATCCAAAGCATACCATTACGGAAAACCATGAAACCACAAAGGAAGAATGCAAGAGAGGAAGAACAGAACAAAGTATCTACAAAATAACCAGGAAAAAAAATTAACAAGATGGCACTAGCAAATCCTAACCTGTCAACAATTACTTTAAATATAATGTAATACACTTTGAACATAAATGATTCGATTATCTAATCAAAGGGCATAAAGCACCTGAATGGATTAAAAAAAAAAAACTAAAAACAAGACTCAACTAAATGCCGCCTACAAGAAACTCATCTTACTTTTGAGGACACTCACAGTTTGAAAGTGAAGGGTTGGAAAAAGACATTCCATGCTAATGGAAACCAAAAAAGAGCAGTGATAGCTATACTTCTTTCAGACAGGATACACTTTTGGTCAAAAACAGCAAAAAGAGACAAAGAAAGTCATTATATTTTGATAAAGGAGCCAATTCATATCTAAGCACCTAAATATATAAAGCAAACATTAAGAGATCTGAAAGTAGACAGACTTCAACACAATAATAGGGAATTTAATACCCCACTTTCAATTATAGACAGATTATCAAGACAGAAATGATGAAATACTGGACTTGAACTACATTTTAGACTAAATGGACTTAACAGACATATATGGAATATTTTATCCAACAGCAATAGAATACACATTCTTCTCAAGTGCATCTGGAACATTCTCCAGGATAGACCGTATGTTAGGCCACAAAAAAGTCTTAACAAATTTAAGAATGTTGAAATCATATTAAATACTTCTTCTAACCATAATAATATGAAACTAGAAATCAATAATAGGAGGAATCAGAAAAATTAAAAAAATGTGGAAATTAAACATTATACTTCTGAACAACTATTGGGTCAAAGAAGAAATGAAAAGGGAAATTAAAAAAATATACTGAGCTAAATAAAAATGGAAACAATATACCAAAACCTATGGGATACAGGCAAAAGCAGTTCTGAGAGGAAAACTCAGCACTAAATACTTCCATCAAGAAAAAAGAAAGATCTTGAATAAACACCCTAACGTTATACCTTAAGGAACTCATAAAAGAAGAACAAACTAAGCCCAAAGTTAGCAGAAGAAAGGGAATAACAAAGTGAGCAGAAACAAATGAAATAGAGACTAGAAAAATAATACAAAAGATCAATGAAACTGAGTTGGTTTTTCAAAAAGATTGGTTTTTGATAAGACTGGTATTTTGAAAAGCTAAACAAAATAGACAAACTCTTAGCTAGGCTAAATTTAAAATGAGAAAAGACTCAAATAAACAAAATCAGAAATAAAAGAGGAGACATTACAACTGATACCACAGAAATACAAAGGATCGTAAGAGACTACTATTAACACAAATAAATTTGACAATCCAGAATGAATGGATGAATTCCTTGAAACATATAACCTACCAAGATTGAATCACAAAGAAATCAGAAATCTGAACAGATGGATAACAATCAAGGAGATTGAATTAGGAATCATATGTCTCCCATCAAGAAAAAGGCCAGGACTAGATGGTTTCATGGCTAAACTCTACCAAGCATTTAAAGAAGAACTAATACCAATAGTTCTCAAACTGTTTCAAAAAATTGAGGAGGAAGGGATACATCCAAACTGATTTTATGAGGCTAGTATTACCTTGATATAAAAGCCAGAAAAAGACACTACCAGAAAAGAAAACTACAGGCCAATATTACTGATGAACATAGATCCAAAAATCTTCGACAAAATACTAGCAAGCCATATGCTATTGTACCTTAGAAGGATCATTCACTATGATCAAGTTGGATTTATCCTTGGGTTGCAAGGATGGTTCAACACATGTAAATCAATAAATGTGATTCACCTTATTAACAGAATGAAAGACAAAAACTGTATGATCATCTCAATAGACACAGAAAAAGCATTTGACAAAATTCAACATCCTTTCATGATAAAAATTTTCAACAAATTTGGTATAGAAGGAATGTTCCTTAAAACAGTAAAGCCATATACAACAAGCTCACAGCTGCCATCATATTTAATGGTGAAAAATTGAAGAGTTTTCCTCTAATATCAGGAAGGAACAAGATATTGATGCCCACTGTCACTACTTCTGTTAAATATATGAGTGAAAGTCTTAGATAGGAGAATTAGGTAAGAAAAAGAAATAAACTGCATCCAAATAGGAAAGGAAAATGTGAAATGATCTCTCTTTGCTGATGACCTAATTTTATAAATGAAAGACCCTATAAACTTCACCAAAAAAAAAACTGTTAGAACAGATAAATTTAGTAAAATTGCAGGATATAAAATCAACTTATAAAAATCAGTAGCATTTTTATGTACTAATGACGTACTATCTAAAAAAGAAATTGGGGAGGTTGCAAGATGGCTGAATAGGAACAGCTCCAGGCTACAGCTCCCAGCATGAGCAACACAGAAGATGGGTGATTTCTGCATTTCCAACTGAGGTACTGGGTTCATCTCACTGGGGCTTGTCAGACAGTGGGTACAGGACAGTGGGTGCAGCCCACAGACCATGAGCTGAAGCAGGGTGAGGCATTGCCTATTCAATATGGGCAGGCAGGCCTCCTTGAGCTGTGGTGGGTTCCATCCAGTTTGAACTTCCCAGCTTCTTTCTTTACCTACTTAAGCCTCAGCAATGGCAGGCGCCCCTCCCACAGCCTTGCTGCCACGTTGCATTTTGATCTCAGACTGCTGTGCTAGCAATGAGTGAGGCTCCATGGGTGTAGGACCCTCCAAGTCAGGTGGAGGACATAACCTCCTGGTGTGACATTTGCTAAGATCATTGGAAAAGCACCGTATTAGGGTGGGAGTGACCTGATTTTCCAGATGCTCTCTGTCACCCCTTTCCTTGGTTAGGAAAGGTAATTCCCTAACCCCTTGTGCTTCCTGGGTGAGAAGATGCCTCATTCTGCTTCTGCCCACACTTGGTGCACTGCACCCACTGTCCTGCACCCACTGTCTGACAATCCCCAGTGAGATGAAAGTGGTACCTCAGTTGGAAATGCAGAAATCATTCATCTTCTGCATTGCTCATGCTGGGAGCTGTAGACTGGAGCTGTTCCTATTTGGCCATCTTGGATATGCCCCCCTCAACATTCGTAAAGAAAAGAACTTTCAACCCAGAATTTCATATCCAGCCAAAGCAAGCTTCATAAGTGAAGGAGAACTAAAATCCTTTACAGACAAGCAAATGCTGAGAGATTTTGTCACCACCAGGTCTGCCTTACAAGAGTTCCTGAAGGTAGCACTAAACATGGAAAGGAACAACCAGTACCAGCCACTGCAAAAACATGCCAAATTGTAAAGACCATCGAGGCTAGGAAGAAACTGCATCAACTAATGAGCAAAATAACCAGCTAACATCATAATGACAGGATCAAATTCACACATAACAGTATTAACCTTAAATGTGAATGGGCTAAATGCTCCAATTAAAAGACACAGACTGGCAAATTGGATAAAGAGTAAAGACCCATCAGTGTGCTGTATTCAGGAAACCCATCTCATGTGCAGAGACACACATAGGCTCAAAATAAAGGGATGGAGGAAGATCTACCAAACAAATGGAAAAAAAAAAAGCAAGGGTTGCAATCCTAGTCTCAGATAAAACAGACTTTAAACCAACAAAGATCAGAAGAGACAAAGAAGGCCATTACATAATGGTAAAGGGATCAATTCAACAAGAAGAGCTAACTATCCTAAATATATATGCACCCAATACAGGAGCACCCAGATTCATAAAGCAAGTCCTTAGAGACCTACAAAGAGACTTAGACTCCCACTCAATAATAATGGGAGACTTTAACACCCCACTCTCAACATTAGACAGATCCACTAGATAGAAAGTTAACAGGGATATCCAAGAATCGAACTCAGCTCTGCACAAGCAGACCTAATAGACTTCTACAGAACTCTCCACCCCAAATCAACAGAATATACATTCTTCTCAGCACCACATCACACTTATTCCAAAATTGACCACATAGTTGGAAGTAAAGCACTCCTCAGCAAATGTAAAAGAACAGAAATTATAACAAACTGTCTCTCAGGCCACAGTGCAATCAAATTAGAACTCAGGATTAAGAAACTCACTCAAAACCGCTCAGCTACATGGAAACTGAGCAAGCTGCTCCTGAATGACTACTGGGTAGATAACAAAATGAAGGCATAAATAAAGATGCTCTTTGAAACCAATGAGAACAAAGACAAAACATATCAGAATCCCTGGGACACATTCAAAGCAGTGTGTAGAGGGAAATTCATAGCACTAAATGCCCACAAGAGAAAGCAGGAAGGATCTAAAATTGACACCCTAACATCACAATTAAAGGAACTAGAGAAGCAAGGGCAAACACATTCAAAAGCTAGCAGAAGGCAAGAAATAACTAAGATCAGAGCAGAACTGAAGGAAATAGAGACACAAAAAACCCTTCAAAAAATCAATGAATCCAGGAGCAGGTTTTTTGAAAAGATCAACAAAATTGATAGACTGCTAGAAGATTAATAAAGAAGAAAAGAAAGAAGAGTCAAATAGACGCAATAAAAAATGATAAAGGGGATATCACCACTGATCCCACAGAGATACAAACTACCATCAGAGAATACTATAAACACCTCTATGCAAATAAACTAGAAAATCTAGAAGAAATGGATAAATTCCTGGACACATACCCCCTCCCAAGACTAAACCAGGAAGAAGTTGAATCCCTGAATAGGCCAATAACAGGCTCTGAAATGGAGGCAATAATTAAGAGCCTACCAACCAAAGAAAGTCCAGGACCAGATGGAGTCACAGCCGAATTCTACCAGAGGTATAAAGAGGAGCTGGTACCATTCCTTCTGAAACTATTCCAATCAATAGAAAAAGAGGGAATCCTCCCTAACTCATTTTATGAGGCCAGCATCATCCTGATACCAAAGCCTGGCAGAGACACAACAAAAAAAGAGAATTTTAGACCAATATCCCTGATGAACATCGATGTGAAAATCCTTAATAAAATACTAGCAAACCAAATCCAGCAGCACATCAAAAGCCACCACGATCAAGTTGGCTTCATCCCTGGGATGCAAGGCTGGTTCAACATACAGAAATCGCTAAATGTAATCCATCCTATAAATAGAACCAAAGACAAAAACCACATGATTATCTCAATAGATACAGAAAAGGCCTTCTACAAAATTCAGCAGCCCTTCATGCTAAACACTGTCAATAAATTAGGTATTGATGGGACGTATCTCAAAATAATAAGAACTATTTATGACACACCCACAGGCAATATCATATTGAATGGGCAAAAACTGGAAGCACTCCCTTTGAAAACTGGCACAAGACAGGGATGCCCTCTCTCACCACACCTATTCAACATAGTGTTGGAAGTTCTGGCCAGGGAACTCAGGCAGGAGAAAGAAATAAAGGGTATTCAATTAGGAAAAGAGGAAGTCAAATTGTCCCTGTTTGCAGATGACATGACTTTATATTTAGAAAACCCCATCGGCTCAGCCCAAAGTCTCCTTAAGCTGATAAGCAACTTCAGCAAAGTCTCAGGATACAAAATCAATGTGCAAAAATCATAAGCATTCCTATAAACCAATAACAGACAAATAGAGAGCCAAATCATGAGTGAACTCCATTCACAATTGCTTCAAAGAGAATAAAATACCTAGGAATCCAACTTACAAGGGATGTGAAGGACCTCTTCCAGGAGAACTACAAACCACTGCTCAACGAAATAAAAGAGGATACAAACTAAAGGAAGAACATTCCACGCTCATGGGTAGGAAGAATCAATATTGTGAAAATGGCCATACTACCCAAGGTAATTTATAGATTTAATGCCATCCCCATCAAGCTACCAATGACTTTCTTCACAGAATTGGATAAACCTACTTTAAAGTTCATATGGAACCAAAAAAGAGCCCGCATTGCCAAGACAATCCTAAGCCAAAAGAACAAAGCTGCAAGCATCACGCTACCTGACTTCAAACTATACTACAAGGATACAGTAACCAAAACAGCATGGTACTGGTACCAAAACAGAGATATAGACCAATGGAACAGAACAGAACATGCAGAAATAATACCACATATCTACAACCATCTGATCTTTGACAAACCTGACAAAAACAAGAAATGGGGAAAGGATTCCCTATTTAATAAATGGTGCTGGGAAAACTGGCTAGACATATGTAGAAAGCTGAAACTGGATCCCTTCCTTACACCTTATACAAAAATTAATTCAAGATGGATTAAAGACTTACATGTTAGACCTAAAACCATAAAAACCCTAGAAGAAAACCTAGGCAATACCATTCAGGACATAGGCATGGGCAAGGACTTCATGTCTAAAACACCACAAGTAACGGCAACAAAAGCCAAAATAGACAAATGGGATCTAATTAAACTGAAGAGCTTCTGCACAGCAAAAGAAACTACCATCAGAGTGAACAGGCAACCTACAGAATGGGAGAAAACTTTCACAATCTACCCATCTGACGAAGGGCTAATATCCAGAATCTACAAAGAACTTAAACAAATTTACAAGAAAAAATCAAACAACCCCATCAAAAAGTGGGCAAAGGATATGAACAGATACTTCTCAAAAGAAGACATTTATGCAGCCAACAGACACACGAAAAAATGCTCATCATCGCTGGTCATCAGAGAAATGCAAATCAAAATCACAATGAGATACCATCTCACACCAGTTAGAATGGTGATCATTAAAAAGTGAGGAAACAACAGGTGCTGGAGAAGATGTGGAGAAATAGGAACACTTTTCACTGTTGGTGGGACTGTAAACTAGTTCAACCATTGTGGAAGACAGTGTGGCGATTCCTCAAGGATCTAGAACTAGAAATACCATTTGACCCAGCCATCCCATTACTGGGTACATACCCAAAGGATTATAAATCATGCTGCTATAAAGACACATGCATATGTATGTCTATTGCAGCACTATTCACAATAGCAAAGACTTGGAACCAAGCCAAGTGTCCATCAATGATAGACTGGATTAAGAAAATGAACTTTTAGGATTCACTAGAGGGAGAAGCGTGTGTAGTGATGACTCTAGCAGGGCCCAGAGAACTCTGATCCCATGCGGGTCTGGTGCCCTGGATGCTCGGTTTTCAGGGTCCTGAATAGGGCTGGATGATGCTCAGCTGTGGAAGCCACAGATCGTTAGCTCTGGCTGTGATTCCTCAGCTTTGCCTTTCTTACAAGGGGGACCAGACCCTTAGGGCCACCAGGCTCTTCTTCTGGCGTGGTGGGCCTGCCCCAGCGGCACCTCCACTTCACAATGCTGTCTCAGGCTCCATGTGCTGAGACTTGTCATTTGAACACCTAGGTGTCTGGAAGCCAGGTGACAACATGTGATGTGATTTAGTGGTGCCTACATACTCATGTGAGGCAGATCAACCTCGTCCTCAGGAATGATTACAGGAACTGGGAAGACAGTAGAGAAACTTCACCTTTGGGATAAGAAGAAGTTGCTAGGCTCCCAGGTCTTGAGGCTCCTTTCTTATAGTTTGATGGACCAGGCTGAGCAGTCACAGGACCTTGGGCAGTGGCTGAAGTATTTCTGATTAGAGGAACGGGTTAGGGTTGGCAAGGAAGCTGTTCTGAATGAGTACACTGTGGGATGGGACCTACTGACATTTGCACTGGGCTGTCGAACTTTCAGGCTGGGTCACCCAGAGTCAGTTGTACTCCTTTATTGGGCCCCAAGATTCTCTCCAGTAAAATGGCTTCCTTAACATGGAAATCATTAAGGAACAATTTCCTCTCAGAGTTCTTGGAATGTTACAACAAAGGTGATGTGTTGAGGATGGGCCCAGCGTGCGCTCAGCCTGGTCATCATTCATAGTAAGGATTCCTCATGGCCTGAGATAGAGGCAGCAGGAGACCTCACCCTGTTCCTATCAGATCGGCCAGGGAGGGAAGTGCCTTCCTGGTCAATCGAGTGACTCCTGGGTAGAGTCCAGAGGATTAAACTTCCTTTACAGGGCCCAGCCAGTAGCTATCAGCTGACCAACTTTCCTCAGATCACTCCCTGGGCTTCTGTGTGGACACAACAGAAGAGAGTACTGCTCTATCACCAGGGTAGAGTGCAGTGGTGCAATCATGGCCCTCTGCAGCCTCCAACTCCTGGGCTCAAGCTATTGTCCTATCTCAGCCTGTCAAGTAGCTTGGACTGCGGGAAGATGTTTTCTGGCCTTTTCGGTCTACTGGTGCTCCTGCAGGAAGGCTGCAGTTCTCAACAGCACATGGGGAGCCCTCATCTGGTGTTTGGCTTAATTCCTGGTGCCTGGATTTCTGGAGATAGGTGTGATCGATGTGGCCAAGAACATCCTTTTCCACCCATATTGGAGAGATCGCTGTGTGGATCTGTTCCCTATAATTTAGAAGCAGCTTTTCACCTTGATGCTCAAATGACCATGCTTAACCACTACCTGCCCTGCATCCTTTTCACCAGCTGAGATTCCCAGCAAGCAGCAGGCTCCCATCCTGGACTCCAAGGAGACAACTCTTCCCTGTGCCTTCACCTGCAAAGCTGTTGCCCTCTCTCCCAGATCACGATCACAAGACTCCAAATTACTGAGTGGGGTCCAACGAGGTGGGACTGTAAAGAACATGTCCTGCGGACATTACCTTCACTGTTCTCATGAGTGGGATGGGAAGAAAAGAGTCCTCCCCTTCCAACTGGTGGATTTTCTGGGCTTGGAGGGAGGAAAACAAAACAAAACCAACCAAACAGAAAATAACTATTACCTGAATTATTATGAAACTTCAGAGAAAACTACTTATTTGAAGAAAATAAAATATGATTTATGTTGTTGAATTTGTATTGCCAAAAAAAAAAAAAAAGAAAATGTGGCACATATACACCATGGAATACTATGCAGCCATAAAAAAGGATGAGATCATGTCCTTTGTAGGGACATGGATGAAGCTGGAAACCATCATTCTGAGCAAACTATTAGAAGGACAGAAAACCAAAGACTGTACGTGCTCACTCATAGGTGGGAATTGAACAATGAGAACACTTGGACACAGGGTGGGGAACACCAGACACTGGGGCGTGTCGTGGGGTGGGGGGAGGCAGGAGGGATAGCATTAGGACATATACCTAATGTAAATAATGAGTTAATGGGTGCAGCACACCAACATGGCACATGTATACATATGTAAGAAACCTGCACGTTGTGCACATGTACCCCAGAACTTAAAGTATAATAAAAAAAAAGAAATTAAGATAGCAGTCCCATTTACAATAGCATAAAAGTAAAATAAAATACTTGAGTAAATTTAAACAGGAGGTGACAAATCTTTATAGTGAAAACTACAAAGCATTGATGAAAGAAATTGAAGATGACACAAATAAATGACACCATCTTCATGGCTTAAAAAATTAATATTGTTAAAATATCCATACTATCCAAAGTAATCTGCAGATTAAATACCTTCCCTCCCAAAATTCCAATGTCATTATTTATAGAAATAGAAAAAACTACCTTAAAATTTGTATGGAACCATAAAAGACCTCAAATATCCAAAGCAACCTTGAGCAAAAAGAACAAACCTGGAGACATCACACTAATGGATTTTAAAATATGTTAGAAAGCCATAGTAATCAAAACAGCATGGTACTGGTATAAAAGCAGACACACCAACAAATGGAATGGGATAGAGTTCGCAGAAATCAACCCTCACACCTATGGTCAATTGATTTATGACAAAGATGCTAAGAATGCACAATGGGGAAAGGACGGTCTCTCCAATAAATGGTATGGGGAAAATTGGATATTCACGTGCAAAAGAATAAAAATGGACCCTTGTTTCATCCCTTATACAAGAATCAACTCAAAATGGATCAAATACTTAAATGTAAGACCTGAAACTGTAAAAGTACTAGAAGAAAGCAGGAGAAAAGCTCCATGACATTGGTATGGGCAGAGATTTCTTGGATATGACCCCCAAAACATAGAAAATCAAAGCAAAAAATAGACAAATGGGATTGCATCAAACTAAAAAGCCTCTGCACAGCAAAGCAAGCAATTAACATAGTGAAGAGACAACCCACAGATTTGAAGAAAATATTTACAAATTGCATGTTGTATAAGGGGTTAATATTCAAAATATATAAGGAACTCAAACTAATTAATAGCAAGGAAAAAAAAACCCTATTAAAAAAATGGGCAAAAGGCCAGGCAAGGTGGTTCATGTCTGTAATCCCAGCACTTTGGGAGGCTGAGGTGGGAGGATTGTTTGAGGCCAGGGGTTCGAGACCAGCTGGTCAACATAATGAGACCCTGTCACTACCAAAAAACACAAAAATTAGCCAGAAGTCGTGGCACATGCCTGTAGTCCCAGCTACTTGGGAGGCTGTGGCAGAAGGATGGCTTTAGCCTAGGAGTTTGAGGCTACAGTGAGCTATGATTACACCACTGCACTCCAGCCTGGGTGACAGAGCAAGACCCCATATCAAAAAAAAGAAAAAAAAGAAAAACAAAAAGAAAAGAGCAAAGGACCTGAGTAGACATTTCTCAAAAGGAGGCATACAAACACACAAATGGGCATCAAATATATGAAAAAATGCTCAATATCTCCAGTCACTGGAAAAATGCAAATTAAAACCACAATGAGATATCACCTCATACATGTTAGATTGGCTATTATAAAAAGGATGAAAGCTAACAAATGTTGGCAAGGAAGTGGAGAAAGGGAACCTTTATACACTGTTGGTGGTATTGTAAAGCAGTATTGTTATTTTGTAAAACAGTGTGGAGCTTCTTCAAGAAACTAAAAATAGAACTATCATATGACCTAGCAATTCCACTTCTGAATATATTTCCAAAGGAATTGAAATCAGTATTTTGAAGAGATGTCTGTACTCCTGTGTTCATTGCAGCATTGTTCACAGTAGCTAAGATATGGAAATAACCAAGGTACCCATCAACAGATGAATAGATTTTAAAAATGTGGTTTATATACAATGTGGGATACTATCCAGCCTTTAAAATGTAGGAAATTCTGCCATTAGCAACAACACGGATGGACGTTATGCTGAGTGAAATAAGCCAGGCACAGAGAAACAAATACTGCATGATCTCACTTATATGTGGAATCCAAGAAAGTTGAACTTACAGAAGTAGAGATTAGAATGGTGGTTACCAGGGGCTGGGGGTGGGGGTGACAGGTGGCATGGACAGGGAAATGAGAGATGTTGGTCAAAGGGTACCAAGTTTCAGTTAGACAGGAGGCATAGGTTTTAGTGATCTATTACACAGCATGGTGAGTATAGTTAACAATACTGTATTGTGTATTTCAAAATAGTTAAAAGAATGGATTTTAAATATTCTCACCACAAAGAAATGATAAATATTTGAGGTTGATGGCTATGTTATTTAGCCTGATTTGATCATTCCTTAATGTACTCATGTATGAAAACATCACATTTTACCCCAGAAATAGATACAATTATTATTGATAAATTAAAAATAAAATTAAACTTTAAAAAAGAGGAAAAAATATTTGAGGGGCCCGGTCATAAGGATGAGCCATTATCTTTACCAGGAGAAGCTTTTCCCTTAAAATGTCTATTGTCACCTAAGCTCATCTATTTGCTCTCTTGGCTTTGAAGGGGCTGAGATAAGTTTTCCAATTCTTAAACTTCTAAGTGTTTCACTCCATTTAAGAAGCTGCTGATGGTTCATTGCCTACTTTATGCCATTCATTCATTCATCCATTATTTATTGATCTCCCATTCAGTGCAAGATCCTGGGCTCAATACTGTGAAGAAAACAAATATAAATAGTACATTTCTGATCCTCACTTACAAGAAGCTTCTGGGCCAGTAGCAAAAACATACATTGAAACAATCAAGCATTATAGAAATACATAGAAAATAGGTATTTATTAGCAATATATAGTACACGGGAACCCAGAAAGGGAATAATTAATTCTACCTGGAGAACCTCTGAGATGGTTTCATAATGAGGTAAAACTTAATTCGGGTCTTAGAAGATGAGTTGTATTTTGATAGTTGAAGAATGGGGAGAAGGGACATCTAGATTTCAGAAACAGAATGAACATAATACGGAGGCTGGAAAATGCATGGCATCTTCTGCTATGGTCAGGTGAGGTTGGAACATGGGGCATATACATAGATTGAAGGTGCTGAGATAGGAAAGGTAGGCTGGTGTTGGACTTTGGAAGGCATTTAATTCCAAGGGCATTGAAACATAATTCTCTACACAAGGGAGAGCCATTGAAGTTTTCTGAGGAGGGCAGTCTCCTGAATGAATTATGTTTTACAAACATCATTCTGGCTTCACTGTAAAGAATGGGTGAATTTGTGGGCAGACAAACCCAGTAAGAAGCTTATCCAAACAAGAGATAAGGAAAAGGAGACTCAAGACTATTTTATCAAATCCTGAGCCACTTATAATTTTTTTTTCTGCTAAATTTAAGGAGAGTCCAATTGCAGGGTAAGCCCTTCTCTACTCTTTAAAACATGTGGCCATGAAGATTCACTGTCTATATAGATAGGAGCAAGCATAAGAAACATGCATGTTATAGAAGAGAAAAAAAACCGATTCTAACAACCTAATTAACTTGATTCTTTCTTTTTTTTATTTGTATAAATTTAAGGGGCACAAGTGCAGTTTGGTTACATGGATATATTGCTTAGTGGTTCAGTCTGGGCTTTTAGTGTAACATCACCTGAATAATGCACATAATACCCATTAAATAATTTTTCATCCCTCACCCCACTCTCACCCGCCTCCCCTTTCCTTTAATTTAGAAAAAGATGATTTCCAGAAATACTTAAAGAATGAGGGCAGCAATTTAATTTTTAAAAAGCAGACATAAGAAGGGCATTTCTAAACTCTGTTAGACTGTTAGTATCAACGAGGCATTTATGGCACAGCTAGAGTTTGCGAGGCCTATGTGGAAGAAAAAAGACCTCACAAGCTCCAGTTAAGTTTGAAGAACCAGACATAGTCTCATAAGAAAACAACCAAGTATACCACGCCCTACACATGATAAGGGGGTTTGATAAGAAAATGCTCCAGGAGAGTTGTTTTCCTCAATCCTTTTTTTTTCTTTTAAATAAGAAGAATTATGTTAGCTTTATTAACCCTGATGGCTTCAAAAACTCAAGGCAGGAAGCCAAAGGCAGGAGAGGAGGTTGAATATTTTCAGAGGACTGGTTTGGAAGTTCACAGTGGCCATATCCAAGGATTTAAGTCTTTGTTGTCATATAAAATTGAATATGAATATGAACATTCTTTAGTAATGTGTATCTTATTCAATTAAATTCAACTATTTTTTTGTGGTGTATCTATTATGTGCAAGCCACTGTTCTAGAGTAAAAAGATGAGCAAGAAATTATCTTGGCTTTTTCCTATAAATGGGAGAGCAGAGGTATTTACTTCCACATCTGTATTTGATTAGAAACCTTCTCATTGTCCTACTGCTGATGAAATAAAAATCATGGAGGGAGGATGTGAAGTGAAATAGTGGTAGTGAGTTATTTTATTTGTATTATTATTATTTTTCTATTTTGCTGTCAGAGACTTGGCTGAACTTTTGTTCTGATCACTCTGTAAAGTTTATTTTTCTCATCTGAAATATGGGGGTAATAACTACAAATGTGAATGTGCCCAGCCCAGGGCCCCTGGGACTCAATAAATTAGGTTTATTTTCTCTCTTAGTGGATCAGATTCATTAGCATCACAACTTTCTCAAATGAGTTTATTATTTCTTTTGATGTCCCATGGCACTATTCCTTTTTTTTTTTTTTTTTTTTTTTTTCTTTTAAAGAGAGAGTCTGGCTCTGTTGTCCAGGCTGGAGTGCAGTGGTGCAATCTCGGCTCACTACAAGTTCCGCCTCCCGGGTTCATGCCATTCTCCTGCCTCAGCCTCCCGAGTAGCTGGGACTACAGGCGTCTGCCACCACGCCCAGCTAATTTTTGTATTTTTTTTCAGCAGAGACGGGGTTTCACCTTTTTAGCCAGGATGGTCTCGATCTCCTAACCTCGTGATCCGCCCGCCTTGGCCTCCCAAAGTGCTGGGATTACTGGCGTGAGCCACTGCGCCCGGCCTTTTTCTCTGTTTCCTTTGGTCTTTTTTCTCTTCCCCGTTGATGATTTCTCTTCCCTTTTTACCTTCCACAGCTGACTTCTGGTTTATCCTTTCCTCTGCTTCCTGATACTAAATGTCTGTCTGTTTTGATTCAAATAGGGAACTGACGTTTCCATTTTAACACCGTTGTGTTTATCATATAAATTCTTAGTTTTCCAGTTCTAAATGACAGGTGAATGCAATGTTTCATATTAATTTCAGAAACGTGGTGGTATCTTTTATTTTATTTAGCCTTGTCATCTCCCATTCTTCCTGGAGAGGTGATCTAGTGAAGAAAGGTCCATCCCTGTGTCTGCTGGAGATAAAAATTGCCCTAGTCAACTTTATAAATGGATTAATCTGTGTTTGATTATTGTTACAGGATAATTGGCCAGGCTAGCTTTTGCCACGGTACCTCCCTGTCCATTTTTTCCACTGTGCTCACACCCAGTACTCACAGGTGGCCAGATTTCAGATCTGCTATTCTGAGCAAAAAAACCAAGCTCTGGAATAAATGTTGGAAGGCAATTCCAATGAAGTTGTTTCATTTCTGCCCTTCAAGAGCACATGTTCTCTGGTTTGGAGAGGTGAACTGATCTCAGTGGGATTTACAGTGGATCTCTGGGAACCTCTCATCTACTTGTTTTTCTTTACATGGAAAATAATAGTATTCATTTTTTCATTCATACCATGTATCTACTTCGAGCTTCTTTGTGCCAGGATCTGTGCTAGGTACTCTATGTTGAACACTGTGCCTGGTAGCACAACACAATTTTACAGATGAGGAAACAGGTTCAGAGAGGTTGATGATGTTCCCATGAGCAGTTTTCTCAGATTCAAGCCCAGCTTCTCATGACTTTTATTCCTTCTCCCATTTTTGAACAACTACTGTGTGCTAGCTTCTGTGCTAGGCATGTTCATGCTTAATTTACCAACAGTAGAAATAAAGATTATTAACCCATTTTACAGATGAGGACCCTGGAATATGGGCTTGAGCTTAAGTACTGAAGAGAATAGTTTTGAGAAGGAGTGGAAGGTAAGATTAGGAAGGCAGAATGAAGATCAGCTTATGGAAAGACTTGAATACTAAATGAAGGAGTATAGACTGTATCTGAGAGGTCATTGTAAACCCCATAGGCTCTTGTTTTTATTTTCCAGGAGAAATCGTACTCCTCAGACAAAAGCAGCTTAGGTTATTATACAAATAAGTGAATATGTGAAAATGTTTTCAGTTTTTGACATGAGGAAAACCTCTTAAAGGCATCACTATATTTAAATAATAATAAAACAGAAAAAAACAATATTTTGGTAAGATTTATCAGTCAAATAAATGAGAAGCTGGCTATATGGATTTGTGATAATTACAGTCACAGCAAAAACTACAATGCTAGTTTTTGACTCAAATACTGACTCAATATAAAAGGAAAATATATCAGCTCCAAAGAAGGGCCCCCCCTTAGGGAGGATTCACTAGAATCAAGGTCAAGAATATCTACAAAGTCATAGCTGTAAATGATGGAAAAGCCTTATATAATTGGGATTTTACTTTAATCTCAAGTCATTTTCACTGATTTGGACACTGTGAGTTTCACATTCCCAGAATTTTACTTTTGATTATCTACGAAAAAAAGACTACCAAATAATTTAATAGTCTAAAAAAGATGTTGTGAAGATATTTAAAGTGCTTGGGAGCACAAATCATAATTGAGTGCCTCCATGTGTTTCAGAAAAACACCTTATATATAATTTATATACTCTCTACAGATGACTCTTTTTTTTTTTTCAAGACAGAGTCTCGCTCTGTTGCCCAGGCTGGAGTGCAGTGGCCTGATCTCGGCTCACTGCAACCTCTACCTACCGGGTTCAAGAGATTCTCATGCCTCAGCCTCCAAGTAGTTGGGATTACAGGCGTGCACAACCATGCCCGGCTAATGTTTAGTAAAGACGGGGTCTTGCCATGTTGGTCAGGCTGGTCTCGAACTCCTGGCCTCAAGTGATCCGTCTGCCTCAGCCTCCCAAAATGCTGGGATTATAGGTGTGAGTCTCCGTGTCCGGCCTACAGATGATTTTTATGATCTGCTAAAACTTTCCTAAGGACATCTATGAAGCCTCATTTTATTAATTTGGTTTTAGTATACATTTTAAGGTAAATTTACATATATGAAATCTTTCAAAATATTCTCAGTAACAAAGTAGTAGATTTTTATATATGTGTATATAAAATTCAAATATATATGTGTATTTTAGTATATTATACCAAGTAAATTAGATACATTTCAAAGATGAAAAAAGGTTATTAGAGCAAAGGACATTCATATGAATAAATTGGCAGTCATTACTTGATTTTTAGACTTGCCACCTGCTTCATTTATTTGCAATTAGTATCTGCTGATTAGAACTAGAAACTTCCTTTTGCTAATATAGTTCAGAATATTTTGAAAGATAAAACATCAGAATCTTATTTCACTAAAGTCATTGAGCACAATTATATATTACATATGACAATAGTTATATTAAATTTGACATAAGAACTAGGGGATTATGTGACCCATGCTGAAAATATCATAAAGAAAACAGCATAGAATATACAGCTGACTTCAATATTCACTTTTTTTCCTCTGTAAAACTTTATGTCTACATATTTAGGGTGGAAAGGGAATCTGAAGCTATTATCCTACATAAATCAAAGCTCTCCATTATGCATTACCTTCCATTTTCTTTGTAGTTCAGCTAGAAGTAGTTTTCTTTTTTGCCCATACTTTCTAGGTATTTATGTAAATTCTCAATTCCCATGGATGCTTACAGCCTTTTCCTTTTGAAGGTGTTCTCAGACTAGCTCTGGTATTCTCAAGAGTAAAGAGGATGTGTTGTACATATTTTGTATCTCTTCAAGTGCCTGGTACAGTGTTCTGTACACAATGAAAAGTTTTTGTTTTTTTTTTTTGTGGTGGAGTCTCCCTCTGTCGCCCAGGCTGGAGTGCAGTGACACGATCTCGGCTCACTGCAACCTCCGCCTCCTGGGTTCAAGTGATTCTCCTGCCTCAGCCTCCCGAGTAGCTGGGATTTATAGGTGTGGGCCACCATGCCCGGCTAATTTTTGTATTTTTTTTAGTAGAGACGAGGTTTCACCAGGCTGATATCCAACTCCTGACCTCAGGTGATCCGCCCGCCTCGGCCTCCAAGAGTGCTGGGATTACAGGAGTGAGCCACCACGCCTGGCCACACTAAAAACTTAATGGAAGTTTTTAAATGATGGTGGTGTTAGGATTGATGGTGGTGATGAATAATGGTGACGGTGGTGATGAATGATAGTGATGGTGCTACACTGGGCCATGTAGCAGTTTCAGATCACCAAAAACATAATGGCATCCATTGCACTGTGAAGCCAGGCAGTGGACTATTTAAAAATGGTTATAGCTTAAATGTAGCTTGTATCTTTTTAAGCCAATAGGGTAAGAGTGTAGAGACTCTGGAGCTGGAGTGCCTAAGTTAAAAATTTTTCTATTCCACTTACTAATTCTAAAACCTTGTGCAAGTACCTTAATTGCTCCATGCCTCAGTTTCCTCATCTGTAAAATGGAGACACTAATAGTATCTACTTTTAAGGGCTGTTATACAGACTAAATGGCTGGCAGTTATATAATGGACTTAGAAGACTCTCTGCTACACAGTAAATAGTTGATAAATGGAGCTATTATTCTTATTATTAAATAAAGTTTTAAAATAAAAAGATACATGCTCATTATAGAAAAATTAAAAAGTACAAAAGCAGAAAAAAGAATATCACTCAGTGTTCCATCTTCCAGAGCAACCACTTGTTAATATTTTGACATATTTACTTTTATTGTTTTCACAGCTTTTAAAATAAACAATTTTAAAAATTCATTTAAATTATGTTTTAAGCTGCTTTTGCCTTTGGAGGAAAAGAAAACCGAATTAGTTCACTTCAACATCCACTGATCTCTTTTTATGACAATTGCATGATGCTGGCAGGTCGTATCTCAACTCTGTAATAACATTTATCTCGATTTTCTATTCTGCAACTTTCTTTTGAGCATGTTTTGTAGTTGAGGATTTGTGCAAAATATATATGACTGTCCTTGCCATTTCTGAAGCAGTCTTCAGAGAAGTTATATCTTTGAATATAACTTTATTATTTTTGGTCCCAAAGTGAGGATTCATGATTACTGTACCTAATGACTTGGACATTCTCCTAAATTATGAGCACATATCACAGTAAACCATGACAACATTTGCTAAGTCAAACTCTTCCACATTCCTATTAAATATTTGCAATGCATCTTCATCTATGTCCAATACAACCACAACCCTGCTCCTACCATTGTAGCTTGGATGCTAAGCACTCTACCACCATGTTCTAGATCTGCAACCACTTTAATTTCAATGTCATCCCCTGTGTAGTGGATTGTATAGAGCATACAGGCTTAAATATACACGCTGGCCAGGTACTATTCTAGAGGTCGCCTGGCTGTTTGAATCCATCCACTTAATGCAGCTGACACTGTAGGCCTTTAAGCCTTAATTTCTTCACTTTTTTAAAAAGTGTGGGCTCACAGGGTTTAACAGTGCACCTTTGCTGGGGCTGAAACTGTTTTCACATTTATACTGTTTTAATAATTGTATATCTTAAGTTATGCAACTTAGTAGTGTAGTCTGAGAATTGATAAGATATGCAGTTGACAAATTTAGGTAAAAACATTTGGCAATCATAAAAATGACATATTCAGACTGGAAACGTGGAAAAATGTTTAAGATAGTGTTAAGTGGAAAAGGCAGAATGTAAAATTAACATGTGTATGCTATGTATACAATTATGTAAAATTAAATGTGCAAAATAAAGTTACTATTAGCGGGGTAGGATTGTGTATAATTTATTATAATTATCATTATTAGCCTTATTATTAATGTTGTTATTGTTACTTTAACCTTCCTATGTCAAATTTATTTTTAAAAACATGGTGCCCAGTTGAATTGTAATTGTTCCATGGCTGATGACAGTGTGAACTCTGCTATCCCCGCATACCATGGGCCTGGAAGGAAGATGTAAAGAACTGCAAAGGTGCTATGCACTTGGTACAGCCTCGTACTCACAAGCTTAGTGTTGGGTTAGTTTGAGCAAATGGAGCCATGGTGGTACATATCCTGAGGTTGTTCAGTTCAGCAACATCAGTCAGATGTGGTGTCGTGGCACCCTGGGACTAGCATTCCATTGGCAGGAAAGGGTTGAGTGTGTGTTGAGGGGAAGGAGGAAGAGGAAAAGATACAGGTAGGGTCAAAAGGAAGAGGTGGAGGATGCAAGGTCTAAGACAAGAGAAGTTCAGGAGGGCAAGTTTCCTTGAACCATAAGCTGTAGCAAACATTTAGACAGCTGTGAATTGCATATACTGTTTTAAATGATACTGTATCATCTCTACAAATATCTATATTTCCTTTGCCACCATTTCTTGATATTTACATAAAAAGGAGTATTTCAGTTGGAGATTACATGCCATCTCTACTGGCAATCCTGAGGGGTGAGAGGCATAGTGACTTGGCAGGGGAGATTGAGGAGGACATTTGTAAAACCTGTGAAAACGTCACAGGACAAATAAACATTTAAACTGCCGGAGGTTTTCCTAATGAAGCAGCCAGATTATTACGCTGTGCATCCTGCCCTGCCAATGGTAACTTGACCCTGGCCCAGATGAGTAGCAATATTTGCCAGGTTTCAATGAATTCCAATAGCAGTAATTTCACTACCTGATTTTGAGGAGGGAGACCGGAGGTACAGGCTGGCGAAAAGCCTTAAGTTGTTCAGAAACACTTATTTGTTGGACTCATTTCAGAAGCATCTCTTAAAACGGAAGGATGAGGTGCCTCTATTTCACAGAATGACTGCCTGCTGCCAGATTAGAATTTTCCCCATAAGACCTCTCTCGTTGAGGAGGGTAGCAATAGCAAGTCATTTGGACAGATGGAGCTTTTCTCAATTAAAAGGAAACCCTTATTTAAAACCAAAAGAACATTTTAATTTAATTTTACCTCTTGGGTAAAAGAAAATAATAGCAATATATATTTTCCTTTTCACACAGTTTTTATAAAACTTTATCTCTGGGAGTTTTATTTTACTTCCAGCCCAGGGAGGGTTATGGTTTCAGGGTTGCAGAGGGCTTCTGTTGGATGTACTTGCTGAAACTGTCTGGAGCCTATGTTTTATTAAAATCGACATTAAAAGCAGAAAATAGTCCCTGCAAAAGGAGTAGAAAGTAGTTCATGCTGTGGCACTTGCAGAAATATAAGAGCAGTGAAAAATTTAATACTCAGAAGCAAAAACAGGAAGGACAAGAAATTCACTTTCAGGGAGAGCTGGAGGACTTTGGAGGACTTCCTCCGTAATCCCCTCTTCTCTCCCTGTATTTGTGTAACTAATCCCCACCATCTGCGCAAACAGATCAAGGGACACGCATCTTTGGGGTGGGGTGTTTCTCTGGGAGACAGTTTGTATCTCTGGGTTGAGTGGATGACTGTCACTAATTGATTCCACCTTAGAAGGCTGAATGGGATAGTTAATGAGTGCAGTTTCCTTAGCGCATTTCAAATGAATCTGCACAAAATTACAGGGAAAAAAAAGTGTGGAGCTTTGAAGGTTTTCTGGCTTATTAAATTTTCCAGCAGTTTAATGATTGACTAAATACATATTAGCAAGTTTAAAACCCAGGAACACTGGGCAGATAGACCTAATTGGGCTTTTGAGCAACTCAGTGGGGACTGGGGAATGTAGGCAGCTGATGTGAATATTCCACCACACTTTGGATGACTACTGAAGTGTAGGCAGGGCTGGGGTAGGCATGTGTCATCCCTGGACTTGGTCCAGAAGAGAGGTGATAGATTTTCCTTTGAGTAAACACCACATTCCTAAGCCCCTGTCCCACCATGCTCTATGAATGCATTTACTCTTTTGCTTGTATGTAATATCAATATTTAATTGTAATTATAATCTATATACTGGGTGTGTGGGGTAAGACAACATAGGGACCTGTGTTTCAGGAGCCCAAGTGTGGTTGTGGAATGGGCACATACAAAAATGCACAATAAAATAGCATAACTGACTGCGTGCGGTGGTTCATGCCTGTAATTCCAGCACTTTGGGAGGCCAAGGTGGGAGAATTGCTTGACACCAGGAGTTCAAGACCAGCCTGGGAATCATAGTGAGAACTCCATGTTTCCCCCCAAAAAAAACAGCCAGGCATGGCTGCATGCGCCTGTAGTCCCAGCTAATCAGAAAGCTGAGGCAGGAGGATTGCTTGAGCCCAGTAGTTTGCAGCTGCAGTGAGCTGTGATGGTGCCACTGTACTCCAGCCTAGGCGAAAGAATGAGATATCATATCAAAAAAAAAGAAAAGCATAACTATTAAAATAATTCGGATATTTAGAAAGTGGTAAAAACCACTTTGGAAAAACGTTTAGCAGTACATGCTAACATAAAACATACATCTATCCTGCGACCCAGCCGTTCCTCTTCTGGACATATCCCCAACAGAACTGAGTGCACATGTTCACAAAAAAGATATTTACAAGAATGTGCATAGCAGCTTTATTCATAATAATCTTCAAATGGGAACAGCCCAAATGTCTATTCACAGGAGAATAGAGAAATAAATTGTGGCATATTCATAAAATGGAATACTACACAAAAGAGCACATACTGTATAATTCCGTCTATATAAAGCTTAAAAACAGGCAAATTAATCTATCATGATGGAAGCTATAATAGTGGTTACCTTTAGGTGCCCGAGTATTGATTACAAGTCTGGTGAGATGCTGGGAGTGTTTGATATCTTGATTTGGGTGGTGGTTACAGGTGTGCACATGTGAAAATTAAGCTGTACACTTAAAATTTGTACCTTTTGCAATATGTAAGCCATATTTTCATAAAATAATTGTATACAATGATTACATTAAAAATGAAATAAACTAGCTCAGTGCCGTGGGTGTCTATAATCCCAGCTACTTGGGAGGCTGAGGTGGGAGGATGGCTTGAGTCGAGGAGTTCTGGGATGCAGTGCACTATGCTGATTGGGTGTCCACACTAAGTTTGGCATTGATATGGTGACCTCTGGGGAGTGGGGGATCACCTAGTTGCCTAAGGAGAGGTGAACCGGCCCAGGTCAGAAATGGAGCAGGTCAAAACTCTTGTGCTCATCAGTAGTGGGATTGAGCCTGTGAATAGCCACTGTACTACAGACTGGGCAATATAGCAAGACCCCATCTCTAAAAAAAAATAAGTAAAATAAAATAAGATAAAATAAAATAGTGATATGGTAACTCTGGTGAGGTAACCATAGATTTTTTCTGGGAGAATGAGATACATACACGAGGGACATCTGACCTAGTGTGCTGAAGGGGTTTGAGCCATCTGGTCAAGATTTGGAGGATTTGGACATGAGTCAAGAGGCAGTGTTTGTAGTCTAAAGAGTTGTTTGGGGCCAAAAGTAGGGCAGTGGGAATGGAGAGAGACAGAAGTAAGGGCTTTTCAGAGGTAGAATGAGTAAGAGTCTCAAGTGATTGAAAATGTGTTTGTGTGGAGGGTGGGGTAGAGGGAAACGCTGAGGATAAAGACAATGGCTCTATGTGTTCTTTGTGTGACTGGGTTGCTGATGTTGCTAATAGAGAAGGTTGAAGGAAGAACACATTTGGAGCCTTCTTAAATCACATGATCAGTTGGCTTGACCTGGCAGCAGTCAGAACTAGCATTTACATTAACTAACAGCACTTCATACATGACTTCAATTCTGGTTCATTTTGTTCTACAAATATGGTCTTATAGCATAAAGCCCTTATACTATGTCTGTTTGATGTAGATCCTATGTAGATCCTTTTCAGTGCCCTGAAGAGAAGTTTCAAAATGTTTCATTGTGATGATATTTATACATTTATATATTTTGGCACATTCTGCACTTGAATCTTCTTTAACAAACTCAGATTTATTCTGGAGTATTGTTAATTTTGTGAAGAAATGCTAACGTGAATTTCTGAGCTGTGATTGCAGTCTTCTATCAAATTCAGGAGGCTAGGTACAATGGTATGTATAGGGGCATAGGTTAGCTCTTATCATCTGCTTAAATTTGCTGGGGGTTGCTCTAATTCATCTGACTGTTTATGCCCATTTTGAGTTATTGTAGTTGAGTGCTATGGTAACTTAGGGTGATGTTCACCCAGAGGAGTTTTGGGCCCAATAAAAGCCTCTTAGAGGTGGAAGGTAGCTTGTCCTCTGCTTGTTTACTGCTTCCTGACAAAACTGTTATCTCCCTTTTGTTTAAAACTTAATTAATGTGTTTTGGGTATACATTCCTTTTCATTTCCTCAGTGTTCAGTGTTAAGCTGACTGGATGTTATCTGGTTGTCAGGGAGAGTTACGGTGGGTTGTGGATGCCGTCTGTGCCCTCCCCATCAGCCCAGGTCTACAGGCTGAATAAGCCATCTTATTTCCTAGGCTGGGTCAAAGTAACTGATATGGCTCATCCTCATGCCTTTCCTGCCCTGGGGGCAGGGTAAGAATGGCTGACAGAGAGCTTCCTGTTTCCTGTTTGCCTCTAGGAGAGCACAATTCTAAATGACCCCACTTTTCTGCCTTGGAAAGGAAATTGTCCTCTGCTCTAAATCAACACTCATGGGAAGTCACCTGCAATTCTTTTCTTCATAATGCCTCGCCTTCTAGAGATAACACTTAGTTAAGAATTCCTTGCTGTGCTGCTTGTTAGAGGAAAAAATGAAAATAGTAAAATTGCTGATGAATTACAGCTATTGCTGTAGCTATTTTGAGGAAGACTTTTAGAAATTAAAATATTAATGAATATTTTGAGTATGTAAAAGATCATGTCTTTAATCTGGAAATTCTTATAATAAATTTTTGATTTACAGTTTTAAAAGCAAGAGAAATTATTTTTCTAGGTCAATCTGTTAAATTTGTGAATTTGAACAGATTAATTTTATGCCTCATAAAATCAGTAAGGATTTTCAGTTAAGCATTGATTTTGTGAAATGTGTAAGAAGATTACCAAATTCACATTTGGAGCCAGACATTTAACTCTTACGTGGCACTTAACCTGAGATTCCAGACTCTCTATGCTCTGACTCTGTGTGTTTTCTGTGTTCTGTGTTCTGATGCTCTTCGAAACTCTCTGTCCCTGTGAAATCCATAGACTTGCAGACCTCTGACCTTGCTCTGCCGTTTTTCCAAACTGTGGGGCAGCGATTCTCAAACTTTAGTGTGTATCAGAATCACCTGGAGGGCTTGTTACATTGCAGATTGCTGGGCCTCACCACAGCTTCTGATTCAGTAGATCTGGGATGAGGTCTGAGAATTTCGATTTCTAAGGAATGACCAAGGGATGCAGATTCAGCTGGTCCAGGGACCATACTTTAAGGATCACTGCATGAGGCCTTTGCTTGAAACATTTGTGGTAAGCAGAATAATGGCCCTCCCGATTTGCCCACATCTCAATCCCCAGAACATGTGTATATGTTATCTAACATGGGAAAAGGGACTTTGCACATGTGATTAAGTGAAGGATCTTGAGATGGGAAGATTACTCTGGATTATATGGATAGGCCCAGTATAATCACAAGAGTCCTTATAAGAGGGAAATCTGTGGCTCAAAGGCAGGAAAAGGAGATGTGATGGCAGTAGCAGAGGTTGGAGCGATGCACTTTGAAGATGAAGGAAGGGCTCATAAACCAAGAAACTCAGGCAGTCTTGAGAAGATGGAAAAGACAAAGAAATGAATTCTCCCTGGGAGCCTCCAAAAAGAGCACAGTTCTACCAACACATTGATTTTAGCACCATGAGATTGATTTCAGTTTCTGACCTCCAGAGCTATAAGATAATAAATGTCTGTTTTTTTTAAGCTGATAAATGTGTGGTAGATTGTTAGAGCAACCACAGGAAACTAATACAGTGTCCACCCCATACTGTAGTCTATCTGAACCTTATCCACTTTAGCTCAAATTTTAATAAAAGTCTACTTCAACCTGCATCTTCATGTTTACACAGTGATCTCAGTCCCAAACTGCCTATCCTCTGGGAATTCCTAATGCATTTATTATCTTGACCAGTTATGTAGATTCAAAGAATCTCATTTATTTAATGGTTTGTTAATATTGAAAACCCCAAGCTGAGACTAATGATGAAAAGCTATAATTTTTGCTCATGAAGAGCTCCTAATTCATCAGGGGAGGCAGATATACAGGACAAACTTAATAATATATATCATATACATGAATATGTCAAAAAACTACATGTGGTTTGTGTGTATCATATATCATATACCTAATATATACTACCTTAGAGTATGATCATTCATTTATGTTTTTCTACAAAGAGATTGTAAACTTCTGGTTAGGAGGGATAATTTCTAATACTACTAGTTTCTTGAAAATAGTAATGTGTCTTCTTTTGAGTTATGTTAATTATTTTTAAAAGGCTGGTAGAAAAAATATACTTTTCTTATGTTAGGATCACATAAACTATCATTTCACAAGTACATTTTATTTAATAAAGTTGTTCAAAACTTTGGGTCCGTAGTGGAAGACAGCAGAGAGAAAAGATAAGGATCTCCTTTTTTTTAAGTAGTTTTTTAAAGTTTTTTTATTTTTATTTTTTTATTATACTTTAAGTTCTAGTGTACATGTGCACAACGTTCAGGTTTGTTACATTTGTATACATGTGTCATGTTGGTGTGCTGCACCCATTAACTCGTCATTTACATTAAGTATATCTCCTAATGCTATCCCTCCTCTCTCCCCGCACCCTATGACAGGCCCCTGTGTGTGATGTTCCCCACCCGGTGTCCAAGTGTTCTCATTGTTCAATTCCCACCTATGAGTGAGAACATGTGGTGTTTGGTTTTCTGTCCTTGTGATAGTTTGCTCAGAATGATGGTTTCCAGCTTCATCCATGTCCCGACAAAGGACATGAACTCATCCCTTTTTATGGCTGCATGGTATTCCATGGTGTATATATGCCACATTTTCTTAATCCAGTCTATCATTCATGGACATTTGGGTTGGTTCCAAGTCTTTGCTATTGTGAATAGTGCCACAATAAACATACATGTGCATGTATCTTTATAGTAGCATGATTTATAATCCTGTGGGTATATACCCAAAATAGACAAATGGGATCTAATTAAACTAAAGAGCTTCTGCACAGCAAAAGAAACTACGATCAGAGTGAACAGGCAACCTACAGAATGGGAGAAAAGTTTCACAATCTACCCATCTGACGAAGGGCTAATATCCAGAATCTACAAAGAACTTAAACAAATTTACAAGAAAAAATCAAACAACCCCATCAAAAAGTGGGCAAAGGATATGAACAGATACTTCTCAAAAGAAGACATTTATGCAGCCAACAGACATATGAAAAAATGCTCATCATCACTGGTCATCAGAGAAATGCAAATCAAAACCTAGTAATGGGATGGCTGGGTCAAATGGTATTTCTAGTTCTAGATCCTTGAGGAATTGCCATACTGTCTGCCACAATGGTTGAACTGGTTTACAGTCCCACCAACAGTGTAAAAGTGTTCCTATTTCTCCAAATCCTCTCTGGCACCTGTTGTTTCCTGACTTTTTAATGATCGCCATTCTAACTGGTGTGAGATGGTATCTCATTGTGGTTTTGATTTGCATTTCTCTGATGACCAGTGATGATGAGCATTTTTTCATATGTCTGTTGGCTGCATAAATGTCTTCTTTTGAGAAGTATCTGTTCATATCCTTTGCCCACTTTTTGATGGGGTTGTTTGATTTTTTCTTGTAAATTTGTTTAAGTTCTTTGTAGATTCTGGATATTAGCCCTTCGTCAGATGGGTAGATTGTGAAACTTTTCTCCCATTCTGTAGGTTGCCTGTTCACTCTGATCGTAGTTTCTTTTGCTGTGCAGAAGCTCTTTAGTTTAATTAGATCCCATTTGTCTATTTTGGCTTTTGTTGCCATAGTTTTTGGTGTTTTAGTCATGAAGTTCTTGCCCATGCCTATGTCCTGAATGGTATTGCCTAGATTTTCTTCTAGGGTTTTCTGGATTTAAGTCTGACATTTAAGTCTTTAATCTATCTTGAATTAATTTTTCTATAAGAAGGAAGGGATCCAGTTTCAGCTTTCTACATATGGCTAGCCAGTTTTCCCAGCACCATTTATTAAACAGGGAATCCTTTCCCCATTTCTTGTTTTTATCAGGTTTGTCAAAGATCAGATGGTTGTAGATGTGTGGTATTATTTCTGAGGGCTCTGTTCTGTTCCATTGATCTATATCTCTGTTTTGGTACCAGTACCATGCTGTTTTGGTTACTGTAGCCTTGTAGTATAGTTTGAAGTCAGGTAGCATGATGCCTCCAGCTTTGTTCTTTTGGCTTAGGATTGTCTTGGCAATTGCAGGCTCTTTTTTGGTTCCATATGAAATTTAAAGTAGGGTTTTCCAATTCTGTGAAGAAAGTCATTTGTAGCTTGATGGGGATGGCATTGAATCTATAAATTACCTTGGGCAGTATGGCCATTTTCATGATGTTGATTCTTCCTATCCATGAACATGGAATGTTCTTCCATTAGTTTGTGTCCTCTTTTGTTTCGTTGAGCAGTGGTTTGTAGTTCTCCTGGAAGAGGTCCTTCACATCCCTTGTAAGTTGGATTCCTAGGTATTTTATTCTCTTTGAAGCAATTGTGAATGGGAGTTCACTCATGATTTGGCTATTTGTCTGTTATTGGTTTATAGGAATGCTTATGATTTTTGCACATTGATTTTGTATCCTGAGACTTTGCTGAAGTTGCTTATCAGCTTAAGGAGATTTTGGGCTGAGACAATGGTGTGTTCTAAATATACAATCATGTCATCTGCAAACAGGGACAATTTGACTTCCTCTTTTCCTAATTGAATACCCTTTATTTCTTTCTTTTGCCTGATTGCCCGAGCCAGAACTTCCAACACTATGTTGAAAAGGAGTGGTGAGAGAGGGCATCCTTGTCTTGTGCCAGTTTTCAAAGAGAATGCTTCCAGATTTTGCCCATTCAATATGATATTGGCTGTGGGTTTGTCTTAAATAGCTCTTATTATTTTGAGATATCTCCCTTCAATACCTAGTTTATTGAGAGTTTTTAGCAGGAAGGGCTGTTGAATTTTGTCAGAGGCCTTTTCTACATCTATTGAGATAATCATGTGGTTTTTGTCTTTGTTTCTGTTTATAGGATGGATTACATTTATTCATTTGCATATATTGAACCAACCTTGCATCCCAGGGATGAAGCCGACCTGATCATGGTGGATAAGCTTTTTGATGTGCTGCTGGATTCGGTTTGCCCTATTTTATTGAGGATTTTCACATCGATGTTCATCAGGGATATTGGTCTAAAATTCTCTTTTTTTGTTGTGTCTCTGCCAGGCTTTGCTATCAGGATGATCCTGGCCTCATAAAATGAGTTAAGGAGGAGTCTCTCTTTTTCTATTGATTGGAATAGTTTCGGAAGGAATGGTACCAGCTCCTCCTTGTACCTCTGGTAGAATTCGGCTGTGACTCCATCTAGTCCTGGACTTTTTATGGTTGGTAGACTCTTAATTATTGCCTCCATTTCAGAGCCTGTTATTGGTCTATTCAGAGATTCAACTTCTTCCTGGTTTAGTCTTGGGAGGGTGTATGTGTCAAGGAATTTATCCATTTCTTCTAGATTTTCTAGTTTATTTGCATAGAGGTGTTTATAATATTCTCTGATGGTAGTTTGTATTTCTGTGGGATCAGTGGTGATATCCCCTTTATCATTTTTTATTGCGTCTATTTGATACTTCTCTCTTTTCTTCTTTATTAATTTTGCTAGCGGTCTATCAATTTTGTTGCTCTTTTCAAAAAACCTGCTCCTGGATTCATTAATTTTTTGAAGGGTTTTTTGTGTCTCTATCTCCTTCAGCTCTGCTCTGATCTTAGTTATTTCTTGCCTTCTGCTAGCTTTTGAATGTGTTTGCCCTTGCTTCTCTAGTTCCTTTAATTGTGATGTTAGGGTGTCAATTTTAGATCTTTCCTGTTTTCTCTTGTGGGCATTTAGTGCCCTGGATATAGTGTCCTGGATATCCTTGTTAACCTTCTGTCTTATTGATCTGTTTAATATTGACAGTGGGGTGTTAAAGTCTCCCATTATTATTGAGTGGGAGTATACGTCTGTTTTTAGGTCTCTAAGGACTTGCTTTATGAATCTGGGTGCTCCTGTATTGGGTGCATATGTATTTAGAATAGTTAGCTTTTCTTGTTGAATTGATCCCTTTACCATTATGTAATGGCCTTTTTTGTCTCTTCTGATCTTTGTTGGTTTACAGTCTGTTTTATCAGAGACTAGGATTGCAACCCCTGCATTTTGTTGTTTTCCATTTGCTTGGTAGATCTTCCTCCATCCCTTTATTTTGAGCCTATGTGTGTCTCTGCACATGAGATGGGTCTCCTGAACACAGCACACTGATGGGTCTTGACTCTTTATCCAATTTGCCAGTCTGTGTCTTTTTTTTTTTTTTTTTTGAGACAGAGTCTTGCTCTGTTGCCCAGGCTGGAGTGCAGAGGCATGATCTCGGCTCACTGCAAGCTCCACCTCCCGGGGTCACGCCATTCTCCTGCCTCAGCCTCCCAAGTAGCTGGGACTATAGGCACCCACCACCATGCCCGGATAATTTTTTGTATTTTTTAGTAGAGATGGGGTTTCACCATGTTAGCCAGGATGGTCTCAATCTCCTGACCTCGTGATCCACCTGTCTCGGCCTCTCAGAGTGCTGGGATTACAGGCATGAGCCACCGCGCCTGGCCCAGTCTGTGTCTTTTAATTGGAGCATTTAGTCCATTTACATTTAAGATTAATTTGTTGTGTATGAATTTAATCCTGTCTTTATGATGTTAGCTCGTTATTTTGCTCAGTAGTTGATGCAGTTTCTTCCTAGCATCAAGGTCTTTACAATTTGCATGTTTTTGCAGTAGCTGGTACCGGTTGTTCCTTTCCATGTTTAGTGCTTCCTTCAGGAGCTCTTGTAAGGCAGGCCTGGTGGTGACAAAATCTCTCAGCATTTGCTTGTCTGTAAAGGATTTTATTTCTCCTTCACTTATAAAGCTTAGTTTGGCTCAATATGAAATACTGGATTGAAAGTTCTTTCCTTTAAGAATGTTGAATATTGGCCCCACTTTCTTCTGACTTGTAGAGTTTCTGCCAAGAGATCCACTGTTAGTCTGATGGGCTTCCCTTTGTGGGTAAACTGATTTTTCTTTCTGGCAAATCTGACAATCATGTGTCTTGGAGTTGCTTTTTTGAGGAGTATCTTTGTGGCATTCTCTGTATTTCCTGAATTTGAATGTTGGCCCGCCTTGCTAGGTTGGGGAAGTTCTCCTGGATAATATCCTGAAGAGTCTTTTCTAACTTGGTTCCATTCTCCCTGTCACTTTCAGGTACACCAATCAGACATAGATGTGGTCTTTTCACATAGTCCCACATTTCTTGGAGACTTTGTTCATTTCTTTTTACTCTTTTTTCTCTAAACTTCTTTTCTAGTTTCATTTGATTCATTTGATCTTCAGTCACTGATACCCTTTCTTCCAGTTGATTGAATCGGCTACTGAAGCTTGTGCATGCATCACGTAGTTCTTGTGCCATGGTTTTCAGCTCCATCAGGTGATTTAAGTTCTTCTCTATGCTGTTTATTCTAGTTAGCCATTCATCTAGTCTTTTTTCAAGGTTTTTAGCTCCTTTGTGATGGGTTCAAACATTCTCCTTTAGCTTGGAGAAGATTGTTATTACTGATCATCTGAAGCCTACTTTTGTCAGCTTGTCAAAGTCATTCTCCATCCAGCTTTGTTCCATTGCTGGCAAGGAGCTGTGTTCCTTTGGAGGAGAAGAGGCACTCTGATTTTTAGAATTTTCAGCTTTTCTGCTCTGGTTTCTCCCCATCTTTGTGGTTTTATCTACCTTTAGTCTTTGATGATGGTGACCTACAGATGGGGTTTAGGTATGGATGTCCTTTCTGTTTGTTAGTTTTCCTTCTAACAGTCAGGACCCTCAGCCGCATGTCTTTTGGCGTTTGCTGGAGGTCCACTCCGGACCCTGTTTGCCTGGGTATCACCAGCAGAGGCTGCAGAACCGCAAATATTGCAGAACAGCAAATGTTGCTGCCTGATCCTTCCTCTGGAAGCTTCATCTCAGAGGGGCACCCGGTTGTATGAGGTGTCAGTAGGCCCCTACTGGGAGATGTCTCCCAGCTAGACTACTCGGGGGTCAGGGACCCACTTGAAGAGGCAGTCTGTCCATTCTCAGATCTGAAACTCCATGCTGAGAGAACCACTACACTCTTCAAAGCTGTCAGACAAGGACATTTAAGTCTGCAGAAGTTTCTGCTGCCTTTTGTTCAGCTATGCCCTGCCCTCAGAGGTGGAGTCTACAGAGGCAGGAAGGCCTCCCTGAGGTGTGGTGGGCTCTACCCAGTTCGAGCTTCCAGGCTGCTTTGTTTACCTACTCAAGCCTCAGCAATGGCAGACACCCCTCCCCCAGCCTCGCTGCCACCTTGCAGTTCGATCTCAGACTGCTGTGCTAGCAGTGAGCAAGGCTCCATGGGCTTACGACCCTCTGAGCCATGCACAGGATATAATCTCCTGGTGTGCCATTTGCTAAGACCATTGTAAAAGTGCAGTATTAGGGTGGCATTGTCCAAATTTTCCAGGTACTGTCTTTCATGGCTTCCCTTGGCTAGGAAAGGGAATTCCCCGATCCCTTGTACTTCCTGGGTGAGGCGATGCCCCGCCCTGCTTCCACTCACACTCTGTGGGCTGCACCCACTGTATAACAAGCCCCAGTGAGATGAACCTGGTACCTCAGTTGGAAATGCAGAAATCACCTGTCTTCTGCATCGCTCATGCTGGGAGCTGTAGACTGTAGCTGTTCCTATTTGGCCATCTTGGAACTGCCCATCAAGAGTCTTTTTCTTGGAACCAACACTTCATCATGAAAAGAGCATTGAATAGGAGTTAAGAAGCCAAAATTCTTGTTTTGGAGCAAATAATTCTTCTGTAAAATGAGTGAATCTAGTTTGATTGTCTCTAAGATTCTTTCAGATCTGGAAGTCTATATTTATATAATCTTTGTATCTCTTACAACCCGAAGCACATATGCCTTGCACAAGAGAGGAACTCTTAAATAAGTAAAGCAATCAAAGTGTTATTTTGGAAGTATCAAGCTGTTTTATATTCCATACATTGCTAACATGTAAGTATTTCTGTTTCTGGAGCAAAATGGAGTTCTTAGACACAAAGCAAAATAAAATTTCAAAATCAAGATAAAATTATTTACTTGCAAGTGAATGTAGGTGGGTTAATGTGCTGTAACAACAGTGTATAGGTAGCATCTTTTGTTCTGTATTAACTTAAAAAAAGTCTGAATGTCCTAAGCACCTTACAACATCAGGGACAGGTATTCAAGTAACACACAATGAAGTGAAGATCCGGCAATCAGTAGGCCAATTTGACAAGTGAGGGTTATGAGAGATTATAATTCAGTCTAGGACAATTCTTCAAAAATCATCAATCAAGATATTTCTGGTTATGCTGAGTCCTGTGTTAATTCTTCAACTGACAACAACAAGAAATGATGGCTAAACTTAAAAAGCATGTCTTTGAATGCATCTGTGAGTTATCAAAGCAGAGAGTGGTTGAGGGGCTGAAATCCTGGAGAAATGAGAAGCACAAAAATGAACCCAATTTTTGTTGCCATTTTCTCTCTAGAGGCATTGGGTGATTGACAAATGGAGAATAAAATGTAAAAAAGCTGAATAGAAAAGGTTGTCTGAGAGGCTTAAAATCTAAGTTTAGTTTTTACTAATATTGTATAGCTGAAGGATCATATTGGAATTTAGGGTCTACCAAGAAGGAGGGACTCTGGAAAACATCTTGGGCTTTCATTTGGGATCTGCAAAATACTGCATTTTAGGAGCAAAGATGAAACACATGTAGACAGCCCTTACCAAAAAAAAAAGTCTTTTTTTCATGCCAGCTCCATCTTTGATTGGATTAAGGTGATCTGTTTACTCAATACTTGCCAGAAGCAAAAGTCAATCATCTCAGAAAGACTATAGCACTATGCAGAGCCTCAAGTTATTTCCATAGCTTTTTATCTTCAATTTATGGCATGGGAATAAAAATGTACCAGACATGCCAGCAAACAAAACCAGTGATCAAAAATCAAGAAAAAACAAATAGATACAGACTAACAAAATATTCTGATATTTGAGGTAGCAGACACAGGCTTTAAAACAATATGTTCAAGAGATTAGATGGCAAGGTGGAGAATTTGAGCAGAGAACTGAACACTATGAAAGAAAGCTAAATAGTAGTTTTACAACCAAATATTACATTATTGAAATGAAGAACTCCATAGATGATTTAAGAGCACATTAGACAGAGCCAAAAATAAGATTAAGAAACTGGAATATAGATCAAAAGAAAATATCCAAACTGAAGCATTGAGAGGAAATTATGGAAAATATAAAAGAGAATATAAGAGACACAGGGACATAATGAAAAGATCTAATGTGTGTGATTAGATAAGGAGAGGAAAGAAAGAATAAGGCAATGCAACATTTAAATAATGACCAGGAATTCTGAAACTGATGAAAATATATCAAGCCACATATACAAAAAGTGCTATGGACCCCAAGCAGGATAAATATAAAGATTTTCTTTGGGGCTTGGTTTATCAGGATTAGTTACTTTGGCAGACAGTTAGTTTATCTAACTAAATATTACAATTTTCAGGCTATTTGACAATAAGAGGTGTCCACTGAGATGTAAGCAGAAGTTGTCAATTAGGATTTTCAGGAAAATTCCTCAGGAGAGAAATAGACACTGTCGTACACCCTTTATCTTTGCCCACTACCTTTTTCTTGCTTCTTGAAATAGGCATGATGGCTGAGTTTCAGCAGCTATATTGGTGTATTAGGCCATTGTGATAGTCAATTCTATGCGTCAACTTGGCTAAGTCACATTACCCAGATATTTGGTTAAACACTAGTATAGATGTTACTGTGAAGGTATTTTTAAAATCTGAGATTAAGATTTTAATCAGTAGAATTTGAGTAAAGCAGATTACCCTCTACAGTCTGCTTTGGTTGTGATTTGGCCTCATCTAATCAGTTGAAAGTCTTGTGAGAAAAAAAGACTCATGTCTCTTGAGGAAGAGAGAATTCTGCCAGCAGTCTGCCTTTGCTCTTGAGCTGCAATGTCAGCTCTTCCCTGGGTCTCCAGCCCACTGGCCTACCCGCAGATTTTGGACTTACCATCTTTTGGAATCATGTGATCCAATTTCTCAATATAAATCAGGCTGTCCTCTCCCCCACCCTCCTTGCCCACTGTGTGTGATACACATCTTATTGGTTCAGTTTCTCTGGAGATCTCTGATTAATACAGCCATGAAAGTCATGTGCAAAGGACAGTGGAGCAGAAAGTTGTAAGAAACCAGGATCTCTGATATCTGTCATACTTCCACACCAGCTTTAAACTGCTTACCTTTGTACTTTTTTTATGTGGGAGACAAGAAGATTTGTACTTTTTTATAAGTTTTTCACTAGATTTTTTGTTACATACAGTCCCAAATAACACTAACTGAGAAAATAACATTTAAAAAATTACCTGAATCATGGCTGACTTTTTTTTTCATACAATAGCCATGCACTGCAGAAGACCAAGTGGATTCCATTTTCTTCACCTGTTCATTAGTCTCTATTTATTTTAAAATGTGTGAAGGGACATGGAACTCTGGGTTCTCTAGTATCTGTTAATAATAATCAATGACCATGAATCAGGCCAACAGAATCTTTCAGGTTTATCTGGTACTACCACATGAAGAGAAATTTCTCCTCATTGATATTAAATGCTTTATTCATGTAAGAAATCTAACCTGATTCACATATATGACAAATGAAGTAAGGTATTAAAAACACATAAAATATCATAGATTGCATTTATAGAACAATTATTTTAAGACTAAGACTCAGGTATTTATTTTTAAATTCATTTGAAATAGAAAAATTGAAGTAGTTGAACATCATAAAATGAAATAGAAATACAATTCTGATGAAGCTTAAAGCAAACAAAGATTGATTAAAATTATTTGCTTTATTCAGAGATTACATTAAGGTTAGAAATTAAACTGTTGTATGCTAGGCTGTCTCATCTCTATAAACTGAAAATAACATCACTGAATATTCTTTTTCTTTTTCCATTTATCTTGTCTTCCTACTATGGTTGAGTTCTTAATTGTACTATTTATGACAGGGAACATTTTTATTACTTTTAAGGAAAATATTTGCTTTTCTTTTATTAATAATTTTTCATGAAGTTTGTTGGAAGCAATTTGTAGATGCTGTTGTTAACAGCTTTTGTTTGGATTCCCAGAGAAAATCCCACTACATGAATTGTGATGTGAATGAATACTGGACCAATGGCCTAAGAGAAATCATGTTAAACTACCAAAACTCACAAATGAATAAATTAGTCACCTTGCTTTGTGATGAATGATTAATAAGCTGTTTAAGCTAAACTTTTTCAGATGTATCACATTTGAAATGGGATTACTGGGAAAGAGTTGGTGACGTTTTTATAAAACAGACTGTATTAGTTAGGGTTCTCTAGAGGGACAGAACTAATAGAATAGATCTATATATAAAGGGGAGTTTATTAAGTATTAACGCACACGATCACAAGGTCCCACAATAGGCCATCTGCAAGCTGAGGAGCAAGGAGAGCCAGTCCCAGTCCCAAAACTGAAGAACTTGGAGTCCGATGTTCAAAGGCAGGAAGCATCCAGCACGACAGAAAGATGTAGGCTGGGAGGTAGGCCAGTCTAGTCTTTTCACATTTTTCTGTCTGCTTTATATTCTAGCTGCACTGGCAGCTGACTAGATGGTGCCCACCCAGATTAAAGGTGGGTCCGCCTTTCCCAGCCCACTGACTCAAATGTTGATCTCCTTTGGCAACACCCTCACAGACGCATCCAGGATCAGTACTTTGCATACTTCATTCCAATCAAGTTGACACACAGTATCACAGCATCACATAGACCAACAGTATTTTTTTCTCCCAGGCTGACTGTAAAAATTTTTAAATATTTATTTGAAAGCAACAAGCTTTCTGAAGTTGGAGCCAGTTACTTTTGTCTGCCATAATCTTGAGAATTAACTGGGATGTTCAAATCACAAAATCATAATCCTCAACAAAGTGTAAAGGCCAAGAATAGAAAAGACTTTGAAAATCAAATGCCAATCTGAAATTTGGTTTCTCGTTCTATCTCCATTTTAATCTCTTAATTGAAAATGCCAATCTGAAATTTGGCTTCTCTGTTCTATCTCCATTTTAATCTCCTAATTGAAAATATTTGTTTTCTGTTCTTTTGTCTGTGATAACTATCACTCACAGGCCTTGTAGGCTCACTGGCCAAATGTAACCGGCTAAGTGAGATGTCCCCGCTTCCACTGACTTTGTGGAATATTTTTTCTCACCTTTGTCTATATCCTATCCTACTATAACTTTCAACCTTCTTCATGTTACAATTAACCAATTAGTCTGAAACTCTCTTCAAAAATCTTCCTTTTACTGTGCTTTGTAGTGTTATCCTGAAGAAAAAAGTTTAAGTAGTTTGAAAATAGAGTAGGAACCATATAGTATAGTTAGCAGGAACTACATTTAATCTGTGATAGCTTCTTTTGTTTTTCTTCAATTCTCTTTATTTTATTTATTTACTTAAAAACATTTTTAACTGAACTTCTTATTTCAAGATCTTGAAATTGTGATCTCGTAGATTCACATACAGTTGTAAGAAATAATATAGAATGATTCTGGGCCAGGCGTGGTGGCTCACGCCTGTAATCCCAGCACTTTGGGAGGCCCAGGCAGGCAGATCACAAGGTCAGGAGTTCGAGACCAGCCTGGCCAATATGGTGAAACCCCATCTCTACTAAAAATACAAAAATTAGCCCAGTGTGGTGGCGGGTGCCTATAGTCCCAGCTACTCGGGAGGCTGAGGCAGGAGAATTGTTTGAACCTGGGAGGCAGAGGTTGCATTGAGCCAAGATCATGCGACTGCACTCCAGCTTGGGTGACAGAGTGAGACTCTGTCTCAAAATGATAATAATAATAATAATAGTAACAATAATATTAATGATTCTGTGTATGCTTTACCCAGTTTCTCCCAATGGTAATATCTTGCAAAACCATAGCTCAATATTATTATCAGGATATTGACATAATAGTGGAGATATAGAAGATTTCCATCACCACAAGGATTCCTCATGTTGCCTTTGTAGAGTTACAACTGATTCCCGCCTGCCTCCATTTCCTTGTTAACTCTTGGCAGTCACTAATCTGTTCTACATTTCTAAAATTTTGTCATTTCAAGAATGTTATATAAATGGAACTATATAGTATGTAACATTTTGGAATTGGCTTTTTCCACTCAGCATAATTTTCTATGGTAAACATCTTTTCATGTATTTAGTGCCATCTATGTATATTTTTCAGCGAAGTGTCTCTTGAATAGTGGATTAAAAATTTTTTTGTTTACTGTTGAGTTTAGAGGGTCCTTTATATAGTCTAGATTCCAGTTTTTTTATTTTTCATGAATTTGTGGTTTGCAAACATTTTTTCCTGGTCTATAGCTACTCTTTTCATCCTCTTAACAGGATCTTTTCATAGGGCAAAAGTTTTTAATTTTTATAAAGTCTGATTTATCACTTTTTTCTTTCATGGCTCATGCTTTTTGTGTTAAGTCTAAGAACTCTTTGAGAGATGCCTATTGTAATCCCAAAAAACTCAGTCTTGAATGCCATAATCCTGAATGTTGATATCTTTAAAGATCAAAATTCCAAAAGTTGAAACCTCTAACGTCTAAAATCCCTAAAATTTTAAATCGTGAAAATCGCAGTTAGGGCATTTTAGATTGTCTGCAGGATAGTTGTATCATTTTAGTTGCATTATGTTATGCAGAGCGATTACTTTGTTATTGTCTTTATTTGGAAGTTATGGTTTAAGGAGATGCAGTTAGTGCCAAACTGACAAGGGGTAAATTTATGGCCTTAATTTTAGTTGCCAACTTAACTGGACTAAGAGTCACCTATACACTTGGTAAAGCAAATTTTGGGTGTGTTTCCAGAAGAGATTAGTGTGAATCTCAGTGGACTAGGTGAGGAAGATCTGCCCTCCATCTCGGCAAGCACTATTCAATCAGCAAGGGGGCTGAAGATAACAAATACAGAAGGTGAATTGATCTCTCTCTGAGAGCTGGGAGAGACCTTTCTTCTGTTTTTTTTGTCTGTCACAGTATTTCACATGATCACAGTTATATAAGTGATTCCTTTATGAATATGGTCTATCTGCTCATAATTGTTATACATGTGCAACTGTCTTTTTAGTATTCTGAGCATATATGTTTGCAAAAAATGCATGTTATTATTGCCTTTTTTCTTGTGTAAAGTGGCCTATGAAGTGTTCTGTTGTGTTTTTAAATATTTCTCAAACAAATCCCCCTTTAAAAGTGTAAACAAATATCTTTTAAAGAATTTTTAAAAATTATTTTTTCCAGAATTATATTTTTAGAATTTTGATCTTTCAGAATTGTGATTTTGGGGATTTCAGACTTTATAAATTTTAAGCTTCAGAGATTTCAACATTCAGGATCATGGCATTCTGGATTGAGTCTTTAGGTATCATGGCCCAAGCCCGTCTTGGAGTAACTGTAGATCCCAAAGATTCCCCCTAACTTTTTTTTTTTTAAGTTTTATAGTGTTATATTTTATGTGTAAGTCTGTGATCCATTTTGAGTTAATTTTTATGTAACCTGTTAGACTTCAGTGAAGGATTTTCTTCTTTTTTTTTTTGTCTCTGTATATCCAATTTATCAAACATTATTTCTTGAAAAGGCTACCTATCCTTCATTGAATTGTTTTGCACTTTTGTCAAAAACAAATTGGACATATTTGTGGGTCTGTTTCTGGGTTTGCTGTTCTGTTCCCTTGATTTATGTGTCTATCCCTATCCAATACCTCTCAATCTTTATTATTGTAGCTATATAATGCCTTGAAATTGGGTAGACTGAGCCTTCTACTTTATTCTTCTTTTGAAAAATTATTTTGGTTATTCTAACTCTCTCTCTTTTTTTTTTTTTTTTTTTTTTTTTTGAGACAGAGTCTCGCTCTGTCCCCCAGGCTGGAGTGCAGTGGCACGATCTCGGCTCACTGCAAGCTCTGCCTCCCGGGTTCACGCCGTTCTCCTGCCTCAGTCTCCCGAGTAGCTGGGACTACAGGCACCTGCCACCATGCCCGGCTAATTTTTTGTAGTTTTTAGCAGAGACGGGGTTTCACCATGTTAGCCAGGATGGTCTCGATCTCCTGACCTCGTGATCCGCCTGCCTCGGCCTCCCAAAGTGCTGGGATTACAGGCGTGAGCCACTGCGCCCGGCCTGGTTATTCTAATTCTTTTTGTCTCTCGATATAAATTTTAAAATAGTCTTGTATCTACAAAACAATCTTGTTGGGGTTTTGCTAGGAATTTCTTTAAGCCATTATGTCAATTTGGGAAAATTGGCATCTTTACCATATTCAGTCTTCTGATCCATGAGCATGTTATTTCTATCCTTTTATTTACATTTTCTTTGATTTCTTTCATCAGTATTGTGTAGTTTTCATCACATAAGTTTTGTGCATAAGTTTTGCTACCAAGCTGAGAAAGTCTCTCTCTATGCTTATTTTTTTCGGAAAGTGTTTAACACAAATGTGTTGAATTTTGTCAAATGCTTTTTCTCTGTTGATTGATATGATCATGTAACCTTTTTTCCTTAGCTTGTAATATGGTAGATTACACTGATGAATTTTCAAATATTGAACCAGATTATATCATTGGAATAAACCTCACTTGGTCATGATGTACAAATTTTTAAATATATTTCTGAATTCTATTTGCTAATATTTTGTTGAGAATTTTTACATTTATCCATGAAAGCTACTGGCCTATGGTTTTCTTTTAATGTACTGTCTTTTTCTCATTTTGATGTCAGGTATCAGAGCTTTATAAAATGAATTAGAAAATATTCCCTTCTTTTATGTTGCTGGAAGAGATTGTGTGGAATTGCTCTTAATTCTTTAAATGTCTTGTAGAATTCTCCAGTGAAACCATCTGTGCCTGGAGAGGTGGGAGTGTTGGGATTTCTACGATTTGTGAACTCAATATTCTTAAATAATTATATGGCTATTCAAATTATCTCTTTCATATTGTGTGAATTGTGATAGTTTGTGTTTTACAAGAAATTGATACATTTTGTTTAAGTTATTAAACATATGTGTAGCGTTTTTAGTAGTATTCTTTTATTATTTCTTTAACATCTGCAGGGTCTGTAGTGATAGTATTCCTTTATCATTTCTAATACTTATATTGGCAATTTGTGTCCTCCATCTTTTTTGTTTGTCAGTCTTGCTAGAAGTTTGTTAATTTTATTGATCTTTTCAAAGCACCAGCTCTTTGTTTTGTTGATTTTCTTTATAATTTTTCTATATTCAATTTCCTTGATTTCTAATCTTATCTTTATTATATTTTTCCTTCTTGCTTTGGATTTATTTTTGCTCTACTATTTCTAGTTTTTTAAAGGTAGAAGCTTAGTATATTGATGTGAGACATTTTCTTTATTCTAATATGTGCGTTTAGTGCTATATATTTCCCTCTTAGCACTGCTTTAGTTTTTGTCTCACAAATTTTGATATGCTGTGTTTTCATTTCCATTCAGTTCAGTTTTGATTTCCTCTGAGACTACCTCTTTGACCCATGGATTATTTAGATGTATGGTGCTAAGTTTCCAAGTGTTTGGAGGTTTTCCTGTTATCTTTATGTTATTGGCTTCCAGTTTGATTCTATTGTGGTAAGATAACATACACTATATGATTGCATTTCTTTTAATTTGTTGCATTTTTAAAAAAATGGTCAAATATATGGTCTATCTTAGTGATGTTTTGCGGACATTTGTAAAGAATATGCATCCTGCTACTGTTAGAGTGTTCTATAAATGTTGAGTACATCTCGTTGGCTGATGGTGTTGATTTCTTCTATATTCTTGATGATTTGCTGTGCAGTTGTTCTATTAGTTGTTGAGAGAGAGTGTTGAATTCTCAAACTGTAATTGTGAATTTGTCAGTTGCTGTTTTCATTTCTATTAGGTTTTGCTTCATATATTTTGCAGCTTTATTGCTTTGTTCAAACACATTTACAATTGCTAAATCTTCTTGGTGAATTGACCCTTTTATCATTATATAATGTCCTTGTCTGCTTATGTTCTGAAATCTATTTTATCTGATATTAATATAGACACTCCTGATTTCCTTTAGTCACCATTCATAATATAACTTTTTCCATCTTTCTACTTTTAACCTGCCTATATCATTATATTTGAAGTGAATTTCTGGTCAACAACATATAGTTGAAACATGTTTATTAATCCATTCTGCTATCACTTTTAATTGGTGTATTCAGATCATTTACATTTAATGTAACTATTGATCTGACACGGCTCAGTCTTCCATTTTAGTTTTTGTTTCTGTGTTTTTAAAAATATTTTTTGTTCCTCTGTATTTTTTTCTCATGTTCTTAAGGGTTACTTAAAGGTTTTTGAGTTCCATTTTCATTTATCTATGATGTTTTAGATTATGTCTGTTCCTATAGCTTTGTTTGTTTGTTTTAAGTTCTGGAATACATGTGCAGAACGTGCAGGTTTGTTACATAGGTATACATGTGCCATGGTGCTTTGCTGCACCTGTCAACCCATCATCTAGGTTTTAAGCCCCGCAGGCATTAGGTATTTGTCCTAATGCTCTCCCTCCCCTTCCCCCCACCCCCTGACAGGCGTCAGTATATGGTGTTCCCCTCCCTGACTCCATGTGTTCTTATTGTTAAATTCACACTGATGGGTGAGAACATGCAGTGTTTGATTTTCTGTTCCTGTGTTAGTTTGCTGAGAATGATGGCTTCCAGATTCATCCATGTCCCTGCAAAGGACATGAACTCATTCCTTTTATGGCTGCATACTATCCCATTTTGTGCCACATTTTCTTTATCTTGTCTATCATTGATGGGCATTTGGGTTGGTTCCAAGTGTTTGCTATTGTGAATAGTGCCACAATAAACATATGTGTGCATGCGTCTTTATAGTAGAATGATTCATAATCCTTTGGGTATATACCCAGTAATGAGATTGCTGAGTCAAATGGTATTTCCAGTTCTAGATCCTTGAGAAATTGCCACACTCTCTTCCACATTGAACCATTGTGGAAGACAGTGCAGTGATTCCTCAAGGATCTAGGACCAGTAATACCATTTGACCCAGCCATCTCATTACTGGGTATATACCGAAAGGATTATAAATCATACTACTATAAAGACACATGCACACGTATGTTTATTGTGGCGCTATTCACAATAGCAAAGACTTGGAACCAACCTAAATGTCCATCAATGATAGACTGGATTAAGAAAATGTGGCACATATACACCATGGAATACTATGCAGCCATAAAAAAGGATGAGTTCATGTCCTTTGCAGGGACATGGATGAAGCTGGAAACCATCATTCTCAGCAAAATATCACAAGGACAGAAAACCAAACATTGCATGTTCTCACTCACAGGTGGGAGTTGAACAACGAGAAACACGTGGACACATGGCAGGGAACATCACACACTGGGGCCTGTCGGGGGGTGGGGGCCTGGGGGAGGGATAGCATTAGAAGAAATACCTAATGTAAATGACAAGTTGATGGGTGCAGAAAACCAACATGGCACATGTATACCTATGTAACAAACCTGCACGTTGTGCACATGTACCGTAAAACTGAAAGTATGATAACATAAAAAAATCACCATTCTAACTGGCGTGAGATGGTATCTCATTGTGGTTTTGATTTGCATTTCTCTAATGACCAGTGATGATGAGCTTTTTTTCATGTTTGTTGGCCACATAAATGTCTTCTTTGAGAAGTGTTTGTTCATATCCTTTGCCCACTTTTTGATGGGGTTGTTTGCTTTTTCTTGTAAATTCGTTTAAGTTCTTTGTGGATTCTGGATATTTGACCTTTGTCAGATGGGTAGATTGCAAAAATTTTCTCCCATTCTGTAGGTTGCCTTTTCACTCTGATGATAGTTTCTTTTACTATGCAGAAGCTCTTTAGTTTCATTAGATCCCATTTGTCAATTTTGGCTTTTGTTGCCATTGCTTTTGGTGTTTTAGTCATGAAATCTTTGCCCATGCCTATGTTCTGAATGGTGTTGCCTAGGTTTTCTTCTAGAGTTTTTATGGTTTTGGGTTTTACATTTAAGTCTTTAATCCATCTTGAGTTAATTTTTGTATAAGGTGTAAGGAAGTGGTCCAGTTTCTGTTTTCCACATATGGATAGCTAGTTTTCGCAGCACCATTTATTGAATAGGGAATCCTTTCCCCATTGCTTGTTTTTGTCAGGTTTGTCAAAAATCAGATGGTTGTAGATGTGTGGTGTTTTTTTGTGGTCTATGTTCTGTTCCATTGGTCTGTATATCTGTTTTGGTACCAGTACCATGCTGTTTTGGTTACTGTAGCCTTGCAGTATAGTTTGAAGTCAGGTAGCATGATGCCTCCATCTTTGTTCTTTTTGCCTAGGATTGTCTTGGTTATACAGGGTCTTTTTGTTCCATATGAAATTCAAAGTAGTTTTTTTCTAATTCTGTGAAGTCAATGGTAGCTTGATGGGAATAGCATTGAATCTATAAATTACTTTGGGCAGTATGTCCATTTTCATGATATTGATTCTTCCTATCCAGGAGCGCGGAATGTTTTTTCATTTGTTTTTGTCCTCTCTTATTTCCTCGAGCAGTGGTTTGTAGTTCTCCTTGAAGAGGTCCTTCACGTCCCTCGTAAGTTGTATTCCTAGGTATTCTATTCTCTTTTTAGCAATTGTGAATGGGAGTTCACTCATGATTTGGCTCTCTGCTTGTCTATTATTTGTGTATAGAAATGCTTTTGATTTTTGCACATTGATTTTGTGCAAAATCTTGAGACTTTGCTGAAGTTGCTTACCAGCTTAAGGAGTTTTGGGGCTGAGATGATGGGGCTTTCTAAATATGCATTCATGTCATCTGCAAACAGAGACAATTTGACTTCCTCTATTCCATTTGAATACCCTTTGTTTCTTTCCCTTGCCTGATTGCCCTGGCCAGAACTTACAGTACTATGTTGAATAGGAGTGGTGAGAGAGGGTATCCTTGTCTTGTGCTGGTTTTCAAAGGGAATACTTCCAGCTTTTGCCCATTCAGTGTGATATTGGCTATGGGTTTGTCATGGATAGCTCTTAGTATTTTGAGATATCTTCCGTCAATACCTAGTTTATTGAGAGTTTTTAGCATGAAGGGGTGTTAGAATTTATCAAAGGCCTTTTCTGCATCTATTGAGATAATCATGTGGTTTTTGTCACTGGTTCAGTTTATGTGGTGGATTACGTTTATTGATTTGCGTATGTTGAACCAACCTTGCATCCCAGGGATGAAGCCAACTTGATCGTGGTGGATAAGCTTTTTGATGTGCTGCTTGCCAGTATTTTATTGAGGATTTTCACGTTAATGTTCATCAGGGATATTGGCCCGAAATTTTTTTTGTGTGTGTGTCTCTGCCAGGTTTTTGTATCAGGATGATGCTGGCCTCATAAAATGAGTTAGGGAGGAGTCTCTCTTTTTCTATTGTTTGGAATAGTTTCAGAAGGAATGGTACCAGCTCCTCTTTGTACCTCTGTAAGAATTCGGCTGTGAATCCGTCTGGTCCTGGACTTTTTTTGATTGGTACGCTATTAATTACTGCCTCAATTTCAGAACTTGTTATTGGTCTATTCAGGGATTCCACTTATTCCTGGTTTAGTCTTGGGAGGGTGCATGTGTCCAGGAATTTATCCATTTCTTCTAGATTTTTTAGTTTATTTGCATAGAGATGTTTATACTATTCTCTGATGGTAGTTTGTATTTCTGTGGGATTGGTGGTAATATCCCCTTCATCATTTTTTATTATGTCTATTTGATTCTTCTCTCTTGTCTTCTTTATTAGTCTGGCTAGCAGTCTATCTATTTTGTTAATCTTTTCAAAAAACCAGCTCCTGGATTCATTGATTTTTTTGAAGGGTTTTTTGTGTCTCTATCCCCTTTAGTTCTGCTCTGATCTTAGTTATTTCTTGTTTTCTGCCAGCTTTTGAATTTATTTGCTCTTGCTTATCTAGTTCTTTTAATTGTGAGGTTAGGGTATCAATTTGAGATCTTTCCAGATGTCTGTTGTGGGCATTTAGTGCTATAAATTTCCCTCATGCCCCGCTTTAGCTGTGTCCCCGAGATTCTGGTATGTTGTCTGTTTGTTTTCATTGCTTTCAAAGAACTTCTTTATTTCTGTCTTAATTTTGTTATTTACCCAGTAGTCATTCAGGAGCAGGTTGTTCAATTTCCATGTAGTTGTGTGCATTTGAATGAGTTTCTTAATCCTGAGTTCTAATTTGATTGCACTGTGGTCTGAGAGACTGTTATTATTTCCATTCTTTTGCATTTGCTGAGGAGTGTTTTACTTCTAATTATGTGGCTGATTTTAGAATATGTGCTATTTGGTGCTGAGAAGAATGTGATTCTGTTGATTTGGGGTGGAGAGTTTTGTAGATGTTTATTAGGTCCACTTGGTCCAGAGCTGAGTTCAAATCCTGAATATCCTTGTTAATTTTCTGTCTCATTGATCTGTCTAATATTGTCAGTGGGGTGTTAAGGTCTCCCACTATTATTGTGTGGGAGTCTAAGTCTCTTTGTAGGTCTCTAAGAACTTGTTTTATGAATCTGAGTGCTCCTTATTGGTTGCATATATATTTAGGATAGTTAGCTCTTCTTATTGCATTGATCCCTTTACCATTATGTAATGCCCTTCTTTGTCTTTTTTGATCTTTGTTGGTTTAAAGTCTGTTTTATCACAGATGTGGATTGCAACCCCTGCTTTTTTTTGCTTTCCATTTGCTTGGTAAATATTCTTCCATTCCTTTATTTTGAGCCTATGTGTGTCTTTGCACGTGAGATGGGTCTCCTGAATACAACACACCAATGGGTCTTGACTCTTTATCCAATTTGCCAGTCTGTGTCTTTTAATTGGGGCATGTATCCCTTTTACATTTAAGGTTAATATTGGTATGTGTGAATTTGATCCTGACGTCTTGACGCTAGCTGGTTATTTTGCACATTAGTTGTTGCAGTTTCTTCATAGTGTCATTGGTCTTTATATTTTGGTGTGTTTTTGCAGTGGCTGGTACCAGTTTTTCCTTTCCATATTTAGTGCTTCCTTCAGGAGCTCTTGTAAGGCAGGCCTAGTGGTGAAAAATCCCTTAGCATTTGCTTGTCTGGAAAGGATTTTATTTTTCCTTTGCTTGTGAAGCTTGGTTTGGGTGGATATGAAATTCTGGGTTGAAAATCATTTTCTTTAAGAATGTGGAATACTGGCCCCCACTCTCTTCTGGCTTGTAGGGTTTCTGCAGAGATATCTACTGTTAGTCTGATGGGCTTCCCTTTTAGGTAACCTGACCTTTCTCTCTGGCTGCCCTTAACATTGTTTCCTTCGTTTCAACCTTGGAGAATCTGACAATTATGTGTCTTGGGGTTGCTCTTCTTGAGGAGTATCTTAGTGGTGTTCTCTGTATTTCCTGAATTTGAATGTTGGCATGTCTTGCTCAGTTGGGGAAGTTCTCCTGGATAATATCCTGAAGTGTGTTTTCCAACTTGGTTCCATTCTCCCTGTCACTTTCAGGTACACCAATTAGTCGTAGCTTTGGTCTTTTCACGTAGTCCCATATTTCTTGGAGGCTTTGTTTGTTCCTTTTCATTCTTTTTTCTTTAAGTGGTTTCTCTAGGTATTACATTATTTATACAAGACTTACCAAGGTTTACTGGTATTATCATTTTACCAATTCTAGTACAGAAATCTTATCTGCTTTTATCCTCCCCTATTTATAATATTATTGTCTTAAATATTTTCTCTATATACATTTCGAACAATATCAGGTAGTTTTATAATTTTTTGCCTCAACAAACATAATTTATTAAAAATTTTTTTATTGACAATAGAACCAGCCGATTTATTCCTTAAATTGCTTTTTAACTTTTATTTTAAGTTCAGGGGTACATGTGCAGATTTGTTATACAGGTATACTCGTGTCATGGGGGGTTGTTGTACAGATTATTTCATCACCCAGGTATTAAGTCTAGTACTCATTAGTTATTTTTCCTGATCTTCTCCTTCCTTCCACTTTCCACCCTCTGGTAGGCCCCAGTGTCTGTTATTCTCCTCTATGTGTCCATGTGTTCTCATTATTTAGCCCCCACTTATAAGTGAAAACATGAGGTATTTGGTTTTCTGTTTCTGTGTTAGTTTGCTAAGAATAATGGCCTCCAGCTCCATCCATGTTCCTGCAAAGGACATGATCTCATTATTTTTTATGGCTGCATAGTGTTCCATGGTGCATATATACTACATTTTCTTTATTCAGTCTACCATTGATGGGCATTAAAGTTGATTCCATGTCTTTGTTATTGTGAACAGTGCTGCAATGAACATATACATGGATTTGTCTTTATGATAGAATGACTTATATTCTGTTGGGTATATAACCAGTAGTGGGATTGCTGAGTAGAATGGTAGTGCTGTTTTTAGGTCTTTGAGGAATTGCCACACTGTTTTTCACAATGGTTGAACTAATTTATACACCCACCAATAGTGTGTAAGTGCTCTTTTTCTCTGTAAACTCACCAGCATCTGTTATTTTTTGACTTTTTAGTAAAAGCCATTCTGACTGGTATGAGATGGTATCTCATTATGGTTTTGATTTGAATTTTTCTAATGATCAATGATGTTGAGTTTTTTTCCATATGCTTGTTGGCTGCATTTATGTCCTCTTTTGAAAAGTGTTTGTTCATGTCCCTTGCCCACTTTAATAGGGTTGTTTGTTTTCTGCTTGTAAATTTGTTTAAGTTCCTTATAGATATGGAATATTAGACATTTGTTAGATGCATAGTTTGCAGATATTTTCTCCCATTATGTAGGTTGTCTGTTTAGCTTTTGATAATTTGTTTGTTTGTTTTTTGCTCTGCAGAAGCTCTTTAGTGTAATTAGATCCCATTTGTCAATTTTTGTTTTTGTCGAAATTGCTTTTGGCTTCTTCATCATGAAATCTTTGCCCATGCCTATGTCCATGAAATTTCTGCCCATGCCTATGACAACTTAGGTATTGCCTAAGTTGTCCTCCAGGGTTTTTATGGTTTGGGGTTTTACTTTTAAGTCTTTAATCCATCTTGAGTTAATTTAACAAGCATAATTTAGAGAACTCAAGAGAGGAAGAAAGACCCACTGTATTTACCCATGTTTTCCTTTATCATGTTCTTTATTCCTGTCTGATGCTCCAAAGTTTCTTTTTTCATTGTTTCCTTTCTATTTAGAAGAACTTCCTTTAGCTAATCTTTTAGAATGGGCCTGCTGGTGACAAATTCTCTTGGTTTCTTTCATTTGAGACTCTGAGAATGTCTTTATTTCTTTTTCATTCCCTAAGATATTTTTTCTGAGTACACAATTCTGAGTCGACTGTTCTTTTCTTTCAGCACGTGAAAAATATTGTGCCAATTATTTTTGGCCTCTATAGTTTCTGATGAGGAATTTACTGTCACTCTAATTTTTTTTTCATTATGGGTATGGTTTTTCTCTGACTGCTTTCATGTTTTTTCTTTGTCTTTAGTTTTTAGAAGTTTAATTATAATGTGCGTTGGCATGGGTTACTTAGATATTTTTATATTGTGTTATGAGACTCTGGATCTTATTTAAGTTTTCTGCTTTACCTGGATTTTTCTGGTACAAGTCCAGCAGGGGAAGGAGAGGAGCTGCTTTGTTATTGCCAGGTGGAGGTACAAATCTAAGTTTCCCACTTGGCCTCTTTTGACACCTGAGGTGGAGACTCCTCATTACTGCTGAGTAGTAGGGGTAGAAATTTTGCCTTTGTACATGGTCTCCACTGACAATGCAGTGCAACTGGCTTATTGCTGTTTGGTGATGGTTGAAGTCTTGACCCCTTTTTCGGCATTCTCTGATACCACATAGCAAAGAGGAAGAGGGTTTTCTCATTACTGTTGGACTGAGGTGGAAATCCAAGCTCCCACATGGCCTCCACTGACCCTGTTGGGGCAGAGGCTTGCTGTCAGTCAGCAGGGATAGAAACCTGGCTTCCTGATTGGCTTTCTGTGATACTACCCTGGTGGGTATTGGGCCAATGTCTTAGTCCACTTGTGCAGCTATAACAAAATAACACAAACAGGCTAATTTGTAGAGAACAGAAATTTATTTTTCACAGTTCTGGAGGCTGAAAGTCCAAGATCAAGGCGCTGGCAGGTTTGATGTCTCACGAGAGAGAGGTCCGTCTGTGCTTCCAAGATGGCATCTTATTGCTGCATCTATGGAAGGGACAAATGCTGTGTCCTCACATGGCAGAAAGATGGAAGAGCAAAAAGGGCCTACCTACCTCTCTGGCCCTTTTATAAGGGATAAAAAAAGTAGAGCCCTTAGGGCTTAATTACCTTTCAAAAGTCCCATCTCTTAATACTTTGCCATGGGGATTGTTTCAATATGAATTTTGGAGGGGACACAAATATTCAAACCATAGCAGCCACTGTGTTATAGCCTCTTGAGGGTGAAGTCTAGGCTCCCCTCTCAGCCTTTGCTGGTATGTGTGGGAGTAAGGTTTTGTTTGTGGTGTTTGGTTGAAGTAGAATGGTTATTGTCTAAAGGTTTTCTGTTTTGCTAGGTTGTCCCTTTCCTGGTCTTTTGGTTAGTGAGAACAGGCTTTTGTTGAGGCATTTAAAAGTCAGAACTCATTTGCATTTCTGGATTGCTGAACTCTTTAGCTTCTTGTCTGGGATCCATAAGGCAACTTACCACCATGTCTTTCCTTGGGTCCTAAGATCCCCAGCCAGTCTGCCTTCTTCTCCCCACCTTTCAGTCTTTTTATATTTGCTTTATGCATAATGTCTGGGGTTTTTAGTTGTAGCTAGTGGGAGGAATAGGGAAAAGTACGTCTACTTCATTTTCCCAGATAGTTCATTTTATTTTTATGCGTAGGTAATGTCCTTGGCTTTTATACTTGGAGCATAGGCCAAGTTTAACCTTATCATTTGCTGTGTTAAAGGACAATGTTTGGAAGTATGGATGTGAAAAGAGAAGATACTTGAACTTTTTCTTTTGGAAAATAGCCTTTTGTGATGGCTTTTCATTCTTGTCAAGATGGGTGTTCAGAAAGAAGTAATTATTGGGAGTGGACAACTCATAGAATGTAAAGCAGGGGTGCCTAATATAGTGGAAAGTAAGCAGATCTAAGGCTTTCCCTGCACTTCTGCTAGGTGGCTGCTGCCGTGGGGACTGCCCCAATCAGCAGACTTCTTAATTAGATGGAGAGGGAGCAGTGGGGTAAGAAACCTTGCTGTCAGCTTCCCTTCTCCCTATCCCTTCCCCTCATTCCTTGTCAGGAAAAAGGAAAAGTATAATTTTTTCATTAGAGATAACAGGAATCATGTTTGGTTTGATAGTATTTATAAATATGCTTCAATAAACATTCAATTGTGCTCACTTACAGTTTTACGTAAGCTGTGGGTCAGTTTCATACTGCAACAGTTCATTCTCATCATTTGGTTGTCCTTTATCATTCTGATGTGAAAATCATGTTGAAGGGGAAATTATTCGTGCATTATAATGAGTATAACTTGCATCCTAGGGGCCTTGAAATGCAGTTTGCTAAACTAAATACAAAAGACTACAGTCTAAACATAGAATTCGCCATAGTCAAGCTCTTCCTGTGAAGGCTTAAAGAAAAAAAAACAACCTAGGGAATTGTCACACTTCCCATTGTTATTCACACGCTTGTTTGGGATCTGATAATGGCAGCTGCCAGAGCCCTGACATTTCAGCAGAGAGGGGAAGCAGGGCAAAAGTTAGAAGACTCTGGATCTGAGGAGAACTCTCAAATTCACTGTAAGCCTCAGGCTGTCTTGAAAATGTGATAATGGTTGTAGAATTTGGATAGATGATTTCTCTAGAAAAACAAATTTTATTAGATAACAGCATGCATGAACACTACAAAACACAGGATTAAAATACCACTGAATCCTACAAAGTACTTTAAATTCTCCTTCTTAACTGGTTTGCCATTCAAGTCAATAAATATTTACCAAAAAATGACCACGTTTCTGGTCCACTGGGGGCAGTTGGGGTACGAAGATGAACAAGTCCTGATCCCTGTCTTTAAGGAGCTAATAATGCAGAGGGAAAACAGAAGTGTATACAAATAACTGCTATAAAATGTGCCTAAATGAGGCTTTATGAAGAATTGCCATTTGAACTGAACCTTGAAGGATTATTTAGTGGCTGCAAGAAGCAGATATGAACTCTGGCTAATTGAAGAGAAAAAAAAATTAAAAAAACACCACCACCACCAGGGGGAATCTGTTGGGGATTGTGGAGATAGCTCCTGAATTGAAGTAAAAAGCTGTACCTTTAAGGAAACATGTTATAGATTGATGTACTAGGGATTGATGGCAATGTTTTTTTCAGAGTATGGTCTATAAGGATGAGTCAACTCCAGTGCTTTTGGGTTGGGTCACTTCTCTTAAGGTACAAATTTCAAGGGAAGAGGGACTGAGAGGTCTTACCTGGGTCATATACCCATCTCTTGGCCAATGCAATGCCAGGGGAGTCATTCCTTAAAGGAAGAGCATAAGCTCTAATTAAAAGCCCAATAGCTCTGACGTTGGGCAGCACAAACCATGGACAGGTGGAAGGAATATCTGAGCAGAGATGCAGAGGCAGAGAAATAAGAATGTTTGGGAACAGCAAAGCATCTGGTCCAGTTGTGCATAAGGTGAAGGAAAGGCGAAGTTGGGAGAGATGAGGAAGAAGAGGCAGGTTGCAAGTGGGTGATGGAAGACCTTAGCTGCTATGTTTGGAATTGAAGATAGAGTCATTGGCAGGGCTGGGGGGAGCAGATCTGGTAAGATCTATGCTTTGAGAACAGTTCTCTGGAAACAGACTTGGGTTATAAAAGGAATTATGGGGCAAGAAGGCAAAGGATGTTGCCTAGGTGAAAAGGGGTAATGAAGGCTTTTAATGATATTATACTTAACTCTGAAATGACCACAGTGAACACTTTATACATTTTACTTTTACCCAGTAGAGAAGACAAGGCATGCATTTTCCCCCCTTTTAACAGATACAATACCAGAGGCTCCAGATGCTTAAGTGTCATGCTCTAGATATCATGATGAGTAAGGAGGAGCCAGGGCTTGCCCTTGGCCGTCTTCCTAGGGGCTCTTTCTAACATGTGAGACCTTGCAGCTGGATCCAGCTGACTTTGCTTTGCTGCACCACAGGCTGTGACCCATTTCTTCACCACCAGGATGATATTCTTTTGAGGTTGCGCCCTTGAGCAAATAGCTCCAGTACATCTGAATCTTGGCTTGTGCCTGATGTGCTTATGTGGCCTGAATGCAGGTTTTCTTTTTCCCTCATGAGAGAGGATTTTCCAAAAGGAGTTTCAAAAATAATCTGTGGTGGATACTGAACATGTGCTCAGCAGCTAAGTGAAAGGACAATGATAGTGTAGCAGGAAATGGCAGTGGAGTGTTAGGAATGTTGAGCTTTGGAGTCAGGTTGCCTGAGCTAAAATCTCTGCTCTGCCTCTTACTAGCGGTGTGACCTTGGCCAAGATACTTGACTTTCTAAATCTGTTTGTCTGCAAAATGGCGATAATAATGAAGTCACCCCATAGAGTTGTGAGGATTCAATGTGATAATGCAAATAGAGACCTTGGAAGAGTACCTAGCTTATCATAAGTATTTAATAATGTTGCTGTTCTGGTTATTGTTGCTATTGTCTTACCTAAAACATGGCGGGACGTGTTTCGTATAGTTCTGTGACATTTGAGCTTCAGTGCCATCTAGTGGCCAGGACATTTCAGAGGGTGCTATTAGCCCAGGTGTTGCACCCACAGGTGATGCGAGGGCTCTTATTCTGTAGCTTAATGACTCGCTGCTAACTGATTTCAAAGGTGAGTGCTGGGTATGCAGGCCAGGACTAGGAATATTGTGTGATCTGACCTCATTACTGGTTAAGTTGCATGAAGAGAGTAACTTTGTTTTTACAGACAGAAAAGGAAATCATCATGGCCACGGGATCTCGGATGCCTTCTCTTCCTTGGCCTGGCCACACAAGGGAACTCTGTGTTTCCAAAAGGTGTAGCTCCCCCTTGGAGCACGACAGGATACAGGCCGACTTGCCAGTGTAGTGGTTAGGAATGTGATTATCTGGTCCCGTGGTTTGTGAGTCACCAGCTGAATGACTGTAGCAAGTTACTTAACTTCTGTGAAGAGTAAAAATCTGTACCTCACAGGATTTTAATGAGAATGCACATATATGCTTAGCACAGGGCCTGATGCATAGTAGGTGCTCAGTAAACATTAGTTGTACTGATTTTTCACTTTTGCAATAGATTTTTGTGTTAAAGAGGGGCCATTCATTCATTCATTTTTTTCTTCACACATTCATTCCATCATTCAATTGCTATCTGGAGAACATACTGTGTACCAGGAACTGAGTTAGATGAAGCCTTGCGTAAAACAAACACAGCTCCTCATGGTTGTGGTGAAGGGCATTACACAAGCGATGCCAGGGGAGCTGGGTGTCCCTGAGCAAGCTGTGGACTGAACAGAGGACTTTCTACAGAGTATGATTCGCATCATAAGTATTATAGATTTGTACAAATTTACATGCAAGTTTTAAAGCAGATGGGAGTTTCTTGTTCTTAAAAAATATCAGTATATTTCAATGATTTCCAGAAGATGAAAGTAAAGTGCCTTGAGGAAGGGGTGCCCTTTGCTAATTTGTCTAAAAGCACTGTGAGGTAGACATGGCGATTACATTAAAGTGTATTGGATTCATTCATTGTAGCTCTGGTGGCTCAAGTGACCACTTTTATGTATTGAGGGACTAAAGAGCGTGATGTTTATTTATGTTTAAAATAAATCTATCTATCTGTCTATCTAATTAATCTCATTAGCCCTTCCTCCAACTTTTCTCTACATTAGCCTTATGTTCCTATTTTACTTCTTTTCACAGGAATGCAGCAAGCTCACAAAGTCCTGCTTCCTTTAGAAAATCACCCTGCAATGTACATCACAAATGAGATAATTCTCCTAGACTAAGTCCTAAAGTAGTGATTTTTATAAAGGGCGTGGTAAAGGATTTTGGGGAGAGGAGAAAGTTGTGTATGCTTGGGAAATAATGTACTCAATACAATAATATATTAAGCAATGAAATATAAAGCAACATAATATTATATACATAAAATATTCTGTATTATACTGAATAATAAAAATATATATTTATTTTACAATAGTAAAGATCAACAAATTCTTCCTGCTGGTGCACCTACACAGAAGATAGACTGCTCAGAGATATGTAGAGACATTCCCACACAGAAAAACCTACTGAAATCTAGCTGAGACAGTGGAGTAGGATCTTTCCATGTATCAAAATGGAACAAAGGTTAAAGAAAAAAGGGGTCAAAAAACTCAAAGGCTGGAAAATATCTGCGTAAGGCTTCAAACATCTCTTGAATGGACATTGCTTGGGGATTCCCTGATAATAGCAATAATGGTGATGGTGATGGCCTTGCTTTCGTGCCAGGCCTCAAATCCTCCTCACCACATGGAGGAGGAGGTAGGTACAAATGTTTGGTAGTGAGGCTGCCACGACTCCTTCTTTAGCAAAGCTCAATGACTTTTCTGGAATCAGTTAAATTTTTTCTTTCTGGGCCCTGCATCCCTGCTTGGGTGCTGTTTCTTGAGCTTCCTGAATAGCAAGCTCCTTCCTTGATCCTCCTTGGCAGCCTGTTTCATGAATTAGTTTTCCTTCATTTAGCTGCGTTCTTCAGACCCCAGAGGACAGTTGAAAGGTTAATTTTATAACACTTAATACTAGTACGAATCCTCAGGGTCAGGATCTTTTTACCAAAATACCACTTCTTTTATATTTCCTTTCCAGCCTTCATTGTTCAGTAGTTCTGCAGAAGTGATTTCTGCTTGAACACTGCTGGTAGGGAAAAGCACAGAATATTTCCTACATAGTTGTTTTTTGCTTTAATAACATTTGGCTTAAGAATGTCTTTTTGCCTCTTAAAAGTAGGATATTTTTCATTTTGTTCTGTGGATTTGGTTTATGGCTACTGGTCAAATTTTGTCTAAAAGTTACTATTACTGAATGTATTTCCAGAGGATCCTAGGCTAAGGTGACATAAATTTTATAATCTTTTTAGTCAGTTAAGTTAGGGAAAAAATCTTGGTAGAATTGGAATAAAATTATTTAAGTGTTGGCCCTTAGCTTTCAGTCTCCAAAGCATGACAATTGACTAAAATCTCGCTCTCATTTACACCCTAAATAGGCAACTTCATTGTGTCAGATGCCATGATAGATCTATCTTGAATCTGTGACTCCTGTTTCTTGATTCTGTGATATATCATCTCTTTATTCTATGAAGGCTGGGGTTTTAAAGGACTTTACCTTAAATCTCCTTTTTTTGTAGTGTGTGTGTGTGAATGGTCCTTCTTCTGATGGCTTGCACAGGAAGCCTAAGGCGTAATCAGACTATAAAACCCCTGACCAGAAAGGAGATGGTAAGTTCAGCTACACACTAAGAAGATAACAGGCAGCTATTTACTAGCCAGAAAGATAAGGGAATGAGTTTGATTCCTCATTAAAAGCTTCATGGTTTAAGTCTTAAAAAAAAAAAAAAGCCTTGGGTCTTTGCTTATTAAGTTACATAAACAAGGTGAAGTGTCATGGAGGGTTGTTGGGGGAGGAATGGAAACTCTTGGTGTGACCTATAATTAGAAAATTTCCAAACAGAGAATAAAAACAGAGACTGTATGCCACTTCCTGACCCCACTCACCCATACAGGCTAAGCCATTGGTGGGAGACAGATAAGAAAACACCAAGGAAGGAAACTTGAGCCAGGCTGCTTGTTCGCTCTGATGACGACTCAGCCTGGGATGGGAGGATTGAATATTCCCTTACAGTTGAAACGATCCTGAAGGCATCTTAAGAAGGAATAGCATTACTTCCATAAACCACAATCAACCAATAACATGAGGGTATTCCATGCTGTCCCTCTATAAGGACCTTCCATACTGTGTTGCTAATGAAATAGCTGGAGATAGTTAATTAATTACAATAGAGAAAAAGGCCTGGGTTGGTATACTGGCTCTTGTCCACGACTTCTGGAATTTTGGGCAGGTTGCCTCACCCTCCAGCCTCGCTGGCTGGTCTGTAGGGGAAAATGATGGCTGCACATCTGTTAGGGTAGTAAAGATTCAACGCGATGAGGCATGTGAAAACACTTAGAAATCTGCAAAGATCCTTTACAAATGCTGGCTGTTGTTATGTTAAACATGTCTTTGTACAGTGTGTAATGGTCTTCCCTACTTACAATAACATCAGGAATCTAAAGCAGACTATGGTTTTTCTCACTAGTAGACAATCCCTCTGTGAGGGGTGTAGTCATTGGTAGCAAGAGTTTATAGAGGTCACCACCCCCTCTGCTGTGACTCACAGACCCCATGCACCAATCAAGGTGCAATCCTGAGGCTCCACCAGGTTTCCCAAGGCCAAACTCGATGCTAGCACGGAGCAGACTGTGGTGTGATTTCTAGTGTAAGGCAGGGAGTCAGAATTCTGCTCTCCCACTTACTTGTTTTGTGACTTTCGGCAAATAAGTTCATTTTTCTGAGTCTCCATTTCTTCTTATGCATGTGCCTTCCTCCTATCCATTCACATATATCCCAAAATGAAATGTGAATATTGACCCTGCTGGTTTATTGATAGGTTACATGAGTGAAGACATTGGTGAACTGTTTGAGGACAGGGATTTCCTCCCAAGCATATTACACAGTGGCTTGCATATAGTAAGTGCTCAATTAATACTGATTTAATAAAAATATGTTTAAAAACCCTAGCATTGTGACAGGCACATCATACACATAGCTGCTGGTTTGAATTTTGGTTCTATATCTTCAATACCTTTTTTCCCCTCTTAAATAAAGATGTCACTAATCAATGGAATTACCTTAAACCATGACCCTTTACCTCTCTGGGTCTTGTTCTTCACCATAAAGGAAGCTAGAGCAGTTGGTCTCTCATGTTTCCTCTATGTGATAAAGATTGACTGTTTTCAAAAACCAAATCTACCTTCAAATTAGGCCATTTTTGCCTCTATTGAGTATGTTGCTAAACTAACCTGAGAGCTTAGTTTAAAAGCAGTTGGTGTAAAAAAGAAACTCCTTCAAGTTTTAACTGACTTCAACTTTTGCATGAAAAATGGCTATTTCACCCTGGAAGGTCCTGGGTTCTCCATGTCCCATTCAACTTGTATACCTCCCACTCTCAAAAGTGTTGAGGTTTAGAAAAGAAATGATTTGGTCACCCAACTGCAAATGATGAGGGAACCCAGCTGCCTGGCAAATGAGCAGTCCCTTAGGTCTTCCGGCAGAAACTGAGGCACGGCCTCTCTCATTCTGCAATGGCCAAAGCTGCTGCCTTGGAACCTGCTGTTGGAGTCTGGGGACCCAGAAAAAGTGCAGCATATATGGAGGAATCTAGAACCACATCATATGAGAAATGATGTTAGGAACGCAGGATGTTTGGCCTGGAGAAAGTTCAGTGACGACATGATAGCTGACTTTAAATGTTTTAAAAACTAAGACTCTTCCAAGTGACACTAAAAGGCCAAACTGGGGCCAGTTGGAGACCTACCTATGGGGAATGTGTTAGATGAATTGTAGCCTGTCCGTTCAGAGCTATCAATCTAGGATATGGAACTATGTCTACAATGCAATACTAAAGGAAACAAGCCCTGTTGTCAGAAGTATATAAAGTATCTGGCTGGGCGCGGTGGCTCATGTCTGTAATCTCAGCACTTTGAGAGGCCGAAGTGGGTGGATCACTTGAGGTCAGGAGCTCGAGACCAGCCTGGCCAACATGGTGAAACTCCATCTCTACTAAAAATACAAAAATTAGCCGGACATGCTCACTTGAACCCAGGAGGTGGAGGTTGCAGTGAGCCGAGATTACGCCACTGCACTCCAGCCTGGGCGAAAGAGCGAGACTCTGTCCCAAAAAAACAAAAAACAAAAAACAAAAAAACAAAAAATTAATTGTATAAAGAATCTGATCACCTCTGGGGAATAGAATCTGGTGGGACGTAGTGGGGGAACCTTAATTTTTACTTTATAAACCTTTGTAATGCTTTACAAACTGCTGTGTTTGATTAGTCATGAACAACTTTTTAAAAAATGAATAAATGGGAAAAAGTTATAATGAGAGAAAGTAATACGTAATGTAAGGAAGAGAATTAGAACCATCAGAACTCAGAAGAAAAAAAATCACCTGTGGGAGTGGTGAGCTTCTCTTCTGTGGAGATATTCAAGCAGAGTTTGGAGAAGAGCTTGTTACTGCTGTCAGGACATATGAATGTTGCATGGGGAGTTGGGGAAGTGGTCTCTAAGGCTTCTGTCAGCCCTGTGATTCTACTGCATTTAGAGATTCTATGAAATAAAACCACTTAATGGTACTGCTTATGTCCATTTTAAACCATAATCCTTGGCCTAGAAACAAAAACTAGGCTATTACTATTACTGTTATCCTCTGATTTAAGACTTCTTCTGTTTATGTTGTCATTGTTATTGGTAAGTAGTAGTATAGTAATATTATTATCATGGGTTATTTCCTGAGTCACTAAGGGCTGAGTATCCCTTATCTGAAAGTGTTCGGACCAAAAGTGTTTTGGAATTTGGATTTTTTTGGTCACAAGGCCAGTAGTGTGGTGGAGATTTTGGATGCCAACTCCTTAACATCCATTTGATCTCACGCTAATTATATTAAAACATGTGACCTTGGGAAATACCTCCTCTCTAAAGATAGTTTCTGATTAGCCTGAGCCAACAGCTGTCATAAAAAATGTAAAAATGAAAATTGTGTCTTCCTTATTGTAATGGGTGTGACGATTTGAAACTTGCTCATGTGCTGTTTCTGGTTAATCTTTTTGAGGAAATGATTTGTGCCTTCGTGGGACCAGGGCTTCCCTCTGCCTGCATGGGTGGGGTGGGAAAACACAAGTGGAGGATGTGGAGATTAGAAATCTTACATATAGAATGCAAAGACAAAGGTGCAAGTAATAATCCCCGCCTCCACTGAAAATAAAACCGCATTCTGTGGGAAGACAATGGCCTTACAAGCCAGCCATTGTTTTGAGGAGGAATTTTAAAAATTCCTTGATTTCCCTCTAAAATACACAAAGGAAAAGGCCTTGCTTTTTCAACTAGGGATGAGAAAGCCTGGTTACCAGTCTTGTTGCTCTGCCGTTATGACACTGAATAGTCAATGAATATCCCATCCTGTTTCATCTCTGAGGAGCTATGGGAAGAAGAAAAGTAGTTAAGAGAAAAGGAGAGGGAGAGAGGTGAGAAGCGGGCACCTGGGCCTGTCCCCCACTGCGTTGAAACTTCTGGAAGAGGAGATGCGCACCACCAGCCAGAGAAGTCTCAGGGGGTCTGAGGGCTGGGGCCTTGCCCCTACTTCTTGGGCACAGCCTGGGAAAATTGTAGTCTCTTTAGAGTCCCTCAATGCATCAGACTCGGGAAAAATGTGGTAGTATGCAGATGTAATCAGACGTGGTTGTGGTAGGCTTCTGGGGGAATAGAGTTCCCAGTGTCTGGAGATGCTGAGGCTGGGGTGACAGGGAGTCCAGAGAAGCCCACAGGCCCAGACTATTGCGTAGGTCCCAGAAGGTGGTCAGGTGAGCAAGCCTGGCTCACTTCCTTCTGCAAGCCCCAGGCCTTCTTAAGGAGACTAGGGAGCTATGTCAATGGGACACATACAGACTGGGCCTCTGTAAGACCCCTGAAGCCAGGAAGTTGAGACAGGGATATTTGTATGGTAGCAAAGACCACGGAAGGGCTCCAAGGTCGAGGCATCCGGCCTCACTAAAGACTAGCACCAGACCACAGGGTTCCTGCCCACCAAAGCCAGAAGGAAGGGAGGAAGGGGAGCTACACTCATTCTCCACACATCCAGACCTTACCCAGACCTAGTCAGCCAAGGGTGATGGTGGAGAAATCTGAGATCCAGCACTGTTTGGAGCAGCTGTATCCAATAGGGCATTCTGGGATGATAAAAACATTCTGAATATATAATATGTAGCCATGAGTAGTGTGTAGCTATGAAACGCTAGACCTGTACCCAGTGATAGGAATTATTATTATTTTTTATTTTAAACATTTTTAATTGTAAAAATAATATAATAACATTAAAAGAGAATTTAAAATAGAAAAACAGTACCCCTCCTAATCCTTACATGCTAACACAGTTATTTGTATATTCTCTGAGTCACAATTCCCTTGTATATCTATTTTTACATTTTAAAAATCATAGAACACATATAAGTTAAAAATCAACTTCTAATTATTCGACTTCTAAGGACATCTAGGAAGAGAGCTAAACTATTTCTGAGTAAAGAGCAGTGAAAATAAACCTCATTTTTTTGATAATTATTTTAAGAAATAAAAGGGAAGTCAAATAGGATAAGTGTGTGGGGAATTAAATTTTAAGTGTTCACATTTAAAATTAAAGAGGCATTAGCGGCTGTGAAACCAGACAGTGCATATTCTAGATGGACTATTTTGTGTACTGGATTGAGCTATATTTTAAAGTAGACAGGATGAAAACTTAATGTTTCTCCTCTGACAACTGGGGATTGTAAAGAAGAATGGGTTAGTTACAGTTCAAATAAGGAAACTCCCTCTTTTCTGTATGTCCAACGGTTGTGAGAGAAATCTGTGACCCCCTCCACATTATTGCTAATGAATATGAGCTCACTGGTGAAAACTCTGGAAAATACAGGTAAGCTAAAAGGAAAATCAGCAAACATCTCTAGTCCCATCACTTCCCTTTTTGTTTTAATAAATATCTGTCCAGTCATGTGACTGTAGGTGTTATATGTGTGTGTGTGTTTATTTCTACGAGTGAAATTACAGTGTCCTATTGTTTTAAAATTTGCTTTTAACCCTGAATTACATCACAAATACCCTCCAAATGAAAGCATCGAGGCAGTCTTCAGTGTGATCAGGTCATGAACAATGCCTTGATGAGTGTCCTGATCGCTGATATTTCTACACAGCCACAGCTCTTGCCTTGACTACTGCCCCACTCCATCCTATGTCCTGCCAGCATCTGTGAAATCCCACGGATGCATCCCATGTCCCTTCCCATCAACCCACCCATCCACCCTGCTCTTTCTCCCTCCTGATAACCCACCTTGCCACTCGGGGAAGAATTAGAGGAAGAGAGTTTAACCTCACTTCAGTCCTGTTGAGCATTTCCACATTCCGCTGATTGGGAAACGGTAGGTCCTCTCTCTTGGTTGGGAGTGGGGTTCTCCGCTTGTCTCCCTCAAGATTTAAGAGGTGAAAAGGCCACCTGGTGGTTTCCTGTTTATGGAAACCTCCTCTTTCCTCACCTCTCCTTCCTGTCCTCTTCTTCCTGTCTTTGCCTTCACGTGCCCCCTGCAGTTTCCGGCTGTGTCCTGACATGGAGGCTTCTCTGAGCTCATGGTAGGGATGTGTGAGAGGATCCCCACCAGCTAGGATCCTTTCGTATTTCATTTTCTCAGCTATAAATTAGTTACAAAACCCTGTTTCTAATTTGATGAATTTCCAGTTTGGGAATGTGTCCCCAACCTGACTCCATTCTCTCAGTGGCAAACTGTTGCTTGTCCCTGAGACGGATTCCTTAAATTACTAAGCAATGACAAGACTCCAGGGAGTAAGAAAGAGTCATTGGTTGCTGATAATTGTCCTCACATTGTATGAATCATCCGTCCCTATTTGTATGGCAGAGTGAATAAGAAGTTACTGTAAAGAATTGCTGTAAAACTGTTTTACTCATTTTATTCAGAAAAGGCAATGCACAAGGCATGAAATTTGAAAAGCTCAAAAAGGCATAGAATGAAGAGCAGTTCTTCCTCTTACCCAGGTATCCAGAGAGGTTCTTCTCTCCAGAGGTGACTGCTGTTACCATTTTCTTGTGGAGACGACTATGCCTTTAACGTCCAATAAGGTAGCTGTGGCCATGTGTGCTGACTTGTGTGTAGCCATACAACACTTGAAATGTGGCTAATCTGAATTGAGATGTGCTACAAGTGTAAAACGCATACCGTATTAAAGTCTTATGAAAGAAAGAATGTAAAACATCTCATAAATAATTCTTATATTGATTGCATGTTGACATGTTGATAATAGTTTGGATATCATTAAATGCATTTTATCTGTTTAATTTCTTTGTGCTACTAGGGCATTTAAAATTACACATGTGGCTTACATTTGTTGCTTGCATTATATTTCTATCACACAGTCCTGGTCTATACATAAATAAGAATACACATACACAGGGGAGTGTGTGTGTGCGTGAGCAACGCAGGCATGTGCCATAGCATAATAGAAACGCTGTTCTGCACCCTTTTTTCCACTTAGCAATGTGTCTTGGCAATTGTGTTACATCACTACATAAAGAGATTTTTAAAAGTAGTGATTTATGGTATTTTGTTGTAAAAAACTTCATTTATAGAAGCAGCTCTTGTTGCTGGACCTTCAGATTGTTTCCAACTTTTCCGTCCAAATTTTTACACGATACTATAATAAATAAACTTGTCTTTTTCACACTTAAGGAGTTGGAAAAACTGGGTCAAAGAATATTTATGGCTGGGTGTGGGGGCTTATGCCTATAATCCCAGCACTTTGGGAGGCCAAGGTGGGTGGATCATGAGGTCAGGAGCTGGAGACCATCCTGGCCAACATGGTGAAACCCCGGCTCTACTAAAAATGCAAAAATCAGCTGGCCGTGGTGGCTCGTGCCTGTAATCCCAGCTACTCAGGAGGCTGAGGTAGGAGAATCGCTTGGACCAGGGAATTGGAGGTTGCAGTGAGCCGATATTGCACCACTGCACTCCAGCCTGGCCACAGAGCGAGATTCCATTTAAAAAAAAAATTATTTACATGGTTAACCTTGAGAAATGTAATCCAGTTTCTCTCCTTAGAGGATGTGACAATTTACACACCCATAAGCAATGTATGAGTGTTCTCATTTCCCTTCCATTTTCTAACACAGTATATTCTCAAACATTTTTATCTTTGCCCATCTGACAACTGGTAAATTATGATATATAGTTAATCTAGACTACCTGGTCATATATCTTTGTTTAACACATATCTGAGGCTGGGTGTGGTGGCTCACGCCTGTAATTCCAGCACTTTGGGAGGCTGAGGTGGGTGGATCACTTGAGGTCGAGAGATTGAGTCCAGTCTGGCCAACATGGTGAAACCCTGTCTCTACTAAAAATACAAAAATTAGATGGGCGGGTGGCAGGTGCCTGTAATCACAGCTACTTGGGAGGCTAAGGCAGGAGAATCACTTGAACCCAGGAGGGGAGGTTGCAGTGAGCTGAGATTGCGCCACTGCACCCCAGTGTGGGCAACAGAGTAAGACTCCATCACACACACACACACACACACACACACACACACACACACACACACACAAAATAACCACACACACAAAAAAGAAAAACCATATCTGAGAATAACAATGATTAATTATGGTTTCCAAAGTGTTTTCATGTTTCCTCTTTTAATTTTTACAATAACCCAGTCATAATAAGCATTTTACCAAAAGCCAACCAAAACTGAGGTAAAGAAGAGAAATATATCTTTGTGTGTGGTAAATATACACATAAATTCATTTAATTCTCAACACAATATGGAAGCAGATTTTGTAGGCTTTGTTACTGCCGTTTTATAGATGAGGACACTGAACTTCAGAACAGTTAAGTGACTCATCAGAAATCACACAGCTAGCAAATAGAGGGGTGAGTTATACAACTTTGCTGTTAGATAAAGCATGAGTTAACTGTGGCTCAGCTGTTGTACTAGCTGTGTGAACTTGGATGAGTTCATTCATATGTAATATTGACATGTAATATGTGGAGAATAAAGGTACCTACCCCATGGGAAGGTGTCAAAATTAATCAGGATATTGTATATAAATACTTAGCACAGTGCCTGGCACAAAGGAAGCTCTTAAATATGTATGTGTGTGTGGTGTGTATGTATGTATGTATGTGCATGTGTATGTATGTGTGTGCATGTATATACACACCTGTATGTGTATTGTACATGTGTGTGCCAGTCAAAACCCAGGTTTTTTATTTCCTGAGCTCCCTCCCTGTCATTTTCTCCCTTCTAGCGACTCAGTCTCTTCTGGGCAGCAAAACTCATTTTGATCAGTTCTTTTCTTTGTGTGAGTTGAGGAAGGGCTGGAGCAGAGAGGAGACATTTCCATGTCTTCATTGCCTGCCACTTCCTCCCCAGCTTAGGAAGATGCTCGCCCTCTCTGTCCCTGATCTTTTTCTTCATCAGATGGGTCATTGGTGTAAAGTCAATAATGTGGGTACTATTAGAAATTTCTTTGAGGTCTTGGAGAAAAACAAGTTTAAGCTGCATGCACGTGTGATTGAAAACAAGGCAGTGTTCATACTGGGGCTCATGTAGAAACTACCTGTGACTCAGGGACACTGCTGATCAGGTCAGGCAGGTCATGGTGTATTTAAATGGCCCCCAAATCAAGTAAATGATGACAATATAATAAACTACAACTGTGAAGTAGAGAAGAACCTTTGTGTGATTTTAGAACAGTTTTGATTCTCTTTTGAAAAAAATGACAGGAAGTAAGCGATCAGGAAATGCAGGAACAATAGCCTTTTCCTGGAAGTGTGGCTCTGAAGAGATGACTAAATGTTCAGACATGCTGGGCTGAATAGGCAGGGGCCAAGACCAGGGGCCGCAGCAGGGAGAAGGAGCCAGGATTACTTATGAGAGTGGACAAAGCCAATAGGTTAGGTTACATGTATTATTTATTACTCTCTATCTGGTGAAAATAAAAGAGAGATCATGGCAAGGTTACATTAGACCTGGAGATTATCAAGTCATTAATTGGCAAAAACTGCTACCTGACTTGAAGCCTTTAAAAAGTTTGTAGTATCAGGCAGGAACAGCCAAGAGGAGTTGCCTTCATTTCCTTTGATAAAGGGAACATCCTAGGGGTTTTTGAAAGCTTAAAAATGGCAGCACTACCACCAGACAGTGACCACTTGTTGACCTGTTGGTCCCCGTTTTATTAATCCACTGAATGCTGTGTTTGTGTTTTGAAAGGCTTTGTACGCCAAAGCACAATTATTAAGCCAAGAGTTGTTTTCTTTCTTTAAAAATTATTAATCATAATTTGTAGAAAAATAAAACTACTCTTCTGAATGTCTTATCAGCCTGAGGTACTCAAGGTTACCACACTGAATTGATGTAATTCTAGCTACAAGTGGAACACAAGTTGTCTTAGCTCTTCTAAGCAGCCTTATTACCAGCAAACCCATCATTTCTCCTAGGCTTTGTGGAATGTTGAAAAGTCCTTCTGCAGCACCAGTAATGTCTCTCCAGACTCTTCAGGGGACTTGGAGCCTCAACATCTGTTTTGTAGGGGGCCCTAGGAAAGAAGGAAGTCCCTTTCCAATACAGTGTCAGATTCAAGTAAAATTAATGTTTTAATTTATTTGAAAATCACTTAAAGATGAGAAGAAAAAGATTCATAACTCTAGCCACTTAGACAAATATGAGAAGAGTGCCTCTGTTGGTCCCTCTCATGCCACGCTGCAGAGGTAACTGCTATTAAAAAAAAAAAAGGTGTGTATTATTCTCATTTCTTTTTTTTTTTTTTTTTTTTTTTGAGATGGAGTCTCGCTTTGTCACCCAGCCTGGAAGGCAATGGCATGATCTCGGCTCACTGCAACCTCCGCCTCCCGGGTTCAAGCGATTCTCCTGCCTCAGCCTCCTGAGTATCTGGGATTACAGGTGCGCACCTTCACGCCTGTCTAATTTTTGTATTTCTAGTAGAGATGGGGTTTCACCATGTTGGTCAGGCTGGTCTCGAACTCCTGACCTTGTGATCCACCCGCCTTGGCCTCCCAAAGTGCTGGGATTATAGGCGTGAGCCACCGTGCCCGACCCCCATTTCTTTCCTTAGCTGTGCAATTATATTTACATCTACTTTATTCAAATGGGATGAAATTTGCTGTTTTTTTTTTTTCTTGAGACAGGGTCTCACTCCATCACCCATGCTGGAGTATAGTGGCGTGATCTCTGCTCACTGCAACCTTCACCTCCTGGGCTCAAGTGATCCTCCCACTTCAGCCTCCCGAATAGCTGGGACCACAGGCTGGGTGCCACCATGTCCGGCTAATTCTTTTGTATTTTTTATAGAGACAGGGTTTCACCATGTTTCCCATGCTGGTCTTAAATTCCTGAGCTCAATCGATACATCCTCCTTGGCCTTCCAAAGTGCTAGGATTACAGGTATAAGCCACTGCACCTGGCCCCCAGTTTTTCCTTTTTATTTTTATTTATTTATTTATTTTTTGAGACAGAGTCTCGCTCAGTTGCCCAGGCTGGAGTGCAGTGGTGTGATCTCATCTCACTGCACTGAGGTCACTGCACCTCGGCTCACTGCACCTCGGCTCACCGCACCACCTCCCAGGTTCACGCCATTCTCCTGCCTCAGCCTCCTGCATAGCTGGGACTACAGGCACCTGCCACCACGCCCGGCTAATTTTTTTTTTTTTTTGTATTTTTAGTAGAGACAGGGTTTCACTGTGTTAGCCAGGATGATCTCGATCCCCTGACCTTGTGATCCACCTGCCTCAGCCTCCCAAAGTGCTGGGATTACAGGCATGAGCCAGTGCGCCTGGCCAGTTTTTCCTTTTTAAAAATAGTTATAATGAGATATACGCAAATGTGAAATGGTACAGCCACTTTGGAAAACATTAGCAGTTTACTATAAAATTAAACAGACACTTAACATATGACCCACCAATCCCACTTCTAGCTGTTTATCCCAAAGAAATGAAAACATGCCCACACAAAAGCCATGTACGTGAATATTCAGAGCAAAAAAATGAAAACAACTCGAATGTTTATGAACTCATGAATGGAAAAACAAATTGTGGTATATTCATGTGATGTCGTACTACTCAGCAATTAAAAGGAACAAAGCATAAATACACATAATGACATCGATGACTCAAAAGCTGTGTGCAGTGGCTGGGTGTGGTGGCACTCACCTATATTCCCAGCTACTCAGGAGGCTGAGGCACGAGAATCATTTGAACCCAGGAGGAAGAGGTTGCAGTGAGCCAAGATCGTGCCATTGTACTCCAGCTTGAGCAACACAGTGAGACTGTATCTTAAAAACAAAAAACAAAAAACAAAACAAAAAAAACTATGTGCAATGGAACTCAAACACAAAAGTCTATGTATGTATGATTCCATCTATACCTAGAAAAGCCAAAACTCGGGGTCACTTCCAAGGTGGCCAAATAGGAACAGCTCTGGTCTGCAGCTCCCAGCGAGATCGACACAGAAGATGGGTGATTTCTGCATTTCCAGCTGAGGTACCGACTCACTGGGACTGGTTGGACAGTGGGTGCAGCCCACGGAAGGTGAGCTGAAGCAGGGTGGGGCGTCACCTCACCTGGGAAGCACAAGGGGTTGGGGGATTTCCCTTTCCTAGTCAAGGGAAGCCATAACAGACTGTACCTGGAGAAACGGTACACCCCTGACCACATACTGCACTTTATCTGCAGTCTTAGCAACGAGAAGATACCCTCCCATGCCTGGCTCGGCAGTACCATGACCACGGAGCCTTCCTCACTGCTAGCGCTGCAGTCTGAGATCAACCTGTGACACTGCAGCTTGATGCGGGGAGGGGCATATGACATTGCTGAATCTTGAGTAGCTCACAGCGTAAACAAAGAGGCTGGGAAGCACGAACTGGGCGGAGCCCACCACAGCTCAGCAAGGCCTACCGCCTCTATAGATTCCACCTCTGGGGCAGGGCATAGTAGAACAAAAGGGAGCAGACAGCTTCTGCAGACTTAAAAGTCCCTGTCTGACAGCTCTGAAGAGAGCAGTGGATCTCTCAGCATGGTGTCCGAGCTCTGAGAACAGACACACTGCCTCCTTAAGCGGGTCCCTGACCCCCATGTAGTCTGACTGGGAAACACCTACCAGTAGGGGCCGACAGACATCTCAAACAGGTGGGTTCCCTTCTGGGAAGAACCTTCCAGAGGAAGGTTCAGGCAGCAATATTTGCTGTTCTGCAGCCTCCACTGGTGATAACCAGGCAAATAGGGTCTGGAATGGACCTCCAGCAAATTCCAGCAGACCTGCAGCTCAGAGGTCTGACTGTTAGAAGGAAAACTAACAAACAGAAAGGAATAGCATCAACATCAACAAAAAGGGCATCCACACCAAAACCCCACCTGTAGGTCACCAACCTCAAAGACCAAAGGTAGATAAAATCGCAAAGATGGGGAGAAACTAGAGCAGAAAAGCTGAAAATTCCAAAAAACAGAACACCTCTTCTCCTCCAAAAGATCACAGCTCCTCGCCAGCAAGAGAACAAAACTGGACAGAGAATGAGTTTGACGAGTTGACAGAAGTAAGCTTCAGAACGTTGGTAATAAAAAACTTCTCCTAGCTAAAGGAGCATATTCTAACCCATTGCAAGGAAGCTAAAAACCTTGAAAAAATGTTACATGAATGACGAACTGGAATAAACAGTGTAGAGAAGACCTTAATGACCTGATGGAGCTGAAAACCGTGGCACAAGAACTTCGTGACGCATGCACAAGCTTCAATAGTCGATTCGATCAAGTGGAAGAAAGAATATCAGTGATTGAAGATCAAATTAATGAAATAAAGTGAGAAGACAAGATCAGAGAAAAAAAGAGTAAAAAGAAATAAAGCCTCCAAGAAATATGGGACTATGTGAAAAGACCAAATCTACATCTAATTGGTGTACTAGAAAGTGATGGGGAGAATGGAAACAAGTTAGAAAACACTCTTCAGGATATTATCCAGGAGAACATCCCTAAGCTAGCAAGGCAGGCCAACATTCAAATTCAGGAAATACAGAGAACACCACAAAGATACTCCTCGAGAAGAGCAACCCCAACACACATAATTGTCAGATTCACCAAGGTTGAAAGGCAGGAAAAAATTTTAAGGGTGGCCAGAGAGAAAGGTCGGGTTATCCACAAAGGGAAGCCCATCAGACTAACAGCAGATCTCTCGGCAGAAACCCTACAAGCCAGAAAAGAGTGGGGGCCAATATTCGACATTCTTAAAGAAAAGAATTTTCAACTCTGAATCACATATCCAGCTAAACTAAGCTTCATAAGTGAAGGACAAATAAAATCCTTTACAGAAAAGCAAATGCTGAGAGATTTTGTCACCACCAGGCCTGCCCTACAAGAGCTGCTGAAGGAAGCACTAAACATGGAAGGGAGCAACCGGTACCAGCCACTGCAAAAATATGCCAAATGGTAAACAGCATTGACGCTGTGAAGAAATACCTCAATTAATGGGCAAAATAACCAGCTAAAATCATAATGACAGGATCAAATTCAAACATAACTATATTAACCTTAAATGTAAATGGGCTAAATGCCCCAATTAAAAGACACAGACTGGCAAATTGGATAAAGAGTCAAGACCCATCAGTATGCTATATTCAGGACACCCATCTCACATGCAAAGATGCACATAGGCTCAAAATAAAGGGATGGAGGAATATCTACCAAGCAAATGGATGGTAAAAAAAAAAAAAAAAAAAAAAAACAGGGGTTGCAATCCTAGTCTCTGATAAAACAGACTTTAAACCAACAAAGATCAAAAGAGACAAAGAAGGCCACTACATAATGGTAAAGGGATCAATTCACCAGGAAGAGCTAACTATCCTAAATATATATGCACCCAATACAGGAGCACCCAGATTCATAAAGCAAGTCCGTAGAGACCTACAAAGAGACTTAAACTCCCACACAATAATAATGGGATACTTTAACACCCCATTGTCAATATTAGACAGATCAATGAGGCAGAAGGTTAACAAGGATATCCAGGACTTGAGCTCAGCTCTGAACCAAGTGGACCTAATAGACATCTATCTACAGAACTCTCCACCCCAAATCAACAGAATATACATTCTTCTCAGCACCACATTGCACTTATTCTAAAACTGACCACATAATTGGTAGTAAAATACTCCTCAGCAAATGGAAAAGAACAAAAATCACAATAAACTGTCTCTCAGACTATGGTGCAATCAAATTAGAACTCAGGATTAGTAAACTCACTCAAAACCGCTCAACTACATGGAAACTGAACAAGCTGCTCCTGAATGACTACTGGGTACATAAAGAAATTAAGGCAGAAATAAAGATATTCTTTGAAACCAATGAGAACAAAGACACAACGAATCAGAATCTCTGGGAAACACTTAAAGCAGTGTGTAGAGGGAAATTTATAGCACTAAATGCCCACAAGAGAAAGCAGGAAAGATCTAAAATTGACACCCTAACATCACAACTGAAATAATTAGAGAATCAAAAGCAAATAAATTCAAAGGTAGCAGAAGGCAAGAAATAACTAAGATCAGAGCAGAACTGAAGGGGATAGAGACACAATCCCCTTTTGTCAGAGACACAATCCCCTTTTGTCAGAGACAAAAATCAATGAATCCAGGAGCAGGTTTTTTGAAAAGATCAACAAAATAGACCACTAGCAAGACTAATAAAGAAGAAATGAGAGAAGAATCAAATAGATGCAATAAAAAAATGATAAAGGGGATATCACCACCGCTCCCACAGAAATACAAACTACCATCAGAGAATACTATAAACACTTCTATGCAAATAAACTAGAAAATCTAGAAGAAATGGATAAATTCCTGGACACATGCACCCTCCCAAGACTAAACTAGGAAAAAGTGGAATCCCTGAATAGACCAAAAACAAGTTCTGAAATTGAGGCAATAATTAATAGCATACCAACCAAAAAAAAAAGCCCAGGACCAGAAAGATTCACAGCCAAATTCTACCAGAGGTACAAAGAGGAGCTGGTACCATTCCTTCTGAAACTATCTCAATCAATAGAAAAAAAGGGAATCCTCCCTAACTCATTTTATGAGGCTAGCCTCATCCTGATACCAAAGCATGGTAGAGACACAACAAAAAAAGAGAATTTTAGGCCAATATCTCTGATGAACATTGATGCAAAAATCCTCAATAAAGTGCTGGCAAACCAAATCCAGCAACGTATCCTAAAATAATAAGAGCTATTTAGGAGAAATCCACAGCAATATCACACTGAATGGGCAAAAACTGGAAGTGTTCCCTTAGAAAACCGGCACAAGACAAGGATGCCCTTTCTCACCCCTCCTATTCAACATAGTGTTGGAAATTCTGGCTAGGGCAATCAGGTAAGAGAAAGAAATAAAGGGTATTCAATGAGGAAAAGAGGATGTCAAATTGTCTCTGTTTGCAGATGACATGATTGTATATTTAGAAAATCCCATTGTCTCAGCCCAACATCTCCTTAAGCTGAGAATCAACTTCAGCAAAGTCTCAGGATACAAAATCAATGTGCAAAAATCACAAGCATTCTGATACACCAATAATAGACAAACAGAGAGCCAAATCATGAGTGAACTCTCATTCACAATTACTACAAAGAGAATAAAATACCTAGGAATCCAACTTACAAGGGATGTGAAGGACCTCTTCAAGGAGAGCTATAAACCACTGCTCAATGAAATAAAAGAGGACACAAACAATGGAAGAACATTCCATGCTCATGGATAGGAAGAATCAATATAATGAAAATGGCCATACTACCCAAGGGAATTTATAGATTCAATGCCATCCCCATCAAGCTTCCACTGACTTTCTTCACAGAATTGGAAAAAACGACTTTAAGGTTCATATGGAACCCAAAAAGAATCTGCGCAGCCAAGACAATCCTAAGCCAAAAGAACAAAGCTGGAGGTATCACATTACCTGACTTCAAACTATAGCACAAGACTACAGTAACGAAAACAGCATGGTACTGGTAACAAAATAGATACATAGACCAATGGAACAGAACAGAGGCCTCAGAAATAACACCACACATCTACAACCATCTGGTGTTTGACAAACCTGACAAAAACAAGAAATGGGGAAAGGATTCCCTATTTAATAAATGGTGCTGGGAAAACTGGCTAGCCATATGTAGAAAGCTGAAAGTGGATCCCTTCCTTACACCATATACAAAAATTAACTCAAGATGGATTAAAGACTTAAATGTAAGACCTAACACCATAAAAACCCTAGAAGAAAACCTAGGCAATACCATTCAGGACATAGGCATGGGCAAGAACTTCATGACTAAACACCAAAAGCAGTGGCAACAAAAGCCAAAATAGACAAATGGGATCTAATTAAACTGAAGAGCTTCTGCACAGCAAAAGAAACTACCATCAGAGTGAACAGGCAACCTACAGAATAAGAGAAAATCTTTGCAATCTACCCATCTGACAAAGGGCTGATATCCAGGCTCTACAAAGAACTTAAACAAATTTACAAGAAAAAAACAACCCCATCAAAAAGTGGGCAACGGATATGAACAGACACTTCTCAAAAGAAGACATTTATGCAGCCAACAGACACATGAGAAAATGCTCATCATCACTGGTCATCAGAGAAATGCAAATCAAAACCACAATGAGATACCATCTCACACCAGTTAGAATGGCAATCATTAAAAAGTCAGGAAACAACAGGTGCTGGAGAGGATGTGGAGAAACAGGAATGCCTTTACACTGTTGGTGGGAGTGTAAATTAGTTCAACCATTGTGGAAGACAGTGTGGTGATTCCTCAAGGATCTGGAACTAGAAATACCATTAGACCCAGCGATCCCATTACTGGGTATATACCCAAAGGATTATAAATCATGCTTCTATAAAGACACATGCACACGTATGTTTAATGCAGCACTATTCACAAGAGCAAAGACTTGGAACCAACCCAAATGTCCATCAATGACAGACTGGATTAAGAAAATGTGGCATATATACACCATAGAATACTATGCAGCCATAAAAAACGATGAGTTCATGTCCTTTCTAGGGACATGGATGAAACTGTGAACCATCATTCTCAGCAAAATATCACAAGGACAGAAAACCAAACACCGCATGTTGTCACTCATAGGTGGGAGTTGAACAATGAGAACACATGGACCCTGGGTGGGGAACATCACACACTGGGGCCTATCAGGGGGTTGGGGGCTGGGGGAGGGAAAGCATTAGGAGAAATACCTAATGTAAATGACTAGCTGATGAGTGCAACAAACCAACATGGCACATGTATGCCTATGTAACAAACCTGCACATTGTGCACATGTACCCTATAACTTAAAGTATAATAAAAAAAAAAAAAAAGAAAAAAGAAAAGGAAAGCCAAAACTACAAGCAGATCAATGGTTCCCTGAGAATGGAGGAGGAAATATTCTGCAAAAGGGCATGAGGAAACTTTTCAGGGTGATAGAAAAATTCTTGATCGTGCTGGTTGTAGAATTTACCAAAATTCGTCAAACTGTACACCTAGAGTTGGTGAATATGTAAATTATACCTTGATGAAACAAAAACTTCAGTTAAAAAATTAAGAATTAAAATTAAAAATGGTTACAAGATTGCTGACAGTCGGCGAAGTTTATTATGTTCTACTTATTCTTCTAAGTACGTTACAAGTATGAAGTCATTTTTATCTTCACAATGACCTGTGTGGTAATCACTTTTATCATTTGCATTTTACAGAAGTAAGAGACTGACGCCTTGAGAGGTTAAGTAATTAGCCCAGAATCATACAACATTAATGCAGCCTGGATCCCAACTGAGGTCATTTGGCTCTGTGGCTCACACAGTTTAGCTCCACTGCCCACACAATTGGTTGCCATTACCCACACTGTCAGCCACTGCCATGTGTGGACCACTGTTTAGTCAGCCTTTCTAATTTTTCCTTCTTTGCTATTTCAATGCTTAATGAACGTCTTTGTACGTGTACATTTATTTACTTGTGGTTTCCTTTCTGAGTAGTTATTTCCTAGAAGTGGGATTGCTGGGTCAAAGAATAGGTGTATTTAAAATTTCAATTAAATTTCCTTTTTGAGTATTTCCTAGGTGTCAGACCTATATTCCTATTTACCATCATATTTAACTTTCATGGCTCCTCAAATATTATCCTAGAAATTAGTTTAACTAAAATTCCTACACATTTATATAAAGGAGATAATCCCGTGAGCATATGTATTGTGATCGTCCTCATAACCTGTAGAGGTTAAGGACCTGTCTTGAATCCCACAGCTAATCGGTACATAAAATCCCAACTCAGCCTGACTCCACGTCCTGTGTGAATTCTACCGCATGCTAGCTATTAGTTCTGTAATCACCACGGGTTTTCTTTTGTGTGTTTTATTCTTGGGAGCCAGAATTAAGACTAAACCACCAAGAAAGTCACCGCCATAGGGCTCTGTCTCATCAAAAGAGGGATTTATGCTCCTAGGGAAAACAAAACAAAACAAAACAAAACAAAACAAAACAAAACAAAACCAAACCCGAGTATTCCTTGGAGCTCAGTGTTACTAGAATGTGTTGATCCTGAAAAATGATTTCCATAATTCTAATTATTTCTCATGTTTTAGCATGCTTTACATCAAAGAATACAATCTATATCTTCTCATCAAGCATTTGCTTGGTGAATATTCTAAAAAAGGAATCATAGCCTTACTTAAATATAAACACAGTCTGGTCATGCAATAATAGAATAGACAAATGTGTAGATTTCCTAGGTATCTTCTTTCTTTCCTCCATTTTTTTGACATGCTATTGCTCTGCTACTTACTAATGGTTAACCTTGAGCAAGATACTTTATCATTTTAAGCCAAATTTCCTCATCTGGAAAATTGGGATAATAAAAGTGTCCTATTCTGTGGAATTATTTTTAAAATTAAACCAAATAGTTCATGCATGGCGTTTGATACTATACCTGGCACACAGGAGGCCTGGATACACATTAGCAGGTAGTGTTGGCAGTGGCACAAGCCACCTTCAAGACTGGACATGTAGCTAGTGATCAAGCTGGACCCAAGGTGTGGTCCATATGAAGATTTCCAAAAGAGAGCATGGAGCAAGCTTCCAGTGAGTAAAAGAAAGTTATTCAGCAGTTGGAGTGGATGGAGTGAGAAGAGTTTAAGATTAAATAAAACTGACCCCTAAGCAGGACACCACTGGCCATCCCCTTCTAAGTTGGCCTCCATTGTAAAAACCCCTCCATGTCTCCCATGGCTTCTCTGATCACTCCTTGTTTTCCTAGGCTGATTCCTTTACCCCTCCTGCCTTCAAGGTTCTATCTTCAACTTTTTCCATTTCTCATCTACTGTTTATCCCTGAAGATTTATGCTTAAGTAGTTACAGAAAGTCGTAGAATAATTAAGAATATATGAGAAAAGAAATTTTATGTTTTGGTGGGGAAGATGGTTGAGGGTCTTGGCTACCTTTTAGATGGGGGTAGGGCAGGAAGGAATTAAGTCGAAAATATCAACTTTGGATTCGATTTTCACCACTGGCTTTTTGAGTTCTTGGTTAATTGAATCTTTTTGCCAAAATGATAAAAATGCTCCCCTTTTGCATTTGGTATGAGTTGATATGATTTCATCAGACTCTGTGAAGTGGGTTGAGGAGTGTATGACCCACATATCTATCTAGGTATGTGTGGGAGCCGTTTTGCCAGATGTGAAAGTCAAATTAGTCAGTGTTGTTGCTTGCTGCAGCTGGGGTAAAAGTTTATCTGGAAGAGTCTGAATCGCTTTGCTAAAACGAGACCTTAGGCTTGATCCATAATTTCCATATTCTGCGTCTGCCAATAATTAAGAGTTGGCTCTATACCAATAATATGGGAGCCTCAGAATTAATATGTAGGAGTTTGGGTGAATAACATTTTGATGCTTAATATTACCTGGAGATAACTGTTGGGTCACTAAGGATAACTAGGATATTTCATGAAAAGAATTCCTTTGCTGATATATTGGTTCCTGTTTGATTGTATTTTGTGCAGTGATCCAATGAAAATAATAATTTTTACTCTGCTGGTTTATTTGTGGGTTGGACCCAGAAGCTAAGGAACTCAATACTGAGTCCTTTTTCAAAAGGACTAGGAAAAAATCATTTAATGAAAGCTCATCCTCCCCGCCTGCCTCAAGGTCAGAGTGAAGAATGTTAGTGACCATCTGCGGTTTGGCCTGCCCATTGCCCTTCTGCACACAGAATCCCCCCGCCCTCTCTCTCTCTCTTTCCGTCTTGAAAATCACACCTCTTTGACATTGATATTATGGTTTGGATGGAGATGGCCCTACCCCTTGCCTTTGGTGGGGACTCAGCACCAATCAATGAGAACACCACATCACCACATACCTCTGGCCACAGTAACGAATTCTGGGGTGAGCCCATGACCAATGCCAGATCAAACAGAGACAGTCCTGGGGATTTTGCTCAAATTCTTCTGAGAGATCATTTCTTTCTGTTGGCATTGATAACCTGGCAGAATGTATATCTAGGGCTGCTGAAGACCACCTTGCCACCACAAGATAGCCTGCCAGAGAACAAAGCCAATGTATAGGAAAAAAGAGCCAGGAGATGGATACTAACCCCTGGCGACTCCATATGAATATCCGGTTGCAGCCACACCTGAAGCTAAATTGGATGTCTCTTATATGAATACAATGCCTCATTTTTTTTTGTTCAAGCCAGTTTGAGCTTTTTAATCTCCAGTAATCTAAAATCTAAGTATTCTATACCCAGATGTGTCAGTCCATTCTTGCACTGCTTTAAAGAAATATCTGAGTTTGGGTCACTTATAAAGAAAAGAGGTTTAATTAGCTCATGGTTCTGCAGGGCGCAGAGGAAGTGTGGTGCCAGTGTCTGCTTCCAGTGAGGCTCAGGAAGCTTAGAATCATGGTGGAAGGCAAAGGGGAAGTCAGTGCATTGCATGGCAAGAGACAGAGCAAGAGAGAGAGAGAAGGGGGAGGTCCTAGACCCTTTTAAACAACCAGATCTTGTGTGAGCTAACCAAGTGAGAACTCACTTATCACCAAAGAGACGGAGCTAAACCATTCATGAGGAATCCACCCTCATGATCCAATCACCTCCCACCAGGCCCCACCTCTACCACTGGGAATCCCATTTCAACATGAGATTTGGAGGGGACAAAATTCAAACCATATCACCAGGAAAGAAGAATCTATCAATACACAAATTTATAGCCTAGATAAATAAAATGTTATAATATTTCATTAATTTTCATGGTGTTGAAGAAAGAAAAATATCTCAGTGATGAGACTGTTTCCTTACTGGCTGGTTTCCAAGGTATGTTAGGAAGAGAAATCATATTATTCCTTCTCTTCCTTCCCAAATGTATTTATGACAACCACATAGTGTTTAGATAGCCAATGTTTCTGTGCAAATCCTCTACCTGTCCAACCTTATTATGTTCAGCTGTATCTCTGTTTTGTGAAGACTAGGTGTCCCTTCTGCCTCTTTTGTCTTCACACTACACATCCCGTTTCTTATCTGCAGCTCTATGGATGCCAAATTTCTCTTTTCAGAAACTAAAACATGAATCACACTGACTTTGCAAACTGTCTTTACCCTCCAGGGACCCTCTAGGTCCTGAGGGAAAGAGAAAACTTGAAAGGCTTAGATATGCAGTGGTAATCAACACAGAGAGAAATGAGATTGCTGAGACCGTGAATGGCAAACAGAGGTTGACTTTAGCCCTGTGTCAGACAGATTATTTTCCCCAGTGAGCAGAGCTAGTGCCACACATCTGTCACCGGGAGCCATATCATAGACCTTGATGTGGGATTGTAAAATCTACAGTTGGTCTAAAGCCAGAAGGGCATTGAAATTGGAATTCCCCAACTCCAGATGTCTAGCTTTACACTGTAGGAAACCCCTGCTCAACTGGCATAAATTGATTTCAAAATCTGTACCAGTTTGCAATGGTCAGAGGAGATGCAGCACTGGTCTGAACATTTCTAGGATAGGGAGCAAAAACTCAAATGCCTGTGGGGGCCACTGACACAGTTGGGTGAAGTGGACTGGTTGGGACCTGAGTGCCTGCATGCCAGAAATGAGCTGGCACTGTCCAGCCCCAGCTGAGGCAATTGTGCCTGCTGGTGCAGCATGGGCCCTGTGCTGCCAGATCTTCAGCGCTTTGCAGAAAGGCTGGAAGCCCAGGAATAGGAGTCATCAGTTTGCAACCTCTGATTTGATATAGCATCATGATTGTGCCAGGTGACTAAATATGGGGTTGTATTTAGACCTAATTTAGTTCACTTTGAACAGAACCCAGAGTGTTTTGGTTTAGAGCACAGACTTTGGTGTCAGGTTTACCTGAATTTGTAGCCTGGCTTTGCCACTTACTAATGTCATGACTTTGGCCAAGAAACTTAATGTCTCTGAGTTGCAGTGTTCACATCTGTAAAATGGAGCTGCAATTTCCATGTCTGCCTCTTGGGTGGGCGGGAGTGATAGAATTTGAGATAAAATGACGTAATGCTCTCAAAGCTGTTACACAGTGGCTGTACAAAAGGTAATGCTTTAAAAAATGCTGGTAATTCTATGATTGAAATCACAGAAATTTATGTAAGGTATTATTTTCATATTCTCCAGAAACAAAGTCAGAGAGACAATATTATGCGGTGGTTAAGAGCACTCATCCTGGAGTCAAATCCTGCTTGAGATAACCTGTATAACTCAGTTAACATTCTTACAACATTTAGAACAGAGCCTGGCACACAGTAAGGACTATGGGGGTGGGTGGAAGGTTATGATACTATTATTGCAATATGTTTTAATAGCTCTTATGACTTTGTCACTTGAGTAAGACTGTATCTAGTAGGGCATGGTGGCTCAAGCTGGTAATCTCAACACTTTGGGAGGCTGAGGTGGGAGGATCACCTGAGGCCAGGAATTCAAGAATAGCTTGGGCAACATAGTGAGCAAGACCCTATCTCTACAAAAAATTAAAACAACAACAATAACTGTATCCACACCCCGGAACTTGTGGTTTACGTTATCTTAACGTTAATAATATCTGATGCAATTAATTTTTACCTTATAAAGTTGGAAACACTTACCTACTATTTTAAGGGCTGCTTTAAATCCACAGTGAAAGGTCTAAAAAAATGTAGGATTAAAAAAAGAGAGAGATTGCAATTATGTCACATTCTTTAAAAACAGGCTATACAAAACTGACCTAAAAGAGAATTGGGTTTACTAGAAAAAAAACAACAATTTCTTGAGAGCCTCTTTTGTGCAATGCACATTCCTAGACCAAGAAACAAAGCTAAAATAATAAATGGCAAAAGTAAGCCCTCTAACTAAGCCAACGTCCATATTCACACATGCTGCCATGTGGTTGGCCTGCAGACACTTTGAGGGTTTTTTTTTTTTTTTTCCTACTCTCAGAGGTTACCCGGTAGTGCTGGGGTGTGCGGGAAATGGAGATCGGCATTGGGTTCAAAAGTGATGCAGGTAAGACATGGAGCCCCAGGGCGGGCCCCAGATATGACACAGATGCCTACCTGGGTCAAGGACGCAGTGGGGGCAGGAAAGGCGGTGGGAGACGGGCGCACTAGCTGGTACTTCTCCCTAAACGAGGGAGTAGTGAATCTTCAGAAGAATGCAGTCTCAACTTCGTGGGCGTCTGAGAGAAAGCGAGACTGATATCTTCTGTCCCAGTTGGAAGGTGGTGTATACGCCTAACTTCAGGAGCGAGCGCGGACCACAGAGCAGATGGAGGCGGAGTGAAAGGGTGGCCCCGCCGGCGTGAGGTGGGGAGCCGGGACCCATCCCGAGCCGGGATGCAGGAGCGGAGGATCCCAGGCTGCAGGCTCGCTGGGCGTGCAGGAGCCGGGCGGGAGAGGCGCGGGTCCGGGACTGCCGTGGGACGCTCCGCTGAGGCAAGAGGAGCCCGGGTACGCTGCGCCTGGGACCCCTCTGTCGAGGCCTCCGGAGTGTCACAGCCGCCTGCAGCCCTGACGGCCCAGGGAAGGAGACCGTCACCTGGCCGCGCTACCCAACTCCAAACCCAGGGCCATCCCAGACTGCCTGCTCTAGGAAGGAAGGGAGCTAACTGAAATTAGATTTTATTAACCAAAAAGTAATGGGAAGTTACAGAATCATTCTGAGAAGTGATTAAGTGGAGACTCTTTCCGGCTGGAAAGGTGGAGGGAGGCTGTCTACAAAGCAATTGGTAGCAGTTATTTGAAGAACAAACGTTTCATGCATACGCACTACGGATCCACTGAGATCCTTCACTCAACCATTACCCATGCACAACGTGTGAAATCTAAGGGTTGCTTTTGCGACTCACTTAGGCAGAGTTCTTGGTAGTGTCACGACAGCCGGACTCGGTTGTTGGGTTAGCTCAGATGAGTAGAGTCGTTTAATCTCTTTGAGACAGTTTCTTCCTCTTTAAAGTGAAGATGCTTATAGGAGAGTACACAGAAAAAAAAAATAGAAGAAGAAAAGAAAAAAAAAATAAAGTAAGGATGACAGTAACCCCTTAGCTACCTCCCAGAGTCTTAGAGGCAAATGAGGCAATTTCTTTTTTTTTTTTTTTTTTGAGACAGAGTCTCGCTCTGTCATCCAGGCTGGAGTGCAATGGTGTGATCTTGGCTCACTGCAATCTCTGCCTCCCAGGTTCAAGCGATTCTCCTGCCTCAACCTCCCAAATAGCTGGGATTACAGGCCTGTGCCATCATGCCCAGCTAATTTTTGTATTTTTAGTAGAGACCAAGTTTCTCCATATTGGCCAGGGTGGTCTCGAACTCCTGACCTCAGATGATCCGCCCGCCTCAGCCTCCCAAAGTGTTAGGATTACAGGTGTGAGCCACCTCACCCGGCCAAATGAGGCAATTTCTATGAGTGAGAGTTCTTTACGTATGATCAAATATGGTATAAACATTAGCAATTATTAAATGAATTTCAAATTTATTCCTCCACCTGCTCATAATTTATAGTATATCCAAAATAGAGAGTTGAATAATTATTTAGCACAATTTCATTAATAATGTATTGAATGATTCCTATTGCAAGGAGTTGTCTGATTTAATCAGTGTAGACAACTGATCTGAATAACATGAACCTCCTATCTAATTTTATCAATAGCTTTGAGAGGTTTGGGGATATATTACTGACACATCTTCAGTGGTTCACTTCATTTTCTTTGTGATTGCCTGTCAACCTTCCATTTTTTATGATGAAAAACCCATCTGTGTTATGATGAATTGGCTTTGTTTCCATGTTATGTCCTACACCTAATACATTATTATTTAGAGCTGTAATTAAACATTACTAAACAGTTTAATAGGGTGTTTCATAGTTCAAGGTAAGACTAACTTTATTCAGCAGGGAAAATCTGATTTTATTATTTACTTTATTTGAGGTCAGATTATTTTCAAATAGTTAAATAAAGTTAAATATATTCAATATGTACATAAACTTGAGAACTCTAAAGAGAAAATTCCTCCCCAAACAACTACATCATAGAGCTAGGAGGAGGAAAAAGCCCCAAGTTGTATTTCCAAAAAAACAAAAAAGAAATATTTAATTAGAGTAATTTATAGATTTAAAGAACTGACCCTATAGCTTGAGTTCTACATTATAGTTCATCACAATGAAATTCAAAGAACATTTTCTCTTTTACTGGAAATCTAATTGCATGCATGGTCTCTGCATAGTTGTAAAAGTGTAATCATATATTGCCTCATATTACTTGAATTTATTGCCTGTGTATTATTGTAACTAGAAAGACAGTCATAGAGGGGTGAGGTTGTGGGTCTTATTCTTGTACTTCTCCACCCAGTGCCTTTCACAGAACCGAGCCCAAAGTTGTTCATGATATATACTTTTGACTTGATGACTTGATTAATTGTTCCGTTGCTTTTATTGTAATGTAATTTGCTGCATTTGGGTCGGATACTGTTATCCCTAAGTTAGCTAAATACTCCACTGTGGAGTTGTACTTTTTGTGAATTTAAACTTCTTATACATTACCTTGGGCTGCCAGGCTTCTGTAACAATTTCCAGGGGGTTATCACTTGCCTTCTTTAATCTATGTGACAGTCAAAGAATAAAGTCTCTTCGAGATCATTCGGTGTGGCATTCATTGTGAGTGACTTTGAAGAAATAAAGCTGGACAAATGCCTTGCAATTATGTCTAGCCAATGTAACCACTGTTGTTTGTTTTGGGTTTTGGCTTGAGGCTTCTAGGAAGCTGTATCCTCCAAGGGAGCCATCTTTTGATGATATTTAGCCTCCGATTTCAATCTATGGAAAGGGAGAAAAGTAAGACTGATGCTTCTTTCATCAAGGATCACTTTGGTAACATCAAAAGATTAAAGGAAGTGTGTTTTTTTTTTTTTCTGGGCCTCTCACCTTCTTTTGTCCCTTCTTCTTCACTCTCCATAAAGCTTATCTTGGAAGCCAGCCACCATCTGCCATGTCATGGTAAGGTGTATGTAATGCGTGCTCTGATAGGTTTGTGTTTATAACACATATATATGGAGTTGTCACTGAGGCAGGAATTGCTTGCTATCAGGAGTACCATCCTGAATAGGATTACCAAAACTGGCCTGTGGTCAGATTGTCTTCCTGACATAACATTTCTCTCCCCCTTAATATCTATACCTTCATTTATGAGAGCCCCACTTTTTTTTTGGTTGCTGTTGTTGTTTGTTTTCTTTTCTAATGTCAGTCTTTGTGTGCATAAACTTGTATTTCATTCAGAGAAAAAAATCTCTTCTAATTTCAAGGGGATAGAGGTGAAAACAAAATGAAACGGAAAGCTGTTCAGATAACCCAGGAGGATTTTAAGACCCCTTTGTTATAACAATCCTTTTATGTTTGAAATATTTATTGGGCTTCTTCCTGGTCACGATTGGAAGGGAAACCTGAATTGGTGCCCTCTAAGCTGCTTGGGCGGACAGAAGAGTACATGTTTACAAGTCAAGATGGTGCTTGATCTTGGAACGACAGGAAATGATTTTGCAAATCCAGATAAACTATTTTATCCTAGAAAGCATATGTGCCAAACACAGTTTAAAGTAAACACACAAGGATCCTTGTGTTGTACCCCATGGGTAGAGTGTAGGGAGAAGCTAACACTTTTCCAGATTAAGAGCAATCTGGTGAAATAGTTGCCTCTAAGTGGCTCGTTTTGCCTGTGTGCCCTCTCACAGTGTAAACTTTTAGATTTCTGTAATGGAAGAGTGTACTAAGTTTGGCACTTGCTCCCTTTGGACAAGGTGGAGCTGATAATTTATTTCTCTTCCTCCATCCAAAATTATTTTTAAGTTATTTAAAGTTTATATAGATGAATATTATGGGGTAAGATTATTTTAAAGCTTATATAGATGAGAAATTGCCAAGAAAGTTTTGAAAAAGGATTAGGGAGAGGGATTTTTCCCCTTAGATTTTAAAGTGTGCTATAAAGCTAATAATAAAACAGTGTGGTATTCATATATACATCAGTGGAATACAACAGAGTCTGGAACAGATCTAGGTATATATGCTAACTTTATGTTGCTAAAAGGGGCATTACTGATAGAAAAAATTGTTTAATAAATGGTATCAGGATTGGGTCAGCTAATAGCTAGCATTTAGTTAGCACTCACTATATGCCAGGTACTATTCTAAGGGCTTTTCATGTATTAATTCAATCTTCATAGCAGCCCTTTGAGATAGATACTATTATTATTCCAATTCACAAATGAAAACACTAAAACACAGGGAGATTTAGTAACTGGTCCAAAGTCACACAGCTATTAAATAGTAGAGTTAGGATTTGAATCAGGCAATAAAATTAGGTCTTTACCTAGTTTATACGATATATAAACAAACTCTAGATGAATTAAAAATCTGCATGTATAAAATGATGTTTTTATAACATCATTACAATATTGGAAGATAATCCAGAGGAACATTTATATAACTTTGAAATCAAAGAAAATTCCTTAAGCAAGACAAGAACCCCAGAAAAAATGAAGGAAAATTATTGATCTGACAACATAAATATTCAAAACTTCTGTTGAGAAGATACCATAACAAAAATCAAAACTTCAGTGACCAAAAGGAAATACATTTGGAACTCATTTGTTAGAAGAAGGGTTTGTATCTGTAATGTACAAAAACATTTTATAAAATGATATAAAAATCAGTCCAATTTAAAAGTGGGCAAAACATATGAACTGGCAATTCATAGGGGATAAAATGCAAATGATTAAGAAATATGTAACAGTGGCAATATGTGCAGTGTTAATAGTGTGTAGAGGAACTTCCAATTTTCCTATTCAAGACTTACATCTAAGACCTCAAACTATGAGACTAATAAAAGAAAACACTGGGTAAAACTCTCCAGGACATTGGAATGGGCAAAGATTTCTTGAGCAATGCCCCATGGACACAGACAACCAAAGCAAAAATGAACAAATGGGATCACATCAAGTTAAAAAGCTTCTGCACAGCAAAGGAAACAACAAAGTGATGAGACAACCCACAGAATGGGAGAAAGTATTTGTAAACTACCCATCTGACAAGGAATTAATAACCAGAATATATAAGGAGCTCAAACAACTGTATAGGAAAAAAATCTAATAATCCAATTTAAAAATGGGCAAAATATCTGAGTAGACATTTCTCAAAAGAAGACATACAAAGGGCAGACAGGTATAGGAAAAAGTGCTCAGCATCACTGATTATCAGAGAAATGCGAAAGAAAACTACAAAGGGATATCATCTCACCCCAATTAAAATGGCTTTTATCCAAAAGACAGGCAATAATAAATGGTGGCAAGGATGTAGAGAAAAGGGAACGCTTGTACACTGTTGGTGGGAATGTAAATTAGTACAACCTCTGTGGAGAAAAGTTTGGAGGTTCCTCAAAAAAATAAAAAATAGAGCTACCATATGATCCACCAATCCTACTCCTACCCAAAAGAAAGGAAATAAGTATATCAAAGAAGTACCTGCACTTCCATGATTATTGCAGCAGTATTCACAATAGCCAAACTTTGGAAGCAACCTAAGTGTCCATCAGCAGACAAATGAATAAAGGAAATGTGGTACATATACACAATAGAATACTAGTCAGCCATAAAAAAGAATGAGATCCTGTCATTTGCAACAACATGGGTTGATCTACAGATCATTATGTTAAGTGAAATAAGCCAGGCACAGAAAGACAAACATTGCATGTTTCACTTATCTATGGGAGCTAAAAATTAAAACAATTGAAGTCATGGAGATAAAGATTAGAATGATGATTACCAGAAGCTGGGAAGTGTAGTGTGGTGGGATGGGAGGGAAGAGGGGAATGGTTAATGGGTACAAAAAAAAAATTAGAAAGAATAAATAATGCCCAGTATTTGCTAGCACAACAGGGAAAATATAGTAAAAAATAATTTAATTGTTCACTTAAAAATAACTAAAGGAATATAATTGGATTGTTTGTAACACAAAAGATAAGTGCTTGAAGTGATGGATACTCTATCTACCCTGATATGACTATTATGCTTTGCATACCTGTACCAAAGTATTTCATGTAACCCATAAATATATATACCTACTGTGTACCTACAAAAATTAAAAAGAAAAAAGAAATAAGATAGACACAGAAAAATAAGTAAATAAATGCCAATGAACATTCTTCACAGAAATAGAGTAAAAAATTCTAAAAATTATATGGAACCACACACACACACACACACACACACACATACACAAAACAAAACCAGAATAGCCAATGCCAAAACAAAGCAGATCAACACAAAACTGGAAGAATTACATTACCTGACCTCAAATTATACTATAGAGCTATAGTAACCAAAACAGCAATATACTGACAAATAAAGCAGATAAATAGACCAATGGAAGAGAATAAAGAACCCAGAAATAATTTCATACATCTATTGTGAACTGATTTTTGACAAATGTGCCAAGAATATACAGAGGGGAAAGGATAGTCTCTTCAATAAGTGGTGCTGGGAAAATTGGACATCCATAGGTAGAAGAATGAAGCTAAACACCTATCTCCTACCGTATACAAAAATGAAATCAAAATGGATTGAGGACTTCAGTCTGAGACCAGAAACTACGAAACTACTAAAACAAACAAACAAACAAAAAAACCAAAAAAAAAAACACTGGGCAAACTCTCCAGGATATCGGCCTGGGCAAAGATTTCTTGAGGAATACCCCCCAAGCATAGGCAACCAAAGCAAAAATGGACAAATGGGATCACATCAAGTTAAAAAGCTCTTGCACAGGAAATGAAACAACAAAGTGAAGAGACAACCCACAGAATGGGAAAAAATATTTGCAAACTACCCTTCTGACAAAGGATTAATAACCAAAAAACACAAGGAGCTCAAACAACTTTATAGGGAAAAAACCTAATAATCTGATTTAAAAATGAGCAAAAGATCTGAATAGACATTTCACAAAAGAACCTGTGCAAAGGGCCAACGGTATGTAAAAAAGTGCTTAGCGTCCTTCATCAGAGAACTGCACATCAAAACTGCAATGAAATATCATCTCACCCCAGTTAAAATTGTTTATATCAAAAAGACAGACAATAAGTGCTGGCAAGGATGTAGAGAAAGGGGAACCCTCATACATTGTTGGTGGGAATGTAAATTAGTGTAACCACCATGGAGAACAGTTTGGAGGTTCCTCAAAATCTAAAAACAGAGCTACCTTATAATCCAGCAATCCTGCTGCTAGGTATATATCCAAAAGAAAAGAAGTAAGTATATAGAAGATGTATCTGCACTTCCATGTTTATTGCAACAGTATTCCCAATAGCCAAGATTTGGAAGCAACCTAAGTGTCCATCAGCAGATGAATGGATATAAAGAATATTTTAACTCTATAGTCCCTTTTATTTTGTAAAACACAATATGAAGAGCTTTCTGCTAAATATATTTATATTATGTAAGTGGAAAAAAGTATGCAAAGATATATACAACACTATTATTATAACATAAGGCAAGCATTGTAAGCTTCAATGACTGTGGAAACCAGGTAGATATAAATGAAGCAGAGTGGGCATTAATAAAATCTGTGGGAGTAAGAAAGGATTATTGTTAGTGTTAGGAATCTAAGAAATGGCAGAGAATGGGGCCCAAAGCACAGAAGAGGGGATTATTTCTAGGTCAGAAGAAACAAAAGTAGGACAGGAACAGATGTAGACAGTTTACATGATAGCCCACTGATGGCTTTTCTTTCTTTCCATTGCATTGGGGTACAAGGATAGAAGGAAGTGAAGAAGGCTTGGAGAGGGTTTCCCGGAGAATGGGCAAGTGAGACATGGTGTGATTTCTAGGGTCCATTTCAGATTGGTGAGCATAAGTTTATAGTGAAGGCATTATATACTTTTTACATTGGCATGTGCACCAGAAACTATGTCAATAATGAGTAAAAATTCCTGATAAAGTTGAAGTTAGGATTTTTGCCTTTTGAAGAAGAAAAATTATTAAGTCAACAATTAGGAAAAGCAATCTCAAGAAATAGAAGGAGTTAGTTGCTCTTTCACATTAGAAAAATTGTTTTCATCCACAGAAGTTTTAAATAGCTTTATGGAGATATAATTCACATATTGTTCAGTTCAGCCACCTAAAATGTACAGTTCAGTGGTTTTTAGTATTCACAGATATGTGCAACCATTACCACAATCAATTTTAGAACATTTTCATCTCCCTCAAGAGAAATTCTGCACCTCTTAGCCACCACCTCCTCCCCTAACCTCCTCATCCCTGCTCTCGCCTGCCCCAGCCGTAGGCAAGGAACAATCTACTTACTATATATACAGATTTGCCTAAGTTTGGACATTTCACATAAATGGCATCATCCAATTCGTGGTCCTTTGTGACTGGCTTCTTTTGCTTAGTAAAATGTTTTCAAGATTTCCTGTAGCATGGATCGGTACCTAGATTTTGATCTGGTTTAATTTTATCACATTTACTTTTTATTTCTTTAACTTTTTTGTATTAAGCATTTAAAATTTACTGACACGTATACTTACATATATATGTTAGTGTCCATTAAATATGATTAGAGGCCGGGCACGGTGGGCTCATGCCTGTAACCCCAGCACTTTGGGAGGCAGAGGCAGGCGGATCACCTGAGGTCCGGGGTTCGAGACCAGCCTGACCAACATGGAGAAACCCCGTCTCTACTAAAAATACAAAATTAGCTGGGTGAGGTGGTGCATGCCTGTAGTCCCAGCTACTTGGGGGACTGAGGCAGGAGAATCACTTGAACCCGGGGGGCAGAGGTTGCGGTGAGCAGAGATTGTGCCACTGCACTCCAGCCTAGGCAACAAGAGCAATACTCCATCTCAAAAAAAAATACATATATATATATGATTACAAATATGCTATTTTCAGTAAATAAACTTTTGGATTTTTCCCTTCCCTTTTTTTTCTGCTTATCTTCTTCCTGCCATATTACTTTTATCCCCTCCACAGGTGGCTAACAACCTAATATTCTCTCATATTTTCTGTATAATAAAATCATACACACAAGCATGCACACACACAAAAGGCCCTCCAAATCAAGCAGTAAACCTTTACTTCATTACCTTAAATCCCTGCATAATACTCAATGATGTGGATATTTAATGATTTCCTGGGCCTCCTGATGAGTATTCACTCATTGTTTTTGTTTTTTAATTTACTCTGTTAATGAACAATATACCACAGTTAACATCCTAGCCAGTCAGGTGTGGTCCATGTACCAGCAGCATTAGCATCACCTGGGAGCTTTTTCAATAAGCAGAATCTTAAGTTCTATCCCAGCCTACTGAACTGAATCCCCAGGAAATTCAAACTGACATTGAAGACTGAGTAGTGACCTAGTATATATGCCATTTCATATTAATGCTATCATTTCTATAGTTAGATTTCAAGGAGTAAAATTCTGGGGCAAAGGGGATATATATGCTTTTAATTTTAACAGATGCCTTAACAGCTTGCTTCCCTTACAGACTGCAGCACAATGGATTTCTACCAGGCGGGTATGAGAATATCCCTTTCTTCACGTTCCCATTAGCACTGAGTGTTGATGCTGAGATCGTTAAGGAAATTTGCCATGGTAAGAGCATTTGGGTTTTGATTTTCCCCATGTAATTAAGCAAACTGTTCATAAGATAGTATTAGAATAGTCCCAATTTCAAATGTTGGATTTCCAAGTCAAACTATTGAAAGAACACAAAAGAAATAAATAAAGAGAATAAGGATGTAACTTCTCTAATGGAAAACTTCTCTCTTTTTTTCCAACCTTCTTGGCTGTAACACAAGGAAGGAGATACCCAGAATAGTGATTATCCTATCAGCTGGGCATTGTGCAGTGCCTTGTTCACACTTTTTGGCAACATTTTCAGATAAATGTTTGGATTGGGGGAAGGAAAACACAGTAAATGTCTACAAAAAGCCTGGGTCAATTTCAATGAACAAATAAATAAATAATTAGAGAATTATAAATTAAAATAAAGTAGCACATTTTGCTCATAAAATTTACAGATTTAAAAATATTAACAGTATTCCATAAGAGTAAAAGGGTGCAAAAACAGACTCATAAATTGTCAATGGGAGTATATAAATTCAGAATATCCTTTTAGAGGATAATAGGGCAGGATACATATAAGATATTTGAGTGCACATATATTATAACTCGGCAAGATAGGAATCAATCTTATAGAAATAGTTACATAGGAGAAAAAAGACATATTAAAGGCTATCCATTGAAAAATTTGAAACCGCTTAACTGTTCATCAATAGAGGCATGATTTAGTGTATTTTGGTGTATGAATTAATGTCTATACATGACATACAAAGCTCTATAAGGCATATTGCTAAGCAAAAGGAAACAATCATCTCAGAACAATATATGATATATAACCCACTTTTGGGAACAGTAACACAAAAATTGTAAGGAGTGTGTGTTTGTGAGTGCATGAGCATGTGTATATATCTATGTATGTAAGAGAAAACATGCACCAAACCACTAGCAGTGGTTACCTCTGGGTGTGTGTGTGGGGTCAGGGGGATTGGTGGTTGGAATGATGGTGAAAGGGAAACATACATACTATTTCCTAAATAATAATTATAATAATAATTAATATTTATGGAGCACTTACTATACATCCAGCACTATGCTGAAAGCTTTACATAAATAATCCTACTTAATCTTGACAACCACCTTATGAGGTAAATATTGCTTTCTGAATTTTACCATTTCCATTAAGTTAACTGAGTCACAAATAGGTGACATAATTTGAGGTGATTCAGTCAGAAAGTTGTAGTACTGTGATTTGAACCAAGGTAGTCTGGCTCTAGAGACCATGCTTAGAAACTTGATTCCATCTATCTATGTATTCACGTATCCATCCGTCTATTCATCCATCCATCCATCCATCCATCCATCCATCCATCCATCCATCCATCCATCCATCCATCGTCTATTCATCCACCTACCTACCTGTCATTTATGTATTGTCCATCATCTATCTATCACCCTTCCTTCCTCCCTCCCTTCCTTCCTCCCTCCCTTCCTTCCTTGCTTCCTTCCTTCCTTGTTTTTTTTTCTCTTCTTCCACACTAAAGTTCTCAGGCTACCATGGGGAAAATTAACCGTACAATATAATTTCTGAAAACACGCTAAGTTTCTCAGAGAGTAGCAAACATGACAAAAAAACTGGTTCTGATTATTTACCAGAATGAGGGAATTTGCCTCATTCCAGGACACTTGTGATAGGTGACAAACTGAATGTAGATCTCCAGATGGAGCAGAAAATGCAACTGAGTATGATTCCTGCCTCTGACTTGCTGCTGATCCGTGGAAGCAAAGCATTTCATAACAAGAAGACAACAATCTTCTCCTTTATTTTGCTAATGAAGAAACAGGGTCCAGAGTATTTAGTGGCCGAATTGATATAAAAATCAGGTTTTCTAACCCTCAGCTCAGTGCTTTCTCCACTATATCATAATTGGGAGTTCCATCATTTATAATGTACATTTACTTCCTATAGGATGTAACCAGAAAAATGGACACACAGAGTTGATCCATTTCTGTCACTAGAGCTCCAAAATTTGTATATATTTTTCTAAAAGGAAAGAAAAAAAGGACAGTTAGTGTTGAGCAGGTGTTTTATCATCAGCCTAAAAGGTTTGGCCATTATACCCTCCTTAACAGGAATCAGAAAAAAAAAAAAGAAAAAAAAAAAGGCGGTTCAATTTATTTCTTGAGGGTTGTGTTTTTGTAAATTAGCTAGTTGGTTTTTACGGGGACTCCCTCCAACTTGCCCATTTCAAAGGTCTCCAATCCTGTTAAATAAGAAAACCATCTTGGCTGAATGGTTAGGTCAGACAATGGCTAGACATGAAGCGAGTTGTCTGCAGAAGACATGGGCAGCCCAGTGAACCACAAGGATGGGTACAGGACATTGAGATGGGCAGGATGTCATTGTCAGCTAAGCTCATGTGCAGGTGACTGCCCCTGAACAGAAAAAAAGGTTAAGGGTCAGGAAACATGTGGACCCTGAGGAGGGCAGAGAAAGTACTGAGTCTAAGCCACTTTTCCTGATTTTATTCAAGCCAAGCGGAAGGCAAAGGGTTGCGTCAACTAACTTTCCCTGAACTGGTGCATCAGCAGGATGCTCTGAGCCTCTCCCACTTATCTCCAGATCCCAAACACAGAGTTCATGGTCATCTGGCTGCCTTGCTCAGAGCTCTTCAGGCAAAGGAGAAGAAAGGCCACTTCAACATCTAGCATTCTTCAATCTTGCTTGAGGCTGGCAGCTGTCACAGAATGCCATCAGCAAACAGATCATCTTAGCAATGTCTTTCCCACTTCTTAAACCATCAGCCTCTCACGATTTTTGAGTAGTTCCATGAGCCCTGTTCAGTTTTGAAATTCAAGCTACTGAGGCTTTGAACTACTTATTAGTACCAAAAGCCCAAAATATTTATCATCTATTGCTTGAAGAAAATTTTGTTTTCTGTGAGGCCATGACCAATACCATTAAATTTAAAAAAACCTGTGCCTAGTGGCCATTCCTCTGCTTAATGGTTGACTTTTCTGAACCTTTTGTTGAGTCTGCTTCACTTTGAGTCTCCAGGTCATTTGTTGTTTAAACAGAAGATCTGAAAATCAAAAATTTAAATATTACATATATATACATGTATATTAAACTATTTTTAAACATTATAAATGTAGTATACATTTTAAAATCTTGATCAGCAAAGAAGAAATAAAGTAAAAAAATGAAATGCCAAATGCCAGTCCCACAGATATTAGCATTATTAACAATTTCTCATATTGCCTCCCAGAATTGGTTTATGCATGAGGTACATGCACAGGGTACAGGTATTCTTTTTGATTGTTGTTTTAATGAAATGGAATCATACTAGACATTACTGCTTGGCAGCTTGCTTTTTTTCCATGAGCAATATATGCAACTCCTCCCTACTGGTAGGTATTAAGGTTGTTTCCATTTTTTAACATTTTCATCATCTAATTTTGCAATGAATATCCTCATTACAGGCAACTTGTAGACTTGCGCATGTATATATTCAAGTAATTACATTTGGATGCATGTTACTCGACTCTAGTAAAAATTTTGAGAACTTTCATTTGAGAAATGAAACCTGAAGGCAAAAATGGAGGGTAGGGTATATCCCTAGATTTATCCTTGCCAGTCTCTATCCTCAACTGCGGATAAATTGAATGTTGACTATAGGAAAATAAGAGAAGCAGAAAATAAACACATTTAGGAAACACGGGCACAGATTTTCTTGGGTGTCATGGGATTCGGGTCTTAGGAGAGTTATGACTTGGTCATTTTCATCCTGGTAATCTTTTAAAATAAAATGATTTCATTTGTCATGACAATGAAATCAGTTACTTTTTTCAAGTTTCATCACCACTGAGGTTCTCCTATCACCCCAGTTCTTGGTTATCACTCCTTCCAAGGAATGCCTATGATACTTAATTGCTTGCCCTGTAAATTGGATACACTATCTAGCTTTACATACTTATTTTCTAATGTACCAATTCTGAGTTCCTAATCTTATAAACCTCTTCAGGGTAAGTTTTATGCCTTTCTATATTCTTTGTACCATCTGTGCAGCAATATGCAATGCCTTAGAAGTGATAGCGAATGATTAATCTCTCTATGAATTGGTTTCCCTAGACTCCAAGGTCTAGAGCCCTACCTTATTTCCTAATGAACACGAACAGTTGAATAAGGAAAATATTTTTTTCCCATAGCCCCTTCTTACAGTAGACCAGTGCTTGGCATTCCAACCGAGTTTCCCAATCTGGGTGGACCAAAACATGACATTTTGATAGACAATAGCCATGAACCTTTGTTTTGTTTCCCTTCACAGCTCAGGTGGCCCTATCTGGCACATAAGTAGAAACAGATGTTGAGAAGAGCAAGGAGGTATGTGGTGCCGATGTCTCAGTTCTGGGAAAAGGAAACACTTCACAGAAAATAGGTGCCACCTGTAGGGGGTTGCAGTCTGCCAAGTGAAACCAGTTTGGCTAAAGATAGCTAAAAATATTCCCCTAGGGTATAAGGTAATGTTTGTTTATGTATGAGACTGAATGAGGGTGTGTGTGTGTCTACGTGTGTGTGAATGCATGTGTACCTTCTGCATCATCCACTCCAATGAAGCCTTTTGACCTGTTCATGAATCCAATTGCTGAAAGAACAATTTTTATTTAATATTTGACCTGTTAAGAAAAATAGAACTGTTAAATAAATTTTTAACGGGTGCAGAAGAAAGAATTTTAAATTTCCTTATGTTTCAACTACCTCAATAAGATTTGCTAAGCTATCTAAAAGAGATTTGGTGCTTTGAAGAACTATACAAAACTCTACACAATGATTCAATATTACTTACACCTCCCTCCTAGCAGAATTTGGTTACATTTGGGGGATTAAGTGTACCTAAGACTACTAAATGAAATTGAATTGAAAAGCCATGTCTCTTTGGGCAAATTACTAAACTTCTTGTGCTTCAGTTTCCTCATCTGTAAAATGGATATAATAATTGTACATACTTCAAAGAGTTATTGAGAAGAGTGGATATTCTAAGAAAGTCACACTATGTAACACATGGAAAGTTATGACTACTATACTACTACTATTATGACTTCTACCACCACCACCCAATCCCTTCATCTTTTCCCCCACCTTTTCTTCTTTAATTCACAAAGATCTTCAATAATTTAATTTAAATGTGAAATTCTACGGAAATTTGTAATATTTTCTAGATGTGGGGATCCATAATTTTCTTTGATGTTGGAATTTAAGTCATGAGGCCTGATGTCACAGAAAGAGCACAGCATTAGTGGTCCTACAACTTGAATTTAGTTCCAGCCCTCTTACTTAGTAGCTCAGTGACCTGGAAAAGTTGCCTTTTCTGAGCCTCTCTTTCCTTAACTGTAAAATGGGAATAAGTGAATGAATGGGATGATTTCTCAGGTCCCTTCTGGGGGACACTTGGGAAGACCTGAATTATATTATGGAGCAAGATGTAGAAAAAAATCATAATGCTTTATACTATAAGCTGAACTCAATGGTTAATTTGTTTTAAAGAAGCAAAGTTAAAAATAATCCATTAGAAGTGAAAGAGATTAGAACTGAACATAAATATTTTCTAAAATTACTAAACAAGACTGAAGATTAGAACATCAGACTATAAAATCTTTAATGGCAGGGACAGTACATTAATATGTGTCCTTGTATCTATAGAGGTTAACAAGAGCCTTGGTACATAGTCGATGCCCAAGCAAAGTTTGCTAAAATGAATCTAACAGAATTCAGAGTCAATGTAGCTTGTGAATGAAATACTATTCTATTTGGATTGAACCCCGAGTTTAAATTGTGAGAAGGCTTAAATTTCTGAGATCAAAAGCATTATACTAGAATAGAAGTTCTTGGTGGCTGATGGACCAACATCATAACTATTACCTGGAAACTCATTAGAAAGGCAGAATTGTAGGCTCCACCTCAAGCCTACTGAATCAGAAACTCTAAAGATGGAGTCCAACAATGTGTTTTTTGTTTTTGTTCTGCTCTTTTAAATAGACTTTATATTTTAGAGCTGTTTTAGGTTCACAGCAAAATTGAGTGAAAAGTACAGAGTTGGCATACACTCCTTGTTCCACACATGCATGGCTTCCCCACCGTCAATATCCTGCACCAAAATGGTACATTTGTTACAGTTGATAAACCTACACTGACACATCATTATTATCCAAATTCCAAAATTTACATGAGGGTTCACTCTTGGTGTTGTATATGCTATAGGTTTTGATAAGTGTATAACATGAATCCATTATTGTAATATCATACAAAAGAGTTTTACTGTCCTAAGCAATGTGTGTTTTATTTTATTTTATTTTATTTTATTTTATTTTATTTTATTTTATTTTATGAGAAAGAGTCTTGCTCTGTCGCCCAGGCTGCAGTGCAGTGGCGCTATCTCAGCTCACTGCAACCTCTGTCTCCTGGATTCAAGCGATTCTTCTGCCTCAGCCTCCTAAGTAGCTGGGATTGCAGGTGCCCACCATCATGCCCAGGTAATTGTTGTATTTTTAATAGAGACAGGGTTTCACCATGTTGACCAGGCTGGTCTTGAACTTCTGACCTCAGGTGATCTGCCCGCCTCGGCCTCCCAATGTGCTGAGATTACAGATGTGAGCTACCGCACCCAGCCAGCAAACTGTGTTTTAAAAAGCTCTCTCATGCACATTAAAGTTTGACAACCATTGCATTACAGGATAGTTTTTCAAAGCTAAGTTGAAGAACTAGCCAAGAAATTAAGATGGTCTTAAATCCTACCTTTGAATTGAAGCTGTACTCAGTGTATCCTACCCTCCTCTTAATACACATTTGGACGCTAATGACCAGTACAGTCATTAAAAGAATTATGAACTCTGTCTAAATCTCTACTTCTCCCTTTGCTGAACTTTTGAGATGCTCTCCTCTACTCACATACTAATTGGAAACTAGGATAGAGCTGTGGAAAAGACACTGGTTTATTTTTAAAGAAAATATTTGGTCAGCCACGGTGGCTCACGCCTGTACTCCAAATACTTTGGGAGGCTGAGGAGGGTGAATCACTTGAGGTCAGGAGTTTGAGATGAGCCTGGACAACATGGTGAAACCCATCTTTACTAAAACATAAAAATTAGCTGAGATCATGCCCACTGCACTTCAGCCTGAGCGACCGGGCAATATTCTGTTTCAAAAAAAGAAAAAAAAGAAAGAAAACATTTTATTATCAAAAATGTCATGCATATACAGAGGCACAGAGAAAAGTGTCGTACATCCTTACGTAATCATTGCTAATCTTCAATAATTATAAACTCCTGGACTATCCTGTATCATGTATATTCACATCCATCCCTCTATCCATCCAAAATAATTTGAATCAAGTCCAAGATAATATCATTTTACCTGCAAATATCTATGGTTCAGCAAATAGAAGAGAATACTTCTTAACTAATTTTATGAGGCTATCATTGTCAAGATAACAAAACAGAAACAGAAAAAAAAAACTGAAGACTAATATCCCTCATTAATATAGGTTCAAAAATTTTTAACAAAACATTGGCAAATTGAATCTAGCCATATATTAAAAAATAAAAGAAAGCACATTATATCTAAGTGGTTATTTTGCCAGGAATGCAAGTTTGGCTCAACATTCAAAAATCAATCAATGCAATTTGACATAGCAGCAGACTAAAGAAGAACAACCATATTATTATTTCAATAGAGTCAGAAAAAACATTTGACTAAATTCAACATCTATTCATCATAAATTCCAATAAGTTAGAAATAGAAGGGAACTTCCTCAGCCTGATAAAAAGTATCTATGGAAAACCTAAAACATCATACTTAATGATGAAAAACTACATACTTTCTTCTCAAGCTTGGATATGGGACAAGGATGCACATTCTCATTACCTCTATTCAACATTATATTAGAGATCCTAGTCTATGCAACAAGCCAACAAATAAATAAAAGGCATACAGATTGGAAAGGAAGAACTAAAACTGTCTTTATTAATGGTAACATTATCATCTACATAGAAAATCTCCAAATCTATCAAAACCTACTAGAACTAATATGTGAGATTAGCAAGGGCACAGGTTACAAGGACAATATAAAAATTGATTATATTTCTATATAATAGCAAAAAACAATTGGAGATTAAAACTTAAAAATGGTACCATTTACAATGACATCAAAGAATATGAAATACTTTGGGATACATCTATAAAAATATGGTCAGGATTTGGATGTTGAAAACTATAAAACACTAATGACGGAAATTGTAATAAACTCCAAGAGGGCCCCCAGTAACCCCTGCCCCTGGTATGAAAGTCCTGGAATTACTGTTCTCCCACACGGAAGAGGGCTGAACTGTGAACTAATAGGATACCGTGGACCTGACAGTGTATGACTTCTGGGTCTGGGTCATAGAAGACGTGTGGCTTCCACCTTGCTACCTTGGGTCACTTGCTCTGCGGAAGGCAGCTTCCATGACATAAGGACACTCAAGTAGCCCTATAGAGATTCCCAATATTTAGTGAAGACCTGAGTTCTCTTGCCAATAGTCATGTGAGTGAGTCACACCAGAAAGGTATTCTTCAGCCCCAGTCAAGCCTTCATATGACCACATCCCTTGCTGACATCTTGACCGCAAGCTCATGAAGGACCCAGAATCAGATCAACCCAGTTAGACTGCCCTCACTGACCTGCAAAAACTGAGATAATAAATTCTCGTTATTTGAAGCCACTAGGTTTTGGAGTCATTTGTTATGCAGTAATGGAAAATGACACAGGTTTTGGTACCTGGAAGTGAGATGTTGCCATAACAAATATTAAAAATGTGAGAGCATTTCTGTTCACGTTCTCTTACCCACCTGGGCAGATGAGATATTAATAAAGACACTTCCCAACTGGAAAGAATGAGTATGGTCTTTAATGGCTCTTTTAAAATTCAAATGTTAATCATATGTTTATTATTATTTAAACTATCGTTTTCAATTATAAATTATTAATAAAAACATTCAATAATATGAAAGAATATAGAGTAATAAATGAGACCCCTTCCATCATTACCACCCCATTCTGGTCCTCAGGAGTAATTAAGTTTCATGTGAGCCCTTCAAGACTTTTCTGCTATGCATATACATATAAAAAGTATTATGTGATGGTTGAAGAAAATTTGAGTCATTCATATTTTTCTCACTGAGGAATAACCGCTGTTAGATTCTGATGGGTATGGTTTTAGTGTGTATTCTGTACACAAGCACACACATACAGATGTTTTAAAACTTTTTGAAACACAAGCTTATAAAGAATTTTTTTTTTTTTTTTTTTTTTTTTTTTGAGTCGAGTCTCCGTCGCCCAGGCTGGAGTGCAGTGGCGTGATCTTGGCTCACTGCAACCTCTGCTTCCTGGGTTCAAGCAATTCTCTGCCTCAGCTTCCCGAGTGGCTGGGATTACAGGCGCCCGCCATCATGCCCGGCTAATTTTTTTGTATTTTTAGTAGAGACGGGGTTTCACCATCTTGACCAGGCTGGTCTTAAACTCCTGACTCGTGATCCACCCACCTCGGCCTCCCAAAATGCTGGGGATTACAGACACGAGCCACCACTCCCGGCCAAGAATTTTAAAGGTGGCTGTACTCTGGGGTCCTCATTCTAGACCCTAAAGAATTCTTTTAACTGGATATGAGTTAGCTCTACATATTACTCTAGTTTATTAGAATTTGACTTTTGATTTTAGGAGTTAGGAAGGGCAAAAGACGACACCACATACTCCATTATGTTCAGCAATGTTTCTAGATCAGATTAACTGATTTAGATGATGTATATTTCTTGAAACTCAATTTTGGTGTCTTCCTCCCACTCAATCCCCCTCACGCAGTTCTTCTTTCATTCATAGTAGCGTTTCACAAAAAGCATGACTCAGAAAAAAAGGAGAGAGCTGCCTCAACAAACATAAAAAGCTTATCTTCTGTTTGAAGCTAAGACTTGGAACGCTGTAATTCTTCCTATCAAAGTGAATTATTAGTACCAGACTGTTGACTTCAGACTTTTTTACTTCTTCTACTTTTTTTCCCAGTGGTAGGTAGAAACATTTCATCAGTCAAATGTTAAATAGCAATTTGAAATACTCAGGAATGCTTTAAGAACTTGTTATAAATGCCCTTACATGTGGAAGACTCACCCTGAATCATGCCAAACACCTTAACAGTCATTCACATGAAACAGATTTTGGGGGGTGAAATGTATTTAAAAGTATTCTTCATAATTTTGAGTTTGTTAGGAATAAATTATTTTGCTCTTATGTGTTACGGTTTTCAAATTTCTCATGTATTTTTGGTGCTCTTTGGAAAGCTCACTGTGGCTCTTGTACCCAATGGACGGAATCATCCTGAAGCTATAAAGTTTTTATTTCTAAATTTTGGAAAGATATTTCTGTTCTCATGAACAAGAGTTTAACATGATGTCTCTCTACTTTGGCTGCACAACAGAATCATAGTAGAAAACAAATAAACAACAACAACAAAAATCTATTGATCAAATCTTTCCTCCCAAAGATTTTGATTTATGATGTAGGAAGGCGCCAGCTACCAGGTTTTCAAAGCTCCCCAGACCCTGCAGATTCTAATGTGTAGCCGGGGTTGAGAACCACTGATTCAACACTAATAAATCTCAAATAAATAAATACATAAGAAAGTTAAAACTTAAAAATAAAATGATACATATCCATAAATTCCCTAAGAAAAGGAACAATATATCTAGTGCATGCGTAATACTTTTAAAACATCTAAAATGCTGGTGTTTGCATAGATAAATCATAATTACCTTGCTATTAGAAAGCAAAGTAATGAATTAGTAGAGATTGCTTGGCAATCTGTGATCTGTGCTCAAGGAGCAGGCCTCTGGCACTGCAGCAGGATACTGGGTACATAACGTGGGGTGAAACCTCATGGCATGCCGCTGTCACAGTTACATGCTGGGGGGAGAAGTTCTGTATTTCCAAGTGTGGTTGTGGAGAATCTTTTCAATGCCTCTTCAAGATGCTAATAATCAAGATTAATCTTTAATGGTTAATGGATTCCTGACTGAAGAGAAGGCACTGGATTGTATAATCTCTGAAGGGCTCTCACAGTTATATGAGTTCCATCTCAGAGGTGGGACAACATCAAAGAATCAATTACCATGCTGCCCCATAAGACTTGTTGTCACAAGCCACTCTAGATATTTAACTTCTGATGGTCTTATTCTCTTCTGATTATGAGCTGAAAGATGTTCCACCTTTAATATGGGGGATCAGGTCAGGAAGAAAAGTATTGAGGCTAAGTGTATAGTTTGGGATGGAAATATGAGATGGATTGATTCTTAAATATATTAGTCTAGAATTCTAGCCAAGAGATGGTCAGAATTTGAATGGTCAATTTAATGTAAGAACAAACCATAAAGGACAGATACATTAAAAAAGAATTGGCAAGACTGAGTGGTAGTCTGAATGGGTGGGCTGAAAGATAAGTAGCTTTTTACTGTTTTGCCAACAGGTACATTTTATTGAGATTAGTAAATACAACCAGCATAAGAGTCAGCTTTGGAGTGTAGACTTTGGAAACACATTGCTTTGGCTCAAGTCCTGGCTCCTCCATACACAAGCTGCTTAGGATTGGGTAAGTTACTTAACCTCCCTCAGCCCTAATTTCTGCATCTGTGAAATGTGTAGCCTGATGGTGAGAATTAAGGGAGTCAACACACGTAAAATGCTTACAACAGGGCCTGACACATGATAACTCAATACATGTTAGTCATTATTATGATGATACTGTTGGATGCAGAAAAAACTATTTCAGAAGAAGAATGAAAATCTTGTCATCAATTATTTGGAAGTTTAGAGTAAACGATTATGTAAGCCACACTAAACTTGTCTTTCATCTTACAATATAATGAGAGAGACAGACACACATACTCAAATAAACCTGTTATAAGGCATGATATCCTTTATGTCACAACAGATATTCTTGGACCGTGGGGAATATAATTGTCATTGATTAGCTGTCTCTTTAACATCCATTTCCCCCTGCTTCCTAGAAAAATATTTAGAATTTTTTGAGTAATAGTCCCTTTTCTATTTTAATTATGTAGTTTGGTGTTATTGAGCCTATTCTTAATTGCAAAGGTGGACTCTGACATAGGCTATCAGATCCTTCCTGCTTCTGGTAATTGGTTTAGGGATAAGGCAATGAGATTTAAGATGTGCTTAGGTCAAAGGATCAAAGGATCTTCCCTTTTATTTCTCAAGAGACACTGTCTTTCTGTGGACAGTGTGGGGTGAGAATGTGTAGTCATGTTTTTTTTTTCTATTATGAGGACAGCCTGAAGGCAGAATTGAGAAAATCACAGAGAAAAACAGCAGGATGACACAATGAGACTCTGGAAAAAACTGTCTGAAGCCAGCCCATAACTTACAACAACATGATCCTATACATTCAGGCCAAATTGAGTTGGTTTTCCTGTTTCTTACAACTTAAGGAATCCTTACTCTTGCAGGCATGGAGAGAGTAAGTCAGATGGGGAGATGGGAATGAGTAGGGATTGCAGAGACTTCCTGGGGCCTCTTTTTAAAGAGGGGCCAACTACGTATGGGCAGATATTGGAATAAAGCACATTCAAGGCATACAGTAAGCAAGAGACAAAAAAGTGTAATGCATTTTCTGGAGGTGGCCACTGAAATCTAGAAAGTTGGACTAAGAGTATGTCCACGGTATACCGGGAGGTAAGTTGTATAAATAGGAAGCAGCAAAGAACAAAACCCTTAAATACAAGGCTTGGGATTTGGGGCTTTATGCTATGTACAGAGGTCAACTGTCCAAGGTGAAGGACAGATGAACTTTGTGTTTTAGGAAGATAACTTTGGCAGCAGAGTGATGAGTGGACTGGAATATTCCAGGAAAAAGGCAAACTGGTCACGAGTCAGGGCAGTCTGATGAATGAAAATAGGAGATGGATATGAGGGAAGTAAAGAATGTAGACAAAATTGGATTTGAGAGGAAAAGAAAAGGCAGGGGGATATCATGGAATGTAGTATAAGCATCTAGAGGGACTTCGAGCTTAAGAAGGCTGAAGGAGGCAGGGTGGGTATAAACAGACAAAGAATTCAGTTTTTGGCACTTTGAATTTAAGAAATTGGTGGAACATACACAGAGATGTCCAGGAAGAATTAGAGATTAGAGGCTGGAGCTAGGGTAGAAAATCAGAGTTGGAGAGCACAATTTTTCAAGTTTTCTCCATAAGGAAGATAGTCAAAGGCAAAAGAGGAAATACAATTCCTGAGAAAGTCATGGAAGAGTACAAGGGATGGTGACCAAGAATGGATTTGGCGATCCCTATGTTTAGGGTTGAGCAAAGGAATGTCAGCCAGTGAAGGGCATTGGCTGGTAGGTAGGAGTGTACCCATGAATGTTTCAAGCTTCAACAAAGACGGAAGTTCAAGAAGAGGGTGGACAATGGGATGTCTGTTGTGGAGATGCTGGGCAGAGTCAAGAGTAAGAAGTTATTGTACATGAGGAGAGAAGGTGAGGGATGTCCTTTTATCTTTCAAGAACTCGTTTGAAGGAAAGGTCAAAGTACTAGACTACTAAGTAGCTTCAGGGAGCAGCAAGGTCAAGTTTTCTTAGGATAAGGAAATAGAAGCATTTTTCTATATATCCAAAGACCATTTTAATGTGGAATATTTTTGATGTGGTGCTTTGTTACTAGAATCATTTTCTCCACAGCTGGATCTTTTATTTATATTATGTGATCAGATGCATGAAATGACTCCCTTACAGCCTTTCATCTGCCTATGACCAGCCTGACCAATTATTGGATGATTATCAATTAGATCTAAAGTTGTATTTTTCATTTTATTTTGAAATTTCTCTCTTTGTGAGGCATTCCTTGCGGAGATTTTTTTTTAATTAAGTGAAGCAAGGCAGTGATATATTAGAAATGAACGTTCAGAAACACTGCTCAAAGAAAAAAATTTTATTTATGCCTCCAGGGACTATTCACCAATGTTTTGGAAACTCTGGAGACTAAATTTATATACAAAGAACATAAAACTTTTCTGCTGTCATTGACTTGCTCTCAACACTGGTGAAGTGGCATTACCAGGAAACATTATTTTTAGTCTCTAAAAATGTGAACAGTATTGCAAACTAATTCAACTAACCTGGAAGTGTATACATTCTTCTTATATGGGAATGGTAATCTGTAGCACTTCTCTGGGAACCAAAAGTATATTTTTGCACTATTCAGTTCTTTGAAAACTTGATAGGCTTAAAGGGGGAGGATGGTATTAATTCACTGGAAAATGGTTACGAGTCTGCAAATGACACAGATGCAACATTTCAATCACACGTTTCTTGTATAGTACATGCAAATCTTGTAAATGCTTTATTTCTTTTTCTTCATTGTACTCAAAATCAAAAACAAAAATCTTCAATCCCCACTGCTTAATAAATTAAGAACTAACTCTTTCACTCCGTTGTGTCTATGTTGACATTGTATGGTTCCATTTATTCCCACAAGTTGCTCTCTGTAAAGACATTTGCAATGAATAGTCAAGAGGCATGTGATTCTGGAAAAATAAAAAGCAAAGGAGGAACAAATAGCAGCAGAAATGGAAATAACAAAAATAACTTGGACATCATTATTGTGTTTAGAGGTGAATATGCACAGGGACTGTGTTAGGCACGGAGAATACAAAATCAATGTGACCTAATCCCTGATTTGAGGGAGAAATATTTGAATAAATATGTGATTATGCTATCAGATGTTGCATAAGTGCTATGTGCGTACAGGAAAAGGAAAATAATTTCCTAGTTCTGTGAATAACAAAATAGTCCACATTAATTTGTCAATGATCAAGTATAAATTCAGCATAACTGGATATATTTATTAAATGGATGACTATTATCTAAATTTGAATTTAAGAATAATCATATAAAGTACATTTTATATAGCTAGCACATATAACATTAACCCAAGTATCTTTACAATAGCTTTATTTAATTAGACATAACACAATAAGTCTATAGTATACAAAATAGATTTTATTAATAGGCACCATCATCATGTCCTTAACCGTTTTTATTAGACCTTACCAACTATCCTTCCAAACTTAACTACTTGCTCAGGTAAGATTTACCTTTGCCTATTTCTCCTAGAAGAGTCTGAATTGAAGCAGACAGCTGAATAAAAAAACAAAACATATCACTTGGGACAGATATTTGCACTGGGTATGGAAGGTATGTCCAGGAGGACAAATGACAAAAATTCATGGTAGAAAAGAAATGCCCCAAATGCGCAAGTGATTATTTGTATAGAAGCAACTGCTCCTTTTTTTTGTTTTTTTTTTTGTTGTTTTTTTTTTTGAAGAGAAGATCTGTGGTTTGGGGGTTGGGTGGAAGGTAAATATTCAATGCGGCTGGGATTCTGCAGGTGGGGAGGGCAAGATCTAATTACCTGCTTTGCATTCTTCCTTGGTCAGCCATCTCAGAGTGCCTCTTCTAAGTCACTTAGCTTTTCATGCATCTAGGAAAATGGAAGCTATTGTTATGGAGAGGCAGAGGAAGTCAGTGGCATCAATTCACTTAGCCTCATGCCTTGAATGAGATTAGTCCTCAAAAAAACAAAAAACCAAAAACAAAAAGCTATTTGTATGTGCTAGGAGGGGTCTGTTTTGGGTGCTTAATACTGCTCTGCTTTTAAGTCCTGATTCCACCACTTACAGTTATGGGACATTGGAAAAGTTACTTAAACTTTCTAAACCTCGGCCGGGCGCGGTGGCTCACGCCTGTAATCCCAGCACTTTGGGAGGCCGAGGCGGGTGGATCATGAGGTCAGGAGATCGAGACCATCCTGGCTAACAAGGTGAAACCCCGTCTCTACTAAAAATACAAAAAATTAGCCGGGCGCGGTGGCGGGCGCCTGTAGTCCCAGCTACTCGGGAGGCTGAGGCAGGAGAATGGCGTGAACCCGGGAAGCGGAGCTTGCAGTGAGCCGAGATTGCGCCACTGCAGTCCGCAGTCCGGCCTGGGCGACAGAGCGAGACTCCGTCTCAAAAAAAAAAAAAAAAAAAAAAAAAAAAAAAAACTTTCTAAACCTCATTTTCCCATCTCCCTTAAATGGGAATAATTATAGTATCTTTTCTATTGAGTTATTATGTGCATTAAATAAGATAATCCAAGGAAAATACCTGACACATAGTAACTGCTCCAAAAATCTACCCCTTCTTTTTATTGTTATTGAAAAAAGCAAAGAATGCCCTGTTTTTTTTTTTTACCATATTCCTAATTATTGATGAAAAAACTTCATTGATTATTTACAAAGAGATATAACAACTTTTTTTTTGGGCAAGACTTTTAGGAAGGCAAAGGGACATTTACTTAAATTAAGAATAAATATTTTTTCTCTTTACTTCTTTTCTTTCTAAGGAATACTAATAGTGCTTGCCACCTCATGGGATGTTATGAGGATGAAATGAGAAATAAAGTACTCAGAACAGAGCCTGCTCAAATGATGTGCTCAAAAAGTGTTAGCTCTTAATATTTTTTAGCACCCTTCTCTGGTGCTGTGTGGACTTTCAGTTGGTTATTTAAATTCTTTGCATATTTTACACATTTAAAAATTATTGTATCTATTCTCATGTGAGATATTCCAAGAAATTATACGGGAGAGTTTGGGACTGGAACATAGTTATACGTGTTTATAGTAACTGAGATTTTTTTCCTTTGCAGGGAGCAAGTAATCAAGTTCTCTTTAATCTCTTTCACTAAAAGGATGGAGAGTTTGCTTTATATTTACTAGAATATAAGGCTTTGTGAATAAAATTGAACACTGTTGGACACATTCAAGGCAGGCCTGGCTTTGTGGTGACATAGCCTTCTTTTTCTTGAACATACAAATATAGCTTAAGTTAAATGAATAAATCTCACAAGGAGTAAAATAAACTTAGATGTTTAAAGAAGGTAGATAATGAGAAACAAAGGGTATGCTCATGATCTCCCAAGTCGCAATAGTTGTAAGTATGGATGGGCTGTGAAACTGAGCCAACATCTGGTGAGGTAGTCATAGGCTCTGGTAAGTTGAAAATAAATGAACATGGAAAGAAAAATACAGTAAACATGACAAAGTTGTCAATGCAAACATGTAATCAATAAATGGTCATATTTAAAAATATAACAGCCCCTAGAAAAGAGAGTTGATGTCTTTTATAATATTTTTTATTTGTAAAAGTAATACTTTCTTGGTTTGAAAAAAATTATAGAAATATATGAAGCAAAAAGTACATGTTCTCATCCCTCTGCCTCTGTGCCTCAATCATTTCCCCAAGGTAGGTATTTTTTTGGTGTGTACCCTTCTAGATATTTTCTGCAAAATTTTCTATTATGCATGTATGTCTCCATGTATCTCTTCTCTATATCTATATCTATATCTCAAAGAAATATAGAAAATACTATCTTTTTTTTTAGTCAGTGTGTCACTCTGTCACCCAGGGTGGAATGCTGTGGTGCAATCATAGCTCACTGCAGCCTCAGCCTCCTGGCATCAAGCAATCCTCCTGCCTCAGCCTCCTAAACTGCTGGGATTACAGGCATGAGCCACCATACCTGGCCAGGAAATATTTTTGAACAGCTGATGTTCTTAGGCGATGAAGGTATGTGTGGAAGACACCTGATGAAAGGCCTTGGTAACAAGTACTTTAAGGAAGAAAATTAAACATCTATTGAATCCTTATTACCACCATCACCATTTTACACTTTATAGAGCACTTCCATGAGATGATCTCATCTGAGTCTCGTAACAGTCCTTAAGGTAGGTAAGAATTATTATTTTCATTGACAAATGATGAAGCTGCTGCCTGAAATGATTAAAAGATAATGCTCAAGGACATTCCAAATCCTTATTTTCACCAAATCAAGGAAAAGACAATGGAAAAGTTAGTGTTGTATTGGCCTGGGCATCCCTTTGATTACAGTCATTTAAAACAGATTTTTTTTTTTTTAATCATGGAAACTTTCAAACACGTAAAAGTAGAGAGAATAGTCAAATGAATCTTTAAGTACCACTGTTCAACTTCCACAGTTATTTTTTTTAATTTTTTTAAAATTATACTTTAAGTTCTAGGTTTAATGTGCAGGTTTGTTACATATGTATATATGTGCCATGTTGGTGTGCTGTACCCATTAACTCGTCATTTACATTAGGTATATCCCCTACTGCTATCCCTCCCCCCTCCCCCCACCCCACAACAGGCCCAGGAGTGTGATGTTCCCCTTCCTGTGTCCATGTGTTCTCATTGTTCAGTTCCCACCTATGAGTGAGAACATGTGGTGTTTGGTTTTTTGTCCTTGCGATAGTTTGCTGAGAATGATGGTTTCCAGCTTCATCCATGTCCCTACAAAAGACATGAACTCATCCTTTTTTATGGCTGCATAGTATTCCATGGTGTATATGTGCCACATTTTCTTAATCCAGTCTATCATTGATGGATATTTGGGTTGGTTCCAAGTCTTTGCTATTGTGAATAGTGCCGCAATAAACATACATGTGCATGTGTCTTTATAGCAGCATGATTTATAATCCTTTGGGTATATACCCAGTAATGGGATGGCTGGGTCAAATGGTATTTCTAGTTTAGATCCCTGAGGAATTGCCACACTGTCTTCCACAATGGTTGAACTAGTTTACAGTCCCACCAACAGTGTGAAAGTGTTCCTATTTCTCCACATGCTCTCTAGCACCTGTTGTTTCCTGACTTTTTAATGATTGCCATTCTAACTGGTGTGAGATGCTATCTCATTGTGGTTTTGATTTGCATTTCTCTGATGACCAGTGATGATGAGCATTTTCTCATGTGTCTGTTGGCTGCATAAATGTCTTCTTTTGAGAAGTGTCTGTTCATGTCCTTTGCCCACTTTTTGATGCGATTGTTTGTTTTTTTCTTGTAAATTTGTTTGAGTTCTTTGCAGATTCTGGATATTAGCCCTTTGTCAGATGAGTAGATTGCAAAAATTTTCTCCCATTCTGTAGGTTGTCTGTTCACTCTGATGGTAGTTTCTTTTGCTGTGCAGAAGCTCTTTAGTTTAATGAGATCCCATTTGTCAATTTTGGCTTTTGTTGCCATTGCTTTTGGTGTTTTAGTCATGAAGTCCTTGCCCATGCCTATGTCCTGAATGGTATTGCCTAGGTTTTCTTCTAGGGTTTTTATGGTTTTAGGTCTGACATTTAAGTCTTTAATCCATCTTGAATTAATTTTTGTATAAGGTGTAAGGAAGGGATCCAGTTTCAGCTTTCTACATATGGCTAGCCAGTTTTCCCAGCACCATTTATTAAATAGGGAATCCTTTCCCCATTGCTTGTTTCTGTCAGGTTTGTTGAAGATCAGATGGTTGTAGATGTGTGGTATTATTTCTGAGGGTTCTGTTCTGTTCCATTGGTCTATATCTCTGTTTTGGTACCAGTACCATGCTGTTTTGGTTACTGTAGCCTTGTAGTATAGTTTGAAGTCAGGTAGCATGATGCCTCCAGCTTTGTTCTTTTGGCTTAGATTTGTCTTGGCAATTCAGGCTCTTTTTTGGTTCCATATGAACTTTAAAGTAGTTTTTTCCAATTCTGTGAAGAAAGTCATTGGTAGCTTGATGGGGATGGTATTGAATCTACAAATTACCTTGGGCAGTATGGCCATTTTCACGATATTGATTCTTCCTATCCATGAACATGGAATGTTCTTCCATTTGTTTGTGTCCTCTTTTATTTCATTGAGCAATGGTTTGTAGTTCTTCTTGAAGAGGTCCTTCACATCCCCTGTAAGTTGGATTCCTGGGTATTTTATTCTCTTTGAAGCAATTGAACTTCCACAGTTATTAACCTTTGACAAATCTTCATATAACTTGTTAAGACATGGAGTCCAAAATACTGTTGGTAATGTAACCAAATTTGGAGATCATGGAGAGTAATTTATGCAGTGTGCTTTGAGTATGAACAATGTATATTCTGTATGTACAAGCCCAGAAAAGTAGCTGGAGACAAGAAGTGCTTAAAGATTAAATTAAATTTGTCTTGGGTGAGGCTATTACAATGATTCCTCATTTAAGCTCATCTTGACATTATTTTCACCATCGTAACCCCAGTTCCTGGTTCAATGCCTAGCATATAGTAGGTGCTCAAAAACTGTTGAATGAATGAGCCTGCTTAGCAGTTTAGATCTCAGCAGCATGAAGAAGCCCATGCATTGTAGTATAAGCAACCTTTGCAGAATGTTTCTTAATGTGTATCTGGTGCTTTCTATGTCCAAGATCTTTACTAGCTGTGTTGGGGCCTACTCCAAGTGCCTTACATGCAGTAACTCCTTTAATTCTTGTAAGAACCCTATGAAGAAGGTACTATTATAATTTTTTTTGTGTTTCATAGATAAGTTACTTGTAAGTTGGTAAAGATCACACAGATCATAAGCGGTAGATCTGGGAATAAAATCCAGAGTCTGTGCACTTAGCTACTACTCTGCTGTGGCATCTGAATAGCATCTATGGAACACTCAACACATTTGGGGCACTTTGCTAGGTGCCTTACTGTTGGGTTAACTCACAAAAGTCACTCCTTTGCAATGCCAGATAACGAGAGGGTGCTGCACATGGAACAGCCTTTCTTTCTTTCTTTTCTATCTTTTTTTTTTTTAACAGACTTTGCCATTTTTTTTGTGAACCTAAGGCACTTCTAAGTGCTGTGTGGGAGGGAATGTGGTAGACTGATTTCATTGAGACTCTGCCAAATTCTGGTCTTGCGGCCATCAAAGACGCATCATTTCCTCCAAGACTTCTAAAGGGGGCTATTACCACGGGCCTGCAGGTTCTGGTTTGCATTCAGAGGAGACACTATCTTCTTAAATGAGACATGGAAGAGGAAGTGTCATGAACTGTAAATAAGGCTGATAGGGAATTGTTTGGTGATGGGGATGGAGAAAAACTGCCCTCTCCAAACCAGGTTCCATCTCCCACCCCTTTATCCAACTTTGCCAGAGTCCATCCTATTTTATTTGCTGAGTTTACTAGCAGGAAGAGAGGAGTTTCTTTAAAGATTCTCTCCCCTCCCCAAATAAATACCTCCCAGATAAATATGAGTACATCTATATAGTAGAGCACTATGCCAACATTGAAAAGATGGAAGGATGGAGCTTTGTTCGCAGCCAGCTTAGGCAACATAGTGAGACCCTGCCTCTATATAAAAATAAATAAATAAATAAATAAATAAATAAATAAATAAAAGATGGAGCTTTAAAGGTTGATGTAGAACGAATCTCCAGTGTATATTATAAAGTGAAGGCTGGGCAGGGTGGCTCGTGCTTGTAATCCCAGCACTTTGGGAGACTGAGGCAGGAGGATGGACTGAGTCCAGGCATTGGAGACCAGCCTGGGCAACATAGTGAGACCTTGTCTCAAATAAATAAATCAAATTTAAAGGGAAAAAAGCCAAGGCTCAAATAGCATTTATACCAAGCAATTGTGGGAAGAGAAGGGTGACATGTCTACATACTTGTGTTTAAGAATCTGCTTGGAAAAAAAAGGAAACATAAAAATGCCTCTGCCAAAAGAAAAGTCTTTTCACTCTAAGCCTTTTTGTGTTTTTCCAAAATTTTTTTTTGCCATATACATTCATTATATTTCAGCATTAAAATATTTCACCTGTCAACTTGGAAAAGTAAAAGCGTGAATACAGTAAATATTTAAAAACAGATGAAGATAAGTAACAGGTTACATTAATTGTATACAATCAATCTAGTTTGAATTAGGTGTAGATATAATAATTCTGTGTGTTTATCTTGGTGAAGAATGGTCCTTTAGGTTGTCATTAAAAAGCACCTCTGGGAGGTAAAAGACATAGGCATCTGGAAGATTCATATTTAATGAAGTTAGGGGACATTTGATGTCACTCCCCAGGTGTGGGGAGATATGGACAGAAAACCAGAAGGAACGAATGTGGTCAGGAAGGAATTGGAGTTCCCCTCCAAACAGCTGCCACAAGAAGTCCACACACGTGGAGACAGTTGTGCAATTTGGTCACAGAGTGTCCTAGGTGCTTTTGCTTCATTGCTCCTCCACTGAAGCACGCTGGCAGCTGGCCTCCTTCCCCTGGGACTAAGGATATCTTGGCTGGAAGCTCTGCTCTGAAAAGGGGCATGGCCAAACTTTCACTAGGGCTCTTCGTTGGGGAGCACGATGGACAAAAGCCTTCTTGGGGCTAGGCAGGTCACTTCAAACTTGGAGCCGCCAAATATTTTGGGAAATAGCGGGAATGTTGGCGAACTGGGCAAGTGCGTTTTCTGATTAAGAGCAACCAGATTCAGCTTTTTAAACTACAATTATACTGGCCAAACAAAATACCCTTATACAAAAACCAAAACTACTGGCAGGAGTCGCTGCCAGCTTGCGACCCGGCATACTTGGCTGAGTATCCGCTTCTCCCTTGTGGCTCCAAACTGCTGCAGATTCTCGGCCACTTCAGACGCGCGCGATGGCGAAGAGGGTCCTGCACTTTGACGCGCCTGGTGAGGGAGCGCTGCTCTTCGCAGCGCTCCTGGTGATGCTCCCCAAATTTCGGGGACCGGCAAGCGATTAAATCTTGGAGTTGCTCAGCGCCCGTTACCGAGTACTTTTTATTTACACCAGAAACAAAGTTGTTGCTCTGGGATGTTCTCTCCTGGGCGACTTGGGGCCCAGCGCAGTCCAGTTGTGTGGGGAAATGGGGAGATGTAAATGGGCTTGGGGAGCTGGAGATCGCCGCCGGGTACCCGGGTGAGGGGCGGGGCTGGCCGCACGGGAGAGCCCCTCCTCCGCTCCGGCCCCGCCCCGCATGGCCCCGCCTCCGCGCTCTAGAGTTTCGGCACCAGCTCCCACCCTGCACTGAGTCCCGGGACCCCGGGAGAGCGGTCAATGTGTGGTCGCTGCGTTTCCTCTGCCTGCGCCGGGCATCACTTGCGCGCCGCAGAAAGTCCGTCTGGCAGCCTGGATATCCTCTCCTACCGGCACCCGCAGACGCCCCTGCAGCCGCGGTCGGCGCCCGGGCTCCCTAGCCCTGTGCGCTCAACTGTCCTGCGCTGCGGGGTGCCGCGAGTTCCACCTCCGCGCCTCCTTCTCTAGACAGGCGCTGGGAGAAAGAACCGGCTCCCGAGTTCTGGGCATTTCGCCCGGCTCGAGGTGCAGGATGCAGAGCAAGGTGCTGCTGGCCGTCGCCCTGTGGCTCTGCGTGGAGACCCGGGCCGCCTCTGTGGGTAAGGAGCCCACTCTGGAGGAGGAAGGCAGACAGGTCGGGTGAGGGCGGAGAGGACCTGAAAGCCAGATCTAACTCGGAATCGTAGAGCTGGAGAGTTGGACAGGACTTGACATTTTGCGATCTTTCATTTACCAGTGGGGAAACTGAGGCTCAGAGACTGGCCCAAGATTACCCAGCGAGTCTGTGGTCGCCTGTGCTCTAGCCCAGTTCCTTTTCTAGGACTCTGGTTTGCGACAGGGACCTCGGCTGGAGCATGTCCTGAGATGCCGACACACCCTCAGGCTCTTGGGAGGCTGGGGTGGGAAGGCGCCTGGGGTTGGCAGGCAGGAGGTGCCTCCGCAGGCGAGAACAGGCGGTGAAAAGTTGTCTGGCTGCGCGCAACATCCTAGTCCGGGCCCGGGGAAGAAAACCTTGCCGGAATCTCAGGCCGGGTCTCCCGGATCGGACGGTACACTCGGTTCTGCCTCTTTGCGGGACCCGGCCCGTTGTTGTCTTCATGCTCGAACACACTTGCACACCACTGTGTGAAGTGGGGTCTGGAGCGGAGAGAAACTTTTTTTCCTTCCTTGGTGCAGGACGCCGCTCTCCTTGCAGAGCGAAGAAGGGGGGGAATAGGGACTTGTCCTGGGGGCTTTGACAGCTTCCCCAAGGGTCTCCAAGTAACAGCCAACTGTCCTGCGTAAAGCATTGCACATCTTTCAAAGCGCTGTGGTCCTTGGTGTAAGCGCATAGTCAGAAGTTCAAGCTCCGAAAACCTTTCCTGTGGGCCTTGGTACCTAGCTTTAGTGCCATTCCTTCCTCTCCCTGCCGCCTAAAATTTCCGTCTCCTTCAATTAGGAACACACACGTTCTTCATGCAATAGCTGTCTGTCTTTTCTTCCTCACTTTCCTTTCTCTCTCAACCCCTTAGATAATATTTCTTTCCTGCAGCCAGTTTGCTGATATCCAGATTTCCACCCTTTGCAGGGTGAGAAAGGGGAAAGGGTCAGAGAAAGAAAAAAAAAAAGTCGAATAATTCAGGGAAAAAAATTTCTTACTCCCTAAGACAAGAATCACATGTCTTAGAAGACACTCACACCCACATACAGTACCAGGATCATCTGTCCATGGTTACTGAATTTTCTTTATAATGACTTGGTTCAACGGGTCCAGTCCACCATGGACACTCATTTGTCCCAGACAAGCCCTCTCTCTCCCCCTTTCTGGGCAGAGAATGAAGGTCTGGAACATGTGGTTGCTCTGTATTCCACAAAGAAGTGAGTTGCTTTTAAGCCTGGGGTGTTTCCTAGCGTAGTAGTAACGGCAGGCCGGTCGCCCTGAATATAATGGTGAACTTGCCCTTTTGGAGTGCATTACTTGCTTAATTGGATTGGGCTGTAATTGGTGCCATCAAATTCTAGAGACAGAGGCACTGTTGTTTTTCCTTCCCGTCTTTGAGCTGGAAGGGTAACAGTGCACAAATTAATTAATATTGGTTATGGGATTTGAACATAGAAGGGCTTTTTATTGAGTAGTAGCATGTGTACCTCTTACAGTTATTTCTTTAGAACTTTCTGAAGAGTCCAGCTCAAGCTTGCCAATGAAAACGAATGACATTTAATGGAGCAAAAACAAAAAACAAAAAACTATGTTGGTCTACAAATATGAATTTGAAGTTATTGAGAGCCTTGTTGAATAGATTTTTGTTGTAAACGTGTCTCTAGAATAGTATGGCATAGTCTCAGCTTCCTATGAATGAAGGACATACCTTTTCTTTTTTAAAATATTTGTTACACAGGAAAGTGTGTCTAGAATGTGATCTGTGGCAATAAATTATGAGAGACCTTCAAGAGTTTCTGATTTTGGTAGCCGAGTGGGCACAGTTTATTGAGAATCATTTTTACTGCCATTTGTTTTCTCACAAGAATGTGCCCAAATAATGGTTTTTTTCTCATTTGGATGGCAGTGTGAATTGTACATCATGTTTTCAGCATCTTTCTCAACCTAGTGTTCCCCAGTCAAGTTTGAAATCTGTGTTATCCAAATGAATTGTTTTCATTTTCCTTTTCTTAGACAAAGTGGGACTCCAGGTTTCATTTTGCTTTTAAACATTTTGGTTTTTTGTTTGCCTGTTTTGGGGGCAGTTATTTCTTTCATATTAAAAAGTACTGTGCAGGCTGGGTGCAGTGGCTCATTCCTGTAATCCCAGCACTTAGGGAAGCAGAGGCAGGAGGATCGCTTGAGTCCAGGAGTTCAAGAAGTGCCTGGGCAACATAGCGAGACCCCATTCTCTATTTAAAACATAAATGTAACCCCCGTTCCACGCACAAAGTACTGTGCAAATTAATTAAACATGACCACCCAGACCAGCAACTGTCCAAGAGTGGCCCATAGACCATCTGTGGTAGGATAATTTGAAATGCTTGTTAAAATGCAGATTTGTAGACCCAGGGATATTCTGACAGAGTCTAAAGTCTTAAGAACAAAACTGTTCTAAACATAAGTCAGTACCAATGCCAGTTAATTTCTGAGATATATTGATATAACTTAGTTTCCAGTTTTTTAAAAACCATATTATTGACTTAAAAACCATGATATTGACCAGTTATGTCAGTAACTTATTTTGCACATCTGTGTGGTGTGTGAGAACATGTGCAGTCACTTATTCATTTTGCCTGCATTTGTTCATATTGGGATCCTCAGATTCAATGCACTGGATGTTTGCACTGGGTATTTACTTATACTCTCTCTATTTATTCCGTCTCATACTTCGTCCTATTTGTTCATACTCTCTTATTTGCCCAGCAAGGTCAATGCCAGTTTAGGCCTAGGGAGTCATTTTTTCTTAGTTGATATGACTTAGAAAGCTTGGGAGCCTGCCCAACATCAATTACTTTTTTAAAGCTGGTATTTTCTAGGTCTTGATATTTATTAAGACCCTAGCATAGTGGACAATTTTTCTTTCTCTCATGCTTTTTCAACACCTCATAGCTCTTCACATTTAGTTGACAGAGAATTCAGTTATCTTGCTGTAGAGTGACCCATGGTGAGGAATCTATGCCATGGTACTTTTCTGGTTCTTATCCCTTATAGGTAAAGACAAGTTTCTTATGTCTGAAGCTTGATGTCAGGATGAGTTCAGGGCTTTGATGAATAAGTTCAGATCTCCCAATTGTAATTCATTAGCATTGCACTTAAAAAAATTTATATACGTTTTTAAAAAAGGGTAATGCTAATGAATTACAATAGAGAGAAAAGTACATTAGTTTGCATGTATGTGTGAAACTGGGAAAATTTTTCACGAAAATATTCATATACTTTTTAAAAAAAGGGTAATGCTAATGAATTACAGTAGACAGAAAAGTATATTAATTTGCACATATGTGTAAAATTGGGAAAATTCCACACATACATAAAAGTATATTAATATGCATGTATGTGTGGAATTGGGGAATGTTTTCTCTTCCTCAGTTTCTCTCCCTTGCTTTTAATGTACAGTCTTTATGAGCCATTATTTCAGCTGTGGCAGTTTGGTTACCAGGGGAAGCGCACTAGAAAATTGATAAAGGAAAATGAGACAAGGTCATAGATTCTCTCACTCCCTTCAGGGTACGTAGATGAACTATATAAAAATCCGTCTAAGTGGGATTCGTTAATCAGCAATTTAGTCAAATGTGTACATCCTATGTTCTATAAGAAATGTCAGTGGGTCCTTTCCCAAGGGAGTGAGATCATCAGATGAAGGTTCATTTGGTTTCAATGTCCCGTATCCTTTTGTAAGACCTTGAAGTTGGCAATGCAGGAAAACAGGAACTCCACCCTAGCTCCATGAATTGCAGAACTGTTGTGTTGGTTTATGACCATCTGCCCATTCTTCCTGTTATGACACAGCTTGTGAACTTTTACTGAGAATGGTGAAAAGTAAATTCCCAGTTTTATACAATGAATTGCTGAAGAGGCCTTTTAAAGTATAGAGTATGCATTGTTTATGGAAGGTGTTTCCTATTAGGTCTAACTCAGTGGCAACTACATTCATTTATTTAATTTGTTTCTAGGTTTGCCTAGTGTTTCTCTTGATCTGCCCAGGCTCAGCATACAAAAAGACATACTTACAATTAAGGCTAATACAACTCTTCAAATTACTTGCAGGTAAGGATTCATTCTAGATCTAGATTTCTTGTGTTAAGTAACTGATTGTTTATTGAGTGGAAATAATTTCCAGTAGAGCAGAATTATAATAGAGCTTGTAGTAATTGTTCATAAGTGGTGAGGTTTCTAAGAACTGATGTAATAATGGAAAATGAGAAGAATTTTCTCTCAAAAATTCTGTACAATTTTGCTGGTGTTTTTATACTATTCTCTGCCAACATGCATACACACACACACACACACACGCACACAAATACACACCCACACCCACATTCCAATAACCAGTACAGCCACCTGGCGTATAGTAGACATACGCTCAATAAATATGAATGAATAAATGAAGTTGAGGGCATACATTTAAGGAATAGAGTTGAAAAAATTTGGGACTATATTTATTATGCTTGGTATGATTCTTGAACACTTATTATCCCTTTCCAAAAACTTTGCTTTATAAGAAATTTATTACTATAATTACTTAGGCAGTAATATTTAATAGCAATTTAATATTTAGTGGGTAATATTACTGAGCGCATGATCTACATAAATAATGGACTTCGGGCCCTGCCTTGATATTCTGGAATGCATCTTTCCCCACTTGCTAGCAAGAAGTCATGCTATTGATTTTTGATAACTGGAGAAGTAGACTTCTTTGTCAAGAAGAAGAGGCCTTTAAATTTTGCCTTTCAACCCTTACCCCAGGACGAAAGATAGAAGACCCTTGGGTTTAACATAGTGATCACACACGAAAGGCATGGAGCCTTCTTAGGACCTGTGTGTTTTTGGTAGAGACTGTGACAAGTGGAGGTGATGTTACCCTCCTGGAAGAGTGCTGGGGGTCCACAAAGGACCTTGGGTAGGTTATTGCCATTGCTTCATACTTGTTGAATACTAAGCATTAAACCGAATGACATACATCTATTTTAGACTGCAGTATAAAGAATACCCTAGCCCCTTACCAATACCCAGCCCTTGGGAAAAAACACAGTAGCAGGTGCTGTTTCTCTAGCTTTACTTGTTTAAGACACATTTCCCATTAGATTTTCCTTTTACCGACCCTCGATAACAAGGTTATTTGAAATCCCCAAGGATCCCATGCTCCCTTTTTAAAACTCTGCATAAACATTTCTTATGTTCTGAAAAAAACCATGGAGTGTGTTAAAAGTAACTTCATTGATTTAGCTGCAACTTCCTGGAAATTTTAAGTTCTTTGAATGAAGGGCCAATAATGTTACATTCTTCTTGATGTTGACTATCTTCTTATCTTCCTTGGGGCCTTGTAGAGAAATGCTGCAGTACAAGCCATCTATGTTTTAATGCGAGGTCCTTACAAGGTCCTGAGGGACTCTTACTTGCACCTCCTTCCTTCCTAACCTCACTTCTTACTCCCCTTTGCTCACTCTTACCTGGCTGCTCTGGTTTCCTGGCTGTTCCCTTAATACTCCAGATATGCACCTGCTCCAGGGCCTTTCCATGTGCTGTTTTTGCTCCTGTAATACTGCTCTTCATGATGTTCCTATGGCTAGCTTTATCAAGACCACCTCCTGCAAAATTCTTTACTCTTTTCTTTGTATCTTCTATATTTTTCTCCATAGTACTAAACACTATCTTTTATACAATAAACTTTCCTTACTTTTTAATTGCCTGTTTTCTCCAGTTAGACTGAGGTTCCATAAAGGCATTGATTTTTGTCTGATTTGTTCACTGCTCTTTCTCTAGTCCTTAACAAGTTTGGCACATAGTAGATGCTTAATAGATATTTGTTGAAAGAAAGAATGCATTAATTAATGGAAAACTCAGGAATCTTTATAAGTGACTTCTGAAGCTGAGTTTATAACTTTTCATCATATGTCAATCTGACTTGTTGGTAGAAGACTTTGTTTTTTTTTTTTTGAGGCAGGGTTGCCCTCTTGCCCAGGCTGAAGTGCAGTGGTGTGATTTTGGCTCACTGCAACCTCCACCTCCCGGGTTCAAGCAATTCTCATGCCTCAGCCTCCTGAGTAGCTGGGATTACAGGCATGCGCCACCACACCTGGCTCATTTTTGTATTTTTAGTAGAGACAGGGTTTTACCATGTTGCCCAGCCTGGTCTCGAACTCCTGGCCTCAGGTGATCCATCCGCCTTGGCCTCCCAAAGTGCTGGGATTATAGGCATGAGCCACCATGCCTGGCCGGTAGAAGACTGACTGTGTCTGTTGAAGAGTTTATTTAAGTTTCAAAACCAAATTTTCTCTTTTCTTAGAAATAGCCTCACAGTCTGGCACTTCATATTAATACCTCCCTGAAATTAATTTTTCAGGGGACAGAGGGACTTGGACTGGCTTTGGCCCAATAATCAGAGTGGCAGTGAGCAAAGGGTGGAGGTGACTGAGTGCAGCGATGGCCTCTTCTGTAAGACACTCACAATTCCAAAAGTGATCGGAAATGACACTGGAGCCTACAAGTGCTTCTACCGGGAAACTGACTTGGCCTCGGTCATTTATGTCTATGTTCAAGGTAAGTGGTGAAATAAAATTCATTTCCCACGTCTCTTTACCAGTTATAAAAGACAATAGGCTCAAAGAAGAATTGAGTACAACAAAGGGCTTGCTCTAAAGGCTGTTTGCCAAGAGGAATACACACAATTCTTCTCTCCTGAGGCTTTCTCTGAGAAATAAGACTCATTGATTCTGGAGCTTGGGCCGTGTTACCTCTTTTTTGCCCAGTTAGTTTGGGTCTGATCTTTGTTTCCAAGGTAAATCTGTGTTCACTGTTGGCCATTGAGACTTATAAAAAGTCTTCCTATGTTTGAGAAGAAAACCTAAAATTCTTGAAATCGAGGAAGATTTGGGGGTGAATTATGGAGAAATTTCTGTGGAGAGATAAGTTATCTACAGCAGAGTAGGAGATTTTCCCAAGAATGCATAGGAAAGCATTTTTTGCCAAGGGCTCTGGAGTTTTTTGCACATAGGAACCTTTTTTTCTTACTAGTATTTCATAAAAAACAATTCCCATACTCATGTGCAAATAAAGACATTGCTTCAGACTCTTTTCAGGACAATGTTTCTTTCCTTTGCTTGTTTGGTCTGAGATCTTGGATGATATGCTGTATCTTTCTAGGATGTGCAGTTTGGGATTGATATTATGAAGGCTGACTTAACATCCATATAGTATAAAATAAATGTCACACATATTCTGCATTTATAATGAGTTATGCATTCTTTTGTGTTTCAAAAATCTTACACTATCTTATCTTTTCTGTGAAAACCTAACTTAACTAATGAGATCCCTATGATATAAATTTAAGGAATGTAAGGGCTGCATCATAGTTTGGTTGGATGTACCAAATATTTTTCTTTTCAGTGAAGATAAACAGACATTTTATGTATTTACGTATATGCCTTTTTACATCCCAGAGTATTTGAGACAGGTGAAGATGACTTAGACTTTTTTCCCAGAAGCAGCTTTTACAGGGCAAGAATTTCATCAGCTTTGGGAAACACACTTGCATATCTCTGCTTACATTTCAGTAGTGTAATATGGTCAGTGCAATGAAAAAGTGGAGACCACATCAAAATAACCTATGCCACTGGATTCACAATGTTTGAGAAATATCTTTGCCCAGAGTAAGCACTGTCAAAGATAGAATTCTGTGCCCTCCTCCTTCCCTCCACAAGATTTGAAAGAGACAAGGCTCACATCTTGGAGAATTTCTGGCTCCTTTTGACCTGGCAGTCTTGAGAGATGCAGCTCGGTCAGAAGATTGCAAGGATTTCCTGCTTTCAGCCTGTCTAGAAATACTACAAGATGAACATCCCCCATATCTCATTATTTACTTCTTCCTAAGTCAGGAAACTTGGAGACATGTGAAAATTCATTTCATGAGTTTCAGTAAATATTTTATTTTGAGAGGCTGGGTGGTGGTTTGGGTTTCTTTTGTTTATTTCCTTTTTTTGAGATACCGAAATAGAATTGATTTACTAAATAGGTTTAGTCTTACGTCAAAGGGTTAATTTAGCTTCCAAAGGCTTGCTCTGTAAGCAAGTTATGTAATATTTCATAACATGTGGATGAAAGGTAGGCAATATTAAGAAGTGGCAATCCCTAGCACTGTTTATTGGTACACTGCCTGTCTTTGGGTATACCATTAAATTCTGCTTCCTGTCTAAGCTTAAAGTTCTAGGAGTTGGGCTGTCCAAGATTTTGGCCATGAAGTTAAACAATGGGAAAGGAAACACTGAAGTATTCTCTATGGATAGGTGTTTAATGTCCCCTCTGGTCGCCACCTTACTTCCCTAGTCTTCTGACCCCATTCTCTTCAGCAATGGATGGAGCCAGGAAGTGAGCCCTGGCCTCATAAGATAATGGCTATGGCATGTGGTGGGCTAGATTGGCTGCTTTTCTGTGCTTTCCAGCTGGGAAGGAAATCAAACTTCTGCTGTTGCAGGGAATTAGCTGCCTTTGTCCCCTGTGGTTTAATTAACTCTTTCTTCACTTTGACTGACTATTATGAAGCACTCTGAGAATGCTTGATGGGATGTGTTGGGCATAGCAATGTGAAATGTTATCTCTCTGAGATTTCAAGCATGACTCCACACCACATCATCTCTATCTCTGAGGAATGGACTAGGTTTCCAGCAGCATGTTAACATTGTATGAGTAATGTTTGATTGGCCTTGAAATCTTTTTTTTTTTTTTTTTTTGAGACGGAGTTTTGCTCTTGTTGCCCAGGCTAAAGTGCAGTGGTGCTATCTCAGCTCACTGCAACTTCTGCCCCCCGGTTCAAATGATTCTCCTGCCTCAGCCTCTGAAATAGCTGGGACTACAGGTGCGTGCCATCATGCCTGGCTAATTTTTTGTATTTTTCGTAGAGATGGGGTTTTGCCACGTTGGTCAGGCTGGTCTCAAACTCCTGACCTCAAGTGATCCACCTGCCTCAGCCTCCCAAAGTGCTGGGATTACAGGCGTGAGCCAAGAACCCAGTCAGAATCTCTTCAGTTTTCTTCTCAGTCTTTGGAGTGGTGACTTTTCAAATGTTTGTCATTGAAGATATCAATGACTGCTAAATGTTAAACTAAATGCAAAAACAATTAAACATGGTTTTAGAAAGAATCATATCCCTAGTCTTCAGAATCTTAAAATGCTCACATGAATGGTCCTCTTGAATAACCAAATTCAAAAGTGTTAGCTGTTTCCTGTTAATCTAAAGATCCTTTGGGATCCATTCATTTATTTTCATGGAATTTACATTATTTACCTAAAGAGAGAGCACATGAGTATTTTAAATATTAGTAAAACTTGTCGGTAAAGTGTATAGATTTAACTTTAAATTTTAAAGTAAATATTATCCTTCATTTTGAAAAAATTATAATGATTAATCTTTTAAAATGTGAAATCTATAAAAATATATTCTGCTTGTCAATAAACCTTGTGAAAGGAGTCAATCTCAATTGGGAGTTTTTTTTCAAAATTTTTATACACACAGATATATACACATGCATGTGCATGCACAAACACACACACACACATACACACACACCCTCATGTAGCACAGATATCTATCAGCAGAATAATCTGTGGATGCCTTTGGTTGTGTGAGGTGTCCCTTCCAGTCATTCACTTGTCTGGTTAGAGTTTAGGAACCTGAAAAATGACCAACTTTTCTAGTAAATACTATTAACTCATTAATAAAACTAAATTTTCTTCTAGATTACAGATCTCCATTTATTGCTTCTGTTAGTGACCAACATGGAGTCGTGTACATTACTGAGAACAAAAACAAAACTGTGGTGATTCCATGTCTCGGGTCCATTTCAAATCTCAACGTGTCACTTTGTGCAGTAAGTTGCATCTCCTCCAATCGTCTCTTAAGTTTTTATAATTTTAAGCTAATATTAAGATGGGTAACCTGTTTATAATATTCACAATGAGTTTTAAGGATCCTTTAGGAAGGGTCAAATGCAATGAATAAAACTAATTAGTATTCTTAAAAATAAGATGAATTCTTCAGTGATCATTGTACATGGCTCTCATTTTTGGTACTGGATTAAATATTTGATATGTCTTTTTATTACCCAGAGATACCCAGAAAAGAGATTTGTTCCTGATGGTAACAGAATTTCCTGGGACAGCAAGAAGGGCTTTACTATTCCCAGCTACATGATCAGCTATGCTGGCATGGTCTTCTGTGAAGCAAAAATTAATGATGAAAGTTACCAGTCTATTATGTACATAGTTGTCGTTGTAGGTAAGAGGACATTTCCTTTCCATATCATTAATAACATATCCTTGTATTAAGATCTTGGAGATAACAACATAGAGTGAAGAAGGATATTGAAAAGTATAGGAACTCAGGATATGGTGTTGGGCAATTCATCTGCTCTTCTCTACCAAATAAACCCATGTGCAATTGAGGTTGTCTCTTTTCTTGCCAAGATTAAGGAAGAAAAAGAAAACTTTTTAAAAAAAGGATGAAAGCGAATGGTATTACTCGAGCACATTTTATGAAGAATTCAATGTTCAGAGCATTGCTTGCTATCAATTATTTCAATTATGACTATTTTATGGAAACTTCAGCAATTTGCTAAAGCTGGCCCTACTGGCCTAGGGCTACTGACCACTGAAAGTTTACTACTTTTCTGTCCACTGGGTTACAACATCTTTGAGATCTGTGAAGGTAGTGCTTTGTAAACCTCTGTTGGCCATTTTCCTGGGAGCTACCAAGTATTGGTGAGGCCTGCAGGGAAAAACAATGTGGCATGTTTTAAAGTTGCATTACTTTAAAAAATAAATCTGTGCAAAGTTATAGGCTTATTTGCTCTCTCATGTTCTGTTTTTTCAATTTACTTGCTCTAGGGTATAGGATTTATGATGTGGTTCTGAGTCCGTCTCATGGAATTGAACTATCTGTTGGAGAAAAGCTTGTCTTAAATTGTACAGCAAGAACTGAACTAAATGTGGGGATTGACTTCAACTGGGAATACCCTTCTTCGAAGGTAACGCTAATGATTCAAAGCCAGACCTCCAAATACTTAGATAATAAGCCCCAGTGAAGTTTGCTTGAGAGATAGGGGCCTCTTTGGCCAGATAAAATGTAAGAGCCTTAAACACACACACATACACACCCACTCACACACACATACACACACACACAATTTAAGGGAATTGCAGAACAGATAGCACCCACCAAAAGGTGAAATACCAGGAATTTTGTCCTATTCTGCAATAGCCAGGCTATGAATATTAGTTTTCTCTAGGTGATTACATCTTTCCACATTATGTCATTTCTCTGTTCTCCAAAGTTTTTGATCTACATTCCTTTTAAGGGAATTTCTCTTTAAGAGGTGGCATGAGATACACTGCTCCTTAAACAGTGGTCACATTTACTTGTGTTTCTGCAGTTTATATCCATCTCACTTTCACCACGTGAGGTTTTAAAAATCCTAATTCAGTTGGTTCCATTTATTTCTCCTGAAACAAAATATATTTGTTGTCTGCATGAGGTTAAAAGTTCTGGTGTCCCTGTTTTTAGCATTAAATAATGTTTACCAAAGCCCAGATTTAATTCTGTGTGTTACTAGAAGTTATTGGGTAATGTTATATGCTGTGCTTTGGAAGTTCAGTCAACTCTTTTTTTCAGCATCAGCATAAGAAACTTGTAAACCGAGACCTAAAAACCCAGTCTGGGAGTGAGATGAAGAAATTTTTGAGCACCTTAACTATAGATGGTGTAACCCGGAGTGACCAAGGATTGTACACCTGTGCAGCATCCAGTGGGCTGATGACCAAGAAGAACAGCACATTTGTCAGGGTCCATGGTAAGCTATGGTCTTGGAAATTATTCTGTGCCTTGACAAGTGAGATAATTTAAATAAATTTAGGTCACTTAGTGATTCCTATTTTGTTCATTCAGAAGATAGTTTCTAGTTTTTCTTGTTAGGGAGGCCACATGACCTAGAGGTCAAGAGCATAGCTTTGTAGTCAGGAACTTGGGTTCAAACCTCAACTTTAAAGATGAGATGTGCTGATATACAGTAAGAGTTCATTTAGTATTACTTATTATAGTTATTGCTGCTATTAGGATTGTTACTATGATAAATAGTATTAGCTAAGGTAGTTTTTAAATTTTCATTTTATTGCAAGGCTGAGAGGCCTACTTGAATAAGCATGAGCTTTGCAAACTGGGGAAACATTTAGCAATATACAGTTGACCTGTGAGCAACTCAGGGATTGGGGGAACTCAGGGGAGTTCCCCTAACTTTCCCTCCTCTGCAGTCAAAAATCCATGTATAGGCCGGGCGCGGTGGCTCACGCCTGTAATCCCAACACTTTGGGAGTCTGAGGTGGGTGGATCACCTGAGATCAGGAGTTCGAAACCAGCCTGGTCAACATGGTGGAACCCCATCTCTACTAAAAATCCAAAAAATTAGCCTGGTGTGGTGGTGGGAGCTTGTAATCCCAGCTACTCAGGAGGCTGAGGCAGGAGAATTGCTTGAACCCAGGAGGTGGAGGTTGCAGTGAGCCAAGATCGTGCCATTGTACCCCAGCCTGGGCAACAAGAGTGAAACTCCTTCTCAAAAAAAAAAAAAAAAAAAAAATCAAGGTATAACTTTTGACTTCCACAAAACATAACTAATGGCCTACTGTTGACTGGAAGCCCTACTGATAACATAAACAGTCAATTAACACATATTTTATATGTTATATGTATTATATACTGTATTCTTCCAATAAAGCTAGAGAAAAGAAAATGTTATTAAGAAAATTGTAAGGAAGAGAAAATATATTTACTATTCATTAAGTGTAAGTGGATCATCATAAAGGTCTTCATCCTTGTCTTCACGTTGAGTAGGCTGAGGAAAAGGGGGAAGAGGAGGGGGTGGTTTTGCTGTCTCAGGGGTGGCAGAGGTGGAAGAAAATCTGCTTATAAGTGGACTCATGTAGTTCAAGTTTGTGTTATTTAAGGGTCAACTGTAATTGAACTGGAATTAAATTGAACTGGCCTTGAGAAAATCACCTTAATTTTTTGTTTATTCTCTTTCATTTACATAAATGTCTGAGTTTACATGGTAATTTGTGTGGCATCCTACTTATAAGCCTTGGAAAGGATTTTGGAGTTTATATTATGAGAATGCATCAATACAGTGAAATTTTAAAAATACCTTAGATAATGCTATTTATTAGAGTTGTAATCATAAAAGTGGCAACAACTATAACAAGTATGATTTAGTGAGCACTTACTTTATTAGCTCATCTCATCTTTGAAGCTGAGATTGGAACTCAAGTTCCTGACTACAAAGCTATGCTCTTGACCTCTAGGTCACGTGGCATCCCTAGCAAGAACTTGAAAATTTCTTCTGAATGAACAAAATAGAAATCACTAAGTGTCCTAAATTTATTTAAATTATTTCACTTGCCAAGATGCACTTGTCAAAATACACAGAGAGAGATGTGCTCTGGCTTATGTTTTTATAGAATTACTTTTGTTTTCCAGAATACTTCAGGGAAATAGGGGCAGAAATAAGGAGGTCAGTTGGGAGGCTAATTGCAGTTATCCAAGTGAGAGTTGAGGGGTGGCTTAGACAAGGGTAGTTGAGGTGGAGGTAGTGAGAGGTGATCTGCTTCTGGATATATTTTGAAGGTAGAGTCAACAGGGTCCGCTGATCAATTCATTGGTTGTGGAGTATAAGAGAAAAAGAGTGGAAGATGACTCGAGCGTTAGCATGAGCAACTGAGTAAATGATGGTGTTATTTACTGAGATGGCAAAGATCGAGAAGGCAGTGAGATTTAGGGAAACAGTGTTAGATATGTTTATCTGGAGATGCCTGTTAAACATCCAAGTGGAGATATTTAACATATCAACCCGGAACCCAGAGGAGTCAGGGCAGAAGATAACACATTTAGGAGGTACGTGAATGATACTTTAAACCTGAGGCTAGAGGAAGGTGTAAATAAAGAGGAGGTCTGAGGACTGAGTCCTGGGGCCTCATGGTGGAAGAGGTGTGTGGAGGCTGTCATGGGAGCAGAGGAGAAGGAGCACCCAAGCATCCCTGGGGGACTTAGAGAAAGCTGCACAGAGGAGCAAGTGTTTGAGTTGAGACTTGAGCAATCACTAGGCTTGTGGGAGTGCACTAGCGGGGAGAGAAAAGCAAATGCAAACACAGGAGGTGTGGGAGAAACACGGGAGGTGTGGGAGAAGCTGAAAAGTGACCCACTGAAAGATAGTACAGGAAATCTTGGAACTGCAGCTACTCAGACCCTCAAGGTCTTTGACGTTTCACTTGAAATGAAAAACTAAATCAAATGACCATTTACAGTAAGTTGACCTTTTTTTTTTTTTATTTTCTTCCAGAAAAACCTTTTGTTGCTTTTGGAAGTGGCATGGAATCTCTGGTGGAAGCCACGGTGGGGGAGCGTGTCAGAATCCCTGCGAAGTACCTTGGTTACCCACCCCCAGAAATAAAATGGTAACTACTGGAAATAAATGCAAAGCATCATTTCGTGTGAGAGCAAATCCTTTGACTATACTAATTCCTGAGAATTTTTTTTCATAGGTATAAAAATGGAATACCCCTTGAGTCCAATCACACAATTAAAGCGGGGCATGTACTGACGATTATGGAAGTGAGTGAAAGAGACACAGGAAATTACACTGTCATCCTTACCAATCCCATTTCAAAGGAGAAGCAGAGCCATGTGGTCTCTCTGGTTGTGTATGGTGAGTCCATTCAATTTTCCTCTCTGCCCAAGATTTATTATGATACATTGTCTTCCAAATCAGCCAAACCACCGTTCCTCTGCCTCCTGCTGCTTCACTCATATCATGGCTGGGCCTGCGTACAAAAGTCATCTGGCGTGGTGAAGCTGAAGTGAAACGTAGGACCATGTGCTCTGGCCATGTTTGTTTAAGAGGCCGTGTAAATGAGCTTTGTGGTGGACAAATGCAAGATTAAAGTAGTGATACCCTCGATAGCTAAATGTTGTGAAATAAGAATGCCCACAGGGACAGTTGTCAAGCTAAGTTATACTACCATGTTCCCCTCTCATGGAATTGCCCACCTGGTACACAGATGTGTAAGACCCTTCTCCTTAGATTTTGTGCAAAGCTTCTAGTTTGATGTTGTAGTTGATGTATCAGAGATGTGCAGGCACGTTCCAACTCTGAAGGCTTTTGAAGTTGACACTGTTGGCTTGGTTGGGAGCTTTTCTTTTTTCCTTTTTGACAGGAGTTCAGGATCTGATTTTGAGTCTGTAAAGGAAAGATAGTAAGTTTTTGATGTAAAGATAATTTGAACTTTGTTTTCTGAAACTGAAAGGTACAAATAAGTGTTTGGAATGGAGTGGGGAGAAGGGTGCCATGGTCAAGTGAGTGTGAGAGGTGCTAAGGTGATGTGTAGATGTGTAACAGGTTTCTTTATTGCAGGACTTCGCAGAACCTTTTATATGCTAATGTATATTGGTATTCTCCAGGAGGAGAGACATAGAGTATTCAAGGTTTAACAAACCTATTTGACCAGAGCACCTTTTTTCCCCTGAGCAAATTCATTAATCTCTCACTCCAAACAGTTTGAGAAATGCTTCTCTGTTGTAATTCTTTGTTCCCCCTTCTGGTACGGCATATTAAAACTTCAGGATATTTTCCCATGACATTAAGGTGCTTCCCTACGTGTCCTGATACTCTTCTGTAGGCCGCTGAACTTGGCTTTATTATTTTTTTTCAGGGAATATTTTAAAGATAGGCTGGGTGCCGTGGTTTGCATCTGTAATCCCAGCACTTTGGGAGGCCGAGGCGGATGGATCACCTGAGGTCAGGAGTTCGAGACCAGCCTGGCCAACATGATGAAAACCCGTCTCTACTAAAAATATAAAAATTAGCCAGGCATGGTGGTGGGCACCTGTAATCCCAGCTACTTGGGAGGCTGAGGCAGGAGAATCACTTGAACCCAGGAGGTGGAGGTTGCAGATAGCCGAGATCGCACCATTGTACTCCAGCCTGGTGACAAGAGCAAAACTCCGTCTCAAAAAAAAAGTTAACAGGTTCCAAAAAGGTTGTTTAGAAGCAGCATAGGTGTAGGGGACTGGGGAGAGGAGAAACTGGAAAGTGTATAAGTAGGATGGGAGGAGGAAATGAACAGGAAATAAAAACAAAACACGGACAGCAAATAGCCCATTTCATCAGTTCATGAAGCCACTAAATATTTTATTCACTTTAGCAAATTCTCTGCTATATGAAATAAACATAAAAAAGAAGTCAAGTCTTCAAAGCATAATCTGAGGCTTTAGGTTGACAGTAATAAGGAAATAGTTTTGACTTTGGAGTCAAAAAAGAAAGAAAGGAAAAAGGGAGAGAAGAAAGAAGGAAGTGAGAGAAGGGAGAAGGAAGAAAGGGGAAGAGGGAAAGGGAGTGGAGAGGGAGGGAGGGAGGAAGAGGGAGAGAGAATGAAAAACTCAGATGATGGTGGCAGGAATGCATTCTCTAAAGATTTACACCTTCCTTTAACATGAGGTGGTTTACGTGTTTGGGTTCAGAAGTCAGAGTGTCTAGGTTTGTTCCAGGTTTTGCCGTTCGTTAACTGAGTGACCTTGGGCGAGTCATTTTTTTCTGTTTCATTTTTTTCTCACGTATAAAGCTGTGGACAGTAATAGTGGTTGTGAGGATTAAGTGAATGAATTCATGCAAAGCACTTCAAACAATGCTTGGCACATAATAAATGTATTTACTGTGCTATTTCAGCTGTTTTCTGTAGCCTTTCCCTGATCTCCTAAACTTGAGAGGACAGAGAGAACTATCTCTGTAATACAGATGAGAGGCACAGGATTTCAACACTTCCATAAAGTCATTCAGCTTGTTAGTTTATTATTATTATTAGCTTATTGTCATTTTTATTTTATTTCGTTACTTTATTCCTTTTTTTTTTTTTTGGTAGAGATGGGGTCTCACCATGTGGCCCAGGCTGGTCTTGATCTCCTGGGCTTAAGCGATCCACCTACCTTGGCGTCCCAAAATACTGAGATTACAGGCATAAGCCCCCATGCCTGGCTAGTTGTTATTTTTATGAGTATCACTAGAACTCAGGTCTCTTGTTTCCACATCTAGGTGTTCTTCGAAAAAGAAAGTGGAAGCAAAATCATATGCTTAAAGAAAGTCAGCTTTAGTTGCTAAAATCCTCTATTTCCCATTCTTCAAAGCTGACTGACAATTCAAAAGTTGTTTTTCCCATCTTCAGTCCCACCCCAGATTGGTGAGAAATCTCTAATCTCTCCTGTGGATTCCTACCAGTACGGCACCACTCAAACGCTGACATGTACGGTCTATGCCATTCCTCCCCCGCATCACATCCACTGGTATTGGCAGTTGGAGGAAGAGTGCGCCAACGAGCCCAGGTGAGTAAGGCCACATGCTCTTTGCTTTCCTGCCATCTTGCATTTCTTACAGCTGAGCTATGATATGACTCCATCCTAAATGGAGAAGCCTAAACCAAAAAAAGTTTTCTCTCAAGAGGTAGCCTGAATCTCCATCCATCTTTCTCTGTGTCTTACATTTTAGGGGATGTCTTTGCTTGGAGTATCCTCCTTTGGGGTTAGCTAAGCTCAGCCTTGTTAGGTTAGCCGTGAGGTACACTTCTCCAAACACAGGCTATTTGCTCAGTTTGCTAATTGCCAGTCTTTGGTTTTTCTCCCGATACCAATCGGCTGGTGAATACCACATCCCTCCTTCTTGTGTGTGTGAAGATCCATCTCTCAGAGGAAATGCTGATAGATGAGAGGCAGTGATAGACCCAGCCCCAGTCCTCAGGGTCTCAGGCCCAGCTTATCATGCTCTGACACAAGTCCAGACATCCTTAGGGAAAAACACAACAACAGCAGCCAACCCACCACCACCCTAAGCAGTCCACTTCCTGTTGTTGTTTTTGAAATGGCCACTATGAGCTTCTTCCTCAGCTGCTGATCATTTCCTTCACAGAGACCATGGTCCCAGAGAAATTACTTTAAGGAGCCCAGTGGCTTCTAAGTTTCCTTGCCTTCCTTTGAACTAAATTAACTTGAATTGTCTTGTCGATCCAATTTATGAATGAAGGTTTATTCCCAGAATAGCTGCTTCCCTCCTGTATCCTGAATGAATCTACCTAGAACCTTTTCCTTCATTGTCAATGCCTATTTTTAATTGGCGCCAAGTCTTGTACCATGGTAGGCTGCGTTGGAAGTTATTTCTAAGAACAGAATAACCAAAGTCTGAATCTTTTCCTTACTCTTGACTCTAATTAAAGAAAAATTAAATCATAATATGCGCTGTTATCTCTTTCTTATAGCCAAGCTGTCTCAGTGACAAACCCATACCCTTGTGAAGAATGGAGAAGTGTGGAGGACTTCCAGGGAGGAAATAAAATTGAAGTTAATAAAAATCAATTTGCTCTAATTGAAGGAAAAAACAAAGTGAGTTTGAAGTTTTAAAATTTGAAAATCTCTCTCTCTTTAATGGAAGGATGGTACAATAATATGTGAGGCATATTGGAGATTAATAATCAAATAGTCTGGATGATTAAATAGAGCGTATTAAGTCACTTTGAAAATACCATTGACTTTTAGCAGTACCATTAACTTATTAATAGCTTATCAGAGAAAAATAAAAACATCTATGACATTAAATCTATGCATCTGTGTAGGGTGATTCTGATTTTATAAACATGAGAATGAAAAAATGTGTATCATATCATATTAAAACACATCATTAGTTTCATGGCTTCCAAAGCCCTTTTTATATAATGTGTGAGCTCCACAGCAGCATAATTATACAAATTGAGTAAATATCCCAAACCTAAAAACCCCAAATCCAAAATGCTCCAGATTCTGAACCTTTTTGAGTGCCGACATGGTGCTCAAAGGAAACGCTCGTTGGAGCATTTTGGATTTTCAGATTAGGGATGCTCAACTGGTAAGTATACAATGCAAATATTCCAAAATCCAAAAAAAAAAATCCAAAATCCAAACCACTTTTGGTCCCAAGCGTTTTGAGTAAGGGATACTCAACCTGCAATTGCATAAATTTGAGCGTGTCCAACCGCTGCAGAAGTGGGAATGGCATAGGCAGGTTGGAGTGATTGTGGAGACTGCTGGACTGAGTGCTTGTGCACAAACAGCCGCGTTGTTTATGGCCTGGGATTTGTTTTTTCCCCGCACAGACTGTAAGTACCCTTGTTATCCAAGCGGCAAATGTGTCAGCTTTGTACAAATGTGAAGCGGTCAACAAAGTCGGGAGAGGAGAGAGGGTGATCTCCTTCCACGTGACCAGTAAGTACTCTTCTCTGGAGGTTTGGGTTGGATCACTCACACAGTGGGTACTAAGCTATGTAATTCCCTGTTGTTTTTGCCATTCATGTGAGTGGCATGGCATTTAGGAAAGAGGACTTGGATTGATCATTGATGCTTTCATTCATAAATTACAACTTCTCAGGTATCTCCTGGGCTTATGTGAAGTCAGTGCGTCTAACTACACTGGAGAGAGAATGGTTTCACAGATGCTTTAAACCACAAGCTCTGTGTGGTATTTACATCTCAGTCTTCAGAGTCTGGCACAGTGCCTGGCTTATTGAGCTTCAGTACATATTGGTGGGCTTGCTGTGGAACAGTTGATGAGGGTGGGCTTTATGGAGGCAATCAGAAGGACATAGGAGCAGTGCCCTCCCAATGCTGCCGATTTTGCCTGTGCATCTTAGTTTTATGGATAAGCTTTAGCTGATTGTGCTGAATGGAATATTATAGCCAGGGCTAATTCATTGGCATAAATGTAGCTTTCATATCATTGAGTGTTAGTGTTAATGAAGACCTAATTTTAAAATTCTGTTAGAATTAGAGATTTTGCTTTGGATTTTTAATATATTAAACATTGCGTAGAGCTCATAGTGGAGATGTGGTAAATATCTGAGGAATTCGTTTACATTTTCAAGTAATGTGTTTGGCCAAATAAGATATTTTGGGACCTGAATTGTCTAGTTTGTTTGTCAAGTTGTAGTACATCACCTGGAACGGATAGAGCTTCATTTCTTTTGGTACTTTGTAGTAGTCTGAAAGCAGCAAGATGATAGTGAGCTGTACCAAGTTAAATCACCATTCAATAACTATGGCCTCTTCATTTTAGGGGGTCCTGAAATTACTTTGCAACCTGACATGCAGCCCACTGAGCAGGAGAGCGTGTCTTTGTGGTGCACTGCAGACAGATCTACGTTTGAGAACCTCACATGGTACAAGCTTGGCCCACAGCCTCTGCCAATCCATGTGGGAGAGTTGCCCACACCTGTTTGCAAGAACTTGGATACTCTTTGGAAATTGAATGCCACCATGTTCTCTAATAGCACAAATGACATTTTGATCATGGAGCTTAAGAATGCATCCTTGCAGGACCAAGGAGACTATGTCTGCCTTGCTCAAGACAGGAAGACCAAGAAAAGACATTGCGTGGTCAGGCAGCTCACAGTCCTAGGTAGGGAGACAATTCTGGATCATTGTGCAGAGGCAGTTGGAATGCCTTAAATGTAGTGCAATTCAGGTGCTATGCAAAGATTACTGTCCTCTAGGAGATTATGTTGTAAACTGGTGCACACTTCTTCACCGAAAGTCCTTGAGGAAGAAAGAAGCTAATAATAATGAAATGATATATCGAAAGGAGAAAATAACAAAACCTGATGATGGAGTAATTCACTAGTATATGCAAGGGATATTAGCTTGAACCAGGGAAACTTCTGCCTTATCTTGGGCATCCATTTATTTAAATAGACAAATATTTGTGGAATGCCTGCTATGAGCTAGGAGAGTGTCAGAAATTCACAGTGGTAAACATGAAGGAAAGGAGGAGAACATAGGCAACCACTGGGAAGTCACAGCACAGTGAGGTCTCTGTGTCCATGAGAACAGGAATTGTTCTCTGTTTTGCTCCCTGCTATAGCTCTAGTCATAGAGCATAGCAGCATATACTAACTGCTCAATAAGGCACCTGCTGCATGAAGAGTGGGATGATGGGCTGCGTTTAAGACCTAGAAGACTCCATGGGAAGGAAGCTACATTCACTGTCTGTACCTCTGGGTCATCCCACATGATCCAGCGTAGCCCAAGGTCAATGGGACGATCACTTCAGTGAGCAGATAGCTCTGTAAATTCCTCCATAGAGGCACTGTCTACCCCTTGTCTAACCTCATGCCTTGTGCAAAAGCTGGGCAGCCATGGCTTTGTCTGTGGGAAAATCAGGCAAATTTGGGGAGCGTCTCTTTGTGCCACTTCTCTCCATTTTCTCCTCTTGTGGTGTCCCTTTCCAATTCCTAGGATATATGTGCCCTCTGTTTTTTTTTTACTGTTAGGAAGGAAATTGCCCAAGTAAATTCATCTATACCACAGTTTTAGAGGGTAACGTCTTCATCAGAGGCCTTGGCGTATTTGAAGAGGCACCTTCTGACAGACACTAGCATAAAGTTCGCTAGTTTTAAGACTCAGGTGTCATAATAAGAGATACTTTGGGGTCAAGTCATCCCCAGCATCCTTCAAGTCACACCACATAGATCACATGGATTTTCTGTTGGCTTGTCTGGCTTCAAGGTTATGGCAGAATTGAGAAAGAGATGTGAAGTAGGCTCCTGGCCTAGCTGTGCCCAGAAAATATGTGCTCGCAGTTAGCTGCTTTGCTTCCCTAAGGACTCCTAACTTGTTTTCCTAAAACCTATTCTTAGAAATAGGCTAGAATCCAGTACATTTGCTTAGACTTCAATGTAGTACGCTGTTGAGGTAATCTCATTTTGCTAAGTGTTGACGTGGATTTTTTCAGCATGATTCCTTTTGATGTTCAGTTGGTTGGGACAAGATATTTCCACAGCACTTTGATGATCTGAAGAAAGAATAAATCTAAAGTGTTCTTGTACACTTAAACAAATACTCATGGGCTTCATTTTCTTTAAATCCAAGACTTCCCTTAGGGTATTGTTGTTTTGTTTGTGTTTTAGTGGAAATAGCACTGAACTGGTCTTTTAGCCTCACCAGATTCTGTAAACAGTTCAACTGTTTACTTAGTTGCAGGGACATGGACAAGTGGTTTAATGTCGCTGAACATCATTTATTTCATCTGTGAGATAACGCTAACAGTCCTATTCTGCTCATTACATAAGATCACTAGTGAGGAACACAAATTGTGTAAACAAGTTTTATAAGAATTGCCAAATAAATGTAAGGCATTATTGGTTGAATGATACTAAAATTTGGCACTTCCAAGAGAAATTTGAAGGGATTCTAGGGTATTATTGACTAGAATCTTCATGGGAGGGAAGTTTTCACCTGGGGAGGCTGTGTCTAATTAGAGGAAAAATCCATAAAGGTGACCCTGAACCTTTCTTTTGTGATGGGATTACCAGCTAGTATCACTAATATGAATGTTAAAAGCCATTAATCTGTTTGCAGTGTCCTGACTGACTTGTTTCATTTAACTTTACCCAGTGACCAGTGTATTTTCCCAGAAGTTAATATATCAACAAGTTCCTTTTTACTAAATTTAAACTGTTTAAAAGTTTGCTGATACCAGAACCATTTCAAAAGTTATAATTCCATGTTCTGTGATTTTCTTTTTGTGTGTCTAGAGCGTGTGGCACCCACGATCACAGGAAACCTGGAGAATCAGACGACAAGTATTGGGGAAAGCATCGAAGTCTCATGCACGGCATCTGGGAATCCCCCTCCACAGATCATGTGGTTTAAAGATAATGAGACCCTTGTAGAAGACTCAGGTAAATAGAATTTGGCTATCACTCTTGGGTTGCAGAACTTTCCCAGGGATGTTATCTAAAAAGCCATATTATTTCTTGATGTAATGTAGAAAAAAAGCAGTATTGGTGTCCATGACCTGGCTCATTTCACAGACTTAGAATTGGAGTATGGGGCCCTGTTGAATTTTCATGAAAGCCATATAGGAGATTAGTCAGCAGTAGATCCCATGTGACTCTACAGAGTTAGATAATAGAACAAGATGAAGGGCAGCATTTATATTTTCTAAATTTCCCTGAAAAACTTCACAGACTACATCATCATAAATGAGAATGATCGTTTTCTTCCTCTGTTAGGCATTGTATTGAAGGATGGGAACCGGAACCTCACTATCCGCAGAGTGAGGAAGGAGGACGAAGGCCTCTACACCTGCCAGGCATGCAGTGTTCTTGGCTGTGCAAAAGTGGAGGCATTTTTCATAATAGAAGGTCAGTGGGATAAAAAAAAATGTGGTACATATACACCATGGAATGCTATGCAGCCGTAAAAAGGAATCTGATCATGTCCTTTGCAGCTGCATGGATGGAGCTGGAAGCCATTATCCTCAGCAAACTAACACAGGAACAGAAAACCAAACGCCACACATTCTCACTTATAAGTGGGAGCTGAACAATGTGAACACATAGACACAGGGAAGGGAACAACACACACTGGGGCCTACTGTGGGTTGGGGAGAAGGAGAGCATCAGGAAAAATAGCTAATGCATGCTGGGCTTAATACCTAGGAGATGGATTAATAGGTGCAGCAAATCACCATGGCACATGTTTACCTGTGTAACAAACCTGAGCATTCTGCACATGTATCCCGGAACTTAAAAGAAAAAAAGAAGGTCAGTGGGAAGTCATAGATACATCCTGTGGTTTTTGAAGATTAGTTTGTATCTTATAGACACACATTCACTTTGAATAGGGCAACGACAGATGATTTTTAATATTCTTTGTACTTTGTAAATTTTCTCAGTGAGTATGTATTCTTTTAACCAGCAAACATAATTAATGTTGTTATAATTCTGCTTGCATCACATTTCCTATTCCTGCAGTTCTTATTGTGGAAAAATTCTTAATCAGGCAGGATGAATAGCCTCTTCTCCCTGATTCTGTCTTTGTTTGAATGGCTTGATTAACTTATAGAAATGATGCCTTTATATTTATTTGGAAAAACATTAGAATTGCTGCCTAATCATGGCAGTCAATGCTATCCAGATAGTCACAAGGATTCCGAGTTTTAATTGGACTAGAGATAATTAAGATTCACTTGTGAACAATAGACCATTGCTCTTCTGACATGGAAAATTTTTGGTTTTTATCTCAATACGTGTGTATGCAGAAGTGATGTGAAATCTGTCATTTTCTTAGCTAGGAAAAGTAATTTGTGGCAGAATATTTTATCTTAAGAAGTATATTCCTATGGCTTTTTTTTTTATAGCCCACCAGGGAAAGAATAAAACTGTGTTGTGGGGTAAAAGAATGGTATGCAAGGGTAAGAAAGAAGTATGGTGATAGAAGGGATCGATGGATTTCTATGAACTCATCCTAACTTGTCTCTCAAAGTCTAGATTTTGGTCCCTTTACTCTGCCAAATCTATGATGCCAAGTATTGCATCGAGATATGTTGACATATTTTCAAATGTATAAGCTTATTAGCATTTCATAAACTACACTTGCAAATAAAGATTTCAAAGACCATGGCGGTTTTGTCATTTCCAAAGTGATTCATGTTTTAGGGCAAATCCGCAGAATGACGTCTAGATTGTCTCTGATGCTCTGCATTACCTCTTGTTGGTGGCCTGCAGCTGGTTACAGATGCCTAACTAGGTAACACTGGCACAGAGATTATAGTTACTTCTTACCTGGAGTGAATGCTAAGAAAGGCAGAGCTAGATATTTAATACTCCTGCTGGGTTCCCAAATGTTATGCGAGAATATTAATATACAAACACATAGAAAACAGACTCTTTGAACTTTTTATCCTCTATGTTCAACTGGACTTTTAAATCTGTGTGTATAAATAGAGAATTACTTCCCTAGGACCACCAGAGAAACAAAATTTACTCCAAGCATAATTGTGCTTGTCTCTCAATGGTTAAGTTAACTTTTATTTTGCAAACCAATTTGTTACTTATTTTGCAAACCAGTTTCTTACTTGTCTTCTTCTCTCTTGAGGCCGTAGTGGGCCATCCGCACAGCTTGTGGCCCGGTTTGATTCTCCTTGCACTCTTCTGATGGGAGGCCCCAAGTGATGACTGCTTCCTTATCATCTCTTTGCTAATCACTCTTAGTGGAAAGCCTGTTTCTGTATTTTGTTTCTTCCACTCAGAGCTGTCCTCTGAAGCCCTGAGCATCTGCAGCTTTGCTTGCTGACTTCTAGTTTCCTCTTCTCTTTCCTTTCATGAGTGATTTGAAACTCCCATTACCAGGCCATGCGTGATGTGCTCATCTTGGCTCTTCCTCTTCTCCTCACTCAGACTCCTGCCACAAGGGATGGGGTAGTGTATGTAATGGTTAGTTCATGTTGGACAGGCCTCTTTATCTCTTGACTGAACCACTGACTAGCTGTGTGCCCTCAGTCAAGTAGCTTAAGCTCTCTGGTCTTCTGTTTCTTCATCTGAAAACTGAGAGTTGTTGAGGAGATTAAGTGGAATGGCATATTTAAAGTGATGAGTGCATAGTAGATACATGGTCATTAGTAACTCTCAGGTCAAAAAATTTTGTTTATTTCCCTACTTGGTTTCTTATGTGATCCTTTTGCAAACTCTGCACAGATCAAAATATTGACTATCAGTTTAAAAGAAGACTTTTGTTTTCCTCAAATAGAAATATTTTTTTTTCTCTGTAGAGAATGATCTGTTTTCTTTCCATCAAAGACTGCTCTTCCTCTAAACACTTTCTATGTTTGGCTTTTAAGACATTACTACTTCTATGCTTAATTACTTAAGAATTTTATTGTTGTAAGTTTACATGAGCAATGTTTTGCAAGCTTTAAATTTTCCATTAACAATTCTGTAGGCCAGGTGTGGTGGCTTATGCCTGTAATCCCTGCACTTTGGGAGGCCAAGGCAGGGGGGATGGCTAGAGGCCAGGAGTTCGAGACTAGCCTGGGCAATGTAGTGAGACCCTGTCTCTACAGAAAATAAAAGAAAAATTAGCTGGGCTTGGTGGTATGCACCTGTAGTCCCAGCTACTCGGGAGGCTGAGGGGGGAGAATCGCTTGAGCCTAGGAATTGGAGGCTGCAATAAGCTATGATTGTGTCATGGTACTCCAGCCTGGAACATAGAAAGAAACCCTGTCTCTAAAAATAAATAAATAAATAAATAAATAAATAAATAAATAAATAAATAAATTAAATTCAAAAAAAGAATTCTGTAGACTCCATTCAAGTTACGGGTGTGTAACTGTTGTCCTCTAGGATTTTTCCAAGTTGGTAAGCTTGGGATTTTGCTTTAGTGCTAAAATTTGTCATCTTACAAACAAAAAGTATAAGTTTCCAACTGTTGATACTCATTCAATTGTGTCTTTCCAGGTGCCCAGGAAAAGACGAACTTGGAAATCATTATTCTAGTAGGCACGGCGGTGATTGCCATGTTCTTCTGGCTACTTCTTGTCATCATCCTACGGACCGTTAAGCGGGTAAAAAAATAATTTCCCTTCTGCCCATGCACATTGGTTTTCATGATTAATGAAAACTGACTGGGGTTCTTTGAGTTGTTTCTTCCCATTGTTATTGGCTCAATGGGCACATTTTTATTTCAATACAATAACGTTCCTGCCCACTTTCTTTTGGCTGGATCTCAGGGATTTAATTGATAGAAGCCACTAGAGAGGAAAAGGGCTTGGACTGTCTAGTGTAATTAAGCTTTAAAACCTTAATTCTGAGCTCCTTTGGGGGACAAGGGAAACTAGAAGCAGGGTTATAATAGGACCACTCTCAAACTCCATGAGTTTTATTGGAAAATGAGACAGGAATGAGGCTCCAATAAACAGCAATAACAAGCACACAAAACAACAGCCAAACAACAGTGTGTTTATGACTGGAAGGATTGATGCTTTCCAGGCCAATGGAGGGGAACTGAAGACAGGCTACTTGTCCATCGTCATGGATCCAGATGAACTCCCATTGGATGAACATTGTGAACGACTGCCTTATGATGCCAGCAAATGGGAATTCCCCAGAGACCGGCTGAAGCTAGGTGCATTTTCAATTGCTATTAATTTGATATTGTGTTTACCAGGCCATCTCTTCCTCCATTAGAATGATGACAAATGTGGTGTATTCAGATGTTGGATTCTGGTTTAGAAATATTAATTCCATTTCTTGAATTTGTATAATCATTCATATAGCCACTTAGAGGTAGGGTCCCTATGTAATCATCCAAAGCAGGACATTTGGAGAGTGAAGGGGGAGTTATTAAATAATTAAGCCAGGACAAAGGAGTAAACTGGACTATCCATGTTAAATTGGGATGTATGGTCACCCTATCTAGTTGATGTCTCTGCGTATCACTTTGGTTGTATAGTAATCCAAGTCTGTTTTCTTGTTGCTGTTGTTGTTGACTCTAGGTAAGCCTCTTGGCCGTGGTGCCTTTGGCCAAGTGATTGAAGCAGATGCCTTTGGAATTGACAAGACAGCAACTTGCAGGACAGTAGCAGTCAAAATGTTGAAAGGTAAAAGCAAAATTATGTGGTGATCTATCTTTCTGTTTTATCTAGTCTTTAAATATGTTGCAAGGCTTGTATCAGTAGCTTTGTGCTTATGTGGGCCTACTAGCCACACATGCAGTCAGCCTAAATAATGCCCTTGTGCAAATTGGAAAAAGGATCCTCCTTTGTAGCTTTATGCCAGGATGCATGGTCTGGCAAGCAAAGTTGGGAATGGCTTTCACCTTCTTGCCTGGTTACCCTCGTGCAGGGCTCAGCCAACACAGTTGTACTTAGTGGTTCTGGGTACAGGGAAAAAGGACTGTGGTTATATTAAAATTGTTTCTTAATATATTGTGGAATCAGATAATTATAGACCATCTAGAGACATGGAAAGGAAGATAGTGAAATACAAAAATAGCATGTTCTCCAGAATTGGAATATGTAAAAGATGTTCATATGTAAAAGATAATTTGCAAAACAAGAATGGTTGTGTTAGAAAAAAATATAATGGGTTATATTTTTTAAATTAAAAGCTTTATAAATAATTGTTAATTCTAATAGTAACGGAATTCTGGTCTGGCCATTTTCATTTTAGGAGGTTAGACAGTAAAGCTTCTTTCTTCAATTGTGATGTTCTTTCATTGATGAAGGCAGTGCCAATGACCCTTTGCCAATAGGTTTTGTGCATTTCAAAGCTATCTTTCTCCATCTGCCTTTTTTCTCTTGTGGCCAAGGGAGTGTGTAATTTTGAGGTGGCTCATCAGAGCCTTAGATGTGGACCATGCCTGTGAATTAGTGGGAAGTGTAGCAGTCCATACAGGATCAAACACATAGTCTTAGTGCCATCAGCCTCATGTGCCAACTGGTCTTTCCAGCTGGCCTTAATTCGCCTGCACAGATCGGCACAGATTGGCTGGAACATTCGGTATAGCCCCTAACACGTGAAGATATTTAATACATGGTGTTGCTTCCTTATGAGGAAGTGCTGAAATGATCAGACCCTCAGAATCATAGTGAACCTGAAATGCAAAAATCCAGTTTTGCAGAAGAAGAGAATCTGGGCATGATTCCACTGCAGATGTATTCTCCGCTTTGCAAAAGGTTTCACAATGGGTTCCTTTAAATATCAAACTTTCTGGCTCACTTAAAATATGAATTTTATTTCAAATTAGAAAATAGAATTTACACTTCACTTTTGAGGAAATGCATGTGGTCTGTAAACTAGGTCACAGCTGTGTTACCCCGGAGGGTAAGTTGTATAGTGGCATGCAGGGAGGGAGGGACCCCAATTATTGAAGGAAATGTCCATACCTATGATTTCCCTCTTTGTACTGTATTTGTAGAAGGAGCAACACACAGTGAGCATCGAGCTCTCATGTCTGAACTCAAGATCCTCATTCATATTGGTCACCATCTCAATGTGGTCAACCTTCTAGGTGCCTGTACCAAGCCAGGAGGTGAGTAACTGTGGGTGGTTTTGGTCACCCAATTTTAACATGCCTCTCTGATAGTGTTTGAGGGAAAGCAGTCAACTCCTCTGGCCTTGATTTTCTTAGCTTAGAATACTTTGCGGATTCCTAGGAATAAATATATTTCATGGAGGTTTAATTGGCACTAGAATTAAATTATTGTAAAACTTTCTCTGAATTAAGAAATGTCATGCTACTATGATACAGTTTGTTACTTGTGTAACAGATGTCCAGAGAAGAGTAAACTTCCCTAAAACTTGAAAGCTTAAGGGTAGTTACCCCCAAAATGGAATCATATCAGGAGATTGCACTGAAAAGCAAGTAGATGGGTGGGTTTTCTTCTGAAATTTTGGTTAATCTTGTGAAAATGTGTTCTGGAAAAAAGAAAAGCTACAATATAAGGGGATTGGGACCAGCTGATTTCTACACTCCTGTCCCAATGAAAGGTTGTAGCCTTCTTCTAAGGTGTTTTTGGGTTCATCACTATATTAAACGCTTAGTGAGGAATATGAGTGAAAACCCATTTTCCTTCCTGGACATGCTGCCTGCAGGGCCACTCATGGTGATTGTGGAATTCTGCAAATTTGGAAACCTGTCCACTTACCTGAGGAGCAAGAGAAATGAATTTGTCCCCTACAAGGTATGTCATCTCCTAATCCTGCTCTGGCCATGTTATAAAATGAAGGGAAACTCAAAATGGTACAGGTTAGTTTTTTAGTTGAAATTTTGTGAAGAACTTGTGAGGAATCTTCTCATATTACCTCTTGGCTGTTGTAACTTCCTCTTTTACCTTCTGGGGGCCATATGTTTCTGTTTTATGTATGTGATTTTAATCTACTGACCCATTACAGAGTGTGGACATGGGGGAGAAGGCAGGTATGAGCGAGGAAAGGGGAGGGCAGAGGGTAGGACATCTCTGGGTTATTCTGTCTCTCCCCTAGCCATATTTGGCCCCGTGGAGTGTAAATCCCTCTGTGAAGAGCATCCTAATGCTGAAAGTGTGTCTGAATGCAACTCAAAATGTGGCATTTGTCACTTTAAGCTAAAGAAGGAGCTAGGCTTTGTGGAAGAAACCCTATTATGCACAAAACTTGCCCCAAGTTTCAGCTCAGAGATTGCATAATCCTGAAATTGATGTCCTCCTTGTCTGCTTTTTAGTAGTTTCAATTATCTCCATGGTTTACTACATTTTAAAGGTTGTAAACTTTTAAAGACTCATTTTGTATTCAAGGAGTTTGTTTGTTCCTTTGCTTTTTTATAGACCAAAGGGGCACGATTCCGTCAAGGGAAAGACTACGTTGGAGCAATCCCTGTGGATCTGAAACGGCGCTTGGACAGCATCACCAGTAGCCAGAGCTCAGCCAGCTCTGGATTTGTGGAGGAGAAGTCCCTCAGTGATGTAGAAGAAGAGGAAGGTACTGGCTAGTGCTTCCTGCATGCTATGGCATGCTCTTGTCAGAGCAGACAGGGTGATAGGGTGTTACAAGGAATTTGATCATGGGAAAAGTCCAATACTACCTCATAATTTGAAAGAGACCTGAATTTCTATAATAGACTGCCTCCATTCTGTCTCCCCAAAAGTGAAGTGTGGAAGCCCTAGACTGGGAAGTGAAGCAGGGCTAGCCTGAGAAATCTGGGTAGTCCAAGTGGGCTAAGCAGTCGGCTACAACCACAGCAGTGTTCTTAAAATACTGGTTCAGCATTTATTAGTGAGAGAGGCCACAAGTTTTCTGGTAGTTGACTAGCCTCTCCATTGCCTTGGAGAGCCCCAGAGTGGTTTGCCCCACGTTGCATGCTTTACCTGTGCAAAAGTCTTTTCATTATACCTAACCTTCTCAAAGGCAGTTTAGGAGCCATCTGTTGTTTCTACCCTACCCCAAGCGGCTTATCAAGTCTTCCTTCCAACCATACTTCCTCAGGCGAGTCTTGATAAATATCCTGGCCTTTATTAAGTTATGTTTCCAGTGATATTTTATTTATTTGTTTTTATGTTTATTTTTATTTTTTTGAGGTGGAGTCTCATGCTGTTGCCCAGGCTGGAGTGCAATGGTGCGATCTCGGCTCACTGAAACCTTCGCCTTTTGGGTTCAAGTGATTCTTGTGCCTCAGCCTTCCGAGTAGCTGGGATTACAGGTGCCTTCCACCATGCCCAGCTAATTTTTTTTTTTTTTGTATTTTTAGTAAAGATGGGGTTTCACCATGTTGGCCAGGCTGGTCTCGAACTCCTGATCTCAGGTGATCCGCCTGCCTCAGCCTCCCAAAGTGCTGGGATTATAGGCGTAAGCCTCCGTGCCTGGCCTGAGTGATATTTTAGTGCTCTTTTTGGGTGGAGCTGTGGTCCCAGCCTAACTTCCAGGACTTCAGCCGGCTCCAGGACACACTGTATTTCTGCCTCCTTCAGAAGGAGCAGAGATAGCGTTGTGGATGTAGAGATGGGTGACAGGCTGGCTCCCCTTGAGGCATAAGTCTAGAAGAATAGTGGAAGAAACCCACTCTGTTTCCCTTGACATGAGGCTACAGAGAGAATTTGCATTTAACTCCTTTTCCTTAGAAGCTGAGAAGGTAGTGTGAGGCTGGGACTTGGTCTAGAAGCACATGGGGAGGTGGTCTAGGCTTCATTTAGCTGGGCCCACACTGAGTGGTGCTGCCTCTACCCTGCTCTTTGTCTTTCAAAAAACAGTGGCCAGTGAGCCAGAAACCTAAGAGATTGAGTTGTTGAGAAAAAGGCTCACAGCCTTTTAAATACTTACGAATTTATTACTACAACTAAGTTTTTGTTTACTCTGGTATTTGTCTCCAGGAAAGAAGCCATAAGTCTTATCTGACCAAAGAGATGATTTTGAAACACCCATTTAATATCTTAGTGTTTATTTGTACCAGTTGCACTGAAGTAAATACCACCAATTTACGTAAATTTATCTTTCCATGTTTCTGTTATCTCTCAGGAAAAAACACCCTCCCAGGCCAGATTTAATGTATTTACAGCACTTTTTAAGTTTGAAAATGAATTAAATATATTTCTAGTATTTTTAGTTATCTATTGCAGATTATAGTTTGACTTTTGGCCTTTGTCCCAGGACAAAACCTGGAGAGAAGAGATTCAATGACCCTGAATATTGTTGTTTTATTTTTAGAGTTCTTGATATGAAACTATTGTTTATCCCTCTGGGTACATGACAAAAAACAGTGTAAGTGGCAAATTTGGAAATGTCCTCTTTATTTCCCAGATTATCTAGGTCAGTGTTACCTTATTCTACCTCCTGGATTTACTGGTTCAATTTGGCTAAAATGGAAAAACCAGTATTGTTCCTAAGGGGGTATGATGAAGGCTAATGATACTGGGATTCAGGAGATTTACAGAAGATAGAAGCATTGACTCTCTGCTTCTATTTCCTAAAAACTTAACTCCCAAGTCTTAAAAAGATTATTACTCTAGCAAACTTAGAAACATCACACTAACTCATGGAAATACTGATCTCCATCCTCCTGCCTCTTTGGACAGCTCCTGAAGATCTGTATAAGGACTTCCTGACCTTGGAGCATCTCATCTGTTACAGCTTCCAAGTGGCTAAGGGCATGGAGTTCTTGGCATCGCGAAAGGTAAGAAAGGTTGAGGGGAAATCAGCTATCTTTTCAGATCACAGGTTTGGAAATAAGATGTCCAGTGTCAGCCATTGGTGCTTGTTTGGGATTGTAATTCATTCACCACTTCTACGTCTTTTAGAAGAGCTCTACTGGGGAGGCTCTGTTTCTGCTGAGTAAGAGTGGTTAAGGAGTTCATGAAATTAAGCTGTATAATAAAGGCTTGTCAAGCATCTACTAAGTGTGAGGCAGTCTTCTGAGCACTGAGGATACTGTGGTGAACAATCAGGCAAAGCTCTTCACCTTCATGGAGTTTACAGTTCTAGTGGGTAGAGCAAACAATAAGCAATATAAACAAGTAAAACGTGTTGTAGGTTAGATGAGAGTAAATGCTATGGGGAAATAAAGCAAGAAAGGGTTATAGAATACACAGGAGCAATGCACTTGTGTATGTTTATGCTTCTCTGTGTGTGTACATCTACTTTAAACAAGGTAGACGAGGAAGGCTTTACTAAGAACTTGACATTTGAGCAATGACCTGGAAAGGGGAGGGGCTGAGCCTTACAGATATCTTGGCATGAGAATCATTTTTAATTTATTTTACATTCATCAACATCCATCAAAAAGTATTTGTTAGGAGTATAATTAGAAACGAGGAAGGACAGGCTTCAGATGAGAGCGATTAAAAGAGCTAAAATTAGAAAAGTAGGCCAAACAAAGGCTGAGATGGGGACGTGACAAGTTACAACTATTCCAAAGGTTGTAAACACCAAGCGGGGAGCAAGGCTGGTGGCAGTGATTCCCCTGGAAAGGATAAAAGGTGTAATTTTATATTAGGTAACAATACTTCAAATTAAGGATCAGGAAGAACTATCAGTTGACAGAATGTATTCATGCAGCTTAATGAAGAAAGAAAGACTTAAGTCATATTTTTTTTTGTTTTTCCTAAATTAGAATGAAATCTTCAACCCATGTTTTCCCCTTCTCATAGCATTAAAGGCCTCAGGCTCTTTGATGTTTCTGCTAGGTAGCTCTTATGTTCTCTCTCCCAAGGGGAAGGAGGAGAACTGGGACCTTATAGGGTTTTCCCAAAGAGAAAGGCCCTTTACACTTCTTGGAGATTATGACTTATTATTACCATTTTTTTATGGCCGGAATTCGCCACTTAGTCAGGGTTCCTTTTGGGGACTAGGAAGAGAATGGAAATGAATGTGGGAATGCTTTAACTTTCCTTACATCTACCAGACTATTTCTTGAATCCACTTGGTTGTCGGGTTAAAAAAGGAAACTTTTTGTTTGGGGGGAAAAGTCAAAAACACTGTCTGTTTTTTGGAATTGCCAGTGTTGCTCAATTGTGCTAGATAATGTGCTTCTGAATATGCCTTGTTCAGAGGAGAGTGCCATACAGATTTGAGGTGTGGGAAGGTCAGCAATGCCTGGCTTACATGATCACTTCTCCAATGATTTAAGAATTCTCCTTTTGGCCAGGTGTGTTGGCTCATGCCTGTAATTCCAGCACTTTGGGAGGCCAAGGTGTGTGGATCACCTGAGGTCAGGAGTTTGAGACCAGCCTGGCCACCATGGTGAAACCCCGTCTCTACTAAAAATATAATAATTAGCTGGGCGTGGTGGCACACCTGTGGTCCCAACTACTTGGGAGGCAGAGGCAGGAGAATCACTTGAACCTGGGAGGTGAAGGTTGCAGTGAACTGAGATTGCACCACTGCACTCCAGCCTGGGCGAGAGTGAGATTCCTTCTCAAAAAAAAAAAAAAAAAAAAAAAAAGTTTTCTTCTAAGCCATTGATTCATTTCTTGTGCTCCCCAAGACTCATTTTCTTACAAAATATCATGTGGAGCTAAAGCTGCCGAGTAGTAGGAAGTTAGCTGAAGTTTGGAGGATACAGAGAAAGGAGAAACTGAGAAGCTAAAAGGAAGAGAAAGAAGTCAAGATGAATCTCATTGTACTATTAATGCACTAGAAAATCAACCTGACTTGTGATAGGCTGAAATTGCCTTAATAGACCTTTATAATAACCCAGCACTTTGAAATCAGGGGAAGCCACATTGGGAATTGTTTATCAGAGCCAGTCTGGCTTCAGCTTCATACGGAAGGGGGAAACCAACAAAGAGCACTAAACCAATGAGAGCCCCTTGTTTCTGATTTCCGTGCATTCATTCAAAAAACAAATCCCGTTCTCGGACCTCCTTAGAATAACACGTTTTAAACCAAATATGGGGCCAGGTAAAAGGAATGTGTGGATGTGACCAGAAACACACTCTTTTGTGTCCTAGAGGAGCCTATTTATGATTCCATCATCATATTATAACTTAATTATTTAACTCCAAAGGCTGGGGCTGTTTATGGAATAAGCAGATGTGTGTCTCAGCAAAGCTCACAGACTTTTTTCCTGAAGTGTTGATAAAAGATACTAACCCAGTCCTTGTTAATCAGTTGGCTTTCTGATGTGGGATTTTTTTTTGATGCATGAGGTCACAACAGATGTGAAAGAGATCAGCTGTGCCGAGACCTAATGCACACATGATTCTCTTTGCAGTGTATCCACAGGGACCTGGCGGCACGAAATATCCTCTTATCGGAGAAGAACGTGGTTAAAATCTGTGACTTTGGCTTGGCCCGGGATATTTATAAAGATCCAGATTATGTCAGAAAAGGAGATGTAAGTTTCAAATATGAACCCAGTGCTTGGTTAAGTAACAGAATTAAAACTCCTCGTAGAGAGCTTCAGGACCTGTGTTCAGGAACAGAGGAAGTTTTTTTCTTCAGATATTTGCTAATTTGGGTTCTGAATCCTTGTCTTCTACCCCTGTAGGCTCGCCTCCCTTTGAAATGGATGGCCCCAGAAACAATTTTTGACAGAGTGTACACAATCCAGAGTGACGTCTGGTCTTTTGGTGTTTTGCTGTGGGAAATATTTTCCTTAGGTAAGTCATTTCTTTTTGTCCTTCCATCCAGACTCCAAAGAGGAAGACAAAAGTTGTCTTTTCCTCTCCTGTACTTCATGTCTATCAGGCAAAACTTCTCGGAAGCTTTGAAAAAAAAAATAGATACATAGGTGATGAGGATGTGCAAGATTCAGGCTCAGGGTTTTCTATAAGAGAAAATCAAATCAAAGAATGTCTCCTCCCTGTTTTATTCTAGGTGCTTCTCCATATCCTGGGGTAAAGATTGATGAAGAATTTTGTAGGCGATTGAAAGAAGGAACTAGAATGAGGGCCCCTGATTATACTACACCAGAAATGTAAGACTTTAAGAAGTATTCCTGTGTTCTCTTTCTTTGCTCGCAAATTCTCCTTGCCTGGAAGACTTTCCATTATATAGACCTTCTTCATTGCCCAGTTAGTGTCCTGCTTTTACTTTGGGGCCTTTCTTGATAATTTCAAGCATGGAGTCATCACTTCTTGAAAAGATAGTACTTTATTATTCAAAGCAACCAGTTAGTTTTTATTAGATGTTGCTTTAAATGTTTTCTATACACATTGAGCCTCTGGAGTATGGGACTCTGTGTCTTACACAGTTTTGTATCCTTATTTAGCATCTCACCTCGTCAGCTCTTTACAAATGTGTACTCATTTAAGTGCTTATTTTCAGCATTCAGGAAGAAAGAGGCATTTAATGAAATCAGTGTTTTGCTTCTCTAGGTACCAGACCATGCTGGACTGCTGGCACGGGGAGCCCAGTCAGAGACCCACGTTTTCAGAGTTGGTGGAACATTTGGGAAATCTCTTGCAAGCTAATGCTCAGCAGGTTTGTCACCTCCATCCAAGAAGCACCTACAAAGAGTACTTAGATGTCAAGGACTTTCCTACTGCCTGAACTGTCTCATGGCTACCATGCCATCCTCTCAGCCATTGAATAATCTACTGTATTCTTCTACATCTGAGTAATAATGCTTTTCTAAAAGCTGTAATTACCCTTTTAGACAGATAGGATTCTAATTTATAACCCGGGAGCAGACCACTCTGATTTCTACCTACTTATCTTTTTGTTATATTTTCAAATCCTCTTCTAAAGTTAAAACAAAGAAAAAATCTGGTTGATCCACAGAAGATCAACAATGGAAGAAATTTCAAGAAATTTTTAATAAATTCTGCAGGCAAAAATACATCTAAGCTATGCAAAAGAGATGGTTTCTGTCTTGGTATCATCCCAGGTTCTTATAACTTCCACTGGAAGATTTTAGAGTTGTAGTGTTTACTATTAGAATGTTATTTAATCTCTAGTCAATGCCTCTTACTACAATGGAAGTGAATTTCCTCTTTCTTTTCTTTTGAACAGCTGGGGGACGATAGGTCAGCTCTATTTTTATCAATAAACCTTCCAAACATTTACAGATATCAAATAGCCCTTTATTTCTTTTTCTTGATGCAATAATATTAAGTTGTGCAACCTTTTCTCAAAAGACCCATTTTCCTACCCATTTGTTGCTTTTCTTTAGACTGTCATCAGTTTTTCCATTGCCTTGAAATGTGGTGGCTAAAACTGGATGCCATGCCCTTTGAAGGGCTTGGCTCGTGTGGTTAGGGCTTTGTGAATGAGTGATTTTTTGTTCTATGTAGCTCCTTGTGTTCTGTTGTTACCTCTCTGACCACAGCCTGCTTTCTCTTCATTGTAACTGCACTTCCCTGTGGGCTGCTTACCCATCTTGTTTTTAGTTCTCTCCTTTAATATACCTTCCATTTCAACAGCTTTTTGTTTCTGACACATGATTTGTATTGTTGTCTTAAAGTTCTATGTTCAGATATGAAAGCCACACACCCTATGTAGCCAAGAAGTCCCTGTGCCCTTTGTTTTTAATGAAAAGGCACTTGAAGAACTGAAGCCATAACAACAGTCTTCTGTGTTTATTGTTTCAGGATGGCAAAGACTACATTGTTCTTCCGATATCAGAGACTTTGAGCATGGAAGAGGATTCTGGACTCTCTCTGCCTACCTCACCTGTTTCCTGTATGGAGGAGGAGGAAGTATGTGACCCCAAATTCCATTATGACAACACAGCAGGAATCAGGTACTGTATATGGCCTAACATCCCCCGGGGGAGGGTGACTTCAAGGCCATCTCGGGAGGGGGATTGGAAGTGGAAGGAAGACCTTGTCTAAGGCTGTTGCATCCCACTTCCACATAACCTTAGCCCTGAGGTTAACATAATGGGGAATGCTCCTGGAAGAGGGCCTGGGTAGGTGTGCTTCCTCCCATCTGTAGCCCACGCTGCTGCCACAGCATTGCCTTTAAGAATTCCAAGCCCTGCAGCTGCAATAGCTGGAATGCCACAGTTTGCTAATTTCCAGAATAAAGAGACGAGTTTTACAAAGACATCTGCATTTAAATTATCCCCGTGTATGCTTTTATTAATGTGAATTAAATGGCTTAGGAGAGATTCAGAAAGGAAGAGTTCTGTGCTTGCATGAGAACATGCTTATGGCTCTCTGGCAAGGATACAGAAAGCCATGGGTCTGTGTCCGGAATTAGACTGGACACTGCATCTCAGAAGCCCCTCCCACGTCTGATTTTCAGCATTTTATTTGCATAATGGGATGTCTGGGCTTATTTAAAACACATGCACTGCAGTCCTTTCCTGATTTGCAGAGGGGTTCTAAAGGCAGCTTTCTTTTTTCTCTCTCCCAGCACCTGTGCATAAGGAAAGAGTTGGTGTGGTTTTCTACAATATGATATTAAAATTGCCCTTTACTAAGGCTGGGACTACTTCATTTTGCTTTGTTTCTTTCCTAACCCGTTTGGGTGTTTTCCTGCTTTAATGGAACCCCTGACAGCATGGGTCCAGCCTGCCAGCCCGAGTGTGCCTGGGCTGCAGGGAGGGGCAGGGAGCTCTCTCATGTCCAGAACTTGGCCAGGTTGCCACATGGCAGGGGATGCTAAGGAGAAACTCGTGGACAGTTTGCCCTCTAGAGTCGTGTGGGGCAGCAGAAACACTGATGGGAAGGAAGAAAGCTTAGAAGCCAGCAAGACAGCTGACCGTTCCATTGAAGTCAAAAGCATTAGGCATATTTTTAAAGAACTTTGCCGTATATTATCAGATGTTGCCCACATCATGACACTCAGAGTCAGGCAAGGTAGAAACAATGATCTTTTTTTTTGATGTATTATTGAACATGAGGCTCAGTTCTATTACCTGAGGGCAGTACAAACTTGTAGTTAAAGATCAGGTATTAGAGTCAGATAGAAATGAGTAGGACCCCCAAGTCTGTCTTGTAGCAGCTGTGCAACTTGGGGCAAATCATCTACCCTCTGCCTCAGTTTCTTTATCTGTGAAATGAGACAAGGTCAGTGGTGCTGTTTGAAAATGGCTGTTTTGAGAGTTATAAGATATAATCTATTTCTAAGCACCTGGCCCTTGAAAGCACTCAGTAAAAGATACCTATTAAGTGAGCTGCTTAAAATCACATCCTTGAGATGAATCCAGTTCCTCTGACCCCTAAGTCCATGTTGTTTCCTCCCATGCCAAGGAGGGCCCTCAGAGAGAAACAGTAATGAGATGAGACTACAATTCCACTCCTGTGTTTACACATTTCCAGTTCAAGTTGAGCTGGCCTTTTAGTGTGACAGTTGTTCCCACACACCATTATTGCCTCCCCCTTTATCAGAAAGCCATTTGATCATGAACTACATTCCATGTGTTTTCTGTGACCAAGTAGAGTGATGATCCGAGTCGGCAGCCTCCTGGCTCACCGGGTGCTTTGCATATGGTGCTGAGCAGGAGAAGAAATCATGTTTGTGTAATGGAAGCACCAAATACGATGTTGGATATATAGAAGGGCTGCTAACGTTTATCCCCAGAAGCGTGGACAAATGTGACACCACACTCCCAGCACAGGCCTGGCTCCTATTTTCTGTCTGTGATTTTTGAATTGGTTTTTCCAGCCCAGTTTCTCTTTTATCCAGCCATAATTTGAAAAATAAAATGGAAATTGGAATCTTTTGTCTGCATCTCCTCTCCACCTCCTCCACCTTTTTTCCTTTCTATAAAATAAAACTCACGGTCACATTTTAATCATCTGGTTTTGAAGAAAAGCAGATAGAGGCATTTGCACACGGCATGCTTCATTCTGTTGCTCTCCTGGGGTTCTGTTTCTCTGGGGAGAATGAGTTGAGGCTGGGGTACTTCTCAGGGAGCTTGTTCTATCCTCTTACGCATTTCTGGCCAAGTACAAAAGCTGAGCAGTCTTTCTCCTTCTAATTTTCAATTCTATTGCATTATAAATAGAGTTGGACAGAGATATCACTGTGGGAGCTAGCTTCATGATTTGTTGCCCCTTTAAACCATTTGAAAAATATTTACTTAGCATTTATTTAGAGAAAAGGCTGAGAAGTGTGTGGGGGAGGGACCACTCATGTCTAGACTTAGCTTTGCCTCTAATTTCCCCTGTGGACCAGCTCTGGCCTCAAGTTTGCATGCTTCCTGCAAGAAAACACATACTTGCTGGGCTCATCTTTCTTTGAGGGCAGTTTGGGGACCATCGGCAATTGCTCTGTCATTTTCCCTGGGAGTTTCACCTCACACATCAAGCAGCTTATCAAAAATTTCTTTGCAGTTCTCTCTTAGAGAAAGGTTTTGGTACATACCATTTTCTTCATTTTGTAATTGTTAGGGATGATTAAATGGCCCTTGTAGATTGATGCTTGGGGCAGCCTGCTAGCTAGGTATTCCTGAGTTTGGCTCTACCATTAGACTGTTTGCAGTGGGACTGTCCTTTCTGCACTTTTTGTCTGTTTCATACCCCGTACTTACACCCCTGACCCTGCTACTGCATGATCAGTGCATGCATGACAAGAGAACAGTGCTGTGCACATACTGGGTGCTTAATAATGGCTTGAACAATTGTGTCTGCTGTTTTCTTCTTTCTTTTCCCTCCTGATACTCTTCCAAGGGAGTCTGTATGGAGTAGAGTAAAACAAAACAAAAACTTCACATGGGCTTTAGTGTCTGAAGGCCTAAGTTTGAGTCCCAGTTCTACCTTTTATTAGCCATTTTCTCCCTAATCCTTGACTCCCTCATCTCCAAAGGGGAAATAGTTAAAAGACCTGTTTCTCCGTCTTAGGAGAAACAGATGCACCATTGTCTGTGAAAATGCTTTGTCAATCATGAGAGGATCATGCCATTTAAAAAATTACTGGATTAAGAATTTAAGGAGCTGTCCTTTCTAAGGCAGCTGAATTATTGTCCAAACTCGCCAACCCTAGTTGATTCTATCCCCTAGATATCTCTAGAATGAGCCCATGTCTCCAAACCTCATGGGCATTCCCTTTTTCTAGCCAAGCTGCCTTTCTTTCTCCTGAAGAAGTGCAGTATTTGTCTCTTGGGTCTTATGCCTCTAGTCTTATTCTTTTCAATCCAGAGTCAATTCTCTAAAGGGCATATCTGATCTTGTCAATCCCATGCCTAAAATCCTTCAGTGGCTCTTCATTGCCCTCAAAATAATAATCCAAACATTCCAGTTATGTGATTTTGGATAAGTTCCTCAAATTTTCTATGCCTTGGTTTCCTCATCTGAAGAGTTGGGATAGTAATACTCACCCCTAGAGAGGTACCGTGGTGAACACATCATGAGATGCTGCTTAGACAGCTTCTGGCACAGTGTCAGGCTTGCGGCAGATTATCAGTGAGGGCTTCCTGAACAAGTGAATGCAGGAATGATTGACTACGGTACCAGTAGTGTTTGACAACTGTTACTTTTAGGGGTTGGACTTAGAAAGTAGGCTTTGCTTGCACCCTGTGTATCATATCCTCTTAACTTGTGGAGTTTCCTGAGTGAGGATGTCACCGGAAAATCTCATTCTCTCCTCTCTCTATAGGGAGGAACCAGCCTCTTGGGGTAGGGGAGAGAGAATTAATTTCCATTCTTCTCCTTTGGCCCAAGGTCTATGCAGCATGTTCCAGAAGTCTGCTTGTAGTGGGAAGTAGGCTGGTATAGGAATGAAGAATGTATTTTCTGTCTCGGTGGGCCCTTCCAGTGAATAGGACTTCCCTTCCCTCCACTTGGGCTGTAAGTGATTTTGATAGCATCAACTAGACTCACCCAAAGCCACACGGCCGGGAAGGAGCATTCTCAAGAAGGAGAGGATCTGTTGTTCAACAAGTCTTATTCTTTGGACTCCTGAAGGAAGCTTTGGAAGTCAAAGGAGAAAAATGAGCTTTGTTTGAAGAGGGCATTATTCTTCCTAAGAGCAATAAGCCCAACATTCTCTATGTCATTCATCTTCCCAACATCCCTGTGAGCTGGGGAGGGAGTGCTACTGCCAACACATCTTATAGATGGGACAAGAGGGTCACAGAAATATTCATGACTTTCTCAAGTTTCTGCAGTCAGTGGTAGACTCTGAAATAGGCAAAATATCTTGTTATTCTCAAACCACTGCTCTTTCCTGAGACAGCAACTCTGGGGGCGAAAACGAGGGGACAGTGAGACTCAGCCCACCTTCTCTTTGCACACCAAGCCTCTGTTACATGGAGGAGGAAGAGGTTGTCTTCAAATCACTGCTGGGTTCAGTATCCTTTAAGGAGACCTTCAGATGTTTCCTCTGCCTATCTTTCATTGAATGGTTGCTCTGTGAGCATTATCCAGAAAAACTTTCCCAGGAGATGGCCAGACAGATGTGAAACACTCAGTAATATATCCAGAGCTCGATGGAGGAATCCCATGCAATCAGGAAGCCAAGTAGAAGGCAGTTGATCACTCCATCTGCTGTTGTTGTCTTTAGTCCAGAACTGGACCTCAGAAGTAGGATTCAAAAGAACAGGCTCATCGAGACTCCTCAGTTATATTATACTTTTAAATGTACTTTCTCAGGAAATTAAGCCTTCCATGTGTGCTAGCAGAGAAAGATTTTTATTTTGTTTTGTTTTTCTAAAGGATGTTTTGAAGGTTGCTATTAAGTTTGTGGTTGAAAGATAATGAACTTAGGTAGCCGATCTGCAGTCAAATATACCACCACTAAAATATAAATATTTGTTCTTTTGCAGTCAGTATCTGCAGAACAGTAAGCGAAAGAGCCGGCCTGTGAGTGTAAAAACATTTGAAGATATCCCGTTAGAAGAACCAGAAGTAAAAGTAATCCCAGATGTAAGTACGTCTTTTAAAAATAGTCTTAGAAATAATACAAAGGATGAAACACTAGCTAGATAAATATTAGCCTAAGCATTAAAGTTTTGGAGCCTCATTAGAAGGCTGCCCTCGAGTGTGTGTATCATGGGGTCATTATGGAGATGGAACTTTGTTTTTTTCATAAGTAAAGCCCTTGGTCCAAGGTTCAAGACAGTGTAGCTTTCTGACCAATTTCACTAAAGTGCAAGTAGTGTCATAGTGAAGACAGCGATGGTAACAGGCATTCTCAGCTGCTGATTTGTAAATTTTCTCTTCTCCCTGGCCTGTGTCTACTCATAGGAAGCAGTTGCTTCCTTTTGTAGCTTGGACAATTTGTGGCTATGATACCTTTATGTTCTTCCACAGGACCTTATTTGATAGACATGATAGATGGGTTGAGAAATCAGCTTAATTAAATAGTTGGTCATTTTATATGCTCAATTAACTGTGCCATCTCATTGTCTCTTAAAAAGGACAACCAGACGGACAGTGGTATGGTTCTTGCCTCAGAAGAGCTGAAAACTTTGGAAGACAGAACCAAATTATCTCCATCTTTTGGGTAAGACTCAGCCATATTAAAAAGACAAATTTCAATAGGAATTTTTGGAAGGAACTTAGGACTTTCAGTGTAAGTGCAGAATTTTCCCTATGGGGTCTTTGTTGGTTGGAGAAATTAGCATCAATTTAACAAATAAAGAATGGAAACTAACCACACAATAAAATTAAGTGATAAATCTAAAAATAATCTGAAATAAATTAGAGAATTTGGTCAATTTTTATGAGAATTCATGAATACTAGGGAATTTCTGTGTATATTTACTGTGGTCAGTAATGGCTAAATGAAAAAGGTGATTGGATGTGATCCGTAAAGCTGTCAATATGATTACAATCTTTGTGGACTCTGAAGAATTTTTAAGTCTGTATACAAATGGGTGCATCTGTGCTTAAGAAGTATGATATATAAATAAGCCAATATCTATTTGTTTGAGACATTTAAATATTATTGTCTGAATTCGAAGTATTTCATTGTGAGAAAAGTATTAAAATTAGTTTTAAATATAATCTCCCTTCTATGGCTCAGTAGGAATTTGTAGGTGTCTTGAATACGTGTACGTTCTCTTAACATAACAAATCAATGAAAATCTATATTTATAAGAATAATAGAATAAGTGTAGTTATGTATTTGCTGGAGTTTATTTGCTAGAGTATTCTTACCTAAAGGTAAGAATAGAGGAGGTTTTGATCTGCTTATAATCTTTTATATAAAATGGGAATACTCATGGGTTTTTGAATAATGCTCATACCAAAAAGAAAACAAACAAAAAAAACCCCAACATATTAAAAGGTGCCATTGTGCTATTTTATTGTTTTCTTTAAGGCCCAAGGTAAGAAATTGTGAAAGTCAATGATATGTTTCATTCATTGATTCAAAAAATGTTTATTCGGCAAGTATCATGTGCAGAGCACCATGCCATTGCTTGAGACACCTACATTAGTTTTGTTGGGGTTGAATTGAAAGAAAAAATTGTATTTCTCATTATTTGAAGTAACTTTTAAACTATGTATAAACACGAGTTACTAAAATTCCCTTTTGCAGTTTTAACATGAAGAAGTTGGGGAAAACACCTATTACCGGGAAAAAACACCTTAGAATGGCTTGTGAAAGTGTAAATCCTGAAGTTTTAGATCAACACAGCCTGCATTTCTAGGCTTTGACATGATTACCGTCTGTCAGGATTCCATGCCATTGAAAACATTTTCTAGTTGCTGCTGAGTGACAGGGGTTCTCAGTCCTTCCAAGGAATGTGGTTTTGATGAGTAAAAAGCAGCGTTTGATATGTCTGGCTTGACTGCACACATGCTTCAAGTTATTAAAGTTTAAAGTTGCTCAAGAGCTTTATTACAACCATACACATGCCCCGTAATTCCCAAATTGCCACAATAGGAAAAGCACAAGTGAAATTTAAGAACATCCCAATTTCCTTGAATATCATGCAAGTGGCCCTTTGGCGCCTGTCACTGTATACAAATTTGTCAATCTGCGAGGCCATAAACATGTTCCATCAGTTGGGGCCTTTGCATAACTCGAGAGAACTGCCTTTCATCTCATTTGAGGCTTGAAAGACTTGGACCTGAGTAAGAGGACTTATCTGCAACTACTAATTCATGCGAGTACCTGAAAATAGACCTTGTCCCTGTAAACCTGCTATGCTGATTAACAACTGGGAGAGATACGGGGCTGCGGTCTCCAGGGAGATGGCAGCCATATGGAGTTGGGAATGGGGTGAGGGTAAAAAGCAAAAGAATTGTCTTCTCTCTGCCAACTCCTTTGTTTGCCATTTCTTCTGCAGTGGAATGGTGCCCAGCAAAAGCAGGGAGTCTGTGGCATCTGAAGGCTCAAACCAGACAAGCGGCTACCAGTCCGGATATCACTCCGATGACACAGACACCACCGTGTACTCCAGTGAGGAAGCAGAACTTTTAAAGCTGATAGAGATTGGAGTGCAAACCGGTAGCACAGCCCAGATTCTCCAGCCTGACTCGGGGACCACACTGAGCTCTCCTCCTGTTTAAAAGGAAGCATCCACACCCCCAACTCCTGGACATCACATGAGAGGTGCTGCTCAGATTTTCAAGTGTTGTTCTTTCCACCAGCAGGAAGTAGCCGCATTTGATTTTCATTTCGACAACAGAAAAAGGACCTCGGACTGCAGGGAGCCAGTCTTCTAGGCATATCCTGGAAGAGGCTTGTGACCCAAGAATGTGTCTGTGTCTTCTCCCAGTGTTGACCTGATCCTCTTTTTCATTCATTTAAAAAGCATTTATCATGCCCCCTGCTGCGGGTCTCACCATGGGTTTAGAACAAAGACGTTCAAGAAATGGCCCCATCCTCAAAGAAGTAGCAGTACCTGGGGAGCTGACACTTCTGTAAAACTAGAAGATAAACCAGGCAATGTAAGTGTTCGAGGTGTTGAAGATGGGAAGGATTTGCAGGGCTGAGTCTATCCAAGAGGCTTTGTTTAGGACGTGGGTCCCAAGCCAAGCCTTAAGTGTGGAATTCGGATTGATAGAAAGGAAGACTAACGTTACCTTGCTTTGGAGAGTACTGGAGCCTGCAAATGCATTGTGTTTGCTCTGGTGGAGGTGGGCATGGGGTCTGTTCTGAAATGTAAAGGGTTCAGACGGGGTTTCTGGTTTTAGAAGGTTGCGTGTTCTTCGAGTTGGGCTAAAGTAGAGTTCGTTGTGCTGTTTCTGACTCCTAATGAGAGTTCCTTCCAGACCGTTACGTGTCTCCTGGCCAAGCCCCAGGAAGGAAATGATGCAGCTCTGGCTCCTTGTCTCCCAGGCTGATCCTTTATTCAGAATACCACAAAGAAAGGACATTCAGCTCAAGGCTCCCTGCCGTGTTGAAGAGTTCTGACTGCACAAACCAGCTTCTGGTTTCTTCTGGAATGAATACCCTCATATCTGTCCTGATGTGATATGTCTGAGACTGAATGCGGGAGGTTCAATGTGAAGCTGTGTGTGGTGTCAAAGTTTCAGGAAGGATTTTACCCTTTTGTTCTTCCCCCTGTCCCCAACCCACTCTCACCCCGCAACCCATCAGTATTTTAGTTATTTGGCCTCTACTCCAGTAAACCTGATTGGGTTTGTTCACTCTCTGAATGATTATTAGCCAGACTTCAAAATTATTTTATAGCCCAAATTATAACATCTATTGTATTATTTAGACTTTTAACATATAGAGCTATTTCTACTGATTTTTGCCCTTGTTCTGTCCTTTTTTTCAAAAAAGAAAATGTGTTTTTTGTTTGGTACCATAGTGTGAAATGCTGGGAACAATGACTATAAGACATGCTATGGCACATATATTTATAGTCTGTTTATGTAGAAACAAATGTAATATATTAAAGCCTTATATATAATGAACTTTGTACTATTCACATTTTGTATCAGTATTATGTAGCATAACAAAGGTCATAATGCTTTCAGCAATTGATGTCATTTTATTAAAGAACATTGAAAAACTTGAAGGAATCCCTTTGCAAGGTTGCATTACTGTACCCATCATTTCTAAAATGGAAGAGGGGGTGGCTGGGCACAGTGGCCGACACCTAAAAACCCAGCACTTTGGGGGGCCAAGGTGGGAGGATCGCTTGAGCCCAGGAGTTCAAGACCAGTCTGGCCAACATGGTCAGATTCCATCTCAAAGAAAAAAGGTAAAAATAAAATAAAATGGAGAAGAAGGAATCAGACATAATTTCCATGTGGTTGTTTTACATTTTTACTGGTTTTCTTACTCTTCTTATAAGGGATATTTTCATAAACTGATTATATATTTTACAAACCAATAAATGTATTTGTAGTACAAAGTATGAGGGTATAATATCACCACAACTATTTTGAGGATAAGTATGTCTGGTTTAAAGTTTAACTGCTTCTTCCCTCTTCTTCTTCATTACAAAGAATTCACACACACACACACACACACACACACACACACACACACGCCACGCATACACCCCCCAACACCCACACCTCCTCCCAGCCCCCCCACACCCACACATCCAACCCCCCATACTCACACTCACACCCCCTCACAGTCACACCCACCCCCACACACCTACACACCCACCAGCACACACATACCCACACACAGATCCACCCACACACCCACACCCACCCACATACACACACCCCCCCACATGCACACCCCCACACACACCCACCCCCCACACACCCATCCACACACCCACACATCCAACACCCCCGCACTCACCCACACCCCACACACACCCACACACAACCCACCCCCCACAGTCACAACCCCCCTCACATTCCCCCATACACGTCCTACACACCCACCACACACCACCCCCACACATCCACACTCCCACACACATCCCTCCACACACACCCCCCAACACTTTTTCATATTATATTCTAAGCACTTTAGAGATGTTAAAACAGAGATATGTGATTCCTTGGCCCTCCAGTGAACTCCATATCTGTTAGAATAGCCAATCATGAAACTCAGGGGGTGAAAGACCCTGAGACAAGTGATCAGACCCATGGCAGTGCAGGGAGGCATGGACCAGATTTACAGTCTCTAATAATATTCTACTCTATACTTACAGAGTCAGAACATAAGATCCATTATTGCCATTTTGAATGATTACCATCACCCAAATTCAGTAGGTGGAGTTATTTAATAAATTATTGGCCCAAATAAGTGACCTTATTTTTTGTGATTTTTTAATACAAGATTTTGAAATGTTTATCTAGTCAAATATGCCTCTCCCTATTTTTAAAAAATGGCTCCTAGGTTTTAAAAAATTTTATTAGAGAAGGTCTTTCCAATTCTAAACCCCCAATTCTAAATTTTCTTCTTTTATTGCATTTAAATCCATTTGGGATTATTTGCATATATGGAGCAAAGTGAAATAGGAGTCTAACTTTATTCTTTTTTTCAAGCAGATTATCAATCATGGCAGCACTGTTTATTAAATATCCCTGTTTTCCCTGTGGTTGGCAACAACCCTATTGTATCATTGTTCAAAACTAGCACGTCACTGAGACGTTCTGCACAGCTTTGTGATGAAGGGTGGGGCTGTTGCTGTTGTGTGTTCTTGGGGATGGCACTTCCAGATTGGGGATGAGAACATTAGGGTCTCCTGAAAGACACTGGTAAACTGTGGGTCAGGCTGGCCTTGTAGAGAGTTCCTCATCTGTTCCTGTTGTTACAGTCTCTTTCAGTAAATGAATGGAAGAGTCTAGGTTATTTGGGATGGAGAAGACCTTGTAGGAAAACACAGGATTTTCTTCACTTTAAGAAAAAGAGAAGATTTTCTTTTTCATAAGTGGCTCTGGCATTGCTTCCAATGCCAGAAATTTGGATTCAGCTGAAACTTCACACTTTATTAAGAAATGCTTTCAGCACCTCAGGCAGAATGATTAGGAGGTGAGGTTTGGCCTTCTTCCTCTCTTTTCTGTCTTCCATGCCTCTTGTTCTTAGCATTTTTTTTTCTCCTCATTTGCCCCTGTATTGAAGAAAAGTCTGTGGTTTCTAAAAGTGCTTCCTGCAGGGTCTTATTTTCAAAGCTTTCCTTGGAGGCTTTTGGTGTGTTTTAGGTGGGGCTACTGTTTCTCCCTCTGGCTTCTGCCCTCCCTCCTTCTCTCCCTTGATCCACTTCTGTCCTTCTCCCTCCCTTTAAACCCTCGTCTCCTCATCTTCCATTTCTCTCTCCACTCACCTTCTTCTCTGCACCCCCGACCCCAGCAGGAGAGGTGAGAGCTGTGGGGAGGGGGGGGTTTCAGTTCACTACCCCGGATTAGGTTTTCCTATCAATGCACATTCCTTTGTCCTCTTCAACAAAAGGACGAAAAGCAAAAAACCACAACCCACAGCTTTCTAGTTGCTGACTTAACCCAATTTTCCTGTACCCCCAGCATGTCTTTCTTTCTACCTTTGACTCAGATATTTATCAGCAGATGATAAAATGCAGGCAAACCCAGAAAGCTAAAGTCTTTGGAAAAAAATAGCTGTTCTTACACATCTTTCCTCATTTGCATGGGCCTTTCCCTTAGGGGCACTGGGCAAGTCCATGTATTCTTGGGTATGCAGTGAGCACAGCTCAAAGGGGGTTCTAACACATTTTTATAAGATTGCGTTTCCTAAATGAATCTCTTCCATTTAAGGATTTAGGCATAATTAAAAATCTGTAGCGTTTTTGTGAAAGCAAATTTAAGTTTAACTTTTGGAAAAGTTACAGACTGCTCTTAGGTGCTAAAAAATTAAAATGGTAAAATACGGTTTACCCTGTTTTTGATTGAAATGGAGAAAAGTGGCAGAATCTGGGAGGAGCAACCCGGAGAGAAATTAACAGCCAAGTTGACCTGAAGTTCTGGTAGTAGAACATACTGGCCCCAGGAGAGGTCTAACTCAGAGATAAGGGGGGAGTTATCTGAGTTAGGAAAAAGTATTCTAATGAAGACTACTGATAAGACAAGGTTTACAGTAAACTGTGGTTGATATCAAGTGAATGTTATTGAGAAGACATCAAATTGCACCATAGATTTTATTTGCTTTATAACGCAACATATGACTTTCCTGTAATTACTTAATGCCTCCTAGATGTTAAATTCAGCACTTTTGTGAATTTTTTTGTTTAAAAATAAAAAAAGAAAAGAAAATATGTGGTTTAATTTTTTATTTTATACTCACCTGTTGTTTATGCCAAGCATTTTAGAACATAGAATCAGCGTACTTACCAAAAGCTGGTGACAGTGGACCCTCATCCCTTAATTGTTTGAAGCTCTCAACTTTTAGATATTGCAATAGAAAAACAGAATAAGAAAATGGTTTTTACTCTAACTTTATTTCATTTTTTGCTCTGTTTATCTTTTCCTTTCTTCAGGAAATAATATTTTGGGGGAATAAATTCAGGAAAGACACCGATTCAAAAAAATTTTCATTACATATTTACTGTTTGGTGCAAACGTATACAAGAGCTTTGATTATCTCTAAAGAAAATAAATGGGCAGGGACATGAATAGCTAGACACTTGCAGCCACATTTAGCTATATCTCTGGAAATCAACTCATTATTTTCCTTTAGCACAATAAGAACAAAGAAACGCATGCCATCAAGCCTCACTAACTCATAAAATTATCCTTTCTTAATCACATCATGCAGGACCAACACTTTCAATAATGCTAAACTAGCTTGTTTCCTATATTTTTCATGATTTCAGATTTTAGTTAGAAAACACATGTATTTGTAGAAAGGTCCTTTTGTGGGTTGAGTTCTTCCAGTTAAAGGTACTCTCACAATGTCTGACTCTGGGTCTATGCGCAGCTCATAGGATCCAGACATGGAATGACTCACCAGGAGCCCTCCGAACAAACCTTACCAGGAGAGGTTTAACGAGATTCTGGTGCTTTGCACGGGAGATCTCTTTAAGCTGAAATAACTTATCCTGACAAAGGGGATTGAAAACATTCCATTCATTGCCACAGAGAGAACATAACTGGAATGAAAACCCAGATACGAGGCAGAGAACTCAAGCTAGACAGAAAGTGAACATCAATATCTCATAGTCACTCCCCAGGTTAACAAGAAAACTGGCAGACATCCCAAAACACATAGTGGGGAAAAGCAAGGCCTTCCGTAGAAACCAAGTGTCACGTTCAGATTCAGCCCTTAATACTAAACATTAAGTGAGTAATATTTAATTTATATATATTTATTTGATCATATTTAATTGCATCTATAACGTGCTTAAATGCGCCAGACATTATTTTACAGAGTTGGTTAATATGAACTCATTTAAGTAATTGGGACCCTAAGCAAGATGTAGGTATCACAGTGTAGACCACGTGGGTAGGCCAGAGTAGGATGCACAAAAAGAGTGTCATTAATGATTTCCACAAGTGTTTGTTAAGGATTTACTATGTGCCAGACAACCTATTAGGCAGTGGTCAAAATTATTTCCTTAGGTTCATGGGTTAAGGGTTATCAGCAGAACCACAGAGAGGAGGAAGGCCACTCTTATTCCAGAACAGTCTACATATCTTTATGGTCTTACCTTGATGAATTGAGCATAGTTCTCACTATTGGCTCAGTTATTCTTTATTCAGTCATTCTTATGTAAAGAGCTGAGTTCAGGAACCTCTTTAAGTATCGTAATGCATAGATTTACCATGGAGGCACCTAAGCTGACTTTAGAGTCAGGGAGCTCATGGGAAAAACCCAGGTAAGAACCCTGTTACAGAAGGCTGAGGAAATTAGGCTTATTTAGTCTGGTTCACCTCATGTTGCAAAATTTGCATTTCACTTGTAAAGCAAGATGAGATTGTGTTGGTGCTCTGGAAGAACTCCGTGTTAGCAGGGACTGAATGGCAACATGGAAGGAATCTTTGGTGTAATCGTTAAGCAATGCTATATTGTCCTTTTTACTACTGTTCTGTATTTTACTTTACTCTTTTTTTTTTTTTTTTGAGACAGGGTCTCACTCTGTCACCTGGGCTGGAGTACAGCAGTGTGATCTCAGCTCACTGCAACCTCCGTCCCCCCAGGTTCAAGCAATTCTCCTGCCTCAGCCTCCTGAGTAGCTGGGATTATAGGTGTGTGCCACTATACCCAGCTAATTTTTGTATTTTTAGTAGAACAGGGTTTCACCAATTTGGCCAGGCTGGTCTTGAACTCCTGACCTCTAGTGATCCATCCGCCTCGCCCTCCCAAAGTGCTGGGATTACAGGCTTGAGCCACAGTGCCCATGCTGCCTTTTACTTTTCTAATGGATGAACATACAGAGTACAGAAAGAATACGTTCTATCATCTCATTAGTTTTACTAGGAATTATTCAGTAAGGATTGTTTCATATAATGATTTTTTTCTTGGGGATTTCAAAAACATTATCAAGCAACACACACAACACTTCACAAATACACCTGTTTCACCAAGCAAAGGGTACTTCTGTATAAATCACCTTGAGAATCTTTTCAGCAGCCTGTACTTGAGTCAACAGAAATGAATTTTCCCTCAATTCAATCATTGTGGATAGATCATGATGTATTGCTGTGCTGTTCCCCTGCTCCTCTGTCTAATATGGTTGGCAAATTACCTTGAAGATCTGTCATGAAGAGAGAAAAAAGCATCCTCATTCTTCTCTTATCTTCTTATTCATCAGTGAATTTCAGAGTTTGGTCCAGCTTTTTTTCCTGTGACCCTTTGTACTGGAGGAAGGCTTATTGCTTCTTTGACAGAGGAGCAAAATGTTATGCCAGAATCCATTCGTAAGTTGGCTCTTACAAAATTAGTTAATAATGCTCACTTAAAAAAAATACCAGTGAGCATTAATTTTGGACAACAGATATGCTGGAGCAAGTTTAATCACAGCATAATAGAATTTAAAAATAAATATATATAATGTACTTAATTTGCATTATTTCTCTCTATTTCATGGTGATAGGCATCTAAGTAGCTCTGCAGTCACTCAGACATGAGCAGCTAGAAGGGTGGAGAACTGCTATTGATCATCTGCCACATGCCAGGCATCGAGCCTCATATATTATCTCATTAAATCCTTGCAAAGGCCCTTGCATTAGGTGCTGTTATCACCATGTTACAAGTGAAGATGGGCAGTTAAGGCTTGAAGCCTCAGTATGAAAGGTCACATATACCAGCATTGAATCCAGTCTACTGAAGACATGGGGGACATGTTCTTACTTGAGATAAAAGCCAGGATGAGATCTCTCTTGATGGCAGGCAGTGAGCTGACTCATCCTATAATAAATCAATCAGCCAAATGACAGGTACATATTAAGGTGACCTGGACCTTTAAGTGTCTTAGTCAGTATGTCTTGGCTTCAACATTCCCTTCTTTAAGGTAGCTTTACCTATGGGATAATTCCACTAAGCAATGACTAAACACAAAAGCTCAGCGTTGTAATAAACATCTAACTTCCAGAGGAAAGAGTGTGTTACTCACTAGCTATGTGGTCTTGAGCAAGTTACTTAACCTATCTGTGTCTTATGTTCCTCATCTGGATGAAGATTAAATGAGATGTGTGTAAAGCAGGTAGCACACTACTTCAAATGTGGCAAGCATTCAAGAAAGCTTAGCTATTTTTATATTCATGTGATGATGCTAGCGGTAGCGTAGTGTGGTAGACATACCTTGTTGAAAGACAGTTCTCAAAGATTGTCAGTTAACCTGCCCTCAACAAACTGCATGGAGGCCTTCAAAGAAATGTACTGCTCTTCTTGGTTCCTTTGGTTTAAAGATCTGCACAAAGACTTTCATATCATGAAGAATAAATTGCTGGGTGACAGGTGCCTGGGGAGGCTGAAGTATAACAGTCAAGACTCAGAAAGAGCTCACTGGTCAGGATTCAAAGGCTGCATCAAATAAATTTATTTGATATTTCTGCACCAATTTTGGAGTGGGACACCAGGCTTAGCAACAGGTTTAAGTTGGTTAGTTTGCTAATTAGTTATGTCAGTTTGCCAAAAATCAATTAGCCAGTGATCAATTTACTAAAGGTCAGGTTGTCAAATGAACAATTTGCCTACTGACTAACTCATCAAATTAAATTGATCAATAAACCAACATTCTTCAGTATTATTTATAAAGTTTATAGCAACTTGAGGGTTTCTATGAAGTTTTTATGGATTGATTTTCACTCTGCCTTCATAGCAGGATCTATGGAAGTTTCAATTTTCCAAAAGTTGAGGAATGCAGGCTTAAACCTTTCATAAATATATTTTATCATTTTCAATGACTTGAAAATGAATGGTAAAGAATGGTAAAAATGTCCAAATATTGAAAAAATTTAAAATGATATTCCAAAGGAATCAGAAAAACTCAAAAGTGGCCAGAGAAATTCTAGAAAGTTTTTGTCTATTGTGTTGACTGCTTTATGCCCAGCACCTAGAACAGTGCCTGACAATAGTAGGCCCTAAATAAATAGCTGTGGAATGCAATGATAAAATTGGCCATTTGGTGAATAGAATTTTAGCTAGTTGACTCTCAGCAAATTGATTTTTAGTGCCTTTAAGCTGCCCTCCTTGACACCAGCAAGAACAAAAGTACTTAGGGACTTTTGTTGAATGTGTTTTCAGAATATGATTGGGTTTCCAAAGAAGCAAAGGAAATTTTCAACTGTATAACTAGATAAACAAGTAGAGACAAGAAAGTGAGTTATCCTGTTGTCTACAAACTGGTCAGACCCCCTTGGATTCTGACCCTCAATGCTCGTGCTCACATTTAAGGGTTAACTTGACAAGCTGCAGCATACCTGGTAGAGGCTGATCGGGGTGGTCTTACAGAAAGAATGGTTGGGAAGCTGGAAGTAGACAGGGGAAGATTTGAGGGCAAGGGCTCTCTTTCAATATATGAAGAGGTTTTCAAGGAAAGCATTCTGGGTTTTTTTGTCTTCCCAAAGGGCAAAGTTAGACAACGGATAGAAACCATGAGAATAGTAGACCCTGGGTCATCTGATTCCCAATCACATGCCCTTTCCTTTATGTCTTTCAGGTTCTTCCCATTCTGGAGTAAGAGGATGTTGCTCTGTAAGGCTGTTGGGAAGGAGTCAAGAAGTTGCCAGGAGTTAAGGACTCAGGGAGGCATTTGGACCAGGGGACCTCCAAGTTCAAGTTCCCTTTTACATCAGCATATTGGACACCAAGCAGCTGGGCTCTCAAGTGAGACAGACCTGTGTTTGAATCCACCATTTAGTGGCTGTGTGATCATGTGCAACTTACTCAACCTCTCAGAGCCTCAGTTTCCTCATTAATAAAGTGGAGATAATAATAGAACACACCTTACAAGGTTGTTGTGAGGATTCAATAAAATACTGTATGTAAAGCACTTAGGACAGTGCCTGGCATATAATAAGCAATAAATGCCTTACTTTTTTTTTTTTTTTGTAGAGATGGGATCTTGCTATGTTGCCCAGGCCTCAAGTGATCCTCCTTGGCCTCTCAAAGTGCTGGGATTATAGGCGTGAGCCACAGTGCCCAGGCAAAATCACTGTGGTGAAGATGTCAATTCTGCTATAATTCTATGAGGAAAATGTGTTTTCTCCACTTCGCTGATGAGAAGACTAGGGCACACAAGTGGGGAATCAAACCCAGGGCCATTTGGCTCTAGAGCAGAGCAATTATCCACCAGGCCAACTCAAGGGGCCACCTTACCTATTATTACAGATCAATGAAAATGAATGCACTCTGTCTGCCTCTCTTTTTCCAATGAGTGATAACCAAGTTTTCTGTCTCAAACAGTTAAATGAGACACTTCTAAGAGCCCACCAAGTTCTTCTGAGGGCAGGAAAGTTATTTTTTGTTTTCAAAATAGCTGCTTCCACAGATGACGCCCAAATATATACACAACACTTCAGTCTTTGCCGTGGACTCCAGACTTCTGCTTTGTTCAGGGGTCTGGGCGGAATGGAGACAGGAAGAGGAGCTGAGACACAGTGGCCAAGGAGCTGAGTCCAGGATGGGGGAAGCAGGGAAGTGACTCTGTGAGTCACAGGCTGGAAAGCTACAGCCTGCCCCTCTGCTACGGGCTCTTCACACAGGGAGACATTTCCTGATCTTTGCACTCTGCATCACCTCCTTGCATGAGTTTCTTAAGACAAGGTCTTTAGCTGAATTGTTATAAGCCAAGGGAAGGAGTGTTTTTAGTGTCTGCCAAGCCTGGGAATCTCCCAAGCCTTGAGAAAATAGTATGTGAGGCAAATTGGCTTCCCTGCGGAGACCTCCCTTGCCATGGTGGCAAAAGGAAGCCAGCAGCATTGACTTGTTTCCTTGGGGGTTGGAAGGGTTTAGCTAGCTTGTGTTAAAAAGCCAAAGACGTTTATCCTTTAAACACAAGTGTTACTATTATAATAGTCCTCCCACAGCATCCTTGGGAAGGACAAAGACTTCACTTTGACTTTGGCTAAAGATATCCCATGATCCTCTGGGACTTGAGCACCCAAGCTCCACATTGTATGAAGGTTGACATCGGACATGCTGGTCACCTTGTGAGTAGAATTGACATGTGGTCATCCGGGTCTGGACCCTTGACCTTTGACTGGTTTATGGAGGATAGAAGGCAGGGAGGAATCTTCCCCCTTGGCTTTGGCCTGCTGGTTTCTAGTTCAGGATGAGACCCTGTTCAGGCCTGTCCTTCAGCCTGTAGACTAATTAGACCCTAGAAGACGTTCGTGGAGTCATTTGGAAACTGCACGGGTGCTCAAACATATGGCACTGATAAGGATCACAGCCTTAGAGATAAGGAGCTATTTAACGGAATCTGAGGAAGCCCAGGGTTTGTTTTCATAAAGCTGGACAATGTAAAGTGTAATCCCTACACAGATGTAATTAGCTGTTAAGCGTATTAAGTCCGCAAGGAGAGGACACTCTGGCTGGTTCATAAATTACTGTGAGTCCACCCCAGGGAAACCGAATCAATGGCAGGTATCTTTTCCTGATAGATCATTAGAATGGCAACTAGTGATGGATCAGGAGGGTGATCTTACGGGGTCCTAAGGAAACAGGACATGGAGGAACCACAGCCATGAATGACCAAGGGCCCTGGCGCCTTTTGTTTCCATAAAAAAGGCAGCTTTGAAGAAGTCATAGCTGCCTTAGCTCAGTACGGCAGCCACTCAGTGTTTTCTGCTAATTCCAGGGTTTGGCACTTTGATGTTAGGTTGCATGGAAATGCTAGAGGATCCTGGTGAAGGTTGCTTCCCCTGCAGAACAGCAAATGGATGCTGGGCAAGCCTATTAAAGCTGTAGCTTTGCATGGGGTTAGCAGTCTGGAGGCTCTAAGTCCCATTTCTAGCCAAGCAGTTGCTAAATGGCTTTCACTTCATGTGCCAATGTCATTTCCACTGATTTAATATTAACAATAATAACAAAAATGATAATAACCTAAGATTATTAAGAGCTAATTTCACTAGGCAGAGTAATACACAGTTACATATCTGTTATCTAATGTATTTCTCACAACAACCCTATGAGCTAGCTACTAATATTATCACCAATTTACAGATGAAGAAACTGAGGTTTAGACATGTTAACTTAATGTGTCCAAAGTTATATAGTTAGTAAGTAGTAGATCTGGGTTTTCACTCCAGAAGCTGATTTCAGAATTTATGATTGTAACAAATAATTTGGGGCTCATTAGTAACATTTCTCAATGCCTTGTGGAAAAATCTGCCATTCTTCAGATTCCAGTTGATATCAAGACCAACCAAAAATAAGTGACAAAGATGTATCGACAGAGCTTATAATAATATGTTCTTTCATATATCATTTCTTGCCTGGTCTAGCCTGATCTTTGGAAATTCATTGGGGCTTTTATGTCACAATTAACTTTACGTTGTTTGGGAACTTTTTGAGATGGTGAAAGCACAGAGCAGTCGTGAAAAGCACTTGCTATCATATTTTTGGATTTCTTCAATATTTTATAGAAATGAGACTTCTCAAGCAAATAACCAACAGTTGGGATGGGATGCTGGGGAGATTATCACAAGTTAAAATTTAGGATTTTAAAGTAAAATCTGGCTGGGCACGATGGCTCACACCTGTAATCCCAGCACTTTGGGAGGCTGAGGCAGGCAGATCACGTGAGTTCAGTAGTTTGAGACCAGCCTGGCCAACATAATGAAACCCCATCTCTACTAATACAAATATTAGCCGGTTATGGTGGTGGGTGCCTGTAATACCAGTTGCTCAGGAGGTTGAAGCAGGAGAATCACTTGAAGCTGGGAGGCAGAAGTTGCAGTGAGCCAAGATCATGATATTGCACTCCAGCCTGGGCGACAAGAGTGAAACTCCATCTCAAAAAAAAAAAAAAAAAAAAAAAAAAAAAAAAAAAAAAAAAAAAAAAAAGAAAAAGAAAAAGAAAAGAAGAAAGAAAAAGAAAAAAGAAGTAAAATCTTGAGAAAGGTTCTTTCCTTTGAATTGGCCAGTTAGCCCTCCAGTAGAAGGCTCTCTGGAGAGTGTGGGAGCCTGGGCAGCAGCAGTTACTTCTGGGGAGATGGTTGTTATACAGATACTACCTTTTTGCAAGTTCACATTCTCTTTCTCTTCTGGTCTTCTCCATGCATCTTTCATTCAGAAATATTTGACTACTGAAAATATCTTCTTTGCAAATACAATTTACATTCACTAGAGGCAAACTGTGATGTCACTGATGTCAGATGCTATCTGAATCTTCAATCCACTGACATGTGATGAAAAAAAAATACCTAGGGACAGAATCACTTTAAGTGGAAGCTTAAATGATTTCTCTTAAACAACGAGAGATTCTCCCACCAGACACTCAATTAAAAGTTAGTCCCAGGCTACTCCTGACCTCTGCAACCTGCTGGGTTCTTAGTCTGCAAGAATTAAGCTCTGTATTGTAATACACTGAGTCCATACGTGGAGACAGTATGACTGTCCTGAACATTTAACATACCAGGTGAGCAATAGACATAGAATGGCAAGACAGTAAGTGGCCTTTGCGGCTAAGCAAGGACCAGGTAGGTCTGGAACAGGGAGTGCCCAGGTCAGCCAGGCTATGCTGGGAGGAAAACATAGCTTACTCTATATCTTATCAATTGCCATTTTCTGTGATTTAAGACAGCACCGTATTCAATTTTTCAAAAGTGTGTTGGGGGTGGGGTGGGGCAGGCATGGATGGAAATCTTCTAAATGCCATAGTGCTCATTTCCAGAGCCTTCGTGAGATAACGTCCCACCAGGAGCTGTGTGGGGGCACTTAAGGGTAGCTTTGCCTTAAGGCAAAATAATAATCACAAAGCGATCTTTACTTTTTCTGATAAAGCTCTCCATCTTGCCTACTGGCAGAAGCTGGTGAACGTTATATTTGAGTTAAGCACTAAAAGCAGCAGGGAGCATTGAGATAAATTGCTGCAATTATTAACTTACTTGCTGTTTAATGGCACAAAAACCATCAGTAGTATGGTGGGCTTGACCGGGTTCCCACAGTGATCGTGAGATTTTTGGGTCTGGCTTATTATATTTTATTGGTAGCCCACAGCTTGTGCTGATGGTACAGCCATGACTGGGAAGTGTTAGTGCCTGAAAGGTGCATAGTTGTCTCCTCAGCCAAGTGTACTCCCAGGGCCAGGGCAGAGAGAGTGGTGGGCCAGTTTGGAGTTGTCATTCTCATTTGGGATTCTGTGATTTTTTTTTTTTTTACTATTTATCTCAAGAGACAGCTTTGTTATGCCGTTGCACCCACCAACTGTTCAGATATGGTACTTTCAATGATGTGTATTACGAACTGATGCCGCAGTAGATATCCGAGAGCTTGTTGAACTCTCTTTTAAAAAGGTACTATTTATAACAGCCCTCTGCTAAACATGATTTTAAGAATGTACTTGCATAAAAAAAACTTTTTGAAGTTTGTTGGGAATTTATAGAAACTCAAGGTATGAAGATTGTAAAGGCCTGTACTTTCCACAATGTACCAACCAAAACCATGAGATATTTAAATACTGTATTCATTTGACAGTCCTACCCAAACTCAATATTTGCTAAAAATACAGTAAAAAGGTAACTCTTTACAAAGTATTTCTGGAAAACATAAAATATATACTTTTATTAAATGACTAAGCAGGTTCTTTCACGTCTTTAATCCTTAATGTGTTACAAATATCCAAAGTCACCTGGAATTGGCTTTGGATGGGTTTCGCTATAAATGCCCGGGAAACAGAAGAAATCAATAATGCTGCACTTTAGAAGCCAAGATCTCAGTTCCAGGAGGAACCTAGGTGTGAAAATCTCAAAACAAATCTCTGCTTTGAAGGTTTTAAAAAAACCCAAAACAACAATAACAACAACAAAAACGGTGGAGATATCCTCAAAGGTGTCTATATCAGTCAAGATGCTTTCTGATGTCACTAACAGAAAACCCTGACTCAGAGCGCTTGGCCTCTGAAGACCCTGACTTTACACTAGGAAAACTTGGGGATCAGTGTTATTTAAATCCCCCTAGGGATTCTGAATCATAGCAAAAGTTGGGAACTACTGGTTTTAACAATAAGAAAACTTATCACCTCACAAAGCAGGAAGTCTGGAGGTAGAACGCGCTTCAGCCTTATTGAAATCAGCAGCTCAGTGAAACCTTCAAGGACCCAGGCTTTCCAAGCTCTTGCTTTTCTGCCTTCAGTGGCAGTTTCAGCATCACACAGGGAGCAAAATGGCTGCATTTGGTCAAAACACATAAATTTGGAGGAAGAAGAGATACCATCTCATCCTGAGCTCTCTCTCAGAAGCAAGCAAATGATCCCCAGAAGCTCTCACCCCTACCTCAGATCTCACCTCACAGTTCATTGGTCAGAGGTGGCCCATTGCTAACTCTGCTACTAGCAAGGAGAATGGGATTATCCTTAGACCAATCAGGGTTTCTCTTGGAACTTGGGGTGGGATGGTCAAAGCTTAAAGCTTCATCATGAAGCTCTTGATTGTGTGCCTAAACGAATTGGGGTTCCTTATGAAGGAAAAGGAAGTACAGATGAGAGTAGGCAACCCAATGCCCACCAGGGTATCATTTCTATGAGGACGAGTTGAACTAGAGTGAAATATTTGGCCTCATTTTTCTTTTCACTGCTTTTTTTTGGGCCAGAAAAGTACTATATGTTCTTTGTGAAAAAAGCCAAAAAAATTCGAGATATTAAAATCACTCATTACTTTTTTCCTGGGATAACATTATTAATATTTGGCATTTAACCATATATATCATTATACTATACATATGGCTATTTAATATTTATATGTTTATGTGTGATTATATATATCTCTATATAAATACACAGATATACATATATACACATAAATAAATGTATGATACACACATATGTATAAATATCATGAGATTATAATATACATGGTGTTTTATAATACTTTCTCATTAAAGATACAATGTGAACATTTCTTCATATTATTAAATACTCTTCTAAATTCTGATTTTTTAGAAAAGAGATGGGGGTCTCGCTATGCTGCCCAGGCTGGAGTGCAGTGGCTATTCACAGGTGTGATCCTACTACTGATCAGCATGAGAATTTTGACCTGCTTGGTTTTTGACCTGGGTTGATTCATGCCTTCTTAGGCAACCTGGTGGTCCTTGCTCCATATTAATGTTGAACTTGGTGCAGATAGATGATTATATAGTGTATTACAGCCCAGAGCTCCTGAGCTCAGGTAACCCTCCCAGCTCAACTTTGCCTCACCGGTAGCTGGGACTACAGGCACGTGCCACTGTGCAATGGTCACACAGTATTCTATTGTGAAATGTGCTGTAATAACCTGTCTTTTGTTGTTTGAGATTTATTTCTTGTCCATGTTTTCTTTATTATAGTTATTTGATAAACATTCACTGTGTCAATTTATTTTCTTTTGGAGATCTATTCCTGGAGGCAGAATTAAGGTTAAGAACATTTCTAAATCCTGGCCGGGCACGGTGGCTCACGCCTGTAATCCCAGCACTTTGGGAGGCAGAGGCAGGCGGATCATGAGGTCAGGAGATCGAGACCATCCTGGCTAAAACAGTGAAACCCCGCCTCTACTAAAAATACAAAAAATTAGCCTGGCGTGGTGGCAGGCGCCTGTAGTCCCAGCTACTGGGGAGGCTGAGACAGGAGAATGGCGTGAACCCAGGAGGCGGAGCTTGCAGTGAGCCGAGATCGCGCCACTGCACTCCAGCCTGGGCGACAGAGCGAGACTCCGTCTCAAAAAAAAAAAAAAAAAAAGAACATTTCTAAATCCTTTAACAACTATTGCTAATTTATCAACAAGTGGTACAATACCTTAGGAAAGCCACTCAGGTAGAGCATGGATTTGTCCAGCTGTATTGAAAACCTTAAAAATATTTATATGTACTAATTCCTATTCCTAGGAATTTATACTGAGGAATTAAACTGAATCAAACAAAAGTAGGGAGAAGGCTATCTGTATGAAAATTTTATTAGTAGCATTATTTAAAATAGTAAACTTTTTGAAACAATCTAAATGTATTTTTTTCTTTTTTTCTTTTTTTCTTTTTTTTTTTGAGGCAGGGTACTGCTCTGTCACCCAGGCTGGAGTGCAGTGGCACAATCATAGCTCACTGTAGCCTCAAACTCCTGGGCTCAAGCAATCCTCCTGCCTCAGGCTTCCAAGTAACTGGGACCACAGGTGCATGCCACCTGGCTTGGCTAATTTTTAAATTACATTTTTGTAGACATGGGGTCTTGCTATGTTGCCCAGGCTGGCCTTGAACTCCTGGCCTCAAGCAATTCTCCCTCCTTGGCCTCCCAAAGTACTGGGGTTACAGACATGAGGCACTGGGCCTGGCCCCAGAATAAGTTAACTTTAAACTATCTCCTTATCCATTTTCCATGTATATTAGTCCATTCTCACACTGCCAATAAAGACATATCCAAGACTGAGTAATTTATAAAGAAAAGAGGTTTAATTGACTCACAGTTCAGCATGGCTGAGGAGGTCTCAGGAAACTTACAATCATAGCGGAAGGGGAAGCAAACCTGTCTTTCTTCACATGGTGGCAGGAAGGAGAAGTGCCAAGCAAAAGGGGGAAAAGCCCTTTATAAAACCATCAGATGTCATGAGAACTTACTCACTATCACGAGAACAGCAAGAGGGTAACCAACCCCATGATTCAATTACTCCCCACCAGGTCTTTCCCATGACATGTGAGAATTATGGGAACTACAATTCAAGATAAGATTTGGATGGAAACACAGCCAAACCATATCCCCTTCTTAACTAGAATTTAAATTATCTAGGCTGGGCATGGTGGCTCACACTTGTAATCCCAGCACTTTGGGAGGCAAAGACGGGTGGATCACTTGGGGCCAGGAGTTTGAGACCAGCCTGGCCAACATCCTGAAACCCCAGCTCTACTAAAAATACAAAAAATAGCTGTGTGTGGTGGCATGTGCCTATAGTCCCAGCTACTCAGAAGGTTGAGGCAGGAGAATTGCTTGAACCTGAAAGGCAGAGGTTGCAGTGAGCCGAGATCAAGCCAGTGCACTCCAGGCTGGGTAACAGAATGAGACTCAGTCTCAAAAAAAAAAAATCTAAAATTAGTTTTCTTTTTGAAAAATTAATTCTTTTTTAAACTTAATAACATTTACCATTTTTTCTTTGTTCCCCATTACTTATACATTCCATTTCTTCTGGTTTCAATTTCTTTTTGGATACATTCTTTTCTTTTTTTTTTTTTTTTATTATACTTTAAGTTTTAGGGTACACGTGCACATTGTGCAGGTTACTTACATATGTATACATGTGCCATGCTGGTGCGCTGCACCCAGTAACTCATCATCTAGCAGTAGGTATATCTCCCGATGCTATCCCTCCCCCTTCCCCCCACCCCACAACAGTCCCCAGAGTGTGATATTCCCCTTCCTGTGTCCATGTGATCTCATTGTTCAATTCCCACCTATGAGTGAGAATATGCGGTGTTTGGTTTTTTGTTCTTGCGATAGTTTACTGAGAATGATGATTTCCAATTTCATCCATGTCCCTACAAAGGACATGAACTCATCCTTTTTTATGGCTGCATAGTATTCCATGGTGTATATGTGCCACATTTTCTTAATCCAGTCTATCATTGTTGGACATTTGGGTTGGTTCCAAGTCTTTGCTATTGTGAATAATGCCGCAATAAACATACATGTGCATATGTCTTTATAGCAGCATGATTTATAGTCCTTTGGGTATATACCCAGTAATGGGATGGCTGGGTCAAATGGTATTTCCAGTTCTAGATCCCTGAGGAATTGCCACACTGACTTCCACAATGGTTGAACTAGTTTACAGTCCCACCAACAGTGTAAAAGTGTTCCTATTTCTCCACATCCTCTCCAGCATCTGTTGTTTCCTGACTTTTTAATGATTGCCATTCTAACTGGTGTGAGATGGTATCTCATTGTGGTTTTGATTTGCATTTCTCTGATGGCCAGTGATGATGAGCATTTTTTCATGTGTTTTTTTTGGCTGCATAAATGTCTTCTTTTGAGAAGTGTCTGTTCATGTCCTTCGCCCACTTTTTGATGGGGTTGTTTGTTTTTTTCTTGTAAATTTGTTTGAGTTCATTGTAGATTCTGGATATTAGCCCTTTGTCAGATGAGTAGGTTGCGAAAATTTTCTGCCATTTTGTAGGTTGCCTGTTCACTCTGATGGTAGTTTCTTTTGCTGTGCAGAAGCTCTTTAGTTTAATTAGATCCCATTTGTCAATTTTGGCTTTTGTTGCCATTGCTTTTGGTGTTTTAGACATGAAGTCCTTGCCCATGCCTATGTCCTGAATGGTATTGCCTAGGTTTTCTTCTAGGGTTTTTATGGTTTTAGGTCTAACATTTAACTCTTTAATCCATCTTGAACTGATTTTTGTATAAGGTGTAAGGAAGGGATCCAGTTTCAGCTTTCTACATATGGCTAGCCAGTTTTCCCAGCACCATTTATTAAATAGGAAATTCTTTCCCCATTGCTTGTTTTTCTCAGGTTTGTCAAAGATCAGATAGTTGTAGATATGCGGCGTTATTTCTGAGGGCTCTGTTCTGTTCCATTGATCTATATCTCTGTTTTGGTACCAGTACCATGCTGTTTTGGTTACTGTAGCCTTGTAGTATAGTTTGAAGTCAGGTAGTGTGATGCCTCCAGCTTTGTTCTTTTGGCTTAGGATTGACTTGGCGATGCGGGCTCTTTTTTGGTTCCATATGAACTTTAAAGTAGTTTTTTCCAATTCTGTGAAGAAAGTCATTGGTAGCTTGATGGGGATGGCATTGAATCTATAAATTACCTTGGGCAGTATGGCCATTTTCATGATATTGATTCTTCCTATGCATGAGCATGGAATGTTCCTCCATTTGTTTGTATCCTCTTTTATTTCCTTGAGCAGTGGTTTGTAGTTCTCCTTGAAGAGGTCCTTCACATCCCTTGTAAGTTGGATTCCTAGGTATTTTATTCTCTTTGAAGCAATTGTGAATGGGTGTTCACTCATGATTTGGCTCTCTGTTTGTCTGTTGTTGGTGTATAAGAATGCTTGTGATTTTTGTACATTGATTTTGTATCCTGAGACTTTGCTGAAGTTGCTTATCAGCTTAAGGAGATTTTGGGCTGAGACAATGGGGTTTTCTAGATATACAATCATGTCATCTGCAAACAGGGACAATTTGACTTCCTCTTTTCCTAATTGAATACCCTTTATTTCCTTCTCCTGCCTGATTTCCCTGGCCAGAACTTCTAACACTATGTTGAATAGGAGTGGTGAGAGAGGGCATCCCTCTCTTGTGCCAGTTTTCAAAGGGAATGCTTCCAGTTTTTGCCCATTCAATATGATATTGGCTGTGGGTTTATCATAGATAGCTCTTATTATTTTGAAATACGTCCCATCAATACCTAATTTATTGAGATCAAATTCACACATAACAATATTAACTTTAAATGTAAATGGACTAAATGCCCCAATTAAAAGACACAGACTGGCAAATTGGATAAAGAGTCAAGACCCATCAGTGTGCTGTATTCAGGAAACCCATCTCACGTGCAGAGACACACATAGGCTCAAAATAAAAGGATGGAGGAAGATCTACCAAGCCAATGGAAAACAAAAAAAGGCAGGGGTTGCAATCCTAGTCTCTGATAAAACAGACTTTAAACCAACAAAGATCAAAAGAGACAAAGAAGGCCATTACATAATGGTAAAGGGATCAATTCAACAAGAGGAGCTAACTATCCTAAATATTTATGCACCCAATACAGGAGCACCCAGATTCATAAAGCAAGTCCTGAGTGACCTACAAAGAGACTTAGACTCCCACACATTAATAATGGGAGACTTTAACAGCCCTCTGTCAACATTAGACAGATCAACGAGACAGAAAGTCAACAAGGATACCCAGGAATTGAACTCAGCTCTGCACCAAGCAGACCTAATAGACATCTACAGAACTCTCCACCCCAAATCAACAGAATACACATTTTTTTCAGCACCACACCACACCTATTCCAAAATTGACCACATACTGGGAAGTAAAGCTCTCCTCAGCAAATGTAAAAGAACAGAAATTATAATAAACTATCTCTCAGACCACAGTGCAATCAAACTAGAACTGAGGATTAAGAATCTCACTCAAAACTGCTCAACTACATGGAAACTGAACAACCTGCTCTTGAATGACTACTGGGTACATAACGAAATGAAGACAGAAATAAAGATGTTCTTTGAAACCAATGAGAACAAAGACACAACATACCAGAATCTCTGGGACACATTCAAAGCAGTGTGTAGAGGGAAATTTATAGCACTAAATGCCCACAAGAGAAAGCAGGAAAGATCCAAAATTGACACCCTAACATCACAATTAAAAGAACTAGAAAAGCAAGAGCAAACACATTCAAAAGCTAGCAGAAGGCAAGAAATAACTAAAATCAGAGCAGAACTGAAGGAAATAGAGACACAAAAAACCCTTCAAAAAATTAATGAATCCAGGAGCTGGTTTTTTGAAAGGATCAACAAAATTGATAGACCGCTAGCAAGACTAATAAAGAAAAAAAGAGAGAAGAATCAAATAGACGCAATAAAAAATGATAAAGGGGATATCACCACCGATCCCACAGAAATACAAACTACCATCAGGGAATACTACAAACACCTCTATGCAAATAAACTAGAAAATCTAGAAGAAATGGATAAATTCCTGGACACATACTCTCTCCCAAGACTAAACCAGGAAGAAGTTGAATCTCTGAATAGACCAATAACAGGCTCTGAAATTGTGGCAATAATCAATAGCTTACCAACCAAAAAGAGTCCAGGACCAGATGGATTCACAGCCGAATTCTACCAGAGGTACAAGGAGGAACTGGTACCATTCCTTCTGAAACTATTCCAATCAATAGAAAAAGAGGGAATCCCCCCTAACTCATTTTATGAGGCCAGCATCATTCTGATACCAAAGCCAGGCAGAGACACAACAAAAAAAGAGAATTTTAGACCAATATCCTTGATGAACATTGATGCAAAAATCCTCAATAAAATACTGGCAAAATGAATCCAGCAGCACATCAAAAAGCTTATCCACCATGATCAAGTGGGCCTCATCCCTGGGATGCAAGGCTGGTTCAATATACGCAAATCAATAAATGTAATCCAGCATATAAACAGAGCCAAAGACAAAAACCACATGATTATCTCAATAGATGCAGAAAAAGCCTTTGACAAAATTCAACAACCCTTCATGCTAAAAACTCTCAATAAATTAGGATACATTCTTTTCTATGAGGATTTATATATAAAAAAATTCCTTAACCTTTGTTAGTCTAACAATGTCTTTATTTCACCTTTACTCTTAAGTGATAGTTTAGTCAGTTACACAATTCTTTGTTAAAAATTGTCTTTCCTAATGTAAACATATCATTCCCTTGTCTTCTGGTACCTATTATTGCTAATGAAACGTTTGCTGCCTATCAAATTGCTATTTCTTTGGAGATAGTTGGTTTTCCTTTAACTGTTAACTGCAGCTTTAAGCTTTTTCTTTTTGAGTTTAATATTTATAATTCTACTGCAATGAACCTAGTTGTAAATTTGTTTTTATTTATGTTATTTAGGACATAGTGTGCTCCTTCAACCTGAGGTCTTATTTCTTTATTTTCAGAAAAAATTTTGCCTATAATCTCTTTGAATATTGCCTCTCTTCTATTCTCCCTGGAATTTCTATTAGATGTATGGGATGCTGGAGATTTTCATTCTGTTTTTGAGGTTTTCTTGATTTAATTTCCTCACCTGTGACTTGTAGATCAAATAGTTCTCACATACCAAGGGTTTATGGAAAAGTTAAATGAGTTGTGGTAAGCAGCCTATAAGAAGGCCCCCAGTAACCTACCTCTTGGTGTTCATACCCTTGTGCAATCCCCTTTCCTTGAGTGTGGTCTGGACCTAATGACTTGCTTCTAATAAATAGAATATGATAGGAGGGATGGGATGTCACTTCTGAAATTAGGTTACAAATTGACTGTGATTTCCATCTTGCGTGCTGTCCTTAACTCTCTTGCTTACTTGCTCTGAGGGAGGCCTGCTGTTATATTGTGAACTGCCCTATGGATAGGCCCAAAATGTGTTAAGGAACTGAGAAAATCCTCTGGCCAATATCTAACAAGATACTGAGGCTCTCAGTCCAATAGCCCACAAGGGACTGAATCTGCCAATAACCATGAGTGAGCCTGGAAAAGTATTCTTCCTCAGTTGAGCCTTTAGATGAGACTGCAGCCCCAGACAACACCTTAATTGTAGACTTGTGAGAGACTTGAAGCAGAGGCACCCAGTTAAGCCACACTGAATTTCTGACTCAAAGAAACTGAGATAATAATAGTTGTTGCTTTAAGTATTTAAGTTATGAGGTGATTTTTAATGCAGCAATAGGTAACTAATACATGAATTGTTGTACAGAAATCACTTAGAATAATGACTGAATCTTCCAAAAAAGTTAGTCATTAATATTCTTACTAGTAGTCATTCTAATACTATTACATTCCACTTTGATGAATTCTGTCTTCAGTTGATTGCTGCCTAACCCAATCCATTAAGCTTTTGACTATGTTTCTAGAATTTCTATCTCATTCCTATTCAAATCCCTGTTATTTTTCCTTAGCAGTCTCCTTATGCTTATCTTGTTGTATAATATAGATAAGTAGATATCAATAGATTTATGTATTTATTTTGGAAGGGGTCTCTGTCTTTGTTTGGGCTGCTATAACTACTATAGACTGTGTGACTTACACATAACAAAACTTTATTTCTTATAGTTACAGAGGCTGGGAAGTTCAAGACTGAGACGAGCAGATTCAGTGCCTGGTGAGGGCTCTCTTCTTGATTCAGAGATGGCACTTTCTTATTGTATCCTCAAATGGTGGAAGAGACAAGGGGCCTCTCTTGGGCCTCTTTTATAAGGGCACTAAAACTATTCATGAGGTCTCCACTCCATGACCTAATTACCTTCCAAAGGCTCCACCTCCTAATATCATCACCTTAGGGGTTAGGATTTCAACATATGAATTTTGCGGGATCACGTCAGACTCTGGCAGTCTTATTCAGATTATTCTTCAGATTATTCCGTTATTTTTTCTGTTTTTTAGGTGTGATTTCTCCCATTTGCTCCATTTGCAGAGTCATTCTTGTATAAGTAATTTTATTTTCTGTGAACCTATCTTCACCAGTGGTTTGTTTGTCTTGTGGTTTTCGTTCAAGTCTAAGATTGCTGTAGAAGAGTCTTATATGATGGTTTCACATGTGCCTCTGACAGCTTTTTATAGATATTCTAGACCGGGACCATTTTTTATCAGCTTCTTAGCTTGAAATTCCTGTAGTACTCATACCAGATTTAGGTTCTAATTTCTCGCAAGTGATTTCTTTCTTTTCATTCCTTTTCACTCATAACCAGATGACCAGCTTACTCTACTGGTGTTCCCAAGCACCAAGATAACCTTTCCTGTCTCCTGACTTCATGAGGGAGCCCAGGTCTTCCTACCTGACATGTGAGTACTTTATCTCCTATCCTTGTTAGACATTCACATTCCAGGCTCTAAAGACTTCAGGTCAAAAATACCTATGATCTATTAAGCTTTAGTTACTTGTCCGGGTACTGGCACCTAAAGATTTTCTTGCTTTCTTTTAAATATCTCCTGTGGATCCCATATTTTGTAACTCATCATTTCCATGTGTTTGAGAGGTGGAGGAGGCTATCTATATCTGCGTGGCATATTATATTGACCTACAATTGTGTCTTACTGCAGAAAAATGTTTCCATCTTTGAGGGAAACTTGAATGTTAAATAGAAAGGATTGTTTTAAGATTACATACTTTTCACTATGGAAAAGACTGAAACTAAAAATACCTGTGGCAGGTTTCAGGTGAGGTGTATCCAGTCAATCCCCAAACCTCTTGGTGTCTGCCTGAGATTGGAAACGAAATAACTATTGATCAACTCTGTTGGCATTAAATTAATGCAGTCAACAGAGATGAGAATGCATGGCCTTGTCTGTGAGATGTACAACTTTGACTGTTTCTATGCATAATCACAACAGTGAATTCAAATGCCTCGTACTAAGAGAAGATTTAAGTAAAGGTATTATTTCTCTTTTACCAGTGGTAAAGCATCAAAGGAAGAAGTTATCATCCTGAGCAAAATGTGTTAAGGAATTGACTATGTGGTTTGATAAGTTCAGGAAGGCAGGCTTAGGCATTGTATAGTCTGCTTGGGCCACCATAGCAGAAATTTATTATTTTCACTGCTCTGGAGGATAGACATCCAAGATTAAGGTTCTGGACAGTTCAATTGCTGGTGAGGACTCTCTTCTTGGCTTGTAGATGGCTGTCTTCTTGTTGTATCTTCACACAGAATTTCCTCATTGCATTCATGAGCAAAGATGGAGAGAGAGAGACAGAGACAGAGAAAGAGAGAGAGAGAGAGAGAGAGAGAGAGGTAGTTTTCTGATGTCTCTTCTTATAAGGACACTAGTCCTATTGAATCAGAATCCCACTCTTATGACCTCATTTAACCTCAATTACTTCCTTACTTCAAATACAGCCACACTGGAGGTTAAGGCTTTAATGTATAATTTTTTTTTTTATGAGATAGAGTCTCACTCTGTCACTCAGGCTGGAGGGCAGTGGCACATTCTTGGCTCGCTGCAACTTCTGCCTCCTGGGTTCAAGTGATTCTCCTGCCTCAGCCTCCCAAGTAGCTAGTGCTACAGGCATGTGCCACTATGCCCAGCTAATTTTTGTATTTTTAGTAGAGACAGTGTTTCACCATATTGACTAGGCTGGTCTCAAACTCCTGACCTCAAGTGATCTGCCCACCTTGGCCTCCCAAAGAGCTTGGATTACAGGCATAAGCCACCATGCCTAGCCTTTTAATATATACATTTTGAAGGGACACAAATATTCAGTCTCCAACAGGCATCTTATCAGAACATGCAGGAAAACTGAATGTAACATAAGAATAATGTCAAACACTTTTCTGGAAAAGGCATCTTAAATTTATTCATGTACTCATGCATTCAATATTTTTTTGTGAGTCTCTGTAAAAAATAAAGATGAAGGCTACTGCTTTCAAGAGATCTTTACGGAGAAAGGGAAAAAGAAGGTGTCTAAGAAGAAGAAGGAGGAAAAGGAGAAGATAGAGAGAATGTAATTACTATTCTCAACATTTTCTTTCTAAAGACATTCCTACAAGTCACATCAAGATAACCTGTTGAAATGAAGAATAGTGATGCTTATCATTTGGCTATTTATCCAGAAGGAAGATGAGGTCTTCAGTCCATCTATTCTTCCTTATAAAGAAAAGTTCACATGGGTGAGCAGTTATGAAATATTTCAAAATTAATGTTGTAAAGCATTACTTGAGCAACAACAGAGATGCATTCTACAGATGTAATGTTGAGACATAGGTGTAAGTGACAAAAGAATACCTATGGTTAGAATTCGTATAGTCAAAAGACTTTGACTATTTATATCAAGTTCAAAAATAGACAAAACCAAATTATATTGATTTAGGACATATACATATATATTGAAAATGTAAAGAACAACTAGGATTATTTTTTAATCACTAGAGATTGGATAATGAATATCTCTGATGAGAAAGTAGGGGGATGTGGTTGGGGAGGGTCATGTGGAGAGGCTTCTGGGACATTGCTTATGATCTATTTCTTGAATTAGGTAATTGATATGGTTTGGCTCTGTGTCCCCACCCAAATCTCATGACGAATTGTAATTCCCAATGTTGGGGGAGGGATCTGGGAGGAGGTGACTGAATCATGGGGATGGATGTCCCCCATGTTATTCTCGTGATAGTGAGTGAATTCTCACGAGATCCAATGGTTTAAAAGTGTGTGGCACTTACCCTTCCCCACTCTCTCTTGTCTGCTGCCATGTGAAGAAGGTACTTGCTTCCCCCTTGCGTTTGCCATGAATGTAAGTTTCCTGAGGCCTCCCAGCCATGCTTCCTGTGTAGCCTGCAGAAATTTTAAGTCAATTAAACCTTTTTTCTTCATAAATTAGCCAGTCTCAGGTAATTCTTTACAGCAAGGTGAGAATGGACTAATACAGTAATTGTCCTCAAGACGATTTTGGGATTTGGTTATTAATATACATATTAATATTGTAATTATTATTTTAGCTGTATGTATGTCATACACTATTCTAGATTATGATATATTTCATATTAAAAAGAAAATATATAGAGAGGAATTTTCTTTTTCTGTTTTGGTTGATGTTCACATCTATTGAAATGAAGTGTGTTTTCAGCAATGGAATCCTGGTTTATAATACTGAACCTGTATGACATGAGAGTCTACTTGTAGACTGGATGCAATGGCTCATGCCTACAATACCAGCACTTTGGGAGGCTGAGGCTGGAGAATCACTTGAGCCCAGGAGTTTCAGACCAGCTCTGACAACCTAGCAAGACCTGTTTTTACAGAAAAGAAAACAACAACAAAAAAAACCAGGCTTGATTGTGCATGCCTGTAGTCCTAGCTCCTCAAGAGGCTGAGGTGGGAGGATCGCTTGAGCCTGAGAGGTCAAGGCTGCAAGTAACCATGATCATACCACTGCACTCCAGCCTGGGTGATGGACTGAGACTCTGCCTCAAATAAATAAATAAATTAAATAAATAAATAAATAAAATAAAGAAAATAAAAGAAAAAAACCAAGAGTTTCTACTTGTAACAGCTTGGCATTTTGACAGTGGCCTCGTAATGCTTGTTCTAAGTCAGGCCCATGTATTAATAGACTCTAGCTGGATAGGAAGGTTTTCAACATGGAGAAGAGGGACACTAATGAAAGAGTGGTAGATTGCTCTGAAGACATATTTCAACTACTTCTCAATTCTGTGCAGGATGAGCTTCTTCCCCAGGTCTATGGTCTCTTGTCCCCACATGGGTGCTATTCTTGTGCTCTTGTTTAGGGATGGTCATGATCAGGACAGGAGCATTCATACACATTCAGTGCTTAGATAGAGTTTCTGTGAGAAGGGGAACTGTGTTCCACAGTGTCCATTAAGGGCATGGAGAAACAACAAACCCCAGGAGGAGTCCTCTCCTGAGAACAAGCATCCAAAAAATACACAACTGTGCTGGGTGGAGAATAATAACTCTGGAGCCACTAATTCTACTAGAGGCAGAAAGAGCTTTCTGGTTTAGATGGGCTTGTGTTGACCAGGGAGTGAGGAAGAGAGGGGCTAAAGGCCAGGGAGGATGTGCTTCCTTCCTCCTTCTAATTGTTTAGGCAGTTACTACACACACACGCACCATGGTCTACAGTAGGTGTTTGCCAAGAGTAAACTGTCCACATATGCACATGGGACAAGCAATCTAGATATAGTAGCCTTTCTACATTTATTTATGTATTACATTGTATAGAACACGCATACCATATGCTGTGCTAGATGTTTGTAGCAAATAAGATTTTGAGTTAGGCAGCTTATATTTGAATGCTTTGAGTCTTACTAGCAGTATATCCTTTGGTGAATTAATATCTTGGGTAAGCACTGCTTTTCTCATCTCATTTGTACCTTTCAGGATTACTGTAAGAACTGGCAACAAGGTAAGCTGCTTAACACAGTTACTAGTTTTAGAGTACTTGTTCAATAAATGGTAATAGCAGTAAGAACTGTTGTTTTGGTTGTTCTCTCATTGGGAAGACATACTAACCATTTAGACAAAAATATAAAATTCTATATTTGATCAAGACCCTACTGGCTGGGAAGTTGTCTCTACTGGTTCAGAGTAGACAGGACAGTTGAAATGTGATCACTTATTTTAAAAGTTCCCACACGATTTCCAATAGGAGGGATCATTATTCATTTATTTTTTCAGCAAATATTTAACAGGACTTTTCTTTGTGTTAGATACTGTATTAAGTATGGGGATAAAATGGTGAGCAAGGTGGATATGTTTCTGCCTTCATGGAGTTTATATTACAGGAGACTCTCCCCACCCCCTATCTTGTATCCTTTTTAGGGCTATATAGGAAACATTCTTTGGATTATATTAGAACAACAAGATCCTTTGAGATGTCCATTTATAGACCTTATACTCTCAATAGGTCTCTTGATCTGAGTGTTTTTGGAAGCAAATGCTTGTTGCATTTGGGAATTCTAGTTAATCCCAAACAGACCACAGTCCATGAACACACCATGGCAAATTCAGGCAAGGAAATCTCCTACAACTTCAGGAACCTGGGCATTTCCGACATATTCTGGAAGGATTTGAAAACCACTTAATATAGATATCCTGTAAAATTCCACTCTACTGGGTTCTTTGTTTACTCAGTTTTTATAGAAGCATTTTCTTCTATCTATAAAGCAAGAGTCACAGCAAAGAAAAAGGAGGAACTGCCTAGCTACTCACCCCCTGTCTGTCCTCTACTTCTTTCCTAAATAACTTTTCAGCTTTATTTTTTTAATTTTTACCATTTTACTATGAAAAAGCTAAAGCTACAGCATAGGTGAAAGAATTGTAAACACCTGTATATCCTCCCCCTCAAGTCTACTAATATTGAACTATATTTGCTTTATCATTAATCTATCCATCTATTTATCCCTCTATTAATTCATCTTTTCTTTATTGTATTGCAAAGTAAATTGCAGACATCAGTATGCTTTCCTTTACATATTTCAGCATGCATAACATTAAGTAGAGATTTGTATTTATTGTAGCTTCTTCTTTTAATGTAAAATTTAATAACAAGAAAATGCATAAATCTTAAGTGTATATTTGCTGATTTTGACAACTCATGCAGCTATATAACCCAACCCACTTTTAGAATATAAGAGTGCCATCAAGACCAGCAAGTTATTTTATGCCCTTCACAATCAATCACTGCCAGCTCCCTCCCTCACCAAAGGCAACCACAGTTCTGATTTTTTTCTACCTTATATTAGTTTTCCCAGTTCTTGAATTGTGTATAAATGAAATCATATAGCACATACTGTTTGTATATGAGGCTTTAAAACACTCAGCGTAATGTTTTTAAGATTCATCTGTACTGTATATGTCAATAATTTATTTGTTTTTATTACTGAGTAGTATTCCATCTTACAAATATGTCACAGTTTGTTTCTCCGTTTTCTTATTGGTTGATAATGTTAGTCAAATATCCTATATCTTTACTTTTATTGACTTGGTCTATCAAGTATTGAGGAATAACTTAAAATTTCCACCTGTAATTGTGATTTTATTTCTTCTTTAATTTTATCAATTTTTGCTATATAATTATAGAACTGTTACTAGACACATAGGCATTTAAGAATTCTCTTGTCTTCTTGATGGAGAGACCATTTTATTGTTATGAAGTATCTTTCTTTACATCTAATAATACTCCTTATCTTGAAGTGTACTTTGCCTCATATTAATATAGTCACACTATCTCTATGATTAATGTTTATACATTTTTCTTTTTCATTAACCTATCAATATTATTTTATTCAAAGAGTTTCTCTTGTAAACAGTATATAGTTGGGCCTAATTTAAATCCATCTGATAGTGTCTGCCTTTATTTGAAGGGTTTAGTTTATTTACATTTAGTATAATTATTGATATGGTTAGTGTTCTGGTTATCTATTTCTTCATAAAAAATTATTCCAAGGTTAATGGTGTATCAGGAATAGACCAGGAATTCAGAAAGGGCACAGTAGCAATGGCTGCTCTTTGCTCCATGGTTGCTTCCAAGTTTTGGCATTATACAAAAACAATTCTATAAATATCTATTTACAGACTTTTGTGTGGATATAAAATTTCAATACATTTGAGTAAATACAAAGAAATGCAATTGCTGGATCATATGGTTAGAGTATACTTACCTTTGTAAGAAAGTGCCAAACTGTCTTCCAAAGTGGCTGTACCATTTTACATTCCCACTAGCATGAATGAGTGTTCCTGTTGCTCTATATTCTCACTAGTATTTGGTGTTGTTAGTAGGTTTTGGTCATTCTCATAGGTATGTAATAATATCTCATTGGTGTTTAAATTTGCAATTCCCTAGTGACATATGATGCTGACCATCTTTTTATTTGCCTTCTTGCCATCTGTATATCTTCTTTGGTGAGGTGTTTGTTCAGGCCTTTTGCCCATTTTAAAATAGGTTTCTTTTTCTTTTTGTTAAATTTTAAGAGTTCTTCGTGTGTTTTGGATAACAATCCTTTATCACATGTATCTTTTGCAAAGACTTTCTTCCATTCTATGGCTTGTCTGTTCATTTTCTTAACAGTATCTTTTGTAGAACAAAAGCTTTACATTTTATAGAAGTCCAACTTATCAATTATTTCTTTCATAGGTAATGTCTTTGGTGTTGAATTTAAAAAGTCATCACTGTACCCAAGGTCATATAGATTTTCTCTTGTGTTATGTTCTAGGAGTTTTAGAGTTTTGCATTTTATATTTAAGTCTGTGATCCATTTTGAATTTTTTTATGAAAAAGGTTATCTTTACTCCATTTGCCTTTGCTCCTTTGTCAAAGATCAGTTGACTATATTTATGTAGGTCTTTTTATGAGCTTTCTATTCTGTTCCATTGTTCTACTTGTTTATTCTTTCACTGATACCACACTGCCTTGATTATTGCAGCTTTATAGTAAATCTTGATGTCAGGTAGTGTCAGTCCTCCAACATAGTTTTCTCCTGCAATATTGAGTTGGTTTTTCTGGGTCTTTTGCTCCTCCACATACACTTTACAATCAGTTTGTCAATATCTACAAAATAACTTGCTGGGATTTTGATTGTGACTATATTCAATCTACAGATCAAGTTGGAAAGAACTGACATCTTGGTAATATTTAGTATTCCTATTCATTTGCATGGAATATCTCTCCATTTATTTAGTTTTTTGATATATTTCATCAGAATTTTCCTCATATAAATGTTGAACACATTTTATAATATTTATACCTAAGTATATTATTTTTTAATGATAATGTAAATGGTGATGTGTTCTTAATTTCAAATTCCACATGTTTATTGCTGATATATAACAAATTTTTGTATATTAGCTTTGTATCCTACAACTTCTTCTAATTGCCAACTAATTCTAAGAATTTGCTGGTTCTTCTGGATTTTCTATATACACAATCATGTCATTTGTGAATAAAGACAATTTTATTTCTTCCTTCTGAAGCTATATACCTTTTACTTTCTTTTCTTGTTTTATTGCATTAGCTAGGACTTCCAGTACAATGTTGAAAAGCAGAGATAGGGGGAGAGGACATACTTGGCTTGTTCCTGATCTTAGCAGGAAAGCTACAAGTTTCTTATCATTAAGTATAGTGTTAGCTATAGGATTTTTTAGATGTTCTTTATCAAGTTAAGAAAAGAAAGTTTTGCTCCATTATTGGTTTGCTGAGAATGCTTTATCATGAATGGGAATTGGATTTTACAAATGCTTTTTTCTGTATCTATTTATATGATCATGTGACTTTTCTTCTTTGGCTGGTTGATGTGATGGATTACATTAATTAATTTTCAAATGTTGAGCCAACCTTGCATTCCTGGGACAAATCCCACTTGATCATGGTGTTTACTTCTTTTTTGTTTATACTTTGTTTTAGGGTACATGTGCACAACGTGCATGTTTGTTACCTATGTATACATGTGCCATGTTGGTATGCTGCACCCATTAACTCGTCATTTAACATTAGGTATGTCTCCTAATGCTATCCCTCCCCTCTCCCCCCACTCCAAAACAGGCCTCGGTGTGTGCTGTTCCCCTTCCTGTGTCCATGTGTTCTCATTTTCAATTCCCACCTATGAGTGAGAACATGCAGTGTTTGGTTTTTTGTCCTTGCGATACTTTGCTGAGAATGAAGGTTTCCAGCTTCATCCATGTCCCTACAAAGGACATGAACTCATCCTTTTTTATGGCTGCATAGTATTCCATGGTGTGTATGTGCCACATTTTCTTAATCCAGTCTATCATTGTTGGACATTTGGGTTGGTTCCAAGTCTTTGCTATTGTGAATAGTGCCACAATAAACATACTTCTGCATGTGTCTTTATAGCAGCATGTTTTATAATCCTTTGGGTATATACCCAGTAATGGGATGGCTGGGTCAAATGGTATTTCTAGTTCTAGATCCCTGAGGAATTGCCACACTGACTTCCACTTTGGTTGAACTAGTTTACACTCCCACCAACAGTGTAAAAGTGTTCCTATTTCTCCACATCCTCTCTACCACATGTTGCTTCCTGACTTTTTAATGATCACCATTCTAACTGGTGTAGATGGCATCTCATTGTGGTTTTGATTTGCATTTCTCTGATGACCAGTGATGATGAGCATTTTTTATGTGTGTTCTGGCGGCATAAATGTCTTCTTTTGAGAAGTGTCTGTTCATATCCTTTGCCCACTTGTTGATGGGGTTGTTTGTTTTTTTCTTGTAAATTTGTTTGAGTTCATTGTAGATTCTGGATATTAGCCCTTTGTCAGATGAGTAGATTGCAAAAATGTTCTCCCATTCTGTAGGTTGCCTGTTCACTCTGATGGTAGTTTCTTTTGCTGTGCAGAAGCTCTTTAGTTTAATTAGATCCCATTTGTCTATTTTGGCTTTTGTTGCCATTGCTTTTGGTGTTTTAGACATGAGGTCCTTGGCCATGCCAATGGCCTGAATGGTATTGCCTAGGTTTTCTTCTAGGGTTTTTATGGTTTTAGGTCTGACATGCAAGCCTTTAATCTATCTTGAATTAATTTTTGTATAAGGTGTAAGGAAGGGATCTAGTTTCAGCTTTCTACATATGGCTAGCCAGTTTTCCCAGCACCATTTATTAAATAGGGTATCCTTTCCCCATTTCTTGTTTTTCTCAGGTTTGTCATGGATCAGATAGTTGTAGATATGTGGCATTATTTCTGAGGGCTCTGTTCTGTTCCATTGGTCTATATCTCTGTTTTGGTACCAGTACCATGCTGTTTTGGTTACTGTATCCTTGTAGTATAGTTTGAAGTCAGGTAGCATGATGCCTCCAGCTTTGTTCTTTTGGCTTAGGATTGACTTGGCAGTGCGGGCTCTTTTTTGGTTCCATATGAACTTTAAAGTTGTTTTTTCCAATTCTGTGAAGAAAGTCATTGGTAGCTTGATGGAGATGGCATTGAATCTATAAATTACCTTGGGCAGTATGGCCATTTTCACGATATTGATTCTTCCTACCCATGAGCATGGAATGTTCTTCCATTTGTTTGTATCCTCTTTTATTTCATTGAGCAGTGGTTTATAGTTCTCCTTGAAGAGGTCCTTCACATCCCTTGTAAGTTGGATTCCTGGGTATTTTATTCTCTTTGAAGCAATTGTGAATGGGAGTTCACTCATGATTTGGCTCTCTGTTTGTCTGTTATTGGTGTATCAGAATGCTTGTGATTTTTGCACATTGATTTTGTATCCTGAGACTTTGCTGAAGTTGCCTATCAGCTTAAGGAGATTTTGGGCTGAGACAATGGGGTTTTCTAAATATACAATCATGTCATCTGCAAACAGGGACAATTTGACTTCCTCTTTTCCTAAATCAATACCCTTTATTTCCTTCTCCTGCCTGATTTCCCTGGCCAGAACTTCCAACACTATGTTGAACAGGAGTGGTGAGAGAGGGCATCCCTGTCTTGTGCCAGATTTCAAAGGAATGCTTCCAGTTTTTGCCCATTCAGTATGATATTGGCAGTGGGTCTGTCATAGATAGCTCTTATTATTTTGAGATATGTCCTATCAATACCTAATTTATTGAGAGTTTTTAGCATGAAGGTTGTTGAATTTTGTCAAAGGCCTTTTCTGCTTCTATTGAGATAATCATGTGGTTTTTGTCTTTGGTTCTGTTTATATGCTGGATTACATTTATTGATTTGGGTATGTTGAACCAGCCTTGCATCCCAGGGATGAAGCCCACTTGATCATGGTGGATTAGCTTTTTGATGTGCTGCTGGATTTGGTTTGCCAGTATTTTATTGAGCATTTTTGCATCAATGTTCATCAGGGATATTGGTCTAAAATTCTTTTTTTGTTGTGTCTCTGCCAGGCTTTGGTATCAGGATGATGCTGGCCTCATAAAATGAGTTAGGGAGGATTCTCTCTTTTTCTATTGATTGGAATGGTTTCAGAAGGAATGGTACCAGTTCCTCCTTGTACCTCTGGTAGAATTCGGCTGTGAATCCATCTGGTCCTGGACTTTTTTTGGTTGGTAAGTTATTAATTTTTGCCTCAATTTCAGAGCCTGTTATTGGTCTATTCAGAATTCGACTTCTTCCTGGTTTAGTCTTGGGAGGGTGTATGTGTTGAGGAATTTATTCATTTCTTCTAGATTTTCTAGTTTATTTGCGTAGAGGTGTTTATAGTATTCTCTGATGGTAGTTTGTATTTCTGTGGGATCAGTGGTGATATTCCCTTTATCGTTTTTTATTGCATCTATTTGATTCTTCTCTCTTTTCTTCTTTATTAGTCTTGCTAGCAGTCTATTAATTTTGTTGATCTTTTCAAAAAACAAACTCTTGGATTCATTGATTTTTTGAAGGGTTTTTTGTGTCTCTATTTCCTTCAGTTCTGCTCTGATCTTAGTTATTTCTTGCCTTCTGATAGCTTTTGAATGTGTTTGCTCTTGCTTCTCTAGTTCTTTTAATTGTGATGTTAGGGTGTCAATTTTAGATCTTTCCTGCTTTCTCCTGTGGGCATTTAGTGCTATAAATTTCCCTCTACACACTGCTTTGAATGTGTCCCAGAGATTCTGGTATGTTGTGTCTTTGTTCTCGTTGGTTTCAAAGAACATCTTTATTTCTGCCTTCATTTTGTTATGTACCCAGTAGTCATTCAAGAGCAGGTTTTTCAGTTTTCATGTAGTTGAGCGGTTTTGAGTGCGTTTCTTAATCCTGAGTTCTAATTTGATTGCACTGTGGTCTGAGAGACAGTTTGTTATAATTTCTCTTCTTTTACATTTGCTGAGGAGTGCTTTACTTCCAACTATGTGGTCAATTTTGGAATAGGTATGGTGTGGTGCTGAAAAGAATGTATATTCTGTTGATTTGGGGTGGAGAGTTCTGTAGATGTCTATTAGGTCCGCTTGGTGCAGAGCTGAGTTCAATTCCTGGATATCCTTGTTAACTTTCAGTCTCTTTGATCTGTCTAATGTTGACAGTGGGGTGTTAAAATCTCCCATTATTATTGTGTGGGAGTCTAAGTCTCTTTGTAGGTCTCTAAGGATTTGCTTTATGAATCTGGGTGCTCCTGTATTGGGTGCATATATATTTAGTATAGTTTGCTCTTCTTGTTGAATTGATCTCTTTACCATTATATAATGGCCTTCTTTGTCTCTTTTGATCTTTGTTGGTTTAAAGTCTGTTTTATCTGAGACTAGGATTACAACCCCTGCCTTTTTTTGTTTTCCATTTGCTTGGTAGATCTTCCTCCATGTGTTTATTTTGAGCCTATGTGTGTCTCTGCACATGAGATGGGTTTCCTGAATACAGCACACTGATGGGTCTTGACTCTTTATCCAATGTGCCAGTCTGTGTCTTTTAATTGGAGCACTTAGCCCATTTACATTTAAGGTTAATATTGTTATGTGTGAATTTGATCCTGTCATTATGATGTTAGCTGGTTATTTTGCTCATTAGTTGATGCAGTTTCTTCCTAGCCTCGATGGTCTTTACAATTTGGAATGTTTTTGCAGTGGCTGGTACTGGTTTTTCCTTTCCATGTTTGGTGCTTCCTTCAGGAGCTCTTTTAGGGCAGGCCAGGTGGTGACAAAATCTCTCGGCATTCACTTGTCTGTAAAGTATTTTATTTCTGCTTCACTTATGAAGCTTAGTTTGGCTGGATATGAGATTCTGGTTTGAAAATTCTTTTCTTTAAGAATGTTGAATATTGGCCCCCACTCTCTTCTGGCTTGTAGAGTTTCTGCTGAGAGATCAACTGTTAGTCTGATAGGCTTCCCTTTGTGGGTAACCCGACGTTTCTCTCTGGCTGCCCTTAACATTTTTTCCTTCATTTCAACTTTGGTGAATCTGAAAATTATGTATCTTGGAGTTGCTCTTCTCGAGGAATATCTTTGTGGCATTCTCTGTACTTCCTGAATTTGAATGTTGGCCTGCCTTGCTAGACTGGGGAAGTTCTCCTGGAGAATATCCTGCAGAGTGTTTTCCAACTTGGTTCCATTCTTCCCGTCATTTTCAGGTACACCAATCGATGTAGATTTGGTCTTTTCACCTAGTCCCATATTTCTTGGAGGCCTTGCTCATTTCTTTTTATTGTTTTTTCTCTAAACTTCTCTTCTCTCTTCATTTCATTCATTTGATCTTCCATCACTGATACCCTTTCTTCCAGTTGATTGCATTGGCTAGTGAGGCTTATGAGGCACATAGTTCTCGTGCCTTGGTTTTCAGCTCCATCAGGTCCTTTAAGGACTTCTCTGCATTGGTTATTCTAGTTAGCCATTCATCTAATTTTTTCAAGGTTTTTAACTTCTTTGCCATGGGTTCGAACTTCCTCCTGTAGCTTGGAGTAGTTTGATCATCTGAAGCCTTCTTCTCTCAACTCATCAAAGTCATTCTCCATCCAGCTTTGTTCCATTGCTGGTGAGGAGCTGTGTTCCTTTGGAGGAGGAGAGGCATTCTGATTTTTAGAGTTTCCAGTTTTCTGCTCTGTTTTTTCCCCATCTTTGTGGTTTTTATCTACCTTTGGTCTTTGATGATGGTGACGTACAGATGAGGTTTTGGTATGGATGTCCTTTCTGTTTGTTAGTTTTCCTTTTAACAGTCAGGACCCTCAGCTGCAGGTTTGTTGGAGTCTGCTGGAGGTCCACTCCAGACCCTGTTTTGCCTGGGTATCAGTAGCGGAGGCTGCAGAACAGCAGATACTGGTGAACAGCAAATGTTGCTGCCTGATCATTCCTCTGGAAGTTTTGTCTCAGAGGAGTACCTGGCTGTGTGAGGTGTCAGTCTGCCCCTACTGGGGGCTGCCTCCCAGTTAGGCTAGTCGGGGGTCAGGGACCCACTTGAGGAGGCAGTCTGTCCGTTCTCAGATCTCCAGCTGCATGCTGGGAGAACCACTACTCTCTTCAAAGCTGTCAGACAGGGACATTTAAGTCTGCAGAGGTTTCTGCTGCCTTTTGTTTGGCTATGCCCTGCCCCCAGAGGTGAAGTCTATGGAGGCAGGCAGGCCTCCTTGAGCTGCAGTGGGCTCCACCCAGTTCGAGCTTCCAGGCCACTTTGTTTACCTACTCAAGCCTCAGCAATGGTGGGCACCCCTCCCCCAGCCTCACTGCTGCCTTGCAATTTGATCTCAGACTGCTGTGCTAGCAATGAGCGAGGCTCCGTGGGCATAGGACCCTCTGAGCCAGGCATGGGATATAATCTCCTGGTGTGCCATTTGCTAAGACTGTTGGAAAAGTGCAGTATTAGGGTGGGAGTGACCCGATTTTCCAGGTGCCATCTGTCACCCCTTTCTTTGATTAGGAAAGGGAATTCTCTGACCCCTTGTGCTTCCCGGGTGAGGTGATGCCTCGCCCCGCTTTGGCTCACGCTCAGTGCACTGCACCCACTGTCAGACACTCCCCAGTGAGCTGAACCTGGTACCTTAGTTGGAAATGCAGAAATCACCTGTCTTCTGCGTCACTCACGCTGGGAGCTGTAGACTGGAGCTGTTCCTATTTGGTCGTCTTGGCTCTACTTCTTTTTATACGTGATTGGATTTGACTGGCTAATATTTTGTTGAGGATTTTTGCATTTATGTTCATGAGCAATATTGGTCTGCAGGGTTTTCTTTTCTTGTAATGTCTTTGTCTGGTTTTGGTCTTATGGTAGTGATAAACCCCAGCAAGTTAGTATCTGGTAAAATAATTTCTCCTGAGGGCAAGACTTGTTATGAAAAATAGAATGTTCTGACATATTACAAAATAATTCCTTTTCCCCTTCCTGCTGCCAGAGCATGGGGGATTTTTTCCCCAATATTCATTATTTTTCCCAAATATTCAATATTCACTTGTATGAGTTTGACCTCCAGGAGATCTACTCAGGAGGAGTAGATCCCCTCCCTACTCAGGTAGATCTCCTGGAGGTCAAACTCATAAAAGTGTGGGAGCCTTCCTGTGACTGGGTTCCCCCAGAATTTTTAACTCTCAGAGTTTTTTTGCAGTGAGTTTCCAGCAATTAATCAATTACAGTTTAGGTTTTTCTACTTCAGTACTTGTTCCCAAGGTGGTTTCTGCTCGTGAGTTTTTGCTTTAGTAAGCTGTGGTTCTCTGTATTTGCCTGTCTCTTCAATTTTGAGGGCATTGGTTTGCCTTGTGACCTCATTTCTCTGATGAATCTAAGAAAGGTTGCTTAATTATCAGTTTGTCCAACTTTTTACCTGTTAGGACGGAATGGTGACTTCTAAGTTCTTCACATAATTGACAGGAAACTGGAAGTTCATTAATCATTTTTCTCTTTTTTTTTTTCCTTTCTGCATGCCCAAGTTTCTATCTGGTATTATTTATCTTTAAACATTTTTCTTAACATTTGTTGCAGTGTAGGTCTGTTGGTGGTAAATTCTCTCAGCCTTTCATTTGAAAATGTTTTTATTTTACCTCAATTTTTGAAGAATTTTTCTTAGGTGGATATAGAATTTTATGGCAACAGTTTTATTTCCTTTAAATACTATTCCATTGTCTTCTGATATGTTTTCTGTCTTGCATAGATTCTAATAAGAAATTAGCCATCATTCGGCCGGGCATGGTGGCTCACGCCTATAATCTCAGCACTTTGGGAAGCCGAGGCGGGTCAGTCATTTGAAGTCAGCAGCTCCAGACAGCCTGACCAACATGGTGAAACCCCATCTCTACTAAAAATACAAAAAATTAACGGTGTGTGGTGGTGCAGGACTGTAATCTCAGCTACTCAGGAGGCTTAGCAAGAGAATCGCTTGAACCAGCGATTGCGCCATTGCACTCCAGCCTGGGTGACAGAGTGGGACTCCATCTCAAAAAAAAAAAAAAAAAAAAAAAGAGGCCGGGCCGGGCACAGTGGCTCACGCCAGTAATCCCAGCACTTTGGGAGGCTGAGGCAGGCGGATCACGAGGTCAGGAGATTGAGACCATCCTGGCTAACATGGTGAAATCCCGTCTCTACTAAAAATACAAAAAATTAGCTGGGCGTGGTGGCGGGCGCCTGTAGTCCCAGCTACTCCAGAGGCTGAGGCAGGAGAATGGCGTGAACCCGGGAGGTGGAGCTTGCAGTGAGCAGAGATCGCGCCACTGCACTCCAGCCTGGGCGAAAGAGCGAGATTCCGTCTCAAAAAAAAAAAAAAAAAAGAAAAGAAAAAAGAAAAAGAAAAAGAAAAAGAAAAAGAAATTAGCCATCATTCATATCATTGTTCCTGGTATATATGTTTTTATTTTTTTGGCTGCTTTTAAGATGTTCTCTTTCTGTTTATGTTTAATCAATTTGACTGTCATTTGTCTAGGAGTGGCTTTCTCTGTATTTATCTTACATGAGACTTGTTGAACTTCTTAGATCCATGTGTTCATGTTTCCATCCAATTTGTAAAGTTCCAGTCATTATTTCTTCAAGCATTTTTTTTTTTTTGCCTGATTCTCTCTCTCTCTTTCCCCTCTAGGACTGTAATTACATGTATGTTACAAATTCGGTATTAAAAGAAAGAAGAAAACTATATTGTAGTAAGGTTGGTTTCTTTCAGCTGGATCCAATCTGCTTTGCAAAATTCTTCCAAGCAAGAACAACATCTTGCTCACACTTACCTATAGGACACCTCAAGGTATACTCCTTGTGAAAGAAAATTGCTTTCTGGAGGTGTCCTCTATGCTGATGGAGGGTACAGCCTGGGAAACATGGAAAAAGCAAAGAAGTTGACAATGTCAAGGACATAACAATGCCTCAGACGTTTTCTCAGGTCAGTAGCAGCCACTTTCCACATTCAGCCTAAAAGAGAGGCTATATGAGGAAGGTGAATTTGAAATATAAAAGCAAAGAAGTTATATATATACATAAGACATTTTTTTTCAGTGGTTCACATGAAAATTCGAGAACAACATTGTTCTTCTGAAAGCGATTTCAGGATTCCATGCATCTTATTGGCATTTGGATACACAGTTAAGCAGTAGTGTGATGGTAAGAGGGTCCTTTAGGGGAAAATTTGTGGCACCTGCTGACTTTCATGATGCAAATAGTGCCACCATGGCCAATTACAAGCTCCACCATGACATTGCTGAGCATGGCTGGAAAGAGCCATGAAGAATCAGCTCTCTTGAGCCAGTGCAAGCTGGCTCCAGCACACACTGAGCTGCAGGATTGTGTTTAGGGCTAATAGCTATTGGCAAATTCAACACTTGTTGAAAATAGACATCATTGAGTTCTAGAATCAAATGCCTGTTGCTCTATTGCCTGCCTTTTGGTCATTGTTTCTCTAGCTTTTTGAAGGGGCTCAGTAAATCTCACGACTGTGGACCCCAGACCCTTTGACTTAATGAAGGTTGATGTCTTCATTAGATTTTGAAAAGGAATGCTTGAACATTTTATTACCTGGTTGCTGGTGCCTAGTACTCTCTGTTCCATTGCCCATCTCCCCCACCTCCTGTGACACATTCCTGAAAGTGCTCCAGGAAAAAAATGTTACAGACTTGGCAGATCAGCGTTTTCTGATTGTGCAATGTCCTTCCTGAGAAACTCCATTCTCCAAAGGCAGTCATTCTGAAACAAGAGCTAGAAATGGGGGTCCAGGCCACCCCCTGGGATGGCAGAATAAGAGGTCAGGTGGTAGTGGACTGGGACATACTGAATCTATAGGAAATGGCATCCATGTGTGTCTCACCAGTTTTATGGATGTAGAAAAACTGTCAAAGAGTTCATTGGAAGGAAGAAAGGGACAAAATACTTCACTTTCATTTAGATTATATTTTGCCCCTTACAAAGTAACTTCATAAACATTGTATCATTTGCTCGTCACAAGAGACTGATGAGACATACTAATATTGTGAATATAATAAATATAATAATGTAACATATGATTATTGTGTATTATATTATATAATTATACAATATATGTAATTATATGTTGATATATAATTATAATAAATATGTAATATATTATATAAAATAATATATTATATATTAGTATGTGATTATATATGTGACCACATGTATGTAAATATATGTAATATATTGTATATATAAGAACACAATAAATGTTAAGAATATAATAAATATGAATATTTATTTTCTGTCTATAGGTGAAGACACTGAGACTCAGGGAAAATAAATGATTTGGTTAGGGTCACACAGATGTTAATGACAGGGGAGGAACTTGAAGTCTGTCTGATTCTAGTCTAAAGCTCTTTCCATATCAGACTGATGCATGTGTGGGTGTATGTGATGATTCAAGACGGTTTCTATCAGCCCTGATTATTTAATCACACTAGGTGGATTACAAACTACCAGAACTTTTAAACAAGGTGGAAATTATGCTACTCTTAAGAAGCTTCAGTGGGATCCTGGGTGTCAGAGGTTCTCAAAGATATAGATCAGTAATGCCTCACTTATCCAGGCTGGCAGAGAAGGAGATATACGGCAACAATAAAATGTCTATGTGATTGTTTGCATACCTAAAACTTCCAAAGTTTTTATTTATTTTTTTTATTTCTTGTGGAGACAGAGTCTCATTAGGTTGTTCAAGCTGGTCTTGAACTCCTGTCCTCAAGCAAACCTCCAGCCTTGGCCTCCCACAGTGCTGAAGTTACAAGCATGAACCACCCAGCCTGGCCAAAGCTTCCGACTTTTAAAGGACATCATTTAAAATTGTGTTGCACATCACCTTGTATTCTTAAGCATAGAATGCCAAATACAGCTTATTTAACATTTTCTTCTTGACTTAGTGCATCATTGTAAATCTCAATTTGTTTTAGTCTTTTCTTTAATTCACAACCCTCTCGGGCTCTACACTACAAGGTTCCAGTCTGCTGTGCTTTTTGGAGTTCCTGTTTCTTATCTGCTTCTATTGGTGCACTTACCTTTAAGGATTTCTGCTCCCTCTTCTACCTTGTTGGTTTGAATCTGTTAAAAAGTGAGGAACCAGCTCAGATAACCCAGTTTGATAGACTTGTTGATCAAGCAGGAGCAGATAGGTTTTAAATAAAGGCTGGATGACCCTTCTGGAGTAAACACTTTCTATCACCTTCCTTAGTTTTAGGGGTTGATAGGGGCTGTTGCAGTGCTGCTCATATCTGTTTACCAGATGAGCTCTCTTGTCACTCAGCTCTGTAGGTGTTGGTGATCAATGGCTTGCAGCTGCACCTTTCACTGAAGCCTTGCCCTTAGCCTACAGGAGCTGATCCGCCCAGAAATACCTGAGAGGTTTTTCCCTAACCTCTGGGTGTGGCTTGCAGCCAACCACTAATACAGGGGTATAAAAGCCCAGCCCCCTTGCTTCAAGTTGGGACAATTCTGTAAGGCCATCCTTGTTCCAGTGCTATCTGTGGGACCGGACAGAGACTGAACTGCAGCTGACCGCATATCCTCACTTTGCTTCTTCCCAGCCCTGTCTTGCTTCCCTCACTGCCTTACAAGGTTTCACTTGCATGTGCTTGCAGAAGACTCCTGACTCTGCCATTGCAACCTCTGATGTTAGGGATCTTAACCTAAGACAGGAGACTTCCTGCCCGGGCCCTATGTTTTATATTTTCACCTATATTCTGGAGAGGTAAGATAACAAAAATTCCCTATACTCCTCCCTCTCCTCCAACTCAGCATTAAGAGAGAAGAGAAGCCTAGTCGTGAAAGAATGTAGAATGAGAAAAAAATCATTTTGCAAAAGATATCTTAAAATTTCATTCATTTGTCAAATTTTGATTTAAAGCCTATTATATGAGTCACTGTACTAGGTTCTGAGGATACAAAAATAACAGACACAATCTCCCCTCCCTTCACCCTTTTGAGAGCCTCACAGTCTGATGAGAAAACCAACAAGAAATAGGACAATTCCCATACCTCTTGATAAATGATATTATTGAAGTTAGAACTTATTCATTTAAGAAGTATCTCTAAGCATCCACTATGTGCTAAACATTTGAGGTATAAACTGCAGAATCCAAAGGCTGGAAAAGATATGAAAACTTTTACTTTGGAAATGATACTGGAGGAGGTTCTAGTAGAGCAGGAGGAGTTTATCAGGTGAAGAATATTAGAGATAGTGTTCAGATTGAAGGACAATGTTTTGAAAAGATACAGTGTTCGGCGGGGGGACTGGAACTGAGGAGGAGTTTATCACTGCAGGAGATGAGGAGAGGAAGGCAGGGATGGATGTGAAAAGCTTTCTCTGCCAGGCTAGAAAATTGGGGTTTTATCCTGTAGGTAACTTGGAGCCAAGATAGCCTTATGAAACTAAAAATGTGGTCAAGACCATTTCAGTAGGATCATGACTGTCATCCATAGGACAAATTGGGAAGGAAGCAGGGTGGATGCCCATAGCCCCATCAGTGCACAGCTTGACAAGCAGATGCCTACATCAGGCCTTTATGTGCAGTGCACCAACTGTGCAACAGTATGTAACAGCCCTAATGACCTGTGATATCATGGCTTACTTATGGCATTTGTGTTTCTTTTATTAGGAAAATGAAGAATTCCTTAAGTTCTCACTTGAAAATTTGATTTGTAAGGGAACTGGAAGTTTTCCTGCTGAGTGCTCCATGTGTAAGAGGTGAGCAGCTACCCATATATGACTTGATAGATCAAGACACAACCAAGGTAATCTCTGCCCCTGACCCCATATGCTATCAACATTGCCTGAGAGGCCACCATGTCAGTCCCATTTCCCCTGACTCACCAGGCTTTCAATCCAGCCTGGGAGATGAGATTTTAAATTTGGGTGGAAGGGTGAGAAGGGAGTGGGGAGGGGAGGGTTGAGAAGAGACAATGTGAGGTCACTGAGGCACGATGGGGAAACGGAAGTAGTGGGAATGGGGAAGAGTGTGGAAAGAAGGCAAGAGGCGAGAAATCAGAGCTGGAAGGAGGTCATTAATATACATCTTCTTTCCTTCACAATATTGCAGTGGGCAGGCTCTTTCTGCTCAAATTCCATGTTATGTACCATGCAACAGTTCCTAAGAGCCCTAATGACCCATGCCATCATGGCTTATAGCATCTCATCTAGCCTGGGAGATGGGATTTTAAATAATAGTACCAAGTATTTTGATTATTTTATTATTGTAGGGAAAATAGATTTTCCCATGCACAGACTAAGTAATTCCTGCCTTTGTTCATGTTTTCCCTAATAATAATATAAACAACAACAATATTCAACATTGTTTGAACAGTTACTCCATGCTTGGCATTGTGCTAAGAGCTTTGCCTGTATTTATGTCACACAATTCTTCCCCTGAGCCTATGATAGAGTTATTGTTGTTAGTTATTTATTATGAAAGAGGAAAGTTAAGCTTGGAGAGGTGACACAGCTTGCTCAGAATCACACAGTTGGTGAGTGGCACACTCAGGCCAATCTGTCTTGTTTTACAATCAACACTTAAACTACTGTGCTCCATGGCTTCTGCAGCTGTTGGCTCCTTCCTCCACCATTTCAAATGCTTTTCATTCACTTCAGGTTTCCTTCATTGACTTAACTAATATTATTGAGAACCTTCTACATGTATTGGTGCTTTTGTATGGAACTTTCCTACACTGATTTCTACCTTCTTTAAACACTTTCAAGCCTTCAAGGTAGACAGTAAATTTTATTACAGGTTTGTTTAGTTCTCTAAATGTTTTCAGTGGCTTTATTTTGTTTTCTTTCCCAAAAGATTTTTCAGTCATTGCCGGGTCAGGGTCAAGGCTTCAAGGTCCTGATCTCCTCACCAGCACCCAACACTGTGTTGGGCTGAAAGCAGGAAACCCCTGGCCCTTAGCCCCTGACATCAGTGAGGTGAGCCCTGTCCAGTGACTGCATTTTAAGGAAGAAGAAATGCATGTGTGGATCAGATAAGGTCTGCGTGATATCTGGAGAAGAAGATGCCCTATGAGTGAGGATCAGCTATGTTTACCATTTAAATCCACAGAAGCAAGCCAAGATAACAGTCAGAGTCTGTGGACAGAAGTTCATGAAGATCATTGCTTGACAGGTCAGGGTAAAGGTCTCTTTCTTTCAAAATATGTGAAGGGGCAGGAAACGTGTGCACCAGGTGTTTCATCTTCATGGCTGCCTGGGAAAGATAATTCTGTCTACTCGATAAGAACATTGTGCTCCACACATCAGGTTGTTTTCCCAACAGCTATTTTCTGCCTATAAAAATGAGCATTGCTGGCTCCCAGCTTCTTTTTGGAAATCCCTTGGGCCACACACAATAACAAAAGGTATCTTATATTTATACAAAGCTGTCCTCAGAAAAGCTCAAGGACCTGAACAAAGCTTGTTTTCATGTATAAGGGTTCTTATATAATCCCCGAGGGGGAAAGGAGCGGAGGGTGACAATTGAGTTAGGAATGTTTTCGTTCCCAGCTAACAAAACGGAAAAGTGAGGCCTCAAGGTGTGACACACTGATGGTCACGAACTGGACAGGGAGTCCTTCTTCCTTACTTCCTGTCCAGGGCGCTGCACCCCGGAGAACACTGCCTTGTCAGAAACCCTGGAGGATTTGAAAACCTAGGGGAGACGACTGGAGGGGAGAGACTGGGAGAGAAAGCCCAGCCATGTGGGAAGGGACACTGTAGCCTCACTGCCTTCAGTGACTGGTCCTCACTGGTCAAGATTTTGCAACTGTGAAATGAGAGTTCCTTTTGTCCTCTGTGGAACTGATCCTGGGGAGAATTTAAAAAAAAAAAAGCTACCTGAGGTAGTACTTCAATAGGGAGAATTGAATCACCCTCTTTAGGAGTTACAGCTAAATCACAGGAAAGTTGAAAAGCCTGAATGGCTTGGAAAAGAAGAGCCATCTGAGCAAAGGGCATACTGTAAATATTTATTCCACACTTGGATACAACAGTGAGTAAGGCATAAGCCCTGCATCATGTAGCAGGAGAGATAAGCACCAGATAAAGGGACCTGTGAAGGCTGGAGGGATACAAGGAAAGGGCAGTTACTTTTGACTGTCGCTTTAAGTCAGGACTCCCTGGGGTCCAGAGGGCAGCCTTGCAGCTGAGGCTTGAAAGGTTGGTGAGAACAGTTTTATGAGGTGTCTTCTGCACTGCACTGAGATGGTAGCTCTGCTTTAAAATTGGCTGGGGATCCTTAGAAAACACTCCACCTCTAAACAATCCAATTAAATTGATGAGTGTAGCCCAGGCATTGGTATTGTTGATGAGTTCCTAGGTGGTTTTACAGAGCAACCAGGGTAGACAACCACAAAAAGAGTGTGGGCTTTGGAATTAGACAGTCCTGTTGTAGTATCCTGTGCCCTCGGGCAAGGTCCATGGTGGGCAGTGTGAGTCTTCCACGACTTCATTGTTTCTTCCCACTTCTGCCCACCCCTGTGAAGAAACTCTTCCACGAGAGAATCCCTCCTCTTTGACAAACTTTCCTTGACTGAGAAACCCTAAATTGGGAATTGGCAAACCTGGATTCCATCCCAGCTCTGCCGGTGAGGTACTACACAGGCTTGCTGCATCACACAGGGAGATAAGGCAAAGACACTCAGGATTGTTATTTGCCAGGCACTGCGCCAGGTATCCAACATATCCTGGAGCCTCCATTTTCCATCCGTTGATGTTTAGAGATCAGTATTTGCAAGTTGTAAAGTCCACTTAATAGGCTATGGCCAGATTTTTTTTTTTTAAATAGAAAATGTAATAGAAAAATGTAGTGTACTACATGGAAGAAGTGCAAGGATTACAAAGTAGAATTTCGTTTCAGTTATAGATGGATGTGTGTATGGAGTCATGATGTAAAATGTGTTTCACGTTGTGAGTTGCAAGTTAAAAAATTTGGGAGTGCTCATTTTGGCAGCGTATATCCTAAAACTGCAACAATACAGAGAAGATTCCATGGCCCCTGTGCAAAGATGCACAGCTATCTTGCTGTATCTTCACAAACTTTTGAAGCATCCCATCTTTTGTTTTATGTCATGTTTTTCTTAACCACAATAAGAAAAAAAAGTTTGAGAACCATGGGATTATATGCTTCCTAGGACCCATTTCCTTCTACTCTATAGCCCAGGGCTATGCAGCCTACATGTAACCTTTCTGTGACCAGCCTTTCTGTGACCTCCTTTTAGCTAATGCCATGTAATTCTGACCAATCATTTATGTTTTCAAGAGGGAGGCAGGATGTTGTACTGGTTAAAAGTACCATTTTGAATTAGCTAAGTCAATGCTTGATTGAATTTCTTCACTTATTAATTGAATGACCCAGAAAATGTACATAACCTCCATCAGCTTTAGGTTTCTTGCATGAGATGATAACACCCAGGACACATGATGGCTATAAGTTAAATGAAATGCTGTAGGAGAAACTCTTAGCACAAACCACCTTGCTCATAGAAGTGCTCGGTGTGTGGTAGCAATTATTACCTGACTTCCCACCACACCCAGATTTTAAGGTACAGTCTGTAATTTAGTGCCTGGCATATATGAAGTCATAAATTGTAAAAAAGGATTCCGGCCTGAAGCAGACTCTCATGTTGAAGAACAGCTGTTCTCTGTTGGCAGGCTCTGTTGACATACAGGTCTTGGGAGGAGAGTCAGAGCACTCTGCAAGTGTCCTCTACCTACACATCCCCTCCAGGCTTTTCCTCTGGCATGGCCAGTGAGCACTGAGACGGCAAAGGCAAAAGGAGGTGGGTCCTGGCTACAGTTTGCTCCAAGAATCAAAATGACCCTATTTCGGCGCTATCAAAATCAACAGACAGATAGATACTGGAGATCAGCTGTGTCATAAACTGGGCATCTGGCTGAAAAGGTTTCAGAAAGAAGCACAAAGAAAGAAATGAGAAAGAGCTGGTGGCCAGAACATTAAGAAACTGGGTGTGAGATTCAGACTTTAGACCAGAAATAAATGGATGTCATCAAAGTGTAAACAAATAAGCAACTCAGTAGGTCCTAATTGCCTCAGAAATAGGCTGGGAACCAAGGCATCACCTTATAAATGATTCATTTCAGGAAATACCCACTAATCAATTACTAGGGCTTCTGTGTAATAGTTTCCCCAGATTTATAGGTGGTGAACGTGTGAATTGGATCATTGATTCTAGAATGAGATAAGCAGCAATACTGGTAACCTAATCTACTTAATCCAACTAGCTACAGAGACATTAGCTGCCCTTAGTGGAAGCCAGCCAATTACTGAAGAGTGAAAAGAAATCCATTAATCATGGCAGAGCCTCACCAGCCCAATCTCCCTAGGGCATTCAGTTATGCTGAGAAGATGTTGATGGAGAAGAGGATAATGACCCATATACAGATATATGGGAAAAGGGGGAGGGGGTGATGGGGGAGGGGGAAGAAGCCTCCTGAAATTGCACAGGAAAAAAATGAGCCTTAAAATGGTAAAAACGATTAAAAGAAACATACAAATAGTATTACACAGAGGATTGTTGAAAGTAGCATTAGCTGCAAGTGTATATGCATATTTCTAAAAAGAAAACTTGGTTTGAGATTATATAGTAAAAAACAAAATGTATGTGAATAGTGTTGCCCCACCTAGAACTGTGTTGCTAACACAATGGTTTTTCAGGAAAGAAAAGGCAAGGATGCCTGGAAATAGCTGCATCTACTCAGCCCCCATCCCAAGCAATCAAATGAAGTCCAGGAAATTCCATATATAACTAGAAGAATAGACATCCTGGAGCATTTTTGCCACAGTTAAGATTAGCGGAAACAGACCCCCATCAAAGCTAGTAACAAAGAAGAACTAAAGGTGAACAAACTGTGGTGGGTCCCCCTGCCTCTCTCCTGAAAAGGTGGTAGCCACGCAGGCCGGATGGATGCAACTAGGGCATGGGCAGTTGCCTTGGCTGTGCTAACAGTCTTTTGTTGTGAGCCCACCCCCATTCAACAGCAACACAGGGGAACCTACTTCTCCAAGGAAATAATGAAAACAAAGGTGGCCAGAGCTCAGCGTATCCTCCTGATTCATCCTTACAATCCCTAGAAGTGGTTGTTAAATAGCAACGGTTTATGATTAGCACTTTTGGGATCTTGTTTGAGAAATCCTTCCCTCTCCAGAGGTCATAAAGATATTCCCCTATATTTTTTCTAAAGTAAAATTTTTCCTTCTCTGTGGAATTAAGAGACACAAAAAGCACAAAGCAAAAGGAAGAGATTAATACATTTCACTTCATTAAAATAAAGGACTTCTGTTTACCAAAAATACCACAAGGAGAGTAAAATGGTCAGCCTCAAAGTGGAAGAAAACCTTTACACTACATCTAACTGACAAAGAAGGGATTAGGACCTGGAATATATAAAGAATGACTATAACCCATTGAAAGATGCGCCCAAAACATGATTAGGTAATTCACAAAAGAAATATAAATGACTATTCAGCATATTTAAAGTCCCTCAACTCCATTAGTAATCAGAGAAGTGCAGATTTGCAAATTAGAATTATAATATCATTTTATACCCACTAGATGTACAAAAACTTATGAAGTCTGACAATATTAAGTATTAATGAGGATGTGGAAAAACAGAATCTTATGTACTGCTGTTGAGACTGTAAATTAGTACATTTTCTTTGGAAAACAATTCGGCATTATCAATCACAGGTAAAGATGACATTCCTATGACCCAGCAATTTCACTCCTAGGTATGTACCCTAGAGAAACTCTTGCACATGTACACCAGGAGATATGTATAAGACTGTTAATGGGAGTGTATTAGCTACAAAAATTAGCTGGGCGTCATGGTCATGGTGCGCGCCTGTACTCCCAGCTACTCAGGAGGCTGAGGCAAGAGAATCGCTTGAACCTGGGAGGTGGAGGTTGCAGTGAGCCAAGATCGCACCACTGCACTTGAGCCTGGGCGACAGAGCAAGACTCCATCTCCAAAAAAAAAAAAAAAAAACAGGAAAAAGAAAAACAGTGTATTAACAAACACACAAGCAAAGCTAAACAAACGCTGTCAGGGAATACTTACATTGTAGTCAACTAATTTTTAGTAAAAGGCGAAAGATTTATACGATCTGAAGAGAAACCAGAGTATATAGTCAACTAATTTTTAAAAGCAAGGGTATGGTAAACACAAAATTCACGGTGACAGTTATGTCTGAGGGGAGGAGGATGGGAGTTGGGTTAGCTTCAATTGTGTGGTTAATTTGGGGATTCTTTAGTCGGCTGGCGGGTCAGAGTGTGTTCATACTTTTGCACATATTCTGGTGTAGGCACAGACTGTTTCATAATAAATTATTCTCTAACTCCTGGCCTCAAGCGATCCTCCTGCCTCAGCCTTCCAAAGTACTGGGAATACAGGCGTGAGCAACTAAGCCCAGCAAACACTTTGAATTTTAAATTGTTATTAAGAGACCCAGTGCTTGGAGTCTTGGCATCTTTAGACTTTATAATCCTAGCACCACTCATACAGCTACAACCCCTTTTAAAATGGCTATTTCTCTGTAGTTCCAGCTACTCAGGAGGCTGAGGCAGGAGAAGGGCGTGAGCCCGGGAGGCGGAGCTTGCAGTGAGCAGAGTGAGCCGACATCGCGCCACTGCCCTCCAGCCTGGGCGAAAGAATGAGACTCCGTCTCAAAAAAAAAAAAAAGGCTATTTCTATCTTTTGTATCTTTGGGTTTTACCCATCTTCCCAAAAGGATTATATAGTTAACCAGATGGCAGGACTCTGAAGGCAGGAACTCTTGTTTTATTCATCTCTGTATGCCTAAGACTTGGAAAAAGATATGCTTTATAAGTTTTTAAAAATCTTTTAATTTTGAAATAATTATAAATTCACAGAAAGTTATAAAAATAATACAGAGAGTTTCCATTTACGTTTCACTCAATTTCTCTCAATGATTATAGCTTATACAACTGTAAAGCAATATTAAAACCAGGAATCTACCATTGGTACAATGCCTGTGCATAGTTCATACTGTTTCATCATGTATGTAGATTCACATAACCATCACTGAAGTCAAGACACAGAGCTGTTCCATCACCACAAATATCTCCCTTAGGCTACCCCTTTGTAATCATACCCAGCCCCCTCCCGCATCATCCCTAGCCCCTGGCAGCCACTACTCTGCTTTCCACTTTCGTAATTTTGTCATTTTGACAATGTAATGCAAATGGAATTACATGGTATATGACTTTTTAATTTTTTTTGATACAGGGTCACATTCTATCACCCAGGCATGCACCCAGTGCATGATCATGGCTCACTGCAGCCTTGACCTCCTGGGCTTAGGTGATCCTCTCACCTCAGCCTCTAGCTGGGACTATATACATGCACATGCCACCACACCCAGCTATTTTTTTTTTTTAAATTTGTAGAGATGGGAATCTCACTATGTTGCTCAGGCTGTTCTTGAACTCCTGGCCTGAAGTAATCTTCCTACGTCAGCCTCCCAAAGCATTGGGATTACAGGTATGAGACACTGCACCTGGCTGGTATATAACTTTTTGAGGTTGGCTTTTTTCACTGACAAAAATGCCCTTGAGCATTGAGTTGGGTCATTAAAAAAAAAAAAAAACCATTCTGCCAACCTCTGCCTTTTAATTGGTGCATTCAGATCATTTATGATGATGTAATTAATATGTTAGGTCTTAAGTATGTCATTTTATGTTTTCAGTTTATTTTCTTTTTGTTCTTTAGATTGGGTGATTTCTATTGTTCTACTTTCATGTTCATTGATTCTTCCCTCTCTCCTCTCTATTGTGTTGTTGAGCCCATCCAATGAATATTTTATTTCAGTTATTGTGGTTTTTAGTTCAGATTTCAATTTGGTTCTTTGTTATATCTTTTATTTCTTTGCTGAGACTTTCTGTTTTTTCATTTATTTTAAGTATGTTTGTAATTACGCATTAAAATATTTTTATGATAGCTGCTTTAAAATCTTTGCCAGATAAATTCAACATTTATGTCATTTCTATGTTTTTAAATATTTTTAATGTTTTTATTGCATGTAGTTTATGATTTCAAAAATTTACTGTAACATATAGCCTTATAGATCATAGAATGCTTTTATTTTTCCTTTTTCTAATTTCATTTTTTTAATGTTCAGGGGGTACATGTGCAGGATGTGCAGGTTTGTTACATAGGTAAATCTGTGCCGTGATGGTTTGCTCCACAGATCTTCCCATCACCCCGATATTAAGCCCAGCATCCATTAGCTATTTTTCCTGATACTCTCCCTCCTGATACTCCTCCCCCGCCACCCTCCCACAGGCCCCAGTGTGTGCTGTATCCCATCATGTGTCCATGTGTTCTCATCATTCAGTTCCCATTTGTAAGTGAGATCATGCGATATTTGGGCTTCTGTTCCTGCATTAAGTTTGCTGAGGATAACAGCCTTCTGCTCCATCCATGTCCCTGCAAAGGACATGATTTCATACTGTTTACGGCTGCATGGTATTCCATGGTGTATATGCACCACATTTCTTTATCCATTCTATCACTGATGGGAATTTAGGTTGATTCCATGCCTTTGTTATTGTGAATAGTGCTGCAATGAACATACTTTTCTCCAACGAGAGATTAAAATAGCTACATCTTACTTGTTTTGTTTGTTTCTTTAAACCATCTTACTACAAGGAAAGGATCAACAGAAGCTGGGTCTCTGTGAGGAATCCCATGTCATTATAATTCCTGATCCTGTATATTAAAATGACATACTTCACAAAAAGCCCGGGATATACCATTAAGCATAACTTGGTGTTTTGAGGTTTGCAATAATGCAATGTGGTGGGGTCTTCATTTATCATAATGAATACTCAGTGGGCTTTTTCAATCTGGAAACTTGTTTCTGTGGTTCTGGGAAATTTCCTTGTTTTATTTCTTTCATAATATCTTCCCCACCATTCTTGGTGTTTGCTGTTTTGGAACTTCTATCTGTAGGATATAGTGGACTGTTTCTTTCAATTCTCTAGTAATAACTTTTATATTCTCTTTGGTTCTCTGTTTGAAATGCTTGTTCCCTGGTGTCGTGACAAAATAGCACTTGAACATAAATTTAATTTATTCAGCAAGACCATTTTTATTTCCTGCAGAAAGGGTACACTCGCCAGCAGTTTTGCCTCGAGAGTATAACACTGAACAAAGGAGAGAGGGTCATTTATAACCTGACACGTTCACCCTACTGCTGTGTCCATTTTCCATTGGCTGGAACGGAACCTCACATTCTGTATTTGTCTCGATTGGCTAGCAACTTAGAACTTTTTAAAAGAGGCAAAGGTAGAGGAGAACAAAGGAAGGAGGACGCAACTTGTGGAATGCTGAGAAAGGCAGAAACACCTTTAAATAAGGAAAAGGAACAGGCTGTGACCTAATGCTTGCTTGGACCAGTATAAGCATGCCAGGGCAAATATTTAGGCTAAATTGTGGGAGCTAAGAACATAAAGTACTTTGATTTCTTTATTACAGCTAGCAGATATTTAGGAAAGTTAGCACAGGTCTTTGAACACATTTTGCTTCTAAGAGAAGTTATTATTTATTTCTAATTAAATGGGGAGGAAAGTCTTTGAAGAAGAACCTCTACTTTTTACATTCGCTTATCTTTTCTTACGTTATCTTCCATATTTTATACCTTTATGTTTTTAGAAAATTTTTAATTTTATTTTTCAGACATTTTATTAAATTTTCATTTCTGCTTTCCTACTTTTAATATTCAAGATTTATTTCCTGACTGTTTTTGGTTTGAAGGTTATACTAGCCTCATGAAACCTCATGAAATGAGGTGGGTGGGTTTTTTCTTTTCCTTTTTTTTGTTCCTGAAAAAGTTGTGTAAGATTAGAATCACAAGTTTAGCATCCCTAATATGATGCTGGATAGTGAGGGATTGCCCTAGTATCCAAAATCCAAAATCTGAGAATCTCCAAATCCAAACTTTTTGAGTGTTGACATGATGTTCAAAGGGAATGCTCATTGGAGCATTTCAGATTAAGGATTTTCAGATTTGGGATGCTCAACTGGTATAATGCAAATATTCTGAAACTCCCCCCACCCCCACCTCAAAAAAATCAAAATTTGAAACATTTCTGGTCCCAAACATTGTATTTTTAAAAAAATTTTATTTATTTATTTATTTTGAGACAGAGTCTCACTCTGTTGCCCAGACTGGAGTGCAGTGGTGTGATCTTGGCTCACTGCAATCTCTGCCTCCTGGGTTCAAGTGATTCTCTTGCCTCAGCTTCCTGAGTAGCTGGGATTACAAGCATGCGCCACCACACCTGGCTAATATATATATATTTTTTTAGTAGAGATGGAGTTTCACCATGTTGGCCAGGCTGATCTCGAACTTCTGACCTCAGGTGATCCGACCACCTCTGCCTCCCAAAGTGCTGGGATTACAGGTGTGAGCCACTGCACCCGGCCACCAAACATTTTAAATAAGGGATACTCAACCGGTATCTGTTCTCTGAGTGTTTGGTACAACTCACTGGTAAAATGTTCAAGAATTAGTTTCACTTTGCAAAAATATTAAAAATTATTGATTTTATTTCTTTAATAAATGTAGGATTATTCAGATTTTCTGTCTTCCTGAATTAGTTTTCTCATTTTTTCCCTGAGATGTGTTTATATATCTTAGTTTTCTAATTTACTTGTTACTAATGTTCACTTGTTATCCTGTCACTCTTCTGCATTGGTAATTATGTTTGATTAATTATTTCAAATAGTGTTTATTTTTTCCTTTTCATTTCTTCATAATATCTTCAGAGGTTTGTTAATTTATTAGTTTTTTCAAAGAACTCACATTTGCTTTAATGATATTCTCTAGTTAATCTGTTTACCATTTCATTAGCTTTAGCTTTTATATTTACTACTTTTTCTACTTTAGCTTTTATATTTATCATTTTTCTACTTTATACATATTTTGTTACTAACTTCTTAAGTTATATATTTAGCTTGCTAACTTGTTAGTCTTTATTTTTTAGAAAAGCATTTTCCCCCAGATTTTGCCCTAAGCTTTGGTTTTGCTGTATCACATATGTTTTTATTCTCTTTTCATGCTAAAAATTAAAAACGATTGTTAAGTGATTTATTCTTTGACTGGAGTTATTCAGAAGCATGTGCTTAATTTTTTTAAAAAAGAGTTTGGTTGTTTCATTATTGATTTCTGATATAATTGCATTTTAGTCAGATAACTTTTGTGTAAATTCTGATTTCTTGAAATTCTTTGAGATTTATTTAATGGCCTTACACATATTCAATTTTCATATGTGTTCTGTGTAAGTTTGAAAAAAATGCCAATTTACCAAATTTTAGATACATTCTTTCATATATCATCATTATATCAAACCTGTTAATTAATTATATTAGTCAAGTTCATATTCTTACTGGTTACTTTGCCTACCTGATCACTCAGTTACCAATGGAGATATATTAAAATCTCTTACGATAATGAAGGATGTATCAATTTTGTATTTGTTACATCTTATTAGCAACTTTAACTTTTAAAAAACTATGTAGTGATTTATTGCCTTAAACAATGTTTTGCTCCTTTAAGTTGATTTTGTCTGATGTCAATTTAGATTTTATTTAGTATTTGCATGATAATATTCATCCTTTTAGTCTCAGTCTATTTATGTCCCTAGTTTTTAATTGGCAGTCTTGTAAGTAACATACTGGTGAATGTTTTTTGAAATCTAGTCTGACAGTCTTTGGCTTTTAACTGGCGCATTTATGCATTTACATTTATTGTGATTACAGCTATATTTAGATTTATTTTACTTTTTATGTTGTGTTTTCTATTTATCTTTATTTCTATTTATATTTCATATGTCCTTTCTTCTTCTTAAATACTTTCTTTTGCATTGCGTTTGTTTTCCCATTTCATTTTTCTCCTCAATTAATTGCAAATTATATCTTTATTTTTATTGTTTAAATGATTCCCTATAAATTTAGAATGTATTTTAATTTAGCAAAGGCTAAAGTTGATTCATTCACTTATTCTTTTCCCAAATAATATAAACAACGTAAGACACCCTTAATTCTGTTCACTCCATCCCAACTTATGAGTAACTGCTATTATTATCCAGTATTTTAGTTCTTGTAGTCTTTTTTTTTTTTTTTGAGACGGAGTCTCGCTCTGTCGCCCAGGCTGGAGTGCAGTGGCGGGATCTCGGCTCACTGCAAGCTCCGCCTCCCAGGTTCACGCCATTCTCCTGCCTCAGCCTCCCTAGTAGCTGGGACTACAGGCGCCCGCCACCACGCCCGGCTAATTTTTTGTATTTTTAGTAGAGACGGGGTTTCACCGTTTTAGCCGGGATGGTCTCGATCTCCTGACCTCGTGATCCGCCCGCCTCGGCCTCCCAAAGTGCTGGGATTACAGGCGTGAGCCAAGTTCTTGTAGTCTTTAAGCCCTCAAATTACAGAGTTGCTTTAGATTAATCCACTCATTTAACATTTTGTTTGCTCACTATTTCTTCTTACATCTCAGGCTTCCCTGGGGGCTCATTTTCCTTCTTTCTGGAGTAAATCTTTTAGACATTCCTTTAAAAAGAATCTCTCAATTTTTATTTTCTAAAAATATTTTTATTTTGCTATTGTTCTTCAAAGATCATTTCTGTAGTAATATCATTCTAGGTTGATGGTTTTTTCCTCTCTGCTTAAAAAAAATCCATTATTTTCTGATTTTTTGTGACTATTGAGAATAGGCCCTACTTTCTCTATTGAGCAATTAGATGTCAATCAAATTTGTACCTATATCAGTAATCTGACTTGTTCTCTGGCTGCTTTTATGATTTTCTTTCTTTTTTCCATTAAAAAAATTATATTCGCTTCTCTTTTCCTCCCTTCTTCTTTCCCTCCCTCTTTCTTTCCTTGTTTTGATATTCTGCAGTATCTTACAATGTATCTAGTATCTAGCCTCGAATCTCTTTTTATTTATTTTGCTTTACTTGGTTTTCTGTGTCTGAGGATTTCTGCCTCATACATTTGGGAAAATTCTTATTCACCATCTCTTTGAATATTGCCTTCTTCTACATTTTCTCTACTACCTCTTTCTTATACTCTGATAAGCTAGATGGTACATCTCTTAATTATAGTCTCCATGTCTTTTTTCCCCCAAATATACATGTTCATTTTTATTTTATTTTATTAAAAAAAATTCAGCACCGGGAAATCAACATTTTGTTTTTTTGGAAAAGGACTGATAACTTAAAACTTGCAGGGTTCTGTTAGTTTTATAAATATGTATGTTCAAAATATTTTGATTAAGAACATTTTAATCACAAGGCCAGCATATGTTACTATGAATCCAGTTGAAATCCAGACCAGTAAAGATTTGGTTATACAGCTTGTGATCTTTTCTGGGATTGAAACATCACACAGGAAAAAGTCTTGTCTGGTACAGTTGCTTATAATTGCACTTTCCTCTCCATTGCTCAAGTCCTTATTTCAGGAGCTCTAATCCAATTTTCTCAGACCCCATCTCCCTACTGGCCAACAAAGGTTTCATGCTGGGTCTTGCAAAATTAAGCTATAAGCTTTTCTTCCACCAAAGGTTTGAATCTGAGCACAGATGTCAGAGTTAATCCAGTCACCCCAGGCCCTCTTAAACCCATAGAAAAGTAGATTTGTCTTACTGCCTTTTTAATGGTGTGGAATTTTCCTCTGCTTGGCAGCCCTCCTCACTTTGTTGGTTATACCTAATTGGGTTTATCTTTTTCTGAACCAACATCATGGGAAGACCTTTCGGCAAGTGGACTGTATTTCTTTCTAGGGCTTAAAATGTGGGTCATAGACATCTCTAGAGACTAAATATCCACTGGGAATCCTTATCCCACTCTACTTGTTTGTTCTGAAAACAAAACTGTCATCAGTCACCCTGGAAAACAGAACCTGGGGTCTTAAGGATGTTGTAGCAGTTACATGATATTACAGCTAAACTGAGTATGCCCAGTGGTGTTAATTGGGGTCAACTTCCAACATGCTTTTGAGGTCTATGATGCTACCACTACAACCCAAGTCTCTGAAAGGGTGCAAAGTTATCAACAGTACAACTAGATCCATGGTCTTTTAGATAAGTCACTTACTATCATAAGTGAACATCTAATTTGAGGTCAGGTTTCCTAACTAAGCATTTGGCTTTCAGAGCAATCTCTAGTAAATTTCTTATATCCCTGGTTCTTGGCAGTAGAGTTTAAATAATATAGAAATACTTATTTCAAATCCTGACTGTAACACTTTTAATTGTGTGACATTGGGCAAGTTATTCAAACTCCATTGATTTTTCAACTGCAAAATTGAGACAGTGTTGTTCACCTCAAAGGTTTGTTGTGAGGACTAAGGAAACTGATGTATGTAAAACACCTACTATATACATGCTCAATAGATAGTAGTTCTGATTGCCTTATTGACAAGATCACATCCTTAGTTCTGCCAAGAATAGCTTGCTGACTTATTGCCAAGAAATATGGGCTGCAGATTTAGGTTCAAAATTGTATGGAGAGCAAGAACCACCAGCCAAGTTGGAGACTGGCAGACTGATTTCCTATACTCATCTTGGCCCAGTATTTGGTAGACATGTTGCAATATTGCAGAAAATGTGAAACCAAGGGGAGAACTGGAAGAACGTGAGACAGGTTGGAGTTATGCAATTGTTTTGCAGCCCTGGTCCTCTCTGTTGCCACAGCTCGAGTCCACAATTCCTCATTGTGTACCAGGTCTCTGCTGCCTGCAGCTTCTCTTTCTTCTCACTCTATGATTTATGAGGTCATTTTGTCTTGTGGGTCAGAAGATGGGGCCTAAGGCACCAAAAAGAGCTATGTTGAGTGCCATGGTGGTGACAGAGGCGTGCTAAAAAATGACCATAAGAGACCAGCTAGATTATATGCCAGATGCTGCACTAGGAGCCTAAGCAACAATGGCCCATGAGACATGGTCTCTGTCCTCAAGGAGTTCACCACAATTGAATGGATGGGAGAGACAAATGTACAGACAGTGTCACTGTAGAGCAGTGGGTGACTCTTCTGGGAGGTCAGAGAAAGGGACATGAGTGCTGAGAAGTAAAGGTGTATATAAGGAGGTAGCCAGAAAGAGCAGACATGTGTGTGCATGCATGTACTGTGTTTAGGTAGGAGCAGGAGAGTGGGGAAGAGACAAGATAAAATGCATTTGAAAACTGTACCTGCTGTGAGGATACAGCTGGTGTGGGCTGGGAGGTGAGAAGGAGCAAGGGATATTTGAGAAGCTGTTTGCTCAACTGCGATTGGTGCCACTGGTGTCATATAAGGGGCTCTGTTATCTACAGAGGATTCCCTAGTGACCTGCACAGGAACGAGGAAGAGTCTTCTGCCATGAAGACCCTACTGTTAGAGCGAAATCCTTTTTTCACTACTTCTCTTTGGTGTTCCTTTCTTCTTGTCTCTTCCTCTTCCACCACCTCCCAAATGTTTGTTTGTTTTCGCATCCCCTGTGCTTTGTTGAGAGATTTTGCTGCGATGTGGGAAATCCCAGGGAACAAACCCACAGTGGTCAGGTCTAGGGTGAGGTACTAGACCTTCCTTTCAAGGGGTAACTATTAACCGGGCATAAACACTTGCTTAGCTCCATGTGGCATTGAGCCCCTCCTTTCGCATTCAACCCTGATCTCTGAGGGCCTCTTTACCAGTTTCCCTCTAGGAGAAGGTTTTTCTTTTAGCCCCTACTCAGAAAAAGAACCGTAGTGCCTCTGCCAGAGTCTCAGTTCTCCCTCTCAACTCCTGACTGAAGCTGTTTCACAGTCACCTGATCTAGACTGGGAAAAGCACCTCTGTCTCTGAAACAATAGTCAGTTTCTCTCTCCTCTCCACCTGCTTTCTTTCTCTGTCTCCTTTGTCTTTCCCTTCCATCTCCCCTTACCCTAATCCCACACAAACAAGTCTCTTGGCTGTCCCTCTCTTCAATTTTTACAACTTTTATCATGACCACCCCCACTCCCAGATTCCTGGTCTCTCAGCCTTTTCTGTGCAATCCCAAATTCATATGCTTTTCTAAAAGTGTAATTAACTGATATTTATTGAGAACATAATATGTACTAGAGGCTTTATATATATTAACTCATGTAATCATTGAAAAAAAATCATGTGGAGTAGGTGTTATTATCTGTATTTTTTAAATGAGAAAATGGAAGTTCAAAGCTATATGATAATTTGCCCAAGATCACAAACCGGTGATTTCAGCAGAGCTAAAATTCAAATCAGGTCTGACTCAAAAGCTCATGAGTTTCACTTTGCATTGTATACATTTTTTTCTGATTATGAAATGTTTTCATAGAAAATGTGAATAACTCAGAAAAACGAAGATGCACCCTCCTATATTTCTACATCCTGATTATTACTATTTATGATTTCTGTTCTGTCCTTATCTTATGCAGTTTAAAATACATAGTTATGAAATTGGCACATATATATGAGTATATATTAATATATTATGCATATATATACATAATATTCTGTACTATTTTTACCTAGCATTATCTTATTTTTCATATCACTAGATAGTTCTCAAAAATGAAATTTTAAAAGAAAAAACAAAATGAGATTTTAAAAGAAAAAATAAAAAATAGAAACGTGGTTGAATATAATATGCTGTATTATATTCAACCATGTTTCTATTATTAGTGTTTTATTTTTTCATTTAAAAACTTTATAAGTAATGCTGGGATGATAATACTTATAAAAAAGTTTTGGAGCTCCTATTTGATTATTTTTTAAATATTGGAAGTAAACATTTTAGGTGTATAATACTTTCAAGAATCTTGACCTATGTCCACAAATTAAATTCAAGAAAAACTATACTTATTCACATTGTTATCAGAAATATATAAAGTCATCTCCCAGAAACCTTCTAACAATAAACTCTTAAAAATATTTGTCAGTTGTTTGCTGACAACAATTACATCATTGTTTAGATTTGTAAATTCTTGGATTCCTATTAAATAGAATATTTTTCAAATGTTTACTGATCATTTACATTTCTTCTCAGTTTCCTTTTTTTAGAGCAGGGGCTGGCAAACTACAGCCCATGGGCCAAATCTGTTTTTGTAAATAAAGTTTCACAGGGTCTCAGCCATACCCTTTCATTTATGGAAATGCTCCCTTGCAGTTCTGCAGAGATGGGTAGTCATGATAGAAACTGTAGGGTTCCATAAATCCTAAAATATTTCCCAGATGGACCTTTACGGGAATGTTTACCCACCCCTGTTGTAGAGAACAGACTCCTGTTTTGGCAATCTCTTATTCCCTTTGTCTTGGGTTTTCAAGTACTTTCCCTGTATGTCTCAGGCTGATTTTTTTTTTTTAAACTCTCTTACTGTCAGTAAGAGAGACATGTCTGGACTAGATGCTTGCCAATAGGTAGGATGCAGGGATTTCCCTCGGTCGCCCTTGTTGACCACCAGCCTGCTTGTTGAATCCCTTCTCAGGTCTACAGAAAAGTGATTGTGTATTTTGTTGTCTAATTTCCAGCGTCCAGCTGGTGCTCATGTAACATAGCTCTGGGTTCCAAGGGAGGATTTTCTGTCTTCGTCCATAGATTGTTTCTCTAATATAAATCATTAATAAAGTCATTGGTAATTCTATTGCTTTTGAAAGACAATACAATTTTTAAAAGCATGGATCCTAGAACCAGATTGTTTGGTTGAAAGGTCAGGTCTGCCACTTACCAGCAGTGTGAATCTGGATACATTATTTTTTCCTTGTGCCACTTTCTCATCATCTGTAAAAATCATAGGGCTTATGCTATTACATTCCTCACAAGGGACATGGAGGAGACAGTGCTCATTGAGATATTCATGAGCTTCCCAACATTTCCCAGCCTCCCTGGCTGTGACTGGGGCCATTTGACTAGTTCTAACTGGTGGACTGGGGGTAGAAGTATCATGTGTCATTGCAAGGCTGAGGCAGTTAAGAGCTGCTTTGCCTTCTACCACAGAGCACTTGTGTGATCACAAGATGGAGAGAGCCTGAATCCTTGAGTTAGCAGGTAGAAGAGAGTCTCTGCTTGCCTAAATCAAACTTGGCATGAGCAAGAAATAAACTTGTGTTGTGCTAACTTAATTACTGAGATTTTGGAGTTTTAAATTTCTTTTTCCTACAGCATAGTTTATGCTAGTCTAATATAGGATTGTCCTCAGAACTAATTAATACATAAAATGCACATTAAGTTCTGTAAAAATGTTTTCTTTTCTTACTCCTCTTCTTCTTATTATTAAAAGGACCACAATTCTTAGAATTGACTCTTTTGTTTTCCACTCACATCTTTATTATTTTATTTATTACTTATGAGGAGCCAGCCTTATATAATGCATTTGCTACACACACACATACACCCACCATGTTGTTTTAGGGAGATTGTTGTCTCCAAATAAATCTAGAAATTTGGGTTGGGGTAGGGGAAGAAAGAGTTCTATGTCCATCTCAAAAGACAGCACTCACATATTCAATTCTTCTTAGACAGACTCTGTATCTCTGAGCAAGATAAATTAATCTATGTGTCTTTCTGCCTTCTCTCAGGCTGCTGGAGTTGCTCTGCTTCATGAGAAAAGCATAGGCCAACCACCATTTTGTTTTCTCAATACACGTCCTTGCAGATGAACACCTCAAACCACATGCTTTACAGTTAGTAGACATTTCTCCCACATCCTGCAGCCGGTGTTTTATCTTTCAGTGTTAGCATTTTCATCTTTTTTCTTGGTCTTTGTTGGTTCTTTATTAAACCATCAGTCTTGTTTCTTAGGGTCACACATCTCAGGCCTTGATGAACATTCATTTAGCCATGCCTCTTATGTGGAGTACATTCAATCCATACATTCTCAATAAAGTTTTTTGCCTTCTAAACTTGCTTGTTTTGAATGTTCTTTCATTTGCTGGAACACAGAACACAATGTTCTTTCATTTGTTGGAACACAGAACACAGATATAATTTAGAGAGTTGCTGGTGTTCAGTATTCTCTGTCCCTCATATTGTTGTTCATTCCAAATAGTAAACCATCCTATGTTTCTTTCTTAAGATATCCAAGTTATGATCTAACTTCATTATTCTTGGATAACGTAACTCGATTATTCACTGTCTACATCTTGAGCCCCAGTGTGCATCATCTCTTCATGCTATTTTGGAGTCAGTAAATTTAAGAAAGTATAAATGTGCCAATCATTCAACTTTGGTGGAAAAATGAGTAGGGGGCAAATCCTAAAGGGCCATAAATGCCAAACCCAAGGTCATTAGAATTTTGTACCATAGGGAACCTGGTAATTTGGTGCAATATGCATTATGGAAAGGTGATCCTGGTAAGAAACATGGAAGTCAGTAAAGAGGAGAAAGATGATAAGGCCTTGGACAAAGGGAGTGGGAATGCGGATAGAACCCCAGAGCATTTGGTTTACCCATTCGACCTTCAGGAAATAGAGAGGAGAGAGATCATAGTCGAGAGGAATGTAGAATTGATAGGACTTGGTGTCGGGTTGAAGAAGCCAGAGATATGTGACTCCAGGTTTTTGATTTGAGTCACTATGAGTACTGGTGTCGTTTATTTATCAAAACTCAGCTCACGTGAAGAGAAGATTTTTAGAGAAGATAATGTATTTATTTATTGGTTGTATTGTATTTGAGATATCTTTGGGACATTCTGTTGAGAAGTGTGAAAGACATTTGTATATATAGGCCCAGAACTCAGAGAAGGGAACCAAAGTAGAGAGGAACAGAAAATCAGCTCAGGTAATCAATCCTCAGCTTTGAACAAATAGCTGGGGTGTGGCAGCGCTACAGGGAGAGCCCTGAGAGGTGTGAAGGAGCAGCTGGGCCAACCTGCCAGATGGCTGCAGTGTCACCAAAGGATGACATTAATCTGCTGTGCAGTGTGAAACTTAGGGACTGCCTGACATTCTAAACGAAAGAGAATATTGAATGGGGAGGGAGTAGGTTTCCTGCAGTTTAGTTGCTGAGCTTTGGAGCCAGCAAAAGCTGACATATTAATGTGATCTCATTAGCACCCACATGCAGAAAAGCTTCCCCATTTAATCTTCAGCCATTATCTTACTATTCAGGACAGGAAGGCCTCCTACTTACCTCTTCAGAGCATTCCCTTGGTCTTTCTCTCCTTTCATCCACACAGAGAACTTTGCCCCAAATGGCGGCAGCATATTGTGGAAATAGCTGGGGCTATGGATACTTTTAATTCTGATCTGAAATGCTGGGTAGAAACTTACTAGCTATGGAAAGCTCCTTAAACTACTTTGCTTCTTTGAGCCTCCGTTTCCTTTTTTGTAACCTCACATGTTGAGAAGATGAAATGATACAAATATTTGGTGCAGATCGATTTCTTTCTTTTAATTGTTTAGTACTTTTTTGCTTTAAAGTAAAAGCAAAGTAGTGAGTTAACATCTCACCCAGAGACATTTGTTTTCTTTTCCACAAAAGAGTACTTCCAGAAATACAAATCAAAACTATAATGAGATATCATCTTACCTCAGTTAAAATGGTTACTAATATGTACTATTAATATGTACCCACAAAAATTAAAAGTTAATATGTACCCACAAAAATTAAAAATAAAAAAATTTTAAAATAAAAGTAATGTGATTTTTTTTTTTTTTAAAAAAAGAGTGTTTTCATACACCTTCTGGCAAAGGTTGTAGTAACTTTCATTGAGGTACAAGAACCTCACCCTCATTTTAACGAGCGTTGGTTTCAGCTTCCAGTCGATATCTGATAGAGTCTGATTAATTAACTGGATTACCCTTTCAATTTGACGAAGTTTCAGAAAACCATTGTTCAACAGAACAGATGGGTCCTCTCCTCCTTTTTATGTAAGCTTGCAAACTGCAGTCAAATCCTCTGATAATTCAATCTTGTCTGACACAACTTTGTATTTCTGAACACCATGGCGGAAGATCACTGTTGCTTCTGCTGCTTTTTCTGCCCAGGAGGGCCTCATCTACCTCATTCATCTCGTTAAGGTTTGTAATCTCAAATTTCTGTTTTATTTACTTGCTGTGATTGTTGACTGAATTGCATATCCTATCAGTAGAACTTGGTCTGGGAAACCATGTGAATTCCTTTATCTTTTGTAAGTGGTATAGAAATTTTATTGGGATGTTCACATGCCTGATAAAGGGTAGGGCTCTGTCCACCAAAACTCTTGTGGTCATAGCGTGGTTACAGCTGCAATGGGAAAAGTAGTTTCCAAACTACCCAAGATGAATTTTAGTGCTTCCTGTAGTCTTCCATCCAGCTTCTTCAGGCCAGATTCTTAAACAATGTGGGGTCTTATCTTCATCGTTGTTAGCCTAGGTCCAATGACGCTGAGGGTATTTGGGAGAGCTCATTCATAATTCCTGATCTTGCATTCCAAAGATACCTGGAAGGTGAAACTTACGTCTTGAGGGTATTTCCAAAGTGAAAGCCATTCTCTCTTGGCCAGCTTTGTGGGCTTGCTAGGAAAACGAACCATTGCCATAACCTTTAGCATCCACGTTATCATCTGACATTTCTTTGTCCTTTTTAAGAGTTAAATACTCACAGTTTTATATTTCAAAGTGGCCTATGTTATACTATGAAGAACACTTTGTTTCATCTTAATCACCTTCAGAAAAATGACCCAAGGTACTACCCTTAGATGCTTGTAGGCACTTTCCTCATGAGTCCTCTTATTCTAAATACTTAAAATTATGAACTAGTAACATATTATTTTACAACTTCTGTGAATAGTATCTTAGTTTACTGAAAGGCTTTTTTATGTAACCATGGATTCTTTTTTTTTTGTCTTTAGAGTTGACCTTCTGTTTTCTGAAGTTACTTTAAGGATCATGTTTCAGAAGGAAAACAAGCCTGGCATAGAAACCACTTCAGCGCCTGTTTATCCAGCACGCAGGGTGAGGACACTATTAGGCGTGAAAAAACAATTTCATGGGTATTAGGCTATAGTTCCAGGACTCACCTTCAAGGACTGAGGGTCTTAGGCTGCTGCTATGAGGATGTCAATGCCAGTGTCCCTGAGGAAGAGGCCAGATTGAATATTGCTGAATTTGTTTTCTGAATAAATATTTAGAAACAGCCACCCTTCACTTTTCATCTTTTTGCCTGCACACCTGATTAAACATTTATAAAAATAACTGCAAAGTGAAATTATCACCACAATGAGGACCAGATGCAATTGTACCTCCTGGAGAAGAGAGTGAAGTGGATGTGGAAGAAAAGCATGTAGGGATGATCAGGAACGGAGACACGTGGGGGCGATGAGAGATGGGTCTCAGCAGAAGACTGGGGAGGTCATTCTGGAACCATTCCTGTCTCTCGACCAGGACTGGCAGGCTCAGGCTGAGCCAAGAACTCATAAATACCTCTAGTAAGTGAGTTAATCATTTAATAAATACGGAAACTATGCATGGGCCTCAAGGTTAAAGGTGAATGGGCAGGGTTTCAAAAACAATTTCATTAAGTAGACAATAATAGACTACAACTGATGGCTTGTGTTCCCACATTAAAACAAAAAACTCTTTCAAATGAACTAATGCACCCTGGGTTCAAAATAATAAAAAGATATTAGAAGACTGAGAAAAACTGAAATATTAAGATATAAGTAAAAGAACCATATGATATGTAGCATATAGCAGATATTGGAAAGCTACTTGTGTATATATTAATCTTGCTGAATAGAGATAGTGGTTCTATGAGGTCAGGGCCTTGTCTTCATCTTTCTGTTCCTCACAGCATGTGTGATTAAGTTGAATTCAATACACGGGAATTCAGTTCAATTCCATGTAACACTTGCATTGTGGTTATGCATTGTGTAATTCAGAAAAAAATCAATAAAATTGTCTATAGTATCAATAATTCCTTACATTGGATTTAATTTACCTGCACCTCCAAATTGAGAAAAAGGAAATGATACACTCATTATTTAATAAGATTAAAGTGTATGTATTAAACAACTGGAAGAAATCCAGCTGTGATGTTTCACCCAACAAAGTCAAGTGGACTGAAAATGAAGAATTGCTAACAGCAGTAACAACATCAAAACACTCAGAGGAGAGATGCTGTTCTAAGTGTTTTACATGTTAATACACTTAATCATCATAAAATCCTATATGGTAGGAACTGCTATTAACCTCATTTTACAGAGAAAGAAACAGAAGCACAGAGAGGCCACATTACTTGTGCAAAGTCATTCAACTTAGGCTCCAGAATCTCTGCTGTGGACTCCTGCATGACTGTACTGTGAAATGAGATGGAATAAAGGTAGAAGCAAAATACCATGAAATTACAAGAGGATAGGGAGTGTTTCATCTGATAAATTCAAGGAAGCCTTTATAAAAGAGGTGCCATGTAAGTTGAAAGAGAAGGTTAAATTTCAGCAGATGGAGAAGAAAGCATGTCTTTAAAACAATTGTGGACTTGGATGGAGGAATAGAGGAAATAAAGGAGGATATTTCAGAAGAAAGAAAGAAATGAGAAAGAATATGGAGAAAGAGAAGCTCAAGGCTATTTGGGGAAACAGTGGATAAGGCAGTTTGGCTGGAGAAGACATTTGTATTGCTGATGCAGGAGATCACCTGAGAAAGGTATGGATGAGGGAGGTATAAACTTCGCTCCTTAAGGCAGTGGAGGCAACGGGAAGCTATTGAAAACTGTTCAGCTAGGAAGTGACATGAGTAGAAAATTTTCATGGCTGCCTCTCTACCAAAAATTAGCCTCAAAACTTGGAAATCCATCCTGCCTGATCACTGAGTTTAGTTGGAAGTCAAGGCCAAATAGTGTGGATTTCAAAAGACTCACATCTTAGCTGTACAATTAGGCTATACTGTTTGCTTTCTTTTATATGTGAAAGCACTATTGTAGTTTCTAACACTTTGACATTTGCTCCTGATGATCAAAACATATGAAAATATTCCTGTCCTTATGGAGCATATAATCTAGTTGGATAAGATGCAATATACAAGCTAAAGTAGGTATAGCAAGGCATGGTGGTGTGCACCTACTCCCAGCTACTTAGGAGGCTGAGGTGGGAGGGTTGCTTGAGTCTGGGAGGTTGAGGCTGCAGTGAGCTATGATCACACCACTGCACTCCAGACTGAGTGGCAGAGCAAGATCCTGTCTCAAAAAGAAAAAAAGATAAAATAGGTAAAAAGAATATAATTAAATATCAATTAAATAAATTACACATTAAATATTAAACAAATATTCCTTAAAGAATATTAATATTCTATAATATTATATTCAATAATAATATTAAAAGAATATACAAATTATAGTGATAAAAGGAAAGGAAAAAAATAAGAAGGGAAGAGGGACACAAAGGGTGGGCATGTTGAAATTTAGATGTAGTTTCAGGAAAAACTTCTCTTAAGAAAGTGACCTTCAAGTAAAGACTTAAAGGAGTTGAGAGGGAATTGTGTGAATATTTAGGGGAAGAGCATGCCAGGAAGAGGAAAGGGCAAGTGCAAAGGCCCTGGGGTTGAGGCATGCCAGGAATATCTGACCAAGGAGGCCAAGAGACTGGAGTAGAGAGAATAGGGGTGTTAGTAAGTGGGATACAGTGAGTGAGAGGCAGATCACATAGGCCACACAGGGCACAAGGGCACAGCTTTTACAGCTACTGTGGTTATGGAGCAGAGGATTAACATGATCTGACTGACGTTTTAATTGGATCAGTTGGCTAACATGTTAAGAATGGGCTGTGAGGATAAGGGTGGGGTAGGAAGCAAAGTCAGGAAGGAGGGATACTTGTTAAAAGTAGGGTGGTAGCAATGGAGGTGGTATTAAATTCTGAATATCTTTTGAAGATAGAGCCTATAGAATTTTCTGACAGACAAGACGTAGAGTGTAAGAGGAAGAGAGAAGTCAAGAATAGCACTATGGATTTTTGCCTGCGTGACTGGATTATGGGAGGATTATGGGAGGAGTTTTTTTTTTTGGTAGTAGTGGAGGGAGAGTTATCAAGGGTTCAGTTTTGGATGAGATTGGTTGGAGATGTCTATTGGACATTCCAGTAGACATTTCGGACAGGAAGGTTGATGTAAGATCTGGAGTTCAGGAAAGGGGTTTAGGCTAGAGACACACATGTTGGAGTTGTAGCACACGGATAGTATGAAATCTATAACCTGGATGAGATCACCCAGGGAGTGAGTGTCCATAGGAATGAGGAGGCCCAAGTACTGATCCATGGGGACTGAACAATCAAGGATTGGAAGGATGAGGACAACCAGCAGAAGAAGCTGAGAAGGAATGACCAGGGAGGTAGGAGGAAAACCAAGTGAGTGTGACGTCCTAAAAGCCAAGAGAAGAAAAGGTTTCAAGGAGAAGAAAGTTATCAACTGGGTCAAATGTTGCTGATGGGGTAAGTCAGATGGGACCAAACTTAGCAACACGGAGGCCGTCATGACATGGAAAAGAGTAGCCAAGGTCAAAAGGAGAGAGGGTGGCTGTGTTGAGAGGCTGACCTTTTAGCAATATCATTCTCTTGGCTCAACATCTTCTTAGGTGAGTACCTGGGGGAGAAAAAGCCCCTTTTAAAAGAGTACTTCCAGGGAGCTCTGCCCTTGCATGGCTTTCACGATGTGTTCGTTTGTGGATTTAAGTGTTTTCTTGCCAGTAAATTCATTGATTGAACCCTGCTTTGGGCCAAAGCATGGTGCTAGATGTTGTGCTGGTAAGGGTAGAGGAAATTCAGAGAAATAGAAGACGTCATGCCAGTGGTCGCTATAGTGCCCATCACACTTCCCCTTCCCTCACTTCTGGAAACGTGTCTGTGCAGTTTGGATGTGGCTAAAGCTACCTTACTTCGTAACCCAACCAAGAGCAGGCAAGTGACCTAGGTGTGGCTAAACAGAATGGCGCCTGCAACAGTGAATGGTTCAAGGACCATGCAGCCACCATCTCACCAAAAAGCTCCACCCTCTTGCCCAATAGTGTGCCTGGCTTGGGGAGTTGGGGGGTGAGTGGGGTGAATGGGCTGGAATGGGGAGAGGTCTTCAGCTCCCCCTAGAGGCCAAAAACTTTCAATGCCCATAACCCAGGAGGCTGGGTGGCTTCCGGAGGGCAAATGGCAGGCTCCATTCCATCGAGGAGTGGGCAGTTGTTACTGCGGGGAGGTCCCTGGCAGTAAGGCAAGTCATATGGGGAACCTCCCTTTCCGACTGGCTCCCGACAGCTGACTCAGTAAGTACTTCAATGGAGCGACCTCAAGAGTGGTCTGGCTGTTCTGCATTATCAGCATCCACTACAAAGCCACATGATAAATGACGGCCTGTTTCCTCGCTTCTGTTTGTAAGGGCATCACGAAAGGACATCATACTCAACAGACGTGCTGGGCCAGCTCTCCCCCTGCCCACAGCCTCCACCCCGCCACGAGGCGCTCCCCAGTGTGTGATTGATCACGGGGATGGCACAACTCCAGCCCTCGCTGGGGAGAGAGGAAGGCTGGGCAGTGGGGATTAAAGGGGATGGAAAAGTTAAAAGTGAGAATTTTTATTTTTGCAATGTGCCCCTCTGCTAACCATTAGTTCGAAGCTTCCTGAATGGAAACAAATCAGGAAATAGCAGTGGGACTAATAAACTCTTACTGGGGAACAGCTGGGGATAGCGTTGGGGATCATGAATAATACCACTATTGTGTTGGACCTTGGGCCATACGTAAACTTGGCTAATATTCATGTTTCTCCCAATATCCGCATAGTAGTCCCACAGTTTATTTTTCTGGACAATGAAAGTGAAATTCCGGCTGAGCACAGTGGCTCATGCCTATAATCCCAGCTTTTGGGAGGCCAAGGTGGGAGGATAGCTTGAGCCCAGGAGTTCAAGACCAGCCTGGGCATCACAGGGAGACCCCTATCTTTATTTTTTTAAAAAGGAAGTGCAATTCCAAAGGTTAAGTGATTTGTCCAAAGTCATACACAATGAATCAAGACAGAACAACAACTTGAAATTGTGTTCTTGCAATATAGTTTCTTCACCCCTCCAAGCAGGGTGTTCACTATGTGCTTGATTTTCCTGGCTGTGTCCTCCTATTACCCCTTCTGCCAGGGGAAATCCAGCTCATTGCAGTCTCAGCTCACATGGCTGACAATATTACTTCTTGACACTAAGCCACAAGATGAATACCCTGGAACCCCATTGCTTTCTCAGGTGATTGACCTGATCGACCTGATACTGCCTTAAGCAAAAGCACATCAGGCCTTAAAGATTGTACCATTGTCTTTTATTCTCTTCTCCTTCTCTTTGTGGTAGGGACTTTTGTTATCTTGATCTTCCAATTAAAAACTTTGTTTCTCACATTGATTTTAGCTTCTCTTTCTGTTCCCTCACTCATGCATTTGTATATCAAATGAATTTATGAAGCATCAATGTTTACTGAGCACTTACTATGTGCCAGTTGCCATGCTAAGTTCTGGAAGTACAGTGGCCCAATTTAGTCTGAGGGATTAAAAAATCTTTCCTTGAGGAGGACTGACTAAGCTGGGACTTGAAGAGTGCGTAGGATTTAGCCAGGTGAAGAGAGGGCCAGAAGAGTATTGCAAGGCAGCAGGTGTATACATTTGGAAGCAGTAAAAAGGAGGGCCCCTTAGAGAAATGTCAATGCCTTCAGTAAGCAAACAGGGGACTCAGAAAGATACAGCTCTAGAGGAAGGAAGGCTGCTGGGGAGTGTTGATTGTCTCCCAAGAACACTGGTGGATTAGTCCATTCTCACACTCCTATAAAGAACTGCCCAAGACTGGGTAATTTATAAAGGAAAGAGGCTGAGTTGACTCACAGTTCAGCATGGCTGGGGAGGCCACAGGAAACTTACAATCATGGCACAAGGTGAAGGGGAAGTAAGGCACCTTCTTCACAAGGTGGTGGGAAGGAGCAGTGCTGAACTACGGGGGAAAAGCCCCTTATAAAACCATCAGGTCTTGTGAGAACTCACTCACTGTCACAGAACAGCATGATTCAACTACCTCCCATTGGGTCCCTCCCACAACACGTGGGGATTATGGGAACTACAATTCAAGGTGAGATTTGGGGGGAACACAGCCAAACCGTATCAACTGGGAAGCTATGGGGGTTGTAAATACACAAGCTTCTAGCTCACCCTCTCTTATTCTAGAACCCTAATGGCTACGAGAGAGAAAGCCAAATGCATTTTGAAAAATCACCTGAACACCAGGTGCATTTTTTCAAAAACGCATCTACCCCAAGAGGAAGGGGTAGATGTGACTCTGCCTCTTCCTCTTTAACAATGGGGTTTGAATTCACAGATGATTACAGTAAATTCATCAGCCCCAATGGAGGGAGGGGGAGGGTCAGTTCTGTGAGGTGTTGGTCATCACTTAGGTAGATCTAATTTCCAGAGTGGCCCTGAACAGAAAATGGTTAAGAGAACTCCAAGGACCAAGGTGATCAAGAGAAGGGCATTAGGCAACAAGCAAAGCCAAGAGGGAGCAATTCAGTCTGAAAGTTCTGTGAGCCAAGGCCAGATTCCAGGAGAGCTTCAGAAAGCGCTGAGCCATACTCGTAACTGCAAGGGGATTCAAAACACGGGGATGGGGCCCCTTGTCTCCAGCTGATTTGTCTTGGGTGTGCCCTTTGGATTCCAGGTCTCATTCTCCACCCAGAGAGTGGAATCTTGGAAGCTGTTCCCTTTTGTTGAGCCTTTAACCTTTCCTTTCACTCCGGCTCACCCCAATTCCAAAAGCTGCCCATTTTTTCATCAACGAAACCATTTCATCATTGCTCCTTCTGCTTCAAAGCCACTCTCTCTGCTACCCACAGAGAATAACTAACTGCTGCCTTGTCTCAGACCTCCCTGACAGTGAAAGAGAGAGACACCAGATCTTGCTGTCAACTAATTATCATGGTCCTGCCTCAGGGCCTTTGCTCAGGCTGCTGTGCCAGGCTGGAAACTTTATCAACATATCTGCCTAGCTACTCCCTTCACAGTAAACCTGTGCTCAAATTTTACCTTTTTCCTAAGGCCTTCTCTATTGTATTTAATACCTTACTTGCCCAATCCCCCTACTCCACTTTACTTTTTCTTTTTTTATATACCTATCTTATAGCATATTATCTAACTTATTTACTATGTTTATTGTTTATTTCACCCAACTAGCATATAAAGTTGCTGAGGGCATGGGTGTGACCCCAGAGCATAGAGTAGTGCCTGGCTGCTGATTAAGTATCCATTGAGGGATGAATGCTCTTTCAGCCAGATAATGCATTACCTTTCCCATGATTACTTTTATGCTTATTGGCAGTGGATGCTAATATCATCAAGGTGCACTGTGTTATGTGGAGGTACCATGTCTGCTCCAGGATCCTCTGAAGTATTCTTGATATTCAGTACGTTCCTCCTGGACACATAGGAATAAAACAAAGGATAAATAATTAATCTCCGATAAGCATCAAGGATTAAAGAGAAAAGGGTTGATGCCAATAGGCAGATTTGTAAACAAATGCTTTTTAACTAGGGGTTGAATTCTGAGCCCTGAGAACTGTCCCTTGGTATGAACTCTCATGAAGTCAGAAGGTGGCAAGCCAGCAAACATGGACCATGCTGCAATCAACAAGGTCAGCAAAGAATTTACATGCAGGAAATCATCTATTTTTAATATTGCAATTGCTTTCCTGTTTTCCTTTATTCCAAATGTTACCACAGGAGCCCAATTCCAAGAGTTTTGTTTGAATGCTTTCCTCTCCTATTTTTCTTCTTTAAATTTGGATGCGACCTTGTATTTCCAGAGAGCAAATGTTCTCTTGTTATTTTAAGAAAACCAGGAGGCTGGGTCATCTGTCAGGCTGAACAATGCTGGACGGATCTAAAGTGTTGGGGTCCCAAGGGTGGTGATTCTAAGTGGGAAGGCTGAGAGTGAGCTCCCTCTGGGGAAATGTAAAAGGATATGCAACAAGCAAAGGGTTGAATTTGTGCTGGGTGAGCCAGCCCAGAGAAGCAGGAGATGTGTTGCCAAGCTGGCAGAACTTGCAGTGAGTATCCAATAGTCCAGCCCCCACCCCACTCCTACCTCACCACATCCCTGTGGAGTTGAAGAAAGACATTCCTTTCATGCCCAAAGCAGTCCAAGCCCCTCCTAGATTTTTCTGGCTAATTATCTGTTCTTCAGCTGAGGTTTTGTAGACCTTGTATTTTCCAAGCACTAAGATTGCAAAGTTTTGGCAACTGTTTGATTATCACTCAGCAATGAAACCTATTTGCTTTATCTTTTGATGATTAGCTCTTTGTAGTGCCATGGTTGGCAAAGGCTGGGAGGGAACAGAAGCAAATGTGGTCAAGAGATTTGCTGAACATAAATTCTTTCTTGTAATGCAGTTAACATGGAGCCACTTCTTGGCCTGGTTAATGCAGAGTTCACTGTGTCCCAAAGCCCAAGGCTTGTCCTCACCTCGGTGTGGCTGAAGGAGTGGAGTTGAGTTGATGGATTCTTGATCCTTCTTGGAGTCTAATCCCTCATCTTCAATCAGCCTCCTTGGCCCCAGGTTATGCACCGTTTCAGCTCTGTAGCAGCAGTCCCAAGAAAGGCACTTCCCTCTCTGGGAAGTAGCCCCTGGACTTCCTGACTTAACCTTGCAGATGTTTCCGTAATTTCTCCTGGAAGTCTTGATGGTCTGGTGCCCCTGCAAGCCCTAGATTCTTGCCTGCAACCTCTTTCTATGTCTCGTGTTTGGTTTCTCTGAGTCATATTCAGATGCCCAGGTTGGGTCCCTCTTTGCCAATGGCTGGATCTACCTATTTTTCTGGTGACTTTGACAGACTCCTGAGAGGAATGGTTTCATAGAAGGACTTTAAGCACACTCCTCTCTCACAAAGGCAAGGATTAGCATAGTAACTCAGACAGCAATGACTGCTGCGTACCTGACCCAGAACTTTTCATATTCAAAATGATTTCACACATTAACTGATTAATCCAAGTGGAGTTGAACAGTAAGCAACACTACCCTATACTAGAAGAGAGAACCTGCTGAGGGTAAATATTTCATCACTGGTCAGGGCAGAAGCCCAGGGAAGTGCTCTCACCACCAGTAGCATCTCCAGAGCAGGAGTTACATTTTAGAAAAACAAAGCCTCCTACCTTATAAGAACCAAGCATGTAACCCCTTGTTCTAGTCACTCAGCACTGTTATCTCAGGTATCCATGTACTTTCAAACTGTTATTAGTTGAGCCATAACTGGCCTATTAATATCACATATCTTGTTCTACAAAGAATATATAGAAAATACATATAATAAAATACAAATTTAAAATTAAGTAGCAGCACCAGATAAATGAAATTAGAACAAGTGCGGAAGGGAGATGAGCAAACCCAAAAGATCTTACACACTTGCAATGACTGAGCAGTAAATTTGCCTCAGAGCTTCCTCGTGGTCAAAGCAGAGAAGGAAACATGGTCATTTATTATGCACAAATGGAAAAATACCTTTTCCTCAGCAAGTGAAGTATTTTGCTTTTAGTTCTGAAGGAGTTGTCTCATGAAGGGCTTTAGCAAATGAAGTAATGGTTTTTATAAAGTTATCTCCTTCATAATATATCTATTAAGTGAAACCTTGGATAGGTCAGGGAACCTCTCTGAACAGTGTTTTGCCATTGTGTCCATCCGCTTTAGGGAATCCATCACCTATGCCTCGGCAGACCTGAAGCTGATTCAGTTTGATGTATGTATCCAATGACTTCATGTGTGAAGCACATGTGTGCTAGGTCTTCTGGGAATATGAGATTAAAATATATATATATGGCTTTTGTTCCCTGGGTCCATAGCTCAGTGATGGGGAAAGAAATACACAAATAATTGTGTATACATTATACAAAGAAGCTTATTGTCTTAGTTGGTAAAGTTTGCTATAATAGAATACCATAGATTGAGTGGCTTAAACAACAGAAATTGATTTCCCATAGTTGTGGAGGCTGGGAAGTCCAAGATCAAGGTACTAGCTTATTTGGTTCCTGGTGATGGCCTTCTTCCTGATTTGTAGGTGGCTGTCTTCTCATTGTGTCTCACATGGTGGAGAACAGAGAGAGGAAGCAAGTTCTTGGGTCTCTTCTCATAAGGGCACTAATCCCATTCATGAGGGCTCCTCCTTCATGTCCTAATCACCTTCCACCCAAAGGCCCCACCTCCTATTACCATCAGCTTGGGGGTTAGGATTTCAACATATGAATTTGAGGAGCACACAAAAATCTGTCCCTAACACTTGTGTTTAAAGTCACTATGTGTTTAATGATCAAAGGGCTGCTAGGTATCCTTGTGATGTAACTGTTTTATGAGGTTGGGCCCACATGTCTCTGAAATTACTCAGGAATGATGACAGCTACAGATCCCAGGATTCTTTCTGACTAACTTGGTGAGATTTATGCCAATCCCTAACCTGACCTCTCTAGCCAGGTACTCAGAGCTCCCTGTAGGCAGACCTGGGCCACGTGCCCACCCTGGGGGTCTGGGTATGCTTCATTAAACCACAGAAACTGTGACAAGGAAGGTGCAATTGTCACAGGGAAGATGTGGGTTCTATTACCAAAATAAGGGCTTCCGGGAAGCACAAAGCCACAAATGTCTACTACCTGTCTTTTTCCTTTTCAAACACAGTTTATATTTGCTAATCTGGATAATTTAGTTTCTTCTGAGATCCGTGTGACCCAGAATTAGTTATTATTTTTAGCTGAGTTTGGGCAAGACACAGAGGACATATATCATTCACTTTTCTTATTATTGGGAGAGAAACAGTTAACTATAATGAAGTGGCCGTTCTACTTCCTTTTCTGGCAAAAGCGGCTTAATTTATAAAATGTTCCCTATCACCTGGCCGCTGTTACCAAGGAAGCTTGGTGGAAACATTCCAGCACTTGTGTAATTCCTTAAATCCTGCACTATATTAGCCACCAGACCCTTCTTGGGTCACTTGACCCCCAAAGAGCAAGACTGAAAAAAAAAAAAACCCATATACACTAAAAGGCTTACTGTGAAAAATTAATCAGCTCTTGATATGAATTATGGCATAGGACCAAGGAACACTTTCACATGTATACTGGGTAGGGGGGAGCCCCCTTATGAATATACAGTGAACCCAAGGGAACCTGGAGACTGCATCTTTGACATAAATTATTTTCTTCTCCCAATGTGGATTGGATGTTCACTCTTACTCAGTTTCATACTGCAACTGTAAGAGGACAGGTGGCTTGACGAAACTCCTCAGAGATCTGTCTCTCTATTTAGATCACATGGTAATGTGTTGAATATTTGTACAAGTCAGAGGAATGTATGAGTAGTGGCACAAGCAATGTGAAATGAAGAACCATCTTCAAATATCACTTTTTTCCCAAAGCCAGTTTTCTCCACTGCATATGTAATATGTCATTATGGAAACACATACTTGAGATGTGTTAGCCACTATACACATATGCAGAACAGACTTACCTACCCAATTTTATAGTAGTCTAGAAATCCCTTTTTCCCCAAAGATCCACTTGAAAAATGTCCCCTAAGATATCTCTTTTGAATCTCAAATTCAACATGTCTAAAAGATCTCAGAATGATCTCTTCTCTCCTCACTCCCTTTTCTCTAACTGTATATCAATCTTCTTGTTTATCAATCTGTCTTCCCTTCAATAAGTATCTACTGAGCTCCTTCAGTGCAGCCATTACTAGGCAAGCCACCAGGTATATGATGGGGAGAAATAGCAGGCACTGTCCCTGCTTATGAAGGTTCCTATCTGATAGAGGAGACAGTTGTTACTCAGACAATCATAGACACAAATGAGGAAGTATAAACATAACAAGATCTAGAAGGAGGAGTAAGCCCAGTTGATCTTTCCCTCATAATTACTGCTGAGTCTATTCCTTCTTCCCCTTCACCATGGCCAAAAGCCTTGGTCATTTCACACCTAAATCACACCGAAGACCCTCTGCTCTACTCAGCACAATGTGAGTACTCATCCTTGCCAATAAACCTTGTACATTTTTGCTTGGGTATCTTGTTCTTTGAATTGTTTTTCCTATTTGACCCACTCAGCATCATAATCTATCAAATTCTACCACTTTGTAAGACTCAGTAGAAGTGTGATCCCTTCTTTGAATTTGTCCTGTTATCTCCAGTGAGAATGCATCCTCTACCTCCTGCCAAGAAGGATTTTTTTTTGTCCTCATCTTTGGTGGCATTTCTTACATACTGTGGTCATTGGTGTGCGTCTTCTGCCCTGTTCATTTATAAGTGCCTGAAGGGCAAGGACTCAATGTAGCAGTTACCTGTGATTCTTTTGGATGTGCCAGCACCTGAAGTTCCTTCCTACATTTAAAAAATTGAGTCTCTGTTGGAGATCCAAATCACCTCTTTCTGTAGAAGCTTCTAGATCCTCATATTCCCAGTCTTCCTTGTAGTTAGGGTGTGGATGTGTGACTTATAGTTTTCCAAAAGGTGCCCCAGGTTAGGTTTTGAATGGAGAACTAATGTTGCAAAGCAGCAAGGACATCCAAGAGGCTCTCTATTGGCGGTGGCAGTGTAGCAGGAACAAGTCCCAGGGGGACTAGTGGTGACAGTGCTGATAGCATATTCCAGCACCCCTGACAGTGGAGTCAGTGGTGACAAGTTCCTCACCAGATTGGGTCTCTGATGTGACTCTAGGCTTTTTTCTGTGGGCATCTCTTCTCTCTGGGATTCTGCGAGCTACTCAATATCCTTTTATAAATCCCTTTTCTGCTTACCTCAGTTTCTTAGTCTATATATATTGCTGTTAACAAAATACGTTATTTTAGACTGGGTAATTTATAGATAATAGAAATGTATTTCTCACAGTTCTGGAGGCTGGCAAGTCCAAGATCAAGGCACCAGCAGGTTCAGTGTCTGGTGAGGTCCCCGTCTCTTCTTCCAAGATGGCACCTTGGACACTTCTTCCTCCACAGGGGAGGAATGCTGTGCCTGTGCCCACTCAAGCCCTTTTATAAGGCACCAATTCATTCAAGGGGGTGAATTTCTCATGGCCGAATAACCTTCTAAATGCCCTATTTCTTAATACTGTTGCATTAGGGATTATGTTTCAACATGAATTTTGGAACGACTCAAGCATTCAAACCATAGCACTCAGCCAGTCTATTTTAGTTTCCAAAGATACTAGCACAGAAGCTCAATTATTTAAGGAACTTTATAAATATTTGTAGAGTGAATACATAAGAGAATTTATTATTGATAGCTATAAGAGCATCTCTAAGATTGGGTTTCCTCATCCTTAAATAAGTTAATAATTCCTACTCCAAAAGCATGCTACAAGGATTGAATGAAACAATGTATGCACAGCAACTAGCACATAGTAAATAACCAGTAAAGGGTAGTAATTATTGGTAGAAATAGGGATCTGATGATGGTGATAAGAAAAATCAATGAATTAATAAATCAATCAATGCCCCATGCTTGCAACAGAAGAAGAGAGTCCTTCCCTGAGTGACAGAGAGAAGAGTCTCTCTCTCAGGGACATATCACCTAGTCTTCTAAACTTGCTTCATGTAACTGATAATCAGACATTGGTTGCCTTTGTGTTTCCATGAAATCTGTAGGTTGTATGTATTGGCTTGTCACCTAGATGGACCAGTAAATGGAACTCTGTGTGAACAGCTCACTTGAGAGTGCACACTTTTTGCAACATTACTTGAACTTGAGATCTTGAGGAAGAGCCAGCATTTGATGCAGGAGTCCAACATCAGAAAAAACAAGGCTAAAATACTCTTGGCACCAAATCCTGAGCTAAAAAGAGAGTTTTTCCAAAGAACTGGAGCACCCCTAGCAGGACAATAAAGGAACTTGAAGAGTAAGAGTTGAAAATTGTCAGAAAGGCAACTATGTACTCCAAGGAAGAGAAAGCAAGAATTTAAGCAAATAGCAAGGAGAAAAAAGCTCCCAGCTGGCTGGATAGTGAGGAGGCAGACACTGATGGATGCTCTGAAGCCAGCTGCTGAGAAGTAAAGGACAGGATTAAAACCGTATGACGTGGCAAGAAAGACCACTGGTCAAATGTTTGTCTGTTATACCTCTATCAAACATACTGTTATATCTCTCATATTCTCATATCCAGAGCCTGAATTTTTGGTATTTTGTTCATCATGGATTTTTTCCATTGATTTAGATTTCTGCAACATATTTTATTAAAATATTTATCCTGATGGTAGTTTTTTGGTGTCCTCTTAAATGTTGCTTCTCATTCATCTCACCCTGATTCTGGTCTTGCCTATGCCATTGATCATTGAGAAATACTCCCATATATGGTCACACTCACCCCTCATAGCAACCCAATAGGTAGGTATCACTAGCTGCATTTTGTGGTGTAACAAACTGAGCAAACTGAGACAGATTAAGTGCCTGCCAAACTTTATGCAGCCAATTGAAAAGTTTAACCTGTTCAAGTTGATCTTGAACACAGGCTACATTCTTGCCACCAAAGCATAGCTGCAGTCCAAGGCAATAATACAAAGACACTATAGGGAATCAGGTAAGAGTGGAATGAAATACATGAATAAAATTCATCTGAAGAAGTATTATGATTGAAATGGAGATCATGAGATGCTTAATGCAAGGCGACTGTAGTGGTCTGAGCAGTATTGCTTTCCATGGAGTATTTGATAGGTAACTCTCAAAAAGTTTGTTGAATCAAATATTTTCACTTTTCTTATTCTGTATTCTTTGCACCAAAGAAACATCTTTCTCAACAACTTATTTAAGCCATTGACTAGATTTGGCATGCAAACCAGTTCAATGTGTCAAAATCCTACTTGTGGCTGGGTGCAGTGGCTCATGCCTGTAATCCCAGCACTTTGGGAGGCCGAGGCAGGTGGATTACCTAAGGCCAGGGGTTCGAGACCAGCCTGGCCAACATAGTGAAACCCTGTCTCTACTAAAAATACAAAAAACATTAGCTGGGCATGGTGGTGGGCGCCTGTAATCTCAGCTACTTGGAAGGCTGAGGCAAGAGAATCGCTTGAACCCAGGAGGTGGAGGTTGCAGTGAGTCGAGACTGTGCCATTGCACTCCAGCCTGGGCAACAAAAGCAAAACTCCATCTCAAAAAAACAAAAACAAAAACAAAAAACAAAACAAAACAAAACAAAACTCTACTTGTGCACTCCTGGTCCATCATAGCAACCTGCTTTAAGTATTCATTTATTCCTTAGTTAAAACCAGGAATTAGTTTTCCTTGGATACACACCATCAAAGCCATTTTTAATTAAATTCTTGGCAGAATGCAGGGAGAAACATTTGATTAGCCAATCTTCATGAGGATGATATTCATAAGTTGTGTGGAAAAATTGTTTTCATTATTTAATAATTATAGCCCATTCTCTCTCATATGCTTATCTGCATATAAACATATATGCAGCATATAAACAATCTGAAGCATATAAACAATAATCTGAAAAAAAAAAAAAAAACCTCAAGACATTTGGATTTTGGCCACAGGTAGAAATGCCCCCAGATAGCCCTTGCAATGCAATCTTTTGCACTAAGCATATTTAGGAAAGCAGGAGGCTCTTCCTTTGAAGTGCTTAGTTTGGAATTTAAAAAGTGCAGCCTTTCATTCAGGAGACTGGTGGATAAATATATGCCATAGAAGACCCATGAAAGGGAAAGCCTCACCAGCTTCTTCACACATGTGCTTTTCGTCTGGGTTTCAGCGATGCTAAGAGAATTCAGATTTATACGTGAATTCTATTTGTCTTGTTCAACTTTCAGTGCAGAGAGAACAGCCATTTATATGAAATGAATGCATGGAAAAAGTTGTTTCAAGAAAAATGATTGTGATAGAGATATTCTCTGTAGATACCTCTGGGGAATTGGCTGTTATTAAATATTATTGAATAACATAGTTAAATGTTCCCAAAGGGAAAGTTTCATATAAATTTAATGTCCCCAATGAACTATTCATTATTTATTTATTCAATACATATTGATGGTTTAGGAATGTTCTAGGAGCTGGGGATACAGCAGTGACTAAGGCAGGCCACATCCTTGTCCTCTTGAAGCTTACATTCTAAGGGACAGACAGGCTGGTATGGTTTGGATTTGTGTCCCCACCCAAATCTCATTTGAATTATAACCCCCTATATTGGAGGTAGGGCCTGGTGGGAGAGGATTTGATCATGGAGGTGGATTTCCCCCTTGCTGTTCTCATGATAGTGAGTGAGTTCTCAGGAGATCTGGTTGTTTAAAAGTGTGTGGCATCTCCCCCTATCTCTCTTCCCTCCTACTCCAGCCATGTAAGATGTGCCTGGTTCTCCTTCACCTTCCGCCATGATTGAAAGTTTCCTAAGGCCTCCCCAACCTGTACAGCCTGCAGAACTGTGAGTCAATTAAACCTCTTTTCTTTGTAAATTACCCAGTCTCGCATATTTCTTTATAGTAGTACAAGAACAAACTATTAATAGTACACGGGCTATAAGAAAACAATTAATGGAATAATATAATTTCAGGTGAAACATGAAAAGCATAAATCAGGGTTAGTGATAGAGATTGATGGGATGGTTAGTCAGGCTATTGCAGCAGGATATCCTGGGAATATCTTTCTAAAAAGGGACATTTGACCAGATATTTGGATAATATGAATGCTTAAGCTGTGTGAGAATCTGGAGGATGTCTTCCAAATGGAAGAAGCTTTTAGAATGTGAACTCCATGAAATGAGAAACTTTGTTGTGTTCACTGTTGCATCCTCACATACTCCGCATTTGATACATCCTTGTTGAATTTTTGCTCATGAAAGACCTTGTTGTGGGAACGATTAAACAGAGCAGCATGTTGGAGCTGAGGGAGTAGGGGAGGAATCAAGTTGTAAAGTTGTCATTGTTCCCGGTGTCTTTACTAATAGAGCCTCTTTCAGTCTCAACACTGCCTGGTTTGGATGGATAAATTATATGTCCACTTTCCTAACAGGCTATGGTAAGGAGTTTGGATGTAATCGTGATGGGAAGTCAGCAGAAGACTCTGAGTATGGGAGCAGTGTTATTTTCTCTGTTAAAAATAGATCTTTGTGGAGATAAATATATTATGGAGGTGGCGGTTGGGGGGTGTTAGGCAATAGTGGAAATGAGGTGACAGTGAGGACAGTTAGTAGGTAATTACAATGATCCAGGTGAGAGATGATAGTGATATGGACGAGGGTGATAGCTGTGGAGGTGACAAAAGTGGGCAGATTGGGAATATAATTTAACATAAAGATGGTAGTCTTGTTGAAGATTTTAATGTGAAGTAGTAGACAACGAGAAACCAAAGAAAACCCCTAGGATTTTGGAGATACTGTAGGAGACCACAATTATACAACCTTGAAGTAAATGAACCTTCTACTTTGGGCAGGTTAAATTTGAGGTCCACAGTGAACATTAAAGCAGAGATACTGAAGAAGAAGTTGTATACACAGGTTTGGAGGCCTGGTAACGATGTGGAATTCATCAGTATATAATTAATATTTAAAGCCATTGGACTGAATAGGATTTCCTAGGAACTGAGTAAGGATGGAGAAGAATGAGGACTGGGTCTTGGAGCACTGCAGCATTTAAAAATAAGAAATGAAAGAAGCTAATGATGTCTCAAAGGATATTGAGATATACGAGTAATTGGGAAATTAATAGAAATAAACACAAAATGGGCCTTAGTTTAAAGTCAAACATCATAAACCTAAAAAATTTATATTTTAAAAAAAGAATGTGTACTTTTTAAAGAAAGGAGAAAAGGCGAGAAAAGAGAAAAGAAGCACACATCATAAAAAATACAATAAATTGAAAACATAAAATAAGGCAGAAATGTTATAGTATTAAAATTATTATAATGAATACAAATGGTTTAATTTTATCAATATAAAGAGAGAATTTCAGAATAATAAAAAGATTATAACAATTTGCAGTCTGTAAGAAACACACTGAAATAGGATATCAAAAATTTGAAAATAAAAGGATGTAATAAGCTATATTAGATAAAACATGAATCAAATTAGATGGAGTGGTATTATAATATCTGAAAAAGCAGAATTCAAGGTAAAATATGTCATAAGACACAAAGAGGATGTATCTTGGATAAAAGAATATGGAGTAATAACATGTAAACATTAATAAACCACATAAATACCTATGAAGTAAACTATATAACCTCAAGAAATACTATGCAACAACTTGAAAAAGTTTAGGGAGAATTACTAAGTCAACTATTATAATTGGAAGTGTTAATATTTCCCTCGCAAAAATGATAGATCAAACACACAAAAAATAATCAGAGCTTTAGAACATGTGAATAATACAATTAATGATCTTTAGACATTGTGTGTCCAGAATTGGTGGGTTCTTGGCCTCACCAACTTCGAGAATGAAGCCGCGGACCCTAGCGGTGAGTGTCACAGTTCTTAAAAGCAGCGTGTCCAGAGTTTGTTCCTTCTGATGCTCGGATGTGTTCGGAGTTTCTTCCTTCTGGTGGGTTCGTGGTCTCGCTGGCTTCAGGAGTGAAGCTGCAGACCTTCGTGGTGAGTGTTACAGCTCATAAAGGCAGTGTGGACCCAAAGAGTGAGCAACACCAAAATTTATTGCAAAGAGCAAAAGAACAAAGCTTCCACAGCGTGGAAGGGGACCTGAGCAAATTGTCCCTGCTGACTGGGGCAGCCTGCTTTTATTCTCTTATCTGGCCCCACCCACATCCTGCTGACTGGTCCATTTTACAGAGAGCTGATTAGCTGATTGGTCCATTTTACAGAGAGCTGATTGGTCCGTTTTGACAGGGTGCTGATTGGTGCGTTTACAATCTCTGAGCTAGACACAAAAGTTCTCCATGTCCCCGCTAGATTAGCTAGATATGGAGTATCAACACATAGGTTCTCCAAGTCCCCACCACAGTAGCTAGATACAGAGTGTGGATTGGTGCATTCACAAACCCTGAGCTAGACACAGGGGGCTGATTGGTGTGTTTACAAACCTTGAGCTAGATACAGAGTGCCGATTGGTGTATTTACAATCCCTTAGCTAGACATAAAGCTTCTCCAAGTCCCCACCAGACTCAGGAGCCCAGCTGGCTTCACCCAGTGGATCCTGCACCGGGGCCACAGGTGGAGGTGCCTGCCAGTCCCACGCCGTGGGCCCGCACTTCTCAGCCCTTGGGCGGTCGATGGGACTGGGCACTGTGAAGCAGGGTCGGCACTAGTCGGGGAGGCTCGGGCCGTGCAGGAGCCCACGGCGGGCCGGGGGAGGTTCAGGCATGGCAGGCTGCAGGTCCCGAGCCCTGCCCTGTGGGGAGGCAGCTAAGACCTGGCGAGAAGTGGAGCACAGCAGCTGCTGGCCCAGGTGCTAAGCCCCTCACTGCCTGGGGCAGTGGGCCAGCTGGCCGCTCCGAGTGCAGGGCCTGCCTAGCCCACGCCCACCTGGAACTCGCGCTGGCCTGCAAGTGTGGCCCGCAGCCCCGGTTCCCGCCGCGCTTCTCCCTCCACACCTCCCCACAAGCTGAGGGAGCCGGCTCCGGCCTTGGCCAGCCCAGAAAGGGGCTCCCACAGTGCAGCGGTGGGCTGAAGGGCTCCTCAAGTGTGGGCAGAGTGGGTGCCAAGGCCAAGGAGGTGCCAAGAGTGAGCGAGGGCTATGAGGGCTGCCAGCACGCTGTCACCTCTCAATTGCATATGCATACGCATAGACACACATTCTTTTTCTCCATTTAGTTAATACTCAACAAAAGGAAAATACAGCTATTTTTAAGCACACATGGAACCTTTACAAAATTTTTAATTATCATTTTTTAATTTATAAAAATGTATGGGGTACATGTAAAAGTTGTTACATGTATATAATGTGTAGTGATCAAGTCAGGATATTCAGGGTATCTGTCACCCAAATACAATGCATTTTTGTTAACTATAATCACTCTACTCTGCTACCAAACATTGAATTTATTTTTTTTATGTAACTGTGTGTTTATACCTTTTAACTCACTTCTCTTCATTCTCCCCACTACATCCCACTCAACTTTCCCAGTCTCTGTCTTCTATCTTTTTACTCTTTACTGCCATGTGATACAATTTTTTAGTTCCCACATATAAGTGAGAACATGTGATGTTTGTTTCTTTGTGCCTGAATTATTTCACTTAATATAATGACCTCTAGTTCCATCCATATTACTTCAAATGACATGATTTCATTCTTTTTATGGCTTAATAGTATTCCATTGTGTACATATGCACCTCACTTTTTAATCCAACCATCTGTTGATGAACACTTAGGTTAATTTCATACCTTTGTTATTTTGAATGTGTTGTAAATAAACAAGACAGTGCAGTTATCCCTTTCATATACTGATTTATTTTCCTTTGGGTAGATACTTAGTTGTGGGATTGCTGGATTGAATGGTAATTCTATGTTTAGTTTCTTGAGAAATCTCCATATTGTTTTCCAGAGTGGCTGTATTCCCACCAGCAGTGTATGAGTGTTCTCTTTCCTCTGCATCCTCACCAACGTCTGTTATTTTTTGCCTTTTAAATAGTAGTCATTCTGATTGGGGTAAGATGAATATCTCATTGTGGTTTTGGTTTGCATTTCTCTGATGATTAGTGATGTTGAGCATTTTTTCAAATGTTGGCCATTTGAAAGTCTTCCTTTGAGAATTGTCTATTCATGTCCTTTTCCCTTTTTTTAATGGGATTATTATTTTTTTGTTGAGTTCCTTGTACATTCTGGATACTAGTCCCCTAATATTGGAAAATATTTGAAATGATTTTTTTCCCACTCAACAGGTTGTTTCTTCTATCTGTTGATTATTTCTTTTGCTGTGCAGAAGCATTTTAGCTTAATTACATCCCATTTGTCTGTTTTTGTTGCCTGGGCTTTTAAGGTCTTAGTCATAAATTTTTTGCCTCAACTAATGTTCAGAAGAGTTTTGCCTAGGTTTTCTTTTTGTATGTTTATAGTTTCAGGCCTGATGTTTAAGTCTTTAATCTATTTTGAGTTGATTTCTGTATATGTCAGAAATAGGGATACAGTCTCATTCTTCTGCATGTGGCTATCTCATTTTCCCAGCACCATTTATTGAAGAGGGTGTCCTTTCCCCAATGTAAGCCTTTGTTGCTTTTGTCCAAGATCAACTGGCTATAAATACGTAGCTTTATTTCTGGGTTCTGTATTCTGTTCCGTTGATCCATGTGTCTATTTTTATACCAATATCATACTGTTTTGGTTACTATAGCCTTCTAATATATTTTGAAGTCAGATAATGTGATGCCTCAAGCTTTGATCTTTTTTGATTAGTATTGCTATGGATATTAGGGCTATGTTTTGGTTTCATATGCATTTTAGAATTGTCTTTTTCTAATTCTGTGAGGGGTGATACTAGCATTTTGGTAGGGATTGCATTGAATCTGTAGATTGCTTTGGGCAATATGGTCATTTTAAGGATATTAATTCTTCTGATTCACAAGCATGAATATTTTTTCATTTGTTTGTGTCATCTTTAATTTCTTTCATCAGTGTTTTTGTAGTTTTTCTTGTAGAGATCTTTCACTTCCTTGGTTAAATATATTCCTAGGTGTTTTAATTTTTTGTAGCTATTGTAAACAGCACTGCCTTCTTGATTTCTTTCTCAGCTTGATCATTATTGATGTATCAAAACATTACTAATTCTTGTACATTGATTTTGTATCCTGCCACTTTGGTGAACTCATTTATCAAATCTAAGAGTTTTTTTGGTAAAGTCTTTAGGTTTTTCTAGATATAAGATCACATTATCAGCAAAGAAGAACAATTAAACTTCGACTTTTTTACTTTGGATGCCTTTTATTTCTTTCACTTGCCTGATTGCTAAGGCTTGGACTTCTAGAACTATGTTGAATTGGAGTGCTGGAAGTGGACATCCTTGTTTTGTTCTTAGAGGAAGGGCTTTCAACTTTTCCTCATTCAGTATAATGTTAGCCATGAGTTTATCCTATATGGTCTTTATTATGTTGACAGACGTTCCTTCTATGCCTAGTTTGTTGAGAGCTTTTACCATGAAGTGATGTTGAATTCTATCAAATGCTTTTTCTTCGTCTACTGAAATGATCATATGTTTTTTGTTTTTCATTCTGTAGATGTGATGTATCACATTTATTGAGTCGTATATGTTGAACCATTCTTGCATTCCTGGTATAAATCCTTCTTGATCATGATGTATTATCTTTTTGATGTGCTATTGGATTCAGTTTGCTAGTATTTTGTTCAGGATTTTTGCATCTATGTTCATCAGGAATATTGGCTTGTAGTTTTCTTTTTTTGTTGTGTCCTTGTCTGGTTTTCATATGAGGATGATGCTGGCTTTGTAGAATTAGTTAGGAAGAATTTCCTTTGAATTTTTTTTGGAATAATTTCAGGAGGATTGGGATTAGTTCTTTCTACATTTGGTAGAATTCAGCTGAGAATTCATCCAGTCCTAGGTTTTTCTATATTGGAATACTTCTTATTACTGATTCAATCTCACTACTCATTATTGGTTCTTTCAGGTTTTTAATTTCTTCTTGATTCAGTCTTGGTAGCTTGTATGTTTCCAGGAATTTGTTCATTTTCTTTAGGTTTTTAGTGTATAGTTGTTCACAATAGTCTCTGACAATCTTTTATATTTCTGTGGTATCAATTGTAATGTCTTCTTTTCATTTCTGATTTTGTTTATTTGGATCTTCTGTCTTCTTGGTTAGTCTAGCTACCAGTTTATTTTGTTTACCTTTTCAAAGAAACAGCTTTTAGTTTTATTGATGCTTTGTATTATTTTTTAGTCTTTATTTCATTTAATTACGCTCTGATCTTTATTATTTCTTTTATTCTGCTAATTCTGGGTTTGGCTTGTTTCTTTAAACATTGTTAAATTGTTAATTTGTAATCTATCTACTTTCTTGATATAAACATTTATTGGTATAAATTTCCCTCTTAGCACTGCTTTTACTGTATCCTACAGGTTTTGGTATGTTATGTTTCCCTTTTCATTTGTTTCAAAAAGTGTTTTGATACTCATCTTAATTTCTTTGTTGACACAATGGTTGTTCATGAGTACACTGTGTAATTTTTATGTATTTACATAGTTTCCATAGTTTCTCTTTCCATTGATTTCTAGTTCTATTCCATGTGGTCTGAAAGATATTTGTTATAATTTTGATTTTTTAAAAAAATTGTTGAGAATTGTTTTGTGGCCTAACATATGATCTATCCCGAAGAGTGTTTTATGTGCTAATTAAAAAAAATGTATATTCTGCAGTTGTTGAATAGGATGTTCTGTAAATGTCTATCACATTCATTTGTTCTAAAGACTAGCTTAGATCCAATATTTGTTTTTTGATTTTCTGTTTAGATGATCTGTCTAATTCTGAGAATGAGGTGTTGAAGTCCCCCACTATTATTGTATTGCAGTCTATCTCTCTCTTTAGATCTAGTAATGTCTGCCTTATGAATCTGGATGCTCCAGTGTTGAGTGCATTTTTATATCTACTAGCTGGATTGATCCCTTTATCATTACATAATGACCTCCTTTGTCTTTTTTTAAAACTATTTTTGACTTAAAGTCTATTTTATCTGATTTATGTTAAGCTACTCCTGCTTGCTTTTGGTTTTCATTTGCATAGAATATCTTTTTCCATTCCTTTACTTTTGTATATGTGTCTTTACTAGCAAGGTGGATTTCTTGTAAGCAACAAATAATTGGATCACTTAAAAAAATACATATAGCCATTCTATAATTTTAAGTGGAGTATTTAATCCATTTATATTCAAGGTTGTTATTCATATGTGAGGTTTTGTTCCTATCATATTGTTAATTATTTTCTGGTTGTTTTATATATTTTTTGCTACTTAATTTTTCCTTTATTGTTTGTTGTTGTGGTTTGGTAGATTTCTGTAGTGGTGGTATCATTTCAGTCTTCTTTCTTCTTGTGATTGCTTTACCAGTGAGTTTTATAGTTTCATGTGATTTCATGATGGTGAAAGTCATCTTTTCACTTCCAGGTTTAAGACTCTCATAAACATTTCTCATAAGTCTGGCTCAGTGGTTATAAATTTTCCCAGCATTTGCATATTTGGGAAAGACTTTCTTTCTCCATTTATGATGAATAATTTTGCTGACTATAGTATTCTTGGCTGACAGTATTTGTCTTTCAACACTGAATATATTTTCCCATTCTCTTCTGACTTGTGATGTTTCTGCTGAAAAATTTACTGTTACTCTGATGAGGTTTCCTTTATAGTTGACTAGATACCTTTCTCTTGCTGTTTTTAGGATTCAGTCTTTATCTATGACTTTAGACAGTCTGACTATGATGTACTATGGAGAAGATCTTATTGCATCCTATCTGCTTGGGGATTGTCAAGCTTCTGTATCTGGATGTCTAAATATCTTGCTAGACTTGGGAGTCATCTATTATTTCATGAAACAGTTTTTCTAATCCTTTTTTTCTCTCTTCCCTATTGAGGAATCCAATAATTCTTAAATATAATTGCTTTATGCTGCCTCAAATGTTATGAAAACTTTGTTCATTTTTTAAAAATCGTTTTTTTTTTTGTCTGGATTATTTCAAAAGACCTGTCTTCAAGTTCTGAGATTCTTTCTTCCTACCTATTTTGTTATTGCCGCTTTCAAATATATTTTTTATTTCCTTCAATGAATTCTTTGGTTCCAGAATTTTTTTTTTAAATATCTACCTCTTTGGTAAATTTCTCATCCATATCCTGAATTGTTTTTCTAATTTTCCTGCATTATTTTTCAGAATTATCTTGTATCTATCTCATCTAGCTTCTTTAAAATCAATAGTTTGAATTTTTAATCTTGGCTTTCAAGAATTTCTTTTCTCTTTCTTTCTTTCTTTCTTTCTTCTTTCTTTCTTTGTTTTTCTTTGCCACAGTCTCGCTCTGTCACTCAGGCTGGAGCACAGTGGCGTTATCTCAGCTCACTGAAGCCTATGCTTCCCGGGTTCAAGCGATTCCTGTGCCTCAGCCTCCCAAGTAGCTGGGATTACAGGTGTGCGCCACCATGCCTAGCTAATTTTTGTACTTTTAGTAGGGACAATGTTTTACCATGTTGGCCAGGCTGGTCTCAGACTCCTGACCTCAAGTGATCCACCTGCCTCAGCCTCCCAAAGTGCTGGGATTACAGGCATGAGCCACCACACCTGGCCAAGAATTTCTTTTTGATTAGTATCTTCTGCTGGAAAATTATTGTGTTCTTTTAGAGGTGTAATATTTCCCTGGTTTTCAATATTTCCCTGGTTTTCAATGTTCCCTGGTTTTCAATGTGTCCTTATCTTGTTCTGTGCATCTGGTGACTGTAACAGTTACTTCTATTTTTAAATTTACTTTCATAGGGAAAAATCTTTTTCCAGAAGATGTTGTTGGTTGAGTAGGGCACCTTAGCTTTGATTCTGTGGTGTGTAGTAGTGTAGTCTCCATATGATTTCTTTGGTTGTAAACAACATTATTGGTATCTGTGATTTCCTTATTATGTTAGGGTGCAGTTATTAGTGGAGGCTGTGGCAAAGTTGTGTTTGGGACTGGAATGTCAGGTGGGCCAGTCTTCAGGCCCTAGTCGTAGCAGTGATGGGGTGAGTACGTGTATCCTTGTACCCTAGGGTGGTGCATGCTGGCATCTGTGTTGGTTTGTTTGTTATCTACAGGCCAATTCTTGGGCCTAAAGGTGGCTTTCTGGGATGCTAGTAGTAGCAGCAGTGGAGTGGGTGGATGAGTTGGTTCTTAGGCCTTGAGGTAGCCAGTGTGGCAAAGGCAATGGCAATAACTGTGATAGGATGATTCCCTGGGTCCCAAGCAGTGTGTATATGTTTTGGCGGTGTCTGCAGTGTGCTGGAATGGCCAGTCTCTAGACCTGCGTGTGGTGCTGACAGGTAGGTGTCAGCTGAGGTTGTAGTGATTGGGTATTTAGGCCAAACCTCAGGCCCCTGGGAGGAGTGTTAAGGCAATCCATATGGTGGATTGGGTTGAGAAATCCCCAGGACCCCAAGCTATGTGCTTTAGCATTGGGGATAAAGCCGGGTTGGGCAGGCTTATGCTCAGGCCTCCAAATGAGGAGAGCGGGTGCCAGCCATGGTGAGCAGAGGCATCCTCAGATCCCAGGTGGACCGCTTGGGTGAGGGATGGTAGCAGCTGCATTGAGTCCCTGCCATTGTGAAGCCAGCCTCAGTGGCCACAGCCTAAACCAGTGGGTAATATGCATCCCTCTCATGCCCAATTCTGATGAGGCATGGCCACCAGTCGTGGTGGTAGCCTGCACCTAGCTCACACCTCAGCCTGGCTGCAGGAGCTCCCACCCAACTTGCAATGAATCCCAGAAGCAACGTGGGCCCAGCTCACATCCCAGTGTCAGTCCTGATGGCGCTCACTTCCCAGCACTGGCAGCTGCAGCCCATATACTGCTTCCTTGTCAGCCCCAGGTGTGGGAGCCCATTCCTAGCTTGTGTTGCAGTCCCAACAGCAACAGCCCAAGTTTCCCTAACACCTCAGTCCCAGTGCTGCTGGGCCCTAGGAAAGCCCGCAGTTTGTGAAAGGCTGCACTTAAAAATGACACCTTGCAATACCTGCATAGGTCTCAGAAAGTGTATGGGACACAGCATGAGCTCCCTCCCTGAAGCAGTTCTGTGTCACAGTCTCCCAGCAGCTCCCTTTGTTATTCCCAGGGGTTGGGAGGATCCAGCGTGGTCAGATTTGCATAATTCCATGGTGGGGATGTGAGCTGCTGAAAGTCTCTCACTTAGCCCTTTCCCCATGTTGGGAAGTCACTCCTGGCTCCCAGCTGATCCCAGTCAAGCAGGCTGCCTCTCTTTCTTCTAAGTCTTTGTTTTCAGTGTTTCCTGTCACTTTTCTTTTGAATTCTGGTGTTCTTTCTTGGATAATGTATTTGAAACGTGATTGTCTACACACTGTATTGGTTCTTCTAAGGGGAGGAAGAGCACATGAAATGCTTCTAGTCAGCCATCTTGAAGCCCCTCCACACTTTACAAACATTAATCATGCAAAGAAAACTTCAATAAATTCCAAAAGATCAATATCATACACATTATTATCTGACTCTCGTCAATCAAATTAGAAACCAATACCTAAAGAAACTCTATAAAAATCTCACATGTCTATAAACTAGTAATCTCATATGTTAAAATTTCCATATGCCTAGACATTTGGGCTAAAATTAGCACCACTTTCAAAAATCTTAAGGTAAACACGAAATACTTAGACATGAATTAGCCTTGAAAATAGTCGATGCCAAAATTTGTGAAAACAACTAAAGTAATACTTAGAAAAAATGTTATAGCTTTAAATACATTTAACAGGAAACAAGAGAAGTCAAAAGCAAATAAATTAAGCATAAACTTAAGGAATTAGAAAGTTAAGAGGCTGAAAGCAAATTATTAAACTTAAGAAGTTTAAAAAGACAAAGAACAAAGGATATATATAATAAGGCTCAAGGAAGAAATCAATATAATAAAGAACAATGAAACATTTAAATGAATCAAATTGATGTCAGTTCTTTGAAAATATCAATGATAGATCTCTGGAAAGATTAATCACAAAGAAGAGAAAAAATACAAATAACCAATTACAGAAAAGAAAAAGGGAAATTACTTTCAACACAAGAAATATTTACAGAATTAATATTTCGAAAAACTATGTACTAATTTGAAGTTTTCAAAATAAGCATCGTTATTTGAAAACAGATGAAATGCACAATTTTTAGAAAAATATAAAATGTTAAAATTAGCACAAAAGGAAATGTAAACTTGAATTAACTGATAAGAACTAAAGAAATTGTAGGCTGGGCATGGTGGCTCATGCCTGTAATCCTAGCACTTTGGGAGGCCTAGGCGGGCGGATTGCTGAGCTCAGGAATTTGAGGCCAGCCTGGCCAACATGGTGAAACCCTGTCTCTACTAAAGTACAAAAAAAATAAAAAATAAAAAATAGCCGGGTGTGGAGGCATGTGCTGCCCAGGAGGCAGAGCTTCCAGTGAACAGAGATCAGAGATCATGCCACTGCATTCCAGCCTGGGTGACAGAACCAGGCTCTATCTCCAAAAAAAAAAAAAAAAAGAAATCGTAATGAAAAATCAAAGTTCTCCCTTTTTCTAAAGCCTCAGGCCAAGATGGTGTTACGGATGAATTCTACAAAATTTCAAATGCAAAAAAAAGCTCTTAAAATTTTTTGAGGGTTGTATAGTCTTGGTTCCAAAACAAATAGAAAGAGTACAAGAAAAGAAAATTATAGGCACAGTTCACTTTTAAACACAGAAATGAAAATAAAATATTAGCAAGGCCAAATTAATAGTATGTCATAATAATAAATTTTCATTTTAAATTTTCATGAATCTATAGTAGGTATATGTATTTATAGGGTACATGACATGCTTTGATACATGCATGCAATGCGTAATAATCACATCACGTAAAATTAGACATCCTTCCCCTCAAGCATTTATCTTTTGTGTTACAAACAACCCAATTATATTCTTTTAGTTATTAAAAATATGTAATTACATTATTATTGAGTACAATCATCCTGTTATGCTATCAAATACTAGGTTTTAGTCATTCATTATATATTTTTTGTACCCATTAACCTTTCCCAACATCTCCCCACACTCCCACTGCCCTTCTCAGCCTCTGGTAACCATCCTTCTATGTCTCCATGAGTTCAATTGTTTTGATTTTTAGATCCCACAAATAAGTGAGAATATGTGATGTTTGTCTTTTTGTGCCTGGCCTATTTCATTTGAGCTAATGACCTCCAGTTCCATCCATGTTGTTGCAAATGACAGAATCTCATTCTTTTTTATGGCTGAGTAGTACTCTGTTATGTGTAAGTTCCACATTTTTCAAAATTCATTCATCTGTTGATGGGCACTTAGGTTGATTCCAAATCTTGGCTAATGTGAAGTGCTGCAACAAACATGGGAGTGCAGACATCTCTTTGATATGCTGACTTTATTTCTTTTGAGTATATACCTAGCAATAGGATTGCTGGATCACATGGTAGCTCTATTTTTAGTTTTTTGAGGAACCTTCAAACTGTTCATCATAGTGGTTGTACTAATTTACATTTCCACCAACACTGTATAAGGGTTCTCTTTTCTCTACATCCTCACCAGCATTTGTTACTACCTGAAGAGGTAGTTTTGACTTGTATTTCTCTGACAATCAATGATTATCAGAGAAATACAAATTTTGTGTGTGTTCTTCAATTTTTTTCATTAGTATTTTACAGTTTTCATTGCAGAGCTCTTTCACCTCTTTGTTAATTTTCATATACTTGTTTTCTATTTGTATATCTTATTTTGAGAAATGTCTATTCAGGTCTTTGTCCCATTTTTAATGGGATAATTTGAGCTCCTTATATATTATACTTATTAATCCCTTGTCAGACAGGTAGTTTGCAAATATTTTCTCCCATTCTGTGGGTTGTCTCTTCACTTTGTTGATTGTTTCCTTTGTGCAGAAGCTTTTTAACTTGATGTGATACCATTTATCTATTTTTGCTTTGGTTGCATGTGCTTGTGGGATATTGCTTAAGAAATGTTTGCTCAGACCAATGTCTTGTACAGTTTAGTTTCTTCAATGTTTTTGTGGAGTCGTTTCATAGTTTGAGGTCTTACATGCAAGTCTTTAGTCCATTTTGATTTGATTTTTTTGTATAAGGAGATAGTGACCAGGTTTCATTCATCTGCATGTGGATATACAGTTTTTCCAGTACCATTTATTGAACAAATTGTCTTTTTTCCTAGTGTCTGTTCTTGGCAACTTTGTTGAAAATGAGTTTTACTGTAGGTGTGTAAATTTGTTTCTGGGTTCTCTCTTCTGTTCCACTGGTCTATGTGTCTGTTTTTATGCTAGTACCGTACTATTTTTGTTACTATAGCTCTGTGGTGTAATTTGAAGTCAGGTAATGTGATTCTTCCAGTTTTGTTCTTTTTGCTCAGGATAGCTTTGGCTATTCTGGGTATTTTATGATTCCATATAAATTTTAGGATTTTTTTTCTATTTTTGTGAAGAATGTCTTTGGTATTTTGATAGGGATTGCATTAAATCTGCAGATTGCTTTGGGTAGTATGGACATTTTAACATTATTGATTCTTCCAATCCATAAACATGGAATATCTTTCCATTTTTTGGGTGTCTTCTTCAATTTCTTTCATTAGTGTTTTAGAGTTTTCTTTTCTTTTCTTTTTTTTCTGAGATAGGGTCTCACTCTGTCACCCAGGCTGGTGTGCAGTGGCACAATCTTGGCTCACTGCAACCTCCATCTCCCAGGCTCAAGCAATCCTCCCACCTCAGCCTCCTGAGTAGCTGAGATTACAGGCATGCACCACCATGCCTGGCTAATGATTTTTTTTCTTATATTTTTAGTAAGGCCAGGGTTTCTCCATGCTGGCCAGGCTGGTCTCGAATTCCTGGCCTCAAGTGATCCACCCGCCTTGGCCTCCCAAAGAGCTGGGATTATAGGCATGAGCCACCACACCCTGCTTAGAGTTTTCATTGTAGAGATCTTTTACCTTTTCAGTTAATTCCTAGGTATTTAATTTTGTTTGTGGTTATTATAAATGGGATTACTTTTTTGATGTATTTTTTCAGATTGTTCACTATTGGCATGTAGAAATGATACTGATTTTGTATGTTTATTCTGTATTCTGCAAATTTAACTGAATTTTGTTTATCCGTCCTAATAGTTTTTTGGTGGAGTCTTTAGTTTTTTCTGGATATAAGATCATATCTTCTGGAAAGAAGGATAATTTGATTTATTCCTTTCAGCTTGGATGCTCTATTTCTTTCTCTTATCTGATTGCTCTAATTAAGACTTCCAGTATTATGTTGAATAACACTGGTAAAAGTGGGCATCCTTCTCATGTTCCAGATCTAAGAGGAAAAGCTTTCAGTTATTCCCCATTTAATATGATCCCAACTGTGGGTCTATCATACGTGGCTTTTATTATGTTAAGGTATGTTCCTTCTATACCCAGGTCTTTGAGGTTTTTTTTTTTTTATCATGAAGGGGTGGGGAACTTTATCCAATGCTTTTGCAGCATCAAGTGAAATGATTATATGATTTTTGTCCTACAATGTGATATGATGTATCACATTGATTGATTTGCATATGTTGAACCATCCTTTTATCCTTGGGATGAATCTCACTTGGTTATGATGAATGATCTTTTTAATGTATTGTTGAATTTTGTTTGCTGGATATTTTGTTGAGAATTTTTGCATCAATATTCATAAGAGATATTGGCCTATAGTTTTCTTTCTTTGATGTGTCCTTGTCTGGTTTTGGTATCAGGGTAATACTAGCCTTGTAGAATGAGTTTGGAAGTATTCCCTCTTACTCTATTTATTGGAACAGTTTGAGTAGGATTGGTATTACTTCTTTAAATGTTTAATAGAGTTCAGCAGTGAAGCCATTGGGTCCTGGGGTTTTCTTTACTGGGAGATTTTTTATTGCAGCTTTGATCTCATTATTTTTTATTGGTGAGTTCAGGTTTTGAATTTCTTCATGGTTCAATCTTAGTAGGTTGTTGTGTCTAGGAATTTGTACATTTCTTCTAGATTTTCCAATTTATTGGCATATAGTTGCTCATAGTAGCCACTAATGATCCTTTGACTTTCGCAGTGTCAGTTGTAATGTCCCCTTTTTCATCTCTGATTTTATTTGAGTCATCTCTCTTTTTTTCTTGGTCTAAGCTAAAGACTTGTCAATTTTGTTTATCTTTTCAAAAAACCAGCTTTTTGTTTCACTGATCCTTTTCATTTTGAGACACAGTCTCACTATATTGTCCGGGCTGGAGTGCAGTAGCATGATCACAGCTCACTGCAGCCTTGACCTCCTGGGCTCAGGTGATCCTCCCACCTCAACCTCCTGAGTAGCTGGTCAGATGTGTATGTATGCCATCACACCTGACTAATTTTTTGTACTTTTTGTAGAGGTGGGTTTTTGCCATGTTTCCTAGGCTGGTCTTAAACTCCTGAGCTCAAGCCATTCCCCTGCCTTGGCCTCCCAAAGTGCTACAGTAAAATTCAAGGCATGAGCCACTGTGCCTGGCTGATATTTTGTATGATTTTCTTCATTTCAATTTCATTTATTTCTGCTCTGATCTTTATTATCTCGTTTCTTCTACTAATTTTTGCGTTTGGTTTGCTCTCACTTTTCTAGTTCTTTAAGATGTATCATTAGGTTATTCATTTAAAGTTTTTCTTCTTTTTTGATATAGGCACTTAAAGTTATAAATTTCCCTGTTAGTACTGCTTTTGATGTATCCTATAGGTTCTGTTTCTATTATCATTTGTTTCAAAAAAAATTTCAATTTCCTTCTTAATTTCTTCATTGACCCACTGGTCATTCAGGGGCATATTGTTTAATTTCTATGTGGTTGTACAGTTTCCAAAATTCCTCTTGTTATTAATTTGTGGTTTTATTCCATTGTGGTCAGAGAAAATGCTTGATATTATTGTAATTTTTTAAATATTTTAAGACTTATTTTGTGACCTAGCATATGGTCTATCCTTAAGAATGATCCACATGCTGAGAAGAAAAATGTGTATTCTGCAGCCATTGGATGAAACATTCTGTAAATATCTATCAGGTCTATTTGTTCTATAGTGCACATTAAGTCTAATTTTTTTATTGTTGATTTTCTCTCTGGGAGATCTGTCCAATGAGGAAAGTGAGGTGTTGAAGTCTCCAGCTGTTATTTTGTTGGGGGTCTATCTCTTTTTTTTTTATCTCTAATAATAATTGCTTTATACATGTAGCTTGCTCCAGTGTTGGATGCATATATACTTACATTTATTATATGCTCTTGCTGAATGGACCCCTTTATCATTATATAATTACTTTCTTGGCTCTTCTTACAGTTTTTGTCTTGAAATCTGTTTTCTATAATATAAATATAACTACTCCTGCTCTTTCTTGGGCTCCATTTGCATGGAATATCTCTTTCCTTCCCTTTATTTTCCAGTCTATGTGTATCTTTGTAGGTAGAGTGTGTTTCTAGTAGGCAACAGATCACTGGGTCCTGTTCTTTCATCCATTTAGCCACTCTGTTTCTTTAGATTGAAGAGTTTAGTCCATTTACATTCACTATTACTGTTGATAACATTGGACTTACTCCTGCCAGTTTGTTATTTATTGTCTCATTGTTTTGCAGTCTTCTTTTCCTTTTTTCCTTCCTGTCATTCTTAAAGTGGAGATGATTTTCTCTGGTGGTAAGATATAATTTCTTGCTTTTTCATTTTTTGTTTATCATTGTATGTTTTCCAATTTGAAGTTACCATGAAGGTTGCAAATACTATCTTACAGCCCATTATTTTAAGCTGGTGATAACTTAAAACTGATTGCATAAACAAGCAAACAAACACACAAAAAGAAAACTAAAGAAGGGCTACACTTTAATTTTGTCCCCCCACTTTTTAACTTTTTGTTGTTTCTCTTTATGTCTTACTGTTCTGTCCATGTCTTGAAAAATTGATGTAGTTATTATTTTTTATTAGTTCATCATTTAGTCTTTCTACTTAAGTTGATAGAAGTTTACACACCACAACTACAGTGTTATACTATTCTGTGTTTTTCTGTGTCCTTAATATTACCAGTGAGTTTTGTACCTTCAGATGACTTCTTCTTGCTCATTAATATCCCTTCATTTCAGATTGAAGACCACCCTTTAGCATTTCTTGTAGGACAGGTCTGATGTTGATGAAATCCCTCGGTTTTGTTGGTCTGGGAAGGTCTTTATTTCTCCTTCATGCTTAAAGGACATTTTTGCTAAATATACTATTCTAGGATGAAAGATTTTTCTTTCAGCACTTCAAATATGTCATACCAGTTTCTCCTGGCCTGTAAGTTTTCCACTGCAGTTTGCTGTTAGATGTATTGGAGTTCTATTGTATATTTATTTCTTTTCTCTTGCTGTTTTTAAAATTTGTTCTTTATCCCTTGGGAGTTTAATTATTAAATGCCTTGAGATAGTGTTCTTTGGGTTAAATCTGCTTGATGTTCCATAACCTTCTTGTACCTGAATGTTGTTATCTTTCTCTAGGCTTGGGAAGTTCTCTGATGTTATTCCTTTGAATAAACTTTCTATTCCTATTTCTTTCTCTACCTCCTCTTTAAGGCCAGTAACTCTTAGATTTGCTTTTTTGAGACTATTTTCTAGATCTTATAGATCTTCTCATTGCTTTTGATTCTTTTTATTCTTTTTTCTCTCTGCATATTTTCAAATAGCCTGTCTTCAAGCTCACTAATTCTTTTTTTCTCCTTGATCCATTCTACTATTAAGATATTCTGATGCATTCTTCAATATGTCAATTGCACTTTTCAACTCTAGAATTTCTGCTTGATTCTTTTTAATTATTTCAATCTCTTTGTTAAATTTATCTAACAGAATTCTGAATTCCTTCTCTGTGTTATCTTGAATTTTAGTTTCCTCAGAAGAGCTATTTTGAATTATCTCTCTGAAAGACCATATATCTGTTTCTCCAGGCTTGGTCCCTGGTGACTTATCTAGTTCATTTAGTGGTGTCTTGTTTTCCTGGATGTTATTGATGCTTGTAGATATTTGTTGGTGTCTGGGCATTGAAGAGTTAGGCATTTATTGTCGTCTTCACAGTCTAGGTTTGTGTCTTTCCTTCTTGGAAAGGCTTTCCAGATACTCAAAGGGACTTGTGCCTAGTCCCAATAATACTGTAGTTTTTGTAGACTCACAGAAGTACCACCTTGGTTGTCTTTAATATAATCTGGAAGAATTCTCCGGATTACCATACAAAGACTCTTGTTCATTTTCCTTACTTTCTCCCAAACACACAGAGTCTTACTCTCTGTTCTGAGCCACCTGGAACTGGGAGTGTGGTGATGCAAGCACTCCTGTGGCCGTCACTACTGGGACTGCACTGGATCAGACTTGAAGCCAGCACAGCACTGAGTCTTCTTCAAGGCCCTTCCCTTCAGGGTAATGAGTTTCCCAAGGCCCTAGGCATGTCCAGAGATGCTGTCTGGGAGTCAGGGTTTGAAGTAAAAAACCTTAGCAAATTACCTGATACTCCATTTTATGGCAGCTAAGCTGGCACTCAAATCACAATACAAAGTCCCTCCCGCTCTTCCCTTCCCTTTTCACAGGCAGAGGGACCTCTCTCTGTGGCCACCACCACCACCAACCCATGGGGGATTCTGCCAGGCCACTGCTGATGTCACTTAAAGCCCAAGTGCTCTTCAGTCAGCTTGTGATGGATGCTGCCAGGCCTGGGACTCACCCTGCAGGGCAGTGGGCTCTCCTTTTGCCTAGGGCATTTCCAGAAATGTCATCCAAGAGCCTAGGCCTGGACTCAGGGACTCCAAGAGCCTGCTCTACCCCACCTTGGCAGAGCTGGTACCTAGGGTGCAAGACAAAGTCCCATTTACTTTTCCCTCTGCTTTTCTCAAACAGAAGGAGTCTCCCACCATAGTTGCCACAGCTGGGAATGTGTGGCATTTCCCCTGAAACCAGCATGTCTCAGAGCCCAAGGCCCATTGTGTACTCCCTGGGTATCACTGCCGGTTATTCAGGGCCCAAGGGCTCTTTCGTTAACAGATGATAAAACCTGCTTGGACTTACCTTTCCCTTTAAGAAAGAGGGTACACTTTTGGCCCAAGGTGTGTCTTGAAATGTGGTTTGGGAGCTAGGGTCTGGAATAGGGGCTTCATGACTCTACCTGGTACACTATCCTACTGTGACTGAGCTGGTATCCAAAATGCAAGACAAAGTCCTCTTTATTCTTCACTCTGCCCTCCTCAAGCAGAAGGAAGGAGTCACTTTCATTGCTTCGAGCTGCACTGCCTGGAGTTGTGGGGAGGAGTAGCACAAGCACTTCCTTAGCTGCGCCCACTGGTGTCTCCCTAGGTCACCTAGTTCTCACTAGGTACCACCCTAATTCGCTGACTCTCAGCCCAGCCTTGCACTAGGAGTTGCCTAGGTATTGCAGTCCTTGTGTCCTAGACTGCCTTTCAAGTTTACCTAGGCCCTCAGTGCACTTCAGCCTGCAGTAGCGAGGCTTGCTGAAAAACTCCAGTTCTTACCGCTAGGATGAGCGATTCCCTCTGGCTAGGGCTATTCCAAATGCTCCCTCTGGTGTGCAGGTGCTGGTTGAGACCAGCAAGGCTTTATTCTCCACTGTGATGGGGCAGCACCCAGTTCAATGTAAAATCCCCAAGTTGCTGCATTTTCCCTCCCCAAAGTGCACAGATTCTCCCTCTCTCTGCACCTCTCTCTGCTGACAGCAGATGGAGGAGGTGTGGTATCCATGATTCGAGACTGTCTCTCCTGCACTCCTCAATGCCTCTTTCAGTGATACGAAGTTAAAAGCAGGTATTATGATTCCTCACCTAATTTTTGGTTTTTGGGATGGTGCTTTTCCATGGGCAGGTAGTTATTAAAATTTGGTGTTCCAGTAAAAGGGATGAAAGGTGTAGGATTCTATTCCACCATCTTGCTCTGCCCCTAACAATAATTTTTGTTATAAAGTAAGATATTATTATCTTAGAGATAACACAAAATTAGGACAGTTTTATCTCCATAAAAGCAAGGATGAGTCTGCGCCGGGTGTACCTTATCGCCATGCCTCAGAAAATTGAGGAAATCAAGGGTTTTCTGCTTACAGCCTGGTGAAAGGATGCCAAATCTGTCAAGATCAAGAAAAGTAAGGACAATATGAAGTTTAAAGTTCCATGCAACAGATTCCTTTATACCCTGATCATCACTGACAAAGAGAAGGCAGAGAAACTGAACTAGTCCCTGCCCCCTGGTTTGGCAGTGAAGGAGCTGAAATGAACCAGACACACTGATCTAAACTGTATTAAAATATTAAAAATCCTTTAAAACAAGAAAGCAAGGATGATTCAACATCAGAAAATGAGCCAATGTAACTCACCACATGAATACACTAAAGGAGAAAAACTATAGGATGATCGTAATAGAACCAGAAAAAGCATTGGATAAAATTCAATAACTTCATGATTAAAAATTAAAACTCTTAGAAAATCAGGTCTGAAAGAGAATGTTCTAATTTATAAAGGTCATGTGACAAATACCTACAATAAACATTATATTTGCTGGAAAGATTGTAGAATTCCATCTAAGATAGAAAACCCCCAAACCAGTAACCTGAGGCTAAAATTGATGGATTTAATTACATCAAAATAAGCTTTTCTGTTTTCATGAAAATAGTCATGGATAAAAGTAACAGAGAACTGATGAGGAGTTTGGGAATTCCAGTAGAAATCTAGTAAAAGGAAAAAAACATGATTCATGAGAAAAAGAAACTAAAATGATAATTTTTAAATGATATCTAACTTATGACAAGATGCTCAGACTCGTTGGGGGTTTGTAAGAGATGAAAGTGTAAACAATAGCAACTTCAAATCTATCAGATTAGCACAACTTACAAAGCTGGAACTCCAGCCAAGTGTTGCAGGGAGATGGGGATGGGGGATGTAAAGATCCTCATGCAGTGCTGTTGGGGATGTGGACTGTTGGAGCCACACTGGAGAGCCTCTGGTCCTATTTGGTCAAATTAAGAATATGCATATCCTCTGACCCAGCAATCCAGATGGGGAATCCAGAAGATTGTTGTGGGTGGGATGTCTGGGTTCTCATCCCAGAGAAAGTCTCACACAGGTCTATAGTGGGGCATATATGAAGATGTTCATTGTTTTACAGGGAAGTGTCAGCAATCTGTGGTTTCTTACTGGGTGACTGGAGAAGCGCTTGTACTGGATGTGCACTAGGGAGTATTATTAAGCAGTTAAACAACAGACTTGATATATGTGCAGCAACATGAAGAGACTCCTGAGTGAAAAAGTGAGGAACAGAATGAAGTGAATGATGCCACACAATTTGTGTACATTGAAAGTACTTTCATACAAGACATCAATCTTTGTTATATAAGAAGTCTATAAATACATGCATACTGAGCCTTGCATGGATCAGTGAGAATAGTGAATGATGAGCTGAGGATTTTGATTTGAAATCTAACATTGAATTTACAAAGGAAGGGAGGGAAGAAGAAGGCAGGAAGAAATCCCATGGGGCCAGTTGGTGTCTGGTGAGGCTATCTTAAGGGTGGTCTCCAAAGAGGGTGGTCCATCATCTTGCTTTACAAGGATGGCCTCTAGGAATTGCTTTTTGAAGGAGTAATTGAAAGAGGGGAATTCAAGGTGGATCCATCCATGGAAAATTCCAACCAGAAGGGAAGTGTTAAGATCAGGTGGCCAGAGATAGATGGGCTAAATCTGGGAATCCTATTTAACTAGTCAGGTGTTAGAGAGAGACCCCTGCAGATTTGGAAATAGAGACCTGTAAAGCTGATCCATGGGGTTCTGTCAGAGGACGGTGAGGGATACAGGAAAGACATCTCTGAATCAAGTGTGCAGATGTTGTGAGGCAGAGAGGACGTTCCCTATTCACAGTGCTGGCAGCCCACACTGGCTCAAAGGGGCCAAATGTGCCTCAGTGTATTGGGGGTGGAGGGTTTATTGTAGAAACAGTAACTTAAAGTGAATATAAATGTAAAGTAAGGCACAGTGGTGTATAGTTATGAGAACTCAAGTTCTGATAAAAGAAATGATAAGATTGTACATGTTCTGAAACACTTCCCTAAAGGACCTGAAGACCTCAGCAAGTAAGGCTCCAGGTAATGCACTGAAACAATTCTCTGATATAAAAATACTTATAGCCAATCTCTGTTTGTTTTTATTTTTCTATAAACAAAATCATGCTTGGATATTTCTTTCTAATGTCCCTTCCTGTGTATGTATCTATAGCTATCAATTATGTTCCAGAAGAATAGGCTTTAAAAAATTTTCTTATCTTGGATCCCTATATTCTAGGCTAGAGGGCCCTGAAATAATTCATTTTAACTATTCATATTGCTGGTCTTTAAGGACCAGTAGGTGCTCAGCATGTCACCATGGAAACCAGTGCAAGTGCTGCCAGATTTTATCGATCTTTTCTATCTAAAACTGTCCTGCTGATGTGCCTGTTAAAGATGGGAGACCCAGACAGTGGCCAGGATGAATTCCAAATATAACCCAATGATCCCAAGAGTCCAGAAATGTCACATTGAAAAGCAACATAACCAGCTGGCTGGCTGTCCCTCAGGGATGCCTCTACAGGGATGCTTTGGAAAAAAGAGCCTCCATAGATCCCTTAAGCTGACTCTTCCTTCTCCTTGGCAGGGTGAGAAATAACTTCCCTTGTCCGCACCTAGACCTTACTGCTGTACCTTTTCAGAATAGGTAAGGGATATTCATTCTGCAACCTTTGGGGTTCCATCTTTACAGAGATGCCTTTTGTGGCACATTGTATGTAGACAGCCAGCCCAGGGCCTTGAACCAAGAGTCTTGGCAACTATCATAGTGAGATGTGGATATATATTTTTAAAGTAGCTTGATAGAAACAGACATTCACTTACTCAGTTTTTACAGGAAAGAAACACACTGTTCATCCAAGGTGGATTAAAAAAGATATAGTGCAAAATTCTACATACGTTGTAAAAAATTATCCCATGTGCAATTACAAGCTTAATATACCATCATCCTTAACATCACAATGGGCCTCAACCTGCTCACCACCCCAGACATTCCTGCCAGATGGCATGTTCTGTGAGGAGGACCAATGCCAGCCTTGCTAATGCTCATCACCCCTGGCCCAATGCAGCCCAGGACCAACAAAGGATTCAATGAATATTTAGACATCATCCCTCTTGCTACTCTGGACTGTAATTGGCTCTTGAATAAATGAGTGAATAACACCTTGCTGACTAGTTAGTTCTCTCTTAAATTAGTTGTTGATGCAGTAGTTCTCAGACTTTTGGATTTCTCAGACCAGTAACATTTCAAAACTATACATAATGATGGTACATTAGAGTTTGCAAAATAAGGACTAATAACAAAACAGAATGAAATAACACATAAACACCTCTATGATGACCACTTCCTAGGAGAAGCTTTTTCTTTCTTTTTTTAACTTTAGAAAACATCTTGTACCATAAAAAGGCAGAAAAGATCTAATTTTAGAATAAAAATAAGTTCTTTAAATCTATCAAATTTAGATTTCTAGGCTGGGCGCGGTGTCTCACATCTGTGATCCTAGCACTTTGGGAGGCCGAGGTGGGGGGATCACCTGAGGTCAGGAGTTCGAGACCAGTCTGGCCAACATGGTGAAACTCCATCTCTACTAAAAATACAAAAAAAAAAAAAAATTAGCTGGGCATGGTCGTGGGCGCCTGTAATCCCAGCTACTCGGGAGGCTGAGGCAGGAGAATCACTTGAACCCAGGAGGCGGAGATTGCAGTGAGCCTAGATTGCATCATTGTACTCCAGCCTGAGCAACAAGAGTGAAACTCCATCTTAAAAAAAAAAAAAATTAGCTTTCTGAAAGACTTTTTATGATGTCCTTATTTTCTGCTTTTCATCACAGACCAGTGAAAACTTTGTCATGGATCAGGACTGGTTCTTTGACCAGTGTTTGGAAACCAAATATCAATGAACTATTTGCCTAAAATATTTTTCAGGACTAAATCATTTTCTACTTTTGTATTCTCTGCCTAGTGTTGTATTAGTTGGTTTCTAGTTTCAACATTAAAAAAACTATTCATTCCTTTTAGATAAAAGAGATCTATATTCTTCCCCTCTGTAGGTTGATTATTGGCCTAAAATATTTTCTGTTGTTATTATTTCCTTCTTTTTTTTCTTCTCTGCCTTGTGCTATCTGATTTTTTCCTATTTTATGGAGAATGGTTTTACAAGGTAAGGTATCACTCTTCCGTTTGTCGTCTTTGAAACTTATTGCTACCATCTGATATCCTCCTAATTCCTTTTACTCAAGGAGCTTAACGTGCTTTGCATAGTATCCCTTAATCTTCTAATCTAACATTTTCTACTTGGTGGAGGAGGAGGCAGGCATGTAACAAGGCCCAGCTTTGGTGATTTGGGTGTAAAACATTTTCTATCAACTTCTTCTAAATTGCGAACTTCTCCAAGGAGACTATGAAGTTGAGTAATGGGTTCAGGTTGCTTGGGGGACACTTGAATACGGTTCTCTAACTCCTGGCTTCGGTATCCAGAGGCTATTGCTGCCTTTACAAAACTGCTTGGCTGACTAGGTCCTGGGAGAGTTTGTCCCTCTAGTGGTTCCATCTCATTTTTGCAAGGAATAATGTGCCTATCTACCAGAAAATATTTACTGTTAAAAAAAAATAAATGTATTGCTCATGGTAAGAAAAGAATACCATTAAAGGTGTTATTTATTCTTATAAAATCAATTTTGTGATAGGGGTATTCAGCATTTTGCTTTCTTTTTCCTGGAAAGGAGTGAACCCTCACTGTTTCTAAGACGTCAAAGATAGCAAACCGTGCTAAGAACACCACCTAGCGTTTAACTTTGAAGTGACTGCTTGCTGTACCAGGCGACACGATTAATTTTAAGCTTTCCTCATCTGCTAATAAGAGGAAATGGTCCACTGTGTTGATTGTTCATTTTGATTTTTGCTTTGAAATTGAATTTACCTGTGATCTTAGCTTTTGAGTACTAATATTACGTATGTTTTTATTTTCCAGATAAGCGCATGAGCACATGATTTGGTTTTGTTAGTTTAAAAGAGGATTGACTTTGAAGTTCAGGCTCGATGCTCCTGAAAATTGATGAATTAGGTCTCGGATTTCACCATGTCCAACAAGCCTTCCCTGACCTTTCTTCCAAACTGATTTTCTGCTGTATGGCAGTAGCCCCATCTTTCCGTTTTTTAAGACTATGCATAGACATCATCGCCCTTGCTACTCTGAACTATAATTGGCTCCTCACTGTTTCTCATGCAATTGGGAACACATTCCTCGTGGGTATGTACCAGGTTTCAAGACCTGTGGTGTATCCTGAACCTAGCACATGGAGCTGCTTGATCAATACAGTTGAATGAAATGAAGGAATGAATATAAGAAAAAGTTTTTCTAAATAAGATGATAGGGCAGGATTCATTTTTGTCTTTGTAGTTCTCAGCTTTCTCCTATGTTCAGTCAAGTATTCCATCTTGAAATAGCTGAATTTAATTAAACTAACAACTCCATGTAAGATCTTAGCAGGATAACAAAAATCATGGTTTGAGGGCAAAACCTTAAATTCAAAGGTGAATGAAGCTTTGATGATGGTTAGGATACATCTGCCTTTAAAAATTGGGTTACCTGCTCTGTCTGGTAAATTTGAGGCAGACATAACTGTTCTTCTTCTGTACCAACATCCCCAAACACCCTGACCTGTTAAAAAAAAAAAAAAAGTGAAGTTTCTCATTTGCAGCAGGGACTAGAGCACAGGAATGCAAGAGGAATAGAAATGGGAAGTCTGGAAAAGGCAAAATCTCCTTTGAAGAATGTCCAGATCTCCTTCCCAGACCCACTGCTGACCTGGGATAAGTTCCCAATCATTCCCTGAAATTAAAAAATGTAGTCTTCTTGTTCCTTAAAGAGAGATGCTCCTTCTCCAACCCTGAAGATGTGACACAGGACCAAAGTTATTTTCCTACCTGACGTAGAAGCCTGAGGCCTGGCAGAGCCTGCTTCTGTGCCTCTGAGAGTCCAGTTCCTCTGAATCTGACTCAGAAAGCAGCCTTATTTTAACTAGCCAGGCCAGCCTATCCTCTCACTTTCTCCCTACCTAATAGAACCCTGTCTGGGGAAGGAGTAGCCATATATCTATCTGATGTGTGAAAATAATGAAACAAAGAAAAATCCTCTAAATTTCCCAAACTCCTTTGCAGATAGAAGTAGCCAAGTTTTGGCTGGTGAAATAGAAGTGGAAGTTGTTGAGAGGAACTTCCTAGAGAAGCTCCTTAAAAAGGGGTTGACTCCCATGGCATACTGTTTTGTCCACTGCTCTTCTCATTCTTCTTGTCTGGAGCTTGAACAGGATGGCTAGAACTCTGGCAGCCATCTTGAGGCCACTAGACAACCTTTAAAGATGACTGAACAGAAATGTAAAAGGAGTCTAAGTCCCTGGTGAATTGTGAGCTACCATTCCCACCCTGGACCTCCCATGTCCACATTCTTCATTACCTGAGAAAAATAAGTTTCCTAATTTGTTTAAACCTATGTTTTGGGGGACCTCTTTTACTTGGAGCTTAACACAATTCTTAACTGATACAAAGGGCTTTAGTAAAAAACATACTTATATTTAAAATCTGCTTAGCTCTCATATTCAATCTGTTCCTATAGTCATTAGAAAAAAAGTGTTGTGCAAAAGCCAAAATTGACAAATGGATCTAATTAAACTAAAGAGCTTCTGCACAGCAAAAGAAACTACCACCAGAGTGAACAGGCAGCCTACAGAATGGGAGAAAATTTTTGCAATCTACTCATCTGACAAAGGGCTAATATCCAGAATCTACAATGAACTCAAACAAATTTACAAGAAAAAACAAACAACCCCATCAAAAAGTGGGCGAAGGATATGAACAGACACTTCTCAAAAGAAGACATTTATGCAGCCAAAAGACACATGAAAAAATGCTCATCATCACTGGCCATCAGAGAAATGCAAATCAAAACCACAATGAGATACCATCTCACACCAGTTAGAATGGCGATCATTAAGAAGTCAGGAAACAACAGGTGCTGGAGAGGATGTGGAGAAATAGGAACACTTTTACACTGTTGGTGGGACTGTAAACTAGTTCAACCATTGTGGAAGTCAGTGTGGCGATTCCTCAGGGATCTAGAACTAGAAATACCATTTGACCCAGCCATCCCATTACTGGGTATATACCCAAAGGACTATAAAACATGCTGCTATAAAGACACATGCACACGTATGTTTATTGCGGCCCTATTCACAATAGGAAAGACTTGGAACCAACCCAAATGTCCAACAACGATAGACTGGATTAAGAAAATGTGGCACATATACACCATGGAATACTATGCAGCCATAAAAAATGGTGAGTTCATATCCTTTGTAGGGACATGGATGAAATTGGAAATCATCATTCTCAGTAAACTATCGCAAGGACAAAAAACCAAACACTGCATGTTCTCACTCATAGGTGGGAACTGAACAATGAGAACACATGGACACAGGAAGGGGAACATCACACTCTGGGGACTGTTGTGGGGTGGGGGGAGGGGAGAGGGATAGCATTTGGAGATATACCTAATGTTAACTGAGGAGTTACTGTGTGCAGCACACCAACATGGCACATGTATACATATGTAACAAACCTGCACATTGTGCACATGTACCCTAAAAGTTAAAGTGTATATAAAAAAAGAAAACAGACAATAAAGAAAATTAATAAAAAAAAAAAAAGAGAAAAAGTGTTGTGGAGTTTGGAATAATTTTCCAGAGAACCGATGGGCCCATGATTTGGGGAAGATGAAGGGCTGATCTTTTTGAAAAAGGAGCCAACCACATGTAATGCCTATGCTGAGGAATGAATAATTCTTAGAGGGGCTAGTAGAGCAAATGGTTTAGCTGGGATTGGGTCAACCATTTGGAACAGTATTGAATCAGTTGTGGAGGGTGGAAGTTCTTTTCATCTCAGGATAATTAATCCCATGTGTAATGTTGGACAAAATTACCTGATCCTAATTAGCAAGAGTCATGTGGCCTTCAAAATATGATTTATGCTATAAAATTGAAAGAAATTACATACACAGTCCTCAATGGAAGATCATGTCTCACAATTTCTCTTGCAGGGAAAAGGTGGTTAGGAATATGAGATTTGGAAGAATATGAGATTAGGGTCATATTCACCTCGGTTCGAACCTGGCTCAGTTCATTATTTTGACACAATTATTTACATTGCTAAACCTGTATTCTCATCTACAGATTGGGGTATATATATACTCATAGTCCCAACTTAAAGGGTACTTGTAAGGATTAAGTGAGGTTTACTCATACTTACTGAACTTCCTGGTATACGAGCAGGTGCTTAATACAAATATGAACACCAATAAAAGTTCAATGTGGGCAATTTTGCTCCCAGAACCTCCAGTGTTTAGCCAGTTCTCCTATGGCCTGGACACAGGTGGTAAGGTTATTCTTCAGGATCTATTGATATGGTTACCAGGGAAATCACTCCCAAAGGCTTACACCCTTGGCTTTAGCTCAGTCAGACAGTACAGTCCTACTGCTGAGAATGCCAGAGCCCTTAGTTTTCCAGACTTTGTTTAATTGGTTTAGTTGCCTGGAGCAAAGCTTCTCTTCACCACACCCCCTTGACTTCTCACCCTTCCAGACCCTAGCTCATACATTACTTCCTCTCTTAGCTTTACCTTGGTACCCGTGAATAAAAAGTGAGTCCCTCCTAAAAAACATCAGGCATACTTTCTCTGAGCCTTTACAATTATTTGTATCCCCTGCCAGGCTGTGTGCTCCTGAAAGGCAGGGATGATGAGTTATTCATCTTCATCTCCCAACACTTACTTTATACCTGGCATGTAGTAGGCCATCAGCAAATGTTTATAGGAACAAAATGTTCAATGTTGTGAACATTTATTGCTCCTGGATGGAATGAGAGAGAGCTTTTCCATCCCTCAGCCTTCAATGTTATTGTTTTATTTCAGCTAAATCCCCAGAAGGAGCATTACAAAGAGAGAGAAGCAACACTGGGGTAATGACCTTTCCACGGGTCTAAGCACACGAGAGAGAAGCAGGGAGGTGTCAGTTGTTAAATAATCAATGCGAGAGGCCCTTGAATGAGGCAGAAGGAAAGTTCTCTAGGGACACTCCAGACGGCCAATATGAAGCTGTGGTTTTGGATGAGTTTGGCTAATTACTTTGTCCTTTGATAAAGATAGCGCCCCCTCAAGAGTATTCATGGGGAGACAACGTCCCCCAACCTCCAGATTTTATATGGATGGAACTTCCAAGCAACCACTGCTAATTTTTGCCTTCCCAATCCCCTGCCATGATTGTTTTAAAGAATAAATAATACACAAAGTTCAAACACGTGTGAAGGTGGCACAGATCTACAGCATCACATTACATCTCAAATAATAGGTCCTTGGAGACACAGAGGTCAATCTTATTGAGGGAGCAGCTGTTTCATTTAAGAATGTATCTATGCATGTGTGCATGGCACTCTGGTGGGAGGTCCTTACTGAGATCTTTTTCTGCACTGGAGGTTACACACAGTAGAGATAGTGTCCTGGTGGAAGAAGCCTCTTCATTTTTCTAGGGCCAAGTTCAAATAAGAAGTAATTCTTGATGTTAGACTCTCTAGTTCCAGAAGTGAGAGATGCTGGCTGAGGTTGGGTCCTACCCAACAAGAGATATAAGGGGGAGGTCAAGGCCAAACTTCTTTTGTGGGGGGCACACTAAAGAGAGGTCAGTCCTTCATTTCTATTTCCATCTGGGGATAGGAGGGTGAACACAAATTGTTTCTCTTCCTAAAGTCCAGAGAAGGCGACTTCCCAAATTACCAGCTGTGAGTGACATTTCTTTTCCTGGCTAACCAGCCACCAGGTTTCCTGACCTACCCTGTGTTATTTGAGAAGGGCACAACCAGGCAGAGAAGAATGGGCAAAACCACTCTCTCAGGATTCTGGTTTCTGATAAGCCCAGAAGATGTGATGAGCCTGTGCCCCAGATTGGGGCAGCAGATGATGTGTGGGTTTGGCGACCCCAGGTGTATTAATCCCTTCTCACACTGCTATAAAGAACTATCTGAGACTGGGTAATTTATGAAGAAAACAAATTTAATTGACTCACAATTCTGCAGGCTTAACAGGAAGCATGACTGAGAGGCCAAGAAACTTACATTCATGGTGGAAGGTGAAGGGGAAACAAGCACCTTCTTCACATAGTGGCAGGAGAGAGAGAGAGAGAGCAAAGGGGGAAGTGCCACATACTTTTAAATGATCAGATCTCGTGAGAACTCACTCACTATCATGAGAACAGCATAGGGAAATCCACCCTTATAATCCAATCACCTCCCACCAGGTCCCTGCCCCAACACTTTGGGAATTACAATTCAACATGAGATTTGGGTGGGGACACAGAGCCAAACCATATCTCCAAGCTTGCTGGGGATTGCCAGGGGGATAACGAAAGAGGCATGTTCTATCAGGAAAATGTGGCTGTGAGGACAGTGCTTGTGGATTAAAAGTAGATAGAGTCAAGTATCCCATTCTTAGAGATTGTTACAATTTCCATCAGTAACCATGGAGGAGACTATAGTCTAGAAGATAGATTAGTGGCCACAAGTTTACAGAAAGGGAGTCCCTTAGTTCGGGCTACTATAATACATTGTCATAGACTGAGTGGCTTATAAACAACAGAAATTTATATCTCAGAGTTATGGGGGCTGGAAGTCTGAGATCAGGGTGCCAACATGGGTGGGTTCTGGTGAAGATCTTCCGGGTTGCAGACTGGAATCTTTTTGTTGTGTCCTCACATGGAAGACAGAGGGCGAGTGAGTTCTCTAGTGTCTTTAAAAAAAAAATGGGCATTAATCCCTCCACCCTCATGACCTAACCACCTCCTAAAGGCCCCACCTTCAAAGAATATCACATTGGGGGTTAGGATTTTAACATATGAATTTTTGGGGAAGGAGGCAAACATTCAGTCCATAACAGTGGGCAAATAACTTCATCACAACCAGCCTCAAAGGGAAACTTTCCCCTGCTCGCCCCCCTTCCCAGTGCCGGAGAAGTATTAATAACTGTTGGAAAGATGTCAGAGGGAAAAAAAATGAGCCACACACCCCCCTATTCAGGGAAGGGGAGCAGCTTTGAATCAAATGCAACATTGAAAATTTAAAATACATAGGTCTTCATAACCAGATGAGACTGTTTCAATTACTGAAAATGAATAAAAACTTATAGAATTGGATTAAGATGTTTTAAGGGTAGCCACCACCCAGTGGAAAAATGGGAACTTTAATAGAAAACAGTGAGAGCAGTTAACTGGAAAATAAAATAAAATAATTCACACTTATATGCCAATGAATCAAATTCCTTCCTAAACTGGTTACAATTGTACATATGTAAACATTTATACTCTGCTTTTTCTAAAAGTCATTTAAGGCCATTTTTAAAGATGAGGGTCAATTTAAATTTGTTTATTTATAGATGAGCCCCAAATATCTGTGCCCAGTTACCGTGACTAAGAACTTCTTTAGAGCATGAACTTTGTCTGCTAAACCTGAGTAGCACCCAGCTCAGAACCTTAGCACAAGGGGCCATGACAAAAAGCCTTTTGATGAGAATAACGATAATGCCTGCACTAACCACGTAAGAGTTAATAATTTCCATTGTAAGTAGGCTGGAGTTAATTCATTTGTATTTTCTATGAGTAGTGAAACGTCTGCAGAAATCTGTCCCACATGTGATCTTCCCGACAGTTGCCTGGATGTGTTCACCGACTGTTACAGGGATTTGGGGAGGGGATCGACTTCTCCCTGAAGGTGATGCCTCAGTAAGTTAGCAATTACACCACACCATCCCTGGAGCTGCTTGCTAAAGGCAATGGAAGAAACCTTTCTGGAGGAGGGAGTTTAATTTTTCAAAATTTTGAAATAAACGCAGATTTACAGGAGGGAAAATAGTACAGAGAGTTCCCATATAATCTTCACCCAGCTTTGTCTAATGTTAATGTCTTACATATTGATAATACATTTGTCAAAACTAAGAAATTAGCAAGGGTAAAATCCTGTGAGCTAAATAAAGACTTTACCTAGTTTATTAATCTGTCTTCACGCTGCTGATAAAGACATACCTGAGACTGGGTAATTTATAAGAAAAAGAGGTTTAATGGACTCACAGTTCCATGTGGCTAGGAAGGCCTCATAATCGTGGTGGAAGGAGAAAGACACCTCTTACATGGCAGCAGACAAGAGAGAATGAGGATCAAGTGAAAGGGGAACTCCTTATAAAACCATCAGATCTCGTGAGTCTTATTCACTACCACGAGAACAGTATGGGGAAAACTGACCCATGATTCAATTATCTCCTACCGGGTCCCTCCCACAACACATGGGAATCATGGGAGCTATCATTCAAGATGACGTTTGGGTGAGGACACAGAGACAAACCATATCACCTAGTTTCTCAGCTAATGCCCCCTTTTTTCTCCAAGACAATCCAAGAAAATTCTCAATCTGGGACACCCCATTGCATTTCATTGTCGGATTTCCGTAGTTTCAGATGAGATAACTTGTAAACTGAGGAGTCTCTTCTTGAGGTCTTGTTCTCTGGTCTTCGGCCCTGGTCCCAGGACTAAAGGTTTGAGGCTGTGAGCATGGCAGGGGAGGCCTCTTCACTTCCCTGCTAGAATGGTCTCAAGTTGAACAGAAGAATCCCAGAACACACCTGCTGGGGATGCTTGTGTCCTTCTCTACTTTATGAAGTCACCAAAGATAGGTTAATTGTGGTTCCCACAGTTTTCCTTTGGAATTACCTGGCCAGGGTAGGCAAGTGTCAGGATTCCAGCTCTGCTGGATTACAGAGACTTTGACGGACCAGAGACAAAATGGCAGCAGCTGGATTGTATGTCGTGGTCATGCCACCTCCCATTCTTCCCTTCCTCTCCTCACAGCTAGTGCTTCTCTGCATAAGCATTTGCCTCTTTGCTCTCATATCTATCCCTCTCTTCCTTCCTGTTCTGCTCTATATTCAAGAGGACAGTCCTTGCACACTACATGTACCAGGCTCCTTTGCCAATAGAGGTATGATTAATTCAGCCAACACAGGCACTGTTGGGAGAAGGAGGAGCAGAAGGGAGAGAGATTCCCCCTCTTTCCTTTGAGCTTTGGGTGTTCAAGTGGCTAGGCAGCCCCACATGGCTGCTTCTCTTGCTGGTGGTCCTGGCCCTGGTCTCTGGCAGTGCCACCTCTGCCCTCTATCTTTCCAGCTGCCGAGGCTGTGGCCACTCCCAGCTGTTGCTGACTTCTTGTGGCTTCAGTGTCCCCTACAATACTTTTCATTTTTTTTCCTGCACCATATGGAACTACCTGGAATGGATTCTGTTCCCCTGACCTGCCTAGTTGGTATATAGACCCATCACTTCTCCTTTCCCATACACTCCTCCCACCTTCTTCCTTTCTGAGGCTAGCATAAGGAGAGCTGAAGGACTAAGTCTCATTAAACTGCTCAAGGGATTTGTTATCGCAGGCAGGAACAGGAAACACTCCATCAAGTAAGGGTTCCAGGGCTCAGTGACCTGCATGTGGCAGAAAGCTCTATTTTCTTCCTTGGTCTTATGCCCTTGCCAATAACCCTTCATGTGACCTAGTGACAAGCATTATTCTGTATTAGGTTAAACCAAGGAATGGCTATCTTCAAGTATTTTTGATCTATAAAAATGGCAGTTTCATACGACTTGACCTAATAAAAAAAAGAAGTAGATAGGAAAAAGATAACAAATACATTGTTAACAATAATTGATAGCCAATAATAAAGCTAACATTGTGCGTTCACCATGCACAAGGCATCATGAGGTGCTTCAAACAGTGTCAATGATTGCAGACCCAGCCAGACACCTGCCCAAGTGCTTCATGTCTATCAAATCACTTAATCTTCAAAACAACCCTGCCGGGACAGTACGATTATATTCCATTTTATGAATACAGTACAGAAATGTTAAATAACTTGCTTAATGTCACACAGTAAGGGGCAGGCTTGGGATTTGAAGCCAGGCAGCTGGTCTCAACCACTACACTCTATGTTGTCTTGAACTAGACGGGGTTATTTCTATTTTACAGATGAGGAAGCTGAGAAACAGAGAGGTTAAATAATCTGCCCTATGTCACACAGCTAGAAATGAGCTAAGATGGCATTAGAACCCAGTGACACCCAACTCCCAAGCCTAATTGCCTCCCCCCTTCCATGCCTCTCTTGCACCAGTTTGTCCTTTGAGGTCTCTAACACTCCATTTCACTGGATTCTCTTATCTTTGCCTACAAAAGGTAATAACGTGTGGATTTCAACACAAACCCCTTGCACACCAATCTTTTGGTGAATTTATTGAGTTTCCCTTCTATGATACCCTGGGGCCTTACCTGTGTATGAAACTAATTCAGAAGGAAATTACTGTGGCTTGTATTAAGACCTCTGCCAGGTAAGGGATCAAAGTATCTCTTTCAAATGATATTCTAGGCAGAGTCAGACCTATCCTATTCCCTTTATTTCCTTCTTATAAAATTGGGCATTTAATGACCTTGTTTACACAGTGTATAAGTGTTTGTATGTCATATATGCACAGTGCCAAGAAGCACAGACATTATTTCTCTGGGCAACACACTCCATGTCAGTTTAGTGGTGATGTAGGGTAGGACCCCTGAGGTATCTCTGTCCAAAGATCTAGTGATCTAGGTCAGATGTTAACACGATCAGTGTGGAACTGCAAGGGTGCTGTAGCATTTAAATTGGCCATAAGAGGGCTCCATTTCTTTTCCCTAAATGTCCATAGTGATAATAGCTTTTGGGGCCACAGATGTGAAATGCTATTCTGGACACAGTAATTAAACCACATTTAGTGTAATTTACCAAAAATAAGTGAAATGGTTTGTTTGGTGGAACAATAAAGTCTATCATTTCTTTAACCTCCAAATACAAAGAGGGAAACCTTTTAATAAAATGAATTTGTTTCTCAACAGGCATTCACAGGGATTTCTCTCTTTTCTGTTTGGATGATGGCATTTGAAAAACAGTAATTCCATATTACATTTTCTTAATATTCCTCTCCTTTTTTTTGCAGTTGAGCATCGTAATAAATATTTCTGAAAAAGTGATAGTAATTGAGATGTCAAATGATCTTGAGCTTCCTTTTTAAGGCTGTATTAATCAGTGTGTAGTCAGGAAACCAAAAACCACATCTGATATTTTAACGGAGGGAATTTAATATGGAGAATTGATCACATAGGTATGGGAGGGATGAAGGAACAAAAGTAACCACTAAAGGAACCAGTAATTGCTGGAAGTAGCAACTACCCATAGGGCTGAGGAAACAAAGCTCAGGGGAAGGGGCATTGCCTGTGATTCTGTCAATGCTGAAATAGATGGACACTATCAATGCCAGGGTGAGGGGTCCCTGCTTGGGCAATAGTTGGGAGGAACAGCAGCTTCCTACCCCAGGCCTTCTGATATCCCACTAGTGTTCCCTACTATAGAACATAACAGAGAGCCAACTCCCCAAAAGAGAGATCTATAGATAGCCCCAGCATCACTGAACAGAATACAGAAAGGTAGCTTTGGAGCTGTGAGGTAATAGCTTAATAATTCACACAGTCTACCCCTTTGGCTATTCACATACCGTGTTTGAAGTTCTATACAAAAATAATAACTTTTTGCTTTGGCTATAGATGCTGTCATTTTCCATTAGCTTTTATATTGGAGATGGGTATACTAAGAAATACTCTGGGGAAACTCTTGTGTTCTAAATAGAGTTTTATAAAATAAATCTGATTTCTCTTAGTAACCAGGATCAACCAGTACAGTAATCCCCTACCTGCTAGGTCAGTGGGGATAGGAGCCCCAGGTGATTCACTGACACTCTCAACTTCTGAATCAGTGGAACAATTTGTGTGTCACCTGGTACAAACATTTCTCTATTATGAATATAGACCTCTGCGCCAGGTGTGGTGGTTGACTCTTGTAATCCCAATGCCTTGGGAGGCTGAGGGAGGAGGATCACTTGAGCCCAGGAGTACAAGACAAGCCTGAACAACATAGGGACACCCTGCCTCTACAAAAAAATAAAAAATTATCTGGGCATGGTGGCGCAAACCTGTGGTCCCAGCTACTCTTGAGGCTGAGGTGGGAGGATTGCTTGAGCTTGGGAGGTTGAGACTTCAGTGAGCAGTGATCTTGCCACTGCACTCCAGCTTCCAACCAGAAGAGCCCAGAGTTTCAGGAACAGAAAGCAAGCATTCTGGGAGTGGCTATTAAGGATACTAGTGAGATAAGCCACTCCCACTTTCATCCTTGCTTTCTGGACCCATATGTTCTGGCTAAGGAAGAAATTGGACCATGTATTCGTCACTGATTCAAAGCACATGAGGCATCTCGAAAGACAGAACCTTGACCTTCAGAGTATTCTCCCAAATTGTGCTGTAATTGAGGCTTCCATAGGCCATTCCACTTTTTATAAGGCCAGCTGCTTCAGGGTGATGGGCATGTGATGAAATCAGTGAATTCCATGGACATGAGCCCCTTGTCACAATTTTTGTGTGTGTGTATGTGGAATGAATTCTTTGGTCAGAAGCAATACTTTGTGGAATTCTATGCATGCGAATAAGGCATTATGCAAATTTAAAAATGAAAGCTTTGTTAAGCATGGGTTTTTGTGATGGCCAATACATATCTCAGCAGAGAATAATGTATTTGATAACAATGTGCTAAAAATAAAGCTACATCTGCCCTCTGTCCTGCCCATCCTCCCTTACAGACTTTCTTTGTTTCAAGGTAGGGCTTCTGTTTATTTGAGGACAGATATTTATGGGCCAAGGGCCTTATGGAAGGCAAGTCAGCTTTTCATAATGCCTACATTTCAACATAAGCCTGTTAAGAAGAAAAGGTAAAATAAGAATGAGGATGAGGTCATATATGCATTTTGAGGCAAATGTTTTTCTGAAGTTGAGTTGGCCTCAACATCAGTATTTATTTTCCTGAGCATCATGATTTCATGAAAAATGATTATCTCACACCACGTACATTCAATTATAATTTATATTTATGCTTACTTTAGGGGAGAAGTATGTAAGTGCATTGCTTTCATTCCAAAGGACCAAGAGCCTAAGCAGTTTCCCCTCTATTTGCTGGACATTGTGGTAGCAGTACTGTTCAAGTTTAATGTCAGAGTTCAAGGTGGAACCACCTTTGATGTGTGGTGCCAGTACTAAATCTAATCATGAGTCTGCCTAGTATTTTTATAAGCATTTAAAAACTCAAAACTCACCTCAACACTGAACATTTTAGGACTAAAATTATCCAAGCCAATTCATAAAGGAGGGTATATTTAGAAGACATACCCTCAAAGCAGTATTCCAACTCTAAATGCTTGGTTTCCTACCTTCCTCCCTCCACTTTGGTTTGCTTGAATTTTTCATATTTCAATAGCTTGCTTTGTGGTCAAATTCCCATCACCCTTATAACTATGGAAAGAAGAAAGTTGAACTGTTCTTTAAATATACATATTCATGATTTTTTTCAATAAACAGTTAACAATCATCTACTTTATATCAAAAATTGGGCTAGGCGCTGAGCATACCCGCTGTTACAGGTGCTTCTTTAGTTCAGGCCATCTTAGTGGCCTGGTAGAATCACAGTAACTGGAAAAAGAAGTAACTCTGCTTATGAGAGTCCCAGTCTTATCCTGATTCCTCTTCCTGGTTTGGGGTGTTTGGTGGAGTACGTCACTGGGCCTGTGAACAGTAGTCTTCCTCTGCCTCTCCTCACTGTGGTTACATACCTTGCATGGCTAAGAATTCATCTTTTGTGACCTTGCTCCTGGGGAATATCTAAGCTATGTACTGGTAAGTAAGCGCTGACAGAGTCGAAACAAGGCATCTTGAGTCTGTTGTCAGATTCAAAGGGCAAGGGCGATGCCAGAAATAGGAAACCACACTAATGAGGTCAGGAGCTGTGTGAAGTAAAGAGCAAGAGTCTAAGAATTTGAAGAGGGCTTGGAGGCAGGGCTGCCACTCATGATTCCTCAGACTGTGCACTTCCAGCTCCGGGGTGCTCTGTTCACATAATCAGAGTGCGATCAGCACTGCTTAGAGGTGTGTGCTATGGACTGAATGTGTACCTCCCAAATTCGTGTGTTGGAATCCTAACCACCAATGTGAAGGTAATGGGAGGTGGGGCCTTTGGGAGGTGATTAGGTCAAGGAGGGGATTCCTTATGAATGGGATTAGTGCCCTTATCAAAGAGACCCCAGAGAGCTGCTTTGGCTCTTCTGCAATGTGAGGATACAACAAGAAGATGGTAGTCTGCAACCTGGAAGAGGGCCTTCACCAGAATCCGATCTTGCTGTCACCCTTATCTCAGATTTTCAGCCCCCAGAACTGTAAGAAATAAATTTCTGTTATTTATCAGCCACCCAGTCTATGGTACTTTGTTATAGCAGCCTGACTGGTTGCTATACTAGATAATGCATAAAACAAGGAGTACTTCTTGTGGTACTTTATTATAGCAGCCTAACTGAGACATTGTGCAGTCCCCAACCTGCACAACTATACAAGTCTTGCTCTGAGGCCTCTTGCTTTTGCCCTTACACACTGGTGCCATGGTACATAGAGGGTGTGACTGGTAGGCCAGAATGAGGCAGGCACACCACCTTTTTCCTCATCTCTCCATTGTCTTCTCCATCAGAATCTGTCATGTCTTCCCACGCTGATCATGTTATCTCCTCTCAGAACTATCTCTGTGCTGGAACTACAAGAAGTACTCCTTGTTCCCTTTGTTTTATACATAATCTAGTATAACCACATTGCAGTTGCCTCAGACTTTTAAAACAGTTGTTTCTTCCAGAAAGAAGGCAGTCTGATGGTTTCTTTCATTGCGGAGTGTCAATTGTACTCAGTGACCGCCCAGCCCATACCTCACTCCAGCTTGGCCCTGAAGAATTTTTCTTCCCTCCATGAGTGTTCCTTTTATCTGCTACACCACCGGAAATATTCAGATTAACTTCTGTTCTTAGGGTCTTCAGAATTTTCCCTGCAGTATCAGTACTCAACTTCTAGTTAGGTATCTTTCCCATGAGGTTACTTGACTCTTCATGCATGACCCTTTTTTCGGATTCTATAGTAGTCATGTGGCCTGCCTACAATTATTTCATCCTTCCAGGCATGTGGTAGGATTGGTCTTCACACTATTTTGGAGTTCCATGTGGCATGTCACTTGTTTTGTCAATGAAATGTGAACAGATATAACACTTCTGGGCAGAGGCTTTGGAAGCTGGTGTAAGATTTGTCATGCCCTTTCCCCTAAGGAGATGACCGAGAAGGCACATATCATGACAGATCCTATGTTATCTGGGTCCAGGAATGACAACGATGAGAACAGCCTGTCTGCCAAGCCATGTTGAACATGTAACATGAGCAATAAATACAAGCGGGTTGTGTTAAGAAACTATAATTCTGTTTTGTTGTTGTTGTTGTTGTTGCAGCATATCCTTACCTGTCCTGCTGAGGCAAGATCCCCAAATGTCTGGAACTGCAAGCCTACACACAACTCAGGCCTTTCTGGTCCAGTCTCTACTAAATCAAGAAAGTAGTCCAGAAAACAGTTGAAGTTAAGGCGGCGGTAGTTATCATCTCCTAAAATCAATGCTGAAATTCACCATCCTGATTTCCACATCCTGAAAGACACCAACAGGCAGACTTTAGATGCCATGATTCCCACAGGGATGTAACTGCATCAAGGGAGAAAATAAGGTGAGTAGGATATGGAATTGCAGAGCTGACTTTTTAAAAAACAAGCCTGGTGCAGTGGCTCACGCCTGTAATCCTAGCACTTTGGGAGGCCGAGGTGGATGGATCACCTGAGGTCAGGACTTAGAGACCAGCCTGGTCAACATGGTGAAACCCCGTCTCTACAAAAAATACAAAAATTAGCTGGGCATGGTGGCACGTACCTGTAGTCCCAGCTACTCGGGAGGCTGAGACAGGAGAATGACTTGAACCCAGGTGGCAGTGGTTGCAGTGAGCTGAGATCACACCTGGGCAACAGAGCAAGACTCCATCTCAAAAAACGAAACAAAACAAAACACCAGTCCACCCCATACCAAAGGGCTTTAGCAGAGCTAAAGTCAGAGCAGTGGGAATCTGGTTTACTCTATGGAATGACAGGAGCAAATACCTTTCTGGAGTACAGGGATTTAACAAAAGTGCCAAAACCAGAAAGAGCAACCACGCTCAGGGTTCCTTGCTTGTCACTAATTTCCATTGCTCTTAGCCTTTACTTTACACTGGTCTGACATGGAGAATTCAGGAATCTCAGCCAGTTACAGGATTCTGAGACTTATGACTATAACCAATGGGATCTGTTTGGTTAAAAGTGGTAAGTTGGTAAATTTGATTTTAGAGCCCTGTCTCCTCAGTTCTTAACCGTTGGAGACTCCCACTGTATCCACCTATCTCGAGTCTACTTCTGGACAGATTAGTTATCTTGAACTGTTGTTGGCTAAGTACTTTAACAAAACTATTTCAGCAACTCTTCACTGTGTAGCTCACATGAAAGGCACTAGGGATAAAGAGGTGGTAAGAAAAGTCACTGATTTATAGTCTAGTGCTAGGTTGGCAAATTATGGCCCATGGGCCAAATCCAGCCTGCTGCCAGGTTTTGTAAATAAAGTTTATTGGAGCACAGCCGTGCCCATTCATTTACATACTAGTTTTGACTGCTCTTGCACCAAAGGTAGAGGTAAGTAGCTGCAACAGAGATTGTACGTTCCACATACCTAAAATATCTACCATCTCGCCCTTTACAGAAAAACTTTGCTGACCCCTACCTAGTGGACTATTAACCTTTCCAGGAGAGTTTGCATTTTAGTAGCATTCTCTCTAAGACTAATGCTGTAACACTCAAGGGAATCCCACTAATGGAGGAAATTTAGGCAATAGGGAGATATCTTGAGGGAAGATATCCTGTCTGGCTGCTGTCAAATCATAGGCAGCTGCCTTATCTGCCAATTCATGAAAGTGGACTGCCTTTTCCAAATCTCTATCCAAAAAGGAAAGCATAGTGAAGGAGAGGCAGCTCTCTTCACTGTGGCTGGTTCCCTGGAGGAAAAGTTGGAGAGGCGGCTGACCTTCCTGCAGCTCATACCTTCTGGGTGGCTCTAGGGGGCAGGGGGTCATGGTTTGCCTTCAGGGTTGCCAACCTGGCACTCTGCCCAGGAGCCACTTTGACTTCTTTATTCCTCTGGCTCTTCTGATGACAACAGAGTGATTTTTTTTTTTTTTTGTAAACCCTAAAGAAATGCTTCACTGCCCCATCTTTCCAAAGGAACAGAGAAAGGGGACTGAGTGGGGAGTTTTGTAAGTTTCCATCAGTTATTTTTGCTAAGGGAAAATGTGAAAAGTCAAGAGTCAGAGACAGGGCAGGAAGCTATCATGTGTCAGGGAGCCTTTTTGCTGAGCTATGTCCACTCCCTGTGTGAAACAATGGCTGCCCTCCCACTGAAATGCCCGGCTACTCTCAGTGGGAAGAACCCCTCCCTCAGTAATGGGGACAAGCAAGGTTTTTTGTTTTTGTTTTTGTTCTGTTTTTTTTTTTTTTTTTTTTTTGCCATAAGGACTATGATTCTCTTCCAATAAACTCAAGGACTTTACCCTTAATCCTCAGATGGAGGCTGAGCTGAAATCTCCATCCCTGGAATGTGGATCACTCAAGCCACACTGCACAGACAGCCAGCTAGCTCAGCGCCAAGGTGATGCCTTCCTTTCAAGACCATGAGTGGCACCTCGGGCCTGAGGCTCGCCTGTTGACCTACCTGCTGAGAGCTCTCAGGGGGAAGCTTCCACAGCCTGTGATGCTAGCCTCAGTGGAGAGGAGAGGAAAATCATACGGGGCCTCAGAGCCCCTCTTCCTCCTCTGGTGTTGTCATGGAAACACATTCAATTCATCTCTGCAAATATGGGTGCGGTGTCTGGGGAGCAAGGTGGTATCCTGATAGGAGCTAGGAGAGGCACAAAGATGTCTATGTCATGGTTGCCATTGCCTTCAGAACCATACAGGACAAAGAGTTAAAAAAAAAAACAAAAAACAAAACCAAAAAAAAAAAAAACCAACAACCAAAAAAAAAAAAAAAAAAAAACCAATTCCAAAGCAAGATGCATAGAATAAAGTCTATAAAAGGAATTAAATCCTAGACTTTGGAGAAAGACAAACATAGGTTGAAATCTGAACTCTACCACTTACCAGCTATATGACTTTGGTTATATTATTAATTCATCCAATGAATGCCTGCTATGTACCAGATAGTTCTCTAAATGCCAAAGATTCAGAATGACCTGACTTAGAGAAAAAGACCTTTATTGACCTAATTGTACTTACACATTCTAACAGAGGAAGACAGACAATAAGCATGCAAACAAATAAATAAAAAGTATAATTTCAGAGAGTGATAGTGCTCTCTGAAGAAAATAGAGTAATGGGGAAGAGTGAGTTGACATGGTGGCGGTTTAAGAATGGATGGTCAAGGAAGGCTTCTTGGAAGAGGTGACAACCAAGTTTAGACCTAAGGAAGGAGGCAGCCAGGCAACAATCGGAAGAGGATTCCTGAAAGAGGGAAGTATTGGCGCAAAGATCTGCTTACATAAGTCTCTAAACTTCAGCTTCTTTGCCTATAAAATATGAATAATTTATTTAATAGGAGTATTGTAAAGGTTCAATGATACAATGTACATCAAGATCAAGTATTTATCTCAAAGCATAGCATAAAGCAAGTGCTGTTTAATATGACTAAGTAAAATATATTAAACACAGAGGAGCAGTTTGTTCTGATGAGTGTGAGAGGATTGCTGAGTGGTGAAGGGCTAGTTTGTGACCTAAGCCTTGCAGAATGGGTAGGTTTGGGTAAGCAGATAATAGGTTTGATTTCTCTGCTCTTTGTTCCTATATCACTCAGGAGTTTCTCTTTCTGAAGCCTGACCGTACTTCATTAGAATAACGTAAGTATTTTTCTCTTCTCTAATCTGTTACATAAATTATATAAAGGGAGAGGTTGCCTTTTTTTTCTTCATTCTGCTCCAGTACTTAAATAAGATAATGCAGCAAAGCATTTAGAATTGTAACTTGTGCATGAATGAATGGTAGGAGGGCATTTGAGGTAGTAAGTACAGCATGAAGTTGAGTCTGTTTAGCTGGCAATGGACCAGCAACGCAAGAAGTTAGGACCCATGGAGGGAAAAGCAGGAAATAAAATGGACTAGTCAATTGGAGCGAAGTCATAAAAGATCTTGAAACTTTATTATCTCAGTGAACACTGACATAATGATGTATGGGATGACCATTTCTGCTGTTCTTCAAATGCGCATGTTGGGAGCTGCAAGGAAACTACGATCTCTTGTCTACCTGTGGGAGTGAGCCCACGTTGTCCTGTGGACACCATCCACCATTGTCCCAGAGCCCGAAGAGAGTTACTTCACTGCAGATGGCCTTAGGGAATATTTTGCTAATATCCGTTTGTACACAGGCACACCTCATTTTGTTTCACTTTGCTTTGTGGCACATCTCAGATACTGTGTTTTTTATGAAATGAAGATTTATGGAAACCCTGTGTTAAGCGAGTCTATTGGCATCACCTTTTTTCCAACAAAATACACTTACTTTGTGACTCTGTATCACATTTTGGTAATTCTCCAAATATTTCAAACTTTTTCATTATTATTATATCTGTGATGGAGTACTATTGAAATCATTTTGGGGTGCCACAAACCACACCTATGGAAGATGCCAAACTTAATCAATTAATGTTGTGTATATTCTGAGTGCATCCCTGATAGGCCTGTCTCCTGGGGCTTCCTCATTCCTTTTCTACAGCAATATTGAAATTAGGCCAATTAATAACCCTACAATGGCCTTCAAGTAAAAGGAAGAATCTCACGTCTCTCACTTTAAATCAAAAGCTAGAAATTTTAGTGAGAAAAGCATGATGAAAGCTGAGATAGGCCAAAAGCGAAGTCTCTTGCACCAAACAGTTAATCGAGCTGTGAATGCAAAGGAAAAGTTCTTGAAGGAAATTCAAAGTGCTCCTCCAGTGAACGCATGAATCGTAAGCAAGTGAAACAGCCTTATTGCTGATATGGGAAAAGTTTTAGTGATCCATATAAAAGATCAAACCAGCCACAGTAGTCCCATAAGCCAAAGCCCAATCCAGAGAAAGGCCCTAAGTCTCTTCAATTCTATGAAGGCTGAGAGATGTGAGAAAGCTGGAGAAGAAAAGTTTGAAGCTGGAAGAGGTTGGTTCATGAGGCTTAAGGAAAGAAGCTGTCTCTATAACATAAAAGTGCAAGATGAAGCAGCAAGTGTGGCTGTAGAAGCTGCATCAGGTTATCCAGAAGATTTAGCCAAGATCATTGATGAAGGTGGCTACACTAAACAACAGATTTTCAATGTAGATAAAACAGCCTTTTTTGGAAGAAGATTTCATCTAAGACTTTTATAGCTAGAGAGGAGAAGTCAATGCCTGGCTTCAAAGCTTCAAAGGTCAGGCTGACTCTCTTGTAAGGAGCTAATGCAACTGGTGTCTTTAAGTTAAAGGCAATGCCCATTTACCATTCTGAAAATTCTAAATCCCTTAAGGAGTTATACTAAATCTACTCCTCCCATGTTCTGTAGATGGAATAACAAACCTGAATGACAGCACACCTGTTTAGAGCATAGTTTACTGAATATTTTAAGCCCACTGCTGAGACCTACTGCTAGAAAAAAAAGATTTCTTCGAAAATATTACTGCTCATGGACAATGTTTCTAGTCACCCAAGTGCTCTGATGGAGATGTATAAGAGAAATGTTTCATCCCTGCTAACATAACATCCATTCTGCAGCCCATGGATCAAGGAGTAATTTTGACTTCAAGTCTTATTAATTAATAAATATATGTTGTAAGTCTATAGCTGCCATACATAATAATTCCTCTGATGAATCTGGGCAAAGTAAGTTGAAACCTTCTGGAAAGAATTTACCATTCTAGATGCCATTATGAACACTCATGATTCATGGGAGGAGGTCAAAATATCCACAGTAACAGGATTTGGAAGAAATTGATTCCAACCGTCGTGGATGACTTTCAGAGGCTCAAGACTTCAGTGGAGGAAGTAACTGCAGATGTGGTGGAAATAGCAAGAGAACTAGAATTAGAGGTGGAGCCTGAAGATGGGACTGAATAGCTGTAATCTCCTGATAAAACTTTAATGGATGAGGTGTTGCTTCTTATGAATGAGCAAATAAAATGGTTTTAGAGATGGAATTTACTCCTAGTGAAGATGCTGCAAATATTGTGGAAATGAAAACAACGCATTTAGAATATTACATAGTTGATAAAGTAGCAGTAGTGCTTAAGAGGATTCAGTCCAATTATGAAAGAAGTTCTACTGTGGGTAAAATGCTATCATACAGCATCACATGCTACAGAGAAATCTTTCATGAAAGGAAGAGTCAATTGATGTGGTAAATTTTATTGCTGTCTTATTTTAATGAATTGCCACAGCCACTCTAATCTTCAGCTACCGCCACCCTGATCAGTCAGCAACCATCAACATTAAGGTAAGACCCTTCACCAGCAGAATTGCAACTTGCTGAAGGCTCAGATGAATGTTAGCATTTTTTAGCAATAAAATATTTTTAAATTAAGGTATGTGCATTGTTTTTTTAGACATAGCGCTATTGCATACTTAATAGACTACAGTATAGTATAACCATAACTTTAATGTGTACTGTGAAACCAAAAAATGTGTGTGACTTTCTTTATTGCATTATTAACTTTATTACAGTGGTCTGGAACTGAACCTGCAATATCTCTGAGGTATGCCTGTATTAATATTCATAATAGCTAACATGTATTGGGTACCTATTACATGTTTTTGCTGAGTATTTGGCAAACATAATTTCACTTTATCTCTGTAATGTCCCTACAACTAAGAATTATTATTACTCATATTAAAAAGTGAAAACTCTGGTCTTAGAGAGGATAAGTGAATGACCTGCCTGAGGTTACATGGCTACCAATTTGCTGAGCCTGGACTTGAATTTAAGTCTCTCTGATGTCAAAGCTTAGGGTCTGTCTGTATACACTATTGCTATGGACTGAATGCTTGTATCCTCTATGTCCTGTCCCAAATTCATATGTTAAAATCCTAACCCACAAAGTGACAGTAGTAGGAGGCAAGGCTTTTGGGAGGTGATTAGATAATAAGGGTAGGACCCTCTGAATGAAATTAGTGTCCTTATAAAAGAGATCCCAGAAAGCTAGCTTGCTCTTTCTACCATGTGAAAACCCAGCTACAAGGCACCCACTCTATGGTCTTTCATTATAGCAGTCTAAATTGACTAAGACAACTAGGATCTGTAACATTATTGTTTAATTATTATTTAAGTCTTCATCTTCTTGAAAACAGAGCCTGAGGCAAGGTGTATATTAGTCCATTTTCACAGTGCTATGAAGAAATACCCGAGATTGGGTAATTTATAAAGTAAAAGAGGTTTAATGGACTCATAGTTCCACATGGCTGAGGGGGCCTCACAATCATGGTGGAAGGCAAAGGAGGAGCAAAGTCACGTCTTATGTGGCAGCAGGCAAGAAAGAGTGTGCAGGGGAATTGCCTTTTATAAAACCATCAGCTCTTGTGAAGCTTATTCACTATCACAAGAACAGCACGGGAAAAAACCACCCCCATGATTCAATTACCTCCCACTGGGTCCCTCCCATGACATGTGGGGATTATGGGAGCTACGACTCAAGATGAGATTTGGGTGGGGACACAGCTAAACCTTATCACAAGTATTGAGTACCGATGCTTCATTTAAGAGGTGCATTCTCCAGACAGTGAGAACAAGAACAAAAGAAATGACAGGGGAGCAATGCAAGGTGGATACGTTTCTATTCCAGCCACTGCTTCATGATGAGCTGTGAAGAGACACAGCCTTGTTCATTGTTCAGTGAGGGTGTCTGTGGTGGGCTGAATGGTGGCCCCTCAAAAGATATGTCCACATTCTAATTCCTGGAACCTATGAATGTGACCTCATTTGGAAAAGGGGGTTTTGCAGATGTAATTAAGGATCTTGAGATGAAGAGAACATCCTGCATTATCTAGATGGGCCCTGAATCTAATGTCGAGTGTCCTCACAAGAGACATGAGAGATTTGACAGGCAGCAGAGGAGGAGGCAATGTGACCATGGAGCCAATGATTGGAGTGGTGTGACCACAAACCAAGGAGTGCTTGAAGCTGCCAGAACCTGGAAGAAGCAAAGAACTGAATCTCCCCTAGAGCCTTTGGAGGAAATGAGGCCCTGCCAATACCTTGATTTTGAACTTCTGGCCTCCAGAACTGTGAGAGAATAAATTCCTATTTAAAACCACCCAGTCTGTGGTAATTTGTTATAGCAGCCACAAAAAAATTAATCCAGTGTCTACTCAGTTGTGTGGACATCTCCAATGAGGATGTACAGAGAAACCATATCTTGTAGAAGTCCACAGAGGAAAGAAAGAGGGAATTTACTGGACTTTCTCTCATTCCCTATTTGCCTTTGGTCAAATTTTACTCCACGGGGGAATTGACTCTTCTCATATCTCCCAGCAATACCTGGCTTTGCTGGGAGCTGCTTGGGAAGCCAGAACCTTAAGGTGAAATGTTTCATTCAAAACCAGGAGTGGCAAAACAACAACAAAAACCTAGAAACAGAAGGCCACATGGCTAATGAGCCTTGGGATACAGCAGTCCCTACAGGGAGGGTCTGACCCTCTTGGCAAGCAACCCCAAATGCTGAAACTGCTCAGGCCCAAATGGATCTGGTGGGTCTCTATAGAGTGAGAAAAAGCCAGTGGCCAAGGGGCCCAGAAATGATGGTACCAAGGGGATCTGAGGAGGGACAGAAAACATGCCTGATGAGAATCACAAACACTCAACCTCACCATTTCAGTCACAATGACTTTATCTAGTGTCCACTGTGTGCAAAACATTCCTGGCATGAAATTCTTTCTGTTAACCAAGTTGTGACAGGTATTGTAGGAAGGCTCATTCAACATACAATCCCAACTCCCTCTCCCTTGCCTTCTTTCACTGTAAAGTCTGGGAAGGTTCATACTTTATTTTTTAGCTTCTCTGACAAATCATAGTGGCCACGCAGTTTTGGCCAATAGACGTAGGCAGCTGTGTATTGGAGAGGTTATTTCTTCCTGAAGCCTCACAGAGATAAATTCCTATCTCCTACTGCTTCTTCCTGCCTGGGGTGCCGTAGCCATCATGTAACCATGGGTCTAATACATAAAAAGAGGCCAAAAAGAATCCTAAAGACATGTGTCTGGATGCCACTGAACTGTGGAACCAGCACCAGCAGCTGTCTATCCTTTGACTTCTTGCTGTGTGTGTATATTAGTTAGTTAGGACTGTCATAACAAAATACCACAGACCGGATGCCTTAAGCAACAGAAATTTGCTTTCCCATGGTTCTGGAGGCTAGAACTCCAAGATCAAGCTGTTGGTATTGGCAGATTTGATTTCTTCTGAGGCCTTTCTCTGTGGCTTGCAGATGGCTATTTTTAATGGGTACATCCCCAGTGCCTCTTTGTATGTCCAAATTTCCTCTTATGAGGGCACCAGTCAGATTGGATTGGGCCATGATGGTCAATATTACATGTCAACTTGACTACGCTGCTGGGTTCCCAGATAGTTGGTCAAACATTATTCTGGGTGTGTCTGTGAGGGTGGTTCTGAATGAAATTAACATTTAAATGGGTAAACAGAATAAAATGATTGCTGTTCCTGATGTAAGTGGGCTTCATTCAATCAGTTGCAGGCCTGAAGAGAACAAAGAGGCTGGCCCTTCCATAAGTACAGGAGAATTCTTCCTGCCTGATGGCCTTTGAACTGAAACATCAGCTTTCTTCCAGCCTTTGGACTCTAACTGAAACATTAGCTCTTTCTGGGCCTTTAGATTGGAATTTATTTACACCATCAGCTTTCCTAGTTCTTAGGCATTGGAACTCAGACTGGAATTCACACATGGGCTCTCCTGGGTCTCCAGTTTTCCTGCTCATCCTGTAGATTTTGGACCTTAGAACCTACCAGCCTCCAAAATTGTGTGAACCAATTCCTTACAGTGTGTGTGTGTGTGTGTGTGTGTGTGCATCTCTGTGTGTGTGTACATACCCTAATGGTTCTGCTTCTGTGGAGAATTCTGAATAATAAAGGGCCCAGCCAAGGGCCATGATTCATTTTAACTCAGTCACCTCTCTAAAGGCCCTGTCTCCAAATACAGCCACGTTCTGAGGTTGTGGGGATTAGGGATCCAACATATGAATTTGGGCAGGACTCAGTTCAGTTCCATAACAGTAAGTAAACAGTCCTTTATTTGTTTAAGCTACTGTTACTTGCAGCTGAGAACATACTTAACTGCTTGCACAAGGTGTAGATTCACATACTAAATTTGATACTTCACAAGAAAGTGTTTGGTTATGTTTCCTATTAGCATGTACCAGTTTCTTCCATCTTTGAAGAGTCATTTAGTGGTTAGAACCTGGGCTTGGGAAAAAGTAGGTCTTAAAGGGGATCTGTTTGATGACCAGCTTTCGGGGCATCTCCCAACCATGCCTCTGTTTGTCCCTTGCCAGCTAATATTAAAATAACGCTACATGCCCTTGATGTGAAAGTCATTCCCATATGGAGTCATCATCTGGGCTTGGGGGTGGAGCTGGGGAGTTCGGCATCCATGGAGAGGCAGCTCTTTTTAGCCAAACGTATTGAAATGTCCTGATGTGTGCTTCCCAGCCGATGTCAGCTGCTAATCCGTATGAATTAATGCTGTAATAATTGGGCCGTATTCAGCAAGCACTAATTTCTTTCACTACATCAAATCAAGCCTCATGATTGTTTCGAAATAAACATGCCATACCCAGAATGTTGAATCTCCACTCCAGCAGCTGGGTTCCGAACAGATCTGGAAAGGTCTGGCAAGGAGGCTGGGTTGACCAATGGTAGGACTCATTCCTGAGAGTGGACTTCCAGACACTATCATTTTAGACCTGATTGGACCCAATTACATTTTAAAGATGAAAGGAAGCCAGGTTTTTTTTCTGCACAGTGTTCAAATTCACTCAGGAAACATCCTTCAGTGCTTCCGTCTTCTTCCAGAGCCTACACCTAGACAGCATAAAAGAAAACAGCCTAGCCGCTAATATCTCCAAATGAGCTGTCATTACCAATGCCTTGCTCATGGTGTCACTGGAGTGAGACCATGAGAGAGAATATTTCAAAGATTCACAGGTCAGACTGCAAATAAACCTCAGAGGAAGTGTCTAACAGACACTTACAGGCAAGAAAACAGGAAAACTGAAGCAGGAGAGGGCGAGAGGGCAAGGAGCGCGGGATGCTGGCCTTTACACTGCCTGCAGGAGGGGGAAAAGAACTAAATCTAGGATGATGAGATAGGCGGTAGACAAGACTGATGAGTTATGCTACAAAGAGTGTGGGGTGACTCTCCAAATAACATATTTAGCAGATCAGTGGGAATGTAAGATGTCTCACTGTAGTCAACTGGCGATGCTTTTAGTAGAATCACGGATGTCAATATTGCAATCTCCCTTCTCTTTCACTCATACACTCTCATGTTAATGAGCACCTTCTCCAGGCCGGGTCCTGTGCTTGATCCTGGGGAACAAAGCAGATACAGGTCCTGCCTTCCCTCCCCTCCTCTCCTATCCTTTCCCATCCTGTACCCTTCTCTTTCTCTCCCTCCCTCCCTCCTCCTCTGCCAGATCCTTCCTTCTTCCTCTCCCCTCTATGCCTAGGGTCTAAATAAATTTGGGGGAAGATTAATATTCTGTTCAGTGGAACCATTGTTTGCTAACCACTTACTAATTAATTTTCCAAATAAGCAATGCAGGACTGAATTGCACATCTTTTCTCACAGCAGTTGTTATGTGTAGACATAAGGATCTCCCCGCTCCCCACCCTGGGGTGCCTCCATCAATCTCTCCCCCCATGTTTGCTGCTTCGCACTCCACTCCCCATGAGCTGCTTATCTATCCACAAGCTTATAATGTCAGTGCCTTCTAAAGCTTCTTTAGAGTTCCCTCCTCTTCCCTTCTGTCCTCATCCTGTCAGTCAGGATGAAGAAAATTAAGTTGTGTAAGTCTGTACATTTCTCTGTGATCCCAGTTTCCAGGCCCTAGAGCTGTCTGGGAGCTGCTAGGTCACCTGGGTCTGGATTCAGATGGGAGACGTAAAAAGCCGCAGGAGCTCTGCGAAATAGGTGCCAGTGTGTCCCCAAAGCTCCAATTTTCTAGTCCATAACTTGGAAAGCAGAAAGAAAGCTGTGAATCAAAGCTCCAAGGAAATTGTTTATAGCAATGGTGTCAATGAACCAGAACCGAAAGCAGGATGAGGCTCCCAGGCCACCTTCTACTCTTAGGAGCTGTGCTGCAACATACGGTGTGTAGGTCGTGCACTGCACAATAGGCTCAGTGGAGAGGGCAGCTCCCTTTCAGCTCTCCCAGCCCAGCCAGGGGCTCTTTGCAGAGCTGCATTTACCACATGGAAGGGGGATCTTGTTATGCACTTGCCTAGCTGTTGGCCCTAGGGTTCATCTGCTTAGAGAGGCACCTTTTTTTCAGATTCACACAGAGGGACCATATATGCCTACTCTGATTACGAGAAGAACAAAATTACAAACCGATTGACTTTTTAAAGTGGTTTTTTAAAAAATTAAATTGCTTTTAAGGTGTGTTTTAGAATTATTATACATTCAGTGCTATCTCTAATACCTTTCCTATTTGATACTATAGTGATAATAGCTCCCATTTATGTGAACACTGTAGATGCCTGGTGTTGCACTGGGGGCCTGAATCTATTATTTATGATTCTTCCTCCCCTGCCTGCTTTTGCTGTGGTTCACTACAGGGAGAATATTCCTCCTACTTCATTGAATTTGGCCTTGGCCCTGGCCCTGTGATGTTTTGGCCCATGGAATGTGGGCAGAAGTAACAATGTTCTGGTCTTATAGACCAGCTGAGTCTATAAGAGGCATGGTGAGTTGCTGCCAGTCCTCTTGAGGTTCTATCTTCTGCCATGAGAGAAAAGCATGCCACCAGGCAATTGTCACCCTTTGACCTGAAATCGAGACGTGTAAAGCAGACCTGAAACAGACCCAAGCCTAGAGGCCAGAAAAGCTCAGGCAAGAGCAGCTGGGTACATCTAAACTACAGTGAATGGAAACATGAATACAACATGAATATTCATTATTTCAAGTCATGGAGAATGGGGGAATTATTTGTTATGCAGCATCACAGTAATAGTGGACACCTATGATGTGTTTTTTTTTTAAAAAAAGACAAATTGTCACAACCACTCTTTATGTACAGTATTTCCATTTTACATAAAGGAAAACCAAGGGTCTGAGAGGTTAGAAAACTAGTTTAAATTAATAACTGGTATATCCAGTATTAACATCTAGGTCTGCCTGATTCCAAAGCCTGTTCTCTTTCTACCTCCCTCATGTCATATCCAGAATATTGACACTATGCCACCTATAGAGATCCTTAACTAGCAAAAATTATGCTATTATAGCCAATAACTTTGCATTCTACTTACTAGAGCTAGGCAAGGAATCATTTTGCAAGATGGCATCCAAAATGTCTCTCGGCTCAACTGTCAGTTCCATAAAACGTTCTATTAAGCATAATTCATCCTTCCCTTTCTCCTCTATGCACTCCACACTTCCTGTTATTCAGAGTTGTAAGGTTTTAAAGAGGATTCACATTTCTCCAGGCCGAGATTACCTATGGCTGCAATAGAATTTGACTTGCATTTTGTTTGTTGTCAATACAATAAGCCAGAAACAGATGCAGATCATTGAACTGAAGAATGACTTTTCTCTCTTGATGGCACTTTGAGCAGAAAAAACATCTTTGTCTGATGTATTGTTAAATGAAAAAAAAAAAGCAAAGTGCAGAACAATGTGTATTGTACATCATTTGCATATTTTAAAAGCATATATATGTGTATGTATGAATGTTTATATCTACATAGGATGTCTCTGGAAGAATACTCTAGAAATATAATGGCAGTTGCCTCTGGTTTGGGAACATGGTGGCTGATGGGGAGTGAGGGTGGGAGAGAGAATGATTTTTCACTGAATAGTCCTTTAAAGTTTTTTAAATTGGTGTTCAGGTTTATATTATTCCCCAAAATAATGAATACATTTTTTAAAGACAGAAACTACTTCTTCTACGGCCTATCCCTCTTCACTTTATTTAAGCTGTGTCTATTGTGTCTCAGACACACTGACTTTTTGAAGGGACTTGAGAGGAGGAGCTAGCCCAAGAGGAAGAGGCCCTTTCTGGCATGTTCTCTTCCTCTTGATAGTTGAGGTGCATATAAACATCTTCAAAGTCTCCACGGACAACAGAGACAACACGAACTGGAGCCCACTGGCTCCCACAAGTGAAAGTGATTTTCTTCATTCATGACTCAAAGGCTGTAGAGTAAAAAACAAGAACTGATCAGCTGTTTTTTTGTTTTGTTTTGTTTTTTTTTTTTTTTTTTGAGACGGAGTCTCGCTCTGTCGCCCAGGCTGGAGTGCAGTGGCGGGATCTCGGCTCACTGCAAGCTCCGCCTCCCGGGTTCACGCCATTCTCCTGCCTCAGCCTCCCAAGTAGCTGGGACTACAGGCGCCCGCCACTACGCCCGGCTAATTTTTTGTATTTTTAGTAGAGACGGGGTTTCACCGTTTTAGCCGGGATGGTCTCGATCTCCTGACTGTTTTGTTTTTAAAGACCAAACACGTCATCTTATCTTGTTCTGAGTGAGACAGCTACATGATGAACATCCTAAAAGTTGAAGACCTTGGATTTCCACCTGCAAGCCAACGATGTTTTTCTGTTAAATTCTAATCATATTATTAGAGTTTATTAATTGTTTTAACAAACAGACATCTATGTCCATTCATTTTTTTTCAAAGACAGGGTAAATAAATCAACTTTCAAATCATGTCCTTCTGCAAACACCAGCTGCACAGGAAAAGGAAGGCCGCCTGTTAGCAGCCTCTCGCTGAAGGGCTAGGCTGAGGCTGTCGGTGTGCATGCCCAGAGCAGAGCTGTCTGTTAATGAGTCCTACAGCTCACAGGAAAGAACCTCAGCGGAAAGCAAGAAGGCAGAACAATTGTGTGAACTTAGCTCCCTTTCTTATTCTCCAAACATCTGGCCACTGTATGTGTCATTTCTTTGATTCAAACTTGTTCTGGCGTTATTGATAGGGAAAATCTCCACCTGGGGGCTGGAAGGGACTGCTTCTTCATCAAAGAATAGTTAGCACAGACTCACTTTTAATAGCAAAATAATAGAGCAAGTCACTTATAAACCATGTTTCTGAAATTGCCCAGCCATGCTCTGCCAACTCTTTATGGGGAGAATAAGACAAAAGCTGGAAGCAAAGAGAGAGTAAAGAAAGCCCTTACGATTAGGGGTGAAGAAAAAACAAAGCCTGCAAGACGCCATCTTGGTGTTGGCTAACGATGGGGAAAATCTCTGCTGTTTAATATAGTGCATTTATAAACACAGATGTCAGGGACGGCAAGTTTATTTTTGTAGTTCTGCATCTTACATTTCCTCAATTGATTCTCTTTCTTTTCTTCTTCTACGTCAGAACAACCAAACAGGATTCAAGTGATGCATTTGGATGGCTTGCTTCCCTGAATTGTGTCTATATCCATTAACAGGGCAGACACTTAGTTCCACCTGTAGACATGACAGTTTTGTCATCTTCACAACTGTTCCCATTGTCCTGATCCTTATTTCATTTTACTGGGCTACCTTGAATAACAACCCCCTGGGCTTATTTTACTGGCAGTTAAAATCAGTTTTGGTAGTAATTTTGCCTGGAAATCAGCTATTAAGTTTATGTGCTTGTCAAATTTTAACTATATGCCTAATTTAAAAGTACTTAGAGCCACTTAAATTTGGTTGAGTGCCAATGTTAAGATGCAGTCAAATCTCAATGACTGCACACTGCACGCTTAGTTTGCAGCAGACTTCTTTCCCTTCTGTTTCCAACTCTCTTGTTAGCACCTGCACCAGGAAATGGGTGGGTGGGTAGGTGGGTGGGGTGCAGAGAGTGAAGGAAAATGAAAGTGATGCTGAGCCAGCACCACCAAAGGGATACTCAAAGTCTTACCTTTGGGCTCTAAAAATGAAATCAATGGCACAACTTGAGATTGGGAGAGAATAAATTGGCAGCCACATACTTGAAAGACATGCGAGAGTTTGGTTAACTGCAAGCTTAATATCTTAAAAAAACACAAAATTCATGTTAGACTTATACTAACATGCACCGTTCTAAATGTTTCATAAATATTAACTCTTTTCATTCTCACAGCAACTTTATGAGGTAAATACTATCATTATACCCAATTATCAGATGGAAAATTGAGGTATGAAGAGAATAACTTGCATATAGTTACATTGCTAGAAAGTTCCAGGGTCAGAATTCAAATTCAGCCATTCTGGCTCCAGAATCCACGCTCTGAAGGCTGCACCTTCCTCTGAGCCAGCAGCGGGGTACAGCCACTACAAAACAAATACAGAGTATGTTCCTGTTTGATGTTATCGCTGGCTGAAGCTCTTTGCAATAAATGTCATAAAGCTCAAAGTCTCTATGAAAAGAATAATAGATGTCCAAAGCCAGTTCAATTCTTTCAAATAATAGCAACAAAATAAAATTAGGGAATCTTAAAAATAATTAATATTATCCTTAATATCAACTAGAAATATAAGGGTAAAATTTCAAGCCAAATTAACTTTTCCGGGTCTTCAACTTCTCATCTGCCCAGTGCTTGGTAAGAGCTAGATAATTTCCTAATTCTTTCACATTTTAAGATTCTTATGTTCTCCCACATGATCTTTCAGGTCAGTGATGTCTCCATTTATTCAGTCATACAGAGAATTGGTGTTTTTCCAGCATTAGTTTTTGTTTTTTTTTTTTCGAGATGGAGTCTCACTCTGTCGTCCAGGCTGGAGTGCAGTGGTGTGATCTCGGCTCACTGCAACCTCCACCTCTCGGGTTCAAGCAATTCTCCTGCTTGTACCTCTTTAGTAGCTGGGATTACAGGCACCCGCCACCATGCCTGGCTAATTTTTGTATTTTTAGGAGAGACGAGGTTTCACCATGTTGGCCAGGCTGGTCTCGAACTCCTGACCTCAGGTGATCCACACACCTGGCCTCCCAAAGTGCTGGGATTGGCATTAGTTTTTTAAAAGGCACCTTGCTCGCTTTGTGGGGAACAGTCTGATAAGAAGATGAGACACAGGCATAGGGATACATACAGCTGTATGCAAGGGATACATAAAATGTATGCATACAGCTGTAATGAAAGCTTGTGCAGTGCCAGAGCTGTGGGAATTCTTAGGCAGTATCAGTTAGTGTTCTCATTTGCAGATAACGTTATCACTCTACCTGCTTTATGTAAGAAGTGTTGTTAAGGGAATATTAAACACTCCTAGAATCTTCAGAAGAGCTAGAGGAATAATCTCTGGGCTAATGCTCTAGGAACAATGCTTAACACTACCGTAGAGAACTGACCTGTTAAGGGTGATGCCTCACACTGACCCTGGGACCAACCAGATGTCTGCCACCACCTGCACCAGCGCAATGCATGTTCCATGCCCCCCTCATTTCCTTAACTCATTTCCAAATGAAAGTCTCTCATGGATCCAACAGGATTGAAAGAAACTGAAGCGCAGTGTGGGAAGGGGTGGGAAAAATAAAGTGTTTTTTGTATCCTATTTAGGGGTAGTCAGGATTCATGAGACACTCTTGAAAAGTAATGGAAACTATCAAAATGTAGAAAGAGTATTCAAGAGGTTTTAGGCAGCAACAAATAACAAATGTCTGCTGCAGATAATACATTTTTTTTACTCAGCACTGGGCAGGCTCTTCTTTAAGAGGAGTGTTGAGTTAATGTTTGTTTGGGGTATCCACAACTGAAATTTAATCCCTGTTGACCTTTCATTAAGTATTTATTATGTTTTAGCTATGGTGATAGGGGTGTCTTAAATGATGTCGTGGACATATTGTTTTATGATATCATAAAACATCTTAAAAAACACAAAATTCATGTTAGACTTATACTAACATGCACTGTTCTAAATGTTTCATAAATACTAACTCTTTTCATTCTCATAGCAACTTTATCAGGTAAATACTATCATTATACCCAATTATCAGATGAAAAATTGAGGCATGAAGAGATTAACTTGCATATAGTTACATTGCTATTTTTTTCTCCTTTTTTTTCTGGTAAAACAGTACCCCAGTTTTACTCTGGGTAACTTTCCCATTCCCAATCTTAGAACTTGTTTGAGTGGAATTGACACCTGCTTATCTCCAAGGATGACTTCATGGCTTACCCCATTCAGCATGTTCCACTCCTTGGCCACAGTATTAAGGTCAGAGATGGGCATCTTCAGACCAATGAATGTCAGACCCAGAACTTCCATTTGAATGTTGGGCTAGAACATGGTAGGATGCGGTCTGGGCTTCTTGGCTGACATCTTGATATCACCTGGAGCCTCAAGCAAAGCCAAAAAAGGAGGTGGAGAAAGCCGAAGTCCTTGTAACAGTATTTGAGCCTCTGGATCAAACTTGTCCTGTAATTGGAATACCCCTGGATTTTTGAGTCATGTAAATGAACAAATTCTCATTTATCCTTAAATGACATTTTTGAGTCATGCTTGCTAAGAGTTATTTCCAAAGTTGTCTTAATTTCCTACACATACATTAACTCTTTTAATCCTCAGAAATAGCTCATGATGTTAATAGTATTATCACATTTCACAGATGAGGACACTAATACTCGAAAAGATTAGAAAGTCGCTTGTCACATCACTTATCCATATGATTTTAAAGCACGGATCTTTAACTTCTATGTTATATAGGGACACTGGAGAGCATCAAAAGGGTAACAGCGCTGTGATTTGAGGTTTGAAAAGCAGGCCCTACAGACGGAGGGTAAGTAGCCTCTGGAAGGCAGGAAAATACGCTGCATTCTTGTTTATTCCTTACAGCGTCCAGCCTCATTCTATGCACAGGCTGACTTTCAATATGCACTCCTCGCTTACTGAGTGAAGTGGCCGAGGAGGGAACTGAATGCCTCCAGTCTGTGAAGAAAGGAAAACTAGTTTAGCAATGTCCCCTGAAAGACAAGAATGGTGAGTCTCATGTACCTTGGCTGGAGAACAAGGGTTCGTGTGGGGTTGTCTATATCTCAGGCAGATAAACAAAGATCGAACATCAAACACAACCTTCTACTCTCAAGGGGTGTGAGACAATGCTGTGCAACATTGCAGACTCATTTTCTGGAAATATTAAAGAAAGAAAAATATGATGGTTTTCCTAGCATATTTGAGGCTTTCTTGGTCTCAGAAGCCATCTGATTCTTTTATTGCCTGTGTCATTCTCTCTGCCTGAAATGCCCCTCCCACTCCTTGTTTGTCTGGCAAACTCATCCTTCAACAGTTAACTCGAATGCCACCACCTCTGGGAAGCCCTCACTGAACTTTTGACCCTGGTTTGATTCCTGCTCTCTCTATCTTTCCACAGCACCTTATGTACATCTACATTCACTCTTACCACACGTTGTTTTGGCAATATGCCCAAGTTTTCTGTATAGAAGTCAAGGAGCATGTCTTATTCCTCTTTGTATTTCCTACCCCTAGCCTAATGCCTGGAACTCAGCAGGCAATCTTGCAAATCCTGCCAAGAAAGCCCTTCCTCAGTCTCTAGAACCAACCTCTCATTCTATTATTCCTTTTTGTCCTTTAGGATTCAGCTCAGAAATCACCATTTTGGGAAGTGACCCCTCAAAGCTAGGTTATGATACCTCTCCTATGTAGTCTCCAAATCATCCTATGCATATATGCATATAGGATGATTAAGAGAGTACACACCAATGTCTAACTCCCTGGGCTTGAATCCCAGCCTGCCACTTCCCAGCAGGATTTTTTTTTTTTTTTTTTTTTGAGACTAAAGTCTCAAAAAAACCCTGCACGTCCAGGCTGGAGTGCAATGGCGCGATCTCGGCTCACTGCAACCTCTGCCCCCCCAGGTTGAAGTGATTTTCCTGCCTCAGCTTCCTGAGTAGCTGGGATTATAGGTGCCTGCCACCATTCCTGGCTAATTTTTGTATTTTTAGTAGAGATGGGGTTTCGCCATTTTGGTCAGGCTGGTCTTGAACTCCTGACCATAGGTGATCTGCCCTCCTCTGCCTCCCAAAGTGCTAGGATTACAGGCGTGAGCCACCACACACAGCCCCCAGCAGGTTTTTAATGTGTCTCAGTTTATTTGTCTGTAAAACAGGGATACTAATAATAACAATAATATTACCTCATTGGCTTGTTGAAAGTTTTAAAAAAGGTAATTCATATAAAGTGCTAAGAATAGTGCCTAGCAAAAATTCATAATACATTTAACTATTATACATATTAACTATTATTATTATTATTCAATTTTCTAAACTTTTTTTAAAGCACTTATATGTCAGGCAGTGTTCTAGGAAATGGATATACAACACAAAGAGACTAACATATATAGTCACATAGCTATAAGCTGTATATAGCTATGTAACTATATGCCCATTTTCATAATCAAAATATTAAATGAATTAATGAATCAATGAAATGCAATCAGTATACATTATTTGAGTAATTGCATTTTTTTATTTTTATTTTTTTGAGACAGAATCTTGCTCTGTCACCCAGGCAGGAGTGCTGTGGTGCAGTCTCAGCTTACTGCAACCTTTGACTCTCGGTTCAGGGAATTCTCCTGCCTCAGCCTCCTGAGTGGCTGGTATTACAGGCATGTGCCACCTGGTTAATTTTTGTATTTTTAGTAGAGACTGCACTTTTCAATGGTCATAAAATGCCTTGCCCTCAGTTTCCCTGCACATTGGTCAGTGGCATTCTTTGCTTCACAAAGACATGGCAGATGCAGTCTAAGAAAAGTGGCTAAGCTCGCCTCTGAGCTTCAAATGAGAGGTTTTTTTTTTTTAAGAAAAAGTCTGATAAAGTTTGAAAGCCAGATTTTTTTGAGACAGAGAAGGAATCTCTAAATTCTAAAAAGCACTTGAAAGCAGACATCCCAGCCCCTAATTGATTTGCCCCTGCTGATGCCATGTGGTGCAGAGGAAATCTGTCCCCCCTGAGCCCTGCTCAAATTTCAGACTCATGAACAAAATAAATAAATAATTGTTGTTTCAAGCCTCTGAGTTTTGAGGTGGTTTTTACACAGCAATATGTAGCCGAAGCACTGTGCTCTCTCTGGTCTTGCTCATTTATTTTACTAGTTGAAGTGTTTACTCTTTTTGCCAGCAAAAATGAGGCATGGAGGTCTGAGCATAAAGTTTCAAAATAAATACGAATGTGGAATGAACACAGGATATGATACAAAAGAGGTTCCTGACACCAGGAAGGAGAAAGTCCTTCCAGGGTGAGGAATAACTTGTAAAGGGTCTTCCTTTGTTTGAGACTGGAGTAAAGATGCTGCTTTAGTCCAGTAGGAAGGTAGAAAGGGAAGGAGGAGAGAAGACACAGATCCTGGAGAGAAGATAGATTGGAAGGGAAGGTGAAAGCTGAGGAAAAAAAATAAAACAAAACTACAACAACAACAAAAACACTCTTTACAGGGTCCCCTGCACATGACTGCAGTAGAATCACGAATATTAATTGAAGAACATGTGGGAGAGACACTATTCTAGACTAAAGGGAAGCCACGGGGAATGAAACAGAAAAGGATTCCTGCCATCATGGAGTCTACCTTCTAGTGAGCCCAACATGCAATGAACAATCCAAATGAATAAATCAGGCAGTATGTTAGACAGTGATGATTACCCTGGCAAAAAAATAAATAAATAAATAAAGTAAAAGAGGGGGAAACCTTGTGGTAGCATATGTGGTTTGCCAGTTTAGGAGGGAAGGTCTTACTGAAAAGATAATAAGTGGTTAATGGTCTAAGGGAGGTGAGTGGGACAGCTGCATGTGTATATATTGGAGGTAGAAGGGAACCGCAAGTGCAAAGGCCCAGAGACAAAAGCATTTGCAGGTGTTCCAGGGAACAGCCAAGAGGGCACAGTGGCCAGTGGGGAGTGAGCGAGGGAACTGCAGTGAGGGAATTCTCTATGGCTGCCTAATATAAGCCACTGCAAAACTTAATTGCTTAGAACAATAATCACTTCTTTGTTAATAATTTCTGCAATTTGAGCAGGGGTTGATGGGGATGGCTTCTCTCTGTTCCATGTGACATCAGCTGGGGTGAATCAGTGAGGGGCTGGGGCATGCACTTCTAAGATGGATCACTCACGTGGCTGGCAAGGAGGTGCTGCCTGTCAGCTGAGGGCTCTGCAGGGCTACTAGCCAGGGGCCTCAGTTCCTCTCCACATGGGCTGCTTTCCAGGCAGCTAGACTGCCTCACCCATGGTGGCTGGGTTCAAAGAGCAACTGTCCCAAAAGGCGGAAAGTGGAAACTGCTGTAACCTATTGATCAGGTAATTACAGAGAGCAGATTCAAAGGTAGGAGACAAAGACCACTGGCCTCTCAATGGGAAGACTGTCAAGGAACTTGAGGACCATGTTTTACAACTGCCACATGAAAAAATAGAGAAAGATTTGGTATTCAAGAGGACAGCCTGATCATTCAGGGCTTTAGAGATCATTGTAATGGATTTGGCTTACTCTCCAGGAGAAATGAGGAGTGATTGGAGGATTTCAGTAAGAGTATGACCCAAGTTGACTAGCGTTTAGCAGGATCACTCTGGCTGCTAAATAAAGAACAGACTGTTAGATGGAGAAGGCAAACCTGTGTCCAAATATCCAGACAAGAAATAATGGTAGCCTGTCCCAGGGTAACAGCAACAAAAGGATAGGAAGTGGTCAGGGTCTGTATATATTTTGAAGGAAGAGCCAACAGGATTTCTTGATAGGTTATCTCATATCTAATATAAGAGAAAAAGAGAAACTGAGGAAGATGCCAAGCATTTTGTACAGAGCACTTAGAAGAAGAGAGTTGCCATTATTTGATGTGGAAAATGCCGAGGAGAAGCAAATTTGGTGCTTAAGAGCAGGAACTTGCTTTTTGACATGTCCAGTTAGACATCCAACTACAGATGTTGAGTAGTAGGTGGATCTATGATCCTGGAGTTCAGGGGAGAAGCCAGGGATGAAGATATAAACGTGGGCAGTATAAGGATAGACATGGTATTTAAAACCATGGGATTGGATGAGAAGACCAGGAAAGGGAGTGTGGATAGAAAAGAGAACAGGTTCAAGGACTAAGCCATAGCATCCCCCAATGTTAAGGAGGTCTTGGTTAGGAGGAAGAGAAGGACCAGCAAAGGAAGCTAAGACAGAGCAGCAAATGAGGTAGGAGAAAATCTAGGAAAAAATAGTGTTCTTCCAGCTGGATGAAGGGAGTGGTTCAAGAAGAAAGCAGTCACCTTGCTCAATATTGCTGATATGGCAACTACGATGAGAGCTGAGAATTGACAACTGAACGTGGCAAAGGAAAGTTCATTGAAGACCTTCACTGGAGTAGTTTCAGAGTTGCAAAGCTTCATTGAGTGCATTCTAGAGAATTTGGAGGGGTGAGTGGATTGGAGACAGTGAATACAGACAAGTTTTTGTCCTCCTCCTTGAGGAGTTTTGTGATAAAAGGAATAATAGTGTGAGGTTGTGGCTGGAGGGAGAAGTGGAATCAAGGGAGACTTTGGGTAGGAGAAATAACAATATTCATAAGCTGATGGATAAAGCCAGTAGAGAGAAAAAATAATAATGCAGGAGAGAAGAGAGAACTACTGTAGCAATGACCTGGAGTTAGTGAGAGGAAATGGGATCTAGTGCATAACTGGAGGGGTTGGCCTTGGCTGGGAGCACGGACTGTTCATTCATAGCAATTGGAGAGCAGAAGGTACATGCACACCGATGCTAGAAGGCTGGTAGGTGTAGTGGTGCAAGTTTCCTTCTAGTTGCTTCTGTTTTCTCAGTGAAATAGGAGTTAAGGTCATCAGATGAGAGTGAATGTAGAGAAGTAGGTTTAAGGAGAGAGTGGATCATAAAAGTGCAATCATGAATTTAAATGAAACCATCCAAAATAATTTTGGCTTTCTCCAGCTACATTCAGCTGCAAAGGTGCAGGCACAGAATAGGCAGAGGATTGGATCTAACCAGGGTTGGAGTTTTGTTAAGTTAGCAAAATGAAATAAGAGAAAGAAGCAAGAACTTGAGTGCCTATGCAAGGAAGTGATTGTAATAATTGATCATGGAATTTAAGCTGGGTTAGGAGGGAAGTAAGAATATGAGAGAGGTTAAAGATAGCACAAATGAGATAGAATCAAAGCATTTTAGATCCTGGTGAGTTGAAGGGTTTGGAGGGAGGAGTACTAGAGAGAAAGAGCTAGAAAGACAGGAGGTGACAGTAGACTTAAATTGAGATGATGGAGGATTTCAGTTATTGGGAACAAGGTTTAGGATGTGATCATGAGAGTGAACAGATAAAGCAGTTGGAGCACCATATCACAAGAGGAGAAAGGATCAAGAAACTAAGAATCCAAGGCTGAGGAAAGTTTATCTCCCTGAATATTGAACCCACACATTCTTATACCAGGAATAGTAATGGAGAGAGTGACTGTGAAGCATGCTGCAAAATCTTCAAGGAATGAAGGGTGCAACCTGAGGTTTGGTGCATGAACTTGACAAGAAGGGGTAGTGAGTGATGATATTTAATGACATAAACTTTAAAACTGGATGGGCATGAGAGTTGATGATCAGGAAAACGGGAGAGTGGTCTAGAAGCAGCACCAAGGGGCAACATGGACACTGTGGTTAGTCAGGAGAAAAGTCAAGGATGGTAACCCAGTTTCTCCCACCTTGCGGGAGATGTGAAGAAAATCCAGGTTCATCTCTAGGCCCCAGTTGAAGAATGGAGAAGGTTTGAGACTGGCAGGGAGAGCAGAGGCTGGGGTCAGCATGAGGAGGCTAGAGAGTGCAGGAACTTCTCAAGTGGAATCGGTGAAAAGGCATGGCACCGTGAAAGACCAGATGGGTACCTGTGCACAGCATCCAGTGACAGGGTGGGGCCAAGGACACCTCAGCAGAGGTCAGTTAGAATTGAGACAACTGCCCATGAAACAAATGCTCCACCTGCAACCATAAGGATGTGAAATTGCACTTGGGTGCTGTCTCATCAGGAGGAGAGGGAGGAGGGAGTAGCCATAAAAGGTCCCTGGAGGGATGCCTGGAGCTTTGAAACTTCTCAGAGCAGTTGGTTTGAGCTGCCTCTTCTCCAGCCCAGACCTAGGACCCTATTTTCTGGCTTCATTTGTTGGTAAAACTATATCAATAGTAGTAATTTTAAATGATGGTTTTGATCTCTGCTGATCCTCCTTCTCCACACTCCCCACCCCCACTCCAAATAATAGGGAAATTGGTGGGATTTAAGTGCCAATGTTTACAGGAACATACTTTAAAAATACTCATTTAGAAAATAATTAAAATAATACATTTGCTGTGGCACATTTAGAAATTAAAAATAAATATAAAGAAAAAAATGAAATTCAAACATTATCCCTCTATCTAGAGACAACTATTCTCAATATTTAGGTGTGTATCCTTCTATACATGCATTACACAAAAATGGGATGATATCAGATATATAGTTTTAGAACTTTTTTGATTGAATAATATAGTGCTTCCCTGCTACTCTTCTTATACATCAACCTAATGGCTGACAGGTTTCAGTTCATATATGTACTAACTATTCATCCAGTTCTGTTACAGAAAATTTAAATTGTTTCCATTTTTCACTATTAGAAACAACAGCAGGATGAACTCCATTTTAGCTTTAACTTTGTACAAAGCCTTAATTGCTTATTTCCTATTAATAAAGTGCTAGACTTTATTGGGTCAATTACACTCTAGATGTACATATTGCCAAGCTGTCCTCTGGAAATATTCCATCAATTTACGTTCCTCTCAGTGGGGTATGATAAGGCCCATTTCTCCACATCATCTCTCTTATTATTATAATTGCAAAGTCCTTGCCTTGGAAGACTTCTTGAGATTTCTTCTGACCCTTGATTTGTGTTTCTACGGTGAGAACGTAACTGCTTCCATTTGGCACTTAAATGGACTGATTAATATCCCTCAAGAAGGTTTGGGCCATCATTTGCAAGCACCAGAAGGCCTGGACCCATAAGAGACCCATAGGGAGGCAAAATAATTTTAAGTCAAAAGTCCTGGATGAGGAGTTATTTTTCTTGTCTTTGGAGTTACTCATATCCCTGGACTCAAGGCACCTCATCTTTCTTACTTCCGGTTCTTAGTTTCCATGATCTTTTACCTTCTTATTTCAGGGAACATTCTTGTCAGCTCCTCCCCAATACCTGAGGACAGGAAAGTCAATCCAAAGTCAAGTGCATTCGAGTAGAATTCTTTTGCTTCATTATCCTTTTTTTGCAAATGCATATCCTTAATAGAATTTGAGTTCTGTCTTTGCCTTTGTTCAGGCTGATAGAGATCTTTCAATTCAACTCGGATAATATTTATTGAGCTACTCCATGGTTCATGGTAACACACTTGGCATAATAGTAGCCTATGTCCATTATTCCTTCCTGGTAAGGTCTTTTTGTTTTCCCTCACAAACGTTTGTTCACCAACCAGCATTTCCTCCTTGGTCTCCTCTCTGGAGGATTCAAAACGTCGACCCTGTCGTCATCTTCCTGCCACCATGGCAGCATGATTCACTGGCTGGTTTTAAGGCTGATTATTTGACTGTGAGCTCACCATAAATAAGAACGCTTGATAACATGGGTGAGAGGTTTCTTTTTTGATAGCCACAGTTATGTAAGATGCATTGTTTTGACCATGAGCTCACCCTTAAAACAATGGCTTGTGCCTAAAAAAAAAACACCACTAGGAAGAATGGGGTAACACCTGCATAAACGAGGCAATGTTTGGGAACATTCTGGTTTACATAGCATTTTCAGGGGTTCTAAAAGTTGAGTCATGTTTTCTCTTTTGCTCAGGGCTCATTTCAGACTCTTGTTAATGGAATTACAATGAGTTTAAACAGAAAGGAAAACGTTTTGGCTTTCTGGCAGATTTTTAGTTCTTTCATGGGATAGGAAACAAATGTCTGAGTCCTAATAATGGAAAACTAAGTGTGCTGCTTAATGCAACATTAGGACACAGTTTGTGGGAAAATAACCTGTATTTTTATACGCTGTTTATCCACATACACATGCATATGTGAACATGCTGACAAATGCACAGATACATGCTCAAATAATGCCACAGTATTTTTAAGAGAAACATATGGATATATATTCCTTCTCTTTTTTTTGAAATGTGAATTGTATCTGCAAAAGTTGCATAATCTTGTCCTAGAAAGAAGTGCTTGCATGGAGCACAGATTTTGAAGTAACTCTCTCTCCTCTCCTTGTTCAAAGCACAAGCTAGTGATTGTCATTAGCACTGAGCAGAGGCGTCTGTGCCAAAGGGTGACAGAATAGAAAAGTAATCCCCCATGTCAGCTGCTGGGTGTGATACCGCAGAGATGTACATCCTCTGTGTCTGCCAGGCCTGTCTCTCTCTGCTCTGGAAAGTGTAAGCCAATGATAAATGTCAATACACTTGTGTTGCCACATGGAAGTGAGCTGTAGCTGTCTGGATCACACACAGAAGCGGCAGATCTCAAGATGTGGGTGCCAGATGGCACTTAGGGGCTGGGCACCTGGAACGGCTGCTAGGGGAATTTTATTAGCTGAGACAAGTGGCCTGGCACTGCTGGGTGCCACCTCACCCTCTTTGGGGGCTCCCTCTGGAGTGCATTATCCGATTTTGCTTTTAGAGACCCATTAGGCACACAGCCTTTCCCCATCCCCTTTTAATGGACTTATTGGGATGTGCTTGAAGAGATCTTGGCTCAGGGGTGCCACCAAAATCTGTAAAAGAAAAGAGGGTGAGATGGAAGCAAACTTTATTTGCAGAGAAGCCACTGTAAAGCAAAAAATATTTTTTTAAATGAGTGATGACATTTTTTTTTCAAAGTGTAACCAGGCTTGAATAAAAAGTGAGATGTTACCTGAGTTAACTTCCCACTTCACTGAAAGAAAATCTTCGGGAAAGTGTTTGTCAGTCCCACAACAGTCAGCACAAAAAATAATCTCACTTTCCATTTTCCATCAATGGGGGACAAAGAAATATCTTTACACTGTTAAACCTATACGTGCGTTTTTAGCTTTACAGTTTATAAAGCACTTTCATATACCTCATTTATCCTCCCAACCACACTGCTGTCATCGCTTATTTCACTGATACAGAAACAGAGACTTAGAGAGGTAGTGACCCTGCTTCCAGTCACATAGTTAGCCAGAAGCCACACTCTTAGCACCTGAAGAAGTCTAGCCCAGATCTGACCCTTCATTAAGTACCACTTAGAGGCCTACTGTGCACCATATGCTTTACACTTATTTTGACCATTTCAGCAAGTCGGTAGACTAGGCATTCACAGATAACAGAATCAAGGCTTAGAGGGGTCAAATCCCCTGATCAATCTTGCATAGCTGTTACGTGGCTAAGATTCAAACCCATGTCTGTCTTGACCCTAAAACCTAACTCTAAGAATTATAATAGCTAACAACTGATGAAATAGCTTACTATTTTCCACCTATATTCTAGGTGCTTTATCTATATTGTCATTTAATTTTTATAACAAGACTATGAGGTAGATATGGTTAACATCCCCATTTTACAGATGGAGAAATTGAGGCATAAAGAAATTAAATGACTTGCCAAAGACAACACTGCTGGGGATGGGTGGAATCAGGGTTTGAATCTGCTCGATTTACCCCCAGAAGTCACATTTCTTGATCACCACCATGTACTTCTCTAGCTATGCCAGCTTGCATACCTCAGGCCATAGGTACAGCTTAAGAAGGCTTTTAGGGGCCAGGCTTGGTGGCTCATGGCTGTAATTCCAACATTTTGAGAGGTCGAAGCGGGAGGATCACTTGAGCCCAGGAGTTTCAGACCAGCCTGGCCAACATGATTAAACCCTGTCTCTACCAAAAAGTACAAAAATTTAGCCAGGTGTGGTGGCGTGCGCCTGTAGTCCCAGCTACTCCCAGCTACTTGGGAGGCTGGGGCATGAGAATCACTTGAACCTGGGAGGTGGAGGTTGAAGTGAGCCAAGATCACGCCACTGCACTCCAGCCTGGGTGACAGAATGAGACCCCGTCTCAAAATAAATAAATAAATAAGCTGGGTGTGGTGGTTGCATACCTATAGTCCTAGCCACTCAGGAGGCTGAGGTGGGAGGATTGCTTGAGTCCAGGAGTTCCAGGCTGCAGTGAGCCTGATTGCACCATTGCACTCCAGCCTGAGCAACAGAGCAAGATCCTATCTCAAAAAAGCAAAAAACAAAAATAAAAAAAAAAAGCAACAACAAAAGAAGGCTTGTAGAAAAACCCATTTCTTTGTGAGTTTTGGAGCCATCCTATACTCTTTCTAGAGTCAGTACCAACTCCTGTATTAGTTTTAAAACTACCCAAACCTCCAGGGCGTATTTTGGATAAGAAATTAGTAGAGTCTTGCTACTGAAAATGTAATTGCTGACTAGTAGCCTCAGTGTCTGCCTGGGAGCTTCTTAGAAATGCAGAATCTCAGCACCAAAGCTGCTGAAGCAGAGCCCGCACCATTAGCAAGATCCCCAGGTGGCTCATATGCATGTGAAACTTTTAGAAACATTGGTCTAAAGTGTGACCTGGAGCCTTTAGGGGTGGAGTTCTGAATCTCAACCACACATTGGAATCTCCAGGAAACTTTAAAAAGCACTGATGCCTGGATCTCACACCAAGAGATTCTGATTTACTTGCAGCCTGGACATCAGAAATTTTAAGGGCTCCCCAGATTATAGAAAAGAGCAGTCAAAGTTGAGAACCATTGAACTGGGGATACTCTGCAGCCCTCGGCAATTTCTCAGGGTTCACCCACATCACCATACCCAGACATGTGAATCTGCCTCTGGGTTTAGGTGGGTAGGGAATCCTCAAAATGCTGTTCAAAAATGCTGGAACTAGCATTGTGCAGACTGGACCAGCCTGGGAAGCTCTCCTTGATTTCACTCTAATGATTTCTCTTTCTTTGCTTAAGTCATACATGAAATAAGCCCTTGCTCACCCTGAATGAAGGAGAGGAGGCTTTGGATGTGATGCTAATCACCCTGACCCTGTGTGTTTGGAAGCCCCACCATCCAACTGTAAGGCCAAGTGTTATCCCACTGCTCAGACAGGCAGGGCCTTACAGTTGTGTGGCAAAGTATTTGACAGTGAAGGAGGGATGAAGTTTGAAGTAGATGCCCATCGTGTCCTTGATCAACTATGTTCCACCTGCTGGGCAAGATCTTCTTATTGCCCATGAACCTCACCTTGCAGTAGAGCCATAGTTTGTAATAAAAAAGGTAGCAAATAGTCATCTAGGGCAGGAAATTTGTAAGTTCATGACCTTATTTTGACAGAAGAAAGTAAGTTCCAAGATGGCAGAGACTTTGTTACACTCTCCATGGAATCTCCTGTGCCTGAAACTGTACAAAACACATAGTAGGTGCTTTGTAAGCATTTGCTGAAAGAATAATGGGAGGGAGCTGTCACATGTGATGACAATCATTGATGTCGTTTATTGAGTGCTCTCTGTGTGCCTGGCCCTTTATAAACATTATTTTGTTTAATCTTTATGACAGCCTTAAGAGGTAGATTCTCGTTTGCTTATTTGCTTTTAATTGTTCAGTGGAGCTAAATAATTCATCCAATGATGGTAACTTTCCAGTTAGTTCCACAGTCTGAATTCATTCATTCAACATGTACTTATTGAGTGCTGGACACTATTCTAGGTGTTTGGAATATATCAGTGAAAGAATAGAAAAGATTCTTTATTTTCATAAATTCAAGGAAGAATGATACAGTAATTAACATAATACATAAGTAAATTATAGGATATATTAGAAGATATTAAGTGCTGTGGCAAAAAGTAAATAAAGGTCAAGGTAGGGGAATAGGAGTGCCAGGGAGGGGTGGGGTGTTGGTCAGCAGTTGTAACGGTTAGTTTTGTGTCCATTTGGATATACTATAGCATCAGTTATTTAACCAAACACTAATTTAGGTATTCCTGTGAAGGCATTTTGTGGTTAAAATCTACTATGGTTGACTTTAAGTAAAGATTACCCTTGATAATGTAGGTGGGACCTCACCCAATCAGTTCAAAGTCTTAAAAGCCTTCAAAACCAAGGTTTCCAGAAAAGAAGAAATTATGCCTCAAGAACACAGACTTAATTCCTGCCTGAGTTTCTAGCCTTTGGGCTTGCTCTACAAATTTTGTACTTAAGACAAGACAGTAACATTAACTTCTGCATGAGCTTCCAGCTTACTAGCCTGCTCTATGGATTTTGGATATGCAAGCTTCCCAATTCCTTAAAACAAATCTCTAGGGAACCTTGACCAATACAGATTTTGGTACCAAGAGTTGGGTGCTGCTATAATAAATGCCTAAAAATGTGAAAGTGGCTTTGAAATTGGGTAATGATAGAGGTTGGAAGAATTTTGAGGTGCATGATGGAAAAAGCCTAGATTGCCTTGAAGGTATTGTTGGCAGACATACGAATGAAGGTAATTCTGGTGAGGACTCACAAAGAAGTAAGGAGAATTGTAGAGAAAACTTCTATTATCTTACAGAAATTATATATATATTCTAATGAACAGAATGCTGCCACAGATATTAAAGTTAAAAGTGCTTCAATTAAGTCCAGATGGAAATGAGAACATGTTATTATACACTGAAGGAAAAGTGTTCCTTGTTATAAAGTGGCAGAAAACTTGACTCATTTGTGGTCAGCTTTTGAATAGAAAGTAAAACTTGTAAGTGATGAACTTGGATATTTAGCTGAGGACATTCCCAAGCAAAGTATGGAAGGTACAGCCTGGCTTCTCTTTGTTACTTATAGTAAGTTGTGAGAAGAAAAATATAAGTTGAGGAATAAACTGTTAGGCAAAAAAGAACCAGCACTTGATTATTTGAGAAATTCTACATCTATCTGGAAACAGGGCTAAGGGTGTGGTTGAACAACTGTTTGCTAAGGAGATTAGGTGTGTGACTCACAGATCCAATCAACCATCTCAGCAGAAACCAACAATAGAGATTGAGTTACCTAGGAAGGATCTGTAAAAAACCCTTTTGTCTAATGGCATAGATCCCCTTGACATCCAGGGAAGACTGATTTGAGTTTTGAGAGTAGAAGAAACACTGCTCATCTTGAATGAAATAGAGATGAGATGAAATGAAGAAAGAATGACTTTGAGGGCAGAGTCAGGTGCCCAAAGGGCAGGACTGACACCAAGAACCCAAAGGGTGGGGCTGCCCCAGCAGGCCTAGGGGCAGAGCGATGAGCCAAAGAGAATTAGTCTCAGGCCTGGAAACCTGGTGGAATTTGCCCTGTTTGGTTGCAAATATGCCTTAAATCACTAACCCCTTTATTTCTTCTATTTTGTCCCTTTTAGAAATGGGAATGTCTATCCTATCTATGCCTCGCTATTGTGTTTTGTAAGCAAGTAACTTGTTTTTTAGGTTTCACAGGCTCACAAATGGAGATAATTTTTTTCCCAGGACAAACCATACATGGGGTCTCGCCCATACATCATTTAAATGATTTAGTAGATGAGATTTGGAACTTTTTGAATTGACTGTATCTAGATGAGATTTGAGGCTTAGAGCTGATGCTACAATGGGTTAAGAATTTGGGAGACATTGGATTTGGTGAATGCATTTTTCACATGAGATAGAGATGAATTTTTGGAAGCCAGAGGGAAGGCTTCATGTTCATCCCCAAATTCATGTTAACCCAGAACCTCAAAATTTGACCTTATTTGTAAATAAAGTCTGCAGATATAATGATTTAACTTAAAGTAATAATGGAATGGGACTCTAGCCCAATGAGTGGTGTGCTTCTAGGAAGAGAAAATGGACAAACAGGGAGAATGGCACATGAAGACAGAGACAGAGATTGGAGTGATGTATCTACAAGCCAAGGAATGTCAAGGATTGACAGCAACCACCCAAATCTAGGAAGAGTCAAGTAAGGAGGGTCCCTTGGAGCCTTCAGAGAGAGCATGGTCCTGATTACATCTTGGTTTTAAACTTCTAGCCCTTAGAAGTGTAATAGAGTAAATTTCTGTTGTTTTAATCCACCAAGTTTGTGATACTTTGTTTCAGCAGCTCTAGGAAACTAATTCAGCTGTTTAGATTGAGCAGGAGAGATTTTTTTTTTTATTATTATACTTTAAGTTTTAGGGTACATGTGCACATAGTGCAGGTTAGTTACATATGTATACATGTGCCATGCTGGTGTGCTGCACCCACTAACTCGTCATCTAGCATTAGGTATATCTCCCGATGCTATCCCTCCCCCCTCCCCCCACCCCACAACAGTCCCCAGAGGGTGATATTCCCCTTCCTGTGTCCATGTGATCTCATTGTTCAATTCCCACCTATGAGTGAGAATATGCGGTGTTTGGTTTTTTGTTCTTGCGATAGTTTACTGAGAATGATGATTTCCAATTTCATCTATGTCCCTACAAAGGACATGAACCCACCATTTTTTATGGCTGCATAGTATTCCATGGTGTATATGTGCCACATTTTCTTAATCCAGTCTATCATTGTTGGACATTTGGGTTGGTTCCAAGTCTTCCCTATTGTGAATAATGCCGCAATAAACATACCTGTGCGTGTGTCTTTATAGCAGCATGATTTATAGTCATTTGGGTATATACCCAGTAATGGGATGGCTGGGTCAAATGGTATTTCTAGTTCTAGATCCCTGAGGAATCGCCACACTGACTTCCACAATGGTTGAACTAGTTTACAGTCCCACCAACAGTGTAAAAGTGTTCCTATTTCTCCACATCCTCTCCAGCACCTGTTGTTTCCTGACTTTTTAATGATTGCCATTCTAACTGGTGTGAGATGCTATCTCATTGTGGTTTTGATTTGCATTTCTCTGATGGCCAGTGATGATGCACATTTTTTCATGTGTTTTCTGGCTGCATAAATGTCTTCTTTTGAGAAGTGTCTGATCATTTCCTTCACCCACTTTTTGATGGGGTTGTTTGTTTTTTTCTTGTAAATTTGTTTGAGTTCATTGTAGATTCTGGATATTAGCCCTTTGTCAGATGAGTAGGTTGCAAAAATTTTCTCCCATTTTGTAGGTTGCCTGTTCACTCTGATGGTAGTTTCTTTTGCTGTGCAGAAGCTCTTTAGTTTAATTAGATCCCATTTGTCAATTTTGTCTTTTGTTGCCATTGCTTTTGGTGTTTTAGACATGAAGTCCTTGCCCATGCCTATGTCCTGAATGGTAATGCCTAGGTTTTCTTCTAGGTTTTTTATGGTTTTAGGTCTAACGTTTAAGTCTTTAATCCATCTTGAATTGATTTTTGTATAAGGTGTAAGGAAGGGATCCAGTTTCAGCTTTCTACATATGGCTAGCCAATTTTCCCAGCACCATTTATTAAATAGGGAATCCTTTCCCCGTTGCTTGTTTTTCTCAGGTTTGTCAAAGATCAGATAGTTGTAGATATGCGGCGTTATTTCTGAGGGCTCTGTTCTGTTCCATTGATCTATATCTCTGTTTTGGTACCAGTACCATGCTGTTTTGGTTACTGTAGCCTTGTAGTATAGTTTGAAGTCAGGTAGTGTGATGCCTCCAGCTTTGTTCTTTTGGCTTAGGATTGACTTGGCGATGCGGGCTCTTTTTTAGTTCCATATGAACTTTAAAGTAGTTTTTTCCAATTCTGTGAAGAAAGTCATTGGTAGCTTGATGGGGATGGCATTGAATCTGTAAATTACCTTGGGCAGTATGGCCATTTTCATGATATTGATTCCTCCTACCCATGAGCATGGAATGTTCTTCCATTTGTTTGTATCCTCTTTTATTTCCTTGAGCAGTGGTTTGTAGTTCTCCTTGAAGAGGTCCTTCACATCCCTTGTAAGTTGGATTCCTAGGTATTTTATTCTCTTTGAAGCAATTGTGATTGGGAGTTCACTCATGATTTGGCTCTCTATTTGTCTCTTGTTGGTGTATAAGAATGCTTGTGATTTTTGTACATTGATTTTGTATCCTGAGACTTTGCTGAAGTTGCTTATCAGCTTAAGGAGATTTTGGGCTGAGACAATGGGGTTTTCTAGATATACAATCATGTCGTCGAGCAGGAGAGATTTGAATAAAGACTTCAAAGAGTTGGGGAAGTTGGCCAAGCAGGTATCAGTGGGGGAGGATTCTAGGCAGAGAAAACAGCTAAAGCAAGGCCTTTTCAATGGGATTCATTGTCTGCCACCAGAATCTGTGCCTTTAAACAGTTCTTCATAAGTGGAAAGAGCTGGGATTTACTGATCTGTGACTACATGATGTTTTAGTCCATTCTTGCACTGCTATAAAGAAATATCTGAGACTGGATAATTTATAAAGAAAAGATATTTAATTGGCTCACATTTCTGCAGGCCGTATAGGAAGCCTGGTGACTTCTGCTTCTGGAGAGGCCTCAAGAAATTTACAATCATGGTGGAAGGTGAAGGGGAAGCAGGCATGTCTTACATGGCTGGAGCAGGAGCAAGAGAGAGGGAGGAGGTTCCACACACTTTTAAAAAACCAGATCTCACAAGAATTCCCTATCATGATGACAGCACCAAGGGGGACAAGGGGGATGGTGTTAAACCATGAGAAACCATCCCCATGATCCAATCACCTTCCATCAGGCCCCACCTCCAGCATTGGGAATTACAATTTGATATGAGATTTGGGCAGGGACACAGATCCAAATCATATCACTTGGGAAGCACTAGGCTAAATAAAAATTGGTGATCTATGCGTGTGTGTGTGTGTGTGTGTGTGTGTGTGTGTGTTTAAGAGAGAGAAAAGAAAGAAAGAAAAAGAAAGAAAGAAAGAAAAAGAAAGAAAGAAAGAAAGAAAGAGATGGAAAAAGAGATAGAGAGAGAAACATAGTACCTGTCTTCCTCTGTCCATTCCCTTTTAGCCCCCAAATCATGTGGGTCCAGTCCAGACCTTTCCTTTAAGCAGGAGCACCCAAGAGCTCCTTAAGCCTCAAAGAAATGTGATGTGATGACGAGGTCCTCGAGTATCCTCGAAACACCCAAAACTCTGCCTCAGGAACTGGGTCTTTATGTAACGCAACACTTGAGAGTCAACCCTGAATCTAATTCTCAAGGCTGTGTTTAAGAGTGTGCCAGGCAGTAAGTCTCATTTTCTGAGCACTCACCAGGCATGCAGACCACAGCTGGGGAATGTGAACTAGGAGAAGAGAAGGTGGCTTCAGGCACTGGATTTCACTGTCAGTAATGCACCAGTAACAGACACAGTGATGTTTGAATATATCGAAAAGCCCTACAGATTTCTCAATTAAAATTCCAGACGCCCCTAGGGATACTGGGCCAGAATGTTGTTTTCATGTGAAGTAGAATTGCCTGCAAGCCCAAGCCTATGAGTTCTGTATAACTGATGCGTTTGTTGCTATAATTAATAATTCATGAACAAAGAGGAGAGGGGAGGCAGAGTGAGATAGTGGTTAAGTACTGTGATGCTGAATTTTATGTATTAACTTGATTGGGCCACAGGTGGCCCTGATATTTGGTAATACATTATTGTGGGTGTTTCTGTGAGGCAGTTTTTGGATAAGATTAACATTTAAATCAGTGGATAGAACAAAGCAGATTGCTCTCCCTCATGAGGGTGGGTCGCATTTGATCAGCTGAAGGCCTGAAGAGAACAAAAAGGCTGACCCTCTTTCAAGTAAGAGAGAATTCTTCCTGCTTGACTACCTTCAAACTGGGATAGCAACTTATTTCCTACTTTCAGACTCAAATCGAAGCATTAGCTCTTGGGCCTTGAGCCTGCTGGCCTTCAAACTGGAACTAACTCATTGGCTCTCCTGGGTCCCCAGCTTGCTGACTTATGCTCTACCTTAAGACTTGCTCTCCTCCATAATCACTAGAGCAAATTCATTATAATAAATCTCTCAGCCAGGCACACAGACTCATGCCTGTAGTCCCAGCACTTTGGGAGGTTGAGGTGGGTGGATCACTTGAGGTCAGGAGTTCGAAACCAGCCTGGCCAACACAGTGAAACCCCATCTCTACTAAAAATACAAAAATTAGCCGGACGTGGTGGTGAGGGCATGTAGTCCCAGCTACTCGGGAGGCTGAGGCACAAGAATCACTTGAACCCAGGAGGCAGAGATTGCAGTGAGCTGAGATCATGCCACTGCATTCCAACCTGGGCCACAGAACAAGATTCTGTTTCAAAATAAATAAATAAATAAATAAACAAACTCTCAGATAGATAGATAGATAGATAGACAGATAAATATATATCCTATTGGTTCTGTTTCTCTGGAGACCCCTAATACAAGCACATTTTCTTTAATTGTGGTTAAACTTGGGTTCCAATTTCATCTTCACCACTCAGTCATGGAAACTTGTGAAAGATATTAACCTCTCTAAACCTCAGGTTTCTCAACTGTAAAATGAGGGCATTGACAGCATCAACTTCACAGGAATGGGGGTGACTACAAGACAATCCCTGTAAAACACTGTACCTGGCTCAAATCAAGTGTTCAATAAAAGTTTAAAAGTTTCTTAGGATTAATATGGTCTGTCCTTTGTTCACTTGTTTATCTGCTGACCTTCCCTCCACGATTGTCCTGTGACCCTGCCAAATCCCCCTCTGTGAGAAACACCCAAGAATGATCAATAAATACTAAAAAAAAAAAAAAAAAAAAAAAAAGAAAACAAAAGGATTAATATGGTCTGTTGGAAACAATTTGGGAGATATAAGTCTCAATTCTGGCTCTCCTGTGAACCAGCTTTGTCACCTCAGGTATATTATTTGTCTAGGCTTCGGTTTCCTCTGTTGATTGCCTGCAAAATGACAATAACTTAGAGCAGCACTACTCAGTGTGATCCATAGTCTGCTGTCCATCTGTGACCTGATATTTGTCAATGACAAGGAATCTAGAGAAATAGACTGCATGCATTAAAAGATTTCTACAGCAATTTGATAGCATAATTATGTGTTGTCTGAATCTACTAATAAAAAGTCTGACTTTGTATTTTGTAGATCTCTTTTTTCATTATTCTAGTAATTCATTTTTATTATATTTTCTAAGGTATCAGTGCACAACAGACTGGGGGAGGGGCAACCAAAAAAACAAACAAAACAAAACAAAAAAAACAACAACAACTGCTTCTTCATCCCGGATAGTTTGAGAACTCTTTTAGACCAGTGCTTCTCCAGTGTCAATGGGCAAAGGAATCACCTGGTAATCCTGTTAGATTAATATGCAGACTGTGACCAGCAGGTCTGGGAGCACCTCAGAGTCTGCATTTCTGACAAGCTCCTGGGTATGCTGATGTTGCTGGTTTGTAGGCCACTTCGAGTGGCAAGGCCTTAGATAACTTCCATGACCACATGTTGATTAATTTATACCCTACTTTTTTCCAAAGTGGAATTACTGGAGCATGAGGAAATTAAGGTGACCTTTGAGGACTTCTAAACCTATCATTTCTTTGGGACTTTTATATACTTTGTTCAATTTGATTTTTAAAGCTTTAGCATGGTCATCTAGGGATGGTCACTATGTTGTTTTCCACTTTAATAAGGCTAGATAACTTTACTGGGATTACTAAGTCTTCTGCATCATGATTTTATGAATGCATGTTTATATAGTTAGATTCAGGCCAATGGCTTTTTAGAAACATGAATTCTCTAGACCACATGAGCCATCACTCCAGTCAGGCATCTGTCCTTTGGGAGGCAGGGGTCTTGTTTAGCCATCAGAGAGGCTTCATGCTAGCCTCTCAATACAGCTAGACGACTTGAACTTAAAGAGGAGGATATAAGGATCCAGAGGGAAGTATAGGTGAAAGGTGACCAACAAAATGCCTTAAAGTGTATGAATGTTGTGGGTAGGAGTGGAAGGGGTTGGCCCTCCTTCTCTCAGGTTCCAGTTATGGAATTTGCAATATAAAAGACCATGACCTAGCTTGAAGAAACAAGAGACAGGAATAGCGCCACTGGAGCTTGAATAGTGGAAGAGAGGTTGCCTGACAGAAGCTCAATCCACAGCATCTGGCCACTGCCAGGGTCAGAGCAGGGCGGGGGTTGGGTGTGGGAGAGCATAAATACCCTGGTTCCTCTCTGATCTTCCAGTCTTCATACTGGTGCCTCCCATTGGCTGAACCCACTGGCAGCCAGAAGGTAAGGAAATCTGGTTTTACCATCTATGGAAGTCAGCCTCCTGGGGCACAGAACAAGGCAGGGAATGATGGAGAACAGATTTAGAGAGAAACCCAGAGGGTAACTAGCCCAGAACCCATATTCTCCCACCTCACCCCCTCCTGCACCTCAATCTCAGTCTTCCCAAAACGTTTTATACACACATTCACATTTGAAACCACCACCAGGCATTTACATAGCACATTGTGTTGGGACCAAATAATACAGGACGTACTGTACAACAGAGGAGTTTGTTAGGGCTGAGTTGCTTTAATCTAAGATGGCTTTCTGCAGAGTGGCTTTGAGGTGGGCTCATAAGGAGCTGAGAGACAGGGATTGGGGGAAAAAAGAAAGTCCCTTGAGATAGAGAGTGGTAAGAGTAACTTAGTAGGTGAGAAAAGGGATGGTAGGAGCTGAATGCAAACAAGGATCAGGTCTGAGTTGAACAAAATAGAGGGAACAATGGCTCTTGAATATGGGGATGACATGATGGAGACACAGAAGGTTAATAATGATAATAATAGCTCTGCATTGGGTAAATTAGGGATAAAGCCATAATGAATTACTTCTTCCATAGTAATTTTTTATATACACCATGTCTTTTGCCCAGTGTGGGAGACTGTGTTATTGTGCACAAATGTTTTCTGTCACTCCCCGTGGAACTTCTTTTTATCACCTCCTCTCTACCAGACAACTTTCTGATTATCCTTGTTCATTTGACATCAGGCTTGGCTATATGACTTGCCTCGGTCAATAAAATGTGAGTAAAATCATGTTTGCCACATTTCCAAGCAGAAGCTCTAAGATTCATTGCATGATTCCTCCTTTGATCTTTTCCTTCTAGATGGAGGCTATCCTTTCTGCCTGGATCTTAGAGTGAGAAGGACCTGAACAGATCAGTAGCCAATAATTCATAGTGGACACACAATGAGAGCAAGAAATAAGCCTCTATGATATCACGAGCTGTTAGTATGTGGGGTCATTTGTTAACGCAACATAATCTATTTATCTCAACTGGTAAACCAAAGATACTCATTTCTTCCCCATTGTTGAATTTAGAATATTCTTTTTAGTTTTTATTGTATTTGACTTTCCTTTCATATTTAATACTGGATCAGTCCTTTCTTCATGAGGTATTTTCCTTTGTAGCTCCTCCTGGTTTTCCTTCTGCTCTGTGCCTCTTGCTTCTTGCATCTTCTGTGGGTGCCTAAACCACTGTTCCTTTCTTCAGTGTTGGTGTTCACAAAGCTCTGTCCTTGGACCATTTTACCTAACACATGTGCTCTGGGCGATTACATTCACGCCACTGGCTTCATCAGTTAATGAAGTGAGTCCTATAGAGATTGCAGTGGGATGTGGGAGCATGTCTTTCTTATAGCTCTAATACCAGAGCCAGAGGGGAATATCAGATCACCTGTAAAGGAAACAGTGAGAACAAACTCAAGGGCATTTGAATGGGTTATCAGAAGAAAGAAGCTTATGGTGAACCGAGCTGAACTGTGGAACCAAGTTAGGTTGGAAGATTGAAAAAGCTGAGATTGAGAGTGAGCCTGCCCTTGATACGTCTCCCTAGCATGTCAGATGCAATGCTGGACCACAGCTCTTCTTAGCCCTGGACAACTTCTGGAATGTTGGTATTGTCAGAATGTGGAGAAGGAAGTAGTAAGAAGGAAAATTGTAATTGCTTAAAAAATATGTTTTGATGGGAGAAGGTGAATTCTGTGGTGGCTGGGCAGGTGGGCCAATTTTGTGGTCTGTAGGTGAGGGCAGTACCAGTGTCCCTTGAGTAGGAAGTTGACATCTCCACTTGCCTATGTCCTGCTGGTAATAAGCAGGGAAAGGTGATGGTACATACTGGATGCTCCACAGATATGGAAGGCTTTGATTAGAATTGCAAATTCAACACTCCCTAAACTGGTTTAATTTCTCCTCCCCAAACCCAATCCATTCTTCCTTCTGTATTCTGGCTCTCAGGAGGTATTTGGAAATGTGTGTGTTGGGGATGTGGGGGTGTGGGGGTATGGGAGGGGACTTTTTTGATGTTGCAATGACCAGGCAATACTATTGGCATTTAAGTGGATTGTAGCCAAGGATGTCAAACATTAAAAAATGCACAAGAGAGTCCCATACACCAAGAATTGTCCTGTCAAAAATGCTACTGGCACTTCTGTTAAGAAACACTGTATGGATGTCATCATTGGATACCCAATTGCCCAAATTAGACACCTGGATGTCATCCAAGATCTCTGCTTGTCCCTTCTCCCCTCACCCAGCTAAGCTGTCACTGAGTCTTATTAATTCTGCCTTCGAAATATTTCTCAAATCAATATTCTTCTATTCATTCACACTGCCTTATATTGGCCTCCAAGTCTTCCTCTTGTCTCTAAACTTGACTGCACGCTCTGGTTGGCAGAAACTGTGCCTGCCAAATGTGTGCCAGGCACACAGAAGATGTCACTAAATATTTGTTAAATGAATGCATTTTAACTCCCTTTACTGCTTTCTGTTCCTTAGAGTGAGCATTCTAAAATGCATATCTGATCAGGCTACTTCTGTTTTTAAATCTTTCATTTGCTCCCCATGATCTATGGGGTAAAAATCAAATGCTCTGTTGTAGAACACAGGCTGCTTACCTCGCATTCCAACATCGTCTCCCACCATTCTTCCATATGAACTCTTTGCGCCAGATTTTTCAAACTGACACTGAGCCCCCTGACATTTCTTGACTTTGCATATTTTGTGCTGTGTGCCAGATAATTCCTTTCTCCTCTTCTCCAAATGGCTAAATCATAACTCTAGACCTAGCTGTTGTGACATTCCCTCTGGAAAGCCTTCCCTGACTGCTGCCCCTTCCACCAACAGCTGGACTCAGACCCTTCACTGTGCATCCATGACGTCTCTATCACATGCCTCCACCACACTATACAGCAATTGTTGTTTCTATGCTTTCTCCACTAGGCTGTGGGATCTTTGCAGCTTGTGGGAAGGCACTTTGTCTTTCATTTCTCCATCTCCTGTGTCTTGCATAGTCCTTGACCTGTAACCACTCAATTAGTACTTGCTCACATGTGTAAGGAAGCTGGCCCGAGACCACATAATCAAGAAGTGGCAAAGATGATCTTGATCAGACCTTCAGGCTCCAGCGCACCCCACTGTCTCTCATGAAGCTTAGCAATAAGAAAAACAGTTGATGGATTGAGGCACTAATTCTAGAATGGGGGAATATCAATGAAACTGGAAAAGGATGGATAGAGTTCGTTCAACTTTCAAATATATCTATTGAGCATATACTATGTCCAGGAACAGAGATAAATGTTTTGGTGGAAAGTGCAACAGGTCTAAAGGATGGATTTTGTTTGGCTATGGCAGATAAAGGGGCATGACCAGGGGAATCCTGGAGTAACATAGTTACCATCCTAAGACTGGGTGCTCAGGGAGGAGGTGGCCTGGCCTCAGAAACTTTGTAAGTTGGGTAACATTAGAGTAAATGTTGGCCACTATCAGAAATAGCCCCAGGGACTCCTGCACAGCCAATTTCTGTCACTCTGTGGGGGTTGGAGATGAGCTACCAAAGGAAAAATGTCTCGAAGCCACAGCCAAGTTTCCTCCCATGTCGATCAGCAGCCAGAATAAATGGGGTCTGAATTCCCAGGAGGAAATCTGGTATTAGAACTTGTTGTTTATCAACAGCACCACCTGGCACATCTTTAACCACTGGTTTCTTTTAAAAGTGGGAAAGGGAGCTATAAATAAACAGCAGCTTGTCATTTCAAACACAAGGCTAGCAGGGGTGGAGGTGGGGAGTCGGCAAGTGAGGGACCCAGAGGTCATCAAAAATCCAAGAACTGGAGTCTTCACAGTGTGTGAGTTGTGGAACCGGCATCCTCCAGTTCCATGGTCCCACCAGGACGCCTTCAAGGGCAGGCAGGCAGGCAGGAAGCAGGAGTATAGAAGCCAAGGTGCAGAGGATACTCTAATCTGAAAGCATTATGGGGCCTTCCTGCCTTCCTGGATCACCACAAGTGACCTTTGTGCTTTACAAGCCCATCACAGGGTTTTGACAGGTGCTGGGAAATAGCAGTATGATGACAAACCGGTGTGAGCGTGAAGCTGCGTCCTGGCTATAAACAGGTTTTAGAAAAAGGGATGAATGGTTTTGCAGGCAGTGGCCCCTGTGGAAATGTGCAAATCAAGAGTTAATAAGAGCCAGCTAGATCACAAACTGTCATATCCCTATTTTAACATTCATGTTGATTTCCTCACTAAAGTTTTACTAGGACAATGGGACACACAAGAAAATGAATTTCAGTAGTGGAAATAAACTTCGTTCATTACTAAATATGTTGCTTTTGGAAAGTTTGTGTTCATATGATCTTTTTTTCCTAAAAGTTTAATGATCTTAGCTCAGCTTGGTTTCTCAAATATGGACATATAAACAGTATTTCAATTTTTTTGTGCAAGACAAGCTTAGAAAAAGCAGCTAAATTTCCTAAGCTTTTAAAGTCATGAAAAATATTGTAAAATTAATTTATGGCCTCTCATTTGTCCTGGATGTTTAAAAACATTTTTTCCCCTATGGGATTAGTTGGAACTTACACTGATGCCTAGGTTTGGCTTAGCATGACCATTGGACTTTGACTTCCACAGACTTTATGTCTGTGCATTCCTCTTAGAAAGGGCTAAACTCCTCTGGGAGTCAAAACTAAGTCCTAAGCAAATCATTATAAAGACCTTTTCTAGGGTCTAAAAAAAAATTCTTAATAGAAAAGTACAAGAGGAAGGAGTGGTTGCTAAAGTTAGCCTTGAGTTGGATCTTCAAAAATCAGAAAAAAAAGAGGATCCCACACCATTTTATGGTGAAGTTTCATGGTGTTGTCTGTAGTAAACAAAGAGATTCTTAAGTATCCTTAAGTGGAAGCTCAATTAAAAAGACAAACCTTAGAAAAGGCTTTGTGGAAGGCCAAGAGATTTTGATTCTGCAGTTTCCAGTCCAGGAAGGAAGAGGATTCCAAAGATAAAGAGCATCCATAGAAAACATCTTGTTTGCAACTCCTAGGAGTGGGCCGCCAGGAAATGAACAGGAATTGCTGCTTCACTTCTGTGAATCAAAAAGAGAGAGAGAATCTCAAAGGTAGCCCAACCCCCTAGCTTGTTCGTTATGCCCATTCCTTAACATCCAAGTGTTTTGGTTACCAACACCTCCAGAGAAACTCCCTGTTCTCCAAATGGTAAATATATTAAATGGCTGAGCAGCTAATACTGTATTTCCATTGCACGTTGTTTTGCAATTCTCTCTCCCCAATTTCAATTTAAGGCTAAACTTAACTGCATTATTTGTTTCAGACTCTGCCATAGATAACTATTCCTGCTGTATATGCCAGAAAATTTCTTGCTTTCAAGAAATGCAGATTCTTAGGTTAAGGGTTATGCGATACGAAGCTGTCTGTTTCTTGGCACAACAATTATATTTGAGCAGGTTTGATGAGGTGCTCAGAGGAGTGCCTGGCAGTTAGCATGACTAAGTCCTGGCTATTGCAGGACTAACCTTCACCCTGAGGGGAGACAAACAGACTCCTGTGTCTGGATTTGCCTTGAGGGCAACAGTGTGTGGGACCTGGGAGGTGGGAAGTTGGGTTGCTCGAATGATTGAAATGGTTTATTCAAGAGCCACATAACAATGCAGTAGCAGCATTGGTGATGATGGTGGTGGTAGAAAGCCTTCACTGCAGAGCCAGAAACAGGGGAATTATGTCTGCAACAAACCATAGCAGGAACAGAGGTGGAAGTCTCTCCTATACAGCCTGTTGGGTACAGGTGCCTGCTCTGCACTCTGAGAGACTGGGTATATTAATTGTGTGGTAATGGGCAAGTTACTTAGCCTTTTTAGTCTTGGTTCTTGTTAACTCTAAAATGGAAAGAATTAACAGTGCCTACCTTGTTGGGCTAACTAAAAATTACTAAGTTCATCTGCAGATAGCCATGAAAACCTAATATTACACCTTCACCATGCTATATTATCACCCCTGCTCCTCCTGGTATTGTTGTGCCACTTTCTAGTTGCGTGATCTCAGGCGAGTTGTTTGCCTTTTCTGTGCCTAGTTTTGTTCTTCTGTAAAATGTTATAAGTCTGTTGTGAGGATGAAATGAGTTAGTATTTGTGAAATGCTTAGAAAAAAGTAGCTGGTACCTAGAAGGCACTGTATGAGTGCTTGTTAAATGAACAAAACTCTTTCTGGAACATCTGAGAGTTTAATACATGTTAGTTCTGATTATAAGTGTGTCTACCTTCCAGGAGAACTTAGCTCTGTTCTGAGCTCTGGACTAGAATGAGAACTTATGAAGCTGGCCAGGGAATAGTGTTAAGAGAAAGTGCCTGTGTGGGTATGGTGGAGAAGGGGTGGGGGAATGCTAGAACATTGCTTTGAAGATTATCCATTACTATGCATAATAATCCCCTTCTCAGTATGGTAGAAGAATTAAATGTAGGCCCAAGGCAAATTAATTAATATTACTTATAGCCATGTCTTCATCATGATTAAACAATTACTTTTTCTAGAACTATTGTAAAGAATTGAGGACTCACAATGTAGAACTACTGGACCTTTGAATATCATGGTGGCATTTCTGTAATGTTTCATCTTCTTTGATCCTTAAAATGTGTTTCTTTTTATTTGGTTTTAATGGAGTTCCTGCTGCTGATCAGGAAGTATTTAATATAAAGTTTGCCTTGGACAAAATTGAGTCACTGAAGCATGTCTTTTGAAACACGAAGTTTTTTTTTAAGTGATGAAGAGACCATTGGCCTATATACCAAAGGTAGAATGGCAGTAGAAATGGCTTTCTTTTCTTTGACTTCACTCCAAGATCTGGAAGGCTGTGAGTCAGGGAAATGAATTTAGAAGGAGAAGAGGGGCCAGCACTAGGATTTTTTCCCCCATCAGTTGGTAGCCTGAGACTTTAATTCCTGGTTTCCATTACTGGGTTTTAGTGCTTCCAATTTAGTGTTCTAAAAGTGTCCCAGGATTCGGTTTTCCTGCTCTGGTGTGGCCAAACATGTCTGTCTCATGGAGTCCGAAGTAGCTCTCACCAACCACAGCACAGTCTCCAAGAGGGTTATGAAGCCTTGTCCAGACTCTACGGGGCAGAATGCTGTGATCAATTAGCAATGCCTTTCACCAGCAGAGGTGATGATGCGAGAGCTGTGGTCTTCACATTTTATTTTGACATCCCTGGCCTAATTTCTCTGTTTAACTGAGAAAGAGGCTTGCAGAGAGCTCCCAGCTGTGAGAGTTTAAGTTATATTACTCAAACTCTCAAAGTCTCAATCCTCATTTTTAAAATGGAGAAACAACAATAACAACAGTAATGAATCCTTGCCAAGCCTGTTTCTAAGGGCTTTACATATATTAACTCATTTAATCCTCACAACAACTTTTGAGGTAGTGCTATTGTTATCCCTTTCCCCAAAGGAAACTGAGGCTCAGAATAATTAATTGTCCCAGCTAGGAAGCAGCTCAGCTCTTCTCCTTTCGGAATGTAACCTCTTCCATGTGCATGCGGAAACCACTCAGTATATGTTCACAATTTACTTTTATTTCCAGATTACAAGAGCTTCTGGGAAGAACAGGAATCTGTAGGAGCAAACAGGAAATGGGTTAGTAGATTCTGCTACAGTCTTCAGCTGTCATGTGGTGCTGAATTCTCATGTCACTCTGAAAAAAGGATATTAACACTTAGATGGAGTCTATAGGCAAATCTCTTCAAGCCACATTTCCTGTCTACATAGCCCCAGACAGTTTGCAAAGCACTTATGTGCTGTTATCACTGTCCATCCTCACAACTGTGTGATATTGGCAGGGATCTTAGTTTTTATTAGGGATCTCTGTTTTGTTAGAAACCTTTGGTTTTTTTTTTTTTTTTAGAAGATGGCACAGCCGGCATGACAACCCATGTCTTCAACTTCTCAGTGAAGACTCTTTCTACCATCCTATACATCTCAAGCCCAGTGGTTCTCAAAGAATGGTCCCTGGATCCCAGCATCAGCAGTGCGTGGGAACTTGTCTGATATGAAAATTCTCCAGCCCTACCACAGATCTCCTGAATCAGAAACTCTGAGGATGAGGTCCTGGAATCCATGTTGTAACAAGCCCTCTGGATGATTCAGACGCATGCTTGAATTTAAGGACCATTGCACTATTTTAACCTTGTATAAGAGGAAAAGTGGAAGGAAATTGAGATAATTGACTGAGAAATATGTGATGTCTGTCATGAAAGGTTTGAAAGATGTGTATGTAGAAGATGGAACAGTTTTGTTCTGTGCTGTTTCAGAAGCTTTTTAATAAACTTAAGAAAGAACATTCTAAGAAACAGCCATCGTAATTTGAACATTTTAGGAGGCATTTCCAATCACTAGAGAGAGTCAAACAGAGACCTAGGGCCCATACATGCCCACAGAGTGGGGCGGGAGAAATTCTTATACTGGGCAATTACAGTTGGAGTTTCAGGGAGCCACAAAATAGATTTCTTTCTTTCCTGAGTTTGTAACCAATTGAGAAATAAGAAAGGGGATTAAAAAGGAGGTCCATCTTCATTACTAGTAAAGCCTAGGGTGTAGAGCATGTATGTTCCAGATGTTTTTCTTTTTTTCCTTCTTCTTGCCGTGTAATAAGCCACCCAAAACAGTGACATGAAGTAATCATTTATTTCCTTCTGCTGTGAAAGTTGGCCAGGCTTATCAGGGTAAGTTTCACTCAGGTCTCTCTTGTGTTTGTACTTAAAAGTGTCTGGAAATGGGAGTATGCATGCACACATCTAGCAACTGAGCTGAAAAGACTCCATCAGCTGGGACTGGAATGACATCACTCCCCTACGCCTATCCATATGGTGACCTCAGGGCACCTGGACTTCTTTCACAGAGACTGAACGGTCTCAAAGTGAGAGTCCCAAGAGAAACCAACAGAAGCTGTGTGGCTTTCTAACAGCCCCAGGAATCAAGCTGAACCACGACCACAGCATTCTGTTTATTAAGACAGTCACAAAGTCCCACCCAGTTTCAAAGGGAGGGATCATAGACTACACATCTTGATGGGAAGAATGTCAAGGAATTTGCAGACATGTTTTAAAACCACCACATCAGTCTTTAAAACCTTCTCCCCTTGAACTGAACTTAGCCTCAAGCAGTAAACTTACCTCTTCTAGGCCAAAGATTGATATAAGAAGCTTACTAACTGCCCTCTCTGCAGGCAGGCAGGGCTCCAGGACAGAAAATGCTTCGTTTCTTTTTCAAATTCACCAATCAGATAAGTTGTTCCTGAGTTGGGGAGAGAGGACTACCGGAGAGGGGACTACGACAGGCCAGGAGGGTTACACTGGAAGTAGTCCTCACATGGAAACTTGAGCCCCAGAAAATGTGGATTACCTCATCACATGCAGTTAGATTGGCTGGAACTCCTTTTATTTTTAAGCTTTCAAGAAATTATGAATTTTAATTCCTAAATATTATTTGTCTATTTAGTTCCAGAATAACTTAATATCTCTGGCAATTCTTGTCCTCAAAGAGAATATGGACATTTTGTCATAAATATGTGTCAATTGTATTTATTTGTTTATTCATTTATTTCCATTCCTATCAAACTGCCTTAATTTTTTTTAAACATCTTTTTCTGAGATATAAATCATATAGCACACATTTCATGCATTTAAAGTATCCAATTCAATGGTTTGGGGTATATTCACAGTTATAAGCAACTATCACAACACCCAATTTTAGAGCATTTTTGTCACTTTTTGAAAAAACTCTGTGCCCTTTAGCTATCGTCTCCCTGTCCTTGCATTCCCCCCCAGCCCTAAGCAACAACTACTTTATTTTTTTGTCTTTATAGATTTGGACATTTAATCTAGATAGAATCATGTATATGTGGTCTTTTGTGTTAGGCTTCTTTCACTTAGCACGCTGTTTTCAAGGTTAATTCATGTTGTAGCATGTATCAATACCTCATCCATTTTCATGGTCAAATAATATTCCACTGTTTAGATATACCACATTTTGTTTATGCACTTATCAAGAGATGGACATTTGGGTTGTTCCCACCTTTTGGTTATAAACATCTGTGTACAAGTTTATGCGTGGACATGCTTTCATTTCTCTTGTGTATATACCTAGGAGTGCAATTGCTGGGTCATAGGGATGATTTGAAGAATGTCAAAATATTTTCCAAAGTGGCTACACCTTTATATTGCCACTAGCCATGGATGAAGGTTCTTGTTTTTCCAGATCTTCAACACTTGTTATCATCTGACTTTTTAATTCTAGCCATCCTAGTGGATGTGAAGTAATATTTCATTGTAGATTTGATTTGCAATTCCCTGATGACTAATGAAGTTGAGCATCTTATATGCTTATTGGCCATTTGTATATTGTCTTTGGAAGAATGTTAATTCAGATCATTTTCTAATTTTTAAATTGTGTTGTCTTTTAATTATTGAGTTGTACGTGTTCTTTATGTATTCTAGATACATCTGTTATCAGATATTTGATTTGCAAATATATTCTGTCATTCTGTGTCTTTTCACTTTCTTGGTAGTGATCCTTGAATCACAAAAGTTTTTAATTTTAATGAAGTGCAATTTATCTATTTTTTCTTCTGTTGCTCCTGCTTTTGATATCATATCTGAGAACTTATTGACAAATCTGAAGTCATTATGCTTTACACCAATATTCTAAGAGTTTTAAAATTTAGCTCTTGTATTTAGGTCTTTTGGGTCTTTGACACATTTTGAATTAATTTCTGTTAATGATGTGAAATAAGGGTCCAACTTCATTTTGTAATGTGGATATCCAGTTGTTCCAGCACCATTTATTGAAAATATTATTCTTTCTCCATTTGATGGTCTTGGGACAATTATCAAAACTCAGTTGGCCATAGACACATGGTTTATTTTTGGGCTTACAATTCTATACCATTGATCTACATGCCAGTACCACACTGTCTTGATTACCATTGCATTGTAGTAAGTTTTGAAATCAGCAAGTTTGAGACCCCTGTCTTTGTTTTTTTTCATAACTGTTTTGGTTATTTTGGTATCTTGCAATTCCATATGAATTTTAAAATCAGCTTGTTGATTTCCACAAAGAAATCAGCTGGGATTCAGATAGGGATTGCATTGAATATGTAGGTAAGTTTGGAAATATTACCATTTTAACAATCTTACATTTTTGAATCCATGAACATGGGTTGTTTTTGCATTTATTTAGATCTTTAACTTCTTTCAACAACATTTTGCAGTTTTTAGAGTGTAAGTTTTACACTTATTTTGTTAAACCAACCTTGCCTGCCTGTAATATATCTCACTTGATTATGTTGTATAATTCTTTCTATATATTTCTGGATTCAGTTTGCTAGTATTTTATTGAGGATATCTGCTTCCACATTTAAAAGCGACATTGGTCTATAGTTTCTTTTCTTCTGATGGTTTTGTCTGGTTTTGATTTCAGAGTCATATTGATCTTATAGTGGTGTAGTTTGTCTCTTTTCTATTTCTTGGCAGAGTTTGTGAAAAAGTTGGTACTAATTCTTCTTTAAATGTTTGGTAGAGTTCAGCAGTGAAGACATCTGGACCTATAATTTTCTTTGTGGGCAGATTACTAATTCAATTTCTTTGCTTGTTACAGGTTTGTTCATATTGTCTACTTTTTTTGGAGTCAGCTTCAGTAGTTTGGATCTTTCTAATAATTTGTCCATTTCATTTATCTAATTTACTGTCAGGCAATTGTCCATATTATTAATTTATGATCCTTTATATCCTGTAAGATTGATAGTAATGTCTCCTTTTTCATTTCTGACTCTAGTGATTTGAGTCTTCTCTCTTTTTTTCTTGGTCAATCTAGCTAATGGTTTGCCAGTTTTCTTTACCTTTGGAAAGAATCAGCTTTTGGTTATACTGATTTTTCTCTATTGTTTTTCTATTGTCTAGTTCATTAATTTTCATTGTAATATTTATTACTTCCTTCCTTCTGCTTGATTTGAAAGTAGTTTACTCTTCTTTATCCAGTATCAGAAAGTGAAATGGTAGGTTATTAGTTTAAGATCTTTCTTCATTTTTAAGAGAGGTATTTATATCTATAAATTTCATTTTGAGCACTGCTTTAGTTATATTGCATAAGTTTGGCATGCTTTGCCTTCATTTTCATTTGTCTCAAAGTATTTTCTAATTTCATTTTTGATCCACATGTTATTTAGAACTGTCTGCATATTTGTATATTTCCCGAATTTCTTTCGATGTTGTTTCTAATTTCATTTCTTCACAGTAGGAGAACATACTTCATATTATTTTCATTCATTAAAATTTATTGAGTTTTATTGAATTTTATGGCCTAGCTTGTAGTCTATCCTAGAGAATATTCCATGTGCATTTGAGAAAAGCATGTTCTGCTGTTGTTGGGTGGAATGTTCTAAAGGTGCCTGTAAGGCCTAGTTGGTTTGTCAATTTTACTTTACAGTTAATTTTCCTGACATCCCAGTGAGATTTATAATTATTATTTCCACTTAAAAAAATAAGACAGTGTTATGGTGAGTCTAGTGGACATCCATTGTTTACGTGGCCTGGGCTCTGTTCCCCCATTCTCCTAGTAACACTGCCCTAGTCAATCACCCTTACTTTCAGGCATGTGCTTCAGATGAAGTTGACTCCATTCTTTGCTTCAGGAGTAGACATATGACCAGTCCTGCCCCATTAGAGCATGGCATTCCCCAGGACAGTCATTGGATCAGGAAAGGGCACGTGACACAAGTCTAGCCAATCAGGTCCAATCTAGTTAATTTTGCCCTGTTTTGTCAATGACAGAGAAAGGAGTGTTTTCTCTTCCTAAAGGATTGGCACTGTGAGGACATAAGCCTGATGTTCTCAGCAGCCATCAGGAAAATGGAATCCAGCCAAAGGGAAATTGAACCTAGAGATAAAAAAGGTTGGGGCCTAATGACATTCTTTGAAACCCTGAACCAAGCTGGATCTGAAAACAACATTATTTCTAAACCTTTAAATGATGTAAGCCAGGAAATCCTATTTTTTGCTTATGCTTATGCTACTGAGTTAGTTTTCTATCCCTTGTAACCAGAGCTCTAAGTAACGAAGCATGATTATGTTGAAAGAATAGGTGAGTGGTCAAATATGAAAGTAAATTAGGATTGAGAGGAGAGTTTTAAATATGTATTTTAAAATAATTAAGTAACTCTTTTTCTGGCTCTTATTGCCATCTCTCCAAAGGAACACTGGTAATCCACATTCATACTGAAGTCAAAAGAAAATAATTTTTATCATAATATTATCTTTCCTCCACTCCTGTTTACCCTCCTATACTATTCATTTTGTTATGGCATCACAATTACTCAAGCTAGAAACTCAAGCCTTTTTAAATTCTTTTCTCTCCTTATGCCTCACATTCAATTGATCATTAAATCCTACCAAGCTACTTCAGAATTTTCTCTCAAACCCATATGTTCCTTTCTGCTTCCACCATTTCCCCACTACCAGGCATTTCCCACACTGCTACCTGATAATGTATGTCTCAGTCCTACTCCTAACATTTGTGGGGCCCAAAGAAGAGTTAAAATGGAGGTTCCTAGTCCATTGCCCAACTCCTTCTTTTCCCACCCAATCACTGTCCCACTGCAAGAGGCCTCACATAGGTGGACAGTTCAGCCTACATATCCAAGCTTTTTCCCAAATCCCACCAAAAAACAGCCACCTCTTGGCATAAAGGATGGACCTGTGGAGGAATGCACAATTTACAAACCCTAAAAGCAGGCTTATGATTTTCTCACCAGAAAATGTCAGTTCTCAAGAAAGCAGACTGTGATCTAGAGTATAGGCTCTGGATAGGCATATCCTGTTGGCCCTATGGACTCCTCAACTTGTGGAAATTGGTGTGGTATAAGAGAGTCAGAGCTGGGTCTCCTAAAGGCTATGTTCCAGTGAAGATCGCTCTTGTCTCAGTCTAAAGACAATACTATGCCACTATGCCACTCAGTCTGTGTAAAGTTCTGAAGTCTCACTCTGTAGCCCACTGAATGGTATCTAAACTTCTCACCTCTGTACCCAAGGACTAGCTCAACTCAATTTCAGCATATTTCCCATCTTTTCTCATTTCCCCATAAACTTTACAACTCAAAAATTACCTCCTCTTTATAGTTTTACTTAAACTCTTAGGCTGAATTAATTTCTTTCTCATATTTTTATAACCCTCAGCCTAACTCTTGAATGTACTTCCATTGAAGCATGTATAACATTGCATTATTATTACTTTTTTGCATGTCTGTTTTCCCTATAAAAGAGTAAGTTACTTGAGGTAGATTTGTGGTCTTTTCTCTGCCCAGCAGCCATTCTTTATTCAGGGAGTAGCACCCCACCTCTTCTTTTTAGGAAAGTTCCTCCTTCTCTCACTCCTTGCCAAAACTCTTTGTTCCAATATGAGATTTGAACAATAGCTGTCTCTGCCTCTTCAGCCATAGTGATTGTTAGCAGGTGACCCATGTTGGGGTAATCAAGTTCTTCCCCACTAGTTTTTAGCCTGCAAATATGCAGAGGAGACTTTCCTGTTGGGTGGTGAATCTGGAAAGGTGCAACCTGGAGTTCCTGGTGTCAACTGGGTGGTTATGATGTCACCTTCAAGGGGAGAATTGCCAGAACAGAGGGCAAGCTGAGATAACAGATGGGAAGAAAACATCTGGAAAATGCTCGAGGCTCTAGTTCATGTCACCACTTCTGCAGTTGAACATGTTAGCCAATACATTTTTTTTCGCGTCAGCTAATTTAAGTTTTGTTTCTATAATTTGCAACTTAAGAATCCTGTAAGGTTCTCCTCCAGTGAAGAGGTCAGGAATTTTTCATTTTTGTATCACAAAGACTACTATAGATCTTCACACAGAGTAGGGACTCAAGGTATTTATTGCTTTGAAGAAAAATATAAATTAGTAGAATTAAATTTATTGAGGACTGTGCTTGAAATTAAAAATGAAAAAAAATCCAGTGTTACTTAGATGTATTGAGAGAACAAGAACTTGATGGTTTGTACAATTCAATGTGAGGCAAAATAGTGAAAAGCAAAACAGTTCTGGAAAAAGAATGAATTTGTTGCCAACTTGGCAAAGTGAACTATAGAAAGCTAGAAATATTCATTTTCTTTCCTTCTTATCCAATTGCCATTACCTACCTTTAACAAAATGATATAATTGTGATTTTGATTAGTAAGTATGAAAACTGGGGAGTTTAACTCCCTTCCCTGAGCCTTGTTGTAGTTCACCATCCTGGTTTGGGCTTTGGAAGGCAGGGGAAGAAGATAAAATGAGGTGGAGAATGTAATGGTCTGCACCAACTCACAAGCAGGATGACTCATTCCTAAACAAGAGGGAAAGCTTTGTACCAATGCTCAGGCATTCAGTAAAATGAGGGCTGGTTATAATAATATTTGAAAAATGCAACCACATCTTCACCAAACTGGTCTGGCTGGTTTAGAGCTGCGTATTTTGCCAACTGTAGTGATTGTACCAATAATAAGATCATGAAGAGTCCATCAGTTGTGAAAACCAAGTGTCATTTAGTCCCAGAACTGGATGGAACCTTAGAGGTAGCCTGCTTCAACTACTACCTGCTGCCTGATCATCTCCATAACTTCCCTTAAATTAATTTGCAGGTCCTTCCTGAACCCATCCATGAAGAGAGGTCTAGGTCTCCAGACACCCCATTCCCCCTAGGGACAGTTAGACAAAATTTTTTATACTAGGGCGAAAGCTGTTTTATGAAACTTTCTGCCAATGATTCAAATGCCGTCACTTAAATTCTTGTAAAATAGATTTAATCCTTCTTCCAAGTAAATCTAATCCCTCTTCCAAGTCCTTCAGATACTTGAGGCAGCTATGGCATATTTCCAGGCAAAGCACCTCAAGGTTCTTCAGCAGTCCTTCATGGGACATTAGGGTTTAATCCCCCTTTAGGGCAAACACTGGGTCAGGTAGCTACTTAGTGCAAAGGACATGCAGCCAGATAGAGCCAAGCCACAGTCCCTGCTCCTCAGTGCACCCGAAGGCAGCCGTGCTTCGTTTACATCACCTAACCATTCTCAATTTCAGGCTTATCATGGCTAAAAGAAAAATATAATTTCTCTGAACTTCAGTTATTTTATTTGGAAAATGGAGACAAGAATGGCCACATTAAAGGTTGTCTTGAAGATGAAGTAAGGTAACCCATATAAAATGGCTATCACAATGCCTGGAACACAAAAAGTAGATTATTATTATAGTGATATTATATCTTAATATTATGTATAATATCTTAGTCAGTTTGGGCTGCTATAACAAAATAGCATAGATTGAGTGGCTTAAACAACAGAATATATTTCTTATAGTTCTGGAGGCTAAAAGTTCAAAATCAAGGTGCCAGCAATGTAGGTTTCATTTTCAGGACTCCTGCCTTGGTTTGTGGGCAGCCACCATCTCACTGTGTGCTCAAGGATCTGTGTATGTGTGATGAAAGAGAGAGGTAGGGTGGGGAGAGAGACAATGTGTGTGCTGGTTGGTCTCTCTGGTATCTCTTTTAATAAGGACGCTAATCCTGTTGAATCAGGGCCCCACCCTTATGACCACTCCTAAAGTCCCTGTCTCCAAATATAGCCACACTGGGGGGTTAGGGTTTTAGCATACACTTTTTTGGAGAAAGACACAATTTAATTCACAGCATGTACTATCTCCAGAATTTAAAAGAAGAACACACATCCAGCAAAGAAGTGAGCATCTACCATGGCTCCCAGGTGAGCACTAAATAGACCCAGTGTGGTGAAGGCAGACAGCACAGGGGATGGATTACACTTGAGAAATGAGCAGGATAGGACTGCAATGGGACAGGCAGTTCATATTAAGGAGTCTGCATTTTTCTCTCAGAAGGGCAATGGGAAGACTTCGGAGAGTTGGAAGTAGCAGAAGGACCTGATATGACTTGTGTGTTACTAGACTCATTCTATCTGCAGTGCAGAGAATGGGTCGGAGGGGATTTAATTGTATGAGAAACCTATCATGCAAATATTAAAAGGCTGTCCTAAGAGTAACGGGAAGAGGATAAAGGTGTTCAGAATCCAGGCACAAACCCCAAAGGATGGAATTTGAACTCAAACCTTAATGGTTATTATTGAGCCTTTCTAATAACTAGTAGCACCCCACCACCTCCCTCTTCCCACAGCCTTTCTATAATCTCCGGTTTTCTCTGATTATTGTGGAAGAGTGAATTTTGGGTGCTGTTACTAATTAGCATAGTGTAAGATAAGCAGCAATTTGGTTGGAACATTTTAATAATAGTTATTTTCTCTTTTGCCTGTATTTAAAAGTTCTAATTTAATGAATAAATTATCTTTAGAGATCTTAGTTATTTCTAGTTTTGTTGTTCCATCTGATATGTTAATTTCGTCAACAGATTTATTTCAATAATGGAAAAAGAAAGTTTAGAAAAAACTCTTTCCACCTTGAAGTCTAAACCAACTTGTATGTTAATACCTTAAGGAAGTATGGTGAATTAAAGAAGTTTTTGCACAGAAGGGCGTGGATGAACTTTCACAGAACTTTTTTCATACCTAAAGATGGGGCATTCCTGAATCAGAGTCACCTGAACTTATTTTAAACAATTTTAAAAAACTACTCAAAATAAGATTAATTTTCATTTAAATGAACAGCAAGAAGGTGTAGCAGAAATAGCAGTTGTCTAGAAACTACAGGACCATGCCCTCACTTTGGCTCCATTCTTAACTGGCTATGTGTGTTGCATCACGAACCAATAGCTTCTCTGGATCTCAATTATTCTCGGAAAACAAGGGAGCAGGAATAGACAATTCCTAAGGCCTTCCAAGCACGTGCTTATTATGTTCAGGCTGTGCTCTAGGGGTGTGGGAATGAATAAAACACATTGATTATTCACTCTTTTGAGGGAACATGATTTATAAAACTGCCATTGACAAACAAACAAATAGGATACATTCAGACAGGGTAAGAGTATAAAGAAAAAGAAATGGAAGAAAGGCATATAAAGAGATGTGAGTTTGTTGGGAGTAAACATTTATATTTGCAAATAAAATATTTATATACGGTGGTAGTCAGGAAAACTCTGATGAGATTCCTTCTTTCCTGAGATTGAGTGATGAGAAATAGTTATCCATACAAAATTTAGGCTAGGAGTGTTTACCTAGAGCAAGGTCCCAAATACTGAAGAAGGTTGGCATATTCCAGGAATAAGAAGCTCAGCATGGCTGAAGCGTAGTGAGTGAGAGAGAAGGTGACATGAGGTGAGGGCTAACAGGCGTGCAGTGGCTGGATCCTGTGAGTCTGGTTGGCTATGGAGAGGGGTTTGGATTTTATTCTCATATTCATGAGCAATTTTGGACCATTGGACAGTTTTAGGCAAGTAGGGATGGGGTCTCTTTTTGTCTTATTTTATTTTTTAAAGTTACTTGTGGAGATGGACTGTTGTAGTAGGGGTGAAAATGAAGCAGGCACTAGATAAGAGCCTGCTGCAGTAATCCAGGTGAGAGAAGATGGTAGCCATGGAGGTGGTGGGAAAAAGAGTTGGGATATGTTACAGAGCTGTAGTTGTGAGTACTTGGTGAGGAGTGGAAGTTTATGAGACTGAGCTATTGGCCTCTAAGATTCCATTGTTCTATGCTCCTATCTGAATTTGCCTCTCTCGCTTCCCACATCTAAGCAGTGGCTGATTGGGGTGAGAAAGGTGGTTTGTGGTTAATAAGACTAATGCAAGTTAGCCTACAGGGAGATCACAGAGAGACCTTGCATCTGTTAGCTTGTTGCCTCATCTCAATGAGCCAATGGAATGTTCAATGTGAGAGATAATCTCTGGAGAGAAAATAAAAGTGGGGAGTAGTGGTGACATTTAGGCAAACCTGAACCCTCTGACAAAGCAAATTTCTGCTTCCTTTCCCTTTCAAATTTGTTCCCAAGAACTTGGTACATTCAGTTTGGCTGTAGTGGAGACAGCTGTTTCAAACAGAATTGAATCCAATTTCCATGACATTTTGCACACATGCAGATCTTGGCATTCAAATGATTCGTGAGTGCAATTAATAAATGGCAGAATTATTTTGGAACACTTAGTGCATTATGTTTTCAGGAAATGCAGTCTACCTAACCTTTAACAATTTATACTCTGCTTTCATTTTTATTTAGTCATTTCACTGTAGTTTTTGGACACTTGTTCCTAAAACATAATTATCTTCCTATTGAGATAAACAGTAGAATATAATTTTCTTCTTGCCATGACTCAAATTATGTGGTGTGTCCATTTTAAAGGACTAACATGATCAAACTGACATTCTAAAAATGCCATGTTCATTCTAAACCTACGAAGAATATTCTTTGTGTCTTTGGGATCTTGGCTTTATCTGGTTTTGTCAATAATTTTGTTGCATAAACAACTCTGCCTAGGACAGCTGGGAGGTCTAGATACTGGATGTACTCATTCAGCAGATATTTGAGCCTCTTACTCCATGCAAGGCTCTGTGCTGGACATTTGGGAGAATCTCAAAACACAAGACTACCTCTGCCTTCCATCTAGATAACTATCTACTTGGGAAGGTTTCACAGAAAAGGCTAAACAATGCAAGAATTTTAGAAATGTATAATAATATCAGAGATCTTACAACAGAAGGATGTGATTAGGTGATGAGTAGTGGTTTATAACTATGCTTCTCAAACTGTCAAATACATATGAATCTCTTAGGCAGCTTGTTAAACTGCACATTCTGATTCAGCAAGTCTATGGGAGTGGAAATAAGGTGAGAATCAGTTCCCCATTGATGCCAATATTGTTGGCCCATGAGTAGCAAGGGATTAGATTTGAGATCCCTAAATTGTATGCTGAGGCATCCCAGGTGCTGTACTAAATTCACAAGGGCACCACAAGATATTTTAAAATTTAAAATAAAACAAAACAGAGTGATGCTCATCCTCTGCCATGTAAACTACTAGTTTGAGGAAATGTATAGTTTTAACATTAGATCAAACTACATTCCTTTCAATCTTATCACATCCTTGCAATGTTGGATTCTTGGCAGTTGCTGTGATAAAAATGCAAGTAATGTGCAAAAATCAATATGGAACAGGCAATGAGGGTTGTGGTGTCCAATCTGAGCTCAAAGTCTGAGAAGTTGTGCTGTGGTCTGACCGGCACACACATCCCATTAGTAAGCAAATGTGGTTATATAAGAATAACATTTTTTCCTTTATTTTTATAAATTTTAGGAGCACAAGTGCAGTTTTTTACATGGATATATTGCGTAGCGGTGAAGTCTAAGATTTTAGTGTAACCATCACTCAAATAGTGTACATTGTACCCATTAAGTTATTTTTTCATCCCTCACCTCACTCTCACCCTCCCACCCTTTGGAGACACCAGTATCTATTATTTCACACTCTATGTCCATGTGTACCAATTATTGGGCTCCCATTTATGAGTAAGAACATGCAGTATTTGACTTTCTATATCTGAGTTGTTTCAGTTAAGATAATGTCCTCTAGTTCCACCCACATTGCTGCAAAATACATAATTTCATTCTTTTTAATGGATGAATAGTATTTCATTGTGTATATATACACAAACGTGCACACACACACACATACACACATATATATACAGCTATATCACATTTTCTTTATCCAATCATCCATTGATGGACACTTACATTGATTCCATATCTTTGCTCTTATGCATAGTGCTGTGCTAAACATATGAGGGTAAGTATTTTTTAATATAATGATTTTTTTTTCCATTTGGGTAGATACCCAATAGTGGGGTTGCTGGATGCAGTAGAAGTTTCTATTTTTAGTTCTTTGAAAAATCTCCATACTGTTTTCCATAGAGATGATATTAATTTACATTCCCACCAACAGTGTACAAGCATTCTCCTTTCTCTACATCCTTGCCAACATCCGTAATTTGTTTGAGTTTTTAAATAGTTGCCATTTTGACTGGTGTGAGATGATATCTCATTGTGGTTTTAATTTGCATTTCTCTGATGATTACTGTCATTGAGCATTCTTTCATATTTTTGTTGGCCATTTGTAAGTCTTCTTTTGAAAAATGTCTATTAATGTCCTTTGCCCACTTTTAAATGGGGTTATTTGTACTTTTTGTTGTTGAGTTGTTAGAGTTTCTTGTAAATTCTGGATATTTGTCCCCCATTGGAAGCATACTTGTTAAATATTTTCTCCCATTCTGTAGGCTGTTCACTCTGTTGATGTATACCTTTTGCTGTGCAGAAGTTTTTAGTTTAATTAAGTCCTGTTTGTCTATTTTTGGTTTTGTTGCTTGTTCTTTTGAGGTCTTAGTCAGGAATTATTTGCCTAGGCCGATATCCAGAAGAGTTTTCCCTTGGTTTTCTTTTAGTATTTTTATAGTTTCAGGTCCTACATTTAAGTCTTTAATCAATTTTGAGTGATTTTTGTATACGGTATAAGAAAGGGGCCCAATTTCATTATTCTGCATATGGCAATCTGATTTTCCCAGCACCATTTATTGAAAAGAGCTTCTTTCCCCAGTGCGTATTTTTGTTGACTTTGCCAAAGATCAGTTGGCTGTAGACATGTGACTTTATTTCTGGGTTCTCTATTCTGTTCCATAGATTTATGTATCTATTTTTATACTAGTACCATGCTGCTTTGGTTACTATACCCTCGCAGTATTATTTGAAGTAAGCTAATGTAATGCCTCCAGCTTTGTCTTTTTGCTTAGAATTGCTTTGGCTGTTTGGGATCTTTTTTGGTCCCATGTGAATTTTAGAATTGTAATCCCAGCACTTTGGGAGGCCAAGGTGGATGGATCACCTGAGGTCAGGAGTTTGAGACCAGCCTGGCCAACGTGGCAAAACCCCATCTCTACTAAAAAATACAAAAATTAGCTGGATGTGGTGGCAGGTGCCTGTAATCCCAGCTACTTAGGAGGCTGAGGCAGAAGAATCGCTTGAACCCGGGAGGCGGAGGTTGCAGTGAGCTGAGATTGCGCCATTGCACTTCAGCCTGGGAGACAGAGCAAGACTCCGGCTCAAAAAAAAAAAAAAAAAAAAAAAAAAAGGTTTCATCTAATTCTGTGAAAAAATGTTTGTATCTTGATAGGGATTGCACTGATTCTGTAGATTGCTTTGGGCAGTAGAATCATTTTAATGATATTGATTTTTCTGATCTATGAGCATGGGATATTTTTCCATTTATTTGTGTTATCTTTAACTTCTTTAAACAGTGTTTTATAGTTTTTCTTGTAGACATCTTTCATCTCCTTAGTTAATATAATATATTCTTAGGTATTTTATTCTTTTGGTAGGTATTGTAAATGGGAGTGCCTTCTTGATCTGGTTCTCAGCTTGATCATTAGTGTTATATAGAAATGCTCCTGATTTTTGTATGCTGAAACTTACTGAATTCATTTATCAAATCTAAGAGTTTTTTTGATGGAGTCTTTAGGGTTTTTCAGCTATAAGATCATATACTTTCTTTCAATTTACATGCACTATTTTTTTAAACAGCTGCCAAGTTTTTAGAACATGATTACTTATTAAGTTGTTTGGGTGTAACTACTTAGTAATGAAACTATTAGGTATTTTTTTTGGTCTACAGACCCCATGGAAGAAAGGGAGAGACACTTAGGACCCTGTGAATAGAGGAAGTTTGGGAAACCTCTGGGTTATGTAATAAGTACTATGAATTCAGAGAGGCCTGGAGAGGTCAGTTAAGGTCATGTGAAGGAGGTGGAACCTGAGACAGGTCCGCAGGGAAACGATGTGGCTGCACATCGAAGATTTTCTAAAATGCATGAAGAATATATATTTAGATTGACATGTCTATTCAAAACTTCCACTTCTCTGTTCTCTTTGGTTGTTCTTTGAATTCGCACAGACTTCTGCTGAGGACTGCTTTTGTGCCAGGCAGGACCCACATTGTGGAGCCAGCAGCCACAGAGCAGAGTAGCCTCCAGAATCTCAAAACACATGCTCTAATCTGGAGAGTGGTTTGGTGCACTGGTCTATGCCTTTGGTGCCAGTGTTGTCCTTCCTTGGTGAATAGTACCAATGCCAGCTGGCATTCATCATGGCAAACCACAATATGCTTCTGTCATTTAAATTTCTCCAAAACCCTAAATTCCGTTTTCATTGTCTGAGTGACATTAGTTGTTGTTAAGCAAACCGATTTTTAAATTGTCTCAGCCGGGCACGGTGGCTCACGCCTGTAATCCTAGCACTTTGGGAGGCCGAGGCGGGTGGATCACGAGGCCAGGAGATCGAGACCATCCTGGCTAACACGGGGAAACACTGTCTCTACTAAAAATATAAAAAAAGGTAGCCGGGCGGGGTGGAGGGCGCCTGTAGTCCCAGCTACTGGGGAGGCTGAGGCGGGAGAATGGCGTGAATCCAGGAAGCGGAGCTTACAGTGAGCTGGGATCACGCCACTGCACTCCAGCCTGGGCGACAGAGCGAGACGCCGTCTGAAAAAAAAAATCGTCCTTCTCTCATACTTTTTTGGGGAACAAGTCTATACCTTCTCCACAGAACACACATCAATTTCTAGTGAGTGCTTGAACATGAACATGTTAATAAAGTTTCTGGTCAATTTTGTTAATCATTTTCCTCCCCAACCCAATTGGTAACAGTGTTGAGTTTGGAGGAATGGGCAATGGAAAAGGAACTGTGGTTCAAGTGGCAGGCAATGGGGAACTTCTTGGTACAGAGCAGTGGTGAGGTAGGAAAGCAAGTGGCATTTTAGGAAGATTATTTTTATAGTGTTATTCAGGATGGATTGGAGGGAGGAATGGCCAGGGAAGCTATTAGAAGAAACTCTAGTGTGTGGTGACAGTGGCAGTGGAAACGAGAATGAAAGGAAAGAGATGCAGCAAAAGATACATGGGACTCTAGCCAAGAAGAGATGCCGCAAAAGATACAAGGGATGCCAGCCACTGGTTGCTTATGATGTGAGGCAGTTGGAGGAGGCGGAAAACATGCTAAGGATCCCAGAGGGCTGGGATGCTGGGGGAATGATGGGGAAACAGAGGAAAGCCAAGAGGGAAGACCCCATTTTGCAAGTCTTCAAGAGGTAAGTTTGGTTTTTGATGTACTGAATTTCAGTCATGGTGGAAATATGCCATTGCAGTGAGAACTAAAGATAAAAAGACCAGGGGCAGAGGTATGATCGGTGCTGAGGTAAGAGGTGAAGGACTGGTGATGAGGACATACTCTGAGGGAAAGCGTGGGTGTGAAAGTCCAGCTACATGGTGAACCGTGGGGAGCACCTAATCTGGTGGGGCAGCAGGATAAGACAAAGCCAATGAATTAAACAAAGAAGGAACAGTCAGAAAGCTTGGAAGAGGACAGTATATTATAAGGTGGACTGAAGGAGGCTGGAGAATTTCACTGATCTAGTGCCTCACAGGTGTAGAGTATGATCTTAGGTATTTTTTTACATGTCAGTACATGGATTATCCACAACACACTTTGAGCAAGATAGCTTCTTCCTCATTTTACAGGTGAGGAAATTGATGGTCAGAGATACTAAGTAACTTGGCCAAGGTCATTCAGATATCAAGTGGAAGAATTTGAACCCAGGTGCTAAGTTTTAATCCAAAGTGTTTGCTCTTCCCCTAAACCTTTCAAGAGTGGAAATGAAGATGGTTAAAAGATTCTTGTGACCATTTAGAGCAAAGGGTCTTAACCTTTGGTTCTTAAGGGCTCTCTGGATAAACTTCAGGAAGTCTTTTAATCTCTACAATTATGTGCAAAATTTTGTATGCAAAAAAAGTTTACATCCTCCTGCCCACCCACAGTGAGATGATCTATAACATCCACCAGATTCCCAAAGGGATTTTGAATCCTCCCCAGAATTTAAGAACAGCTATTCTAGATGGCTGTTTTAGTGGAGCAGTGAAGGTTAGGGAGTTATGGATTAAATAGGTAGTGAGGAAAACAAAAGTAGTCTGTGACATAATCAAGAAATTCAGCTCTGAAAGAAGAAAAGAATAGTATGGTAGCTTGAGGAGGTAGACAAGTGAAGCTTTTATTTGTTTTTTTTAAGACAAGGAGATGTGGTCAGGCACAGTGACTTATGCCTGTAATCCCAGCTCTTTGAAAGGCCTGGTTTGAGCCCAGGAGTTCAAGAGCAGCCTGGGCAAGATAGTGAGACCCCATATCTACACAAAGTACAAAAATTAGCTGTTCATGGTGGCCTGCTCCTGTAGTCCGAGCTACTTAGGAGGCTGAGGCAGGAGGATCACCTGAGCCTAGGAGGCAGAGGTTGCAGTGAGTCAAGATCGCATTACTGTACTCCAGCCTGAGTGACAGAGTGAAACCCTGTCTCAAAAGAAAAAAGAAACAAAGATAGACAGATATGAGATATGAGCCTGCTTGGCAGCAGAAAGAGATACTGATGACCTAAGGGTAGGAGGGAGAGTGGGTGCTGTCTAAGGAAGTTCACCAGAGACAGGAAAAAGGTTGGCAATCTCTCCTGGGGATGTCAGTCTCCACTAATCATTGCTGGTGTTCTGTTAGCTGGTTCAGTGAGATTCTAGGGAATTTCTCTCTCAGAAATACAGTCCAAAATATATATAAAAAAGATAGGAAGGAAGAGAGAGAGGGAGGGAGGGAGGAAAAGAGAGAGGAAGAAAGAAAGGAAGGAAGGGAGGGAGGGAGGGAGAGAGGGAGGGAGGGATGGAAAACAAGCCCCATAATGTTTCTCTTAGAGAGAGTCAAGGAGAATGAAGGTGAGAGAAACCAAACCTCCTAAGTGGTCAAAGCCAAATCTGTGACAACATCTTTCTTCTTAGGGGTCAAAGCTAATTCTGTGACAACATCTACTTTGTGCATTAAGAGGAGGTAGAGGCTTTCAGAGTCAAAATCCACACTCAGAGCCTTCAGGGATACGCTAAAAGAAAAGCTCCTTCTGTCCTCCAAGTACCATCATTTTTAAAGTTGGAGGGAGAGGGAGGGGATCTGGCTAGGCCGTTTTTATTACAAAACTCTTCATCTATTTTTATCTCCTGAGTTTCAGATGCATTTAATTATTCTTTCTAAATGCCATCTTCTGCTTTTAGTGAATTTTTTTAAAGAAAACCTCTTCTTCATGCAGATGCAAATTAAATTTGGTGTTTTGTTTACATGAAGGAAAATATAAGGATTACCTTGTTTGCTTCTCCATGGACTGTGGGCATTGTGTATTTTGGAGCTTGTTTTTAAACAAAATAGAATTTTATTGTTATTATTAATAGATGCCCATGGAATATCAAAAAAGAAATTCAGTTCAAGTGTATAACCTCTGGGCATTATTAGCTCACAATTCACTAAGGTATGCATAGGTACAGAAGTTTTTAATTAAAAAAATACATATATACATACACACATGTATTTTACCTAAATTAAAATTTTGATTAGCATGAAATGTATGTTCAGATTCTACTTTGTGCTGGGCATTGTGTTGTCCTTAATTTCAAGGAGCTCAGAATCAAATCAGCAAACAGAAAGATAAGTAAATTAATAATTTTAATAAAAGTAATAACTGACATTTATTGAGCACTAAGTCTGTGCCAGGCACTGTTCTAAGTGCTTTACAAGTATTAATTCATTGAATCCTCATGATAAAGCTATGTCACAGGTACTAGTATTATCCTCATTTTTTATTTTATTTTATTTTATTTTATTTTATTTATTTATTTATTTTTTTGAGACAGAGTCTTGCTCTGTGGCCCAGGCTGGAGTGCAGTGGAGCAATCTCTGCTCACTCCAAGCTCCGCCTCCCGGGTTCACACCATTCTCCCGCATCAGCCTCGCGAGTAGCTGGGACTATAGGCCCCCGCCACCAAGCCTGGGTAATTTTTTGTATTTTTAGTAGAGACGGGGTTTCACCGTGTTAGCCGGGATGGTCTCGATCTCCTGACCTCGTGATCCGCCCGCCTCGGCCTCCCAAAGTGCTGGAACTACAGGCGGGAGCCACCGCGCCCGGTATTATCCTCATTTTGTAAGCAAGGAATTGAAGGATAGAATAGTTAAGTAACTTGCCCAAGGTCACACAGCCAGTAAGTGGTGGCTCTAAACATCCCGCATTCTGACCCATAAGTGCAGTTATGGAAACAGAAAACCCAGGACAGCAGGGGCTAGGAGAAAGGATTGATGGAGGTAGAGGATGCTTCCCCATGCAGGTGACCTTGGAGTTGAGTTCCTAAGGATGAAGTGGGTGGTAAATTATAGGAAGAGAAGTCTGAAACAGCAGGGTGAGTTCTGGAACTCTAGCAGTTTGGTGTTGCTGGAGTGTGTTGTAGAAGGAGTAAGTATTGGGTGGGAAATGAGATTGGAGAGATACCCATGAGGCAGATCATAAAGGCCTTGAATGCTGTACCCAGCAGCTTAGACTTTGTCCTAAGGCTTGTGAAAGAGTTAAATAAAGGAGACATACAGCCACATCTCAGAACGAAACACCGAACGTGATTATATAAGTGTCTTATTCTCTGAACTTTTCTAGATTCTTAGTTTTTTAAAAATATGTATACTAAAAAAAAAATAAAAAAAATAACCCAAGAAACTACAAAGGTTTATTAAAATGATGTAAGTTATGGAAAATTTTAACTTACTGCTGACTTAGTTCCTTGATTAGTAAACAACACGTCTCCTTTGTATCTGATTAATAAGAGATTAATAAGATAAATTAATTAATTGTAATTCATACTATTAATAATTGATAATAATAAATAAAATGAGGATGTAGTAAAAACCTGATTGTCCTCCATGCTTTGGGAAAGACCACATTTCTTGAGTGTTAATAGAATAATTTGCTTTATGCCTGCAGTTTAGATTCTGTCCCCAGACTCAATTCTAAGCTTTATTCTGGGGCTAAACTGCAGTCCTGTATGCACTGTGTAATCCATGTATGTCCTGCCCATATGTTCCAGACTCTCCACCTTTCTAGAGACAGGCTTTTTTTTTTCACATACACATTAAATAGTATGAGGACCCCTCTCCTGTGTTATGAAAAGGCCACACCTTCCCAAGATGGCCAATACTTCTCAGGGGTGACACATTATCAGGGTCACCTCCTGCTTTGAATTCCAGCTCCCATTAAAATTTTCTTCTCTTTCATAATCATACCTGCTTAGTCTCCCTCCCTCCTTGAACAAAACAACTGCTTTCTTCATAATAATTTTTGCCTTTCTTCCGAGTCAACTAGTGTAAACTGCAAATGGCTTTTAAAGTAACAATGTTTTCTTTACTATTACAATAATACCTTACATTACTACATGTATTATAATTGCCCAGTACATTACAGCTTTCAAAACATTTTCACAATAGAGCAGGTATTATTGTTCTCATTTGAGAGGGGAATGGAGGGGAAACTAACATTTGTAGACTGCATTTTATGAGCCAGCCATGGTGCTCCCTTCTTCATATATTTGAGTTCATTAGCATATGGAATCTAATTAAACCCAGTTTCCCTATCATTCTTCACAAAACTTTTGCAAAAGCATATGTATTAGTTATCTATTGCCATATAACAAATTACACAAATTTAGCAGCTTGAAACAACAAATATTCATTACCTCACAATTTTTGTGGGTCAGGGATCTGGTTGTGGCTTAGCTAGGTACCTCTGGGTCAAGGTCTCTCAGAAGGTTGCAGTCCTGCTGTTGGTCTGGTGTGGTCTCATCTAAAGGCTTGACTGGGGGAAAATTATCTTCTAAGCTCATAACACAGCTGTGAGAAGACCTCAGATCTTAACCTAGCTGAGGTCTCCCTCAGTTTATTCCCACGTGGGTTCCTCCGTAAGGCAGCTCACAGTATGGTGGCTGGCTTCCCTCATAGTGAGTGAGCAAGAAAGTGAAGCGAGCTCTTAAGTTGGGAGGCACGGTCTCTTTGTACTCTAATCTTAGAAGTGGTATCTTATTACTTTCACCATATTGTATTTGGTAGAAGTGAATCACTGGATCCAACCCACACTCCAGGGAGTGGATTATACATGAATACCAGAAAGCAGGACTTTTGGGGGCCACTTTAGGACTTGCCTACCATAGCATTATCGTCCCCACTTTATAGTGGAAGACAAAGGGAGGTTAAAGAGAGTAAGCAAATTGATCAAGACCTCAAAAACTAGCAAATTAAAAAACTGGCAGTAAACTCTGATTTGATGTTCTAAGGAGAAAATGCTCCAAAAAGATCTTTTTTTAATCAATAAAAAGAGCTAAATCAAGGATATCAGCAATTTTTATTAAAAACAAAGCAAAACAGAAGGCCCTTCCAGTGACTTCCTTGGGTTCAGTACAGATTCAGCCACATCCCTTATCCAGTGGTTCCCAAATGCTGGTCAATGCCTAGGAAATAGTTTTGGCCAGTCTGCAGCAAACTAAGACATATAAGAACTATGTGGAAGTTTTTCATAATGATAACATTCAATGAAAAGGTCTTTTCTTTATTCTTACTTTTATTCTTTTCATTTTGAGTTGTTAAAACAGTCTTTTATAATGTGTTAGCAATAATAGAATGGTAGTCTTTCTAAAAAAGTATTAGTCTTATTTGACACAATGAATAATATGAAACACTCTGATAGATTCCTAGTTTTTTTCTGAACTTTCACTGGTTTTTGAAATTCGAGAGTTTAGAGGCCTCTGCTTCGTATCACAGTTACACAATCCTGTAAAGTGTCCCTTAATAGAATGATGTCTCTGAGCTTTAGATAAGATCCTCAAATGTTAAAGAAAGTCTCAAGAATGTTTAAAACATTTAGTAAGGCAGGAGAGTGGGGTTTTATTTATAGGAAGTAAATAAAATCATTTTTCCTCAAACTTTTTAAAAATAAGCATTTATATTTTATAATAGTTTTAGATTTACAGAATGCAAAGATAGAGGGTTCTTGTATTCCCTCATCTAGTTTCCTCTACTGTTAACAATCTTACTTTACTATGAGACATTTGTCACAGCTAAGGAACCAATATTGACACATTATTATTAACTATGCTCTACAATGTATTCAGATTTCACTAGTTTTCCCCTGATGTCCTTTTCCTGTTCCAAGATCTTACTCAAAATACCACATTACTTTAGCAGTTGTGTCTTCTCAGCCTCATCGAGTCTCTAATAGTTTTCTCTGCCTTTTCTTGTTTTTGATGACCTTGATAGTTTTGAGGGGTATTTGTCAGGCATTTTGTTGAATGTCTCTGAATTTAGATTTTTCTGATGTTTTTCTATAAAGATTCAGAACTCTAAGAAGACAAAATAATTTACATTGAAACCAAACACAATTTATGAAAGATATAAGAAACCTGAGTTCTAGGCCAGGCATGGTGGCCTAGAATCCCAGCATCATGCCTGTAATCCCAGCACTTTGGGAGGCTGAGGTGGGCGGATCACAAAGTCAGGAGTTTGAGACCAGCCTGGCCAGTATGGCGAAACCCCGTCTCTACTAAAAATAGAAAAATTAGCCAGGCGTGGTGGCGGGCACCTGTAGTCCCAGCTACTTGGGAGGCTGAGGCAGGAGAATCGCTTGAACCTGGGAGGCGGAGGTTGCAGTGAGCCGAGATCGCACCACTGCACTCCAGCCTGGGTGACAGAGTGAGACTCTGTCTCAAATAATAATAATAAAAAAAAGAAATCTGAGTTCTAGATCCTTGGGATATAGCTCTACAAATTCCAGAGTTCTGCAACAGTGATCTTTCTAAAGCACAAAACTTGTTGTGCCTTCATTCTCACAACCTAATATTTCAGTAGCTCCCAAAGATTGTAAGATTAACACCATTTATTCAACGATTACCTGCCAAGATCCAGGTACTATGCTATTACTGGTGAGTCAAAAAGATATACAACATTGTGTTGAATATCAAGAGGTTTTCAGATCCCACTTTCATCCTCCCTTTGACCTCTGAATATATTATTTTCCTCTATAGTGGTTAATTCCATTGCTAATGTAAATCAATTTAGCACCTACCTTAGATTTTGTCTATTTTTCAGCTCTACCTGTTATCCTGATCTGCATATGAAGGATCACAACACAAACACAGATACCTTTCGAGGTGGCTGGAATGGGATAAGGAGCAGGAGAAAGAGGAAGAGGAAAGCTTTTGTTGCTGACACTTGAATGTTTTTTGATGCTTGAATATTTTGACAGGGACAAAGAGAGTTATAGGATATAGGCAACAGAAAGTTGAACAGAGGCTCAGAAAAAGCATAAAAAAGGAGTGAACAATTCTACCTGGGAGGACAGAATCAGGTGCATCGTCTCTAAGGTACCATTAAACTGAAGTTTAAAAGCTATCCAGATGGATGGTGGTTTGAGTTACATCAGGCCTCCTCAAAATATATATTCCTCTTAACCCCCCTGTGAATGTGACCTTAGTCAGAAATAAAGAGTCTTCAGATTAAATCAAGTTAAGATGAAGTCATACTGGATTAGGGTAGGCCCCAACCCAATGACTGGTATCTTTATAAAAGAAGAGAGAAATTTGGACACAGAGACACATGAGGAGAACACCACATGGTGGCAGAGGCAGAGATTGGGGTGATGCATCTACAAATCAAAAAAATGCCAAGGATTGTCAGCAACCACTAGAAACTAGGAGTGAGGCATGCAACATATTCTTCCTCTAGACCCCAGAAAGAATCAAACCTGCTGGCACCTTGACATTGGACTTTTAACCTCTGGAACTGCGAGATAATACATTTCTGCTGTTTTAAACCATCAACGTTTGTGGCAATTTGTTATGGCAGCTCTAGGAAACTAATATAGATGGCACATGGAAGTAAATAGTAGGCAGAAGACTCAGCACAGTGAAGGCCTGGGCTGTGAAGTAGCCTAGGCATCTGCTTATGGAAGATCCTCAGGAACAATTTGTAGGTGGGGTTTTAGAACCCTGACCCTACTATTAATAGGCTATTACCACTGTATGTTAGTCTCAGGCAAATGACAGCTTACACTTTCTAAAATATTACCTGCATATCTACAATAAGGGAGAACATTTAAAATCTGTAAACACACTATTACACATACTTGTTTGTTTTACGCATTTCTTTAAAATTTAAAAAGAATCTGTTATTTTCTATTCCAAATAGGGTAAAAGAAAGTTGTAATTGCATATCTGTTCTGTGAAACATAAGAAAAGAAACCCTTTTCCCTGCTCCCCTTGCTGGAACATTATGCTTACTTGGCTGTAGGCTGGTGGTAAATTCCTCTGTATCTCTCCCTTGCCAAGGAACTCTCATAGCCCTGAGACAGAGGGTAGTTGAGTTGAGTGAGAGGGGTTTACAATCTTCTTCCCAGGGAGAAGTTCAAGTAATGCTGGAGGATGATAAGCTACCTTCTGAGAAGAGCGGGCTGATCAGTGGCTGAGTATTTGCTTTGATGAGTGAGATGTATACAGGAGGGAAGCACCCAGCTAACTCACAGCCCACGCAGGGCTCAACACTCTTCAAAATGAATATTGAACATTTAAAGACTATTGGTTTTGAAGTGGCATCAGGTTGTTCAGCTTTACTGAGGAAAAGTTGGGGGCAGGCAGGCACTTATGTGTCTCCTTTGGTCCTCTGTGGAGCCCTACCTGGTATAATTATAATAGCTGACATAAAATGAACTCTATGTGCCAGGCACTGGGCTAGTTTATGAACAAGATCAGCATTGATCATAAAACCAATCCTATAAGGAAGGTAGTGTTATGACTCCATATTACAGATAGAGAAGCTGAGGCTTCAAGGGGCTGAGAAATGTGCCCAAAGTCACATGACTAGGTAAGTGATGCAGCTGAAATTGATAGCCATGTCTAACTTCAAAGCACCAGTAGCATTTGAGAGGTATCTTAGTCAGGGGAATGAGGGTGAAGGACAATGCAGGAATGAAGGCTGATATCAGATCTTAGACATCCTTGGCTGCCCCACTAAAGACTTTGGACTTTGTAAATATGCAACAAGGACCACTGAACAATTTTAAGCAAGGAAGTCAGAGCATCCCATTTTTGCTAGGTCTTCAGTCATTATCTGTTGAATGGACATCAACAACCTGTGGTTCATAAGCTACAGAAAATGTATTGGAGGAGGGCGGGACCAGAGGAAAGGAGACCAGTTAGGAAGTTGGAGAATAGACCAGGAAAAAGAGTTGAAATGTCTTAGCATGCCACACAGGGTCCTGCTACACTGTCTCTGTGTTCTCTTACTTAAGAACATCGGGCAAATTTAATCAAAGGTGTCCATGAAATAACCCTACCCCTCTTGAATTTCACCCAACTCATCCTACAACACTTAAAATCCATCTTTCCAGCATCAGTGACATGAAATCTGAAGGGAACCAATTAATTATGCAAAATTTAGAGTCCACCTAGGAGCCAATCAGAGACTTGAGATCAGAATAGTCTTTGCCTGATCTGATGTGATTCCTTCTTTTCACCCTATATGCAGCCCTTTCTGTTGGGAAACTGGCTGAACTCACACCTGAGTATTATGCCTTGTCTTTGCCAGGCATATTGAGCCCTGCATGGGCTATGAGATATCTGAATGCTACCCTCCTGTGTGCAACTCACTCATCAAATAGAGTAGTAAGCTCACTTTACTTCAAACTGGTATTTGGTATTCTTTATTTCCTTCCAACTCTTTCAAGCTTGAACTCCAACTGCCTGCATTGGTAAACCCTTTATTCTAGCCCTGGCATTTCCTGGAATGTGATAGGCTTGCCCCAGATTCGTCTCTTTCCTTATGCTTTTTCTTCTGCCTGGAAGGCCATCTCTTCTCTTGTTTATCTCATGCATTTCCCACTAATTCTTAAAGATTTCATTCAAGTGTTACTCTCTCTGAAGACTTCTTTTGTCCTGCTCCCTCATCTTCCAAAACTTTGTGCTCGTATCAGCATCTCCTTAATTACACTGGTGCGTATACAGCCTTTCTATCATGTCAAATTATTTCACTAGGTTTTGTACATGTCTGTTCATGAATTCAATAAGTGTTGATTGAAAACCTGCTATGTGTTAGGCACTGGGTGCCTAGTAATGCAGAAATTTCATGCTGGTTTATGAGAGCTCTCACCCCTACAAATCCACACTGTTTCTATGTGTGTTTGTTTTACTGTTGTAAATGTTTTCACAAATACTAACAACCTCCTTACATATCCTGTTTTGGGTTTGTAGACAGTGGTGCCAAAGAAACATCAGGATCCCAGAAGTAAAATATTCATTCAGTGTAACTTTGGGTTAAAATGGCTCTGTCATTTAGCCATTTAGCCAAGTAGCTAGTATACTATTTTTTGTATTATAGCTAAATACAAATTTTCCTTACAGCAATTTTATTTTTAAATAATATTTATAACTTATAAAATTACCATAGTTATCTATAAATGTATATTTATAGATAATATGTATATTATAATTTCTTATAATAATATTCTGATTGGGAATAGCTGAGAAAATACAAAGAAATATAAACAATAAAACTAAAGTCACCAGTAATCAAACCATTTAAGAAAAGTCTCATTAATATTTTGGTGAGTTTTCATTCACATTTATATAAAATATATATTCATATATGCATAAGCACATATTTAACGGAGTTGAGAATAATATTGCAGAAGAAGTTGCATTCTACTTTTCTCCTTTAACCTTCTATTATAAATATTTTGCATCCCTCAAAAAATTCTTAGTAAACAATTTTAAATGATTTCATACTTTCGTATTATTATATTAAGATTGGCTTAACCAATCCCTTATTGTTGGATATTTAAGTCATTTCTGGGTGTTAAATGATATTGTAATGCACATTTTTACATGAATGTTTATAATGGCTTTATTAACAATAGTCAAAAACTAAAAATAGCCCAAATGTTTATCCACAGAAGAATGAACAAATTGTTGTATATTCATAAATGGAAGACTACTCAGCAATATGAAGAAAAAAAGTGCTGATACACAAAACAACAGAAATGCATCTCAAAAACATGCTGCGTGAAAGATATTAGACACAAAAGAGTACATACTGTGTGATTTCTCTTACACATACTTCTAGGATGAGGTAAACAGAAAGAATAGTAAAGATTAGAACAGTGGTTGCCTGTAGGGGAGGCAACTGACTGGAATGGGCAAGGCAGAACTTTCTGGAGAGATGAGACAGGCTGTGTTTTGATTGGAATGGTAGTTGCATAGGTATATACATTTGTCAAAGCTCATAGAACTATACATTGGAAATTCATGAACTTTATCATATGTAAATTGTTCCTTAATTTGTTGAAGTGTTAAAAATGGTAATAAAAAAAAGGAACGGTAAATAAAGAGAATTAAAAGACATATCAAGTTAAACAAAAAGATGGACAAGGCTATAATGTTTAGGGATGAGGACTTGAATGATGAAATTATAGATAAATGTGAGGAAGCAATTATAACATTTACTTTAGTGGTATGAGAGAGGACTGTGTTGGGTACGGGGCCAGTGAAAAGGATTCTGGGAGGCTGTCAATGGTCTGTTTCTTCAGCTGGTTTGTGGTTGCGATGGTGTTCACCATATAGTGATTCATTAAGTAATATTTTTTATGCAGGTTTGTGTTGTTTGTGTTTTATTTGACAACAAGTAAGAACTTTTTTTAAAATTAAAAAACAAACCCAGTGAATCGCTATAGACAATTAAGAAGGTCTCTCTGAGAATGTGACTTTGTGATGAAACTTGAAGGAAAAGACTATGAAAAGAATCTGGCTATGTGAGGAGAAGGGGGAAGACCCAAGAAGGGAATGCTATTGACAAATGTACCTGGGAAAACCAGAAGACCAGAGAGCTTGAGGGAGGACAGCACTGGGGACGTGTGAGATTTAGTGGGAGAGGAAAGCATGTGCTGAAAACATACACGAATGTGTGAAGAACAATTACAGAGCTTGGATTTTACTCTATGCAAAAGGAGAAAACATTGAAGGGTACTACACAGGAAAGAAACAGACTCCAATTTATGTTTTTAAATAATTATTGTGGCTACTCTGTGAAGGATGGATGCAAGGGAAACAAAATGGAAACAGGACGTTAGCAAAGTAGTTGGGTTAGAGAGACGCAGTATGTGGGGTTTGGGTGGTGACAGTGAAGACGGATAAATGCGAATCTTTCTGATTTGACTATAGAGTGATGAGAAGTGAATTTAGGAGTCTGCTTTCCTTCATAAATAACAGAATAGACAATGATGTCATTACTAAAATAGATATGCGATGGGAGGAAAATTTTGAGAAGGAAAACTGAGAGTTAACTTTAAGAAGTGGGAAATCAACAATCCAACCAGAAATGTGGAAGTTTATTTCCACTTCATATTAACTCTGGCATCCCATATAAGTGTTCATCCAGCTTACCTCTGAGCCTCCGCTTCCGGCAGCTAACTCTTGTTCCAGCCATAGTGTCCTTGTTTGTTTCACCCCCCTCGCTCCTAGCCCTTATCCATGTCTGTGCCCTTTAAATATATTTTTCTGTCAACAAATACCCTTTCCTATTATATTTCTGTCACTAATTTACCATCTGTTCACCAAGACTCACTTTACATCCTATTGCCTTTGGTCCCTATCCAGCCCATCTCCTATTTTTGTGTGACCCATGAGCTAAGAATAGTTTTTACATTTGTAAATGGTTATACAGTTTAAGTGCTTATGTAATAGTCTAGGTTTTGCCTCTTGGACTGAAAGCCTACAAAAAATGTACTATCTGGCCCATTTAAATTTGCTGACCCTTGTTCTAGATGCTTAGGAAAGAAGTTAATTCATTATATTCAATGGATTCCTTGGGGTGTTAGGCCTTAATACTCTCTTGGAACTCTGCTGAGGAGGCTAAGAGAGAAAGTACTTACCCCAAGCCAGGTGCTTTCTGATGTCTCAGCTGAATGCCCAGGTTGTTAGAGAGGTGTTAACAAAACAAGATCTCTTCTCTGCAGCTGAGCTACTATTCCCATCCTCCAGTACTGCTTGATCTCTACGATCTCTTTTCCTCTGTCAATCCTTTAGTAACCACTCTCTGGGAAGTCGTCCCCTTGACTGTATATACTAGACCTCAGTCAAAAACTCATGGATGAAATCCACAGAACCAGAGAACTCCTGGGCTCTTCCTCTGCACAGGTCCTTCTTCTCTGCTGTGCTCTTGTTATGGGCTGAATGTTTGTGTCCCTCTAAAATTAATAGGTTCAATTCCTAACCCCCACTGTGATGTTATTTGGAGTGGAGGCCTTTGGGAAGTAATTAGATTTACATGAGGTCATAGGGTCGGGGGGCTTCATAATGCGATTAGTGTCCTTAGAAGAAGAGGAAGAAAGATTAGCATTCTCCATCTCTCTATGCCATGTGAGGACACAGCAAGAAAGTGACCATTTGCAAACCAGGAAGAGAGCCCTCACTGGGGGACAGATTCAGTGGGCATCTTGATCTTGGACTTCCCAGCCTCCAGAACTGTGAGAGATAAATTTCTGTTGTTTGAGCCACCCAGTTGATAGTATTTTGTTATAATAGCCCATGCTAAGGTACCTCTTCTGCAGATTCTACCCATTTAAATTGCCCCAAATTCTGACCTCTGCCTCCTCAGCTCTGAAGGACCACTGTACTCTGCTTGGCTGCTTAGGCAGTGCTCTAAATTACCTAAGTGTCTCTTCTCTGTCCTGGCTCTAGCCTTTCCAGCTCCTGGCTAAAGTACAACTCCCATCTGAATCCTAGAATCCTAAAACCACCACTTATATTTATCTCACCTCCTGAAGTAATGAGATAATCTAGGAAGATGTTCTCAAATGGACAAGTTAGATAACAGTTAAGCTCAAATAAAAAGAAAAACAGTCACTTGTGGCACCGTTAATACTTGAGAGCCATATTCAAGCAAGACCTTACTCTAAATCTTGTTGTATATCATAATCACTTAAGGAGCATTAAAAAAATAGATTCCTGGTGATTTTTGCCTCATTATGTACTTTTAAAGGTACTTTAGGGGAATCCTCATACAACTAGCCTAACCCTGAATCTCAAACATATACATTTAGGAATTCCAGTGGTTATTTGTCATTTATCTCTACCCACTAGATTCATTCTCTATCCTTTACTGCTGGCCCTGCACCCTGGGGGCTGACTCATGCAGAAAGCATACTCTCATGGATGCAGTGTTCTCTCAGCTCCTTGGTTAGAGATTAGAGGGCCTGGTATCTCTTTCCCAGGATCCTTCTCAGAATTCTGGTTTGGATAGTGGTTATTCCCTCTATGGCCACAGCCAGTGGTTTGCTGTTGCTGTGGCTTGTTAAATTTCCAGTAATTTTGTGGGCCAGTTGCTAAACATAGTCAGTATTAAAAAATAAAGCACATATATATGTACAATTAAATAGATTATATTAAAAATAACAAATATTCAAAACCCATGACTTCCTAATTATTTTACTGCATTTTACTATTATCTATGCTTTTGAAGTTCCTTACCTCTACCTGTGTGATCAAAATACATAATGATGTGCTACTCTGCATCTCTTCCAAACTCCACGTTCACTGACCACATCGGTAGCTTGAAATTGTCCATAGTGGGAGGATTTACTGCATAAAAATCAGTATTACAAATAGGTTTTTTTTTCTCCTGAAGAGCAGGCTGTTAAACATTTCCCAGGAGGCACAGCACTGGCTCCAGCTACTATGAAAGGCTCCTCTTCCACTATCTCATCTCTCTTCAGGCCCTAGGAATGCTATACCCTGCCTTTGGGTCTTCAGGTCTATGGATGATAACAGTTTCTCCTCACTGTTAACACCTGGATTCTTGTTGGTTCTCTTACCTCTAGCCATACCTTCAGAATAGTCCCTTCATTAGACTCACATCAGTCAAACCCTTTTGAGTTGACATCTGTTTCCTACTGGATCCCTGACTGATACAGGCACCATCTCCAGAGACCAGTACTTTCAGAAGTGCAATTGGTAGAAAACAAATACTGTAAAATGTAGATAATTTTCACATTGAAGAAGGTTCATTGGTCAAACGTTTAAGAAAAATTAAATCTAACAAAAATAGGGATGTTTCTTTACTGTGGGACATCTCAAAACCTTTTATATAGGTAACATATTTTGTGATATACCTTAAACTTTCATGTCCTTTTTTTTTTTCTATAAAACTTCTATTGCAACCAATTTTCCAAGAAACACTACTATGGAGTTATTTTAAAAATACAATATTAGGGTCCAGGCACAGTGGCTCATGCCTGTAATCCCAGCACTTTGGGAGACTAAGGGGGAATGATTGCTTGAGGTCAGGAGTTTGAAACCAGCCTGACCAACATGGCAAAAACCCCATCCCTACTAAAAACACAAAAATTAACTGGGCATGGTGGTGCATGCCTATAATCCCAGCTGCACGGGAGGCTGAGGCAGGAGAATTGCTTGAACCCAGGCGGCGGAGGTTGCAGTGAGCCAAGATCACACCACTGCACTCCAGCATGGGCAACAGAGTGAGACTCCATCTCAAAAAAAAAAAAAAAAAAAAAAGAAAGAAAGAAAAAAAGAAATGCAGTATCAGTGTTAGGCACTATATTGGAAATTGACCTAAAACAGAAATGCTTTAGTAATTCTCACAATGTGTTTATATTTTTAAAACTAATGAAACTGATAGATGCTGCCATACTTATAAATATATACTAACATCTTTTTTATCCATTGACATTGAAGAATAAGTGTTGTACACATAAGTAAACATTTTAAATTTCTGAATATTACCCCCAGGAACAGCGAAAATCAATTTAAATCATTTTGAATGGAGAGCATTTTTAAATGTATGATGACTTTATGATATATGTATGATGACTACTTGAAACATTTCTCAGTATGCTTTGGCGGTCAGTAGCTGTTGATTTATCCCTACATGTAATGACTCCAAACTTTAGGTTTTATGTTTTCATGGATGTGCTTATTTCCCTCTGTGTCAGGTTGTCAGCTAACATTGCTTACAGTTGTCAATGCATCTAATTCTAGCTTCCCTCTTGCTTCTAATCTTCTCTAACATGGGAAACCAGATATCCAAGCTGGTTAGAATTGTGTATACAGTGATGGAGGATGTTTATCCCCTAAATTCTAGGTTGATATAGCTATCAGATAAATGGCCTCCAGAGAAGAGACATAATGTATCAAACTCAGCCCAAATTTAAGCCAAACCAGAACTAAATTGAGTCTGTTTAATTGTCATAAATATGTAAAATGTAAAATAACAAACGCCAGTACATAGAATATATTTTGTGGAAATTAATCTTTCAGGCTAAAGTTATCATTTTCACAGGATACCTTTTAAAATACAGACAACTTTTCAGTTTTTGGTGAAGCTAAGCCTATTTTCTTGACAGCCATTTTGTGAGGTTTATGTCAGACAAATTAATTCCAAAGGGAAAAATAAATATTCACTTTCTTTTTTTTTTTTTCTTTCTTGACCGGCTCTTCAATCCAGGATTGAAATTATCTCTGTGGGATGACATCTCAGAGAACCCAAACATCTGAAGGAGGGAGAACACAAAAATCACAAGAGAAACCCAAAGGAGATCTGAAAAGGCGCCCGCCTGAGGCAACCCACACTCACATAAGCTTCCATTATGCATGAAGTTGCTGAGAATCTTTGCAATGGCTCATGGGAGATCTATTTACATGGATTTTGTTACAGAAGCTAACCACATTTTGAGTCAGACAGAGTGGTGTCTGATGTTAAATAAATAAATAAAAATTTCCCTTGTGAAAAACCATCTCTTCTAGTCAGGGGCAGTCACTGGTGTGACTCATGACCTTGAAGCTGCATTTGAACTTGATGGAAGATGGTCATTAGTCCACCTAAAGACCTGATCATGGTTTTTGACTTCTAGAGCACAGTTATTTTTTTGTTAATGCTGGGAATTTGCAGTGAGACATTCACACACACACATTTTTCTTTTCTTTTGTCTTCTTTTATACACTATGTTTGGAAGGAATTTCAAGAGGGCTTCAATTTGTTGAAAGAGGTTGCCTCTTTATGGGGTAGGAGGTGGGACTCAACTCAAGAGGCAGGGCTCGGCTCTGGACCACATTGAAGACTGGCTCTATAAGGCAGGCCTTCCAATATCATGACAGTTTACTCATTTTCTGGAAACAACCCTACCTGGAAGTTACCACTCCTTTTTCTAGAAATTTCCGAATAGCCTGCCCCCTAATTTGCACATAATTAAAAGTGAATATAAATGTGGTTGTAGAACTGCCCTGAGCTGCTACTCTTGACACACTGCCTATGGGGCAGCCCTACTCTGCAGCAGCAGTCATGAAGCTCTAATACTACTCCCTCAATAAAGCTGTTTCCTTCCACCACTGGCTCGCCCTTGAATTCCTTCTTAGGCAAAACCGAGAACCTTCTGGAGGGGAGTCCCAAAATTGGGGTTGCAACACTTAAAGGTTGATGTTCAACTTCTGGGTGAAAGGAATCTAACTTAGGCTAGACACAAAGAAAACTGAGGTAATAATGATTGCAATGACCACTACCATTTATCAGCTTGCTATTATGAGCAGTGTACTTGCTTCATTGATATTCATAACCCTTATCGCAACTCTATGTTAGCTCCACTTTACAAAGAAGAAAACTAATGCTTGGAAATGTTAGTTTCCCCTAGTTTTTTTTTTTTTTTTTTTTTTTTTTTTTGAGACAGAGTCTCGCTCTGTCCCCCAGGCTGGAGTGCAGTAGCACAATCTTGACTCACTGCAAGCTCCGCCTCCTGGGTTCACGCCATTCTCCTGCCTCAGTCTCCCGAGTAGCTGGGACTACAGGCGCCTGCCACTGCGCCGGCTAATTTTTGGTATTTTTAGTAAAGATGGGGTTTCACCTTGGTCTCAATCTCCTGACCTCCTGATCCGTCCGCCTCAGCCTCCCAAAGAGCTGGGGTTACAGGCGTGAGCCACCGCACCCAGCCAGTTTCCCCTAGTTTTACAAAGATGTAAAGTGGTAGAGCTGGGATTGAAACATCAGATCCATTTGACTCATTTGCTCCTTTGAAGTGCATACTCAGCACCTTTCTCTGTCACAGTTGTAGGTACATGAATCCAAGCACTTAACACCTCAGGTCTGGATTGTAGCCAGTCTCTTACCTGGCTTTCCATAGCTGGCTCTTGCCACCTAAGATCTGATGGCCATATTGTGGCTATTTTTATCTTCCTAAAGCTCACTTCTCCTTCATTAAAACCCCACCCTCTGCAGGATGGAGCCTGACTCTTTAGCCTAACCGTAAGAGACTTCCAGGACTGGATTTTGTTTTCATTTCCCATCACTCCCTGCCATCTTCCTGTGCTTCAGCCACCCTAAAGCATTTGACCTTATACTCTCCCCATTCACTTTATACTCACCCTATGGGTACCATTTTCTCTACCTGCAAAGTCTTTTACCATGTCCACATATATAAATTTCACCTGTCCTTCATGGCCCACCTGCTGTGTCACCTCTTCCATGAAACCTCTCCTGATGCCCCAGCCAAAACTGATCGTGCCCTCCCTTGAACCCCTGCAACAGTTTGCACTTCCATTTCTTATAGGTTTTATCACTTACTTCCTAGGGCAATAATTTTTAGTGACCAATACTCATCTTGACACACTATAGGGGACCATGCTGGTCTTGGTCACCATAGAAACCTCGTCTTCATATTAAGCATATAGAAAGCACTTAATAAATAATTGTTACATGGATATTGATTTCTTACTGCTAATATGTCTTTCTATTGAAATATACAGAAAAGAGAGAATAGCGTAGAGCACAATGAATTATCACAAAATGAATATTCTCATTAAACCATAACTCAGATCAAGAAATTGAACATTAAGGCCAGGAGCAGTGGCTCACGCCTATAATCCCAGCACTTTGGGAGGCCAAGGCAGTTGGATCGCTTGAAGTCATGAGTTCAAGACCAGCCTGGCCAACATGGAGAAACCCTGTCTCTACTAAAAATACAAAAATTAGCCAGGTGTGGTGGTGCACACATGTAATCCCAGCTACTTCAGAGGCTGAGGCAACAGAATCACTTGAACCTGGGAGGTGGAGGTGGCAGTGAGCCAAGTAAACACCACTGCACTCCAGCCTGGGTGGCAGAGTGAGACTCTGTCTAAAAAAAAAAAAAAAAATTTGAACATTAAACATACCTCTAGAATCTCTCCTTCATTTATCTTCCTAATTGCTACCTCATTCTTCTTTCCCCAAAGTAGCTACTATGATTACTTTTAATACCATAGGTTAATTTGACTCTTAACATTTTATAAAATGTAATCATACATATGTTTTCTTTGGTATCTGGTTCTTTAGGTCAGTATTATATTTGTGAGACTTATCTAAGTTGTTGCATGTGGCTGTACTTTGCTATTTTCTTTTTTTGTTTTGTTTTGTTTTTTGTTTTTTTTTGAGATGGAGTTTCCCTCTCGTTGCTCAGGCTGGAGTGCAATGGTGCAATCTCGGCTCACTGCAACCTCTGTCTCCTGGGTTCAAGCAATTCTCCTGCTTCAGCCTCCCGAGTAGCTGGGATTACAGGCATGCACCACCATGCCCAGCTAATTTTGTATTTTTAGTAGAGACAGGGTTTCTGCATGTTGGTCAGGCTGGTCTCAAGCTCCTGACCTCAGGTGATCCACCCACCTCGGCCTCCCAAAGTGCTGGGATTACACGTGTGAGCCACGGCGACTGGCCCTGCTTATTTTCATCACTGAATAGTATTCCACTCTATACATATTTCTTGGTTTATTTATTCATTCTACTCCTGATGAACATTTTGCTTGAGACATTGGTTCCTCATGGACATTCCAGTTTGGGACTCTTACAAATAATGCTGCTATAAACATCCTTCTATGGTATTTGCATTTTAGTACTGATTATGGTATTGAGTTTAACATAGTCCAGATTGATTTCAGGGTAAATTATGATACATATGAGCAGTTAAAATGTTTCCAACTTTGTGTTAGACAGTGAACACCATTAGTATAAGTGAAAGAATTACTGAGATGAAAATGCAATGTCCAGTCAAAAGGTTTTAAATACCAAGGCATCTGGGAGTTAGCATAAGCCCATGCCTCAATGTTGGAGGTAATGATGGTAATAAACGGAATCTCAAAGCTTTCTGAAATCCATGTTCTGTGTGGCAAACTTACACCTGCATGCCATTTAGTACACTCATCAAACTAAAATCCCACTGAAAGCCAAATCACATGTTTTAATGGCTTCCTATTAACTTCATTGGGATTCCTGTTCTGGGGTTGAACACAAAACATCCAGCACTGGACAGATGAGATATACAGGAGTGTATTATACTCCATGTCCAGAAACTCAAACCCTGGGAGAGGAGGGCAGCGCACACCCTGAAGAGCCACACGGGGGTTGCACTCAAGAGCATAATGAGCCATCAGGGGCTGTGAGGCAGGCTTTGTAGTATCAAAAGGATGGATGACCCCTGGTTTTCATGGGAGGAGTGATTGGCTTGTTTGAATAATTCTCTAGGCTGGAAGGGAAACAAAACCTACTACTCAGGGATGAGCAGGAATTGCACCTGGTCTCTTTGACGAGGTGGGCTGTTTGGCTAAGGGACCTTATTCACAGAAGCAGACTGGGGAGGGGAACTTGCAGTTAGGCCATTCAAAGCCCTTCCGATGTCACCTGAAGGCAGCACATAATATTGGGCCTTAATATTAGAACTTATACCACACATGTAAATGAAGAACAGGGGTTCCAGCAGAATTAAGAGTAAGATCCAAGATATGACCAAATTTAGCAGTAATGGACAATAGGAAATACTTACTATGGATATTCCAGAAGACAGGTTTTCGGGGATAATTTCAATTAAAAAATTTCCAGTGCTTTACATTCCTGCCTTTCAAGATCTACCTTCAAAATTTATTACTTCTCCCCTGCCCCCTGTGTAAAGGTAAATGCTGTAAGCATTTACCCAGAATATAACTAACTTTAAGGTCTAAGAATAGTGAGTATGAGAGAGAGAGAAAAGAAAGAGAAAGAGAGAATTTCATTTACAGGTACATTTTAAGTTGCTTACCATGGATTTGGCAATAGGTCCTATGCCCTTATTATGGGGCCTTTTCACGTTATAATCATAGTGCTATTTTATGTCCTTGGCTTTGAGCTTAGATATGGTCTGGAAACTCATTGAGGGTAGGAATCAAATATTCATCTTTGTACCTTCCCCAGGACCTAGGAGACTGTTTCTGGTTTGAAAATAAATGTCAATTCAACATCTAGGTCAGAGCCTAGTGCAGGTAGATATTCAGCAAATGCTATGTCTTATGATGACAATGATAGGACCTCAATACTCCAAGTGTGGCCCAGGGACCATTAGCATTGGCATCACCTGGGTGCTTGTTAGAAATGCAGATCATCCTGTGCCATCCCAGACCCACTGACTCAGAAGATGCTCGGGTGATTCACATTCTCATTAAAGTTTGAGAAGCACTGCTCTAGAAGACCATCTTCTCAGCATATGAAATTCCCTGTGGCTAAGACTGCCTCCAGCATGACTCAGGAAGTTTACTGAAAACAAGAAAGAGCTGAGGGAGTTGATATGTCTCTCCTTCACCGCATCCTCCCTACTCCAGTGTAACTGAAAACGAATTGACCAGGACCCAAAGATTTCATCAGAGTATGCATTTAATTTCTCCCTTTAAACAAATAAGAAAGGGAAAATATATTGGGAAAGGGAAACAGGAAAAAAAGGAGACATGAAGAAACACTCTTGGTCCTGCCTTACGATGTTCCCATGTGTGGGATTTGATCCTCATAAAGTGAGGAAATCTCCACGGACTTGCTGCTCATTTCTGTTTGCTTACTTCTTCACGCCTCACTTTTATTGTTCTGTTTTGATATGCATAGTGCCTGATGCCAAGATGTTTGGTGAAAGTTTCTAACCAGAAACTTGCTGGTAGAACATAATAAGATGAGGGGAGAAGTAAGAAAACAAGAGCTTGGAGCCTTTCCTTTTGGGTTAGGGAGGAGGCTGGCTTTTTTTTTTTTTTTTTTTTTTTGCCTCAAACTTGGTCATCCATAGCAGAAGTACATCTGGGACTTATTTTGCTCCTGATAAGTTTATTCCTTATAAAATAGCACCAGATCCTAGCATGAAGGTCCTAGAAAAATCCTCGGAGATCCCTCAACTTTAGCCATTTGAGAAATAAAGTTTTATGTATAACTTATTACGTATGTAATATTTTATATATATTATATATAACTTTATTTCTCAAATGGACCAGGGCCATCAGAAGCTGTGGTCTGCCTACCCATGGTCTACCCAAGGACCTACTATTATTAAATCTGTCTGCCTTCACTAAAAGAGAACAAACATATTAATTTTTGCTGATGTTAACAATCTAATTTGGGGGATTTCTATATTGCCATAGAGGCACTTATTAACTCATGGTTCCTCTTTAACTTAGATCACAGTCCAAGTTTGCTTTCTGCCCTCTTAGACGTATAACCCCTGGCCTAGACCATGCAAGATTAGAAATGAAGAGACCAATTGGGAGTTTATTGCAATAGTCTAGATGAGAAATGCTGAGATACTGAACTAGGGTAGAGGTAGGATAGAAAGGAGAGGTGGAGCTCAAATAAGGTGTAAACTTGGCAGGACTTGATGAGTATTTGGACCTGAAGGGTGAGAGACAACTTACATTTTTCTAGCGTGAGTGCTAACAGTGGTGGTACCGCTCCAAGAAACAGAAAATATAGGAAGAAAATAAAATCTTAGGGGAAGATATAGTGTTGAATTTTGAACATGCTCTTTGAGGTCTGTGTGCATGCATGTGGAGATTCTAGTAGGCAATTAGATATTCTGATTCTCAATACTCAGAATCCCAATAGGCAATTATGAGTTGGTATCTAATCAGAGGCCATGACTTTACATTAAATGATGGAATCTGGTAGTTCATAGGAAGTAGTTAAAATTATGAGATTACCTATGGGTAATAGGCAAAGTGAAAATAGCCAGAGAATGAGGGGTGAGCCCTAGTGAACCAAAATGCTTATGGAGAACACAAAGGGTGAAGCACTTGTAAGACTGAAGAATGATCAGGAAATGAGAAAGAGGCCCAGGATAATTTGTATAAAAATCAGATAGTGTATGATAATATTCCTTTTAACTCACAAAATTGATATTCATAAAGTGGAACAGTGGTTTGTAATCTGTAAAAAATTCTAAAGATGTAGAATAATATGAATTTGTAATTGGCTTTTATGCATGCACTGTTTTATATGTGTGTATTTGCCTATATATTTATGTGACATAATGATTTGAAGGCACTGGAGATTGAAAAAAAGTGGGCAGAATTTCTAAGGGATTCAACTCTTGGAAGAAGGGAACAACAGTGGGTGAGGTCTGCCTTTATCTGACTGTTCCTCTGAGGGCACTCTGCATTCTACAAAGTATAGAGTGGCTGGAATTCAAGCAGAGAAAGCTACCATCTTATTAACCTGAGGTATCTGAAGATGCAATGTGGGCCTGCAAGAGTGGCTGGAAATTAAGGAGGGAAATCCTGAAAAGGAGGCACTTGTAAAAGAAGAAACCTGCAGATCTGATGACAAACTCTCTTCAAATCCATGGATGAACTAGAGGCAAGAGGAAGATTCCAATTTGCTGAGCAGAACTCAATAGCTAGAAGTCTGAAAAAGCTGGGCAGAATTTTAGCTGTTATTCAATACAGAGGAAACAGACTTTGAAGTTGGAAGGGCTTGGCAAAAATCTCAGGCTTTTCTTTGTTTCTTCTAAGCCTTTTATTTAGAATTAATAAATAGTAAAGTCACAGGAAGTTACAAAGATAGCTCTCATGTACCCGTCACTCAGTTTCTCCCATGGTTATCTTACATAACTAGAATACAATAACAAAACCAGTCTATAAACTTAGCACAATACATGTGTACAGTTCTATGCCATTTCATCCTATGAGTAAATTCATGTAACCTCTACTGCAATCAAAATACAAAACTATGCCAGGTAGGGTAGCTCACTCCTGTAATCCTAGCTCTTAGGGAGGCCAAGGCAGAAAGATATCTAACCTTTTTTACAAATTACCCTGGGCCTCCTACTCATTTTCTGTTTCATTCTTCAGTCTTTTACAAGTGCTTCACCCTCTGTGTTCTCCATAAACATAAGGCCATAAGGTCAGGAGGTTGACATCAGCCTGGGCTACACAGTGAGACCCCATCTCTACCAAAAAAATAAAAATTAAAAATTAGCCAGGCATGGTGGGGTGCACTTGTAGTCCCAGCTACTCAAGAGGCTGAGGTGGGAGTATCACTTGAACCTAGGAGTTTGAGGCTGCAATGAGCAGTGATTGTGCCACTGCACTCCAGCCTGGGTGAAAGGGGAGATTCGGTCCCTAAAAAGAAAGAAAAAAAAAGATACAAAACAACTCCATCACCACGAAAAAGCCCCTCATGTGAATCCTTTATAGTCATGCCCAACCTCTTCTCCACAACCCTCTCTAACCCCTGGCAGTGACCTAAAATATCCTCAATCTCTGTAATTTTGTCATTTAGTAAATGTTACATATATGCAGTCATACAGTATGTGACCTTTTGAGGTTGGCTTTTTTGTCTTTTAACTCAGCGCAGTGCTCTTGAGATCCACTCAAATTGTTGCATATATCAATAGTTTCACTTTGTTGCTGAGCACCATTTCATGGTATGGCTATAATGCAATGTGGTTAGCCATTCACCTAATGAGGGATATCTTGGTTGTTTCCAGTTTTTAGTTATCACAAGTAAAGTTTCTATAGTCATTAGCGTATGGGTTTTTCTGCAACATAAATTTTTATTTCTCTGAACTAAATGTCCAGGAGAGCAATTGCTGGGTAAGGCTTTCCTTTTGAAATTCCATGAAGACCATGATTTTGTAGTAAAATCTATGTCTCTCAAAGCTGAGTAAAAGCTTTAAAATAGGGAAAAACTGAAGCAGGTTACTAATAAAGCTTAAACCCAAGTGATTACATATTCATGGGGAATGATTAGCAATTACACTGTTGAAAGAAAAAAATCCATTTTAGGGAAGACAACAGAATCTGGAGTTTCTACAGTATATTATCAACAATGTCCAGTATACAGTTAGAACTTACTAGACATGAAAAGAAACAGGAAAACAAGTCAACACAAACAGCTCCTGAAATTTCTCATACATTTGAATTTGCTGAAAAAGACTTTAAAGCAGCTATTATAAACATTCTCAAAGATTTAAGTAAAAACATGGTCATAAAAAGTGACTAGATGTGGAAACTCAGTAGAAAAATCAAAAAGAAGACATTCTAGAATTAATATGTGTAACAAATGAAATGAAAAATGGAGTAATTAGGCTTAAGAACAGACTGCAGACAGCAGAAATGCTGGTAAACTTGAAGACAAATCAATATAATCAAAGTAACAGAGAAAAAAGTTTCAAAAAAATAGACAGGGACTCAGTGACCTGTGAGACAATACCAAAAAGCCTAACACACATTTAATTGATTTCCCAGGTGGAGAAGAGAGAGAGAGAAAAAACATTTGAAAAAATAATGGTGAAAATCTTTCTAAATTTGATGAAAATAACAACACACAGAGCCAAGAAACTCAGTGAAGCACAAGCAGAATTAATACAAAGAAAATCACAAATAGATTCATCATCATCAAGCAGATGAATATCAGATGAAGAGAAAAAATTTGAAAGCAGCCAGAGTGAAAAAAGACACACTACACATAGGAAAATAACAATATGTATGATGGTGGACCTCTCCTTAGAAAAAATGAGCCCAGAAAAAATTGGAATGATGTCTTTAAAGTGCTAGAAGAAAAAAAAAATTGTTAATCATGAGTTTTGTACTCAGCAAAAATATAACTTTTGAAACTGAAGCTGGGGAGTGTGTGTGTGCACATGCATGTGTAACCTCATTAAAAATACAGAAGATTTGAGCAACACTGTTAGCCATCTTGATTTCTTTGACCTATTTGAACACAACATCTCAAAATAGCAGAATACATCTTCTTTTCAAGTGTACATCAAATGCTCACTAAGATAGACCATATGCAGGGCTACAAAATGTCTCAATAAATTTCAAAAGATTAAAATTTTACATAACATATTTTCTTATTTCAAGAGAATTAACTTGGAAGTCAGTAAAAAATCTAAAAGAAAAAAGCCAAAATATTAAGAAATTAAACAATATACCTTTAAATAACCCAAGTGTTAAAGAAGGAATGGCAAGTGAAATTATAAAATATTTGAACCACATATCAAAATTTGCAAGATGTATCTAAAGCAGTGCAAGACTTCTGGACTAAAAATAGCAAACTTCTTGAGAGAATTTTTAAAATACCTAAATATATGAAGAGATATACTATTCTCCTGAACTGGAAGACTTAATATTGGTAAGATGCCAATTCTTCCCAAACTGACCTATAGACTCAACACAATCTCTATCAAAATGTCAATAGACATTTATTTAAAAGAAATTGCCATGTTAATTAATAGTAAAATGTATATTTAAACAAAGGATGTAGAATGTCAAAATAACTTTGGGCCGAGCGTGGTGGCTCACTCCTGTAATCCCAGCACTTTAGGAGGCTGAGGCAGGTGGATCGCTTGAGCTCAGGACTTTGAGACCAACCTGGGCAATATGGTAAAATCCCATCTCCCCGCAAAATACAAGAATTAGCCAGTTATGGTGGTGTGCACTACTTGGGAAGCTGAGGTGGGAGGATTGCTTGAGCCTGGGAGGTTGAGGCTGCAGTGAGCAGAGATCACACTACTATACTCCAGCCTGGGCAACAGAGCCAGACCCTGTCTCGAAAAAATAAACTAACAATCAAAATGGGAAAAAAAAGAACAAAGGAGGCCCACATTATCTGATTTTAAGAGTTACTATGAAGCTACAGAAATCTAGACACTATTTTTCCCCATAAAAATAGACAAATAGATCAATGGAACAGAATAGAGAATCTAATAATAAATACATTATATATATGGCTAACTGATTTTCAACAAGATCACCAAAGCAATTCAGTAGAGAAAGGAAAATATTTTCAACAAATACTATGGGACTATCTGATTAAATGTAGGTTAAATGCATGTTAGGTGCAATTATAGGTGATTTTAAGTTGCTTCTTTATACCTCTTTGTATTTTTCATATTTCTTACAAAAGAATTACTTTTTATATCAAAAAATAAAATATTTTAAAAATTCTTTTCATTAATCAACAATTTGGTCTTGTGTGCTTCAAATATTCAGCATACTTTGTCCTCCCCATCTAGTAGGATAGCTAAACAAGAATCAGAAGGTCAACCTTAGTTGGTCAGCCTTTGCACACCCTGATGGGCCCTTTCAGTTTATCCAGGCTTGCACCAGGATCACCCACCTACCACATAAACAACCTCAGCCTACATAAAATAATGTATGTCAATTTAAAAAGTAGATGAAGTTGGGGATTCATGCTTCTGCTCTTTATTCAATCAGTGATGGTTAAAGAAATGGCTGGTTAATGGAGAAATAGGGGAAGGCAGGAAGAGATTGAAGTGGAAAAACAGCTGGAGACATTACTTTTAAAAGATAATTGTGAGGGTCATAAAATATAGTGGTTAGAGTGTGGGCTGTCTTGAATTTTATTCCATTTCTAGTGCTTCTTACTTTTTGTGACTTAGGGCAAGGTACTCAAATTCCCTATGTTTTCTCTGTAAGGCAAGGATCTGTAAAATAGTGATGATATTAGTACTAACTTCTGGGTTGTTATGAAGATTAAATGAAATAAACATGTATCTAAAGTGCTGGGAAACTGCCTGGTACTAGTAATCACTTAGTAAACTAGTTGGCTATTAGTATGTATTACTTGGCAGCTATTAGAGGCTTCAGAACCCCTCTCCTTGATTCATCTTTATGATAAATAAAGAAGAATGTCAGAGAACTCAGCTGAGTTGACTACTTAGTGACTATGAAGAGAGGAGGCTCAGAAATATATATCCATCTGTCTTAGTCTGTTTTCTGTTGCTACACCAGAATATCTTAGACTAGGTAATTTATAAAGGAAAGAAATTTATTTCTTACAGTTCTGGAGGCTGTAAAGTCCAAGATTGAGGAACTATATCTGGTGAAAGCCTTCTTGCTTGTGGGAACTCTGTAGAGTCCCAAAGGGGGCTCAGGAGAGAGATAGCAAAGCTGACTTTTATAAAAAAAAACCCCACTGTCATAGCACTTATCCCACTCCCTCAATAACCAATTAATCCATGAATGAATTAATTCAATCCTCTGGATGATTCAGTCACCTACTAAAAGCCCTACCTTTCAACATTGCTGCATTGGGGACTACGTTTCCAACACATGAGCTTTTAGAGGACACATTCACACCATATCATCCTTTGATACGCTTTTCATAATTTTAACTTATCATCAGAGACCAGGCTCTAATGTAAAGTATTCATAATTCTATTTCATTAAGATTTGCTGTTGGACACCCATGCTAGGTGCTAGCCTGTTTGAGTGTGTGGAAGATAAGTGGGGTATAATACACACAGCTATGCCTCCTATATCATCAGGAAGCATCAGTTGTGCCTTGGTGAAAAATGAACCCCCAAAACCTAGTAGCTTAACACAACAAAGGTTTATTTTTGCTCACAGTATTTGTCCATCATGGATGAGTGAGGAGCTCCGCTCAGCGGAGTCATTCAGGTTCCCCAGGTTGGTAGATGCTACTCCATTTATAGCTGTACCATCCAAAATACGCAGACAACTCCCTGGTCATTGCGGCAAGGAAATGAAAGCCTGGAGAATCATGTCTGGGCCTCTCACTACCTAGGCCCGGAAGTGACTTATTTTACTTCTGCTCCTAGTCAAATGGCTGCAAGAACTAGTCAAATGGCTCCACTTGACTGTAAGAGAGTTGAGAAGTACTTTAAGGCTCCCAGAAAGAGAGGAGAACTAGATGTGAGTGGACTTCAGTAAATACCTACTATATCTCACGGCTTTCCCCTTTCTTGCAGGTGACTCTCTCTCAGTATCATTTGAAAAGTAAGATTCACAGAGGCACACAGGACAGCACAGTCATCTCATAACCGAAGAGGCATCCCATGTTCTTGATGGCACACTTCAGAGGGGAACTTTGACTCAACTTTTTTTTTTTTTTTTGAGATGGAGTTTCGCTCCGTCGTTGCCCAGGCTGGAGTGCAGTGGCGCGATCTCTTCTCACTGCAACCTCCGCCTCTCGGGTTCAAGCGATTCTCCTGCCTCAGCCTCCCGAGTGGCTGGGATTACAGGCATGTGCCACCACGCCCGGCTAATTTTTTTTGTATTTTTAGTACAGACGGAGTTTCACCATGTTAGCCAGGATGGTCTCGATCTCCTGACCTCCTGATCCACCCGCCTTGGCCTCCCAAAGTGCTGGGATTACAGGCGTGAGCCACTGAGCCCAGCCTGACTCAACATTTTTAAAACATCTTCCAAGTTCCCCATTTCTCCCCTTCTTTAAGTCATTAAGCACAAATCCCAATCTAATGCCAACAGTCAATGACAGTGTAATATGCAAATCCTCAAGTTAACAGGGCTCTGCTTATGTGGACTGCTGTTGTTTAGGAATTCAGGGCTTGGGAGGCACTTAGGATATTATATCTCACATTCAATTCAATTCTATTCAACTCTTCTCTCACTTCCCAGGTTGTTTTAATGGCCCTTCCCTGTGTGTCAAGATACCGAAAGAATCTATACCATGTCTCCTTTACCAATAAGCACAGTAGTCCCAGAACTCAAGATTCTGGCTTCTTTCTAGTTGCACTAAGCAAATAGAAACTGCAGAAGCTCAAAGAAACTCAAAGAAAGTGCAGATCTGTGGTCTGGAGCAGGCCATCTGGCTACTCAAATAGTGGCAAAATCCCACAAAATAACATTTGTCTGATTCTGTGCTGGCCAAAGTATGTTCCATTGAGCATTTGTTCCCCAAGATGCCACTAGAGAAGATAGTTGCAGAGTTTAATTTGTGTAAGAAACTCTGCACTCTCTATCGTCTTCTTAGAGGCTGATGGTGTAACAGCCTATTAAATGTTCCAAAAAACATGTAGCATAAAGAAGAATCACATTTCTTAATTTAATGATTTGAGAATTTACTTTACCAGAGAACTGTACACTTTTGGCATAAAAACCTATTAACACACTGTGGAAAAATATTCTTTGGGATTCATTTTGGAAAAGGTAAACCTAGGAAAATTCACTATGATAATCCAGAGTCTTTCTTGCCAACACAGCTGGAGTAGATTGGTCTTTTGGGGCAGACACTCTCTAACAAAGACGTCTATAAGCCCCAGATGAAATTATTTATGTTTGGGATTTTGGTGGATAAGTGGTGGGTGGGGGTGGGGGTTGGGGCATAAATAAAGCAAGAGTCACTATTATTAGTTGATGACTTGACTTAGTTGGGTAATGGGTACATGGGAGCTTCTTTATACTATTCTCTGCTTTTCTGCTTCCTTGAGGTTTTCCCTCAAAAACTTTTTTTTTTCAAAAGGAAAAATTTAAACCAGAATTCCAAATGATTTATCTATAATAGTAGTAATAAGGGTAAATTTATCATGTTCCAAGATATGTTCTAGGAACTTGACAAGCATTGTCACTTAATCATAACAGCTCAATGAGGAAGGCATTCATTAGTATTCTCATTTTATAGATTGAAAAAACAGGCTCAGAAATGTGGCCACATGCTTGAGGTCACACATCTAGTAAAAAAACAGGCAGAATGTGGACCCAGGTCTCTCTGATTACTAAGCCTGTGCTCTTAACAAGTGTGTTACGTATACTAGCTGCAAAGAGGACCAGGCCCTCATGTTCTCTGGCTTCCCTAAAGGCAAGCTGTATGATCAAGGTTGCTCACAATGGGTGGAGAAAGAAAATAAATAGAACCAAAGACTCTCAGAATTAGCGTGGCATTAGCATCTACCCAGTGCAACCTCTGTCTCTTCTTTAGTATTCTGCACATGGGGATATCAACAAAGTTTCCTTCCTATTTTTCATTACAGTAAGTGCCTTTCCTGGAGTTGGAAAGCAAACTTAGGACAGCAATACTATTCCAAACCTGTTAACTAATTTTCAAATCTTCTGATCCTAAGTTTTGCAGAAGGGCTAACATAACACTGGCTTAATCAGTACAGAAGCTCTTCTACTTATGAAGTTTTGTTAATTACATGAATAGGAACAAAGCTTTGCTTTAAGGGGAAAAAAAGTGTCTATTCTGCTTGCCACCAAAAAAGGCAAAAGCAACCATGTCCAGTCATTTTCACCTATGACCACTTTGCTGATTTCTGCTTAATTTCTGAGGCATTTTTCCAAAGGTTATTAACCTCATCATGTCCAGTAAGTATAAAAGCCATAAATGTGAAAGGAGTGTTGAACATAGGTATACTATTACAATTTTAAGTTGAAAGTGGAGAGAAAATGACAAATGCCCAGTGTCATTAGGGATTTACTAATAAACGGACCCACAAACAGTTTCCATAACCCAAGCTGTGTGTAAGGGGGTTGATTCTATATTCCAAAGAAATGGGATGTTTTCAGGGTTGTTTTATCGTCAGCAGCAAAAGTCTTTTTTGAGAAAACGAAACAAACACCGAATAGTGTATATGCAAGTTTTGCTAAGTCAAATTGTGTGTATTTAGATGGGAGGGTGAAAGAGTTTATTTGTGTATTGAAATGGTTCATGTCAGTTTTGTCTTTTAAGTCCTTGTGGAGCTCCCAGGAGCCCTTACCTGAGCCAAGTTTTCCATTTATAAGCAAAATCTATTTGTTTATGCACATCCATTTTAAATTTCAATTTTCTTTGGGAACAAAAGAGAGAGCTAATTACTGTATTAACTGAATTTTTTATTGCAACAGGGCACAGAGAGCTGCAGTCAAAGAGAAATGAGAATATTCAAATGCCAGCAACTGCTACATGCTCACTCTTGAACCAATCATTTAGCAAAAGATTTTAGAATACTGTGATTGGCCAGGACTGGGTCAAAAGCTCTTTCCTAGGGGAAGAGGAAGGGAAGGGAAATTTCACCTAAACCATACAGGCTGAGCAAAATTGCTATGGACTAGGGAGGGGTAATTCTCCAAAGGAAAGCATGCTGAACAGACAAATCATACTTCCATATGGGAACCAAACAACAAAAGAAAAAAGTCCTCGATGTATATAGTAGATGTTCAGTGCAGAGTGTAACTAAAATTTCAGAACTTAAACCCACAAACAAGCCATATTCCCACTGCTGCTTTGATAGAATAGATTCTTCATTCAAAATGCTATCGTTGGTTAAAAGTGCTTTAGAAAATGTTTTGATGAAAGTAAGAAGAATGAGAAACAGCACAAGGATGCTTGGAATGGGGAAGAAAAGAGGGCTCTTTCGAGGGCTGGGCAAGAGAAGAGATTGTCTAGAAAATACTGCTTATTTCTGTCAAATGACAAGACTGAGTTCTTCAAAAAAGACTTGGCCATTTGATGTGTTTAAGCGATTACATGGTGATCTGTTTGCTCACTTCTGGGTGTCACAGCCAGCCTTGGTCATCAAAAGGCCTGTTTGCCACAGGGCAAAACAAAGTCCAGGTAAGCAGTTAGAGTATGTTCAGCAGTTGGGAATACATGACTCCTAGCCCTTTCAAGTTTGAGGCTAAAATGGATTTTGTTTGTTTTCAAAATCCACTCCCATACCCTAAGCAGATTTCTGGAAAAGAACTCTAGTTCCCCTACCTCCTACCAATAGTGCAGCCAAGCATTCCTGAAAGTGTTGCTTGCAATTTAAAGCATAGCCATATTTAATTTTTTCCCATGCTTTTCTATTTGACCTTGTTTCCTTCTTTCCCTAGAGAAAAATTTGAGATTCCAGAGGAATCATCATGTCTTTGGCATAGTATTTCTCAGCCCTTTCATTCTTGCCTTTAACCCTGCAATTTAGCTCCTTACCTTTGCAAATAAAATATGCTTCTGAGAGCTTTGCTTCTTAAAAGGTCCTCCCTAGAAAGCCTTTGAGAATTTTCTTTGTGTGTACTATGTGTGTTTGTGTAAATATGTTCTTTTAAGTAAGACCATATTGATATAAAAGAAAGGCAACTCCTTTTCAGCTGGGCCAAGATCCAAGTCATCTTCCTTACCTAAAACACTGAATATGCAAGCCCCACTATACATACTTAAATTCCTGCCTTGCTGCAAGCTAATGGTTGATGGTACAAGCAACACACTTGGAAATTCAGGTCACAGCCTGACATCCTAACCATGGAAAATGACATATTCAGGAGGGTATGAATAAAATGCAGCTGTCAATGCAGTGATATCTGCCGGGCTCCAGGTCCTGCTCTTTGGACATTGTCTTATATGTAGATATCATTAACTCCTGCTATTATCTACACCTTTTCCTGGTGCTTTTACTAACCCTTGGCTTCATCGGATGCCACCCAGAGACTGACTGGGTGGCTTCCTCAGTGGAAAGGGCTTCCTACGCAAGTCTAAAGGAGAGTGGCTGTTCTTAATTACACCTGACAGTTATTAAAGTTTGCCATTGTGCCTGCCTTTATTGAGAAGAAAACTATAAGACTATGAGAGATGGGAAGATATTCTGATACCTATAACTGTTCCCACCAATGAGTCTACAGCTTAGATTTATAAAGGTGGCAAGGAAAACTCAGAATCCCAGGCTACTGGAAGAAACCACGGTTTGTTAGTCTAAGAGCTTCTGATTACAGTTAAGATGATCATGTGGTCTACGTACATAAAACAGTTCAGTGACTTCTCATTGGCTTATGAAAAAAACAAAAACCAAAACACCCAACAATTCCTTTACATGGTCTATTCCCATATCATTCTGACCCCCAAAAAATGTCCCCAGCTTCATCTCATAACTGCTCTCCCCCTCACTATCTGAGTTCCATTTCCTCTTGCCTGTCAAACTCCAGCTTCCACAGGGCTTCTGTGTAAGCTGCTCCCTCTGCCCAGAATTCTCTTCCTTCCTCATTAACTCCTGCTCACCTCAGAGAAGCCTCTCCTGATAGTGGATGGGTCAAATACCCTTCAATATTCATGGCTTCAAAGGTAGGGATGTAGGAAATGGAAATGGCCTTCCCCAGTCTCTAGCAGGAAAATCCTATTTAAACTTCAAAGTTCAGCTCCAGATGTCTTCTATGCTATGGGGTCATTCCTAAGTCCTCTGGGCACAGTCTGTGGTTCATGACTTATTATTCTTATCTTTTCTATAGCACTTAAACAAATTTGGTTATTTATCTGCTCACAATTCTGTTTTTCCACCCAATTTTTCCTTTTGAATGGCATGAACTTTGTCTTATTCATCTTTGTGTCCCTAGTGCCTATATGCTTAATAAATCTTTGTGGAATGAATGAATGATTGAGTGAATAAGGAGAAAAACATGAAGGGCAAGTGTAGGAGAAAACAGATATGATGGCAGTCTTTATTTATAGATAGGGTGCTGTTCATGCCCCTAAGTAGTAATTTCTTTTTTGTTTAAACCAGACACCTTCTGGACTATATGTTCAGACACTTCATTTGTAGTGGGTTTCCTACTTTCTAAAACTGTGCATCTACTTTATAAAACCATCACTTATAGTTAAAGATACCCTCTCACTTTCTGCCTCCTTATGATGACAGGTCCTTGACACTCCTCCATCCGACTCTTCAGTTTGAATCCACGAACACTTACTTCTTCTGTGTTCTAATCAAGGTGATGACTAGTTGATACGATCATATGAGCTCAGCTAATCTGCTATTCGGTAAAGGGCTACAGAGAAAGTTAGTCAGATCTTCAGGCTCCTTACTCTTCTCCCAGGCAATTTTTTCTTGGTGGCCCTCTGAAAGTAATGCTGTTGTTTAATCTGATAGCGACTGAGATTAGGTGATATCAGTCAAGAGTGGACTCAGCTGCAAGTAGCAAGGAACTCGAGAAGATTGGCATAAGGAAGGAAGAGGGTTATTTTTCTCCTATTAAGAAAAGCAGAGGTACTTAAGTCCAGGGCTGATACATCTAATCATAGTGTCTTCAACTATGCAGAGTCCTTCCACCTTCTGAGCTACCATTCTTTGTGGCTTTTATCTTCATGATTGCAAGGTGACTGCTGTACCATGAGGCTTTGCATCTATATTCCAGACAGGAAGAACGGGAGAGAGGGAAGGGCAAATCAGTGAAGAAATGTGCCAGCCAAATTAGAGTTATTTTAGTAAGGAAGGAATAAGAGAAAACAGCTTTAGGGTTGGGATCTAGCAGTGTCTGCCACAGAGCACTTACATCCTAACGAGCCAAGGAAGAGACATGTTTGAATCCCTTTCCTTTGGGCATTTTCTCAAATCGTGAGAAAAGGCTTACTCCTCCCCGGAACCTGGAAATATCTACTATAGAACAATGTCACTCAGGATTCTCTGGAGAAACAGAACCAGTAGGATACCATTATCTATCTATCTATATCTATCTATCTATCTATCTATCTATCTATCTATCTATCATCTATCTATCGATATTTTTATTTTAAATCAGCTGACATAATTGTGGGGACTGGCAAGTCTGAAATCCGTAGGGTGAGCTGGTAGTCCAGAAATTCAGGTAAGAGTCAATGTTGCAGTCTTGAGTCCAAAATCTGCAGGGCAGGGCAGCAGTCAAAAAACTCAGGCAGCGTTTCTCTTTTGAAGTTGGGAGGCAGAATTGCCTTTTCTTCAGCAACTCAGTTCTCTCTCTCTCTCTCTCTCTCTCTCTGTGTGTGTGTGTGTGTGTGTGTGTGCATGCGCGTACTTGCTCGCTCTTAAGGCTTTCAGCTGATTGGATGATGCCTACTCAATAATGGAGGGTAATCTGCTTTACTCAAAGCCTACTGATTATAAATGTTAATCACATCTAAAATTAATCTTCATGGAAACATCCAGATTTATGTTTGACCAAACAACTGGGCATCATAGCCTAGCCAAGTTGACACATAAAATTCTCTGTCAAACCCTCAAGATCTAGTCCAAAACCATAGCCCAGGGAATGCAAAGCCCTTTCCAAAGTAGCTGCACTTCCCAGGAGCTTATGTTTTCAGGGCCACCTCAGGTGCTACAACACATTCTGCTTTGCAGCTTCCATTCTATACCCCAGTTCAAGTCTGCCCTAAAATTCAAACCTGTCCTCAATATCCTATGACAGAAACATGACTTGCACACAGCATTTATGAATTTTAAAGACTTCCCTGACTGTTGAGTTGGGAGACATCCCTCCACCATATTCCATATCCCTTTCCCCTCCCTTCTTAGCAACTCCCTTTTCCACTGAAATCCCCACCAAAACCCCAAATTCTTTCTCTCCAACTACGCAAAATGATTTCCCTTCTTCTGATGTTTAAAACCTTGAATTCTCAGGTATTTGGAATCTACCTTGAGTTCTTATCAACATATTATTTTTCACACAAAGACATGTCTTTTCCTAATTGGAACTCTGGACTGATTGCTAAGATGACAGTATTTTTTACCTCTTTATACCTAGGAGTGTGAGACCAATAAAAAATGGCCCTTGAGAGAGTTCAGGCTTTTCAATCAAGAGAGGGTGATGAAGACATACAGAGGCAGAGATTTCAGAAAGGCATTATAACCCCAAACAGTGGCCCCATTTTTCTGCCAACAAGCTGAAGCTCCTAAGCACAGCACACATGGTTCTTGACTATTTCTCTACCTTCCCAGGCCATCTACCCTCCAACCTTATATTCCAGTCATGGTAGACTACTGGCAGTGCCATGCCTTTGCCCATGCTGCTGTTGCTTCTCTCTCTCTCTCTCTCTCTCTCTCCCCCAGTCATTCTGGTGAGCTCATCCTTCTGAGAAGCTTTTTCTGCCTCCTCCAGGGAGAATGCTCCCATAGATCCTTGTACAATAATTCTCCCCCAAGAGGACCAGGATCCTTAGCACTCTCTATTCCCTTGTGCCTGCCGTAGCATCAAGACCACAGTTCCATAAATACTTGTTGGATTGAATTCAGTTCAAATGAATTGGCACAAGACATAGTTCATCTTTGGAGATTTTCCACCCAAAGTCATTACAAAGCCAAATAGAATTTCACTTCTGGGTCTTGTATCTAAACTATTGTCACATTGCAAAGAAAACATTGTTTTCCACTTTTAAGAGAGGAAAGAAAAAGACCATTCACATAGATCACTGAGAATGTACAGAAAGATCTGCTATTCTCTTGAAGACCACAGCTAGAGAGACACTGACTTAAAAAAAAATCAAATTTTATTTGATGGAAGAGGACTTCCAAATGGGAATTGCTACTCCAAAAGAAAACTCTTGTCTTTATAACTGGTAAAACTTCTGTTTTACGATTATCATTAAGATAAAACCCCAAATAAAGAATGTCTAGGGTTTCTAAAAATTACTCAGACTCCAGTTTCAGAAACATTGAGATCATAGACTCAGGATGCAGGCTTCATGACAAGATGAAGGTGAGACCCTGAGGCAGAGGACCAGGTCCTTGTACGAAGATACCTTTGATCTTCATTTCACAGATTTACATTCAGTAAGGCCAAGGGCAAATCTGCACAAGAGAGTAAGCAAGCTGGCATGCACACGTCCTAGACACAAAAGTTGCCATGACTACCTGTGGTTGTGTCTGTGTGCAGGGCCCTACTCGCACGGGAGGCCGGTACACAATACCCTTGGCACAGGACTCCCAGCTATCTCCCTGTCCCCCAAAGAACCTTTTTACTGTTCCCTTTGGTCTTGCCATCGTGCCTGAGAAGAGAATGTAGAGGCCTGGAAGATTACAGCAGGCTGGCCCCTGGCCCCACAAGCTCAGCCCATTATCTGCCCAAGTGCTGCCCATTTGCCAACTCAGCAAACTGCTATCTCCTGGAGATTTACAAAAACATTTGAAAATTGAAAAGTATGCTTCCTATGTCAACAGGATGCCACGTGTCCGTCCTCTGAAACCTGCCGTCTACCAAAATGTGGCTTGTGGCACCACCTGCAGTGGAATCACTTTGGGAGCTGTTAAGAATGCAGATTCTTGCTCCCCCCAAAACTTTCTTGCTTCTGCATGTCTCAAGGAGTTTCATTAGCAAGGAGATGCTCTGCGGTTCTTCTGTCCCTCCTAAGCCCTTTCTTTTTATCTGGGTTCACTCCATTAGCTCATGGTGTCCTATTAGCTTTCTCAGGCAGCCTGCAGGCCCTGACCTCAACCCGGGTCTGGCCGCGGGATTGTCCCCCAGGGCCAAGGCAATAGATTATTTCTGTGTGTGCACACCATTCACCCTGGACATTCAGAGATGGGTTTTGGCTGATGAGCTCTGTGATCCTAATCTTACTGGAAGACAGCCTGCTGAGCAAAGACTGGCTGCAATCCCCACGGCTGCCAGTGCTCTTTTACTCTCCAATAATTTTTGGACTCCAAGGGGCCCTTGGGTTTACACTAAACACAGAAAGTAAAGTCCAAACATTTTCTCCTTCACCAGTTCCTTCTCCACCCACAGCTGCACCCGGAAGCCTCATAAGAGGAGCTGGGCTCTGTGAATCAATGCTGGAGTAATTTCTCCACATTCGGCTCTCAGAATCCTCGCTACCATCGTCTGGCAGATTGCAGGTGCTTCTCTTGGGATTGGGAGCCTGCCAGCCCCCCGTGTATGTGGTGCTTTGGATTGCAGCTTTCCTCCAAGTCTCTCTTTTCACCAAATAATGCCTTTGACTTCCTGTTTCCCATGCCTATTAGCTGCAGACCAACCCCATCTCCCTTTTTCTCTTTCCTAGCCTTGAGAGGGGAGCTTAGGACAACCACCTTGGGGTTTTGGCTGGAAACTGCTTAAATAAGAAGGACTGAGACACAAAGGAGGGACTCTTTCTTTCTTTCTTTCTCTGTTCTTCTTTTCTTCTTCTTCTTCTTCTTTTTTTTTTTTTTTTGGAGACAGGAGTCTCGCTCTGTCACCCAGGCTGGAGTGCAGTGGTGCGATCTCAGCTCACTGCAAATTCTGTATCTCAGGTTCAAGTGATTCACATACCTCAGCCTCTTGAGTAGCTAGGATTACAAGCATGCACCACCATGCCAGGTTAATTTTTGTATTTTCAGTAGAGACAGGGTTTCGCCATGCTGCCCAAGCTGGTCTTGAACTCCCAGCCTAAAGTGGTCTGCCTGCCTTGACCTCCCAAAGTGCTGGGTTTACAGGTGGGAGCTACTGCACCCGGCCAAAGGTGGAATTTCTATTCTGGTTTTTGCTCATTGTATACCATTAAGAAAAAAGAACTGCCATCATGCAAATGAATAATGGTGATAGACCTCTAAGGAGAGAGTCAAAAGTAAGAGTCACAAACTAACTGATGTGAACTTATTACAAAGACACATGGGGACTCAGAGTAACACAAGAAGTCATGTCCTTGGCCTTACTGGCTATGAAGTCACACTGGTGACCCCTTATGAGGCAGGGTTCAAAGCAAGGTTCAGAGCAGGGGGGCTCCCTTGGGTCTAGGTCACAAATAGTGGCCTTCAGGACATAAAACTTTCCTTGGCCCCATATACGGTGGGGCGGTGATGGGTGCAGGAGGCTTGGTTTATTTGACATAGCTTGTGTGATAAACTACCCACAAATGAAAGTGGCCAGACAGTTGGGTTTATCTTTTGTGCTAACATGACAGAAAATCATGGGCTGGAATATTGCTATAATCCTGACCTTCACCTGCCCTTCACTCCACTTACAACTTTGGGCAGATTACTCTGACCCACCTGAAATAAGTGATGCCAGCCATTTAGTTATTGCAATGGGCGCTGGAGGGTTTGTGTGTATAATCCCCTCTATTCCAGCTCCCTAATTGTTGATTTAGTACTTCTGTTGATGCCCCTTGACCAAATGTTACCTGCACTGACCTCCCAGCAGGCAGTGGTTCTATTTATACGAAGCTTTAGTCTGGTATTCTCAAGATGCTACTTATCCTCCTGCCTTATCCCACTCTCAATGGGATAATTCTCTCAGAAGACAAATATCAGCTTCAAAAGCAACCACTGAAATGTTTACATATTGCTATTAGTTGTCCAGAAATTTCACCAAAAAGGTCTGAGAAGCCTAGAAAAAAGACCCTCACAAAGCACCCTATGCAGCTAACCTGCCCAGCAAAACTGTCCTTCAAATATAAGGGAGTGATAAAGATTTTCTGAGATAAGCAAAAGCTGAGGGACTTCATCATTACTAGACCAACCTTATAAAAATTGCTAAGGGAAGCTCTTCAAGTTAAACAAAAGGATGCTAAGCAATATGAAAGCATGCGAAAGCATAAAAGCCACTGATAAAATAAATATATAGGCAAATACAGAATACTGTAATATGGTAATGGCGCTATGTAAATCAGTTTTAATTCAGGGAGCAGAGATTTCCAACAGTACAAGGTCTTCTTTATATCTTTATAATGTCAAAAAACAAAACAAAACAAAATCTGGCAGACCACCACCACTCCTCACTCCCCTCCCAAATTATGCTAAAAATTGCTTTGAGGAGCTGCAGATTGAGAAAATGTGCAATGATAAAATGAACTCAGTACCTTTTTAAAATCGAATGTATATTTTATGGATCACAATTGCTGCATGCATTCTAAAAATAGCAATACACATCTGGGAAGGTGTATTCTTTAGCAGTTTACAGATACTGCAGCTATCACAGACCTCTTGCAGGAATTCTGGATTGGAACCAATGTCAGAAAATAGTTCCCTACAGCCCCTGCTCCGGGGATCTGTTTTTCTCCTACCAAGAAGGCAGGAGCACCTGGGCCAGGAAGAGTCCAAAGGATTCAATATGTTTTCAAATTTTCCCCAATCTGGGGGACTCCACAAAGATAAGCAAGGGATCAATTATTGTAGGACTAAGCTAGGGATTCTGACCTCTTCAGGAGTAAGAATGGGGTATCTGACCAAAGCTAGAGTTCTAGGCTGTGGAAAGCAACCCATTCTCAAGGGCCTCTCCCCATCCTCAGAGGCCCCTAGATTAACTCTATAGCTAGGCTGGGCCAAAGGCCTGTGAGCCCCTGCTTTTGTGTTAGTCATAGACCGTGCAAAGTTATGACTCCAACTTTGCTGCTTAGAGATGTGACCTAGGATGGCTGTGGTAGTCATTAATGGTAGATGGCAGTACACGCCATGGCCCTCTTGTGGTTGCTGGGGCCATGTGACTAATTCTGGCCAATGAATCTTGAGCAGATGAGATGACATCACTTCCAGGCCAGATCATTTAGTTGCTACTTTGAGACCCTACAGGGCTTTCTTTCCCTCTGGAAAAGGAAAGCATGGTATTGGAGATGGTGGCTGTTCCATCAGCCTGGATCTATGAGGGGCATGATGAGTGAAGCCTCTCTACTGAATAGTGATGAACAACGAGTATTTTGGGAAATCTGCCTTTGTCGGGTTCAGCCACCACAAATCTAGAGTTGCTTATTACTGTGTCATAACTTAACCTATGCTGACCAGATAGGCTAGGTTACTCTTCGCAGTGGTTCTATATTTTAGATTCTCCAATATAATTTAGTCAAAATGGCTATTTTTATTTTTTATACTAACCAGTTGCCCCCTCCAGCACTCTCCTCCTATTTCTATCAGTCCCCTCTGATTTGACTGGAATCAAGCTGGTTTACAGGACTGCCAGGGTACTTGGCTAGTGTCATCTATCTGGCCAGGCTTCTTTCAAAACAAAGCCTTTCTCACTGTTCCCTCACAGGCAATGAGCCATGCAGGCAAGGCAGAGGAGGGCGGGCCCTCCCAGAAGCTCAGAAAACACAAAACTCATGCCTTTATGCTTTATGGATGTCAATTCAGTTTTCTCCACAGGCACAACCTTTTTTTGTGCATGACTGTATATGACATTTTGAATGTTGGCCCATTTGAATTGTTTTAGTCCTGTACCCTGATCCTCTCTGGGGCTCTTGAATACACTTGGGCTTGTGTTTAGACAGTTGCGATGATGTATTCTCAAACCCAGTGTTTAGCTGCACACTTTAATGACAGGCAAGGAGTAATTGGGCAGTTTGGCACGTGTCATGTCCTAAATGTAGAGATGAAGGTTCTAATGGTAACAGAGGGAGAAATAGATTTGTCCTGAACTTGGCAGGAATGTCACTCTGCCAAGCTCTGCCAGCCTGATGCTTAGACACTTCCAGATCCAGGACCCTTCTGAAAAGTGCAAAAGCACCCTGAAATCACCAATGAAACAGGAAAGAAAAAAACCATCTCTGCTTTGCAACACCTTTAGCACACATAAGTGACTTCGGTGTGACTCTTTGGGGTGAAGGTTTTTTTAAAAGCATGACATTTAAACTCGGCCCAACATCATTGTTTCCCCATTGCCATTTCCCTTCCTGTGACAGACATCTCATTATTAAGCATCACATTATTAGCACAAACGCTTTTTGTAGAAGCATAAAGGCAAGGATGCTTATTAATCAGAAACCAAATTTTCTATTCAGGCACATAATCAGGGATCTTGGAAAATGTGAATAGCTTATTTGGTTGGAGGGACTGAGAGCAGCTTCCTCCCATGGTACTTGATCTGCCAGGATAATGATGTCCTAGGGAAGTGTACTGTGAGACCCAGTAGAAACTACTTGAAGCTCAGCAGTCCTGTGGATGTCACCAAGGAGAGTCTTACAGGAATGGATGAGCCCCTGCAAAGTGTGAAATAAAGAGTGCTAGGAGTGCTACTCTGCTTAAAAAAAAAAATCTCCCCATCAATTTGCCTGCATTTTCAATGTCAGAGATACCTTCTTTCTTCTCTTAAAGATTTCAGATGTTAGGAGAGGTAATATAGTTAGTGGCTAAGTTCATACGCTTTGTGGTCATGCTCTCTGCATTTGAATACTAGCTTTGCCACTGACTAGCAGTATGACTTGGGGTAAGTTACCCAACTTCTCTGGGCCTCAGCTTCCTCACCTATAGAATTGGATAATAATCATTCTGCCTCATATATTTATTATTGTTTTGCCTCATATATTTATTATTTATTATTAGGGTTATTGTGAAGATTAAATTGAGGTGATATATGAAACACACAGAACTGATCTGGTACCAAATTTCTAACTTGGGGTTGAAGTTCCACTAACAGCCAATAGTGGTGGTTAGGTAGTCAGGTTGAGAAGGAGCTATTTCCAGGCTTGGAAAGTTCTCCTTGGGAAGGATTTGTTCTGGAGTTTCCTGTTGCTGTATAGCCTTTTTAAGGTCTTGATCAGTCCTAAATTCCCCAAAGACAACTCCAGAGAGTCACAACTATGGTGGAATGTGGACATGAGAGAATGAAATGAAAACAGAGCTGTTCCTTTCTCCTGGGGGTCCTGGGCTGCTACGGAAATGCTGGGCCCAATCTGAATGAAAACTGGTTTCAAAAGGTAACCCCTTAACTCAGTTTGTTAAGCTCATTTTCTGACTTCAAATGGTAGACAGAGTTTCTTTCTTCAAAAGTAGAAAACACTCTGTTTAAAGTGAAAGACCACTGAAAAGTAAACATGATTAGTTCGCCTTAATCAAGAATGTTCAAAAAACTTTTCAGAAATTGCAGGATCTAATCCCACAGGGGGCAGCTGGTTCCCAAGCCCTTTTCTTTTCTTTTCTTTTCTTTTCTTTTTCTTTTTTTTTTGAGACTGAGTCTCAGAGTCTCGCTCCGTCGCCCAGGCTGGAGTGCAGTGGCGCTGTCCCGGCTCACTGCAGCCTCCGCCTCCTGGATTCAAGCAATTCTCCTGCCTCAACCTCCTGAGTAACTGGGACTATAGGCGCGTGGCACCACTCCTGGCCCAGACCCTTTTCTACGCACAGTACTGGAGGACAAAGGCACAGAAAGCTGCTGACCTATCTGGTCACATCCTGGGCAGTGCCAAGAAGAGGCTGCTTCTATCTTCCTCCGACTTTTTGAGGTTCTAGTCACAAAATTGTTTTTCTTGCTCACAAATGGCTCTGTCCTATGCAAAGTGCTGAACAAATAAAATGGAAGTTTTAAAGTTCACACTGACCTTTTTTGGTGCTTGGGACAATGCAATCTTTTCAGTTCGTAATGGAAAATAGATTAAGCTACCTGCCTGGTTTGCTTTTTAGGAAGTTGCAGCCTTCCCATTTTTAATGCCCTGAGATCTTTGCTCAAACTGTCTTTTTTGGTACAACCCATGGGCATTGTGCATAGTCAAGGAGGGCTTATTTGTAACCTGGTTTGGGTTTTACTTCTCTCCCAAAGCAAGTCACCAGCTTTTTGTTTTAACGTAATCTCCCATTTTCTCCAGTTCCTTAATTCACATCATAAAAGTTCACTTTCTTTAGCTACTGACAATTGAAATCAGAACAAAGGGCCCAGAGAAGTATATATATTATAAACGTTTTTAAAAGGTATTTTCTGGGCCTGGAGTCTTTCAATGCCAATTTATCCAGAGTTTTATTTTGTTTTGTGTGTGTGTGTTTTGCTATTACTCCAGGTTAATGGACTCTCTGAATACCAGCCCATCTAATTCTTTCTCTAAAATGGCATTTTGTATTTTCTTCCTGAAAACTCTTGACTCTGTGTCAGGACAGGGTATACTGGATCTTCTCAAGGAATTGCCTGCCCAGCAGACATTATTTTGGCTAGGAAAACAAATAGGAAAATATTAAATAAACATAAGAGTTTGCATTACTGGATTTTCTAAAAGCAAAAAGAAACATATATTTATTTAATGGGCCAACCCCACTGGAAAAGCCTCCAGAGAACCAAGGAAATGTTTGTGTCAGCAACCTGAAGTAAGGAAAACCTCCTCTAATTTTCATTTTCTATCTTCTTCTTCTTCTTCCAAATCTTCAAATAAACTCACCAGTAACTTTATACTTTTGCTTAACTAAAATGAGATATTCTGGCATGCACTGCCAGAGCGCATGCCTATTTATCCAAAGGAGAGCAGGTGCTGGGAACCTGCCTTGGTGATCACATTCCTTCAGTCCCTTCAAGGGTTATCACTGGATTTGAGTTTCTTGGCTACACAAGTACGATGTACTTATAAATTTGACTACTAATAACAGCTCATTTTATGTTGAATTTAGAAAATTGGAGATTTGCAATAATTGACTCTGCAATAATATCAAGTTTCATTGAGATATACACTGGATAAGGAACAAAGTAGTTTGCATGCATTAATTAGTTCATTTAATTCTTAGGACAACAACCCCATGAGGTAGATAGTGTTATTACCCCTATTTTACAGGTGAAAAAACTGAAGCACAGAGAAATTAAGTAACATGTTCAAAGTTACATAGCTGGTAAGTGACAGAGGCAGGATCCGAACCCCTATTTTGATTCCAAAGTCCAAGCTCTGAATCACAGTTGACTCTACTTCATGAACTGGTGTCTAGCAGCCTGACTCTTGTGTAGTGGATTTGAAACGATACTTGTTGAATAAATTAAAAAGCGAACAAATAAATTAATCCTTATATTAGTCCTATCAGGAAAATCAATACCTATAGTATTCAAGGTAAACACAGCTAGCTTCTGTAAAAAAGCAACCACTACATCTCAGTGGCTTAACCACAGTCAAAGTGACTTTCTCCCATATGTGACAAAGTGATATGGTCAGTAAAGGTGGAGAGTATGCACTCTGCAGACCTTCAGGATCCAGGCTCCTTCCAAACAGTGCTTCTGCCATTTTCAGTACTTGTCTCTGGAGGTTGCCCGGAGCATTCTTGTCTCCAAGCTTGCATATTATCCAGGTGGAAGATGGTAGCTGAGAGAGGACAGGATGACTCTGGGAGCTTTAGGTCTAGACCTGAGAGTGTTATGCGTTAAGTTGGCTGGAACTCATAACAAGGCCCCAGTGACTGCACAGGGAGACTGGGAAGAGTGGCTTTGCTATGTTCCCAGGAAGAGCGTGAAATGGGTTTAGTGAGCACACAGCTTTGTCTCTGCCACCGATCCATACCCTGTTTTTAATAGATGGAAATGTACAGACTTATACAGTATTTTCTTAACAAAATCCTTCCCTCAGGCTTGAATGGAAATGTCCATCATTTGAGTGACTCCTTTGAGTTTGAAGGCAAAGATGGGAGTTTTACACACCTAAAGCCAGGCGCAAAATGTACAAACTCTTCCTAGGACTACCATGACTAGTTTTCTTTTGTTGACAGTATTAGAAAGCTCCAGGGTTGGTTGGGAAATTTTAATAAAGGTGGACTCCATGAAAAACTCTGGGTGTTGAGGATGGAAGAAGCAATCTGATGGTATGGCTTGGTGAAGGATGCCTGGTTTAGAGATAAAACATGTGTGTGGCTTTAAAACTTCACAGGTTTACTTATAAAGCGGTTAATTATTTTATTCAAGATGACAAAGAAGCAGTTGGTAAACCAGAGCAGGAAAGTATTCATCTCTTTATCTTGAACTTGACCCCAGTGGGTGACCTCATTTCTAGGGAGTTTCTTTTCATTGAGAAGTGTGCTTGAAGCTTACGTTAGTGACAATTGGCAAAGTCTTCCTCATTTTAAAATTATAACCCATTAAGGCAAGCTTCTGTTTACTCTCCCATGTAGCAAGGCTCTCAAGTTTCTAATTTCTAATGATAGACTGAATTATTCATAAAATACATCTATCTTTCTTACTCCAATTATTAATCTCTTGATGCCATTGGGGGTCTTGAGGCTCTGCTGTAAAAGCTTAATGCATTTTGCATCACTGTGTCACACTCACTGGCAATGTTTCTGGCCTGGCTTAAAGGGGTTAAAAAATAGGACTTGAAGTGGTGCCAGACAATTAGGTAATTACAAAACACTTTTGTACATTAAAGTAATCTTGTAAGCATTATGCCTGAATCGTGGCTGCCAACTTAGTGCTTTCTTGATTGTACACTAGGGTTTTCAAAGTCATCATCAAATTCTAAGATTTTTTAAAAAGATCACTACCTATTTTAAGAGAGTACTGTGATTTTTTTTTTCTCAGTAACTTCTTACTCATATGAAAATGCTTCCAAATTAATAATGATCATAGTAGCCAACATTCATTGAGCACTCACTATATACTTGGTTCTGTGCTAAGGACTTCGGAAGTGCTATCTTATTTAGTCCCTTCAACCACCCTATGAAACAGGTAATGATAAACAGCTAAGGATCAGGGAGTGCATTCCAGCTGCAGACACTCATTTAATATAATTACAATCTTCTGAAGTATATACTTTAAATTTCACTGAAAGTAAGAAGCCATCAATTGTAAGGCCACTGTTATGGCCAGAATTGTGTTCCCTTAAAATTCATATGTGAAGTCCCAATTCCTAGTTTAAAACAAGACGATATTTGGAGATAGGGTCTTTAAAGGGGTCATGAAGTGAAAATGAGGACGGGGGGGTGGGCCTTAGTCCAATATGACAAGTGTCCTTATAAGAAGAGGAGATTAGGGCAGGGTGCAGTGGCTTATGCCTGTAATACCAACAATTTGGGAGACTGAGGCTGGTGGATGACTTGAGCCCAGGAGTTTGAGACCAGCCTGGACAACATGGCAAAACCCTGTTTCTACAAAATATACAAAAATTGACTGGGCGTGGTGGCACCTGTCTGTAGTCTTAGCTATTCGGGAGGATGAGGTGAGAGGATCCTTTCCAGCCTGGGTGACAGACTGAGAACCTATCCCAAAAAAAAAAAAAAAAAAAAAAGACGATTAGGACACAGACACACAAAAAGGGAAGACAACGTGAGGACACAGAAAGAAAATGGCCATCTACAAACTATGACCTCAGAAGAAACCCTACCAATACCTTCATTTCAGATTTCCAGCCTCTACAACTGAGAGAAAATACATCTGTGGTGTTTAAGCCACCCAATCTGTGATACTTTCTTACGGCATCCCTGGCAAACTAATAAAGACACCACTATTTTATGTATCATGAAGTAAGAATAAACATAGTAAATTAAATAAGAACCATGGCTATGACTTTTTACTTTAGCTTTTGTGCATACACAAAAAGGAAATCATAAGCGAAATACATGAGTGAAGGCATTCCTAAAACTTCTTCACCTAGGGTATAACTTTTCTAAAATGCTTTGTTAAAATCTGTGATTTTTCACACAGTTATCTTCTTTACCATCAACAGTGTTGGTGATGCAGCAGTTTTTCAAACAAGGCACCACTGTTGTCTCTGGAATGTTCTTCAGTCCACAGATATTAATCCTGAAAGTTTTGATGCTGACATTGTTTTGACCCTGCTGCTCTGTTTCATTGCTTTTTGTATACAAGATAAATATTATGTCGATGCAGATTCATGTGGTAAAAATTTTGCACTCAATAATGAGTTACATAAAAAATTTAAAAAGAGGAATTTGAAGTGGGGGCATGTCTTGAAATAAAAGGAAGAACCCCCCACCCAATATAAATAGTCTACCTCACAACTTTTCCACCATCTGTCTTGACATCCATCCATCTTCTGGTTGGCATAGAAATCTGACATTCTTTCCCATTAGGGGACAAAGTTATATTCTATGTGTTACCGAGGTAACTGGGGGCACTTGGGGCTGAACCAATCTGAGTTATCCTGATGGTATCCAAAGACGACATCATAAAGAGAGGGTTCTGGGGGACATTTGACCCTGGTCTCATATGCGCCAAGAACCTCAAATTTAAAATTGGGATTTTTTTTTACTTAAAAAAAAAATCTGACTACCCTCAAATATACAAATGATTCTAGTCTTCCCTGATTTCTAAAAGGTCCTGATACCAAACATGAACCTGCATTTTCATCCATCTTTGCAACCAGTATTGATAGAGTGGCTACTGTGACTTGCACTAAGCTGGGTGGGCATGCTTTAGGCACCCAGGGAAGCAAGGCATGGTCTCTCACCTCAAGGAGCCCACCCACTTCCAGGAGAAACAGGTCTGTCCACTTGAAACTGCCCTGGTGTGATGCATGGCTTGCTGGAGGCATGGAGAAGTGGGAAAATTCTAAGGTGATTCGAGTTGGGACCTACTCAGAGAATGGTTCATATAAGGAAGAATAAGTACCCCGATATGGGTGGATAATTTCTCACAAGAGACATGACTTGAGCAAAGATACACAAACATAAAAAGTAGGTAAGTGCAAACATAAGACTCGGATATGAGGTGTAGCTAGTGGAGAAGCAGGGATGAAATGGGAAAGGGAGGTGGAGAACCTGTAGACCAGTGGTCCTCGACACTAGCTCCCATTAGACTCGCTAAGGGCACTCCTAAAAACTACAGATGCCTGCACCCTGGCACAGATCAGTTAACTCTGAATCTCTGGAGGTAGATTCTAATGAGCAGCCAGGGTTAGGGATCACTGCTGTTTCCTTAGAAAATTATGTCAATATTTCTAAGGGGCATGCACTGCTATAGTAGCATCACAATTTTGGGAAGAGTTGTCCTGAACAATTAATTTGAAAAAGCCCCCCTTGCCCAAGATGATTTTAATTTGACTAAGTTTATGTGATGGAGGACATCTAGTCAGTCGTCTGGAGTTTTACAACACCTGGATATGAAGTGATGGACTGGTCATGTCTAGGGGACCAGATGAAAATTTCACCTTCCCTCTAAATCATCTGGCACTATTTGGGGGTGGAGGCACTGACCTGTCTTGTGAAGAGCAGGGTTATGGTTCGGCCGTGACCTTGGCAGTCGCCATCACAACTTTGGTTTTGCTTCAGTCAGTTGCCACCTCTTGGGACTGTAAATATTGACACTCCCCTTTAGAGAAATCAATATCTGCATATTAGCCTCCAATTTCATATATCGATGTGCAGATCTGAGGGCCTCGGGTGAATATGAGATGACTTCAGCATTTGCTGCCTCTGAGCTGAAAAGCCAGCGGATTTGCATTTCCCCCAGTGATTCTTGGCTGCATGACTTGTATCACTATTATCTCTTCACAGTGTGTTTGTATGCAAAACTTTTGGCAGAACCATTTTAGAAGCAAGCAGACAATAAATGAAGGCTCTGCTTTCTCAGAGTTCAAAATTAACTTTCTCAAATTCTATAGAATAAGTTTTCTGAAATAACTTCTAAATTAAAAAAAAATTAACCCTTTGGTCAAAAATGTGCTTTGAATGGAGCTCTTGTTGATCTTTTCTTACATCAAGGAATCAGAGTATTTTGGGTGAGCTTTTCCATCCCCAGTCTCAATTCAGGTACCAAGTCAATCAGATTAAAAGGGAATGCTCAAATATTATCATCATCCAAATACACTTGCCACAAACAATCAGTAGGGCTAGTTTATCTTCCTACAGAACGGACTGATGTTTTAACTAGAACTGTGTGTACGTAGATCCAAAAACAACCATGCTGTTCAGTCAACTCTGCAAGGCTCTGTGTAGATGAGATCCCTAGGACTGATGGAAGGGAGTGACCTGGTTGGTTTAGTCAAAGGGACACAGATTTTGACACAGATCTGCCCTCTGTTTCAAAAAATTGATTGAGGCACTCTAAAAAAACAAAAACCCTTAGGAAAACCACCTTACTCCAGCATACTCACCTATGAGACTGCTTAGAAAAAGTAGGAAGAGTCAAAGGGTGCATCTAAAAATAACTGACAAGCCCCACAGCCTTCATTCTAGAAGTCCTGTGATTGTGATTCCCTTAGGCAAAGTTGGCACGGGTGTGGTGGGGGCAGGCGGGAGAAAGCACTTCACTAACATCACTCCTTGGTTTGAAATCCTGCAAGAAGATCAGCACTGTCGCAGCAGGAAGGCTGAGCCTGGCAGCTGCAATAGGCAGGCCTCCGACAGGACACAGAGCTGAGGTGCAAAGACGGCTGATGGCAGTTTGCTGGAGTGGCAACTTGGCTCTGACTTTCTCCCAGGGGTGCTCCGATCTGACAGTCAGAATTTGCCTACTCCTTCAACTAAGTTCCCCTTGTCTTCCAGCTCCCCTCATGTACACCTAAGTTAGGATTTTTTATTTTCAAAATTTTAAAAATAAAAGGAACTGTTCATGTTTTCCTACATTATAGGCATTATTCAGTCCTCATTATAGAAACTTTGGATAAAATAAAACCAAAGGGGAAAAAAAGTGCCTAGAGTTACCAGACAAAGGCAACCCTTGTTTATCTTTTGGCCTGTTTGCTTTCAGGCCAAATATAAACAATGCATATATTCTAAATGTAAAAGGACAAAATTAAACAAAGTTTGCACCCAAGCTAATCCCATGATGGATGACGTTCAAAGACACATATACGCAGTTAAGAGCAAGGACTACCAGGGCCTTGCCTGAGCCACGTGACACTGTGGAGGAGGCCGTTATATTTCTAATTTATAGTTTCGCTACACCAGGCAACTCAGTGATAAGCACAACTTGTTTATTTGTCTTTGATGGATGCCAGGTGGATTGTAGTCAGACAATCTGACTTCAGCAGACTCGGTATCTGAATCCACGGATTCAACCTGACACCCTCTCCTGGGGCAAAATGCAGGTCACACAATGGACACAAAATGCAGGTCACAAAATGGGTACCCACAACCTAAAGGGGTCACAATGGCAGCAGCCCCAAGAATGAAGACAAATAAGTACTTAGGCCACAACAAAAGAGGAAGAGAGCTAGCCAGCACCCAGGAGATGCAGATAACAAGGTGGCAGGTCAGGTCCACCAGCTTTTCTGTTTGTGTTTCAGGTTTGCTCCAAGAAACCAAGCTTTTGTCAACCTTTTAATTAGACAACCTGTATTGCTTCCAGCAATGAGCTCAGGCAATTTGCTGAGTTTTGACATTTTTCCCCTCTTTGAGAGCTGTCAGCTTGTGAGGCAGTATCCTCTAGTAGGAGATTTGGTGCCGGCTACAAAATTAAAAGCAAGAAATAACCACAAATAAGAGAGCACTCATAACCAAATATTTCCTGATCTGGTGTGGGCTGTGAAAGACCACGTGTGTCTGTCTATGTCCTCCTTACAGCTGTAGGTCAGAAGAGGCATCCGGGATGATGGCATCTAGAGGCCTCAAGAGGCAGGGTAGGTGGCATGAATAAAGGTGGTGGATGTCGGGGGAACAATCTTCTAAAAGGTGTCAGAAGCCCTATGGAAGCCAGGGAAGCATCCTGAGTTTCCTCAGGCCATCCAGGCTTGGTCATTTATTTTTTTGTTTTTTATATATTTTTTGTCCTCAGCTTTTGCTTGCTTGTGGGCTAGAATATGACATATTCTTTCTTTCTTTTTTTTTTTAATGGGGTCATAATTTTAAAAAGCAAATGGTTTCCTTCCCTTAAAGAATCAGGTCTTCAGATCCAACTAGAGGAAATGGTGCCACAGGGCTGGTGGTCAGCCTTGCTCTTCAAAATGTCCTGTAGAAGACCCTCTGGGTCCTGAGAAGATGCTACCCACTGCTCTAGAGAACTCTGCTCCAGCAAGGGTAGAACACATTCCAGAAAATGCCTCAGGGACAAATATTAGGCTCACATATCAGGTCAGTTCAGACCAGAGCATGGCAGAGATCCAGGCAGAGCTCAGTGAGCTGGCCTAGGGCAAGGGTTCCAAACTTCCTAGAGAATAGAAATCTCTTTTGCAAACACCAAAATCATGCAGACACCTACAGCACACTGTCAGTACCCGCTGATTGAGAAAATGAAAGGTGATTCAACAATAATTAACAATATTTAAAGGCATATTACTTGGTAATCAAGTTATATCATCACATGTAGTCAAATCTGGTGCTGTAAAGGAACTATCACAATAATTCTTACAAAAATCAGGCAAATCTACACTCCTCTTGTTCATTCACCCCAGGCTGTGGCACATCTGTCCATGTCTGAAATGGCTGCCAGGATGCAGCCCTTCATTTCTCCAGGACTGGGAGATTCTTGCCTCACCCCACAAGATGGCAATGGTGTGATAGTCTGGGGACCTGGGTGGCCACTATTCCAGAGTCAAGTAAATATTTAAGCAGTAAGCCCTACCCAGCGCCCTGAAATATATTCATGATGGTATTTCTAGACTGCACAATGGAAGTGAGGGGGACCCTTATTCTGCTGGAAAATTTGGTTTCCAGAGATTTCCTGAAGCTGTGGGAAAAATCCTTCAGTATATCCTGATTTATGACTCCTGACACTATGTTCTTCCCACACACATGTGTGCACGTGTGTGTGTGTGTGCACCCACACACACACACTGGCCCAAAGCCCCGTGTGTGATACAGCACAAAAAGCATTAACTACTGGGGAATCCTTTACATTTCAGTGACAGGTTGTTATTTGGGGCCTCATATATGGATGCTGTGGAAATTAACTTTTCTAGTGAAATGAAATGACCTCACTAAATTAGAAACAAGCTCTTCATCGTCCACCTGAGTTTAGAAACAACAACTGAAGTTTTATCATTTTACTTTATCTGCTTCTATCACAACCTGCAGAGGGTGCAAGAAGGTTTCATTTTCTACAATTTATAGAGAATGTTCTAGACCGTGGCCTGAGGAACACAGAGATCTCTGCCAGCCCTCTTTATTGATTTCTTGGGGGCTAGGCTCAATGTGAAACAAAAATGATCCACAGATTTCTCAAGACACATGAACTGTAAGAGTGGTTCTGAGTTGGTGCTTATTATATGTTACTAGTCATTGAGTAACATATTTTTCAATGTTTAATTCTTTTTGAATTACCCTGTATGTATTGGCTAAAAACTATAAGTATTCAGTAATGCTTTTGAATTAATTTGCATTTTCCTAATCATCAAAACATCTAAACATGCCATAAAACAGACACACATGTATTTCATGCCACAATAATGGGTCACTTTATAAGATGGCATGCCTTTTTATATTTACCTCAATTTGGACCTCAGAACAACCCTGTAAGATAGATATCTCATCTCATTTTATAGATGAGGAAACTGAGGCTCAGAAAGATCAAGTCACTTGACCAAGGCCTTGCAAAGAGCAGCTTGTAGAACTGGGATTCCATCTCAGGCCTGGCTAAATCCGTAGCCTTGGCTGTCAGTCCTAAATCATGTTGCCTTCTCTAATAAGGAAAAAGCTCTACTAAAAAAAAATATATAGTGCTTTTATTTTCTTTTTTGGCATGTATAAATAAACATTTTAAATCTTGAATTTTGTTTGTTGTCGTAGATTGACGTGTGTAAAATTGCTGATATTTGACCTTTTTGAAACTTTTATTTTAGGTTCAGGGATACATGTGCAAGTTTGTTGTATAGATAAACTGCATATCACAGGGGTTTGGGGTACAGATAATTTCATCACCTGGAAAATAAGCATAGTACCCAACAGATATTTTTTCTGATTTTCTCCCTCCTTCCACTCTCCACCCTCAAGCAGATCCCAGTGTTTGTTGTTCCCCTCCTAGTATCCATGTGTTCTCATTGTTTAGCTCCCACTTATAAGTGAGAACGTATGATATTTGGTTTTTCTGTTCCTGTGTTAGTTTGCTTAGGATCATGGTCTTCAGTTCTATCCATGTTGTTGCAAAACACGTGATCTCATTTTTTTATGGCTATATAGAATTCCATGGTGTATAAGCACCACATTTCTTTATCCTGTCTACTGTTGATGGGCATTTAGGTTGATTCCATGTCTTTGCTATTGTAAATTGTGCTACAATGAACCTATGTGCACATATGTCTTTTTGGTAGAATTATTTATATTCCATTAGATATATAGCCAATAATGGGATTTCTGGGTCAAATGGTAATTCTGTTTTAAGTTCTTTGAGTAATTGTCACACTGCTTTCCACAATGGATGAACTAATTTACACTCCCACCAACAGTGTATGAGTGTTCCCTTTTCTCCACAACCTCACCAGCATCTGTTGTTTCTTGACTTTTTAATAATAGTGAATAACTATCATTTTGACTGGTGTGAGATGGTATCTCATTGTGGTTTTGACTTGCATTTCTTTAATGATTAGTAATTTTCAGCACTTTTCATTTGCTTATTGGCCACATGTATGTCTTCTTTTGAAAAGCATCTGTTCATATACTTTGCCCACTTTTTAATGGGGTTGTTTGATTTTTGCTTGTAAATTTGTTTAAGTTCCTTATGGATTCTGGATGTTAGACCTTTGTCAGAGGCATAGTTTGCAAATATTTTCTCCCATTCTGTAGGTTGTCTGCTTACCCTGTTGATAGTTTATTTTGCTGTGCAGAAGCTCTTTAGTTTAATTAGATCCCATTTGTCAATTTTTGTTTTCGTCGCAATTGCTTTTGGCAGATATATCACCATTTTAAATATATGATTCAGCCTAGTAGGTTCCTTTTTCACAAGAAAGAAAAAAAAAGGAAACGAAATGCAGAAAATAGAGACAGAAAGATAAAAAAGCAGGAAGAAAAAAAGAAATAAGGGAAAAAGAAAAGTATAAGAAGATTTTAAAAATCATAAGCAATGCTCTGTCGCCATTTGCTAAATCCTGCTGACCTACAGCTTCTAACCCCACAATCTTGGCTTTTATTGTCCATTGCCTTTGATCAGGATTTTCACAGTCACCAGACTCCTTAAGTAATCAACAGAGACCAACTGTATCATATTGTCTTTCATTCTTTATTTTTTTTTTAAACAAGGATTGCGCAGATTTCTAGCCACCCCCCTGAGGGGGTGAGAAAAAAGAAAAGATCAGCAGAACAAAGTCTTGCATTTATTAGAAGCATATAAATACAACTTTCTTTTTCCAGGGGGAAAAAACACTGGACCAAAACAAAATGCCCTCAATGTATGAATTTATAGAAACATTGAAGTTTCAGATGAGAAACCTGACCTCAGTGTTGAAAGAAGAGAGATGAGAAAGCGAAAAATGAAAGAAGCCTTTTCTTATTAAATAATTAGCTCGGGGATAACATGAAGTGTTTTCTAAATGAATGCATTTGTAGGAAGAAATAAAAACATTGGAATAACTTGATTAGCACATATGAATAACAATTGATAACGCCAGTGAACAATCAAAGTCTTGAAATTGAAGTCTTTAAAGGACAAATGTTTCTCACCCCCTAATGCTATCTCCAGCATCTAAATATGTTCAGCAAGAGCTGATGGGAGAGAATTGTTTTCTAAAATGATTATTATGGTATTGCTATTACTCAACACCATCAGCATGTCGAATCACATTTGGCTCCAGCCCAATGTAATGTGAAAGAAAGAGGACTTTTTTTCTTATAAATGTTTACAATTAAACTGGATAGGAATGGCAAATCTAGGAGACAGAGCCCCCTGTTTTCTTTAGAAACTTCTTCCCAGATGGCACTCCCTTGGACAGCATTGCATCTTTGGCTCTTTGTGGCTGCCCATAGAGGAGAACAATGGTGAGACCTGCCCCAGGGCACAATACTGGTTACCTCTGTGCCAAGACCCATTATTAAAAGTGTCTTTGTAAGGACAGAGTTGCCAGAAGACATCTTTCCATAGCACATGGTCACTTTTGTGATCTTTAGAATTATCCAAAGCAAATGGCCTGAAAATATCAAATAAGTTATTGCTTCTATCACAATTAATTACTCTTCCTTAAGGCTCTATTTGCTTGTGAGAGCTGTCATAACAAAGTACCATACAGGGGGTGGCTTGAAAGACAGAAATTTGTTAGAAGTTCGAGATCAAGGTGTCAGCAGGGTTTGTTTCTCCTGAGGTCTTTTTCTTTGGTTTGTAAAGGCCACTGTCTCCCTGTGTCTTTGCATGGTCTTCTCTCTCTACCTGTCTGTGTCCTAATCTCCTCTTCTTATAAGGACACCAGTTGTGTTAGATGAAGGCCCACCCTAATGACCTCATTTTAACTTAATTACCTATTTAAACAATCCTATCTCCAAATGCAGTCTCATTTAAAGCTACTAGGGGTTAGGACTTCAGCATGAATTTTGGGGAGATATAATTCATTTAGTCCATGACAAAGACCTCTGAGGCTGTTTTGAATTGAAATTGAACTATTTTGTTCTTAATTGAAATTTGTCTTAGTTTCAGAATGCTCTAGCTATATCTACGCAGTTGAAGAACATGGAATTAGAAACTTCTATCAGTTTTCCTTTGTTCTTGTGGGCCTGTTTGTTTTCCTTCCTTATGCTGTCAATTTCTCCAGTGCCTTTATGCTTTAGATGTGTCTCCTAGGAATAGCATATAGCTGGAGTTTTTAAAATCTCTAATCTGAAAATCTTGTCTTTTCAAGGTAGCGTCTATGCACTTTATTGTGATTACTGATAAATTTAGTCGCATGAGTCATATGTAGTCTATTAGTCCTTTCAGGCTGAATTATATTGTGGTAAAATACAAATTTAGAATCTCATTCTGTTTTCGCACATTCTTCACTTAAATCATAAGTTCATTAGGTACCTTATTTGCCTTTCAAGTTCGCAAAGGTAATCGTTTTACTCAATGGTTTACCACTGCATAGTGTAAACTGCCATCTTTCCAGGCTGCTGTAAGTTGCCTTGCTACCCACTTCACAGTCTGAAAGCCAATACCTATATTTTAAATATGAAGTTGTTTGTTTGTTTGCTTGCTTTGTTTGTTGTAGTTGTTGTTATGATAGAAGCATTGTATTTGTAAATGTTAATTTCTGTATCAGGCTAAGTTATGCTGCAATACTAAACAATTCCAAAATCTAAATGGCATTACATAACCCAAGTTCATTTCTCTTTTATATTACATGTTCCTTGCAGCTTTGCCACTTCATTCTTGGGCCCACGCTGAAGAACCAGTCTTTTTCTGAAACATTGCTAAGAATGTGGCAGAAGGAAGAGATATGGCAGAACTTCATCATGGCCCTGACAAACTCTGCTCTGAAAACCTTCATGATGGTGCTGAAAACTGACTCCCCCTGAGAGTTCCTTGGCTAAATGAGTCACTTGGCCAAGCCTGACATCCTCAGAGTGGGAAAACAATCTTCCCAAAATAAGGGCACCATAAATTACATAGCCAAACCTCATGTCAGTAGAATGGCAGGTAAAATCCTCCCACAAGAAGGAGCAGCATATATTTGGAAATAAAAAATGCAGTCCACTACATCTCAATCATTACAGCCTCAGAGGCTGAAAATTTGTCACAGGGTGATATGGTTTGTCTGTATCCCCACCCAAATCTCGTCCTGAGTTGTAGTTTCCATAATTTCTGTGTGTCATGGGAGGGACCTGGTGGGAGGTAATTGAATCAGGGGACAGGTCTTTCTCATGCTCTTCTAGTGATAGTGAATAAGTCTTATGAGATCTGATAGTTTTATAAAGGGGGGTTCTTCCACACACGCTCTCTCGCCTGCTGCCATGTAAGACGTGACTTTGCTCCTCATTTGCCTTCCGTCATGATTTTGAGGCCTCCCCAGCCATGTGGGACTGTGAGTTAATTAAAACTCTTCCTTTATAAATTACCCAGTCTCGGGTATGTCTTTATTAGCAGCATGAGAACAGATTAACAAATGTGTTTAGCTAAAAATTGAGGCTTCATCATTATATAAGAAAGAGGATAGATATAGGGGACATTAAGCAGTCTTCTTTAGTGGCTACTCTAGTATTTTAATTTACTTAACACCTTTATTGTCCTCTCAGACAATAAAAAACCTTATGACACTTTAACCCTTATCATCTTCCCCACAACTTAAATGCTTTCATATCAAATATTTCAGTTATATCTTTTATTTAGTCACGAAAGTTAGATATTAATTTATTGTTTTGTCCAGTCAAATTATTTTTAGATTTATCTAATATTAACTAATATCCAAAACTTTTTTTTCTGAAAGTGTATCTTTCAGAATTTTCTTGATTCTTTCCTAGAATTTCCATCTTTCTGCTGACATTATCTGTCTGTTCTTGCATGTTGTCTACTTTTTCGATTAAAGACCTTAACGTATTAACTGTAGTTTGTTTAAAAATTCCTGCTTTAATAATTTCGACATTCCTGCCATATCTCACTCTGATTCAAATGCTTCTTCAGTTCCTTCAAACTATGTGTCTTCCCTTTGAGTATGCCTTGTAATTTTTTGTTGAAAAGTGACCATAGTGTACTGGTTTCAAGGAACTGCTATAAGCAAGCTTTTAGTAATGTGGTTGTAAGGTATGGGAGGGAATGAAAGCCTTCTATCACCCTATGATTAGGTCTCAGTCTTTTGGTGAGCCTACGTCACTGGGCTGTGAATGTCACCAGTGCTTCTTTCTCAGTTTTAAAAATCTCCTTAGACGCATCAAGATGGATGGAGTGGGCTAGAGTCTGGTATTTCCTTTCTCACACACAGAAAGCTAGAGAGGACTAGAGTTTTGAGTATTTCCCTTTCCCTACATGGAAGTCTAAGCTGAAGTTGGATATTTCCTTTTCCCTAGGTAGGTTAGGCTCTGATAAAACCCTAGCAAATTAGATTCTGGTAAAATAGTTTCTCCTGACATCAGGCCTTGTTAAGAACAGAATGCCCTGGTGCATTTTTAAATGGTTCCATTTTTCTTCTCCTTGCCAAAAGCTCCTGCAGGTAAAACTCATAAAAGTGTGGAGTCCCCCTAGGATTAGGGCCCCCTGTGACTAGGTCCTCCTGGAGCTTTTAACTCTCAGACTTGTCCACACTGAACCTCTGGCAATTCATCAATTACAGTTCAGGTTTTCCTACACTGGCACTGGTTCCCACGAAGGTTTCTGCTGCTGAGTAAGTTGCTATTCTCTCGACCCATCTCTCTGTCTCTCCAATTTGGGGGACTGCAGTTTGCCCTATGACCTCACTTCTTTGTTGGATCTAAGAAGGGTGACTGATTTTCAGTTTGTTCAGCTTTTTGCTTGTTTTTAAGATGGAGTGGCAACTTCTAAGCTCTGTACATGTCAGACCCAAAACCAGATGTCCAACTAGAATTGTCTTCAGAGAGGATCTGTTGGTGGTACAACTCTCGATTTTTTGTTGGCTTGTCTTTACAAAAAGTATTTTTCCTTCATTATTGAAAGATATTTTTGCTTTCTTTGAAAGTCTAGGCTAATAGCATTTTTTCTCTCAGCACATTGAATATTTTATTCCTGTTGTTTGTATTTTATTGTTACTGTTGGGAAGTTAGCCATCTGTCTAATTGTCATTGCTTTGGAAGTCAATTTTTTTCTGGCTTCTTCTAGGATCTCCTCTTTGCCTTAGGCTTTCTACAGCTTTTCTAGAATATGTCTAGGTGTGAATTTCCTTTATCTTGGAACTTTTTGGGTTTCCTGGTTCTGAGGGTTGGAATCTTTGAACAAATTGTTCTGAAAAATTCTGTTATTTTCCCTTCAAATATGCTTCTTTCCATTTTAATTTTTAATCTGTTTTTGAAATTCTAGACCATATCATTCTGCCCTCTGTGTATTTTAACATATCCTGCATATCTGTGTCTATCTATGACATCCTGAGTAGTTTAATGGCATCTATTTTTCATTTCACTAATTCACTACTCACCTGTGCCAAATCTTCGGTTGAACATACCCAATGAGTATTTTATAGAGGTGAAATTAAATTCACACAAGATAAAATCGACCATTTTAAAGTGCATGATTCAGTTGCTTTTAGGACATACACATAACTGCAATGATCACTTCTGTCTTGTTCATTGAAAAAAGTTTCATCAAACCAAAAGAAAACCCTGTGCTCATTAGGCACGCACTCCCTATTACTCCTTTCCCCTAGCTCCTGACAACCACCAATCTGCTTTCTATCTCTATGGGTCTGCGTACTCTAGATATTCCATGTAAGTAGAATTATACAATATGTGACCCTTTGTATGTAGCTTCTTTTACTTAGCATAATGTTTTCAAGGTTCATCTATGTTGTAGCATGTATGAGAATTTCACTCTTTTTTATAGCCAAATAATACTCCACTGTATGGGTATACCACATTTTGTTATCCTTTCATCTGTTGATTGACATTTGGGTTGTTTCTAGCTTTTGGGTATTGTAAGTAGTGCTGGTATAAAAATTTATGTACGAGTATTTGTCTAAGGGCCTGCTTTCAAGTTCTTTGGAGTATAGGCCTAGAAATGTAATTGCTGGGTCATATAGCAAATCTATGTTTAACTTTTGAGTAACTGCCAGCTACAATTACTTTGAAAAATTCAATTATCATAACTTTAATTTCTGGGCATGTTCTTTGATTCTTTTTCAGAGCTACTTGCTCATTCTTATGGTCTTTTGTAACTGCTTATATTTGCAAACCTCTTTTTAATTTCCTGAAACTTACTATTAAATAATTGTATATAAAATAACAACTCTATGATCATTCCACTACCAATAGTTTTATGGATCTGATTTTGCTATTGTTTATGCTGATTACCACTCATTTTATTTAGTTCGTATATGTGCTGTAATTTTTTATTGAGAAATCATGTTCTTTGGATCATATTCACTCTATTTATTGGAGTTCTTACTGGCTGGGATTGCCTTTGCTTGTTGCCAGTTTCCTGGGCAACTTATCAACCTAGAATTATATTAAAATAATTATCTATCTGTCTAAAGTGTCTGTACCATACAGGTGGCGTGAATTTTGGATGTATATCATGTGATGAGAAGTTTACAGTAGTTTTCAAAAGAGAGTTATTTGGTTTACAGTAGTTTTCAGATGAGAGGTTTTTTTTTTCCTTGCCACCATCATTTGAAGTCAAGACAGGTAAAGTCCAAAAAAAGAGCAAGTTTTATGGTTTTACTCTTTTGTGTTCTGGGTTTATCTCTGTTGAGTGAATAGGCCCCAAGCCAAAAATTATTACCAGAGACAAACAATATAATTAAAAGCATCTTAGTTTACTTAATATCATAGCTTCCAAATACATAAAACAGATAATTGACAGAACTTTAAGGAAATAAACAAATCAAATCCCTCCTAACAACTTGAATTTTTAATCTGCCTCTGTTGGTAACTGATAGATCAAGCTAACTAAAATGTGATTAAAACCAAGGAAATCTAAATAGCATAGTCAACAAGCTTGACAGAGTGTATACATTGAACATTGCGTCCACCAATAGAAAAACAAACATTCTTTTTAAGCAGACATGGAATATTGATGGAAACTGACCATATGCTAGGCCTAAATTCATACTTATTGTGATAGCTTTGTAATGTGTCAGTTTGGCTAGGCTGAACTACCCATCTCAGACTTCCCTTTCTTCTGTGTTTCCAGTTAGCATGAGCCACGTGTCATGCTATTCTGGAAGGCAGGAAGAAAGCAAAAGCCATTTTGTAGCTCACACACTTCGTTGCTGATCTGCAAACTCACCTTGGAATAAAGCAGAGCTGGGCCTCAATTATTCCCCTTTTCTCCTGGATCTTCCTTCAGTGTCACTGACTCCTGGACCAGGTATGTTTGTTTAGCTCTGTGACAAGGGGCCAGCTTCAGCAGGATACCTGCATCTCCAAGATTAGAAACTATAAGAATGGATATGGTTTTAGTCTATTCTTATGGAGTGGCAGCTCATGCTTGTGGGTTCTGGCCTGATAGTGATGAATTTCCCTTCCTGAATTCCTGCCCTGCAGACTTTGTGCTTCAGCAGCAGATAGGAAGCAAACGCCTTACAGAGGCTTCTTAACCAGCTCCCATTTGGATTGTGGAAGACCAATTCTTTGTAAACTGGTTAAATTTACAATCATAAAATGTTATGAGGAATTGAGGGAATTAGCTGGATGGTTCAAGTTGCCTGATATTTAATTCTTTAATTATGTAGGTATTTCTGGACAAAATTGTGGACATTGGCTAATATAACTGGAAAATTACCCAAATTTGCATCTCTTCTTTGCATTTGTAGATATAGCCATTATCAGTGTCCCTTAAAAAAAACTGATGATATAATAAAAACAAGATATCTAGGCTTCTTTTAAAAATTCCACCTTAAGCAATTATTTGTTACCAGTCATTATATGTGTATGTCTTCTTGGTGTCTTTTTTTTTTTTTTTTTTTTTGAGACGGAGTCTTGCTCTGTCACCAGGCTGGAGTGCAGTAGCGTGATCTTGGCTCACTGCAACCTCTGCCTCCCCGGGCTCAAGCAATTCTCCTACCTCAGCCTCCCGAGTAGCTGGGACTACAGGCAAGTGCCACCACGCCCAGATAATTTTTGTACTTTTAGTAGAGACGGGTTTCACCATGTTGGCCAGAATTGTCTCGATCTCTTGACCTCGTGATCTGCCCGCCTCGGCCTCCCAAAGTGCTGGGATTACAGGCGTGAGCCACTGTGCCCAGCCTGGTGTCTTTTTTTTATATATACTTTAAGTTCTGGGATACACGTGCAGAACATGCAGTTTTGTTACATGGGTGTACACGTGGCATGGTGGTTTGCTGCACCCATCAACGAGTCATTTACATTAGATATTTCTCCTGATGCTATCCCTCCCCTAGCCCCCACCCCCAAACAGGCCCCAGTGTATGATGTTCCCCTACCTATGTCCATGTGTTCTCATTGTTCAACTCCCACCTATGAGTGAGAACATGCCATGTTTGGTTTTCTTTTCTTGTGTTAGTTTGCTGAGAATGATGGTTTCCAGCTTCATCCATGTCTCTGCAAAGGACATAAACTCATCCTTTTTTATGGCTGTATAGTATTCCATGGTATATATATGTGCCACATTTTCTTTATCCAGTCTATCACTGATGGGCATTTCAGTTGGTTCCAAGTCTTCATTATTGTGAATAGTGCTGCAATAAACATATGTGTGCATGTGTCTTTATAGCAGAATAATTTATAATCCTTTGGGATTGCCAAGTCAAATGGTATTTCTGGTTCTAGATCCTTGAGGAATTGCCACACTGTCTTCCACCATGGTTGAACTAATTTACACTCCTACCAACAGTGTAAAAGCATTCCTATTTCTCCACATCCTCTCCAGGATCTGTTTCCTGACTTTTTAATGATTGCCATTCTAACTGGTGTGAGATGGTATTTCATTGTGGTTTTGATTTGCATTTCTCTAATGACCGGTGATGATGAGCTATTTTTCATATGTTTGTTGTCCACATAAATGACTTCTTTTGAGAAGTGTCTGCTCATATCCTTTGCCCACTTTTTGATTGGGTTGTTTGTTTTTTTCTTGTAAATTTGTGTAAGTTCCTTGTAGATTCTGGATATTAACCCTTTGTCAGATGGATAGATTGGAAAAATTTTCTTCCATTATGTAGGTTACCTGTTCACTCTGATGTTAGTTTCTTTTGCTGTGCAGAAGCTCTTTAGTTTAATTAGATCCCATTTGTCAATTTTGGCTTTTGTTGCCATTGCTTTTGGTGTTTTAAACATGAAGTCTTTGCCCATGCCTATGTCCTGAATGGTACTGCTTAGGTTTTCTTCTAGGGTTTTTATGGTTTTAGGTCTTATGTTTAAGTCTTTAATCCATCTTGAGTTAATTTTTGTTTTAAGGTGTAAGGAAGGGGTCCAATTTCAGTTTTCTGCATATGGCTAGCCAGTTTTCCCAACATCATTTATTAAATGATGGGGAATCATTTCCCCATTGCTTGTTTTTGTCATGTTTGTCAAGGATCTGATGGTTGTAGATGCGTGGCATTATTTCTGAGGCCTCTCTTCTGTTCCATTGGTTATATATCTGTTTTGGTACCAGTGCCATGCTGTTTTGGCTACTGTAGCCTTGTAGTATAGTTTGAAGTCAGGTAGCATGACACCTCCAGCTTTGTTCTTTTTGCTTAGGATTGTCTTGGCTATGTGGGCTCTTTTTTGGTTCCATATGAACTTTAAAGTAGTTTTTTCTAATTCTGTGAAGAAAGTCAATGGTAGTTCGATGGGAATAGCATTGAATCTATAAATTACTTTGGGCAGTATGGCCATTTTCACAACGTTGATTCTTGCTATCCATGAGCATGGAATGTTTTTCCATTTGTTTGTGTCCTCTCTTATTTCCTTGAGCAGTGGTTTGTAGTTCTCCTTGAAGAGGTCCCTCACATCCCTTGTGAGTTGTATTCCTAGGTATTTCATTCTCTTTGAAGCAATTGTAAATGGGAGTTTACTCATGATTTGGCTCTCTGTTTATCTATTATTGGTGTATAAGAATGCTTGTGATTTTTGCACATTGATTTCATATCCTGAGACTTTGCTGAAGTTGCTTATCAGCTTAAGGAGATTTTGGGCTGAGACAATGGGGTTTTCTAAATATACAAACATGTCATCTGCAAACAGAGATAATTTGACTTCCTTTCTTCCTACTTGAATATGATTTCTTTCTTTCTCTTGTCTGATTGCCTTGGCCGAAACTTCCAATATTATGTTGAATAGGTGTGGTGAGAGAGGGCATCCTTGTCTTGTGCCAGTTTTCAAAGGAAATGCTTCCAGTTTTTGCCCATTCAGTATGATATTGGCTGTGGGTTCGTCATAAATAGCTCTTATTATTTTGAGATATGTTCCATCTATACCTAGTTTATTGAGAGGTTTTAGCATGAAGCGGTGTTGAATTTTATCCAAGGACTTTTCTCCATCTATTGAGATAATCATGTGGTTTTTGTCTTTGGTTCTGTTTATGTGATGAATAACGTTTATTGGTATGTGTTTGTTGACCCAGCCTTGCATCCCAGGGATGAAGCCGACTTGATCTTGGTGGATAAGCTTTTTGATGTGCTGCTGGATTTGGTTTGCCAGTATTTTATTGAGGATTTTTGCATCAACGCTCATCAGGGATATTGGCCTGAAATCTACTTTTTCTGTTGTGTCCCTGCCAGGTTTTGGTATCAGGATGATGCTGGCCTCATAAAATGAGTTAGGTAGCAGTCTCTCTTTATCTATTGTTTGGAATATTTTCAGAAGGAATCGTACCAGCTGCTCTTTGTAGTTCTGGTAGAATTCGGCTGTGAATCCGTCTCATCCCGGGCTTTTTTTTTCATTGGTAGGCTATTAATTACTGCCTCAATTTCAGAGCTTGTTATGGGATTCAACATTTTCCTGGTTTAGTCTTGGGAAGGTGTATGTGTCCAGGAATTTATCCATTTTTTCTAGATTTCCTAGTTTATTTGCGAAGAGGTGTTTATAGTACTATCTGATGGTAGTTTGTATTTCTGTGGGATCAGTGGTGATATCCCCTTTATCATTTTTTATTGTGTCTATTTGATTCTTCTCTCTTTTCTTCTTTATTAGAATGGATAGTGGTCTATCAATTTTGTTGATCTTTTCAAAAACCCAGCTCCTAGATTCATTGATTTTTTGAAGGGCTTTTTGTGTCTCCATCTCCTTCAGTTCTGCTCTGATCTTAGTTATTTCTTGTCTTCAGCTAGCTTTTGAATTTGTTTGCTCTTGCTTCTCTAGTTCTTTTAATTGTAATGTTAGGGTGTGTCAATTTTAGATCTTTCCCACTTTCTCCTATGAACATTTAGCACTAGAAATTTCCCTTTAAACGCTGTGTCCCAGAGATTCTGGTATGTTGTGTCTTTGTTCTCATTGGTTTCAAAGAACTTATTTATTTCTGCCTTAATTTCGTTATTTACCCAGCAGTCATTCAGGAGCAGGTTGTTCAGTTTCCATGTAGTTGTGTGGTTTTGAGAGAGTTTCTTAATCCTGAGTTCTAATTTGATTGTACTGTGGTCTGAGAGGCTGTTATGATTTCTGTTCTTTTGAATTTGCTGAGGGGTGTTTTACTTCCAATTATGTGGTCAATTTTAGAATAAGTGTGATGTGGTGCTGAGAAGAACGTATATTCTGTTGATTTGGGGTGGAGAGTTCTGTAGATGTCTATTAGGTCCACTTGGTCCAGAGCTGAGTTCAAGTCCTGAATATCCTTGTTAATTTTCTGTCTCATTGATCTGTCTAATATTGACAGTGGGGTGTTAAAGTCTCCCATTATTATTGTGTGGGAATCTAAGTCTCTTTGTAGGTCTGTAAGAACTTACTTTATGAATCTGGATGTGCCTATATTGGGTGCATATATATTTAGGATAGTTAGCTCTTCTTGTTGCATTGATCCCTTTACCATTATGTAATGGCCTTCTTTGTCTTTTTTATCTTTGTTGGTTTAAAGTCTGTTTTATCAGAGACTAGGATTGCAACCCCTGCTTTTTTTGCTTTCCATTTGCTTGGTAAATATTCCTCCATCCACTCATTTTGAGCCTATATGTGTCTTTGCATGTGAGATGGGTCTCCTGAATACAGCACACTGATGGATCTTGACTCTTTATCCAATTGCCAGTCTGTGCCTTTTAATTGTGCCATTTAACCTGTTTACCTTTAAGGTTAATATTGTTATGTGTGAATTTGATCCTGTCATTATGATGCTAGCCAACTATGATGCTTTGCCCATTACTTGATGCAATTTCTTCATCATGTCAATGATCTTTACAATTTTGTATATTTTTGCAGTGGCTGGTACTGGTGTTTCCTTTCCATATTTGGTGCTTCCTTCAGGAGCTCTTGTAAGGCAGGCCTGGTGGTGATGAAATCTCTCAGCATTTGCTTGTCTGTAAAGGATTTTATTTCTCCTTCACTTATAAAGCTTAGTTTGGCTCGATATGAAATACTGGGTTGAAAATTCTTTTCTTTAACAATGTTGGATATTGGCCCCCACTTGCTTATGAAGCTTAGTTTGGCTGAATATGAAACACTGGGTTGAAAATTCTTTTCTTTAAGAATGTTGAATATTGGTCTTCACTCTCTTCTGGGTTATAGAGGTTCTGCAGAGAGTTCTGCTGTTAGTCTAATGAGCTCCCTTTGTGGGTAACCTGACCTTTCTCTCTGGCTGCCCTTAACTTTTTTTCCTTTGTTTCAACCTTGGAGAATCTGACAATTATGTGTCTTGGGGTTGCTCTTCTCGAGGAGTATCTTTGTGATGTTCTCTGTATTTCCTGAATTTGAATGCTGGCCTGTCTTACTAGGTTGGGGAATTTCTCCTGGGTAATGTCCTGAAGAGTGTTTTCCAACTTGGTTCGATTCTCCCCATCACTTTCAGGTACACCAATCAAATGTATGTTTGGTCTTTTCACATAGTACCATATTTCTTGAGGCTTTGTTCATTCCTTTTCATTCTTTTTTCTCCAATCTTGTCTTCAAGCTTTATTTCATTAAGTTGATCTTCAACCTCTGATATCCTTTCTTCTGCTTGATCAATTTGGCTATTGATACTTGTGTATGCTTCATGAAAATGTCTTGCTGTGTTTTTCAGCTCCATCAGGTGATTTGTGTTCTTCTCTAAACTGGTTATTCTAGTTAGCAATTCCTCTAACCTTTTTTCAAGGTTCTTAGCTTCCTTGCATTGGGTTAGAACATGCTCCTTTAACTTGGAGGAGTTTGTTATTACCCACCTTCTGAAGCCTACTTCTGTCAATTCATCAAACTCATTCTCTGTCCAGTTTTGTTCCCTTGCTGGCAAGCAGTTGTGATCCTTTTGAGGAGAAAAGGCATTCTGGTTTTTGGAATTCTCTGCCTTTTTGCACTGGTTTTTCCTCATCTTCTTGGATTTATCTACCTTTGGTCTTTGATGTTGGTGACCTTTGGATGGGGTTTTTGTGTGGACGTCCTTTTTGTAGATGTTGATGCTATTCCTTTCTGTTTGTTAGTTTTCCTTCTAACAGTCAGGCCTCTCTGCTGCAGGTCTCCTGAAGTTTGCTGGAGGTCCACTCCAGACCGTGTTTGCCTGGGTATCTCCAGCGGAGGCTTCAGAACAGCAAAGATTGCTGCCTGTTCCTTCCTCTGGAAGCTTCATCCCAGAGGGGCACCCACCAGATGCCAGCCAGAGCTCTCCTGCATGAGGTGTCTGTTGATCCCTGCTGGGAGTTGTCTCTCAGTCAAGAAGCACAGAGGTCAGGGACTTACTTGAGGAGGCAGTGTGTCCCTTAGCAGATCTCAAACGCTGTGCTGGGAGATCCACTGCTCTCTTCAGAGCTGGCAAGTAGGAACGTTTAAGTCTGCTGAAGCTGTGCCCACAGCTCTCCCTTCCTCTTGGTGCTCTATCCAAGGGAGATGGTAGTTTTATCTATAAGTCCCTGACTGGGGCTTCTGCCTTTCTTTCACAGATGCCTTGCCCAGAGAGGAAGAATCTAGAGAGGGAATCTGGCTATAGTGGCTTTCCCAAGCTGCAGTGGGCTCTGCCCAGTTCAAACTTCCTGGCGTCTTTGTTTACACTGTGAGGGGAAAACCGCCTACTCAAGCTTTGGTAATTGTGGACGCCCCTCCCCCAACCAAGTTAGAGCATCCCAGGTCAACTTAGACTGCTGTACTGGCAGTGAGAATTTCAAGCCAGTGGATCTTAGCTTGCTGAGCTCTATGGAGGTGGGATCTGCTGAGCTAGACCACTTGGCCCCCTGGCTTCAGTACCCCCTTTCCAGGGGAGTGAACAGTTCTGTCTCACTGGCATTCCACGTGCCACTGGGGTATGAAAGAAAAAACTCCTGCAGCTAGCTCGGTGTCTGCCCAAATGGCTTCACAGTTTTGTGCTTGAAACCCAGGGCCCTGGTGGTGTAGGCACCCAAGGGAATCTCCTGGTCTGCAGGTTTTGAAGACCATGGGAAAAGCATAGTATCTGGGCTGGAATGCACTGTTCCTCACAGTACAGTCCCTCATGGCTTCCCTTGGCTAGGGGAGGGAGTTCCCCAAGCCCTTGCACTTCCAGGTTGAGGCAACTCCCCACCCTGCTTCTGCTCACCTTCCATGGGCTTCACTCACTGTCTAGCCAGTTCCAATGAGATGAGCTTGGTATCTCAGTTAGAAATGCAGAAATCACCTGCCTTCTGTGTTGATCTCACTGGGAGCTGCAGACTGGAGCTGTTCATATTTGGCCATCCTGCCAGCCACTCTTAGTGTCTTTTTAAAGAAAGGTCTTGCTGTTGGCTTGTATTAAAGCTCATAGAATGTTGATCTTAGTGAGAAATCGAGTGCTGTTGATCTAAGAACTAACATTTGTGAAGCATTTAATGTCAACTCTATATGAAAAACTTCAAATGCATTATCTCATTAATCTTCATGAGAACCCTATGAAATTGAGTATTTTACAGATGAAGAAATTAAGGTGTAGATAGATTAAGCCATTTCTCAATACACACAATTTTTACATGGTAGGACTTGGAATAGAGCCCAATTCTTTTGTCTCCAGAGCCTGTGCTCTTATTCAGCACTGTTCGTTATTTTGGGCATAATATAAAGTGGTAAGTGGGTCTTGTGGGTAATACTCTTTAGGCTTCAAACCCTCAGAGAATCTCAGTACATCATTTCTTACATTAGGGTCCAGTTTTTTGTTTTATCAAGATCTTTGCTGCAAAGTCATAACTGTGGGGACTTGATGGCCAAACTGAGAATATGTAAAAGTGTGGACCAGATACCATGCACTTACGTCAGTGGTTCTCAAAGCATGACACAAGAACTCCTCATAGTTCTGCAGATCCTTCCCAGCTGTTCATGGAGCTACATATCTTTTTTCCAGCTACATATTTATGTACAGCCAAATTTTCTTTATGTGCTTGAAACAAAAAAACATACAGCAACTGATTGAATGCATAAGCAGATCTGAGAATCTGGAAGTCTTGAGCTGGACATTAAAAAGATTTCCAAAAAAAGTCACACAATGCCATTCTTCTCATTAATTTTTTTGTTTTTAAAATATAGACATTTTCTCATACAATGTTATTTATAGCAACATGTAATGGGTTTATTATTGTTATTAATAAATTAATACATATAATTTTTCTAATTTTTAATTTCTTATATGGTAAATATAAAGGGATTTATTTCTCATAAACAACAGCTCTTTGGGGTCCTAAGTAATTTTTAAGACTGTAAAAGGATCTTGAGACCAAAATATTTGAAATCCACTGTCCTATGCAACTTAAACACCATTGCTGGGCACTAACTTTCTACCAATGTGGCTTCTAGCTCTAGCCTTATCAAACTTGAGCAAGATATAGAAATGAAGTCTATAAATTCACCTCTGTATTTGAAATTATCAGATTCTTTCCTTATTTCTCATAATAATCCCATGAGGCAAGTATTATTTTTTGCAATAAAGACACTACTAAGCCAAACCAAAAATCAATAAAATGAAGTAAGAAAATTAAGAGTCATGCTCCACATCACATGTCATCAGGAAATTACAGACTAAAACAATGAGATACCACTACACACCCATTAGAATTACCAAAAATCCAAAACACTGACAATACCAAATGCTTTCAAAGATAGGGAGCAACAGAATCTCTCATTAATTGCCGATGAGAATGCAAAAGAGTGCAGCCACTTTGGAAGACAGTTGATGGGAGTTTCTTACAAAACTAAACATTTTTTATCATGCAATCCACTAATTGAGCTTCTTGGTGTTTACCCAAATTAATCTGAAACTTATCTCTACACAAAAACTTGCACGCAGATGGCTATTGCAGCTTTATTTATATTTTCCAAAAATTGAAAGCAACCAAGATGTCCTTCAGTGGGTATATGGATAAAAAACTGTGGTGTATCCATACAATGGAATATTATTCAGCACTAAAAAGAAATGAGCTATTGAGCCCTGAAAAGACATGGGAGAATCCCAAATGCATGTTATTAAATAAAATACATCAATCTTAAAAGGTTACATACTGGGCTGGGCGCAGTGGCTCACGCCTGTAATCCCAGCACTTTGGGAGGCCGAGGCAGGCAGATCACGAGGTCAGGAGATCGAACCATCCTGGCTAACACAGTGAAACCCCATCTCTACTAAAAATACAAAAAATTAGCCGGGTGTGGTGGCGGGCGCCTGTAGTCCCAGCTACTCAGGAGGCTGAGGCAGGATAATGGCGTGAACCCGGGAGGCAGAGCTTGCAGTGAGCTGAGATCGCACCACTGCACTCCAGCCTGGGTGACAGAGCGAGACTCCACCTCAAAAAAAAAAAAAAAAAGATTGTGTACTATACCATCCTAACTATAGAACATTCTGGAAAAGGCAAAACTAGGAAGACATTTTAAAAATCTGATTGCCAGGAGTTAGAGGGGAAGAAGAAATGAATAGGTGGAACACCGCGGATTTTTAGTGCACCGAAACTATATTCTGTATGATACTATAATGGTAGACACATGCCATCCATAGACTGTGCAACAACAAAGGTGAACCCTGATATAAACGATGGAACTATGGGCTTTGGGTGATAATGGTGTGCCAATGTAGTTCATCGATTGTAACAAAGGTGCCACTCTGATACAGGGATATTATCAGTGGTACAGGCTCTGTACTGGGGGCATATGAGAACTCTCTGTATTTTCTGCTCAATTTTGCTGTGAACCTAAAACTGCTCTAAAAAATAAAGCCTATTTTTTAAAATTAAAGGAGTAAATTTCCTCAGAAGGCAGCTATGTGAGGGAACAGAAGTTACTGTGGAGGACACTAAAGAGGGAGAGTCTTCTGCACCAACTCTCCTGGATACTTCTAGGAATTGGAGATTGATGTCCCAGGTGAATGGCCAAAAGAATAACATGCATTAGTGAATAAAGGTGGGAGGGAATTATCCTCAGATTGTAGACAAAGAAGTAAGACCTGGAGAGGTGAAGAAATGTGTCCATGATCATGCTTAGCAAGAAGCAGCCCAGAAGCTTGTACCCCCAATCTGCTTCACCCTGCATCCCACACTCAGCCAGTGCTCTGCAGCCCACCCAGAGGAAATCCATGGGAAAGCAGAAAGGCGCACCTAACAAAACCTTGTCCAAGAGTTTCCAGAAAACTAATGTAATTGATGAACTATTGGCAAATAGTCAAGAAAGATGAATGCAATTGAAAAAGAGAAATTATCTGTGAAAACCATGACAGTTGATACTATTTTGGGTTCATGTGATTGACATTTTGAAAATTCAAAATATAAAAAGAATATATCCTACACAAATTATCATATGAGCATAATAATATAGGAACAAGGATATCAATTTTCTAATTTTCCTCCCCCCGAACAGGTAGAAAATTCCCATCAATAAGGGGATGGCTAAATAATGGTGTGTGTGTGTGTGTGTGTGTGCACATATTTTGGAATTATAAGCAGCTATATAAACAGACGAAAAAGCTCTCTATATGCTTATGTAAGTGTTCCTCCATGAAATGAAATATAGTTGAGTGAAGAAAGTAACATGTAACATAAACCTCATGGAAGGAGGTCCATTAAATAATTTACAGGTCTGATATTCAGATTGTTTTCAAATAAAATCAAGGGGCTACTGCTACATGACACTTACCTAGAAGGCTTAATAATGTAAGCACTATGTAGCATTTATGTTTGATCTAGATAGCATACTCACATAGGCAAGCCTGTCTGAAAAAATCTCTAACAGGTTAGCGCAGTCTACAAAGTCAGCTCTTCCTCTGGGCTCTTTTTTAAACAAAACTATATAAATATGTTTTTAAAACAAAACTATATAAATTTGTGTTTGTCAGCTTATCTTCTTTCCCCCTCAGCCAGAATATTAGGTCTCTAACATCTAGAACAGTCTCTGCCACACAGTAGATGCTCAACAAACATTTGTTACTTGACTGAATATATATTTCAGTTCAAAACAGTAGAAAATTAATATGAAAGATTAATCAATGGAGAGAAGAAAGTAATATTTTAAGGGTACCTAATCTATTTCAAGCACTTAATTAGATACTTTATACTCGTTATTCTTTTTAATATTCACAAAATTCCTAAAAATAAAAAGAGAAAATTAAGGCTTAGAAAGATTAAATAATTTACCAAAGATTACACATTTAGTCCAGGATTCAAAAGTAGGCCTTCTTGATTTCACAGCGCTTGAGCACATGGTCAAGTGGAATCAGTCATAGAATTCCAGAATCTTCTTGGTGATGTCTTGCATGGTAGCTTGATATCTTGTTTATATTATATTCCCAATAAAAAATAAAATGGAAGTGCAAATCTTGGTGTTCATAGCTCCCTAGAGCAAATAGGTCTAAGAAATATAGCTGTAGATGTAAGAGATCTTGTGGATGCTGTAAATTCATAGAGTGAAAGAAGTTTTTATCGATATCTAAGCTTGTATTATGCAGCATAATTGGTGTTTCCACATTAATCCTCCAAAGCACTCTGAAGGGCAGATCTTATGCTCCCCATTTTGAGACATGAGGAAACTGAGGGTCTGAAAGGTTAAGCAACTTCTCCAAAGTCACATAGATGATGAATGTTCAAGCTTTGAGTTTCCCTAGGTTTGTCTGCCTCCAGAATTCCTGCTCTTCCCAGATTCTTCATGACCTTCTTTATTTAGTGATCAAGACATGGCCTTTCCAGGACATGGCCCTCTTAAATACCAGGCCTCATTCCCTCAAAGGCTCAGATCCAGCCAACCCACCACTGAAAGCCAGGAGAAGCAGGGAGAGGGCTGGGCTGGCCTCCCTGAGCTTTGGCTGAGTACTTTCTGGTAATAACCCTTAAAGACAAAATGTATCAGAAACGAGACCCTACTGCAGATTAAGCCTCACGTTCTCTGTCCTCGTACAATAGAATTTGTCATTAAGTAGCTGTCAGTTTCTTCCAGATCACTGTATTATGTATGGGTTGCAGGTCTACCAATTAGTTTGAGCAAGTGCTAAAAATAAATAAATGATGAGGAGCCTTCTATTTTCATCCAGGATAATTAGGGCCTGCATTTGGGGTGATGAGGTGGAGTGGGGGTGGGGGAAGTCCAAGGAAACATTAAAGACAACGTGCAGCTTTTGAACATCATTCGACAAAGCCAACGGTCCACTCTGCAGTTTCTGTTTACAAATCGACCAACTGCCCCTACTGGGCCCTCTTCCTTGGGTCTAGGGCTGAAGACTGGAGAGAGGCAATTATGGGGTGCTCATGATTTTATTCTTTCTTAAGATCCTCTTATATAACCGATTTGTTGTGCAATCGAGCAGTTGGCAGTTCAAGGAAGCTGGCTCGTACCTTAGATAAGAAGTTGAATTATTCCAGAGGACATTTGGAGGCAGGCAGGCTGGGACACGCCGAGAAGTGATCTGGGCCTCCTACACAGGACATGGTATTTTAGCTGTGAAGTTCCCTATATGTAAGCCACATGAGTCCCCCATTTCCTGAGCATCTGTATTTGGTGAGCACTGGAAACCTCTTGCTTTCCCACTGAAGGCCCCTTGTTTCCTCTTGCTAGAGTCAAAAACATGACCCAGTTACAACAGAGGCACAGAAGAGCAGCTTGGTAGGAAGAGGAGAAGAGGGGAGGGAGGGGAGGGACGAGGCAGTCTCCATATTTGAAAATAAAAATGATCCCAGAGAATCATAAGCATGTTAATGTACAAGTTCAAGGTTACATACATGCCGAGACATGCACACTCACACACACAGTAACAAACACAACCAGGGCAATAGCCGGTGGTGGCAGACTCAAGTAAGAAGAGGAAAGGGGAGAAAAGAGAATCAAACACATCATGTGGAGAAGCTAAATGATCTGTAAATTGTCAGAGATGGCTTTCTTTTCATGAGAAAATTGGAGCAAATCCTAGAAATCTACATTAGAATGTTTATTTCCTGGCAGATTTGCTGCTCAGTCATAATAGGATGTCAGCGGCCTTCAGTGCCTACATCTTCCCGCATCCCATGAACTCACGTGGGAAATACCTGGAGCCCAGATCTTCCTGAGAGAGCTGCGGAAAAACCTGACACCTGCTCAGGGCTTTTTCATAATCAAAGGTAATGACAGAGAAAATGAATATGCCACTTTCTCCCACTGTCAGCTTATTTTTATTGTGCTCCATTTTCAAATCCTGGGGGTGCATGTGGCAGGTAAATGTCTTTTGTGTGTGTATGTTTTGATAAAAGAAAGATAAGGCCACGCAGTAAGATCCTATACCCAAGGGATTCTAGTGACATGATGGACACTTTAATCTCCATATTTCTGGTCCCTACCGACCGTGAGTAATAAAGGTGTTAGAATATCCTGATTTAAAGCTTCTCTCCATTCATAACTGGGTGTGCCTATTCATAGAACCCTGGTCTATTTGGGGAGCAAATAAAAACTTGCCATGACCAAGACAAGGCGGTGAGAGTCATGGACAGGAAGCTGCCTCCTGCCTCCAGCTTTGATGAGGAGAGAAGCATCATCAGACCCTCCAGCTGAGAGGGACTCTACTTCTTCTGTGCTGCCCTTGGTTGAAGACGTGGTGCACCCCCGCCTCAGTCACTAGCCGCAGGCCTTCTGGAAACAAAAAGGATGGAGGTTGATGATTAGGACAAAGAGAGATGACAGAAACAGAAGGCTGCAGTGTGGAGGTGAGAGAAGTAGAGAATGGAGGGAAGTAGCAGAGTAGGGCTGGAGGTGATGTAAAGGAAGTGAAAAACTGCCCTGGTGCATAGGAATGAAGCCACATCAAGCTGCAATAAATCTACAAATCACCCTCCCCAGAGGGAGATCCTAAGAAGTATGCTGTCTCCCGGGGATGTGCCATGCAATCCCTGCTTACCACTAGGACTTTGGGTTTGCTGGTGGCCAGGGAGGGTGTACAAGCTCAGGAGGGAACCTAAGTGTTGCAAACAAGGGTCTTCATATGGGGATTTTCCCAAGTCTTTTTTCAGGGGAGAAAGCTGAAAAGAAGGAAAGCAACCAGGAAGAGACAAGAGGAGAAAGACTGAGATGTTAAAGGAGATGTTTAGGAAGTTCTTTTCCCAGGGAAATCTGCACTGCTCCCCAGTGCTTTGGAGTTGAATGAGCATGTGAGGGGTTGGGAAGAGAGGCTGAATTAGGACTCAGTATGAGGCCTGGTGCAGGGTAGAAACCTTCCACAGCAGGCTCACTGTTTACATCCAGGTTTTTCTCTGAAGATGGTTAGATAAGTTTTCAGTGCAAAATCATAATTCTTATAGCATTTCCCCTTGGTATCTTAACTTCTACAAATACTTAATTTGTCCTGAGACCTGATTTTCGTGTACTTATCAGATAATCTGTCAATAAATTACTGTTTTAAAGAGCCCACTACACACCTAGAACTGAACAAGGCAATTCGAAGGCTATAAAACAAGCAGATAAGATAGTCAATGGCCTCAAGGTGGTTCTAGTCTCCTTGTCTCCAAGGAGGCAGGTAATCTAGGAGACGAAATGTGGCAGTGAAAATATGTATCATAATTATTCTAAGCACAACAGGAGTTCAGAGAATGGAAACAGCCAGAATCATATCCACCATTTACTGGTAATGGCAAGGTCATATGCATCATCATTCTCAACGTTTTATAAACATATTAATACTTTTAATCTTCCCAACAACCTAGTGATATTGTTGTACCCATTTTACAGATAAGAAAGTGAGGCTTAAAGAGGATAGGTAAGTTTTCCATGGTCTCCACACAAAAAGGATCTGAGGTAGGGTTTAAAACTTAAGCTTGTCTGATTTAAACTATGGCGTTTTAACCACAGACATTGCATCTACATTCCACGGTGGGGGGCAGAGAAGGAAAGGAGAAAGACAAAGGCACGCACCAGCTGGGTTTTCCCTTTTATCGGGAAAACCATAGCTCTCCCAGAATTCTTGTGTAGTAGAGTTGCTCATCGGCAGAACTAAGTCATCCACCCCTAGATGCAGGGATAACAGGAAAGATATTTTTACTTGGGTGTGTTGCTATTGACTCCCTCCCCCACGTTACTGGAGCTATTGTAATAAAAAAGGAGGGGAGACTAGATACTTAATAGGCAACCAGAGGCATCTGCCTCACTGAGCATCTTTCATACATCATGGCATGATGCTGTTGCAGGGTGCTATGTAGTCTGGACAAGGATATTCAAAGTAGAAATTAGAAGAAAACAAAAAGATCCAAAGAATACTTTAAAGATAAAAATAACTTACTTGAAGATAGATTGAATTGAGGTCCTAAAAAAGAGGGATGAATAAATGATGATTCCTAGGAGAATGGGAATGTGGTGAGCAGTAAAAAGGTAGATTGTATTGGTCAGAAGATAGCGTGGTTTTGTCCATGTTGAGTTTGAAATGATAGTAGGACATCCAAGTAGATATGACCTCTGAGTTGGTGGAAATTACAAATCCTGGGAGCAAAATATTTGCCAGGGATGGAGATGACAGCCTCAAAATGATACTGTAGTGATGGGTAAGTTTATTAAAGCAAAGAGGGTAACAGGACAAAAACAGAGGTCAAAGGATATTGAAGGAGCAGGCTCACTTACATAAGAGGAAGAAAATGAGCTGAGAAAGTGAAAAAAAAATTTTCTAGGAGTTCAAAGAAGAATTGGGAAAGTGGACTTTCATAGAACACTGGATTAGAGTGAAATTCAAGATGGAGGTTAATTGTTAAATGTAGCCAAGGAGTTAAAGAGAAAGAGAACTAAGAAAGACTTCTTATTTGGCAAAAAGGAGATAATTACTATCTAGGGCAGCAGAATGGAGAAGAATGGAGGGGAACAGAAGTCAAAAGATGGTTGTTGTTCTCCACAGAGGCCCACAGCAGCTTTAAGAAGTATGTTTCGAATTAAATAATGGTTTAATTATGTCTTCTATTTATATATTATTTTAATGACAATGTGGTTCTTTAAAATTGTGTTATTCTTACGTAGCAGGTATGACAACTCTTTAAAACCTGAATATTCATGAATCACTTCATTGCCATTCCCTGATCATAGCAGAAAACATGTATTTTGTAGAAGATTACATGGATTAGATAATGGGCAAACAGATAAAGAATAATTTTACACTCTGTGTGTTTTTTTTTTTTTTAATCCTCAGTCCTCTTATGTTAAAAATCATCCACCTGTCTTAGCCCTGAAAAGCATTCCCACATGCTCTGTGCCCAACTTCAAGGGCCTGGCACTTCCCAAAGTCCAGCTTCCTTTAAAGTCTTTGAAGTATCTGTGGGAGAAACTGGAGGATTTGAGACAAGCAGTGCCTTTTTGGTCATCTGAGTGCCAAGTCTCCATCACCACTTCTTGAGACTAAAGGCTATTTTTAAAGTGCAATGGTTTCCCCCTTTCTGTGAAAGAATTGCCATCATGAGCTATGGATGCTACAAGAGCAGGGACCCAGTGGAACAGCAAATCTATAGGCCATGATTTGTAAGGATGTGGAACATTCACAGGTTTAAAAACATTCCATTTAAATAATTTCTCAATAAGATGAAAGCAATGAGTCATTTGAAAAATGCATCAATACTTTACAGTTGTTCCCCAATTCAAGTCCGCAGAAGACACTTTAGGAGTATTTCTCAAAGTGTTATTATATAAGATGACTTTAGGTAATATAGAATGAGCAATTGATTAGTCAGCATAGGTTAAGTTAGGCTGCAGTAACGAATGACCTATAAGAAAATCTCAGTGGCTTACAATAAAAAACATTTATCTCCCACTCCCAAACCTGTAGGTTGCCAGTGGGTTTCAGCTTTGTTTCATATTTTCTTCTTTTCAGTACTAGGCTAAAGTACAGTCTTGAGGCTGGGAAAGAATTGTGACCAGTCCAGGAAATGCCACTTAAATCTTCTGCTTAGGAGCAGCAAACATCACTGGACAAAGCCAGTCAAGTGACTGAGCCTGACATCAACAGAGATGGAAATGAGACCATCCCGGTACAGTGGTAGGGCTCAGTGGGGTAGAGTAGCAAACATTCTGAACAAATTACTTTAATTATAATATATTTGTTTTAATGTATATTATGGAAATGTAATCAAACCTATGATTTCACATATAGTATTTTCTAAAATGCTGAAGTAAAAACATGAACCAATGTGAAGAGTGATTCTATGTAAACAGTGGTACATTTGGCATGATGAGATGACAAAAATCATGATGGTGATGTACAGATGACTAGAGTTTGGAAAACAACATGCTAAAGTGTCAAGTGGTGTCTCTTTTCCTCTTAGTAAATAAAGGACATTAAATACAACTAGCTTCTTATTTGTTGACTGAGAAACCAACCAAGACTCTAGATCCTTATCAAGCACATCAGAGGCTGTCTATTTGTACTTTAGATAGATACAGATAGAGAACAAAGAGGGTGTTATGGACTTAACTGTGTGCCCCTAAAATTCATATGTTGAAGCTCTAACCCCCAATGTAACTGTATTTAGAAACAGGCTTTTTTTTTTTTTTTTTTTTTTTTAACTGGAGACGGAGTCTCACTCTGTCGCCCAGGATGGAGTGCAGTGGTGCAATCTCGGCTCACTGCAACCTCTGCCTCCTGGGTTCACTCCATTCTCCTGCCTCAGCCTCCCGAGAAGCTGGGACTACAGGCACCCGCCACCATGTCCGGCTAATTTTTTTTATTTTTAGTAGAGACGGGGTTTAGAGACAGGGTTTTTACAAAGGTAATCGAGTTTAAATGAGGTCATAAGGGTGGGGCCCTAATGTACCAGGTCGGGTGACCTCATAAGAAGAGGAGACAAAACCAGAGTGCGTGCTCTCTGTCTGTGCACATGGAAAAGAGGTCATGAGAAGAGGCAAAGAGGTCATGAGGACATCCTGAGAAGGCAGTCTTCTTACAAACCAGGAAGTGAGACCTCACCATAAACCAAATTTTCTGGCACCTTGATCTTGGACTTCCAGACTCCAGAACTGTGAGAACTTAATTTCTGTTGTATAAATCACCCAGGTTTTGGTATTTTGTAACACAAGCTGACTAATACAGACGGTAATATTAAACAAACATTTATAGAGCACTAATTACATGCCAAAATGTTATATTAGTACCTGTAGAGGATACAGAGATAAATCATGTGTGCATTGTCCTCAAGGGAAATGGAAACATGTACAGAAATGATTTTTACTTGCATAAAAAGACAAGTCGCAGATATACCTCATTTTATTGGGCTTTGCTTTATTGCGCTTCACAGATATTGCATTTTTACAAATTGAGATTTGTGGCAACCCTGTGTCAATCAAGTCTATCCGTGCCATTTTTCTGAGAACATGTGCTCACTTCATGTTTCTGTGTTAGTACTTTTTAGCAATATGATATTTTTAAATTAAGGCATGTACATTTTTTAGACATAATGCAATTGCACATTTAATAGACTACAATAGAGTGTAAACATAACTTTTTTTATTATGCTTTAAGTTCTAGGGTACATGTGCACAATATGCAGGTTTGTTACATAGGTATACATGTGCCATGTTGGTTTGCTGCACCCATTAACTTGTCATTTACATTACATTAGGTATTTCTCCTAATGCTATCCCTCCCCCTGGCCCCCACCCCATGACAGGCCCCCATGTGTGATGTTCCCTGCCCTGTGTCCAAGTGTTCTCACTGTTCAATTCCCACCTATGTTTGGTTTTCTGTCTGCAATAGTTTGCTCAGAATGATGGTTTCCAGCTTCATCCATGTCTCTGCAAAGGACATGAACTCATCTTTTTTTATGGCTGTATAGTATTCCATGGTGTATATGGACCACATTTTCTTAATCCAGTCTATCATTGATGGACACTTGGGTTGGATCCAAGTTTTTGCTATTGTGAATAGTGCCACAATAAACATACGTGTGCATGTGTCTTTATAATAGCATGATTTATAATCCTTTGGGTGTATACCCAGTAATGAGATCGCTGGGTCAAATGGTATTTCTAGCTCTAGATCCTTGAGGAATCACCACACTGTCTTCCACAATGGTTGAACTAGTTTACACTCCCACCAACAGTGTAAAAGTGTTCCTATTTCTCCACATCTTCTCCAGCATCTGTTGTTTCCTGACTTTTTAATGATTCTAACTGGTGTGAGATGGTATTCTAACTGGTATAAGATGGTATCTTATTGTGGTTTTGATTTGCATTTTTCTGATGACCAGTGATGATGAGCATTTTTTCATGTGTCCGTTGGTTGCATAAATGTCTTCTTTTGAGAAGTGTCTCTTCATATCCTTTGCCCACTTTTTGATGAGGTTGTTTTTTTCTTATAAATTTGTTAAAGTCCTTTGTTGATTCTGTATATTAGCCCTTCATCAGATGGGTAGATTGCAAAAGTCTTCTCCCATTCTGTAGGTTGCCTGTTCACTCTTTTTGCTGTGTAGAAGCTCTTTAGTTTAATTAGACCCCATTTGTCTATTTGGGTTTTTGTTGCCATTGCTTTTGGTGTTTTAGTCATTAAGTCCTTGCCTGTACCTGTGTCCTGAATGGTATTGCCTAGGTTTTCTTCTAGGGTTTTTAGGACTAACATTTAAGTCTTTAATCCATCTTGAATTAATTTTTGTATAAGGTGTAAGGAAGGGATCCAGTTTCAGCTTTCTACATATGGCTAGCCAGTTTTCCCAGGACCATTTATTAAATAGGGAATCCTTTCCCCATTGCTTGTTTTTGTCAGGTTTGTCAAAGATCAGATGGTTGTAGATATGTGGCATTATTTCTGAGGCCTCTGTTCTGTTCCATTGGTCAATATATCTGTTTTGGTACCAGTGCCATGCTGTTTTGGTTACTGTAGCCTTGTAGTATAGTTTGAAATCAGGTAGCAAGATGCCTCCAGCTTTGTTCTTTTTGCTTAGGATTGTTTCGGCAATGTGGGCTCTTTTTTGGTTGCATATGAACTTTAAAGTAGTTTTTCCAGTTCTGTGAAGAAAGTCAATGGTAGCTTGATGGGGATGGCATTGAATCTATAAATTGCCTTGGGCAGTATGGCCATTTTCACGATATTGATTCTTCCTATCCATGAGCATGGAATGTTCTTCTATTTGTTTGTGTCCTCTTTTATTTCACTGAGCAGTGGTTTGTAGTTCTCCTTGAAGAGGTCCTTCACATCCCTTGTAAGTTGGATTCCTAGGTATTTTATTCTCTTTGTAGCAATTGTGAATGGGAGTTCACTCATGATTTCACTCTCTGTTTGTCTGCTATTAGTGTATAGGAATGCTTGTGATTTTTGCACATTGATTTTGTATCCTGAGACTTTGCTGAAGTTGCTTATCAGCTTAAGGAGATTTTGGGCTGAGACAATAGGGTTTTCTGAATATACAATCATGTCATCTGCAAACAGGGACAATTTGACTTCCTCTTTTCCTAATTGAATGCCATTTATTTCTTTCTCTTGCCTAACTGCCCTGGCCAGACCTTGCAATACTATGTTGAATAGGAGAGGTGAGAGAGGGCATCCCTGTCTTGTGCCAGTTTTCAAAGGGAATGCTTCCAGTTTTTGCCCATTCAGTATGATATTGGCTGTGGGTTTGTCTTAAATAGCTCTTATTATTTTGAGATACATTCCATCAACACCTAGTTTATTGAGAGTTTTTAGCATGAAGGGCTGTTGAATTTTGTCAAAGGCCTTTTCTGTATCTATTGAGATAATCATGTGGTTTTTGTCTTTGGTTCTGTTTATGTGATGGATTACGTTTATTGATTTGTGTATGTTGAACCACCCTTGCATCCCAAGGATGAAGCTGACTTGATCCTGGTGGATAAACTTTTTGATGTGCTGCTGGATTTGGTTTGCCAGTATTTTATTGAGGATTTTTGCATCGATGTTCATCAGGGATGTTGGTCTAAAATTCTCTTTTTTTGTTGTGTCTCTGCCAGGCTTTGGTATCAGGATGAGGCTGGCCTCATAAAATGAGTTAGGGAGGATTCCCTCTTTTTCTATTAATTGAAATAGTTTCAGAAGGAGTCGTACCAGCTCCTTCTTGTACCTCTGGTAGAATTCAGCTATGAATCTGTCTGGTCCTGGACTATTTTCATTGGTGGGCTATTAATTATTGCCTCAATTTCAGAGCCTGTTATTGGTCTATTCAGGGATTCAACTTCTTCCTGGGTTAGTCTTGGGAGGGTGTATGTGTCCAGAATTTATCCATTTCTTCTAGATTTTCTAGTTTATTTGCATAGAGGTGTTTATAGTATTCTCTGATGGTAGTTTGTATTTCTGTGGGATTGGCAAAGATATCCCCTTTATCATTTTTTATTGCATCTATTTCATTCTTCTCTCTTTTCTTCTCTATTAGTCTTGCTAGTGGTCTATCAATTTTGTTAATCCTTTCAAAAAACCAGCTCCTGGATTCATTGATTTTTTGAAGGTTTTTTTAATGTCTCTATCTCCTTCAGTTCTTCTCTGATCTTAGTTGTTTCTTGCCTTCTGCTAGCTTTTGAATTTGTTTGCTCTTGTTTCTCTAGTTCTTTTAACTGTGATGTTAGGATGTCGATTTTAGATCTTTCCTGCTTTCTCCTGTGGGCATTTAGTGCTATAAATTTCCTTCTACACACTGCTTTAAATGTGTCCCAGAGATTCTCGTATGTTGTGTCTTTGTTCTCATTGGTTTCAAAGAACATCTTTATTTTTGCCTTCATTTCGTTATTTATCCAGTAATCATTCAGGAGCAGGTTGTTCAGTTTCCATGTAGTTGTGCGGTTTTCAGTGAATTTCTTAGTCCTGAATTATAATTTGATTGCACTGTGGTCTGAGAGACAGTTTGTTGTGATTTCTGTTATTTTATATTTGCTGAGGAGTGCTTTACTTCCAACTATGTGGTCAATTTTGGAATAAGTGTGATGTGGTGCTGGGAAGAATGTATATTCTGTTGATTTGGGATGGAGAGTTCTGTAGATGTCTATTAGGTCTGCTTGGTGCAGAGCTGAGTTCAAGTCCTGGATATCCTTATTAACCTTCTGTCTCGTTGGTCTGTCTAATATTGACAGTGGGGTGTTAAAGGCTCCCATTATTACTGTGTTGGAGTCTAAGTCTTTTTGTAGGTCCTAAGGACTTCCTTTATGAATCTGGGTGGTCCTGTATTGGGTGCATATATATTTAGGATAGTTAGCTCTTCTTGTTGCATTGATCCCTGTACCATTATGTAATGGCCTTCTTTGTCTTTTTGATCTTTGTTGGTTTAAAGTCTGTTTTATCAGAGACTAGGATTGCAACCCCTGTTTTTTTTGCTTTCCATTTGCTTGGTAGATCTTCCTCCATCCTTTTATTTTGAGCCTGTGTGTGTCTCTGCACGTGAGATGGGTCTCCTGAATATAGCACACTGATGGATCTTGTCTCTTTATCAAATTTGCCAGTCTGTGTCTTTTAATTGGGGCATTTAGCCCATTTACATTTAAGGTTAATACTGATATGTGTGAATGTGATCCTGTCATTATGATGTTAGTTGGTTATTTTGCCCATTAGTTGATGCAGTTTCTTCTTAGCCATCGATGGTCTTTACAATTTGGCATGTTTTTGCAGTGGCTGGTACTGGTTGTTCCTTTCCATGTTTACTTCTTCCTTAGGGAGTTCTTGTAAGGCAGGCCTGGTGGTGACAAAATGTCTCAGCCTTTGCTTGTCTGTAAAGGATTTTATTTCTCCTTCACTTATGAAGCTTTGTTTGGCTGGATATGAAATTCTGGGTTGAAAATTCTTTTCTTTAAGAATGTTGAATGTTGGCCCCCACTCTCATCTGGCTTGTAGAGTTGCTGCCAAGAGATCTGCTGTTAGTCTGATGGGCTTTCCTTTCTGGGTAACCCGACCTTTCTCTCTGGCTGCCCTTAACATTTTCCCCTGCATTTCAACCTTGGTGAATCTGACAATTATGTGTCTTGGGGTTGCCCTTCATAGATACACACAAAGGAGTATCTTTGTGGTGTTCTCTGTACTTCCTGAATTTGAATGTTGGCCTGCCTTGCTAGGTTGGGGAAGTTCTCCTGGATAATATCCTGAAGAGTGTTTTCCAACTTGGTTCCATTCTCCCTGTCACTTTCAGGTACACCAATCAAACGTATATTCGGTCTTTTCACATAGTCCCATATTTCTTGGAGGCTTTGTTTGTTTCTTTTTACTCTTTTTTCTCTAAACTTCTCTTCTCACTTTATTTCATTAATTTGATCTTCAATCACTGGTGCCCTTTCTTCCACTTGTTTGAATTAGCTATTGAAGCTTGTGCATGCATCACGTAGTTCTCATGTCATGTTTTTCAGCTCCCTCAGGTCATTTAAGGTCTTCTCTACACTGTTTATTCTAGTTAGCCATTTGTCCTATCTTTTTTCAAGGTTTTTAGCTTCCTTGCGATGGGTTCGAACATCCTCCTTTAGCTAGGAGCAGTTTGTTATTACTGACCCTCTGAAGCCTACTTCTGTCAACTCATCAAAGTCATTCTCTGTCCAGCTTTGTTTCATTGCTGGTGAGGAGCTGCAATCCTTTGGAGGAGAAGAAGTCCTCGGTTTTTAGAATTTTCAGCTTTTGTGCTCTGGTTTCTCCCCATCTTTGTGGTTTTATCTAACTTTGGTCTTTGATGCTGATGACCTACAGCTGGGGTTTTGGTGTGGATGTCCTTTTTGTTGATGTTGATGCTATTCCTTTCTGTTTGTTAGTTTTCCTTCTAAGAGTGAGGTCCCTCAACTGCAGGTCTGTTGGAATTTGCTGGAGGTCCACTCCAGACCCTGTTTGCCTGGGTATCACCAGCAGAGGCTGCAGGACAGCAAATATTGCAGAACAGCAAATATTGCTGCCTGTTCCTTCCTCTGGAAGCTTCGTCCCAGAGGGGCACCCGCCTGTATGAGGTGTAAGTCAGCCCCTACTGGGAGATGTCTCCCAGTTAGGCTACATAGGGGTCAGAAATCCATTTGAGGAGGCAGTCTGTCCATTCTCAGAGCTCAAACACCATGCTCGGAGAACCACTGCTCTCTTCAGAGCTGTCAGACAGGGACATTTAAGTCTGCAGAGGTTTCTGCTGCCTTTTTGTTCATCTATGCCCTGCCCCCACAGGTGGGGTCTACAGAGGCAGCAGGCCTTGCAGAGCTGTGTGGGCTCCATCCAGTTCGAGCTTCCCTGGCCACTTTGTTTACCTACTCAAGCCTCAGCAATGGTAGACGCCCCTCCCCCTGCCAGGCTGTTGCCTTGCAGGTTGATCTCAGACTGCTGCACTAGCAGTGAGAAAGGCTCCATGGGTGTGGGACCCACTGAGCCAGGCGCAGGATATAATCTCCTGGTGTGCCATTTGCTAAGACCATTGGAAAAGCTCAGTATTTGGACAGGAGTGTCCCAATTTTCCAGGTACAGTCTGTCATGGCTTTTCTTGGCTAGGAAAGGGAAATCCCCCAACCCCTTGTACTTCCTGGGTGAGGCGATTCCCCACCCTGCTTCAATTCACCCTCCGTGGGCTGCACCCACTGTCCAACCAGGCCCAATGAGATGAACCAGTTACCTCAGTTGGAAATGCAGAAATCACCATCTTCTGCATTGATCATGCTGGGAGCTGTGGACCAGAGCTGTTCCTATTTGGCCATCTTGGAATGGAATCTCCATAACTTTTATATATATTGAGAAACAAAAAAAAGAAGTGTGTCTCATTTTATTGCAATATTCACTTTATTGTGGTGGTCTGGAACCAAACCCACAGTATATTTGGAGTATTCCAGCACAGGCAAAATTCTTGGGAGTTCAGGGTGGGAACTGGTGGAATTATGGCAGGGTCAATAGTAGAGATGCCAATTAATGTTTAGAGTATAATAAGAGAAGGAAAGGAAAGATCATTTCAGGTGGAGGGCATAGAAGATGTCAAGGTGCAGAGGTGGGGATGTAGAGTGGTAGAAAGCTAGCTGGGACCAGAGTGTAAAAGGACTTAAGTTACCTGACAATAGGCATAATTGCTTTCCTGTAGGCACTTTGAGGACACATTTTAAGTTGGAGCATGGCTTTGATCAGATCTGGGTTTAAAAGAGTATCTTGTAGCCATGAAATGAATTAGATGGGGGAGAGATGTTTGGTAAAGGAAGGAGCAAAGAAAGGAAGGCAGAAAGCAGGGAGAGTAATCTAGATCAGAGACTTCTGCAACTTTTTTTCTTTCTCTTTCTTTCTTCTTTCTTTCTTTCTCTTCCCTTTCCTTCCTTTCTTCCTTCCTTTTTCCCCTCCCTCCCTCTCTCCTTCTCCCTTCCTTCCTTCCTTTCTTTCTCTTTCTTTTTTCTTTCTTTCTTTCCTTCTTCTTTCTTTCTTTCCTTCCCTTTCCCTTCCTTCCCTTTTCCCTCCCTCCCTCCCCCTTTCTTTCCCTCTTTCTTTCTGTCTTTCTTCTTTCTTTCTTTTTCTTTCTTTCCTTCTTTCCTTCCTTCCTTCTTTCTTTCCTTCTTCTTTCTTTCTTTCCTTCCCTTTCCCTTCCTTCCCTTTTTCCTCTCTCCCTCCCCCTTTCTTTCTTTCCCTCTTTCTTTCTGTCTTTCTTCTTTCTTTCTTTCTTTTTCTTTCTTTCCTTCTTTCCTTCCTTCCTTCTTTCTTTTTCTCTTTCTTTCTTTTTTAATGTTCTTTTTGTCCAATCGTAGGTTTTGGGGGAACAGGTGGTATTTGGTTACATGAGTTAGTTCTTTAGTGGTGCTTTCTGAGATTTCAGTGCACCCATCACCTGAGCAGTATACACTGAACCAAATTTGTAGCCTTTTATCCCTCACCCCTTTCCCAGCCATTCCCCCTGAGTCCCCAAAGTCCATTGTATCATTCTTATGCCTTTACATCCTCATAGCTTAGCTCCCATCTATAAATGAGAACATACAATGCTTGGTTTTCCATTCGTGAGTTACTTCACTTAGCATAATAGTCTCCAATCCCATCCAGGTTGTTGTGAATGCCATTAATTCATTCCTTTTTATGGCTGAATAGTATTCCATCATACATATATATATATATATATATATATATATATATATACTACAGTTTCTTTACCCACTTATTGACTGATGGGAATTTGGGCTGGTTCCATATTTTTGCAATTGCAAATTGTGCTGCTATAAATATATGTCCAAGTACCTTTTTCATATAACGACATCATTCCCTCTGGGTAGGTACCCAGTGGTGGAATTGTTGAATCAAATGTTAGTTTTACTTTTAGTTAAGGAATCTCCACACTGTTTTCCATAGTGGTTTTACTAGTTTACATTCCCACCAGCAATGTAGGAGTGTTCTGTGTTCACTGCATCCACACCAACATCTATTATTATTCTATCTTTTGATTCTGGCCATTTTTGTGGGAGTAAGGTGGTATCACATCACGGTTTTGATTTGCATTTCCCTGATCATTAGTGATGTTGAGCATTTTTTCATACATTTGTTGGCCACTTGTATATCTTCTTTTGAGAATTGTCTATTCATGTCCTTAGCCCACTTTTTGATGGGATTGTTTTTTTCTTGCTAATTTGTTTAAGTTCCTTAAAGACTCTGGATATTAGTACTTTGTCAGATGTATAGATTATGAAGATTTTCTTCCACTCTGTGGGTTGTCTGTTGACTCTGCTGAGTTCCTTTTGCTGTGCAAAGCTCTTTAGTTTAATTTAGTCCCACCTATTTGTCTTTGTTTTTGTTGCATTTGCTTTTGGGAGCTTGGCCATGAAATCTTTGCCTAAGCCAATGTCTAGAAGGGTTTTTCCGATGTTACCTTCTAGTATTTTTATAGTTTCAGGTCTTAGATTGAACTATTTGATCCATCTTGATTTGATTTTGGCATAAAGTGAGAGATGAGGATCCAGTTTCATTCTCCTGCATATGGCTTGCCAATTATCCCAGCACCATTTGTTGAATAGGGTGCCCTTTTCCCACTTTATGTTTTTGTTTGCTTTGTTGAAGATCAGTTGGCTGTATGTATTTGGGTTTATTTCTGGATTCTCTATTCTGTTCCATTGGGGTATCTGCCATTTTTATGCCAGTACCATGTTGTTTTGGTGACTATGGCCTTATAGTATACTTTGAAATCAGGTAATGTGATGCCTCCAGATTTGTTCTTTTTGCTTAGTCTTGGTTTAGCTATGTGGGCTCTTTTTTGGTTCCTTGTAAATTTTGGAGTTTTTTCTCTCATTCTGTGAAGAAAGATGGTGGTATTTTGATGGGAATTGAATAGAATTTGTAGACTGCTTTTGGCAGTATGGTCATTTTCACAATATTGATTCTACTCATCCATAAGCATGGGATGTGTTTTTCATTTGTTTGTGTCGAGAGACATCTTCAGTTTCAAAGTGAAAGGTGGAAAGGGCCTGGCCTAGGGAAGTGGGTTTGGGGGGTGAATGGAGACAAGACACAAATTAGATTGATGTGAGAGGCAAGGAAGATGGAAGGATAAGAAGTAATGCTGGAGTATAGAAACCACACAGCAAAATACACCTTCAAATAGTGATTCTTAAACTGTATTGAATTAGGACCCCTTTGGAAAAAATCCTGACCCTTTTCACAGAAAAATACATGTGCACATGCATGCGCACACACACACACACACACACACACACACACACACAAACACACCATTTTGCCTTCAATTTCCAGGGTTCATAATATCCCTATAATCTATCCATGGATCCTAGGTTTAGAAACCCCAGGAATCTGTTGACTGCTTGGTTTTGTTGTCAATGAAATCTTTGACCCTCAAATTATTTTCCTATGATTACTGCTCCCTCCTAAAAATTGAATAGAGCTAATATTTTTCTGAAAATTGAAGCTTCTGATTAATCAAGATTTCACTATCTTTATCTTGTTATGTATACATTTCTTTATCGCTATATAGCCAGTAGTTTCTCAGGAAGACAAAAGACTGTAAGCATTAGCCAACAATCTGCAATCCTCCAGTCATTGCCCATGGGAGTGAGGAGAACTTGAGTAAAGGAAGAAGCGGGACCTGTTGGGAAGGGACAGGGAGGCCATGAAGGGAGTTCAGTTCATGTACCTGGAATATGCTGGAAAATGGAAAATGAAGAGGGTGTTGGGGTTCAGAAAACACCCTGGGGTTCTGAGGCCAAAATGAAGGCCTCAGAAGCAAAAATTTTTCTCTGACCTTCTCCAGCCCTCTTGTCTGTTAGTGTCATTCTCCCCCAAGGCTAGCCAAAGAAACTAGAATCCCTCGTCCCTAGAGCAGGTCATAGAAACTAGAACCCCTTGTCCCCAAAGCCAGCCATTAAACATAAAAATCTTACTCTAACTTTCATTCTGCCTTTCTGTATAAAAACTGGCCATAGAGAAATGACGTGACCCATCTTGTTTGACTCTAGGTCATGGGACCCTAATTCCAGGGAAGGCCCTGTTTCATACCCCTTCATACCCAGGAGGAAGGAATGACACACAGAAGCCAAGAGGAATCTAGACTGACAGGCCTCACTGGGCTTCCCCAATCAGTCCTCTAGCATCAGATCATAACCTTTTTGTCCAAATATATCTCTACATAGCTGTCCATACTTTGTTGAACCTAAGCATAAAAATGAACAGTTTCTCCTTTACCATTGGATCTTCATTCTGTATTCATTCATTCTAAATTTGTATGCCCTTTCTCCAATTAACCTGCCTTTTGCGAGTTGATTGTTCAGCAAACCTTCCATAGTCAAGGAAGAGGCTTTCCCTTGGACCCTACAAGGGTGAGGAGGAATGAAATGACAACATAAAACAATTCAGAGTCTTCCAGCCAATTGGCCATTAGAAAGCTAAGTTTTCATGCCCGCCTCACCACCACAATACCTTTCCACATCAAGCAGAGAGGCAACTCATAAGCTCCCAAAGCCTCCAACTTATATGGCATCTTCAGGTATGGTTCACCATGGTGCAAGAGCCCAACACAGACTCTTGGTACCCATTGTCTACTCCAGCTATAATTCAGAATTATGTAGGGGTATTGGAAAACAAAAGTGTTGGTGCTACGGCTTCATCCTGGACTAACTGAGACAAAACTTCTGCAGGTGGGAACCAGACATCTGTATTTTTTTCTGTCATCCCAGGTGATGCTGATGCACAGTTGAGGGGTGTGAAAAATCAAGCAAAACTCTCCGTGAATGCTGAATGACAACCACAAGCTCTGTTTGTTGAGGATCTGGAGTGAGTTCTGCCAGCTGCCTTTGGCCCAGATCTCCATGGAGTGACTCATCATACCTCTGCATTTCTGGGAATTTGGAATGTTCTTTTATGATTTTTTAATTAAGGAAAAAAGTGTTTTGCTTAGAATATATACATCTACATATTTGAAAGAAAATACACCAAAATGTCAAGTGTTCATTTTGAGGTAGGAGGATCATAGGTAGTTTTTACCTTTTGGGTTGCATGTTACATTTTCTATAAGGGACCATGTATTTCTAACAAAGGTTAAATAATTACTTAATATTATTTAGGGAAAAGACCCTAGAATAACTTTTGGTTTGAATATGTGGAGAGCCTTGGAATCTTAAGCTATATCCTAAGGAGAGCATCCTGCTGGAGAGAAATTCTTGAGTCAAAAGAAGGTGGGGTTTGAGTGAAATTGGGGAAAACAAAGAAGGAAACAATGAAGAAAAAGGGAGAAAACTTAAGAAAGGAGATAAAAACAGAAGCCCAAGCCATGCAGAACAGGAAGTGAGGATGAGAAAGAAGGAAGATGGAGCTTAAAATACACACTCCTGAAAATTGAGGAGTTCCCAAAAACAAGAATTTTTCCTAAATGTGTTGATGATTCTGAGCCAGAGGTCAGTGGAGAGTTTGATTAACCACAACAAGATATCTTTGGAATCCTAAACTGAACATTGAACACAGAAAGTGAATTAATCTAGATTCTTAAAGAGCATAGCCCATTTATCTCAATGCCTCTCCTCCATCAAAACCAAGTTGATGGTAAGATAAAGTTGAGCCCTCATGAAAGGATTTGTTAAAGCCAAACTGGAGTGAATGTTTGAAATTAGAGGAAGCATTTAGATGGTAAATAGAACATGAATGATGGACAGAGAAGAGAGAATTGAAAAAAAAAATCTAATAGCCATTGTTTTTCTCTTTAAATTATCCCATAGATAGCTGACATATATCTGGTTTGAGTAAAAATTTTCCAATCTGAAATACAGAAGCAACAAGAAAAGCTAACACTGACAGCTTTATCCTTTGAAGATTAAATCTAAGCCATCAGCAATCCACAATCATCTCCCTGTCTAGTGGTTGAGTCCTTTTTCTAAGCCATGTCCTTTTGACACAAGTGACACAAACATGACTTTTAACCCAGTTAGAGCAGCTCTCTAGATGGCATTTTCTGTCCTTGTGCAGAGGGAACGTTTGCTGAAAGCTGACACTTCACTTCCTGGAAGGCAGAATGAGGTTTGTGGTTCTTGGGCACCCTTGTCCCTTGAGACTCTCTTCCCTGTCACAGAGGTGTTAGTGAACTGTCCCCAGCTAATATTTAAACTGCCAGTCTCCCTGGATCAGCAGAAGGCAGCATAAATTGGAGCTAAGGGGCTCTCCTCAGCTCTTCTGGCTACCTAGGAAGAAAAAATTCTTAGTGCCCAATTAGAAATTCCTCCATAGAGGACCTGTCCTGCCCTGCCCTGTCCTCCCCAAAGCCCACCCGCATCACCCAGAGCTGGGGCTTGCTTAGTCCTAACAGAACCCTCTGTATGAGTGGACAGATGGAATAAAGGTCAGGTTTAGTGGGTCAATACTTGGTAGAAAGCACTTTGATTACTGTAGCCTTGTAGTATAGTTTGAAGTCAGGTAGCACGATGCCTCCAGGTTTGTTCTTTTTGCTTAAGATTGTCTTGGCAATGCGGGCTCTTTTTTGGTTCCATATGGACTTTAAGGTAGTTTTTTTCCAATTCTATGAAGAAAGTCAATGGTAGCTTGATGGGGATGGTATTGAATCTATAAATCACCTTGGGCAGTATGGCCATTTTCACGATATTGGTTCTTCCTATCCATGAGCATGGAATGTTCTTCCATTTGTTTGTATCTTCTTTTATTTTGTTGAGCAGTGGTTTGTAGTTCTCCTTGAAGAGGTCCCTCACATCCCTTGTAAGTTGGATTCCTAGGTATTTTATTCTCTTTGTAGCAATTGTGAATGGGAGTTCACTCATGATTTGACTCTCTGTTTGTCTGTTGTTGGTGTATAGGAATGCTTGTGATTTTTGCACATTGATTTTGTATCCTGAGATTTTGCTGAAGTTGCTTATCAGCTTAAGGAGATTTTGGGCTGAGACAATGGGGTTTTCTAAAGATGCAATCATGTCATCTGCGAACAGGGATAATTTGACTTTCTCTCTTCCTAATTGAATACCATTTATTTCTTTCTCTTGCCTAACTGCCCTGGCCAGAACTTCCAACACTATGTTGAATAGGAGAGGTGAGAGAGGGCATCCCTGTCTTGTGCCAGTTTTCAAAGGGAATGCTTCCAGTTTTTGCCCATTCAGTATGATATTGGCTGTGGGTTTGTCTTAAATAGCTCTTATTATTTTAAGACACGTTCCATCAAGACCTAGTTTATTGAGAGTTTTTAGCATGAAGGGCTGTTGAATTTTGTCAAAGGCCTTTTCTGTATCTATTGAGATAATCATGTGGTTTTTGTCTTTGGTTCTGTTTATGTGATGGATTACATTTATTGATTTGCATATGTTGAACCAGCCTTGCATCCCAAGGATGAAGCTGACTTGATCCTGGTGGATAAACTTTTTGATGTGCTGATGGATTTGGTTCGCCAGTATTTTATTGAGGATTTTTGCATCAATGTTCATCAGGGATATTGGTCTAAAATTCTTTTTTGTTGTGTCTCTGCCAGGCTTTGGTATCAGGATGATACCTCATAAAATGAGTTAGGGAAGATTCTCTTTTTTTCTATTGATTGGAATAGTTTCAGAAGGAATGGTACCAGCTCCTCTTTGTACCTCTGGTAGAATTCGGCTGTGAATCCATCTGGTCCTGGACTTTTTTTCATTGGTAGGCTATTAATTATTGCCTCAATTTCAGAGCCTGTTATTGGTCTATTCAGGGATTCAACTTCTTCCTGGATTAGTCTTGGGAGGGTGTATGTGTCCAGAATTTATCCATTTCTTCTAGATTTTCTAGTTTATTTGCATAGAGGTGTTTATAGTATTCTCTGATGGTAGTTTGTATTTCTGGGGGATCAGTGGTGATATTCCCTTTATCATGTTTTATTGCATCTATTTCGTTCTTCTCTCTTTTCTTCTTTATTAGTCTTGCTAGTGGTCTATCAATTTTGTTAATCTTTTCAAAAATCCAGCTCCTGGATTCAATGATTTTTTGAAGGTTTTTTTTGTCTCTGTCTCCTTCAGTTCTGCTCTTAGTTGTTTCCTGCCTTCTGCTTGCTTTTGAATTTGTTTGCTCTTGTTTCTCTAGTTCTTTTAATTGTGATATTAGGATGTCGATTTTAGATCTTTCCTACTTTCTCTGTGAGCATTTAGTGCTATAAATTTCCCTCTACACACTGCTTTAAATGTGTCTCAGAAATTCTGGTACATTGTGCCTTTGTTCTCATTGGTTTCAAAGAATATCTTTATTTCTGCCTTCATTTCGTTATTTACCCTGTAGTCATTTAGGAGCAGGTTGTTCAGTTGCCATGTAGTTGTGAGGTTTTGAATGAGTTTCTTAGTCCTGAGTTCTAATTTGATTGCACTGTGGTCTGAGAGGCAGTTTGTTGTGATTTCTGTTCTTTTACATTTGCTGAGGAATGGTAGTGGTACCAAAACAGAGATATAGACTGATGGAAGAGAACAGAGGCCTCAGAAGTAACATCACACATCTATAACCATCTGATCTTTGACAAACCTGACAAAGACAAGCAATGGGGAAAGGATTCCCTATTTAATAAATAGGGATAACTGGGATAACTGGCTAGCCATATATAGAAAGCTGAAACTGGGTCCCTTCCTTACACCTTATACAAAAATTAATTCAAGATGGATTAAAGACTTAAATGCTATACCTAAAACCATGAAAGCCCTAGAAGGAAACCTGGGCATTACCATTCAGGACATAGGCATGGGCAAGGACTTCATGACTAAAACACCAAAAGCAATGGCAACAAAAGCCCAAATAGACAAATGGGATCTAATTATACTAAAGAGCTTCTGAACAGCAAAAGAAACTACCATCAGAGTGAACAGGCAACCTATAGAATGGGAGAAGATTTTTGCAATCTACCCATCTGACAAAGGGCTAATATTCAGAATCTACAAAGAACTTAAACAAATTTACAAGAAAAAAATCAAACAACCCCATCAAAAAGTGGGCAAAGGATGTGAAGGGACACTTCTCAAAAGAGGACATTTATGTAGCCAACAGACACATGAAAAAATGCTCATCATCACTGGTCATCAGAGAAATGCAAATCAAAACCACAATGAGATACCATCTCACACCAGTTAGAATGGCGATCATTAAAAAGTCAGAAAACAACAGGTGCTGGAGAGGATGTGGAGAAATAGGAACACTTTTACACTGTTGGTGGGAGTGTAAACTAGTTCAGCCATTGTGGAAGACAGTGTGGTGATTCCTCAAGGATCTAGAACAGAAATACCATTTGACCCAGTGATCCCAATACTGGGTATATACCCAAAAGATTATAAATCATGCTACTATAAGGACACATGCACACGTATGCTTATTGCAGCACTATTCACAACAGCAAAGACTTGGAACCAACTCAAATATCCATCAATGATAGACTGGATTAAGAAAATGTAGCACATATACAACATGGAATACTATGCAGCCATAAAAAAGGATGAGTTCATGTCCTTTTCAGGGACATGGATGAAGCTGTAAACCATTATTCTGAGCAAACTATCGCAAGGACAGAAAACCAAACACCACATGTTCTGACTCATAGGTGGGAATTGAACAATGAGAACACCTGGACACAGGGCAGGGAACATCACACATGGGGGCCTGTCGTGGGGTGGGGGGATTGGGGAGGGATAGCATTAGGAAAGATATCTAATGTAAATGACGAGTTAATGGGTGCAGCAAACCAACATGGCACATGTATACCTATGTAACAAACCTGCATATTGTGCACATGTACCCTAGAACTTAAAGTATAATAATAATAAAAAAAAAGAAATCACTTTGAGGGAAAGCAGATTATTCTTAGTATTTTATTCTCTTTATAACCCAGTGGCTTAGCCTATTGGGACTGCCATAACAAAATACCATAAAGAAGGTGGCTTATAAACAATAAAAATTTATTTCTCACCATTCTAGAGGGAGGAAAGTCCAAGATCAGGGTACAGACAGATTTGGTGTCTGGTTGTTGTCTGGTGGGGACCCTCTTTCTGGTTCACAGATGACATCTAGCTGTGTTTTCACATGGTGAAAGGAGTGAGGCTTCTCTCTGTGGCTTCTTTTATAAGGTCACTTGTCCCACTGGTAAGGGCAAAGCCCCTCAAAGGCCCTATCTATTAATTCTATCACATTGATGATTAGGTTTCAACATATGACTTTGGAGGGACACAAACATTCGGGCCCTAACAACCAGTTTAACATGGGATCACCTCATTGCCACATAAATTATAGGAATCAAATGGAAGTACATTCTGTTTATGGTCTTCTTGAATACAACAGAAATTCCAGGCTGCAGAGCTGGAAAGGACACTAATCATCAGTGAGTTTGACCTCCCTTAGGTACTTTTGAACATTTTCCCAGCCATCCGATAATCCAGATCATATTTAAACATCTTCATTAATGCAAGCTTATTAGATTCCATGGAAAGCTATGGATGTTGGAAAATTCCTCCTTCCCTGTGCCTCCAAACTGGGACTAGGTGCCCTTCTTTATGTCCTTATGCTACCTGTATGAACCCACCATGACACTGACCACTCATTGCCTTGTAATTGTTCATTAGCATCCTGTGCTTCACCCTCACCCTCTCCATGCTGTAAACTCCCTGAGGACAAGCACTACGTCCTTCTTCAACACTGAATACACAGCATATAACACAGAATACTTACATACTAGGCAATCAGAAACTATTTGTTAAAAATATGAAAGTACCTGCTAAGTCTCTGCTGCTGCTGGTGACTCAGCCTTTTTATCTATAACAAGAGAGGATTGGACTCCACTGTTTCCCACCACAGTAGCACCAGCCTTCCCTAGGAGATGTATGGAAATGTATGGGGGCCTTATTTGTTGCCACAAGGCTTCTTGCTTGGAGGTTACTGGCAAGGACCAAGGATTCAAAATGTTCTACAATGTCTAGAACAGTCTAATACAATGGAGAACTGCTCACCGCCACCAGCCACTCCACCAAATATCAATAGCATTTCCACTGTGAACCACTGTAGACAAATACAGGCTGTGAATCAGGGGACTAGGATTCTAGTCCTAACTGTCACCAACTAGCTGTGTGACCTTGAGCATACTGATTCACCTCTCTGTGCATCAACTTCTTTATCTGTCACATGATGATTTAAAAAATTGCCTGATGTTTTTACCTTCCTGTGTAAAATCAAATAATCATGAAGAAATGCTGCAAAAAGAATGTATGAGTACTAAATGGATATGAGCCCTCACTGGTGTTACATGAGGTGACTAGCAATTGGGCCAGAATTGCTAGAAGTAGGGGGGATTATCCACAGATTACTGCCCAAAAGTGGCATCTCTTAGGTCCCTGGTTGTGTACACAGACCATGCCCTCATGCATGCTGTGACAGGAAGGAGAGACATGAGAGGCGGCAGGAAGACAACCCTGACCAGAGGAAGTACGCATGTGGAAGGGACACACTCTACCTCTGCCTGGAATTGCCTTCTTCTGGACTTGCGCTGCCAACCTCCTGCTGCAAACTTCTTTTAAAGCCTAAAATCAGATCATGCCCCTCTCCCACTTTAAACCCTCCAGTGGCTTCCCATGCACAGGGGACTCTGTTTACCATGGATCATAAGGCAAAGAGACTTTCCTTTTCGCCCTCACCTCAAGCCATTCCCTCCCTCTCTCATTGCTCTCTGGCTACACTGGTTTCTAGCTGGTGTTTTAAACTTTGTTTTGTTTGTGAATAGACCAAAGTAGTTCTTACCATGGGGCTTTTACCATTGCCTCTGCCTAGAAGGCTCTGACACTAGATCTTTTCATGGCTATCTCCATCCCATCATTCAGGTCTTGACTCAATGTTATCTGCTCAGAGAGTCTTACTTAAAATAGCCTCCTCCAGTTCCATGTCCCACATCCTCCATTACTTCTCACTCCTCACTTTCTTCTTAGCATTTGTATTGCTGTCTAAAGCTGTTTATATATTTATTTGCTTTTTTGTTTTCTGTCTCCCCTAAGTAGGATGTAATTTCCACAAGAGGAGAGACTGTCTCGTTCACCACTCTCACCTCAATGCTTAAAACAATGTTTGACATGTAGTTAGCACTTGAAATATATTTGCTGAATAAAGAAATGGAAGGATGGAGGCATGCATGCATGGCTTCTTCCAGATTGAACCCAGGCATCACCTCCTCCAGAAAGCTGTTTGTGACTTCTCCAAGCCCATATGCTCCATGCTCATATGCCAATCACAGAGTTGACCAGCTCACACAAAATTCTCAGTGTGTCCATCTGTCTTCCCACCAGCCCTCGAACCCCTCAAAGCTAAGAATCATATCTCTTTCATGTTTGTATCTTTCACCTCAGGCATTGTCTTGCCCATAGATCATTGAACTAAACTGAACTGAACTAAGCAATGACAATGGGCAATTTACATTTTCTCCTTGGCGATACGGAGTGAGGGGGTGGTCTGCTCACCTCATAGTTAGTAAATCCCACCGCCCCTGAAGTCTTTAGTAGGGAGTATCAAACATGGCCAACTAACACCAAGTCGTTAGGCAGGCAACTGCCTGGAAATTGAGAATAGGATTTCACATATTCCTGGCATCTGTTACAGACTTTCAGGATTTCCCTTTTTACTTTGATGAACAGATATGTTCTTAGAGAAATGCATGTAAATTAAGCTTTTGCCCTTTTAGATGAAAAATTATTTAAAATGCAAATTCAGAATTGACTCTGAAAGATTTAGTCTTTCAGATTAAAAGACTGAAAAATATTTTCAATAGCTATTTTGTGCCAGACACCATACTAGGTATGTCAAAATTTGTTACCCCATAACAGTTTAAAACATAAATATTAAATGTGCCCAGAGGTTATGACTGAGGTTTAAAGTGGCTAAGTAGCTTGTCCAAGGCCTCACAGCTGATATGAAGCAGAATCTGGGTTAGAATCCACAATGAAATGCCAGTTCTGTGTATTTTTACATCACCACTGGAACCCAGCAGGAAGTCACCCCCAATTCACTTACTTTGCTGGTTAGAATTCTTGTGTATTGGGCTTTCTCAAAGAGAGCCCCCCCAGAATTCTTTAACCACACTGTGACTTCTACAAGTCACCTCTTTTAACTGCTAGCAGGGGTTTAGCACCACTAATCAAACCGACCACATCTGACATATGGGTGTTCCTGCTCAAATGACAGATCGTTTGTACTGTAAGTCCCTTAATAATAAAAATGAGGTACTTGGGAAGATCAAAAGCAATTTGGGTCTAAATCATTGTTGGCTTTGTAAGCTAGGAAAAACCAGCAAATAGATGAACATCTGCCTCTCTTAAAAATTGTCCAAAAAATGTCATCACTGGGCAATAACAAAACCTCTACAAAATAGAATATTTTGGCTACAAATCTCCATAACAATGATGACATTGTCTGCAAGTTCTAGCTATATATTATTAGTACATTTTCAGAGAAAAGGTTTTAGTAAGTGCAGATTTTATGGAATTGACTTCCAACCCAAATACTTTATAGAGATGTTTCAGGTTGAGTTTCCTCAATGGATGTGTTTTGGCAAGTGAGAGGTGAAGAGGTAGGTGAGACTCCAGAGATAAGCTCAAGTTTATTTTGGAATTCACATATTTCTGGAATCCTTATATTAATACTGTAATACAAACTTTAAATCTAATATAAATGCCAGTTTCTCTTTAAGTTAACTCTGGACCTTCCTGTTATTCTTCTTTGACAGCTCCTGTTCAGAATTCCTGAAGCATTCAGAGTTGTAAGGCAGTGTGATGTGGTGAGCTGGGTCCCTAGTCCATCACCTAGGCACCCTTCACTGAATAGAAAGGTTTATGTCCAAATCTTGGCTTCACTCCTTATTAGTTGTGTGACCTAGTGCGAGTTGCTTAACCCCTCTGAGCTTCAGTTTTCTTACCTGTAAGATGGAGATAATAGTACCTACTTCAGAATGCTATTGTAAGGATAAATGAGATAATAGGCATGAAAGTACCCGGCATGCTTCTGGGACCTTGAGAGCATCCCCTGCTTTGAAAATTGTTGGATATAAAGTAATGGTACATGGGCAATAAGCTTTGTATATAGCTCTTTTGATGAATTAGGTGCATGGGTTCCTGTTAGACTCATCCAACAAGGCCAGTCCTTGGCGTGTATGTATATGTGTTTGTGGGTCTGCATCTGCACCCTCCCTGGGGAAAAAGAGAGTTCGATTTGTGATCAGTGGAGACCAGTGTGTAATGGTTGAGAGCTGAGTTCTGAAGATAGGCTTCATAGATTTAAGTCCTTGCTTGGCCATGTACCTACTGTGTGGCCTCAGACATATTTCTTACCCTCTCTGTATCTCAGTTTCATCCTCTGTAGAAGTGGAAAGTAACTTAGTGTTGTTGTGAAGATTCATGGAGTTAATATATGTAAAGCACTTAGGATCCACTATTCTCCATTTCTAGGACAAACAGGAAGTGGCAGAGGAGAAAGCTGTGGTGATGAAAGTGACAGGGATGCCAAAGAGACTTGTGCTCCAGGAAGTGCCAGGGCAATGATCCCCATGATGGACACAGGCCATGGAGCACTAGAAGCCAAGGGTCTGGTAGGGAACAATACAAGATCAGGAAAGGGAGCAATGGCATCGGGCAGCACCCAGGGTCCATGGTGCTGGGGACACAGGGACACTCTGCCTCCCATCAATGATGCTGGAGTTGAAAAAGAGATTCGAGTCTTGGGGTTTGGGAACACTGCAAGCTTCCAGGGTTACCCCATATGACGGTGCAGGTCAGACAGTGTAGAGGAATCCTGTAGCGTCTGTTTGACATCTGCAGACATGGTTAGGCCTCTTCCTGTAACATTGTATAAAGGATGCCAGAAGAGACAAGGTGGAGTGTTCAAGTGCATGCATTTCCCTTGGAGCTGGAGGAACAAAGCAACCAGGACCCTTGTGGTGACATAGGGCAAAGGTCTCCAGTACAAAAAGCAGGTGACAAGTAGGAATTAAGACAAAAGATAAGGGTAATTACATAAAGATACCCCTCCAAGCTTCGAAATTCACATATTTCTGGAATCCTTATATTAATACCATAATATAAACTTTAAATCTAATATAAATGCCAGTTTCTCTTTAAGTTAACTCTGGACCTTCCTGTTACTCTTCTTTGACAGCTCCTGTTCAGAATTCCTGCAGCACTCAGAGTCATAAGGCAGTGTGGTGTGGTGAGCTGGGTCCCTAGTCCATCACCTAGGCACACTTCACTGAATAGAAAGGGTCTATAAGCTCAAATCTATGCTTATAGACTAACATAACTTAGACCATTAAGCGTACAAACAGTTCTGGGAACCCAGGCTTACTGTCAAGCTAAATATCATACAGATGATAACAAGGAATGGAAGGCAGTCTACTGCAGCATTTGATTGTATGGGCTCAGGGGCCAGACTTCCTGGGTTTGAAGCCCATCTCTACCACCTCCTACCTGTGGTTTGGGCAAAGTTATTGAATTATTTAATTTTTCTTTGATTCAGTTTCTTCATTGTTACGGGGTGAATTGTGTTTCTTCAAAATTCATATGTGGAAGTCCTAACCCAGTACCTCAGAAGGTGACTGTATTTGGACATAAGGACTTGAAAGAGGTGATTCTGTGAAAATGAGGCTGTGAAGTCCTCGCCAACAATAAATGGTGACAACCTCAAAAACAGAAACAAAACAAGACCATGAGGGTGGGCCTTAATCCAATGTGACTGGTGTCCTTAAAAGGAAGAGGGATTTGGACACAAAACGAGACACTAGGAATATGCAGGCATAGAAGAAAGACCACACAAGGAAGCAGTAAGAGGTGGCCATCTGCAAACCAAAGAGAGAGGACTCAGAAGAAACCGAACTTGTCGATACCTTGATCTTGAACTTTGAGCCTCCAGAAAGATGGGAAAATAAATGTCTGTTGTTCAAGCCACCCAAGCTTTAATATTTTGATATGGCAGCCCTAACAAACTAATAGATTCATCTGTAAATTAAGGATTAAAAAATAGTACCTACCTCATAGAGTTGAGGTAAAGTTTAAATGAGATATTCCACATAAAGCATTTGTTACTTTGCTTGGGACATAATTAATACTCAGTATATGTTAGAATTATAGAAGATGCATCTGAAAGTTCTGCCATATTGTGGGAGGGTTGAAACGTGGTGGGAGAAGTGGTTCTCCAAAATTTGTAGGTGATGGCTTAAGTGACAACTATCATGTATTAAGTACTTATTGAGTGTGGATCCTGTTTAGGTTATATTTGGCTGCAGGCAACAGAAATAAACATAATACTTAAATAAGATAAAAGGTCTTTCTCTCTTTCTAGCCAACAGCTGGAGGCAACCTAGGGAAGTTATGGTACTCTATGATATTAGGGACTTGAGCTCTTTCTATTTGTTAAATTGTCGTTTGTGGATTTCATCCTCAGTTGTCCAAAATGGCTGCAGGAGCTCCCAACATTGTGTCCCAATTCTATCCAGGATGAAGGACAAAAGAATAGAGAAGTGCAAGCCTTTATTTTAAAGAAACTTCCAGGAAATTCCATATACCTATTCCACTTGCATTTCTTTGACCAGAACTTAGCTCCATGGTCACACTTAGGTGCCAGGGAGACTGGGAAACAATCTTTATTCCAGGATAATAAGAATGCAGCTAAGTATCCAAGACTCTATTATAGAGCACAGAAGACAAAGGAGACATTTGGTAACAGTAATTGGTCTCTATACCACGTGCAATATGTGTGCAGAGATCATTGAAACAGGGATCCTTATTGTGTTCTGTTTTGTTTGTTTGTTTTTCTGGTGGGGAAACTGAGCTTTTGTTTCTTCTTCAAGGGATATACAGCTCAGATTGACCTAACCCCCAGTTTCTCATGGATCCTAAAATCTCTCTACTTAACAAGTAAGAGTGACTGATCTTTACACAGTCCAGGAACCTCAAGGTGATGGTGACAAACTCCCCCAAATGTCCACTGCTATCTGATGAAAGACATCAACTTTGGTTGCAATTTCTTAAGCCAGATACGAAGAAGAATGTTTTAAGTCTCACCACAGTGATGCATGGAAATGAATCCTGAAGTAAAGTATAATGTCACCTTGCCATCCCTAGGAGATGCTTAGGGATAAGCAAGAGACAGCAGTCTGGGGTGTATTTGGAGGGCCGTTCCGCCTGAAAGTTAGGCCTCTGTTGAATTTGTGATGAGAAAGAAAGGGGCTTATCTACATGAAAAAACAAAAATAATGATCGTCATATCTTTAAAGGCTTCCAGGGAAAAAGAAGTCTGACAGAAAAGTTGAAGGAATAAATGTTAGACTAGAGTAGAAAAAAAAAAAGCTTTCACCAAAATGTCAGGGGAAAAAGAAGTGCGGGAAGAGAGGCATTAATAAGTGAACAGGGGATAAAGTTGGTGGCAATTCTCAGAGGGGAAGCTGCTGGGCTACTTTTTAAAAAATGTTCATTTCTCTCTCTTTTTATTCAGCTCATTTGTAGGTGTCCATTATAGAATAGCTAATCTTTTACAGGCAAAGGATCTAAATAGAAAACATTAAAGAAGTCTCACTCCGATGAATGAGGCCGAGCCTGCAGCTCAAGGAAACCCTGGAGACTGCATAGGGTGTTGGAAGAAAGAATCTCAGAAGAAAGAAATCTTCCCATGAAGAGAGAACATCAATTTCCAAGCCAGCAAGGGCGAGCTGGGGCCTCAGGAAGGAGGGGTGGGGTGGAGAGTGAACAGATCCACACACTGGTAAGGTAGATGAATAAGAGAGAAACACCTAAAGCTTGCCCGAAAGCAAAGTCCTTGACCAGGTTTTTGTTCTGTGGAGGTCCCTTAAAACAACCCTGACTGGAGTTTTCTTTAACTGGCCCTGAGGGGAGAAAAATGCCAGGACTCACCAATGGATGTTTCTCAAATGCAAAGAATCCTTCCAGTGGTCGTCTATGTGTAGTGACGTGGGCAGCCCTGATATGATCTGAGGGGTGCAGCGCAGTGGTTCCTCCCACACAGATTCTGGCTCTGGCCCCATCCTGGTTTTTGAACACCTATCTACATAACCTGCTATGGAGTAAAGGTATTGTTTGCCCAACACGCCTGTTGAAAGGCAAGTGTCCCTGGTAGGGTAATCCATTAGCATTGGCAGGTCCTTCAGCATAGATGTGTGTCTCAGATTAGAGGACTAGAAAGGCCTGGAAGTTGGGGAGAGTTAGTCTGATATGGAACATTAGAGAGGAATAGAGAAGGAGGGGAAGGAGAGAGGAGGGCAAAAGGGAGAGCATTTTGACCAGCATTTGGCCTTGAGACAGAAGGGGCTGAGTGAGGATGAGAGCAGAAATTTAAATGGGAAGGTGTGGGGGCCCCTAAGGGGTTACTGTTTCTTCCACAAGCTACCAGGGCCAGACTCATTCTTTCCTAAGGGCTCTCATTCTTCCTCAAGCCCACTGGTGAATTCACCTTTGAGTATAGGCCAAAAGAGGAGACAACTCACTTCCTTTTAATTATTGAAACAATAATGTAATAGCACCATCATTAAGCACTGGTTCTTAACTTGGGAGGGAGGTGATCATCGAACTCCTCTGAGAATCTGATGAAAGCTGTGCTCGTACTTCTCAAAAAAATAAACATATGCACAGCCACACAAAATATGGTATGTTTTCACTTGTTTTATGGACACTGTGGGGGCCCATCTCTGGGTCCCATGAGAGGCCATTGTCTCCTAGCTAAAATGCTTTGATTTATTCTTTAATAATCCTAACACAGAGGTTTCATTTTTGTGCATTTATTCTAAGCCCTCTTCCTTATGCATGCATAATTGTTACAGTGCAATCATAATCTACATACAATTTATGTGTTCTACTTTATAAAATCTAACATTATCTGGTAAACATTTTTCTATGTTGTTATATATTCTTCACAATTATAAATTTGAATGAATATATAAAATTGTATTGAATTGTTGCAGTATAATTTTCTTAACTGTTCCTTAATGACTAGGTGTTTAAATGGCTTCTAATTTTGTAGTATAGATAATGCTACACTGAATATCCTTATCCATTTATCTTGCTTCTGTTGAATGTTTCCTTGAGAAAAATTCCTACCCTTTACAAAATCAAAGTGTAAGAATATTTTTATGGGTCTTAAAAGATGATGTGATATTGCTTTCCAAAGAAGTTATAATTTTGGGTACCGCCAATAGTATACAAGTGTCCCAATTTCCCCAAATCTTTACCTATAATGGGTACTATTATTGAATTTTTTTCTAATTTAATAGTTTTCAAAGCATCAAGAAGATAGTCTGATGTTTGGTTGCCAAGGGGTGAAGTGGAGAATGAGAAGAGTGTACTGGGAGGATGGGGAAGTCTGGTCTATAATGGGAATGGATAAAGCTTCTAAGCTTTTCAGTAACAACTGGAACCAAGCAGGCTATATGAGTTAAGGAGCAGCACTCACGGACTTAGTAAACAGTACATTCCCACTTTCTGTCCAATCCCTTTTCAAGCTTCCACTTCTAAATTTTATCAGTCAAAATGGAAACTGGGAGCTAGGGTTTGATCAGGACCAACAGGGTTACTGTGGGTCACTTTGTAAGGCTACTGTGATATGGTAACAGTATGGTTTATCCTCAGGATGTCATTGTCTCTAAAAAATTGCCTTGTGCTCCATAGCAGCACTATCCAATAGAAACATAATGCAAGCCACATATACGTAGTTTTCAGTTTTCCAGTAGCCACACTAAAGAAAAAAAGTAAAAAGAAACAAATGATCCTCCTGACCTCAAAATATATTACAAAGCTACAGTTGTTAAAACATGGTACTAGCATAAAGACAGACATACACACCAATGGAACAGAATAGAAAGCTCAGAAATAAACTCACAGGTATACATTCAACTGAGCTTTGACAAGGGTGTCAAGAATATATAAGAGGGAATGGACAGTATCTTCAACAAATGTTGTTGGGAAAACAGGATATCCACATACAAAATAATGAAATTAAATCTTTATCTTACTGTATGCATAAAAATTAATTCAAAATTGATTAAAGACTCAAACGTAAGACCTGAAACCATAAAACTCCTAGAGAGAGGAAAAGCTTTAGTACACTGGGCTTGCTAATAATTTCTTAGATATGATACCAAAGTACAAACAACAAAAGCAAAATTGTACAATGTGACTACATGAAACTAAAAAGCTTCTGTACAACAAAGGAAACAATTAACAGAATGAAAAGGCAGCCTACAGAAAGGGAGAAAGTATTTTCTATATATATATTGATAAGGGATTAACATCCAAAATAAATAAGTTCCTACGACTTAGTAGCAAAAAACCAAATAATCTGATTTAAAAACAGGCAAACAGGCAAAGGACTTGAATAGAAATTTCTCCAAAGAAGACTTACAAATGGCCAACAGGTGTATGAAAAGATGCTCAACATCACTAATCATCAGGGAAATGTGAATCAAAGCCACAGTGAGATATCACCTCACACCCATTGATATGGTTATTGTCAAAAACAAAACAAGGCTGGGAGTAGTGGCTCACATGTGTAATGCCAGTACTGTGAGAGGCCAAGGCAGGAGGATCACTTGAGGCCAGAAGCTCAAGACCAGCCTGAGCGAAACAGTAAGACCCCGTCTCTTCAAAAAATTAAAAAATTAGCTGGGCATGGTGGTGTGCCCGTAAAATCTCAGCTACTTGGAAGGCTGAGGTGGGAGGATCGCTTGAGTCCAGGAGTTCGAGGCTGCAGTGAACTATGATCACACCACTACACACCAGCCTGGGTGACAGAGCAAGACCTTGTCTCAAAAATAAATAAATAAATCAGACAAAAAAGATTAAAATGTTGGTGAGACTGTGGAGAAATTGGAATTTTTATATACTGTTAGTGGGAATGTAAAACAGTGCAGCCAATATAGAAAACAGTATAAAGTTTCCTCAAAAAATAAAAAATAGAACTACCATATGTTCCAGCAATTCCACTACTGGGTATATCCCAAAAGAATTGAAATTAGAATCTTGCAGGGATATCTGTACTCCCATGTCCATTGCAGCAGTATTAGCAATAGCCAAGACATGGAAGCAACCAAAATGTTCACTGGCAGATGAATGGATAAAAAAATATGGTATATATATACAATGGAATATTATTCAGCCTTTAAAAAGAAGAAAATCCTGTCACTTGAGACAACATGGATGAACCCGGAGGACATTATGCTAAGTGAAATGAGCCAGTCACAGAAGACAAATACTGCATGATTCCACTTCTATGAGGTACCTAAAATAGTCAGACTCACACAAGCAGAAAATAGAAGTGACTACCAGGAGCTGAGCTGGGGGGAGTAGGTTGGGACTTGTTCAGTTGATATAAAGTTTTGGTTATGCAGGAGAAATAACTTCTAGAGATCTGCTGTACAGCATAGCACCCATAGTGAATGGTACTGTATTATGCCCTTAAACATTTGTTATGAGGTTAGATCTCATGTTAAGCACTCTTGCCAAAAACAAACAACACAAAACAAAGAAAAAGGAAAAAAACAGTGGAGGGAGGACACAGGGAAACTTTTAAAGGTGATGGAGATGTCTATTACCTTGATTGTGGTGATAGTTTTATAGGTGTATGCATATGTCCAAACTCTTCAAATTATATGCATTAAACGTACATAGTTTTAATATATCAATTATATCTCAATAAAACTATTAAAAAACAAATCAAATTAACTTCAGTACTATATATTATTTAACCTGTCATATATTTAAAAATATCATTTCAGCATGTAATCAACATAAAAATTATTAAGTATTTTCACAGTCCTTTTTTCATACTAAACCTTTGGAAACTGTTGCATATTTTATACTAACAACACATCCCAGTTCGAGACACCTATATTTCTAGTACTCAGTTGCCACATGTGGTCATGGCCACTGTAGTAGACAGTGCAGCTCTGTGGCCTCAGCCCACAGAGATGAGCCTAGGATGCTTTGCATTGCAGAACTGTCTTTCTCTTAACGCTTGAGCTATTGGGAAATCAGAGCCATGTTATTTATCATGAAAGAGCATTTGATTAAAAGTATAAAATATCCTAGGTCAGATGGCTCACTGTAGTTGCAGGGGAGACAGTGAATTGCTGACCATGCACTGTGATACATCAAAATATAGGGACATTCAGGCACCTCCTCAGCCTACTGAATCAGGATCTTTGGGGTGAGTCTAGAAAACAGATTTTTAAGTACAGGTTTTAATATGATAATAAGTGGTGCCTGTTATTAATGGGAGGACATTGAATCCCAGAGAGAATGAATGACTCACTCATGTTCTTCTCATAGTTAGGGGTCAGCTAGACCTAGAACCTCACTTGGACCCACTAGACACCTTTCCACGCCCTCACCACAATCACTGCCAACTGCTATTCCAGCACAATTCTTGCCAAGAAAATACCTGCTGTCATGTGACAGGTATCAGCACACTTTAGGAGCAGTCAAGACAACTTCCTAAGAAGGTAAACTATATTTTCCCAACTTACCAAATTAGAGTAAGAAGAATAGATTTCTTCCTTTAATCTGGCTTTGTCTCAGACTGGAAGTGCTCTCTTGTCCAGTTAGAAACTAATCGTGATAAAATTAGTAGGCCAGAAGGACACTCATGGCCCATCTTTAACAGGATTTATAGCCCTGGTTCCTTTTCTTGTTGCCTCTGTGGAAATGTGCAAGCATACACATAGTTAGGAAGGTTTGAAGGAAATGCCTTAGAGAAGTCTCAGTGACCAAGAAAAGCTAGTCAAATTGCCAGCTTCGGCCACAGCCATGTGTTAAAATGCTCTGCAGACCCAAGTGTGATCATGAAACAAGTACAGCAAGAACAGCAGGTCTGTAAACATCCTGATGACAATGGGGAACAAACAGCTGGGCCGAGACCAGATCGGTTCAGGCAAATGTGCTCGTGCTTTTGATCCAAGTGCAAGATGAGCGGATGCAGGGGAGGCGGCAGCTGCGGCACAGCTGGACTCAGGAGGCATGTGATAGCGTGACTTGCAAATCATGCTGGAAAAATTCATTCTACTAAGCTTGGACGTGAACACAGTCACGTGGGGCCCATCAGCTCACACACTGCAGCCAAGAGCGAGACAGAAATGCAACCGGGCTAATAAGAGGCGTCAGGCCCACTTCTAGTTGGACACGGCTGTCTTTCAGGGAAGGAATGGGACAGGAAATGCACTATATTTGGAAATGACTCTAAATTTAGAATGAAAGACTGACTTGAGAATACTGAAAACTTGATTGAGAGATACTTAAATGTATTTTATAAGCATGGAAGGCATTTACTGGGGTCTCTACCATAGTGTTTTTTGCTTGTTTGTTTGTTCGTTGAAGACAAGGTCTCACTGTGTCACCCAGACTGGAGTGCAGTGGCACAATCACAGCTCACTGCAGCCTCAACCTCCTGGGCTCAAGTGTTCCTCATGCGTCAGCCTCCAGAGTAGCTGAGGCTACTTGACCACAGGCAAGCACCACATGCCTGGCTAATTAAAAAAATTTTTTTTTGTAGAGATGGTATCTCCCTGTGTTGCCCTGGCTGGTCTCAAACTCTTGGGCTAAAGTGATCCTTCCACTTCAGCCTCCTAAAGTGCTGGGATTGCAGTTGGGAGCCACAGCTCCTGGCTTCATAGTGTTTAATATGAAAGGCTATTCTGATCTTTCCTACTGGTCTAGCACTTTGGGGTTTGCAAAGAGCCTTACATTCACTTTCACTTCACCAATGAGTAAATAAGCCTCAGAAAAACTGAGTAAATACTAGAGCTCCAGTGGCGCAATCGGTTAGCGCGCGGTACTTATACAGAAAAACTGAGTAAATACTGAATGTATGTGTGTGTAGACATACAATATTACATGATGTGCTATTAATATAGCATGTGTATATATACTGTTTTACACATATTTATATATATTATCATACTATATATGCATATATGCATACTATTATAATCATTCATTTAACAAATATTTATTGAGCAATTACTTAGGTACCGGGCACAGTGCAGTATATCAACAAGGGTAAGGGATGCAGACATTGCAACTCTCATGGAACTCAGAGCCTAGTTAGGAAGAAAACCATTGCATAAACAATCACAACATAAATATGATTAGAGTCTGGAGTAAGTGCTACAAAAGAAAAGTCTAAGAGGTCACAAGAGTATAAGAAGAGGGTCTGCCTTGCCTGGAGCATCAGATGCTCCCCTGAGGAAGGAGCCTGTGAGCTGAGCGGTCCGGATGAGCAGGTGTTTTCTACAGTCTGTGCATTGTGTCTGCTGAGAATCTGGAAATTAAAAATGCTGCTGTTGGGGGTTTCACCATGTACGGACGAGGCAGGAGTTCCTCCAAAAAATACAAATTCCATGAGGTTAAATCAGACCTCTCAGCCCCAATCAAAAGGTAAGGACTTCGTGGAAGCTAAGGTCAAAGTCCAATCGATTTAATAGACCCTGAGAATGTAACATCCTATGGAAGCTGAAATCTAAGTGCAGGTTAGTTCTCCCAATTGCTTTCTGCCCTTTAAGGTTAGAGAAAGATGACAGCAAGAAGCATAAAACTCAGTTGTGGCTCTCAGAGCAGTCCTTGTTTTGAGGTTTTCTTTTTTCTGTCTTCTCCTTTCCCCCCTGTCTCCTCTCTGTCTTTGTCCTCCTTCCTCTACCTTCTTTATTTTTCACTGTTATAGATTAGTACCATCTATTCTATTAATATTGACTATAAATGCATGTTTTCTTCATGTTAAATGCCTATCAATTGTCTTCTACCTTCCAAAAGTTAAAAATGTATATATGATATGGCAAAACTTGTGCTAGATCACAAAAGCAAGCTTTCATTTTGATTTACACAGGTATGTGTGTACACACAAACACACTAAATACAAAGGGTTGCTGCTATAGGCTAGCATAAATAGCTTCCTGATTCTTAACACATCAGGTAATATAAATTCTGGTAAGCTCAGACTGCCTCTATATGTTCATATCAATTAGCCTTAAGGGTCTTTTTCTGAAGCACACGGTAAAATCAACACAGCATTAGGAGCTATTTTCTCAAAAACAAAGAGTTTGAATTCTTGCTGTAGTAGTTCTGAAGTAAAAGAGAGGCTCCTTGCCCCTCGTTGTTCAAAGTCATCCATTTCCAACAGGCGAGGGCATCAACAATTTGGCAGAGGCAGGTAAAAAAGAGCCAGGGGAACCCAAGTGAAATTTCAACACAGCGGTTGCCTTGGAACCCATTTGGAGGTTAACTTGCTCTTGTTTCTCCAGCATTTCCTTGCTGAAGGAAATTTGTACTCCAATTCCAGCCGCGTTCCAACTCCAATAAAACAGTGATAAGATGCCCTGGAGGGTTGCAGCCAAGCCTGTGGGTGCAAACAGGGTCAAATCACATCATGGGAATGAGATGGGATTCTACATAGTTTGAGTGTTGACTGTTTTCCTCTTGCCAACAGTGGGACGTTTGTTCTCATTGTTAAATAATTAAATAGGCAGTTTGTATTTATTTAACATACAGACTGTAGCCAATTCCTGCTGACAGCTACCAAAATAACCCCATATTTCCTAGCTCTGAATGGCTCAGAAGACTGTTTCCTGACTGCGGGAGCATCACCGCAGAGCAAAACTCTCCTCCAAGTCTCCGAACACCTTTTTCATCACTTTAAACAATAAATCAATTCACAGCATGTGATCCAAAAACAACAGCCCAGTTTTATTGGATGAGGTTCATTCCCATTCTCTCAGGCACTCCTTCACTACCAGCACTGAGCTGTCTTGAAGCTGTACTTGGCTGTGGATGGAAAAAAAAAATCTACTAGTTTTCCTCATTTACACTTGCCCATTAAAAAAAGTGAATTGTGACCTAATAACTTAAAAAAGAAAAAAAAAAAGAAGAATTATAACTTGGAGGAGAAAGTAGAAAGTTTGGGAGAAGCAGGCCAATCAGGAAGTCAGGGGAAACAAGTATTTAAATGTGGAGGTGGGTAGTCCTTGGAGCTTGGGAATGATTCAAGATAAGGTAGAGACTCTCACTGGTCTCCTAAGGTGGTCAACATGGCAGAGGGAAGAAACTGAGCAGTCAAAGATAGCATCCTCTGTGGAGGGTGGTGCTAAGAGAGATTCTAGAACCATTTACACATGATCAATGCTTTGATCCTGTCATGTGTATCAGAAGAGATGTAGACCAGGCCGGGCATGGTGGCTCACGCCTGTAATCCCAGCACTTTGGGAGGCCAAGGTGGGCAGATCACTTGAGGCCAGGAGTTCGAGACCAGCCTGGCCAACGTGGTGAAACACTGTCTCTACTAAAAATACAACAACAATTAGCTGGGCGTGGTGGCACGTACCTGTAATCCCAGCTACTCGGGAGGCAGAGGTTGCAGTGACTGAGATTGCACTACTGCACTCCACTCTGGGTGACAGAGAGAGACTCTGTCTCAAAAAAAAAAAAAAAAAAAAAAAAAAAAAAAAAAAAAAAAGGAGATATAGACCAGACTCCTCTTGAAATTTCCTGGTATTTGTAGTGTCTGAGGCATTCAGACAGTAGGTGCTAAAGACTTATCCCTAGGAGTCCGGAGTCCCACTTAAGTGGAAGAAGGAAGCGATTTTCCCTGTCCTAAGTGGCTAGCTACCAGCCAGCAGCCAGGCGATGTGTGGGTACTGACATACCACAGCATCTTCCTCTCGATGCTCCCACTAATGTGGCCACCAAAGGTCCACCCTAGAGGAAACAGCAATGAAAGGAAACAGGACAAAAGACCCCGTGGCAAGAAAAAAGATGGCCTAATTTTTTCTTTCTCACCATTCCTCTTGTCCTCTTAACCCATCTCTTTACTGTGCAATTTGCACTTTGAGTGGCTCTACAGATGGTGGATACAGTGAAGACCTCTGTTATCAATATTAAAACTGAGCATCAGTGAGTCAACAAGGCTCCACTTTGTCCTGTTCAACTTTAGCAGCACCACAGAGATCAGAACTAAGTAAAGCCATTTACACAATTAAGGAGGAGGCTGCCTTTTAGAGTGGCACAAGCATTTCCTCTGGAGTAGTGTGTCTGAACCAGGAAGTCCCTCTCTGCCTTGTCTGTGGATTTTAGACAGTCTGAATTCAGTTTCTTCTTCTGTGAAATAGATCAGCCCCACTTGTACTGTCATAGTATTGCTCTGAGTATGGAAAAGGACAATGGAAAATGAGGTGCTCTGTATTCTGTTATTTGTCATTAGTTGTGTTCTACTAACCAAACTTTAGGCATGGTGGAGTTCATTTCTGCCTCTTCTGGAGATAGGAAACTATAGAACTAACTTCAGATGTAGATTTTTTTAAAGTTGTCACTCTGTCCCTTTTCTTGTTTGTAAAAGGAGGAAGTGCTTCTGTGTGCCCTCCAAGGCTTCTTCCAACCTTCCAAAAAAAGAAAAAAAAGGCAGACAGTCCATTCAAGGATGGCAATCATGAAATCTTGACCTACTTTGGAATGAGAGGCAACATCTAAGAAAACCTCAGCTTAATCTCTATTAGCTCACCACAGAAGCATATATTCTGGGCTAAGATCTCTCAGAAGCTGGGCCATGGCCATGGCATGTGCTTAAAGCATAATAAAATGGATGTGGAAAAAAGAGGAGTGTATCCCACCTGCTCATTATCTGGGGCCATATTCCTAGCAGGGTAGTTCAACTATTCACAGCCAAGAAACATTTTTGATCAGAGTCCAAATCTCCATCCAGAAACAGGTTCCTGGCATACCACTCATGCCCCTGTAATCAATTCCCTGGACTGTGAATCAAGTGACTACTGCCAGAGCAATGGAGTTGGATTGTTGACTTTTTGACAGGTCTCTCGCCTCTTTCTGCATCTTATGTCTTCCCCGCTCTCCTTCTTGCCCCACCTACTGAAGCCCTCTACCTTCATCCCTTTTCTCCCTTACCAATCTCTCCTCCCTCCATTTTTTCCTTTCTCTGCACCTCAGCTGATGGCAGATACTATTTTTCATACTTCTAAGCTTGCATCAGTATCAACACAGCCAGATTCACTCACATTTCCCTCCCCCTCCTCCCTCCCTGTCCCACTCCAATTCTTTCCAAGGAGAACTTGGGGATTGTGTCCAAACTGGGACTGAATACAACCAACGAGGAACCCGATGATCCAAGTCCCACCCCCACAGCACACTATAATCCAGCACTGTATAGAGCAGTTCACAGAACCAAATATAAAGCCCTTATTAAGAATAAACATGTTGGCTGGGTGTAGTGGCTCATGCCTATAATCCCAACACTTTGGGAGGCTGAGTTGAGTGGATAACTTGAGTCCAGGAGTTCAAGACCTGCCTGGGCAACATGGTGAAGCCCTGTCTTTACGAAAAATCCAAAAAAAAAAAAAGATTAGCTGGGCATGGGGCATGCGCCTGTAGGCCTAGCTACTTGGGAGGCTGAGGTGGGAGGATAGCTTGAATCCAGGAGGTTGAGCTGCAGTTAGCCATGATTGCATCACTGCATTCCAGCCTGGGCAACAGAGCAAGATCCAGTCTAAAACAAAAAAACAAAAAAAGAAGAATGAACATTATTCCATATGGAGACTTAGCCTCTGTCAGTTAGACCCCTTGACATCCATAACACAGAACTGGAAACTGGACAATGGGCAAAGAAAGAAAAATCACAGGTTCAGGTTACAGAAAAGAAGGCAGGGAGAAAGGGCAAGTTAATCTAAATACTGGGTAAGAGACAAAAAGCTAAATGAGATGGAGGAGCATTCCGTGGTGGGAGTGGGAGGTGTTAGTAAACAGGGGCTGTGGAGCAACATGGGTCCAGGAGAGTTGGGGAGACAGAAAAGGACATATGAAAAGTGTTGCCAGCTGGTAAGTTACATCCTCATAACTTCTTCTTAAGACATAGAAATTAGAGGCTAAATTCCTTTTTCATTACTTTTGACTGATCTGTAAGTTTGTGAATATAAATCTCTGGAAACTGAGGCACATGGTCAAGGAGGCACACAGGCTACACGCTGGAGTTTAGGTAACTCTCAGATCTTCTGAGCCATCTTCAGATTAATCTCAGATCAAAGAGGTTTAGAAAGGGAGATGATCTTCAGGAATCTCCCTTACAATACACTCTCATCAGATGCATTTTTCAAAGGACATTTGCTTTAGCAGAATTGGAGAGAGATAAATCGCAGCCCTGTGCATTCGATACTTGATACATCCTTCCTCCACTGAGAAGCTAATGCTCTAGTTCTGGGTTTACCTGAAGCCATTAGGAGAGCTAAAACTCCATGTAGTGTGCTCTGCTAAAAGTAAGTGGATTTCGGAGCTAGAAGAAGAATTCTCTCTCTCTGTAGTTCAAATGGCATTCAGAAATCCAATTAACGTTGGTTTTTCTAAAGCAGAATCTGTAATTGTGTCCAATACTGCCAACTGTTCAGTTCGATAATAAAACAGGCTATTCTTAAGATGGCCTGTAGTCATTAGGGAAAGTCTAGCTCTGTAGGATACAATTTCTCTTTGGAATAATATATGTGATGTTTTTATAATTTCTTTCATCCAAGCATTTCAAAGCATTTTAAAATAATTTGGAGACACAGGATATATATTTTTCATAAATTAAGCTACATATGTCAATACTTTGCCTAGGGACAGAAATTAATTATTCCACAGAAGTGATGCTGGTATCTAATCTTATTACATTTATACTGTAAAAGTATCATTATTAATAATTATGACAGCTATTATTTATTGAAAGCAGAATGCTTATCCTGTTAGGCATTGTGTTAAGTGCTTTGCGTGTATTATCTCATTTAATCTTCCCATGAATCCAATTCTAAATCTAATCCCATTTCAGTATGATTCTATGAGTAAAGTACTACTTCTATCCTTTTTTCACAAATGGTGTCAATTAGGTTCAAAAAAGTTTAAGTAGCATGCCCATTGTCACATCGCTAGTAAGAATGGTGGAGCATCTCTTATTGGGGAGGACCAGTTATTAAGAGTTCCGATGGTCAATTTCCTTTTCAAATGTCACTTGTGTGGCATATTGTGCAGCCTGTTTGATCATGAAGAGATGGCCTTCTTAATTCTAGAACCGTGTGGCTAAAATCTTTGCTAATTCTTGAATGTACCAAGGGCTCTACTGTCTCTCAACACCTTGTAAGTAAAGAAAACTTAAGGGTGATTTTTAAAGTATGGCAAAGAACAACCTTTCTCAACTGTCAGACAGTTCTCTAGATCACAACTATAGCACATACCATACCAAAAATTACAAAATTTGGAAACATAAAGTTGTCATCTTCCTCCTGGGTTATTGCAGTGTCCTAATTGTTCTCCTTGCTTCTCATTTTGCCCCCTTGGAATAAAACCCATGGCTAAATGTTTTAGCCTAGCTTACCAGTAATCTGATCTCATCTTATGCCACGCTCTTCCTAACCCACTCTATTCCAGCCACACTCACTCAGCCTTTTCCAGCTCTTCAAACACACCAAGTTCTTCTTGCCTTTATACATACTATCATCTCCTGTTGAAACTTCATACTCCTGCTCTTCTCCCATATTCCTTCCTCCTATTTCTTGGCTCTTAAATGTTATAAATGGTGTTCAGTCACATACACACACACATTCACAAACACACACCCCACGTCTAAATTACACCCTGTTTTTCCTTCATAGCTCTTATCCATATTTACAGTTTTCTGTTGTTTTGAGTACTTTGTCTAATGAGTGTCTCTTCAATTGGACTATAAGATCCATGAGGGAAAATTTCATATCTCTTCATTTACCATTGTATTCCCAGTGCCTGATACACTGCCTGACTATATTAGAAGCCAGTGAACTATTTCATAAGTTGAGTGACTCTAAGTTTGATTCCTTATCAACCACCTAATTGCTGTGTGACCTTTGGAAATGCATATTCAACTTCTTCTCTGAGTGTCAGTCTTTTCATCTGTTAAATGGGGCTCACAATACCTATATTACAGGATCTACATGGAGAAGATGTATGCTAATATATATAAAATGCTTCAAAAATTGTTAAACCTTGTAGAATCTCGAACTTTAAATTCAGTATCGCCCCATTGAAGCTAAGGGTGTTTCCGCCAGTTTAGTAGGCTAAACTTGCAGAAGGAGCAGACTTTGGACAGCATGTGGGCAATTTTCACAAGGCGTTTAACTGGGCTTCAAGCCCAGGGCACTCAGAGGCTCAGCAAGGAGTGAAATAGGGCCAGCTCGCCCCCCGAGGGGTCCATCGGTCCCTTGACTAAGCTGGTATGCTTATGTTGTGTATTTGTGCATCATAAACACAGCCATCTATCTGGTTTTTTGTCCTCTTTTCTGACTGACTTCTCACTCAAAGCACAAAGAAAAAGAAAGGAAATGCAAAGTCATGTGCATCAACAGAGCCTATATCTTTGAGTATCTTAGTGACTTGGGATTATTTTAAGGGAAAAAATATGGGAAAGTTCTGCAGGGACCTAACACACATGGCTGGCTATCATCTATACTCCAAGTAGACATCGCTTTCTTAACTGTTGTAGTTGTTTGGAAGGAAGGGTGTGTCTGATGCAGCCTAGAACTTTTCCCAGGGATTTTGGGGAAAGCTCTCTTCCTTCTTATTGATCTGGATTTGAAAAAGCAATAATATCTAAAACTACGTTAGGGGAAAGGTCAGAAAAGAGAAGTCACCTGATAGAGAAAGGGTCAAGGTAGACAGAGGTCACCAGTGGAGACTAAGGTCTAAGACATATGGTTTCCTTTGACTTTCTTCTCCTCACCAGTGGGTAAAGTGGTGAACTGGATATCAGCATTCTTGGAAACTCCTGGAAGTTTTCTAATTCTCTACAGAACCATGAAGTGAACAGGGCACTTCAAAGAATACTTGATCCATAGCCCTTGCTTTTTCATAGGTTAGTCTCTGAAACAAATGAGAAAGTAATTCACATTATAAGTGGTATTCCAAAAACAACAGCCATTTGGGATTCTTATCTGGTATTGAGGGGTAGACAGGATTTTTCCAAGCTTGAATAAAAGTCCCAGGATCTGCTAGACACGGGGAATTTACCCTCTCTTCTTCACCCATGTGAAATCTCACTCCACGACCATTCCCTGACCTAGGCCCCATCATCTCCTGCTTGGGCCACTTCAAGAGACTCCTAAGCAACTTTTCGCTTCTGGTCTGGTGCCTGCTCCACTTCACCCCCAATCCATTCACACTTTACCCAGAGTGATCTTTCTGAAACAAATCTAATCATACAAACCCTGCTTGAATGTCTTCCATCATTCTCCACGGTTGTGGAGGTAAAGTCCACACTGTAACATGGCCTATGAGGCCTTCCTACCTCACCAGCATCATCTCGTATAATTCTTCCCATATCTCACCATCCACCTCGGCCCACCTCTTATTATTCAGGCATGCTGTTCTTAAGGCAGGTCCTGAACAGGCTGTGCTCTCTTGGGACTCTAGGTCTTTACATATCTGTGAATTATAAAGTTCACCTTCTCACTACTATTATTCAAAACATTTTCTTGGAGCTCTTTCATTGCGCTTAACATTGTACTTGGCAGTAGAACAGACAGACAGGTAAACAAGTAGTTACAGTTCAGATATTACAGAGGACAAAATGTATAAATGTGATAGAAGCCAGAGAAAGGGGCAACTAATTTGGTCAGGGCGGAGCAAAGGAAAGCTTCACAAGAAGAGAAGACCAATCACATTAGCTCATGTTTAGTGAACATTTACTTAGCTCTGAGCTAAAGTGTTTTACAAATGTTATCTTATCAAATTATCAAAATAACTCTAGGAAATGGATACTGTCAGGAGAGAGGAGAGCATAACAGTTAAGCACATGAGTTAGGCCTCAGCTTAAACCCTGTCTCTACCACTTAGAAGATTTCTAGCCTTGAGCAAGTTGTTTAACTCCCAAGGCATTTTTGTCAACTTCAAAATGGAGATAGATAATAGTTTTTTTAAAAAAATTAGTTCTGGCTGGGCGCGGTGGCTCACGCCTGTAATCCCAGCACTTTGGGAGGCCGAGGCGGGCGGATCACAAGGTCAGGAGATCGAGACCATCTTGGCTAACACGGTGAAACCCCGTCTCTACTAAAAATACAAAAAATTAGCCGGGCGCAGTGGCGGGCGCCTGTAGTCCCAGCTACTCGGGAGGCTGAGGCAGGAGAATGGCGTGAACCTGGGAGGCGGAGCTTGCAGTGAGCCGAGATTGTGCCACTGCAATCCGGCCTAGGCTAAAGAGCGGGACTCCGTCTCAAAAAAAAAAAAAAAAAAAAAAAAAAAAAAAATTAGTTCTTATTTTTTTAAAAGAGAGAGATGTATGAAAATACATAGCATGGTACCTGGCACCTAGCTAGTGTCCACTAAAAGGTGGCAACTACTACTATTCTCCTTGGTTTACAGAAAGGGTTAAGCAACCTTCCTAAGGTCACACAGCTAGTAAATTCCAGAGCCTGAATTCAAACCCAGAATGATCAGGCTCCAGAGCCCAGCCTCTCAAGCAGGATCAGGCTCCAGAGCCCAGCCTCTAAACCTTTTGAGTCTGAAAGATGAATAGAACTTGATAATGAGTATTTGAAACTACTTCTCAAAGTAGGAGTCATAAAGAAAAGAAGAGAAAAGAGGTAGTGTTGATGCAGCACCAGCCTGGGAACAGATACTTGGAACTGAAATCTGAAAAAGATGTGACTTACCCAGAGAAGAAAGTGCTGAGGCTCACACAGCTCAGGTTGGTGGTCCACACATGGTGAGAAAGCAGCAGCAATTTACACTATGCCCAAGGCTGGCTGGCGGGGGCAGCTGGGACAGCCTCTGGGATTATAGAACCAACTCTCTCTCCTGCCCTCCCTGCCACCCAGGTTGCTGCTTCTGAGATCTACCTTGAATGCAAAACAGCTGCCTCCTAAATACCAGGGTGAGCCTCTCCCAGCTCTTCTCACTAGCTCTATTAGGAGCTGGAGGGATGCAACAAAGAAATAGCAGAGTTGGGGATCCATTCCGCAAACTTTAACTGCTCCAAAGGAGCAATTATGGAGCATCTACACAACAGACCCTAATTATCTGTTAACCCAATAAAAAGAGTTCAAAGGGCCACAAAGACCTATTTACCAAATGCGTATTCTGTAATTACAAATCATCCATTGCGCAATCAATAGATGTTTTAAACCATTGCTTGAAAGTTTATGTGCTTCTCTGACAGATGGTTTTCCTGAGTCCTTTTATGTTTGTTTTAAGTTGATCATGGGAATAAGTTACCCACTATTATGGAACTCACAGCAGGGTGAAATAACTGAATTTGGATGAGTTTACTGATACAGATTATGATGTTGAGAGTAGTCCCCGAATTGCACTAAAGGCAATGGACTTGGGTCCTCAAAACTTGAAATGGATTTGGGCCTTGAAATGGTCTACGTTAATGAAATACTTGTCTAGTCAAAAACTGGCAGCTTTCAGCGTGTCTTATCCATGAAACCAGATTATGCAGTCCAGGCAAACAGATTCTGACTCTTGAGATGAATGGGACCCCTGTGAGGTGGTTTCATCCACATATTCATTCACTTAGCCAACAAATAGTTGAATTGCACTGCAACTCTATGCCACTTTGCTAAGCAAGGAGGATCAGATTGACAAGGTCCTGCTCTTGCGGAGCTTATATTTGGAAGTTGGAATGAGGGCAGCAAGACATAAGTAAACATAATTTCAGAGAATGGTAGTTGCTATTGAGAAACTCAAATGAGGTATTGGGAGAGTGACTATCCAGCCAGAGGGCTGGGGATAGGTGGTCAGAGAAGCTTCTCTGAGAATGTGGTTTTTTGGCAGAAGACCAGTTGATGAGCAGGATCTGATACCATAAAGATCAGCAGTGAGCTTGCCATGTTTGAGAAACAAACAGAAGGCCAGCATGTCTGGAGTACATTGAGTGCGGAGGTACAAGAGGCTATCAGAAAGACAGGCAGAGACCGCTCATCCAAGGATCTTCAGTGATTCTAAGGAGTTTGGACTTCATTTTAAGTGTAGTGAGAAACTACAGGAGTATTTTAAATAGAGAGGTGACATGAAAATCTACATTATAAAAAGCACATTCTGGCTTCTGAGTGGATAATGGATTATAAAAGAACAAGAGTAGATACAGGGAGACAGCTAGGCTACTGCAGTAATACAGATGAGAAGAGATGTAGGCTGAGATTACAGTGACAATAGTGCAGATGGTGGAAATGGTTGAATTTGTGATCTATTTTGGCATCAGAGCCAACAAGATTCACTTCATATGGAAAATGAGGGACAGTGATAACGGGAGGATGATTCCTGAGATTTTGACTGGAGCAATGGAAGAATGGAGACATTCACTAAAATGAAGGAAGGTAGATGAGGAGGAGGCTTCAGGGCATGGAGCTGCAGGAATCAGAAATTCTGTTGTGAAAATGAGTTGAATATGCCTGTTGGTATCAAAATGAATACATCAAATTGGCATTGGATGACTTAGAGCTCAGAGGAAAAGTCAGGGCTTGAGTTTTAGCATATTTGTATTCGTTCGTTTTCACACTGCTATAAAGAACCTGACACTGGATGATTTATAAAGGAAAGAGGTTTAGTTGACTCACAGGTCTGCATGGCTGGGGAGGCCTCAGGAAACTTACAATCATGGCAGAAGGCAAAGGGGAAGCAAGGCACATCTTACATGGCAGCGGGAGTGGGATGGAGGGAGGACCTGCCAAACACTTTTAAACTATCAGATCTCATGAAAACTCACTCACTATCACGAGAACAGCATGGGGGAAAATCTGCCTCCATGATCCAATCACCTCCCACCAGCTCCCTCCCCGAGCACATGGGGATTTCAATTCAAGATGAGATTTGGATGGGGACACAAAGCTAAACCATATAGATATTGAAAATTATCTCCCTTGTAAGAAAACTGAGGCTTAGAAAGGTTACCTAAAGTCATACGGCTTATTAGTGTGACCTCCAAAAGCCCTTAAGATGTGGGGTCTCATTCGGTCTTCTCAGCCTCCTCCAGACTTACTGGCCTGTGTTGGCTAACCTCTAGCCACACTGGCTTCCACTCCACTTCCCAAAGATGTAGCTCCTTCCTGCTTCAGTGCCTTATACACAACCTACCTTCTGCCTGAACATCCTTCTAGAATTCAATCTACTGAGACGCACCATGGCACTTCTCAGAAAAGCTTTTCCTGAACCCCTGAGATAGATCACAGATCTCTAAAACATGTATTCATGATTGCTTTTATGTGTTACATGTCATGATCCAATTTGAGTATGAGTGACTATTTGATTAATTTCTGCTCATTCTCTAGAATATAAGCTTCAGGAATGGTCTCTTACTACTGTATACTTAGTACCTGGGGAATCACGAAATATATGTTGAAAGTGGTAATTGGTAAATAGTAGTAATCAATGAATACACAGTAGTTCCTCCTTATGAAATAACATTCCAAAACCCCCCAGTGGATGCCTGAATCTACAGATAGTACTCAACCCTCTATCTACTATGTTTTTTCCTGTACATACATACCTATGGTAAAGTTAATTTATAAGTTAGGCACCGTAAGATATTAATAACAACAATAGTAAACAGAACAATGTAACAATATACCGTAATAAAAGTTATGTGTATGCGGTCTCTCTCCTTTCTCTCTCTGTCTCAAAATATCTGATTGTACCATACTCACCTATTTTTGAACCACAGTTGACCATGAGTCACTGAAACTGAAGAAAGTGAAACTGCAGGGGGGGTCCTGAAGTGTATTGGAAAAATGGATGATTTTCTTAAATGAATTGATGACTAGATAGATGAATGATTTTACTACCCCAATCACGTTAGGGAAGTTATTTAGCTTTTCTTCTTCTACCAGACTTACAGAATTAAGATGAAAATACCTTCTCTCTCCTATTAGGGATGTTAAAAAGCTAATGATAAACTGCTTTGCCAGTTAGAAAATAAGACCTATATAAGTACAGGGTATTTTTAAAGCAGAGAAAATACCAAAGCATCATTTAGTTAATAGTTATAATTTATCCACTTTGCCAAACCTTTTCTTAGGGTTGCAAACAAATTCATTTAAACAGATTCCCATTTCTCTTCTCTTTTCAACCTTGTTCACTCACTTTTGGGAAGGTGGAAATACTTTTAGAAAATGTCTCAAATATCAGCAACTGAGAGGAGCCACGAATGTCCCAAGTAATCTTTAAATATCTATAGAATTATTCTCAAAGCAGAAGCTGGAAAAGCTGACTGCATTTTTCTTTCCAGTGTGCCTGTTGCTTCTTTCACTGGTGGCCAAGAGAAGTGGGATCTAAAAAAGCCTTCATAGGGAATCTGTGGGCCATGGCAAATAAAGTGCCATTTGCACGTGAGCCAGATGAAAGAAGTCAGCTACCCTGCTGGGAAGACCATGTGGAGAGGGAATAGCTCTGGGACTAGATGGAGAGTGGGAGAATGGCCCAGCTATTCCAGCATCCCAGCTGAGCCCAATCTTCCTGCCATTCTCACCAAGGTACCAAAAAGGTGAATGAGCCAGTTTTGGAGATTCCAGTCCATCAAACCCCCAACGTGACTAGAGACACAGCTGAACTCCATGAAAAAAAGCAGGAAAAAAAATGCCATTCAACCACAGAAACATGAGAAATAATACATTGCTATTGTTTGAAGCCTCTGATTAGTGGAGTGGTTTGTTATGCAGCAACAGAAATCAAAATAAAAATTGCTACAGCCAGCAAGATGCTTCCATAACAAAAAGCTAAAATATGTGGCAGTGGGGCCAAATGACAGGTAGAAGCTAAGAAGGCCTTGAGAATACTTTCAGTAAACACTGGACAGACATGAAGGAAATGTTATTGGAGCCTGGAGAAGAGGCAACCCTTGTTATGTAATTACAGAAAGTTTGCCAAAACTGTCTCCCACAGCTACTGAGAAAACAGAAAAGATATTTAATTAATTACTAGTTATGGCTAAGGAAATTTCCAGAAAGAATGTTAAAAGTATCAGTCTGTTTTATCTAGCTGCCTATAACATATAAGAAGAGAGAGATTAACTAAAGAAAGAACTGTCTAATTCTCACGCAGGATTTAAAGAAATATAGAAAGCTCAGAACAGTCTTTATAGTCTGAAAAGAGGTTCTTAAATTAAGAGATGTTCTTAAGCAAAGACCAAATCTAGGACACTACCAGTTAAAATGGCCTCAGGGTAAATTCAGATCAAGTATGTGGCTAGGAAAGTCATTAAGACCCTTGGTAAAATATAAGGTAGCACCTCATATATCCTCCCAGCTGACTAGAAAAAGACTTCCATTCTACTTCTATTCTTCAGGTACTAGAAAACAAAGGCAAGTTTTTGAGTTTATATGTGATGAAGTAAAAAAGTGGCTTCTGAGAAATTAGTCTGGCAGTAGACTGTAGGATGGATTCAAGTGGTAAACCTTGAGAAATTAGGAGACAAAATAGGAAGTACCTTAGTGGTGGTGATTCCTTCTCAGAGACAGTTGTTTTCTCTTCATAACCCTTAAAATAACACAGATGATTCAGCACCTATTATAGTACCTAGTATATAGTAGATATGCAAGAAGTATTGTTCATGTATGAACAATCTTATATTTTGGAATATTAAGCAGGGAGGATGAATAGGAACAGACCAGCTCTTACAAAGATCCAGCTTCAAGTCAGCTCATTGGGTCAGGATGATCCAATCCCCATAACTGCCTGCAGAAGTAAAAGCAAATTCTCAAAATACATAAAGCGAGATCTGACCCACCTAAAAGAGGAAACAGGAAAATTCATGAACAAAGTGGGAGATTTTAACACATTCCTCTTATTGATAAAATAAGCAGACAAAATATTAATACAGACATAAGAGGCTCGAACAACACTACTAATAACATTTACCTAATTTATAAATATAAATAGATATAAATAAATGTATAAATAGATACATTGACCTACACACACACACACACACACACACACACACACACACACACACAACTGTAGAATACATGTACTTTTCAAATGCATATGGAGCATTTCTTTAGAGTCCAAATGCTGGGCAAAACTCAAAATTTTCAGAGGACTGAAATCATATGGAGTACATTCTCTGACCACTGAGGAATTAAGCTAGAGATCAATAATAAAAATAACTTCAAATGTTTAGAAATTGAATAAAAAGGTTAATTAGAAAAAGAAGAGCAAATTAAAACTAAAGAAAGTAGAAGGAAGAAAACAATAAAGATAAGAGTATAAATTAATGAAAGAAAAGCCATGTACAATACAAAGGATTCAAAGCTATTCTTTGAAAAGACTAAAAAATGTTATAAACTTCTTGATAACCTAATTAAGAAAAAGAAGTAATAGTAAAATAACCGATATCAAGAATAAAAAGGTGAATGTCATTCTATATCTTACAGACTTTGAAAATATAATAAAAGAATATCATGAACAATTTTTGCCAATAAAGTAAAAAAATAAGAAAAAAGCAAATAGAAAAATCAAAACCTACCAAAATGTATCCTTGAATAAAAAGAAAATCTAAACAGCCATGTATCTGTTATAGTAATTGAACCTATAGTAAAATCCTTCCTGCAAAGAAAACTCAAACCCAGATGGCTTCATCAGTGAATTCTTCCAAATATTTAAGCTATTTAAGGAAGAAAAAACATCAATCTTGTACAAACTCTTCCTGAGAAAAGAAAAAAATGAAACAGTTCCCAACTGATTTTATTAGACCAATAATACTTTGACACTAAATCCTAACAACCACATTACAATGCAGGCCAGAGTCTCTCACAGAGATGCAAAATTCCAAAAATTCCAAAAAGAGTGTTAGCACATTGAATATAAGAAAGAAAATACATCAGGACTAAGCTGGGTTTATTCCAAGAATGCAAAGTTGATTTAACATTTGAGAATCAGTAGCTGTGATTTACCACTTTTCTAGAACAAAGGGGAAAGAAATCATATAATCATCTTAATAGAAACAGAAAAAACATTTTACAAAATTTAACAGCCACACAGGATAAAAATTTGTAGCAAGCTAGAAATAGAAATGTGCTCCCTTAATCTGGTGAAGACTATCCGCAAAAATTCTACTGAACACGGAGATCAAGAACAAGATAATGATGCCCCTATCATGACTTCTGATGAACATTATACTAGAGGTCCTAGCCAATATAATGTAAAAAATGCAATAATGTAGTAAAAAAGAATGAAAGGTAAATGGATTAAGAGTCAAGAAATAAAGCTGTCCTTATTTACAGATGGCATGATTTGTATCTACAGCTAAGAAATCTACATATACATTTTTATAAATAATAAGTTAATTTGTAAGATTTCTGAGTATAAGAGCAACAAGAGATAATTTATATTTCAATACACCAGCCACAACAAACAAATAAAACCTTTAAAATATAATTTACCATAGCATCAAAACAGTCAAATACCTAAGACTAAATCTAATAAAAGCTGTTCAAGATCTATATGCTGAAAAGTATAAAATGTTCCTGAAAAAAATTTTAAAATCCTAAATCAATTGAAGGCTAGGCCAGTTTTCATGAATCAGATTAATATTATAAAGATGTCAATTCTCATCAAAGTGATCTACAGATTTAATGTGATGCCAATCAAAATCCCAGCAGGCAATTTTGTTAAAAATTAATGAGGCAATTTTTAATTTTATATGAAATACAAAGGGTCAAGAATAGCCCCCCAAAAAATTTTGAAGAAGTTCAAATATAGAGAACTTACCTTACCGTACATCCAGACTTATTAAAAAAACTCTACTAATAAGGACAGTTGAGCTGATAAGTTGATGAGTGTGATCACTTTGTGATAACTAACAGAGCTGTCAATTTATTATTTGTGCAATTTTCTGTGTATATACTATGCTTCAATTAAAATGTTTATTAAAAAATTGCTTTGCCAATGTGGGAGAGATGGCCATCCTATGCCTTCAGAAGTGTGTCTTGAGAAGATCACTTTGGTTATGTAACAGTCCAGTCTAAAATCAAAATCTGAATTTAACCATGGGAAACATCACTCAAACCAAAAATGAGGAAAAAAATCTAAAGAAGGGAAAGACAATCATATTCTTTAAAAATGTCTATGCCATGCAAGGCTGTGGAAACATTCTGGATCAAAGATGACTAAAGAGACATAGCAGCTAAATGTCATGCTTGATCCTGCACATAGGAATAAAATTATAAAAGGTATTATTGGATGGATTTACCTAAATGGACAACAGAGTAGTATTTTTATGACATGTACACTAAAATATTTAGGCATAAAGAACCAGGAGGAATGCAACTTACTCTCAAAAGCTTTAGAAAAATATATTATATACATACATGTATATATGTGTATGTGTGGGTATATATATATGTACATGTGTATTTGTGGGTATATATATATATACACATATGTGTATATATATATATATACACATATGTGTATATATATATATATATACACATATGTATATATATAGAGAGAGAGAGAAAGCACAAATAGAAAGCAAACAAGGCAAATATTAAAAACAGGTGAATCTGGGTAAAGGCTCTTAGTTGTGTTTTATGTACTATTCCTATTCTTGCAAATTTTCTCTAAGTTGAAAGTTATTTTCAAATAAATTACTTTAAAAAACTGCACTGGTTTATTGGACAACTTCACTGCACTGAGACTAGTTGACATGGTTTTTGAGTTTGCAAGTGTTACAGATAAATTGAATAAATGAATGAAAAGCCTGCACAGACCATTCTACCTAGTTACTGAGAAGTACTCCAATCCCAGCCATATAGATAGATTTAATGAGAAGGATGTCCCCAGCAACCCTGTCAGACTCCTGTCATATGGAATTAGCATAGATTTGCAAGTCATTTGTAATATTCCTTAAGTTCGAGGAGAGATAAAGCCAGTGACGCTTGCATAGTTTTTCTTATGATTTGTCAGTTCAATCACTGAACACCTACTATGTGCCAGGCCCTGTTTTAGGCAGTGAAGGTAGTGAAAATATATGCTACCTGAACTCCTAAAGGGAACATAAAAAGGCAAATAAAAACACTATAATTCAAACAATGTTTATTTTATGAATGCTTATTGACTGAATTCTAATACAATTCAATAGACTCCAAATGACCACTGTATACAAAGACAATAAAGCTCTGAGAGTTCTGTCTTCCTAACTCTTAATGATCCAGAATTACCATGCTAAGGAAGCATGTATTTTATTTATTGTTGTTGTTGCCCTCTACTAATATATTCAGCACAATCTTATCATAACAGCTTCCTGTGGAATCCATACCAAAAAGGACAAAAAGAGTAAGTGCACGAGGGGATCATGGCAGTCGGGAGGCAGGACTAGATTGCAGCTCCCACTCCGACGGACAGAGCAGCGTGTGGAGGCTTGCATTATGAATTTTTGCTCCGGAAGGACTGCAGGAATAAATCGGGAAACCTGAGAGGACCCACAGACCACCTGAAGGAAGTGGATTGCTCCTGCAGGACCCTGGAGACACCCCAAATACTCAGCTGCGACAAGACCTGCCCAAGGAGAGTCTGAGCTCAGACACGCCTAGCCCTGCCCCCACCCACTAGTCCCTCCCTACCCACCCTGGTAACTGAAGACAAAGGGCATATACTCTTGGGATTTCTAGGCCCTGCCCCCCCACCTGTTCCTGCCCATACTACCACAGCTGATATTCTCTGGAAAGTGCCACCACCTGGCAGGAGGCCAACCAGCACAGAAATAATGCATTAAACCACCAAAGCTAAGAACCCTAACAGAGTCCATTTCAAGCCCCCTGCCACCTCCACCAGAACAGTTACTGGTATCCATGGCTGAGATACCCACAGACGGTTCACATCACAGGATTCTGTGCAGACAAGCCCCAGTACCAGCCCAGAGCCTGGTAGACTTGCTGGGTGGGTAGATCCAGAAGAGAGATAACAATCACTACAGCTCAGCTCTTGGGAGGCCACATCCGTAGGAAAAGGGGGAGAATACTACATCAAGGGAATACCCTGTAAGACAAAAAAATCTGAACAACAGCCTTCAGTCCAAGATCTTCCCTCTGACAGAGCCTACCCAAATGAGAAGAAACCAGAAAACCAATTCTGGTAATATGACAAAACAAGGTTCTTTAACACCACCAAAAAAACCACACTAGCTCAACAACAATGGATTCAAATCAAGAAGAAATCCCTGATTTACTTGAAAAAGAATTCAGGAGGTTAGGCCAGGTGCAGTGGTTCATGCCTGTAATCCCAGCACTTTGGGAGGCTGAGGTGGGTGGATCACCTTAGGTCAAGGGTTCAAGACCAGCCTAGCTAACACGGTGAAACCCTGTTTCTACCACAAATACCAAAAATTAGCCGAGCGTGGTGGCACGCGCCTGTAATCCCAGCTACTCGGGAGGCTGAGGCAAGAGAATCACTTGAACCCAGGAGGTGGAGGTTTCAGCAAGCTGAGATCACAGAATTGCACTCCAGGTTGGGCAAGAAGAGCGAAACTACATCTGAAAAAACAAAAAGAATTCAGGAGGTTACTAATTAAGCTAATCAATCAGGGAGGCACCAGAGAAGTGTGAAGCCCAATGTAAGGAAATTTAAAAAATGATACAAGAAGTAAAGGGAGAAATATTCAAGGAAGTAGATACCATAAATAAAAAAACAACCAAAACTTCAGGAAACAATGGACACACTTATAGAAATGCAAAATGCTCTGGAAGATCTCAGCAATAGAATTGAATAGGGAGAAGAAAGAAATGCAGAGCTCGAAGGTAAAGTCTTCAAATTAACCCAATCTAACAAAGACAAAGAAAAAAAGAATAAGAAGATATGAACAAAGCCTCCAAGAAGTCTGGGATTATGTTAAATGGCCAAACCTAAGAATAATTGGTGTTCCTGAGGAAGAAGAGAAATCTAAAAGTTTAGAAAACATATCTGGGGGAATAATTGAAGAAAACTTCTCCAGCCTTGCTAGAGACCTTGACATTCAAATACAAGAAGCACAAAGAACATTTGGGAAATTCACTGCCAAAAGATCATCCCCTAGGCACATTGTCATTGGGTTATCTAAAGTTAAGACGAAAGAAAGAATCTTCAAAGCTGTGAGACAACAGCACCAGGTAACCTATATAAAGGAAAACCTATCAGGTTAACAGCAGATTTCTCAGCAGAAACCCTACAAGCTAGAAGGGATTGGGGCCCTATCTTCAGCCTCCTCAAATCAAACAATTATCAGCCAAGAATTTTGTATCCAGCAAAACTAAGCTTCATATGTAAAGGAAAGATACAGTCTTTTTCAGACAAACACATGCTGAAAGAAGCCACTACCAAGTAACCACTATAAGAACTGCTAGAAGGAGCTCTAAATCTTGAAACAAATCCTGGAAACACATCAAAACATAACCTCGTTAAAGCATAAATCTCACAAAACCTATAAAACAAAAATACAATTTAAAAAACAATAACAAAAAACAGAAAACCAAGGTATACAGGCAATAAATATAATGATGAATGGAATGGTACCTCACATCTCTAACATTGAATGTGAATTGCCTAAACGCTCCACTTAAAAGATACAGAATTGCAGAATGGATAAGAACGCACCAACCAACCATCTGCTGTCTTCAATAGACTCACCTAACACATAAGGACTCCCACAAACTTAAGGTAAAGGGGTGGAAAAAGGCATTTCATGCAAATGGAAACCAAAAGCGATCAGGAGTGGCTATTCTTATATCAGACAAAACATACTTTAAAGCAACAGCAGTTAAAAAATACAAAGAGGGACATTATATAATGATAAAAGGCCTTGTGCAACAGGAAAATATCGCAATCCTAAACATAAATGCACCTAACACTGGAGCTCCTAAGTTTATAAAGCAATTACTAACAGACCTAAGAAATGGACTTTAATACTCCACTGACAGCACTCGACAGGTCATCAAGACAGAAAGTCAACAAAGAAACAATGGATTTAAACTATACCCTGGAACAAATGGACTTAACAGATATATACGGAACATTCCATCCAACAACTGCAGGATATACATTCTATTCAATAGCACATGGAAGATTCTCCAAGATAGACCATATGATAGACCACAAAATGAGCCTCAATAAATTTAAGAAAACTGAAATTATAACAAGTACTCTTTCAGACCACAGTGGAATAAAACTGGAAATCAACTCCAAAAGGAACCTCCAAAGCTATGCAAATACATGGAAATTAAATAACCTGCTCCTGAATGATCATTGGGTCAACAATGAAATCAAGATAGAAATTCTAAAATTCAACAATAGTGACACAATATATCAAAACCTCTGGGACACAGAAAAGGCATGTTAACAGAAAAGCCCACAGCCCTAAATGCCTACATCAAAAAGTCTGAAAGAGCACAAACAGACAATCTAAGGTCACACCTGAAGGAACTAGAGAAACAAGAACAAATCAAATGCAAACACAGCAGAAAAAAGGAAGTAACCAAGGTCAGAGCAGAACTAAATGAAATTGAAACAAACAAAAAAAAATACAAAACATAAGTGAAATAAAAAGCTGATTCTTTGAAAAGATAAATAAAACTGACAGACCATTAGCAAGATTAACCAAGAAAAGAAGAGAGAAAATCCTAATAAGCTCCATAAGAAACAAAACAGGAAATATTACAACTGACACCACTGAAATACAAAAGATCACTCAAGGCTACTATGAACACCTTTACCCACATAAGCTAGAAAACCTAGAAGAGATGGATAAATTCCTGGAAAGATACAACACTCCTAGCTTAAATCAGGAAGAATTAGATACCCTGAACAGATCAATACAAGCAGTGAGATTGAAACGGTAATTTAAAAATTACCAACAAAAAAAAAGTCCAGGACCAGATGAATTCACAGCAGAATTCTACCAGACAGTCAAAGAAGAAATGGCACCAATCCCATTGACACTATTCCACAAGATAGAGAAACAGGGAACTCTCCCTAAATCATTCTATGAAGCCAGTATCACCCTAATATCCAAACCAGAAAAGGGTATAACCAAAAAAGAAAACTACAGACCAATATCCCTGATGAAAAGAGATGCTAAAATTCTTAACAAAATACTAGCTAACTGACCAACAATATATCAAAAAGATAATTCACCATGATGAAGAAGGTTGCACACCAGGGATGCAGGGATGATTTAACATATGCAAGTCAATAAATGTGATACACCACATAAACAGAATTTAAAACAAAAATCACATGATCATCTCAATAGGTGCAGAAAAGCATTTGACAAAAATCCTGCATCACTTTATGATGATTAAAACTATCACCAAAATTGGCATACAAGGGACATATCTCAATATAATAAAAACCATCTAGGACAATCCCAGAGCCAACATAATACTGAATGGGGAAAAGTTGAAAGCATTCTCTCTGAGAACTGGAACAAGACAAGGATGCCCACTCTCACCACTCCTCTTCAACGTGATACTGGAAGTCCTAGCCAAAGCAATCAGACAAGAGAAAGAAATAAAGGGCATCCAAATCAGTAAAGAGGAAGTCAGACTGTTGTTGTTTGCTGATGATATGATCATTTACCTAGAAAACCCTAAAGACTCCTCCAGAAAGCTCCTAGAGCCTATGATAAAAGAATACAGCAAAATTTCTGGATACTAAATTAATGTACACAAATCAGTAGCTCTTCTATACACTAACAGCAACAAAGTGGAGAATCAAATCAAGAACTCAACCCCTTTTACAGTAGCTACAAAAAAAAAAAAAAACAAAAAAAAACCATAAAATACTTAGGAATATACCTAACCAAGGAGGTGAAAGAGCTCTACAAGGAAAACTACAAAACACTGCTGAAAGAAATCATAGATGACACAAACAAATGGAATACATACCAGGCTTACGGATGAGTAGAATCAATACTGCGAAAATGACCATACTGCCTAAAGCAGTCTATAAATTCAACACAATTCCCATCAAAATACCACCATCATTCTTCACGTATTGGGAAAAACAGTTCTAAAATTCATATGGAACCAAAAAAGAGCCCTTACAGCCAAAGCAACACTAAGAAAAAAGAGCAAATCTGGAGGCATCACATTACCTGACTTCAAACTATACTATAAGGCCATAGTCACCAAAACAGCATGGTACTGGTATAAAAATAGGCACATAGACCAATGGAAGAGAATAGAGAACCCAGAAATAAGCCCAAATACTTACAGCCAACTAATCTTCAACAAAGCAAACAAAAACATAAAGTGGGGAAAGAACACCCTAGTCAACAAATGGTGCTGGGATAATCGGCTAGCCACATGTAGGAGAGTGAAACTGGATCCTCATCTCTCGCCTTATACAAAAATCAACTCGAAATGGATTAAGGCCTTAAATCTAAGACCTGAAACTATAAAAATTCTAAAAGATAACATTGGAAAAATCCTTCTAGACATTGGCTTAGGCAAGGATTCGTGACCAAGAACCCAAAAGCAAATGAAATAAAAACAAAGATAAATTGCTGGAACTTAATTAAACTTAACAGCTTTTCCATGGCAAAAGGAACAATCAGCAGAGTAAACAGACAACCCACAGAGTGGGAGAAAATCTTCACAATCTATACATCTGACAAAGGACTAATATCCAGAGTCTACATGAAATAAAAAAAAATCCACAAGAAAAAAAACTAACAATCCTATCAAAAAGTGGGCTAAGGGCATGAATAGACAATTCTCAAAAGAAGATATACAAATGGCCAACAAACATATGAAAAAATGCTCAACGTCACTAATGATCAGGCAAATGCAAATCAAAACCACAAAGCGATACCACCTTACTCCTGCAAGAATGGCCATAATAAAAAAATAGTAGATGTTTGCGTGGATGTGGTGAAGAGGGAATACTTCTACACTGCTGGTGGGAATGTAAACTAGTACAACTGCTATGGAAAATAGTGTAGAGATTACTTAAAGAACTAAAAGTAGAACTATCATTTGATCCAGCAATTCCACTACTGGTATCTACCCAGAGGGAAAGAAGTCATTATACGAAAGCAGCAAAATTTATAATTGTGAAAACATGGAACCAACCCAAATGCCCACAGTTATATACATATGATTATATATATATATATATATATATATAAAATATATATATATAAAATATATATATATATGATGGAATACCACTCAGCCATTAAAAGGAATAAATTAATGGCATTTTCAGCGACCTGGATGAGATTGGAGACTATTATTCTAAGTGAAGCAACTGAGAAAAGGAAAACCAAACATTGTATGTTCTCAGTCATAAGTGGGAGCTAAGCTATGAGGATGCAAAGGCATAAGAATGGCCTTTGGGGACTCAGAAGAAAAGGGTGGGAAGGGGGTGAGAGATAAAAGACTACAAATAGGGTGCAGTGCATACTGCTCTGGTGATGTCTGCTCTAAATCTCACAAATCACCACGAAGGAACTTACTCATGTAACCAAATACTACCTGTTCCTCAATAACCTATGGAAACAAAAAAAAATTTTTTAAGAATAAGTGCACGCATTTATTGAGCAATTAACTGGTAGCAGGCACTTAAAATAGATATCCCTTCTTGTGGGTTGAATTGTGTCCCACCAAAGATATGTTGAAGTCCTGAACGTGACCTTATTTGGAAAATAGGATCTTTGCAGCTGTAATGAAGTTAAGGTGAGGTAGGTCATACTGAATTGGGGTTGCCCCTAACCCAGTGACTAGTATATTTATAAAAGAAAGGAGACTGAACACAGACACACAAAAACAAACAGAAAAGGGAGAAGAGAATGTCCTTTGATGTCAGAATCAGAGACTGGAGCGTCAGGCCAAGAAATGCCAATGATTGCCAGGAAGGAGTTTTTCTCTAGAATCTTCAGAGGGTGGCTGGCCTTGCTGACAACTTGATTTTGGACTTCTGGCCCCCGGATCTGTGAGAACATACATTTCTTTTGTTTTAAGCTACCTAATTTGTGGTACTTTGTTACAGTAGCCTGATAAAACTAATATGCTCCTGTTTTACAGTTGAGGACACTGTAACTCAAAGACATTATGCAACTTGCTCCAGTTTATGCAGCTAGTAATTTGCAGAAGCAAAAGTCAAAGCAAAGCTGTCTGGCTCTAAAGCCCATCCTGCCATTTTCTATCTCTGACCTTGACTTCTCTCCCGAGTCAAGCCTATAACATCTATATATGTACTTTATATCACTACTTCGATAACTAATAGGAACCTCATCCATGTCAAAATTAACATGTCAATAGTGAACTCTTGATTTTTCCCTTCCTCTTTCACCCCATCTTCCTCTTTCTCCCCATCCCATCCCAGTAGCTTGCATCACCATCCAGCAAATCTTTTAAGTGGAAAACTAGAGTCACCCTTGATTAGCCCCATTCCCTAATCCCTTATATTTAAATCATCAGGAAGTCTTGTTCACTTTACCTCCAATAAACCTGAATCTAACCATTTCTTACCCCCTTCACTGCAGACATGCTGGTCAAGTCAACATCATCTCTCAACATTATCTCTTGCAGGACAGTCCTGACTTCACTCTTGCCCCCTTATAATTTACTCTCTACCTTGTAACCAGGGTGACCTTTTAAAAATATAAGTTTGATTATATCACTTCCTGTTTAAAGTCCTCCAATGAATTCCCATTGCACTTAAATAAAAAGATAACTCTTGCTAAGTTAAAGTGGACATTTGTCATTTCCTAGGTTATCCAGAATCCTAATCCACTTTCTACCCTTGGGAAATTCCCCACCTTTTGAGTTTTGGGTGGTGGACTTTGCTTTTCACTCAAGAATACTTTATATACTCACTTTCCCAGGCTTTCACATTCTGAAGGAATAGGCTCATGACCACTCAGCCAATTAGCTGCACTTGCTCATTGTGATGGTTAATTTCACATGTCAACTTGACTGAGCCATGGGTGCCCAGATATTTGGTTAATCATTTATCCTGGGTGTGTCTGCAAAGGTGTTTTTGAATGAGATTAACATTCGAATGTTAATCTTCCCACCACTCCATCCAGGTGTTGGGAAGAGGCAACAAGGCTGCTGTCTAGTGATGACAAGGGTGGTAGTACAACACTGGTGTTGCAAGTGCCCAGCTACTGCCTGTGATCTGATCTCTTTTCCATATCTTTCCCTGGCAATCCTGAGGGACACCTAAGCTCCTTTCAACAAATTACTTTTCTAATATAATCAGCCATTCAGTCTCTGTCACTTACAAAATGGACTTACACACACGACTTAGAAGGGCTTGTATATACTGGTCACTGCCTCCTTCCCCAGCTTCATCACATACCACCCTTCCCACTCAGTCCCTACTCTCCACCTGTTGGGGTCTTTTTCCTCTAAATTCTTCCCATCTCCAGTCTTTGGCACTTGCCCTTCTGGCTGCTGGAATTCCCCTCCCCAGGTCTTTCTGTGGCTTCTTACTATTATTGAAGAACCAGCTCAAACAGCTCCTCTTCGGGGAGGACTTCACTATGTGATTTGAAGCAAATTCTTTCCCCATAAAAATCCCTGTGTTAATAACTGTCTTAATTTCTTTATAGCACCAGTAATTTCAAAGTAACTATAGCGCTATTATGTAAATGTAACTTATTCATGTTTTGACTTGTTATGGTCTACCTGCCCCCTTAGAAGTCATCCCAGGAGGGCAAGGACCTTGTCTGTCTTGTCAACGTTGCATCCCCTTGAATGCAGTCGATGTGCAGGAATCATTTGTAGAATGAAAAAAAGAAAAGAATGAAAGCCCCTCTCAGGAGATGCCCAGGCCAGACTTCTCAAAGGCCTTCTGCCCCAGCTCCAGGCTTACTCTTCATGCCTGAGCATTAATTTCTGAGTGTAGAAAACTCATGATTTTTTCCTTCTGAAGATTCCGGCTTTATCCCCTACAGGGTGTCAGCAGGGGTGGTTCTGTTCATATCAATGACTGCCATTTAAACCCTGAAAACTGTTAGAATGTTTGACAGTGAGAAGTTAGAAGACCAAAAGCCACGATCACCCCAAGCTACACATGTCATAAAGAGAGCCCTGGCTGTGTTGGAACAAAGGGGCAAACACTGGTATCATTCTCGGAGAAGCAACAATAACAAAAAAGATTTACTTATCTGTTCTGGTCTGTCCTAAGCCTATTACTATGCTTCTTGCCAGGGGCAGTGGGGCAGAGAGAAGAAGAAGGTCTGGTTTTTCAGGCCTTGGAGAAGTATCTGTAGAGCCAGCTTGGTTGAGTAGGCAGGGGGAGGAAGAACAGGGATACAGGGAAATTAAAAAGGGGAGGAGGCCGGGCGCGGTGACTCACGCCTGTAATCCCAGCACTGTGTGAGGCCGAGGCGGGCGGATCACGAGGTCAGGAGATCGAGACCATTTTGGCTAACACAGTGAAACCCCGTCTCTACTAAAAATACAAAAAAATTAGCCGGGCATGGTGGCGGGCGCCTGTAGTCCCAGCTACTCCGCAGGAGACTAGCGTGAACCCGGGAAGCGGAGCTTGCAGTGAGCCGAGATCGCGCCACTGCACTCCAGCCTGGGCGACAGAGCAAGACTCCGTCTCGAAAAAAAAAAAAAAAAAAAAAAAAAAAGAGGAAACAGAGGATGCAAAGAGCAGGTCTCAGGAGGCTGAAGAGAGATAGAGGAAAGGGGAGGAGGAAGCAGAGAGTAGAAGAAAGACGGAGGAAGGAAAAGGGAATTGGGGTCAAAAAAAGGAGAAGGAAAGAAAGGAGAACAAAACGTTACAAAAAAATCAGAGATAGAGAAGGAAGATGACAGGAGGCCAGAGGCAGAGAAGAAGGGAGGACAAGTACAGGGAGCTGGGGCTCCCGCATCGCCCCCCAAGCCCCACCCCTTTTCTTTAATTCCACTCACAGCAAGTTTCCTCACTGAGTTATTGAAAAATTCTGTTTTTAATCTGGATCCCAGGCACTATCTGTCCTTCTTTTCTGTACCCTGCAAACTCCAGTTCAATGCCCACAGTAAGCCGCAAGCCTATGCAGTGCATTTACCATATGCCAGACACTGTTTTAGTACCTTATCTACATTAACTCTTAATCCTCACAACTGTTGACCCCAGTACAATTTACCCCATTTTTTTCAGATAGGAAAACTGAGACACAGAAAACTTAAATATCTTGCCCAAAGTTACACAGCTGATAAAGTGATGAAGCTGGGACCCAATTCCACACAGTCTAACTTCAAAGTCTATCACCTCAAACATCTTCTCATTGATAAATATTTATTGAGTAGCTACTATATGACAGGCACCATAAAGTCTCTTCCGACCCCCCAGACAAAAGTAATTGTTCCCTTCTCTAGGCTTTTAAGGCATTGTGTATACCTACCCCTGATCCCATTGCAATAAATTATATATTTATGACCTCTATCTCCCAGGAGCCCATATATTTCTTAAGGACGCTGTCTATGCCTTCTTTATCAATGTATGTCTGCCACCTACTCTTGTGCCTCACACAGAGCAGGTATGCAGAAAATGTTTTTTTGGATGGAAGACTGTGGTGGTTAAATAATTTATGTTATCTGCTGTGACTTTGGAGCTAGTGGCTTAGATTCTAGAATTGTGGGCTTCATTTGACTAGTATGGAAAATGACAGATCAGCCATGAAGGCAGCCAAAAGAGAAGTGTAAGACTGTCTGCCTGTGTCCTGATTCATTTACCTCAAACATGTGCACCCCAAGGCAAGATTACGGGGAAAAAAAATTAAAAAAGAAAACAAGGGTGAGGGATTGGCAAAGCCAGGGTAGGAGGCATTGCACCATCAACTCCTATTTCCCAAGGAGCTATGCACATCCCAGGAGGGTTAGTCCTGTTACAACATTTTTGGGTTCTGAGCCCATGGCTGGGGCTGCAGCCATCATTTTCTGGCATCTAATAGAGAACCTCGATGGGATAGCATGCACCACCTGTTCTCAGAAGATTCACCTGCATTCACAGAAGCATAGACCCCAGAGATCAATCTGTCTAGTGGTTTTCAAAACCTTTTCTTGCTTTGAGTGCAAGATTGGGTTCTTCTAACCTAATCTATAAACCAGATAAATGTCAGGCAGCTCTAGTTAAAATAAGGTTAGAGACCTATCCACTCCCATCCTCATGCCCACTGAATATGTTGAAAACCATTGCTATATCACGGCCATCTCATTTCAAAGATGACAAATCCAGCTCCCACAAACCTTAAATGACCTGTGCAAAGCCCCTCAGCTGCTTGGCAGGATATTGGTGGGATTAGACAGAACTGAAGAAGGTTTTCTTTCATTTTGACTGTCTGCTTCCTTTCTTTCTGATCTTCTAAAAGTAACAATTAAAATAATGCTGCATATTTTCTAATCTGTACAATTTTCAGGGCATTCTCTGAATCTTGCAGCCAAAATGCTGCTACTTGTTAGGACCAGCCTCGTACTAGATTAGACAAACAGCAAAGCCTTGAGTTATGTTCTATGCATTTATATAACACTTGACACGTCTGAGAACTCTTTCAGATGTGGCAGTATAATTTGTTGAGAGATTAATTTGTGTGGCAGACAGAAGTTGCCAGAAGACAACACCCGTTCCTTTTTGTGGCCTTCATTTTTTAAAACCTGGGCTTATAAAATGCATTATGCTAGGTTTTCTCAGAGAGGGTAAGGGATATTTGGGGAAATTTCCTGAGACTCGCAAGGAAATAGGAGTTTTGCAATGCAGCAAGTAAGTGGGGCTCATGCATTGCAACACCACAATACTCTGGTAGGAATACTCCGAAAAGCAAAGAAGAGCCAGGTCCCAGGTTTATTGAGTAGCTACTATATGACAGGCACCATAAAGTCTCTTCCGACTCCCCAGACAAAACTAATAGTTCTCTTCTCTATGTTTTTAAGGCATTCTGTATACCTACCCCTGATCCCATTGTAATAAATTATATATTTATGATCTCTATCTCCCAGGAGCCCATCTGCTTCTTAAGGATGCTGTCTATGCCTCATTTATCAATGTATATCTGGCACCAAAGACCTGGCTCCCCAGCTGGTACAGGAGCAACAGAAATGCCTGGTTTCAAGGGACCATGCATGACTTTTAAATGAGGATCTTACATTGACCACTACCGACCAAAGGCAAAGAACCATCTCTCCTCTCTTACTGTGTAAGTCCCAGTGCCTTTCCACACATCTCTGGGGAAGAAAGGGAGCCCAATTCTGACTTAGATTAAATCTCTTGCCAGCTTGGTAGGACAAGGGGTGTACAGCAGACAAAATGTGATTTAGAAACATAAATGTCACATGTCTCTTAAAGGCAAAAATAAAGAGATCCTTATACCTACAATATAATGTGAGGTAGTTAGGGAAGGTGTTACTGTTATTCTCATTGTGTTAGTGAGATAACTGGGTCTCAGTCTTGTTTCATGTCCCAAGGCCAGTAGAATCAGTACTCAGCTCTAGTTTATTAATTTCCAGTCTCCTCTTTCCTCCAAGTGTTACTGTTAATATTTGTGTGAGGGAAAAAATAGGTATGTTGGATATAACATAACGAGAGGATATGCTACTTTTATTTTTTAAAAGGTGAAGGGATTGGGAGCATTTTGCTAATTATATCCCTGCCCACCCTACCTTAGACCGGAAAGGATTTATGGCGACTCACAAAAATACTTACAGTTGGATTGGCTCTTAGCGTTCATTGCAGCCTTCTTCTAGTTTGGTTGCAGTGCTGCAGAGTACTTGATGAGAAATATTTCCTGGACTCTCTTGAAGCTAGGATTCTTGCTGTGAATTCGATTCCACCCGTCAGCAGTACTTATCTGAGGTGTAGCAGGAGGAAGTGAAGTGGAGACGATCGTTTCCCTCCTGCTTCAGCTGCTGCTGTTGGGAAAGACGGGCATAGGAAATGGTGTTTTTCTGTATTACGTTGTCTAGCTCCTAGTTTTATGGGCATGAGAAGGCAGAGGCAGCAATCTTAGCAACAGTAGTTTCCTCACCTTTGGGATACAGCTACGAGGTGAGCTTTTGAGATCAATGATTCCAGTGGTGGCCTCCCAATTTCCATATCCTGGCTATGCCAGAGGCAGCAGCAGCCCTTATGGTTAGTTTAGCTGTGTTTTTCAAGAAGATATTCTTGGAGAACCAGCCTAGAGCCCACCATTCCAGCCCCTGATTAAGCACCTAATTCTACACTAAATCCCTCTCTGCTTGAGATAGAAAGGTCGCAGGTTTGGTATCTGTATCTTGAATGATACATACAGTTACATAAAATAACATAAATCTTTAAAACAAATAAAGGGAAATGAAATGAGGGAGGAAACAAGGAGCCAGGCACAAGATTAATACAAAATGAGTATCATCAAATGGTCTCCATTTGCAAGGGGTAAATCACTCATTTGGCTCCAAGCTTTCTAGGAGTAACTACAAAGAGAAAAAAACATTATTTGATTCACAAAATCCATTAAGCCAAAACATTCTGTTTCATGCGATTTCTTTCATGAGTCTTAAAAGTGCTGTTAGTGAAAATAATACAATAGAAATTATATGGGTCTAGTAATTCACTGGCCGATTGAAAACAAAAACAAAAGCCAAAAAAAAAAAAAACCACTCAGTAATACCTTAAACCTTTTATGTAAATTAATTCTATGAACATACATTCATTCCCCAATCTTTCAATGCCCTTTCTTTGATTAAAAGTCCTCTGATTTGAATTATGGTGCCATTTTTCTTATATAAATCACATCCACAATACATCAGCTATGATTTTGAATTTCAGTTTATTTAAATTGGAGTGTGAAATTACACAATTTTTGAAGCATTTTGATTATATATTTATTCTAGACTTTTAAATAGTATTTTCCTCATTAAAATTTTTTTATTTGTATATATGCATGGAGTACAGGTGCAATTTGCTACATTGATGTGTTGCATTGCAGTGAAGTTAGGACCTTCAGTGCATCCAACACTGGAGCAATGCATATTGTACCCACCAGAGCAACCTCCTACTATCCACCCCCTCACACCCCAACCCCTCCAAGTCTTCATTGTCTATCATTTCACAATCTGCTTCCATGTGTATGCATTATTTAGCTCCCACTTATAGGTGAGAACATGGTGGTATTCGTCTTTCTGTGTCTGAGCTGTTTCACTTAAGATAATGGCCTCCAGTTCCATCCACGTTGTTACGAAACATGTGATTTTATTTTTTTTAATGGCAGAATAGTATTCCATTGTGTATATATACCACGTTTTCTTTATCCAGTCTTCTACTGATGGACACTTAGATTGATTACTTATCTTTGCTATTGTGAATAGTGATGAGATAATCATATGAGTACAGGTATCTTTTGATGTAATCTCTTTTTCTTTTTTTGAAACAGGGTCTCATTCAGCCCAGGTTGAGGTGCAGTGGCATGATCTCAGCTCACTGCAACCTCCGTCTCCCGGGCTCAAGTGATCGTCCCACCTCAGCCTCCCAAGTAGTTGGGACCACAGGTGAGAGCCACCATGTGGCTAATTTTTGAATGTTTTGTAGAGACGGGGGTCTCACCATGTTGCCCAGGCTGGTCTTGAACTCCTGAACTCAAGAAATTCACATGCCTCAGCATCCCAAAATGCTGGAATTATGGGCATTAGCCACCATGCCTGGCCTGATTTCTTTTTCTTTGATTGGATACCCAGTAGTGGGATTGCTGGATAGAGTGAAAGTTCTATTTTTAGTTCTTTGAGAAATCTCCATACTGTTTTCCATAGAGGTTGTACTAATTTACATTTCCACCAACAGTGTATGAGTTCCCTTTTCTCCACATCCTCACTGACATCTGTTATTTTTTGTCATTTTTATAATAGTCATTCTGATTAGTATAAGATGATGTCTCATTGTGGTTTTAATTTGCATTTCTCTGATAACTAGTGATATTGAACATTTTTTCATATTCTTGTCCATTTAACTTGTTTTGTTTTGAAAAATGTCCTTTGCCCATTTGTGAATGGGATTATTTGTTGTTGTTGTTGTTTTTGTTCCTTTTAAATTCTGTATATTAGCCTTAAAGTCTTATGGCTAATAGATGGCAGAGGTGGAATGAAAACTCAACTCTTCTGGACTCCAAACAATAAACATTAATCATAATAATGTTCTTTTTTTAACAATTTCTTTAATTTGCGGTGGAAGCTGATGGATTAAACCCAAAGCATAATTTGGCAAAAGCATTTCTGGGGTTATGGTACAATATAACCCAATCCATACACACAGCTTTCTTAAGTTCATGAATAGAACTTGAATTTCAAAACAGAGGGCAGATGAACTGATTATTCTTTAGACAATTGTGCATAAGTATTGTTTCTATCAACCAGGCTTTTGATGGATTCTGAATGCCAGGGAGTTGGAGCTTATACTGCCTGACAAGTACCTGGAGTGCAGCTATTTTTGTGTGGTTAAGAGCAGGCTAATACTTTACCAATCAGCCCAAACTGGAGCAAGGATTGATTGACATTCTTGGGAGGAGGGGGGTTGCATTCATTGGAGAGCAGTTCAAAATGAAAGTGATAACCTATTGTTATCTGAAGGGTGAATGTCTAAAGCAACCCTGGTGTGGTTTGGCTCTATTTTAATCATAGGCAGCCAATCTGTAGAAGTATGTGTTTGATGGGAAAATAACTCCTTTTCTTCCAATTTCCTTTAGACATCTACAAAAAGCTAATAATCTTACTTTTAAAATACATTCAATAAAAATCTGTCCAGGCACACTAATATTCCTTTTACTTTCTCAGTTCATTCTTACTTACCAAAGCATATTATATTTTGAGATTTAACTAACCTTTAATGAGTACATGTGCCTCAACTGGCACTGCACTAGGCCCTCTTATATAAATTATCTTTATTTGCTAAACTGACCAAAATAGTATATCACATACTTCCCCCTGACTTAGCTTTTAGTCCAAACAAACAAATGTATGCCATCCTCTACATTTGGCAGAAGTGGACCAAAAATGATAAGATCTTAGACTGCCAATAGCCAACGTGACAAGTTCTTACCTGAAAATATCAGGTTTGTGGTAGACCCATACTGTGGAAAACTGTAAATTTAATCTATATGTGATGATATGGAGTGATAATCATAATACATTGTAAGTTAAAAATGCTAGTTGCAGAATATATACATGCAATGCATATATATATATATATGCAATGCAATGTTAGTTGCATATATATGTGTGTGTATATATATAACATATATATGTATATATATAACATATATATATGTGTATATATATATATATAAAACGTTGACATAAAAGGAAAGGAAGAAACTGAGGCAAAATTAATATAAGCAGAGAGTTTATTTGGGCCAAGGTTGAGGACTGCAACTTGGAAGCATAGATTCAAGTTGCCATGAACGTATAATTCAATTAGTGGCAGTTACAAATGGATTTTTAACGGAAAAAAAAAAAGGGACAGGGAGTTGATAGGACATTCATTGTTTGTCAGGAATTCTCATTGGTTTACAGAAATAACATTGATTAGTGATTGGCTATACATTGTTAAACTCTAGAGTGTGGGTTATAGTGTTTGATGTGGCATTATTAGATTAATTTATAGGCAATAGCAAGCAGGTTCAATGGGTGAATGCATAGCTCACAAAGCAGGGAAGTAGGATGTGATTGTTTTCTCATTTTAATGGCTTTTTAGGCCTAAAAGTTAGAAAGGGCTCACATTCCTCAGATAAAAATTCTTTGCCTTCCTTAATAGAATAATCCCATTTCTTTAAATAATAGATATAAATATATGCACAAGAATAGAAAGGTATGAAAGTTATTATATGAAAGTTAACATTGATTACCTCAAGGAAAATAAGAGCTGAGCAGATCTTTTGAAAATAATAGTATATTACATAAAAATTAAAAAGAAATTTAAAAACAAGAGCCTTAGTGCTGGAGAAATCTCAGAAACTTGTGGACAGGGAAGGTGTGCTTCCTTCCATATCTTCCTGTTTGAGTCAATAGAAGAGTCTGCATTTAAGAGACTAGGGAATGCCCCCAAGGTGCCCCAGGGACTGGAAGTCTTTCAGGAAGAGGAGACCTAAGCCACAGTCAACCACATCACGACAGGGTGGGATTTTAAGCTGCTGAACTGCAGGGAACTTTCAGTGATTTCCCAAATGTGGTCTGTGAAGGACTAGAGAGTCTGAGAGGTAGCTGTGGAGGAAGAGCTGGGCAGGCAAGTGGACTTCAGGGACCCCTGTCGCTATTGTCTATTTTGCTTATTGGGACTTTTAACTTAATTTGGAGTTCAGCAGCAACAACAGTGGAAATTTTCTGTGGAATCCATTGAGAAGGAATTTGGAGTTAAACAAAATTTACTTAAACTCCTTGAGTCTTAGTTTCCTCATCTTTGCAATACAGATAACTCCCTATCTCCTAGGGCTGTTGTGAGGATAGGATGAAATAATGCAAGTTAAGTGTTTAAGGCTTAATAAATGGTTGCTTAAGAAAGGAGGTAAGGTAAGTGGTAAATAGTAGCACAACTAAGGCAACAGGATGGGCTTGGGACTCCTTACAACCTGGGTCCTCAACAGGGACCGGTACTGGTCCATGGCCTGTTAGAAACTAGGCTGCATTGCAAGGGCAAGGGAGCATTACTGCCTGAGCTCAGCTTCCTGTCAGATCAGAGGCGGGTTTAGATTCTCATAGGAGCATGAACCCTATTGTTAACCAGTACATGTGAGGGATCTACGTTGCCCACTTCTTATGAGAATCTAATGCCTGATGATCTGAGGTGGAACAGTTTCATCCCAAAACCATTCTCCCCACCCCTGTCCATGAAAATAGTGTCTTCCACAAAATCGGTCCCTGGTGCTAAAATGTTTGGGGACTGCTGCCTTACACTGTACCATTGTCTTCAACTTTCCCTGTCATCCATAGATATCATGCATGTCAAAGACAGTTCAATTGCCACCAACATGTGCTCTGGGTGCCTGTTTATCCTTGGGGCTTCATCACTGTCTTCCTGAAAAAGCCGTCTCATTTTGCAAGGTCAGGAATCTAAATCCTTGTCAGCCTAGGAGAAAAGAAGGACATTCAAGGAAACTCATGTGTAGGAGGCATCCATGTGGAGAAGATCCCCTCTTGCATCCTAGGCCAGGGAAAAATATGAGGCCTGTATGGAACCCGGCTGACCTAGGTAGTCTGTCTTGATTAGAACAGGAAAATAAGTACATAGAGAGGCAGTTTGGCATAGTGGTTCAGAACCCAAACTCTGACCCAGGCTCCTTGGATTCCAGTCCTGCCTTGGCCACTCACTAGCTTTGTAACATTGGGCAGGCTGTTTGACACTCTCTGTGCCTTATTTTCCTCATCTGTAAAATAATAACTTACGTATGGTTTTTGAGAGGATTAGACTAATGAATATAAGTAAAGCACTGAGAACATACGAGCTATATATTGGTGCTATGTAAGAGTTAGCACACAAAATACAATTCCTCATGCCTATGTCCAAGCAGACAGAACTTAACCACAGCATACTTTCTCACTGAACCTATTGGAAACCTCTGTATCCTTCTCAAAAAAGTCACTTCACGTCTTTGCTAATGAACCAGATCACTCAATAAAACCTATTGTCACATCATGCTATCATGTCAACTGGAGTATCTGAATGTAGCAGTAGAGAAATTCAGTTCACACATACCCGCTTTCTGTACCAAACACTCCATAGGAGTAAAATGCACCCTGATTAGAAGCAAATTATGCCATATAAGAGGGTTTGGCACTCAGGCCACCCAGGTGGCCTGTTGTGTGGACACAAGTGTTTTCAGTTTCCCTAGGATGCCTGTGCATATCCTGAGACAAGCAGCCATGAAGAAAGTCCTTTTGCCTGTCCTCATTCTTCATTTACTATAGAACAAGAGTGGCTGCTAAGCCACAGACCACAAAGAAAAAGGTCAGCCTCATAAAATACACCACAGCCCTGCTGATGTGCTCAAAGAGGCACGCACACTTCAAAGTTAGCCATGGATGGAGACACACAGCTGAGCCACTCAAGAACTTTTATTTCAACTAGGAGCGTTTACCCTGAGGACTTAGCCCTTGTGAAGTTAAATCCTTCATAGAAGAACCCACATCATAGAAGCTGCATTCAACCAATGAACATGGAATCAACAGTGGAGGAGACATATGGGTAACAGCTTGTTAATTTATAACCAACAATAACATGTTGGATCAAGAGAAAGGCAGTATTTTCACCCACACTCTCATTTATCTGAAATTCCTGATTGGCTCTATCTAATGCTCCTCTCCACACTTCAGACCCCACACCCCTCTGTAAATCCAGCATTTTGTTTTTCTCACTAGGCTCAAATGAACCAGATTATTCTTTGAAACAGAGGGGGATAAATATCCCTGAAGGACATGGGGAAGTTCTCATGGCACACCAGGAAGTGGGCAGATCACAAACCTGTGACATCAACAGATAATTCTGGAGCCTATATTAGCTCCATTAGCATTTACTTCAACCACATTCTCACCAACATTTTAGAGGAATTAGTAATAAGTAGCAAAGTGGCTGATTTGATTTCCTTACCTTCTTGTATTTTTATTTATCTTATTTTTATTTTTTATAGAGATGGGGTCTCACTGTGTTGCCCAGGCTCATCTCAAACTCCTGGGCTGAAGCAATCCTCCCCCTTGGCCTCCCAAAGTGTTGGGATTATAGGCATGAACCACCATGCTCAGCCTTCTCTTGTATTTTTAAAAGTGAAATGAAATGGCTCAAAGATCATCCAACACTGAGAAACAGACAAGAAAGGACTTGCTCATCTTGGTGAAGTTGCTGCTTAAAATCCTATGATTCAGGGGTCAAACTAGAGCTTACCTCTCAATTCCATTGCCCATAGCCATGAAGTTTAGGGCAAGATAGCAAGCCTCTCAGAGGCCAAGTTTTCTCACCTTTAAATGGAGACAAATAATACCTACCTTCCAGGATTGTTGTGAAGCTTAAATAAGGTAATACGTATAACACACCCAATAAAGATCCAGGGACATAATAGGCATTACATAAATGGTAGCTCTCATTATCATCAGTATTATCACCACTGATAATTCTCCAACCAAGGCAACCTGTTGATTATCACTGTTATTTATGTGACCAAAACATCTGGAAAGAACCCAGAGACAATAAATGACTCAATGAGTGAGTAATCTAAGAGAAAGTGAAATATGTGGTATTATCTCACAGGGCAAAAATAACTGAAAATTAATCCATTAAAATTATTTGAATACCTTTTAACTGCAAACAGGCATAAGGGAAATTTTGCGGATAACAGCAATGTTCTAAAGCTGGATTGTGGGAATAGTTGCACAATTCTGTAATTTAATAAAATCATTGAATTATATACTTACAATGGCCAGTGGGGTCTATGGTATGTTAATTATGCCTCAGTAAAGGTACTAAAATGGTTCTCCATGGACAGGAGCTGAAGGGGGATTCAGATAACAGGAATAACAGACATTACCTTGCATGTAGCATAGAAAGACAAAAAGAAGGAAAATATGAAAGCCAGATTAAGAGACATGAAGGATACAGTGAGACTTTAAGATGCATTGAATTGGAGTCCCAGAAGGAGAAGAGAAATAAGATGGAGAAGAAAGATTTTTAAAAGACTGAACAATTTTAAAAGGACTGAGATTTTTCCAGTATTGATGAAAGACATCAATCTATAGATTCAAGAAGTCCAAAGAATTTCAAATAAGATAAATAAGGAGAAATTCAATCTTAGGCATATCATAGTGAAACTGTAAAGACCAAAGACAAAGAGAAAATGTTAGAGGCAATAATGAAAACAAAAAAATAATATCTTCAGGAGAATGACAACCTGAACAGACTTCTCAATAGCAAAAAATGGAAACTCGAAGAGGGTGGAAATGAATGTGCTAAAAAATATAACTGCCATCCTTGAGTTCTATATCTAGTGCAAATATATTTTTAAGAATGAAGGTGAAATGACAATTTAGACATCAAAAAGTAAAGGGTTTGCCACCTGCAGACCTTCAATAAAATAAAGTTCCTCTTCTATATTTTAGTATCTTTGAAACTGCATTTCTTTCATGTGCTGGACCTAGAATATCCAATAATTAATTAAGTGTCATCCTTAACTTCAAGAGTCTCACAATCTAGACAAGGGTTACCAGATTTAGTAAACAAAATACTGGTCATCAAGTTGACTTTGAACTTCAAGTGCACAATAATTTTTTAGGATCCATATGTTCTAAATACTTAAGGGTACACACTTACATTAAATGTTGAAATTCAAATTTAACTGGATGTCCTCTATTTTATCTGACAATTCTAGTCTATACAAAGGGAGAGATGTCAGAGTTGGAAATTGTAGGTTGGTAGATGACAGCCACATCTCAGGGATTAGATGAGATTGACCAGAGATTGGAGAACATAAGACAAGAAAGGACCAAACGCTGGAACTCCCACTTTTAAAGGGGTGCTGGAGGAAGACAAAGAGGAGGACCGGCGAATGCAGGCAAGAAGGCAAGTTTCAAGGAGGAGTCCTTCAATGCATAAAGCTTCATTTATTTGACAATTGAGTGGTTGCTACTGACCAGGCTCTGTTCTAAACACTGCTCTAGGCAATGGAATGATTGAACAGAGTGCTCTGAAACTGGAACTTTGGAGATCACTCAAGAGTTTTTAGAGAGCCCATTTAGTACTCTAGGGAGAACCAGGTCACCTGCAATCAAGAGGGTTTTGAGATTTTCCTGTTCTGGGTTGAATTGTGTCTCTCCCAAATTCCTATGTTGAAGTCATATCCATAACTCCCAGTACTTGAGAATATGGCCTTACTGGAAATAAGGTCTTGGGAGATGTAATTAGTTAAGATGAAGTTGTACTGGAGTAGGTTGAACCCTGAATCCAATATGACTAGTGTCTTCATCAAAAGGGGGAACTTGGACACAGACACACACACAGGGAGAGCACCATGTGAAGTTGAAGACAGAGATGTACAAAGAATGCCAAAGACTGCCAGCAAACCACCAGAAGCTGGGAGAGGCATGGGACAGATTCTCACAGTGCTCCGAAAGAACCGACCCTGCCGACATCCTGATCTCAAGACTTCTAGCCTGCAGGACTGTGAGACAATCAATTTCCATATGGAAGCCAGCCAGTTTCAAGTGCTTTGTTATGGCAGCCCTAGCAAACCAATACACTTTTCTTCATAAAGGTTCACTCAAAGGCTGCCCAGGTGGTGCTTCCTGAAGCCTTGCTCATCCCGAGACCTCTCCCATGGGGCATTTTCTCATGCAGACGCTGGTGCTGCTGACCTTCTCCAAGACCAAGTGTGGGGTGGTGCGGTCTTCCTGTCTTCAGCTTCTGCACCTTAAGCCCTGAAACTGCTTGTCAGCTGCAGCTCCTCTCCCTACTTCTGAATAAGGCAGAGCACTCCTGCCACTTTCCCTTCCTCTTCACCCTTCCCCAACTACCAACGCCCTCCTTTCCTTCTCTTCTCCTTGTTCCCACAAAGCCTCTGTATAGGCCTCAGTAAGGCTGTCCGAAGGAATGTTTCTAGTTCCCCTTTCTCTTCTCCCCAAAGCGCCACCCCCCTCATGTGAAATTAAGCTAACTTCACTAGCTTCTGTCTTCTTCTATTTCCTCTCTTTCTTGGGCCCATTTCCTCCCTAATGGCTCTCTCTCACTCCAAACACTGATGGGATGTTTAATTATTTGTTCAAAAAGAACCACTCTTGAAGTACTCTGCTAGCAGCTTTGGGGTGTCTGAGATGAAGAACATCTGTCCCTCAGGAAGATGGAAACTTGGTCATCATTTAAGGGGGACAGGTAAGTCTCTCTGCAGGCTAACACCAGTTGACTCCTATCAGCTTGTTGGAAAAGACTGTGACTTCTAAGGCACCTGGGCTCAGTTGGAGGGTGTGGTGGCAGATGAGTGATGTCTGCATGGCCAGGGTGGTGGGAGACACCAGCATGGGAAGACCAGGTGTTTGCCATCACTGAGGTACAGATCTGGATTCCAAGTCTGGTTTCATGTACTGCTCCATGAACTTGGGCAAAATGTAACTCTTGCAACCTCTTGGGCAATTTAACCCCTGAGCGTCCGGACAATTCAATATTTAACAAGTAAATGATACCACTGACACCAGTAACCCTGGCACATACGGGAATTTTATGTTAACCGATTTTAAGTCTGGATATAGTATGGGTGGGGACAAGACAAAAGCCAAAATAATAAAAAAATCAATTGTAAGAGCCATAAAAAGTAAAGAGTGTTGTGGGAGTTCAGCGACAGCTTCCCATTGAGATGATTTTGCTGGTCTTGAAAGATGGGGTCTTGCTGGAGAGAAGAGACAGTATGCAGTCTGAGAATGGAAGCAGAGAAGAGCATGGGGCATACTCATGGGCCTTTGATAATAGGAGAGAAGTAGGAAGGAAGGCTGGAGCAAGAATAGAGAGCTTTGAATTCCTGGTCAAACACTGGGATTAAAAAAAAAAAAAACCACCACCACCACCCAGAAATCTTTATAGCAATGTCAAGTTGTGCAACACACTTGTACAATACTGTTTGCACCTAAGAGAAAGAAAATTAGAATCAAGCTTTTGACTGTATAATTTTACATGGGTTATGTCAGTACAGGAACACCGCCCTCCCTGCTTAATAAGGTGAATTGGCCGTGGAAAAACTTATTAGGCATATGAACGAGCTGGTCTTGACAGCCTCACATTAATACATCAAGGTAGACACTACTCCCATGAGCTGAGATTTCAAGAGCTAATCTGCCTAATGTCACACAGTGGTTAAGTGGTAGACACAGGGGTGGCACTGAGATTCGAACCAAGTTTGAGCCTGGGCACCAAGACCTGGTATTCCTTTCCAATGAAAAGCTAGGCTGGTGAGGAAAATTAGCTAGACTCTTAACACAGGGGACTGTCAACTGCTTCTAACGCAAATTTCTCACACATGACAAAGGCTAAATGACAGTGAAAACATTTGGAAAGAAAAGACTTCTTTGTTTTGTGGTCAATTAGCATTCATTCCTGTCTGCAATAAAATAATGGGAATTGCCTGACTGAAATGTGGGTCTGTTTTTCACTGATTATTGACGCATTCCTTGCCACACAATTCCCTCTGGATTTTAAAAGGATTCCTTTTCATTACAGGTCACTTTTCACCCCTTCCCTTTCCTTTCAGGAGACATTTCTGCAGGTGTAGATGTCACGTCAATAAAGACAGTCATGACTGAGGGTGTGTGGGTGCCTCATTCTTAATAAGATTATGTGATTCAGGGTGCTTCCTTTTGTTTCAAGCTGAAGAACTCTCAGCCTCTGTTTGGGTTCCAGTGGTCTGGACGGTACCAATTGGGCATGCATAATGTTTCACCCACATGACAGCACCCAGCTCATACATACTAAGCACCTTCTCTGTATCTATTTTTCAATTTAAATAGAGACCTCAGGTTGTAAGACTAAAATGAGAAAATATCACACGTATGAAAATTCTTAATATCTGTTGAATCTCGAAGCATGTAAATCCTAGCGTGATCTGATAGCCCTGCACATATTTTATGAAAACTGCGTACAAAACTTTGTCAGGATGATTGCACTTTAATGCTTTAAAGTTTAATCTCAACGAATCTCAACAATCAAATGACTCCACTTGATTTATATATGTACATTTTATTAGAATTCTTCAGAACTGTCAACAATTGGACAACATACAGGAATAAAACACGTGGAACACCAACATCCTTTAAACTTACGCCGCTTATGTATTTACACATAAAGTTACTGTATATATAAAAAATATTTTCAAGGACTCATGGGCTTGGGAATATTCAAAAGACATTATTGCTACATTTCAATATTTACAAAAAAAGCCACAAAATAATTTCAAACATTAAGCCACTGCAAAGAAACATCTGATGTAAGAAAAAATTATAAAAATATAAACTTTCAAGAATATCCAAGACAAAACTCTCAATGAAGTGCCCCTGAAGTACCTAGACATCTATAACTAACAACCACTTTTCTTACTATCATTGAAGTCAATAGAAACACAAAGGAATTTTTCAGACAAAGTATGGCAAACAACAATCTCTTGGGTGACAACACAACCCCAAAATCTGTTAACTTTGGAAAGGTGCGAGAGCATAGAACTCCAGTGCAAATGGTTACTTCCAGATAACGGCCACAGTTCTCTAAATGTAGTCTAAGAAATGTAGAAGGGGGAAACCATAAAGGCAACATACCTGAATCTTTCAAGACAACACACAAACTCTGCCATGTACACATTTGCCTTTTATATTGGGCAGTGAGGAAGGGGAGTTTTTTGTTTTGTTTTGTTTTGTTTTTAAAGAGGTAAACTACAAGAATAATATCCAGGCTACAGTCTAAAGGGTAAAATTTAAATGTTTCAGTGAGACAGTAGCATTATGGAAGGTCTAAGGAACAGGTACAGTAAGATGAGTCTAAATAACAGAGTGCCTTAAGTGCAGGTGAACTGCAAATACATAGGGACTGATGCCTTCCACTTCCTCTGCACCACTATGGAAGCTTCTGGTAAGCTACTCTAGACAGCTATGTGAAAAGAAACAAGAGCAGTACTAATAATGAAAGCCAAGTTACTTTTCAGGTACTAAAGGACCCTCTTGGACTCAGGGCAAAAATACCCCTCCAAATATTTGTCTACACACATACAAACGTACATACACATATATAGATACTGGCCCGGTGTCCAGGACATGCCTGCGAAGGAGGCTAAACCTATACTTTATTTCCTGCTACATAAGAATCCAAACTAAGATGGCAGTGTTTTCCCACTCCTGTGGGAGCCATGCAGTGAATCAGTAACTTTGTCAAACAGCATCAAATCCATTGAGTACAATGCCATTCTGAAGCTGATAGGCTTGTTCCACAGAATCTACAGAATAAGTTCATCAGCTAAAAGAGGAGATTTTGTTCAAACTGTGCTTTGTGGTTATATTGTTTCCTTAAAAAATGGTATTAACTGTTTCCTTCAAACTTATATGGCTCTTAATCTACTTCTATACACAGTGGACATAATGCCAGGGTTGTATACAGAAACGAAACCTTATGGTGTTTTCCCCTCAAATGTATGAACACGGACAATTTATAGATGCGTATATACAAGTGCTGGCTAGGGAGGCCTTCTCTCCAATTCAATGCTCTAATAGCAAACTCTATTTAAAAACCAGGTCGGTAGTATAAAAGCTCATGCAGTGGTCCACAGAAGAGCATCTTTTGTTCACACTTGGGGATCATTTTTTTCATGGCCTATGTCTCATTCCCAGCATGAAATACTAGATTTCTTAAGCCCAGGTGTTCATACTCTGTCCTTTGTTCTAATGATGTTCTGTTTTCCACATAAAGGACTTAGGTTTTCAGCTTCTAATCTTGTATCATCATACTACTATGGATGGTTCTGAAGGCCAACTGTGATTACTACCATTTATTCAGGTAAACTATCAACCATATTTTTGGGCAGAATTGGAGAAGCCTTGGAAAGGACTCTGGCCCCCAGTCCATACCTCCCTCTCTTTTTCCAAATCAGAATGTTTTCTGTTCATGGTAGAAGCTACGTTGCTATTGGGAATATATACAGTTGGAACCTTTGCAATAGGATGGTGGCTGATGACAAAAATCATCGGCCACTAAAGTGTGCTCAGAAAGACAGGATTGCAGTGGGGTGCCCACTATCCTGGAGTTGGATGCAAGTTGAAAGAAAAGAAAATAACCATCATGGAAGCCAAAAGAAGAGATCATTCCTGGAGGGGTGACCCAAACACTGATTCTGCTCAGACATCGTCGTGCACAAGCAGAGGCTGGGAGGAGGAAGCGGTGCTGCCGACAGAATTGATCCGCACAGAATGGTCTACCACGGGCTTCTGTCGGTTGGGGCTGCAGTTTGCTAAGTTGGAGTAAATCTGGAGAAAACAAGCCCATAGTCAATACAGCAGTCCCTACAACGAACATAGCAACAAAAGGCATACTTACAGTGTCAAGATCACAACTAACTGATGGAAACTCTTAAGAGAGAAGTGGTTTCCAAGAACTTTGTGGCCAAAACCCAAGTCATACTGACAAAACAAATATAAGCTTTGTTTTCCCCCTTCATTTTTCCAAGGAAATAACTTTATACAAGAAGTGGGGACAAAACATGCACAAGCTTAGCTCTTCTAAAAGGGCACACCAGGCACCAAGCACTATCTTACCTATTTAAAAGGCTTGTAAATCTCTCCAGCAACTACAACCCAATAACCAATGTAATTTGCTGGGAAACCCACGGCCCTTCCAGGGGTCTCTTGTCAAGAATCAAAGCAACTGGGTGGAAAATGCTGTTCAATTTGAAACATGTTTTGACACCCAGAAGAACAAGCTTTAACCCAAAAATTATCAGTGGTGTGCTATTAGGAAAGAAAAGATAGCTCCAAGCACACAGCCCAGGAAAGAAAGCAGCTTAAAAAAATCTGAGTCAAAGTATCACTAATTCTTGCTTAAAAAGAGAGGAAATAATGGATTTGAGTTTTCATTCCCCCACACTTCCCAAATCACTGGGAGGGATCTCCCAACTTCAAACAGCTCTTCATTCTATATGGCTTGTGGGCATGACAGCTATCTGCCATTTTCTGGCTATGCTTGTTTGATCAGAAGGCTTATTTCACTGCAGTAACAAGCTGTCTTTTCTATGCTTTTATTCTAGTTCACATCACCCCAACCCTCCAAAGGATGCATGGCCCTGACATGTGAGAGGGAGAAAATACTGACCCCGTGACCAGCATTTGAGATGAGGGAGGAAACATGGCAAATCCTTATGGAAACTTCTACTTCCAGTGAGTACAAAACTCTCCACCCTTCCCCCTCAATCTCACATCCTTCTTTGGCTCAGAACAGGAGGGCTGGGCAGAAAGAACTAGTTTCCATTGCTTTACTTCCCCTACCTGAAGCCCAATTTGCAACCTAAGATTAGGAGAGAAGGGGTTGGGAGGTTAGTCCTCACCCTGAAAGCCTGAGGAGGAGGACACACCTGGAACTGGGAGAAGGGGGATTCTATGCCTGGCCAGGGTATACTCACATGATTGGTGCTCTCTGAAATCTGCTTCTCAATTAGCTGAACAATTTGCTTGAATGTTGGTCTTTTTAGGGGATCTGCATCCCAGCAAGTCTTCATTATGTCATACCTGCAAGACAAGGGCCATTTACTATCCCTCCTCAATGCCCTCAGCTTGTTTTCAAATGTATGGGCATCCAGCAACTTCAGTAATAATTCCAGGGCTATGCAACTGGACATATGGACTGACATATAGATAACATAAAACACTGCATGTATGAAATATTACTGAAACTTTCTGTATTTTTGGTGACAAGAGATTATGAAAATAAACTACAGAAATGACATTTGACCAGTGTGTCATAAAGAATCCAAGTGACATTTCAAACTGTGTTATGAAAACCCTCAACATCTGGGTTTCTGTCTCTAAAAAGAAAAATAAAAGGGAAAACGTGACCTAAAGGAAAAATTTTTTGGCTCTTACATTTCAGCAGGTGCGTGTTCAGGGCTGAGCATCCGGAAGCCTTCCTTGATCATCTTGTAGAACTTAGAATCGACCGGCATTCCAGGATAGGGGCTGCTTCCTGAGACACAGTTTGCAAAGCAGTGTTAATCACAAGGAAGCAGGACACCAATGAAACTTCAAGAAGATGCTCTGAGTCTAATGAAGTTGTCTTTGGCAAGGATCATTTTACCTAAAGAGAACAGCTCCCAAAGAAAAATCCCATAGGACCAGACGTCACTTTCAAACGTGTATACACAGTTGAAAATGCTTTCAGGTGCCATCCACTTCACAGGTAGTCGAGCCTGTAATAGAAGCACAACAGAGTCAATAATGTTAATTCAGAAGCTCAACAAAATTGAACAGAAGATATTCTTATAGATGCTGCTGTTGCTGAAATGTGGAGTGATAACTTGAGTACCATCTCACAAAAACCTTTTACCTATATGAACTCAGATGATCCCAATCACCTCTGAAATACATGGCTCACAAGTGCATTATCCCCATTTTAAGATGTGAGCACTATGTCAGTACGGCATGGAGATTAAGAGCACAAACGTCAGAGACAGCCAGACATTTTAGCCCTGGCTCCACCATGGGCCTTAGGTAATGCAGAGATTTGTTAGTTTCCACTGAATATGTCCCTCTCCTTCCTTAAAAACAGAAACACGGCCTCTCACAATTAGGACTACATTTCCCAGCCTCCTTTGCAGCTAGCTAGCTGTAGTTAGGTGACTCGGTTTTGGCCACTAAGTTGTAAGTGCTGTATAGCAGCTTCAGGAAAACCTCCTTACAATATAGCTGGCACGTGCCCTCTGCCCTCTCTTCTCTAGTGCAAGGGCCCCCTGCCTTCTGGATATGATGGCTGGCTATCCACCTGGTGGTCATCTTGGACCATGGACATGGGGGTTACACTCAGGAATGGCTAAGCATGGAAAGGAAAGACTTGCCCGGGTACTCCATGGAACCTTTATACCAATCCTGGTATAAAGTCTACTCCTAGACTTCTTTTATTTTGGGTTTTCTGTCAAAACCCAAAACTTTCTCTAATACACTGGGAAAGTCACTAAAATATTTGTAATTAAGCCTCAGTATCTTCTTCTGTAAAACAAAATGAATACTTTTAATTTTATGAATTGTCTTGTGGGTTAAATAAGATAAAATGGGTAAAAATGCTTAGCACCGCCTGACTCAGTGCTATCTGAAAAATTGCCTAGAAGAAAGGCAAGTACTTGATAAACAGTAGTGGCTTGTGATCCTGACTCTTTGGAGAACTCTCTCCATTAAAGTTGAGCTAAACTTTCTGTAACTAGTCCTTTTAGATGCATTCTGGATTCCCAATCTTAATCTGCCATAAAAAGCTAAATCAATCCTTCTCTTAATCCATTTAGGATTGAAAACTGGGAAAGCTTTTTTTTTTTTTCTTTTTTTTTTTTGGTGTTAAAGTTATTTTAGTCAGCTTACAAAAACAAAACAAAAAACTTCCAATATCCCTTCCCTTCCTAGATGTTGTGCTAAAGTTCCTATAAGGGCTCCTAACCTGAGATCTATGGGTGTCAAATTCAGGGGCCTGTGAACTTGGAAAGGAAAAATGACATCCTTATTTTCGCTAATTTCTAGATGAAATTTAGCATTTCTTTAAATTACTAACAAAGGTGATAAAACGCAGTAGTATCAGCTGTACCTGTGACTTTGTCATGAACAGTAATCATAAATATCTTCATATCCTATTAAGTCTTTATAGGTATCTCAAAATCATATTTACATTAATCACCACTCTAAAATTACAGTGGTTTTTAGAAAAAATAGCAAAACCCACAATTACTTTTACACCAACCTAACAGAGCCTGTTACACTCTATAGTAAACACATGTACTGACATATCACAAATTTACTTAGTATCTTCATAGCTATTTCGATTTAACTGTTTTCCTTGGTATTCCTATGTATTTCATCATAGGCGTTGAAAACAGTGTTCTGATAAGGGTCCCATAGGCTTTACCAGGCTCTAAAAGGGGCCATGACATGAAAAACAATGAAGAACTCATGTGAAAGGAAAGAACTTCAGAGAACCTGACACAACAAGGAGATCTCAAATGATGATGACAAAAATGTGGGGCGGTAACATATATGAGTTTCCTTCTTCTTATCTTGTTCCAGAAATTCTCCTTACCCACTAGCCTGGTGAAAGCGAGATCTGTGATTGGTTAGTTCAACTGACTTGAACTGGAGTCTACAATCTGGAAGCCTGATAGAGCCAACCCCTCTTTGTCATTTCAAACTAAGGTCACTAACCAATAACAAGACAGTATGTAACCACCGTCACGATTATTTAGATCGTAAATAAGACATCTATAAAGAATAGTAACAATATGTCTGGCACTGTCATAAGCACTTTACATATATTAACTCATAACTTTCTGAGTCAGGAATCACTATTATTCCCAAGGGGAGAAAAACAAAGATTCAGAGGTATTGGACAACTCTTGACAAAATTACACAGGCATGAAATAATGGAGACAGATTGCAGAATTCATCAAGACTGGGCCTGGAGGCGGCCACCTTCTTCCTCCTCCCTTTGGTCAATATTCAGAGGACTGGATAATTAACGACTTATCATTCTTCCTTCCAAAATTGCACCAGGATGAAGAGAAGTTGTTTTTATTATCACTCCTGATGATAATATCTAGCTTCAGGGCAGCCTTTTCAGAAATTCATGCTTTGGCCAGGAGATAAACACAGAAACACTCTTACAAAACCAAATCGAGTACAGGCTACCAATAGAGACGCCACAGTGATGGGGGGAAAACATTACATTATCATAAGGGGCACAAAAATCCACCTCCAGGAATAAATCTGGACTGCAGAAATGGGCCCAGGAAGACAGGCAGAGAATATTATAAAGGGCAATATGGTTTTCCATGGCGATGGGATGCCACTCTGGAAATCACAGGCTCTAGTTTCAGCCTCTATTGTCCTGTGTCACCTCAGATAAAAAGCACTAAAATATGCCATGCCTTAGTTTCTCCAACTTTTAAAATAGGAAGGTGCTGCAATTATAGGACAAGGGTTTGTTCTGAGGATTCAATAAAAATTGGCAAGGAAATACAGCACTTTGAAAAACATTTGCTATGTTCTACAAACCCATTATTACTTATGAACCTATTTAATAGCTCTCCGTGTATTCTAGGATCCAACATTCTATATGGCTAACTCTGAATATGATCTTAGATTTTAATATTTTTCACACGGCATGCCAATCCCCCCAAAATTTCTCCTGCTGTGACCTTCAATGACCTACATTTGTTACACTTGAGCAAAATCAAGTTCATTGCTATTCTCAGGCTATAATGAAAATTAAGGCTATTTCTGTTTCCTTCACATGCCCCAAAATTACACAATTAGAATTAGGACTTCTATTATTGAATGTTAGTTGTAGTAATGTTCAGCATACCATGCAAATTTTGCTGAAGTATACTTAATTTGACTGCTAAAATGTGTGATATCCCTAGACAGGATTTACATTATGAAAATCACAGGAAACAATTTTTATCGAAAGTTGAAACTAAAAATCCTTTGCAGGACTGTCAAGCAGAGAATGGGTACTCACGTTTCCTTTAACCACATAATTAGAATCATTCTTGATGTCTCTGGCTAGACCAAAATCACAAATCTTTGTGATCCGACCATGAGTAAGGAGGATATTTCTGGCTGCCAAGTCTCTGTGAATACACTATTAGGTTGGAGGAGAAAAGAAAACCATTTAAATTCATTTTAACTTGTAAAGAGTGAAAACTAACTTTTTAATACTATAGTGTTGCTTATATTATAAAAAATCCAATACTTTTGTTTTAAAGTATTCAGTACACCAAAAATAAAAATCAAAAGTACGCCTTGAATGATGTTCACATAATCAAGAGTCTAATTATTATAATCTCTTTTAAAAGCAATTCTAATAAATGCTGTTTTCTTCTCAGGACTGCTTTCATTCATAGGGAAATACATAAGAAATAGTCATATCATATTGTTTAAACTGAAAATTCATTTTGCATGCATCTCTTTGAATGTCCTTTCACAGAGTTCCTAATATGCCTTTGCAAATTCAATCTGACATCTCCCAAGGACACACGGAAGAAGGTCTTTATTTCAGCCATCTTATATCCTTTCTTAGTTTGGTAATTGTTGGGAAATGTCACCCATGACATTTAAGGGTAGGACTGGTAACTCATTCTGTTCGGTTAATCTTACTTCCTAAGGAACTCCTTTCACCCTTCCACAGACCATGCTCCTTGTTTTGGTTCCATCATTCTTTCCATTCCTAACCTTCTCCCAAGTGTTTATTACTCCCTCTGACCCCTTATTTCCTGACACTTCATAAGCCACACATATAATATTTGGATCTAACTTCAATAAAACTCAAGTCTATGCTTCACCCCAAGCCTTGTAACTATGAGGTGCCCTCTGCTTTTACTGATAAAATGATTCTGTTCTCTAGGAACATATCCTATATCCTAAAAGCCAAAAGTTTTAAAAGAATTTCACTGCATATAAAAGAATATTCATAGAAAAACTCATTTAGACAGGCTTGTACTTTACAGCTTATAAATTAGAACAGGAATTCCAAAGAGACAGCAGTTGGAACATGAAGAAACTAAATTTCCTCTGCTTTTGGTTACCACACTTCAAAATGACATTCTGCATTTTAACTATGGCTCTAAAATGCTCTGTTCTCAAAAAAAAAAAAAAAAAAAAAAAAATCAAAAAAACAAAACACAAAACTCTTTAGAGAATCACTCCCACTTACATTCTTGGAGGCGAGGAAAGCCATGCCCTTTGCCACCTGGTAAGAAAAGCTCAGCAAGTCTTCTAAGTCTAGGGCCAACTCGTCATCCTCCATGATGGCGGGAGTCACATCTCTTTCTATGTATGAGCCTGTGAGGAAGAGAGGATTTTTCTTAGCAATTACAACCATAAAGGTCAGGAAAGGAAAAGACAGTGGCAATGACATACCAAAGGCTGGTAATGAATGAACTAATGTGAACTTGCAGGCAGATCACTTCCCTGGTGTCCAGGAAAGGTAGATGCTGAATCACAAAGTTAATATTTAACAATCCTAGGCTGGGTTACAAAATCCATAGAGGAGAGGGATGGCGAATTAAAGCAAAGATCCCATATCTATAGAAAGATACTCAGGCACAAAAACATATGCTCTGACCCCAAACACCCACTTGCAACCCTAACTGCCATTGACCATTGGCACTGCTACCATAAAGCAGAACTGGTCTGCATCATTGCTACTGGGAATGATGTTATATTCCACATTAGCATGATATACATACTCTCTGTAAAGTTACTCTTGGTTGCTTGATAGGTAGGTACTCACCTATTCTCACAGATCTCCTTTTGTCGGCCTTGGTTGGGACAACATAAGAAACTCCAGGTTTCATGTCCATGTACTCATTAGTACTATCGCTGCTGGGAGAGATGAAACAAGTCATGACTGAATCAAGTGGGACATGTAGAAGGGCACTCATGGGTCATGCTCTACCTCCTCATCCCCTTTGCTACATAATAGACTGGACCAATTTGAGGAAAGTCATGTAAAGTTTGAATAAAGAGTTTGAAAATCCTGTTCTGTAAGAAATGAGTTTTTAATAATCGATATTGGGGTCCATGCCCAGAAACTAGGTGTCCTTTTTGTGTATAATCATATAGAGGACTCAGGTTAGAAATTTCCCGTCTCTTGACACAATGAATTTAATGGGAGACAGAGAGCCAAATATGGTATCCCGTATTACCTCAAACTCTCTAAATGAGCCCCAGGAGACAAGATGAAAGAAAGACAAAGAAGAGCTTCCAAGACGTGTTATGCAGGAGGCAGAGATCGTTAACATATAGTGACTGATGGAGGAAGGTTTAAAAAAAAATCAAGTTGGTTCAGATAAACACCAATAATTTGGATGATTTTCTGAACCATCTGGACCTCTTCAATCTGCAACATTTGGCTGGAGACTCTTCAAGATTTCTAGTACTTCCTGCTTCTGATTAGCATAGAAACACCATGACAACAATCTCCTTCAGAGTGTGCTGGTGGTTCCAATCCCATATGGGATCCCAAAGCACAAAGAACATCACACAGGATTGAACAATTTAGGCCATTATATCAGAAAGTTAAAGGATATATATAGGGCCAAGGTTTCGGAAAGAAGCAAAATGGCTCATTTCTTCATATAATGAGCACATGCCCAGGAGAAACTAACAAAAAGTGGTTTTGTACAGTTTCTACTACCACTTTAAACTACTCAAGTTTATAGGATTAAAAAAAAATAAAAAGTTTCACCTGGGGTTTTAAACTTTAGCCAGAGGTACAGAAAATGGCTTTAAGGGGTAATTGCCCATCAATAATATTTACTGAGGTCTCCTTGAGGACCTGGTGTTAAGAGTTCAGGAGGCAATGTCTTGCCATTGCAAGATGCAGTGGATATAAAGTGCATGAAAAGGATAGGAGAAATCTACCACACAACTGCAGCAATATACAGTATAGGGGACTGGGCAAAATAACCATGACTTCTGTTGGACTGGGTACATCTAGGAAGTCTTCTCAAATGGTGGCCCTTAAGAGCATTTCCAAAGAAAGAATAGGCAAGATATGAGAAGAATTCTTTTCTGGTTGTAAGTCAAACTCAAAGCTCTTTATACATGATTCAAATTCAGAATGGCATCAATGATGAAAGAGATGAGAATAATGTCCAGAATTTTTAAAAAATGTGCTGGAGTAGTTATGTCTTTTAATAGCATGATGAAATAAAAAGGGCAAGAGGCAAGGTATACAGGAATAATCCAGAGGTCGATGGCAAGAAGCCTACATGTGGAGATATGTTCAGAGCTCTTTGTCATTCTGCTAAAGGTTTTAAAGGGACTTTACTGTGGCAACTTGAGAGGCTTTAGCATTTTCCCTATAAACAGTATCTCACTGGAAACATGCATGTAGTACCAAGCTCAATAGTATAAATGGAAATACATGCAGGACAGAACCGTAAGAGAAACAGATATAGAATGCATTCAGTTGCATGGAACTAAAGTGTAGAAGAAAACTGAAAATACATTTTTAAAAAATCAGCAAAAATCTAGGTTTGAATCTTTAAAAACACAATTTAACTTTCTAAACTGTTAATCACATTTAAATGATTTAATAATTTTGATTTCATACCTCAGAGTACCTCAGTTCATTTTTTAAAGAATCAGCCTTGATTGCAAACCCTTATGACCCCATGAACTGCCTGTCAACAGCTAACTATTTATGTAAATCAGTCTTACCAGGAAGACTCCTTTGAATGCAGAAGATTCTTATAAAGTGCAGCTTCTGCATGATCTTCCTGCTTTGAACAAATAAATGAATCACGTTTTCTTCTCAAAAAATTCAAAAGATCACCATAGCAACAATATTCTGTAATGACCAGGGTGGGCCCTAAAAGCACATAAGAAAAGGTTAGAAAGAAGGTGAGATATATAGATTAATTCTGCCTCCCATAAAAATACCCAAGGGTGGTCATGGCCATTAATATTCAGCTTCAGTGGATCAGACTACTTAGTCCCAATACAATCCCATATATTAACACTGCTTATCAAAAAAGCAGCCTTATGTGGAGTAACATAAAACAAGCAAGCCTCTTTTAACCTGAATTTCTAAGTGACATTAGTATTTGGAGCCAAGCATGACTGCTGGTTTTACAGAGAGAAGTTACTGCTTTCAAAGATTCTACTATTATCAAGCTTCCTACGTGAATCCTCTGGTTCACTTCTGTTTACAGCAGGGCTTCACACACTCTCTGTAACGTTATTATGGAAATAATGAAGGCACAAACTGTGGCATAGTGGGAAAATCAGCCACAAGGAGCAGCCAGCTGGGACAAGACTGGAAAGTGAGTGAAAACCTAAAATGACCTGTGTTCTGAGCGCTACTAGTTGAAAAATTTTTTGGTGCTATGAATGTTTAAACTGTAGTTTAGAAGTAACAGGCAACTAATTAACTTGGGTAAGAAATTTTCTCATGAACAATTCATGATGTGGTGAAGCAACATTTATGGGGATTATTGGAAGACATGATATAAGGCTGTCAACTTTATCGTGGATCTCCAGAAACAGCTCATTTTACACATCTTTGTTTCTTTCAACTGAAATACTTTCTGCAAACATCACAGACATCCTTGATGGGAACTTCAACTAAGGCTTCAAATTGGAAACTTATTTTTAGAGAAGTGAAATGTTTGCCTCATTTGGTGTATATTTGAGAACCAGTAGGCTTAGGCGCCTGTTTTAAATTGTAGTATGCAAATTAATATTAACCCTTTCAGTGGCTACATATGATCAAGAAATGTATAAAGCTTACAAGATAACAGAAGCCTTCTGGTCGGGATGAGATATTCAAGAGGCTGATGTCGTTGATGTTACAAATACGACAATAACTAGGGTATGTCCTGGGCTGTTCTACCCCATAATGATAAAATTAAAATCTGCATTCTTAAGAACAATGAGGAAAACAAAATCTAGCAAGAGAGAACAACAGTCTGGGTAAAAAAATCTTCCAAGCAGTTTATAATCTAGCATTGCCAAAATCATATTAAAATGTCATGTTTTGATAACCTGACAGACAATAAAAGGCAGCTTGGACACGGCTTTACCTCCAATGGTGCAGGCTCCAAGTAGATTCACAATATTCATGTGATTACCAAGGTAACTCAGGACTTTGAGTTCAGACATGAGGGCTTCCCGTTCTGTCAAATGGGCACTCGCTAAAATTGGAAACATGCATTTTAGCAAAAAGCACAACTGGCAAACTGATGTCAAGCGCATGCAGTACCATACAGGAACTTACGCTTGAGCATCTTTACAGCGACAGTCATGGCCGCATCTGACTTAATTAAGCCATAAGCAGTTGCCTCAACAACCTTCCCGAAAGCTCCAGCACCCAGGGTTTTCCCTGTAGGAAGGAAGACAACAAGGTAAGTGGTGATGGTGCTGGTGGTGGAATTGAAGGACCATTTGTGCAGTTTCAAAATCAATAAAGGAATTAAAAACAATGTTGTCCAGAGACATTTTCCTACGATGTTCTCTATGGCAAACCTATCAAAAGGGGCGCAATTTCACAGAAAACTCATTGTTTCAGGTGGAACAAAACAAAGGAAGCCACTGGAGTTCCTTAAAGTCACTGTTATGTGTACCCAAAAAGGTGACATGGAAAGCCCCTGTTTCATACTGACCAAAACTCAGCCTGTTTCTGGGAAACTCCCATTTGTGATCATAAGGAAGTTGTGTTGGGTCTATGTAAACATAATTGTTTCCATTTATCTCCTCAACAACCTTCCACTGTACTTCATACATGGGTTTCTGTGGGGAGAAAGGGAAAAATAGATCACCTTTTAATAATTATTGTCTCAGTCATTAGAGCACTCTGGAGAGAGAACAAATAAATGGTTACCTGTAAATATTTGTAGGTCAGAATCATCACAATAATGCACATCATGCCAGCTACGATTACGAAACCAATCAGCAAAGGAGTGAACAGGGTGTGGGGATGGATTTGCTCTACAATGGAAGAGAAATGTGGAATCACAAACTTTGGCAGGATGGGATCTCTACCACAGCCACTCAGTCCCAAACTGACCCCACCTCCCAACTCACAGCCCATGGCAGGATGCAAAGCTATGTGAGTCTCAGAGCTTCACCTTGGTTACATTGTACTCTTGTTATTCAAATGAATCTTTAAAAATATAACTTGAAACCACAATACTGCAGAATAGAAGTTGAGATTTCTGTAGAAAAGGAATAATTTATGCTGTTTTTCAATGAAAAGCAACATCTGAATGCACTTTATACTTCAATCAAATTCCTGCCTTGTACAACTTTAAAAAAAAGAAGCTTCCTTTATGGACGGTTTATATTTTCTTCTTTAAGCTTTCCTGTATTTTCCAAATTTTCTACACTGAGCATGAATGTCTTTCACAACCAAAAAAAAAAAAAACATTTTTAAGGTATTCTTTTCGTTGCCCTGTCTGAAAAACATGGAAGATTCTTCCCCTCACTACTCAAAACCTGAGAAAACACGCCACTTTTTGGCACTAGTCTTTGCCGACTCAAAAAACGAAAACAACAAACAAACAAACAAAACCCCAAGAAGGCCTAAAAAGTAAGTGCCCAGTTTCTTTGTCTTCCCACTTTGTACCAATTCATCAGTTTGCCCAAAAGATCTTTTAACTTGTTAAGAGAGTTAGTCACACATGAATCAAATTTTAAATATTTTAAAGAAATAACTTGCTAACATGACTTCATAAAGGCAGTGTTAACTTTTGGATACAGTGTCTGGCAAAGTGTTAAAATAATTCATTTTAAATAACTGAAATTTTTAATTGAATTTAAATTTTAGATTGTTCTAATTCTGTTTGGGTGTAAGGTAAATATATTCCCCCATTTGCTTTCTCTAGCTCTTTTTAATGGAGACAATTGTAAATATACAACTAATAGAGACACACATACATATAAAATATATAAAGTAGCATGGTTAAAATTGCTCTGGTAAAAGCATATACTTAACAAGCTAGTACAAAATGAAACTTAGTGAGTTTGATGACAGTATGGTGTGATGCATGTATTACCAGAAATGACATGGTCAATGTTGGAATGAACTTAAAATCATGACTGATATGGTAGACAGAGCCTAAACATCCCCTTAAATTGGATTAAAAAGAAATATACCTTTGTTGTTACCTTTAAATGCAAAGTTAAAATAGGCAGAAGTCTTGCCCACATCGTTGTAAGCCTTACATTCAACCGTGCCATTGTGCTTGAATGCACTAGAATCTATAGAACTCTGAACCACTAGCTTTCCAAACGGTGGCCCAGATGAGTTTAGTGTCTGCACATCCACTGGCAGTACAGAAGCAGAGCATCTAAAGGGAAGAAAACAAAAGCCCTGGCTTACTCTAGGAAAATAAATAAATACATAAAACACTTGGGATGTGGCATACTTTTAAAACAAAGTTAGAGGTTCATAATCAACAGAAAATGTCCTTTTACAAGTGTCTAAGAATAAGCACTTTGGTGACCTAGTGAGTGAAAAAAGCACTGGGGAAGAGAAGGCAGAGGAGGCTTCGGAGTCAGATGCGGGTTTGAATCCTGATGAGTTTTTAACCCCCACCAACACTGAGTTTCTACGACTGTAAAACAGGGATAGTAATACCCATTGCAGAGGGTTACTGAAAGGATTGGAAAGGAATTCAATAAAATGGCAGGCATATATGCTGGTACACAGTAGATCCCTAAAATAAACAAGCTTCAAAAGGGTACACGAATGGTTGAAAAGAAATAGCATAGAGGAGGAAAGCATAAAAAATCTTCAAGGGGCCGGGCGCAGTAGCTCACACCTGTAATCTCAGCACTTTAGGAGGCCGAGGTGGGCAGATCACCTGAGGTCAGGAGTTCAAGACCAGACTGGCCAACATGGTGAAACCTCGTCTCTACTAAAAATACAAAAATTAGCTGGGCGTGGTGGCAGGCGCCTGTAATCCCAGCTACTCGGGAGGCTGAGGCAGGAGAATCACTTGAACCCTGGAGGCAGAGGTTGCAGTGAGCCAAGATCACTCCATTGCACTCCAGCCTGGGCAAGAGAGTGAGACTCGGTCTCAACAACAACAACAACAACAAAATCAAGGATGTAGACCAGAAAATAGTCAAAGTGAGGACTGAAGTTTGAGTTCTAAGCAGGAAGGCCTAGTTATACTGCAGGTGGCTGAGACCACCACTGCAAGGGATCCTTTTCATGAGCCAGACCCCGACTTCCCTATTCTAAACACCTAGCTATTCCCTGTTTCCTTTCTTAACACCTACATACATTCATTGTTTATTCCATCTATTATGTGTTTCTACCCACTAGAACAAGCTTATCCAACCTGCAGCCCACATGTGGCCCAGGACGGCTTTGAATGCGACCCAACACAAATTCATGAAGCTTAAAACATTATGAGATTTTTTTGCAATTTTTTTTTTTTTTAGCTCATCAGCTATCGTTAGTGTTACTATATTTTATGTGTGGCCTAAGACAGTCGTCTTCTTCCAGTGTAGCCCAGGGAAGCTAAAAGACTGAACACCCCTGCACTAGAACATAAACTCATAAAGGCAAAAAGACTTGGGTGTGTTCTGTCCATTAGAATAGTGTCTGGTACACACTTGCCACTCCCTGTGTATCTACTGAATGAATGCCTGTAACTACAGGGCTTGCTTCTGCTGTGGCCATTCCTCCCAGGGGCCTTGAACCCTACTTAGTATTCCCCAAAAGAAAACACTCTCCTAAACCCCAGCTGAAAACAGCAATCCGATGTAACCCCTTCCAACTTGTTGTGATAAAGAGGCTTATTCCATGAAAAATAAAATTTCTGCGACCATACTAACTATTCAATTGTGATGTTAACCTGGGCTTTTAAAGCCTGAGCATAAAATAGCAATTGATGGATAAAAACAGCTGTGGTGACCCCATTTTCGTCTTCAGGTAATGCAAAAGGGCAATTTAAGGCTTAAGTGTGGATGGTGAGGGGCAAGCAGCACAGTGCCAGATGTTCTCTGTTCAGGGGCTGGGCACATTATCAAGAAGAAACCCTTTTTAAAAGCGGTCGCTTGCAAATGCCATATGTATGTTGTAATTGTGCGATCATTACTTTTTGGTAACTTGGCAATTAACTACTGAGGTAATTTTTTCATGATAACTACAGTCACATTTCCCACACACATTACCTCCTGTGTATAGAATGGAAATCTAATTACTCTGTCCTGCAAAATTGCTTTATCTACCTGCAGGCTAGAAATTGCATGATAAATCCAGAAAGATAACACCAAAATAGAGAAGTCATTCAGTAATGATTTTTCAGCAAACAAAATTAATGTCTACCAAGAAAAATATAGCAATTATCCCTTCTAAAAAGCCACATGGCTAGAAAAAAAACAATAATCAAAACAAAGCTTTTTTAAAAAAAATCAGAAAACATATTTGAAATTCAAGTGAATTGCAGTCCTTCCCCTCTGCATTATAAGCAGTGCCAAAAATAATCATCTCACCTCTGCTCAGTTCCTGGACAAAAATACCAATCTATTGTGGGCTCTGGGAATCCTGCTGCCACACATTGGAGCATGCCATTCACGAGCCTGTCGTAAGTCAGGATTTCTGGTTTTGCTACAGGAAAACAGAAATGGCCATATGTCAGAGTGCTGGAAAACCTCAGCAACATTCACTTCACTCCCTCTCTAATCCCTACAACCTTCCTGAGGCTGCTGAGTAGCCTGAGGGAGCAAGTTCAAAGGGCAGAATCTGAACCAAGGAGTGGAAGGTACAAGGAGGCGGCTGTCAGGGTCCAACCCAGAAAGGCTTTCCCAGCCACAGTGGCCCAGCCCCAGAGGAGATGGCTGAGGCAGAGGTGGCAGGGCCAACTGCAGGGTTTCTGCTTTCAGGGAGTAGGGATCTGAAGACTGCTTCTAATCAAACTCTAGGACTCCAAAGTGTTCCACAGGTAAAAATCTACTTTAAAGGATTCCTGCCAATGGGATTTCAAGCAACTGTACCTGCCCTAGGAATTTCAAGTTATTGTGGGAACTGGAATGGATGAAATTAGGAGTTGTTAGAGGAAAAGATAAGCCCCACTCTTTTGCTCTTACATGAATTTTCTCCTTTTTGGGGGTGGAAGGGTGGTGCCGATTAAAAGCCGAATCACTCTATTTACAGGGAAGCTAGAACATAAAGAGTAAAATACAATATGGGCTTTACTTCAAATCTTTGTTTCAAATGCAAAATATGAACAGAAAACTAGAAAAGAAAACCAGCCTAAGATTTATATATTTATGTATATTATGAACGTGAATATATATATATAAATACATATATATAAATATATATACATATATATAAAAATATATATAAATATATATAAATACATATATATATATAAATATATATATAAATCTGAATATATTCACTGTAACAGCAGAAATGCTCTAATTTGGTATTTCTATGTAACTACAATAACCAGCTAACACTCAAGAATTTCTAATTTTTGAAGTTATTTACAAAGTGAAAGGAAGATGCACTTATACTCGGTGGTTCTGATGGCAATACATCTGAAGGATTCCAACCCTCTAAGAATAAATAAGCTCAACAGAAGCAACAGGATGGCAGGGATGCTGATATGCTCACCCTGTACTCTGAAGAATAGCATTGATTGTGCCAAGTCTAAGCACAGAATTACGGGAGCCCCATGCATAGTGGACACATCTGAATACCAGCTCTTACATTTCTCAGTTCTTTGAACTTGAGTAAGTTTCTACATCTCTCTAAATTTTTGTTCCCTCATGTGTAAAATGGGAATAATAACTGTGCCCCTCTCATAGGGATATTGAGACAATTAAATGAGATGGCACATACAGAGAGCTAAGAATGACTTATAGAAATGAAACAATTATTTATTATTATTATTGCTGGGCACGGTGGCTCAAGCCTATAATCCCAGCACTTTGGGAGGCTGAGGCTGAGGCAGTGGATCACCTGAGGTCAGGAGTTTGAGACTAGCCTGGGCAACACAGTGAAACCGCATCTCTACTAAAAACACAAAAATTAGCTGGGCACAGTGACATGCGCCTGTAGTCCCAGCTACTCGGTAGGCTGAGGCAGGAGGATGGCTTGAACCCAGGAGGCAGAGGTTGCAGTGAGCACCACTGCACTCCAGCCTGGGTGACAGAGTGGGACTCCATCTCAATAAAATTTATTATTACTATTAATACTGAGTTATTATTTTATAATCAGAATATCTACCTTTCTTGGATAACCAATTTCACTACAAATGAAGTGAACTGTATTTGCCACTCTAAATATTCTCCTCAATAATCTAAAAATTCCTTCTTTAGAATAGTCTGATAAGGTGTATATTTTAACCCAATGCGCAGGGAATTCAACATCAATTATATTGCAACTGATAGGGAAAATATATGCAGTGAGAAGGAAAGACTGACAGATCAGAAACTTAGGAAGTTTATTTCCCCAAAGGAAGGTAACACTGATAAATGACATCTTTGTAGAATAACCTCTCAGCACCTCACCTCCCTGGAGGCACCTCCCTGGAGTTGGCGGAGATCAGAGTATCCACATGCATGACACACCCACCTGTCACTCAACCTGGCCCTGCTGATGAGCAGGCCATTTGGCTAATATACACAAAAGAGAAACTCTCCAAAACAATCTCAAGGTAGGGGCATCCTTGAGAGTTTGGATCCAATGCCAGCTTTACAAATAGAGCAAGAAGACAAGCCATCGTCTTGCGAAAGCATCCATCTGGCAAGTTTCATTTAATTATCATGGGCAACTGTGTGATCAGGCTGAAAAGTAGGACACGACACAAGAAATCAGCAGACCCTTAGGAGAGTGCTATTTGCTAGGGACTCTAGGTGCCATACTGTGGGTCTCTCTGGACTCAGTTTAAGTGTCACCTCCTTTTCTAAGCAAGCCTAAACTCTCTGATGCCAAGCTGGTCTCTCTCCTTTCCTTATTCCCAAAGCATTTAAGAACACCTGACGCTGGTATGCAAGATCTTGGTCTGCCTCCTCCATCAGACTCGATGTTCTCGAGGGCAGAAACGACATCTTACTGATTGAGTATACTTGTGACTCCTAGCTCAGTGAGACCCACAGCAGGCACACAGTAAGCACTGTTGTATGATGAAGATCCCACCCAAAGGAACAAGTCTCTAAGATTCCAAAGGCATTCAATTATAGAGTCACAAGAAGAGACCTGTGGGAACAGCCTAATGGTGACTTTCGTAAATACGGCACTATTTCTATTATTTTTGCAATGGAGGGCCATGAGATAAGAAATCCAAGCGCCTGACAACATGAATTTTTTATAACACTGAGATGAATGATGAGTGGGACCAGTCTACACAAAGATGGTAGAGATAACTGAATAGGACTCAAATAGGAGCTAAGTTCACAACATAGATGTACTCATACCTATATTCCCTTAATACTCATACTTCCTAATGCTCATAACACTACATGGTAAATTCTTAGTGAAATTAAATATTAACTTAATAGGCGGAGGAAAGGCTGAAAGAACACTTTAAGATGATGTTAACAATGGTTATCTCTGGGTAGTAAGGTGATGAAAAGTTTCTATTTTATTCTTTTATTTCTAATTTTATTTTGCAATGAATGGGTAGCTGAAAGTGAACCTATAAAACATTGTTTAATTAAAAAATTGGAACAGCTCAAAATTACATAATCAATTCCATTTAGCTTTGGTTACAAGTATGCTCTAACATCCAAGCCTTCTAGCGTGACACCTGGTAGCAGTTATACAACAGCCATGGCTGGCAACGGTGTGGTCTGGCTGGCCTACTTGTTCCCATGTGCCGGTTAATTAAGCAGTTTTGTTAAGTTTCTATCCCAGGTGGGTCATAACCTGAGGCTAATTGAGCAGCTTTTGTCCTGCTGGCCTTAGGTTGGCCAACCAAGCTGACAGGGTCCTAAATCTTCAATATGCCTTAGACTCTCTAAGGGAAGAGAATAAATGCACATTCCTGGGCCGCACCTCCAGAGATCTAGTAAGCTGAGGGTATAACCCAGCAATGTACCTTTTTAAAGGGCCTTTAAGGAACCCTTATCAAAGCCAGGACAAGAGTAAGGCAAGAGAAGCACCCAGGGCATAAAAATAAGAAGGCACTAACCCTAAAGGGCCTATGAGTGGGTATCTGTGAGAGCACCTCCTTATATTTCACACTCTAGGTGCCTTTCTTGCCTCACCTCGGTCCAGCCCTTTCCCTAACACTGGTGCTAAGAGACCTCCTTCTGAAAAGGATGAGACACACTAGTACAGCATGAGCTGTACCTGGCAAGTTGCATTATGAAAATGTTTAATGCATAAAGAATGAGCCAGGTGGAAATCTAATTCCTAAAAATGAAAATCTGGGCTCATCTGCATTTTATAAGTGCCTCAATGCACCGTGTTTGGCATTAAATATACATCTTGCCTTTAAAGATACATAACTCTGCAGTTCTCCAGGTTAAATCTGAGCTGTGGCTTCTTAGATATTCTGCAATAAGCAGTATAGCAAATGACACATTCTCTAATTCCTCCCAAGTTGGAGGTTTAGATAAGCCTAAGAGGTGTATAAGTTATGCATTTCCTGTGGAGATAAAAAAAAATAGCCTTTTTGCCTTTAAAAACATCATGGACCTGAGTCATTCTGATATCGCCAACAACACCGATCAGCTTGTAGGCAGATTTCAGATGCTTGTAACTCTGCTGAGAATTTATTGCTCATGCAATTAAAAATCCTACACATCCAGTGATTTACCCCACAGATTTGTGATCTTGGAAAATATTCCTTTTCATCACCATCCAGTCCATGTGGAAAGCAAGAACAAAATGAATTTTAAGAACATAGTACAGATAACAAAGCTGAGGGCTGGTGGCTGAAAGGCAATACACAAGCCAATGGTAGAAGGGGTCTTCCTTTCTTCATCTAAATGCAGGGAGGCATTTTTTGATTAGAGTTCTCTCACCCAGCCACTTTAACCAACTTCCGCTATAAATGCACATTTGCCCATATTTTATAATCAGCAGGACAAAAAACGCAAACACTTAAGTCTCCAAATAATAAAAGACTAAATGAAGAGGGATCATAAGAATGAATTTCTGTTTTTAAAATTCGAGGTTTGCTGGTGTTTAAAGGCAATGAAGCAATGCTTTTCCGGAATTTTTCACTATCCCGGTTTTGGTCTGTGTAAAACCTACACTTGTGCCATAATACCATTATAATAAAGAAATTTAAGTCAGCTAAAATTGGAGTAGAAAAATAACCTTACTTATAAAAGGAATATTATACTTTTTAAAAAATTCCCAGGATAGATATTTTGGACATATACTGTGTCTTATACATTCTTAAAGATATCCAGAAATTGGCATATGGACACTAACAGAAGTTTATTTAACAAACAAAATAAAACTTCAACTATAATCTCCTGTACCTATTTATTTTAACAGTGACTGTCATTTTAAAAAGAAAAAAAATCATTCTCTTAATGAAGTGATTTTCTCAACTAGGGCTCAGCAAACTTTTACTATAAAGGGCGAGATACATATTTCAGGTAAATATTTTAGATTTGTGGGCCATAAGGTCTTTCCTGCAACTCAACTCTGCAGCTGTAGTACAAATGTGCCCATAGACATTATATAATCAAATAGGCATGGCTGTTTTCAATAAAACTTTCCTTGTGGACACTAACATTTGAGTTGTATTCTCATGTCTCATGAAATCTCCTGATTTTTTAAAACTAATCAGAAATAAATTCAATAACGTTCTTAGTTTGTGAGCCATTCAAAAACAGGTTATAGGCCGGGTGCAGTGGCTCACGCTTGTAATCCCAGCACTTTGGGAGGCCAAGGCAGGAGAAAGACCAGCCTGGCCAACATGGTGAAATCCCATCTCTACTAAAAATACAAAAATAAGCCAGGCATGGTGGCAGGTGCCTGTAATACCAGCTACTCGGGAGGCTGAGGCAGGAGAACTGCTTGAACCTGGGAAGTGGAGGTTGCAGTGAGCCAAGATTGTGCCACTGCACTACAGCTTAGGCGACGGAACAAGACTCTGTCTCAAAAGCAAAAAACAAAACAAAACAAAAACAGGCTACAGGCCAATTCTGGCCAGCAGGCTATAGTTCTACCAACCCCTGTTCTAAACAGCAATCAAAAAGATATCCCAATCACGAGATTACGTTGAAAAATGATGAAACTACTTGGAGAGAGACTTCTTCAGCCAGAATCACTGCTCAACTTACAGGAGCACCATTGCTGTATCACCCAGCCGTGGGGAGGAAGACCTGTACACACATCACAATGCCACTCTGCTTGCTGCCAAGGAGTGCAGGCATGGGACAAAAGCCTCTTTTTTCCTACTCTGGAAAAGTAGCTAATTCATTTTGCAACATAATTCAGAAGTGGAGGAGAAGGGTATTGACAGAATGCCCATGGAAACATTATGTCCCTATTCTTGGATTAATTTAAATTTCACTACATTACAGGTGACCTTGCATATATCTGTAAATGAAGGAAGCTAATTTGATGTAAAAACAAGTGGCTCAACTGAAAAGAAAATCTCCACAGAGTGGAAGTTCCACAATATAAAAGGGACCACTCACTGCTTTTAGCGAAGTCTATGTACCCAAGTTTAGAGTCAATTCCAGCAGAAGTTTACATGGCTACATACCTAAACCTGTTTCTCCTGCTTTTCCACCATCAACATAAAAAAATGGCCAAACCACACAAACGGGGGCAACCAAGGGCTATGGATCCAGAGAGTTTACCTGGTTCTCTTACAGGTTCAGTGTTTACATCAAGGCCCCTAAATTAGCAACACATCCACCAGACCAACTTTCTTATGAGATAGGGAGGAAGAGTAATGATGCCAGCCTTTGAGGAGGGAAAGATGTTTAGCTTAGTTCAGAGCTACATCTGCTAAATTTTTTCAGAACAGAAGAGAATCAAGTTCTACTTTAAAAGTAGGTTGCCATTATATCTTTTTTTTTCCAATTTAAACATCTATAACAATTCTTGCCTCCACAGACATTCTCTTTATAAGGAGAAAGAGATATTAGAGTGTCACATCAAAAACAACATTCATAATTCCCAAGCAATTTGAGAACAAAAACTCATTTCAAGTTCAGGAACAGAAAATACAAACAGAGTTCAAACACTGTCAGATATCTCAAATGAACACATATTATCTATAAAAAGATTAATGTGAAAAGACAAGCAACGATTTTTACATAGATTAGCTACCACACTAAGAAGATCTGAAAATTATTCCTTAATTTAGAACTGTCCTGAAAGCCAGCACAGTATATCTGCCATATCGTATGTTGAAGACACAGAGCATGAAAGATAACAACAGATGATAACCTTATTAACTTCCAGCCACTTAAGCAAGGTCACTCATTAGACATTAAACACGATAATTATAAACTTTAAATAATCATCTGACAGGTTTCTTTTAAAATTCAGTCACATCATTTCAGAGTCCCGCCTCGCTCCTGGATGTCTCAAAATTGCATCAGGCATGGGCTAGAGAAATTATAAAAGATCCATACACTGAGATGCCAAAATGATGTTATAGAAAGATATTCACAATGCTTTTGTTGTGCAGCACCAAAAATCCAGGTTATAAAGCAATATGACTTCATTTTTATTTAAAAAAAAATTAATGGTCTGGAGGAATGTATAATAAAGAATATTAGTAATGGTAACCTATAAAAAGTAAATAAACATAAAAAGTAAAAATAAAACTTGATTTTTATTTTTGCTTATTTACATTTTCTAATTGTTCTACCCTTCACATAATGCTTTTGTAATGAGAAAAAATTGTTTTAATTTAAAAACATGCAGCATACAAATGTTCACACAAACGAAGCTATGTTCCAGTTACTGTTGCAGCCTTAGAGCAAACTCTCAAAAGCAAGTAAATAAATCAGAAAGGAGTTCTATTCGGCACTTTATTTAACGTTTAAAATTTACAATTATTTACTATAAGAGGAAGTCACGCTAATAGTATCCACCTAATGGGGAAAACACTGAAAAGCAAAGACTTTCAAGCAAAAATTAACAGCAAGTCTTCAAATTTGTGGCCTCTAACACAAGTATGGTTTGGACGCGCATGTGTTTGAAAGGTCCTACTATTTTTTTAAAAAATGGAAAGAAAAAGCTAATAGGTTAAGTGGTGGGAAGACATTGCCATCTTCCAAAAAAGTTGAAGTTCTAGTAACTTTGCTCTGTTTTGTGAGGATCTTCCTGAAGGGCACAGTGGCCTTAAGGACCAAATCTGAGCAGTCCTTGCAGGCAAGACTGCCGTTATTATTTTACTCTGGATAAAGGTAGTTGGAGATTCCAGCCAGGTGGGTGACCCAGAGAGCTGGCAAACAGGTGAAGCCATCTATATGGCTGGCTTTCACGGGTCTATGATACAGTTTGAATATTTGTCCCCTTCAAATCTCATGTTTAAAAACTGATCCTGAATACTGGAGGTGGGGCCTGATGGGAGGTGTCTGGGTCATGGGGACAGATCTTTCATGATTAGCCTGGTGCTGTACTAGAGGTAATGAGTGACTCCTCACACTATTAGCTCCCTCGAGATCCGATTTTTAAAAACAACCTGGCACCCTTCTTCTCCTCTCTCTCTTTCCTCCTCTCTTGCCATGTGATGCCTGTTCCCCTTCCGCTTCCACCATGAGTGGAAGCTTCCTGAAGCCCTCACCAGAAGCAGGTGTTTCTTACAGCCTGCAGAAATGTGAGCCAAATAAATCTCTTTTCTTTATAAATCACCCAGCCCCGGGCATTTTTTTTTTTTTTTTTTAACAGCAACACAAATGCACTGATAGTCTACCTGGGATCATTTCTGGTTGGCTGGCCAAAAGCTAGATGGCTATGTGCTTTATCTGCAGGAGCTTCTCCCTAGAATTGGTTCCACCATCCATAACTGGATTTAACTGTGAACCAAAAATACTAAAAGGTAGCCCAGACTTTGCATACTTGGTCAAAGGGGATCTTTCTCATCGAGAAGCCTTATTCTGGGTGATTTATTGCTTTGGCTGATTTTGGTATACTGTATGACCTATAAATAATTGCTAACAACAGGTAGGATGTTAATTATATGATGCAGTGATTTGGAAATAATACATTATTTAACATTTCCTTAAATTGTTTCTCAACCCCCTGTTAATACCCTTCCATAAATGGAGTGAAATTGGTGACTTCTGAGTTAATTTGGTGCACTTCAGCAGTCACTTGGGCTTCCAATCTAGCTCAACATTAAAGGCATCCTATGTAAGGCTAATGATCAAAGGGAGCCCTTCAGTTCTCAATGTCTGCCTCCCCGTCACCACCACGTGAGGATCACAGTACTCCCACCGCACTGGCTGAAGCTCGTCATTAAAGGATAAGCTTTCAAAATGGGAGCGGGATCTATTTATGATCCGTAAATACCGTTTGCCACATATTTTAAATGCATAATACCGCCCTGGAAATGCTACCAGATCATGTTTTGAACTATCCACTTTAAGGTTACAGGATCTTCTTAAAATTATTCCAAAGGTTTGAAAAACAACTGGTTTATCATATCAACCATAATTTATTTCTACAATTATGTAAATTATTTCAGGATTCACATGGGTATTTAAAATTGAAGCCAAAATAAACCTACAAAATATTTACTTTACTGATTATCCTTTAAGTCCACTATAAAGTTTGTTATTTATTCAAGAAATACTAGATGGAGTGGGGAAAAAAGCCAAATGGATATATTAGGATTAAAGTGCATATTTGGCCTTTTATTTGTCCTGGATCTGGCAAAAAAAAACCTCATTGTGTGACATTTAATATAACCAAAGAGGCCATCAGTTCCTAAATAAGTAGCATAAGCTACCCATAGCATCTTGGCAATGTCATTTTTTTCTAATATTTCCAAGAGTTTTGGAAAGGTTAATGTCTATTAAGAAAGCACTTTGAGGTAAGGTTTCAAAACTCTACTTTTTTCCTGATTTTCATTTCCAAGAAAAACAAATCACCATTTTCGCTGAAGGATATCAAACATTTCAGATCTAAGAATTTGATGTCCATACACATCTTGGATAAGCAATTCCAAAAGTTAATTAGAGTAATGCAAATTCAATGCAGATATAATCACTAATTTTTGGTTTTGCTTTGTTTTTTAATGAAAATTCCTATCAGTTTCCACTAGAAGTTCTACTCAAAGATGGCAACCATGTTATAATGGCTCTTGGCCATTATAAACCACCTTAAATGTCACTGAGTCAGTTTAATAGGCCCATGTAAATCATGGCTTGATTAGAGAGGTTAGAAACAGTATTAGAACATTTTCAAGCTTAACATGTTATATACGTGTTTTCTTAACACAAATTGTCAGAGCACAATATTTTTTAAAAGTCTACCATATAAGCAATTAAAACATGCCCCTTCCCCACATTCACTATACTGAAATTTACATGTGGAATTTTCAAAACAAATAGATTTTTCAACCGCCAAATATTTAACCATGCCAAATCAAGGATTTTCAATAGCATTTCTTGCAGATGAATCTATTAAGCAATTACGCATTAGTGTCACAGAGTAAAAGTAGGCTGAATTTCTGCACTAACAAACACTATGCATTCATTATTCTGATTTTTATCAATTCTGATTTTTGCAGAACACAATCCCTTTTGTCCTTGAGGCTCAGCTTATTTACAAAATAAACCATACAGTACACCTACATATGTAACTGGCTCAGCTAAAATGATGTCAAAAAGGCCACAACTATTCTAAGTTTAAAATTGTAGAATTATTTTAGCTTTTGATTTTAAAATTTAACATGAAAAAAATCCTACCTCACGAGCTAAGCAATGAGGATGCAAAATCATGAGAATGACAGAATGAACTTTGGGGACCTAGGAAGAAGGGTGGGAGGGGGGTGAGGGATAAAGACTATACACGGGTATAGTGTACACTGCTTGGGTGACAGGTGCACCAAAATCTCAGAAATCACCATAAAAGAACTTATCTATGTAACTAAAACCCATCTGTTCCCCAAAAACTATTGAAATAAAATTTTTAAAAATACTACCACATAATAATGTTAACTAGATTTTTTTTCAATTAAAAAAAATCAACAAATCAGCTAACTATATCTCTAAAGAGCAACTGGGACGTACCTCATAGACAGTTTAAAGCTCAAACATAAATGCTACTACCTCTGTCCAAACGTTTGCAAATCAATAAATCCAACGTGTTAGGTAAGTGAAATAAATGCCTCTGTCAGTTTGTTATTTGTAACAAACTAACTTCAAGGAAAAGACTTTCTGAAGAGCTTGAGGTCAGGACCAACATGATCCTCATCTGTATATCCAGTGAAATACAGTGGGACCTCAGGAAGTGCTGGGTGGGTATTAGAGACCCATACCCTAGAATGCAGAAAAGACCTCCTACTTACAGGCAATCCAAGAAGATATCCTTTTGGAAGGCTAACAACATATCCTATCTAGTTTCAAATAAGCATGGGTTCACCAGCAGCACTGATTAAAACTGAGCCTGCTGGAATGGCAAATTAGCCTAGTAGCAATTTTGCCCCCACCAGAGAAAAGTCAGAAACATCTTCCTGAGGTCAATATCTCATGACCAACTGGCAGACCACACACTGGCAAATGGAAGCATGAAAAAAGAAGAAAAGAGACACATTTAAACACCCCTTTGGACTTAAAGCCAGGGAAACAGTGGTAACACAAAGTACCTCACTTCATAAAATTCCCAACCACTGAACTCTCAAAGTGAGGTCTGTGGAGTGGGCCCCACCCACGATCTGCTGTTGCTGGTGCACAGGAGATAAATACAGAAACTGAGAAGAAGCACTGAGGAGGAGCAATTTGACAAAGAGTAATTGTTATATCTATTGAATCTAAAAAATAAAAAAACCCGAGCTTGTATTTTGTATATTGTTCTTTTTCATTTCACTTTTCCAGTAATTGGTTTTTACTATATTTTACAAGAAGTATTGATCCACAATGTATTGGGAATCTTAGAAAAGAAAGTCTTTTAACATAGAAAGGTTGAGAAGCATCACACAAGAGCAGCCACAATAAAATTCTGTATGAACAATATGCATATTATGCTTGCAAGGATACCGATTTACCTACGGTCATCTCTTAAATGAGATGAACATTAAGACTTTTCAGAAGCAGGTAATTTTGTCCATGGGTAATACACTAAGCTCTATATACTATTATCTTTTTTTTTTTTTTTTTTGAGACGGACTCTCGTTCAGTCGCCCAGGCTGGAGTGCAACAGTGAGATCTCAGCTCACTGCAACCTCTGTCTCCCAGGTTGAGGTTCAAGTGATTCTCCTGCCTCAGCCTCCCAACTAGCTGGGATTACACGCACTCATCATCGCAACCAGCTGAATTTTTCTATTTTTAGTAGAGAAGGGGTTTCACCATGTTGGCCAGGCTGGTCTCGAACTCCCAACCTCAGGTTATCCACCTGCTTCGGCCTCCCAAAGTGCTGGGATTACAGGCGTGAGCCACCGCGTCCAGCCTCTATATACTATTACTTTCTGATTCACATTGAAATTAATCTAGAGATACTTGAATTGAGGACCAGAGAAATGCTATGTAATCAAAACTGTTTGCTGGAACTCAGATAATAATTAATGTTTCCCTTGAAAAGGGAGAACTGTGTGATCAAACGAGTTTGGGATATATACATCCTATCCCATGGCCCCCTCTGGCAAAGTCACATTAGCATATTAGGATTCTGGGAAGGCCAGTAATAAAGATATGTGTTTAATTACACGAATGTGACCTTCTTCATCTAAACTCATATGAATGTCTTATTCAGAAAACACAATTTTTGAAATGTTCATAGTCAAAAGACTCTGGATTAGCAATAAAAAATCTGTCCAGCTATTTCTTTTCATTGGCTTACACCACCCACCCTACCATCTTTCCTGAGCTGTAGCATCAAATAAGACAATTATGTAAAATCACTTCACACAGGTTGAGTGTTGTGGCTCACTCCTGTAATCCCAGTGCTTTGGGAGGACAAGGCAGAAGGATCGCTTTAGTCCAGGAATTCAAGACCAGTCTAGGCAACAAAGCAAGACCCCCATCTCTAAAAAACATTTAAAAATTAGCTGTGCGTGGTGGTGCATGCCTGTACTCCCAGCTACTTGGTAAGCTGAAGCGGAAGGATCTCTTGGGCCTAGGAGTACAAGGATATAGTGAGCTATGATCACTCCAGCCTGGGTGACAGAGACAGATGCTGGCTCAACATGTTTGTCAACATGTTTGAAAACAAAAACATGTTTGTCTCAAAATCAAACAAACAAAACATCTAGCTGGGCGCGGTGGCTCATGCCTATAATCCCAGCACTTTGGGAGGCTGAAGCAGGTGATCACTTGTGGTCAGGAGTTCAAGACCATCCTGGCCAACATGGTGAAACCCCATCTCTACTAAAAATACAGAAATCAGCTGGGTGTGGTGGGATGCCTATAGTCCCAGATACTCAAGAGGCTGTGGCAGGAGAATCACTTGAACCTGGGAGGTGGAGGTTGCAGTGAATCGAGATGTCACTGCACTCCAGACAGGGAGAGAGAGTGAGAGACTCTGTCTCAAAAACAAAAAAAAACAAAACCACAACACCTCGTACAGAAAGTAAGCTCCTTCAAGACAAGGAATTGGCCCCAGTCCTTTGTTCCCACAACACCCTATAACCCAACACACATAAAGTGCCCAGCATAACGCCTAAGCTCTTTTCTATGAAATATTCCAGTTGTCTCCTCATCCTCCACACACCCAGGAAAGCCAATTCCAATAGTCATTTATTGGGCCACTCCCTTGGAACTCCTAGTCTTTAGGGGCCTCCCTTGCACTAGCAGGTATGGTGTGGGAGGCACCTTCCTTGGAAATGCACACGGGGCCCAGAGTGGAGCCAGGAAGAAGCCCTGCACTTGGCAAAAGGTCCAGCTCATGATCGGGCTCCCTTGGCCTCAACTTCAGAGCAGACATTTCTCTAAGACATGGTGGGCTGCAGGAGTGGGGTCGGTAGGACCCCAGCAGTGCAGGACTTGGGTGCTCAGGTGCCCATGGCCATCTCCCATCCTAAACCATCTGCTACCTTCTCCCACATACCACATGGTACTCAGTAGTGAGCCATGGGCCTGTCAGTATTGCATTTGTCTCAGTGGAAGAACAATCTAAACACAAGTAACATCACAGCCTCAAAAGAGACAGCACTGAACAAAGAAATCACGTCAGGGCTCGATAGCATCTCTTCCCTACCTAACGCAGTAATTCAGCTCCTATTCAACCACTAGCCCCCCATTCCAACAATCAATAATAATACATTTTCCCTCAAACAACTGTATGTTCAACTTGTTTGGCTCCTCTGTTTACTTCAAAGGCAGCACGCAGAATTTGAGCAACTTCTACAAGGTCATGTGATCAGTGAAATGTAGGACAAGGAACTGGTTTTTTGACACACTCTAACCACCAAACCACGAAGTCTCTGTGAAGGTCAAGATTATCATGAAACGTTATTTACATAGTACACAAGTTGAGTCCTTGCAGCTGTTACAAACACGAGCCACAACTTTAAAAGAATAAAAAATTAAAAGGAGCCCTTCATGTTACTTACTATTCACATAAACATTAAATGCTATGGCAGCATTGACGTCAGAATTGGACACTAGGAATGTGTAAGTGCCTCCTTCGGTGCCTTTTAATCTCGTTAGATGAAGTTCACTTACGTATCTACAAAGAAAAGACAACTAGTCAATCACCTGTGGATAGCATGCCTTGGAAGGCATGTCTTTTTCAGTTTCTACCTGGAAATCTATGCCTGTTTGAGGAAAAATATAACTCATTTAATTCAGTAAGTATTAGCAAAATCCACATTAACAAATACATAAACACGCACACACATATTCCATCTGGGACCAACGCCTGTTGTGAGAGACCACAGAGTGGGGAAAGGTTAAGCACAAAGGCAACCTGACAGAGGCTGCAGCCTCTCCACTGGCCCACCGCCTCCCGCCTCCGCCCTCCCCCCACCACCCTGGGCTGTCCGCATACCACTTCCTCCCCTGCCCATGGTGCTGCAGGAGCCTGCTCTCCACAGTGTCCTGAACTCACCTGCCCTGCATGCACATGCTCACTGCCCTCACACAGACACTCTGGGCCCTCAGCGAGGTCCACACTGCTCACCTTCCTTCTTGCAACACCCCCATCTCCTGGTTTTCCTCCACCCCGGAGACTTCTCAGTGCTCCTGGCAGTATTTGCCACTCAAGCTTCTGACTTCTTGCAGGACCGCCATATAGGGCTGTGTACACTGAGCACCCTACAACCCTGTCGGGGTTACTGGCAGGGGCTCCGATGTACATGTGTCACCCTGGGCAGTCCACGACCCACACGATCCACATGGGCCACAACACCAACTTGCCATAGGCGGTGTGCCAACTCTCACACTATGCAAGCTCCCTGGGCAGCCCACTCTCTCACACTGAGCTGCTGGCTGCTGGCTCACAACCTTCACGTCTTTACTTCCAGCGCAGGGTTCTCTGTACCATGTCTCCTCTACAGAGCTACTTTCATGCCCCCAAACACTTGCCTGCAGCATTCTCCCAAGGATTGCCCTTGCGCAATCCTTGGAAGACGTTGACCGTGCAGCCAGGTCTGCAGCCAGTAAGTGACTGATAGCTGGAGAGGTGCAAAAGCCCCGCTCAGCTCCTGGATAAGACTGAGGCTTGGGGTCATCTGAGCCACATCCTTACTTGCCTCCTTTCCCTCCCATGCCTCTTCCCCTACTCCCTGGTCAGTCTATCCCTGCATAAGTCACTTGCCTCAGAATCCCTGTCTCAGGCTCTGCTTCTAGGGCGTTTGGCAAAAGATACTTCCTACCTAAACAATCCCACTCAAGATCCCACTATCAATCTCAAATCCAACAAACCCCAAAACAAAGTCACTGTCTTTCCTCAGAAACTTGTCCCTCCCCGTCCTCCTGCTCTCCCTGAATGGTATGGTCTCTCACCACCCAACCTAAAGGCATCTTCAACTCCTCCCTGCCTCTCCTGCCCTCTCAATCACCTGGAGACCTCCCAAATTTATCCTCTTCCCTCCAACCTTTAGTCCTTGGCCCAGGACGCTATCATCTCTCACCCGTATTTTTCCAACAGTCAACAGTCCTGACTGGAAAAATAGAGCAAAACCCTATCCAGGCACTTAGCCCTTATTAGCCGTTCGGTCTTGGTCAAATTACTTCACCCCTCTGTACCTCTGTCTCCTCTTCTATAAAAATGGTGGGAAATAAGAATGTCTACTCACAAAGTCTGTGAGGCTTCAGGTCAGTGGGTGAATACACGTAAAGTACTTAGAACCATGCTTCAGAAAAAAAGCACTTATGTCTTACCTGAAGTATTACTATTGCTACTATTTTTACTATAATGTTTTGAGGATCAAATGAGAGGTCTAGTGTAAAAGAACATGGGTTCACTGCCTGAAGCGAAGTTATTTGGCTCTTAGTTTTCTTACAGCTTTAAGAAACAATTATAGGTACTAACTTCCCTTTTTCTCTGAAGAGACTTGCTGTATCCCGAGTACATGAAAGTTACTGCTTTGAGCTAAGCTCAGATCTCTAGAAAACTGTCCTCCATTTTACAAGTGAGAAAACTGAGGCACACAGGTGTGTGTGTGCATGCGTGTGCAAGAGTGTGCATGCTCTAAACACACAACAAAATGGAATACTAGGATGAGGACATAGGAGGCAGCCCCAGACTTTCTTCTTTACCAGGTATCTTCTCGTGGATTTACGGGTTACAGAAATAAGATCTGATAAGCCCACTGGAAAAGGGGGTAATGTGTAATCCCCCAGGGCAAGGTCCATTTCTTACCTGATATTACTTTCATTCTCAGACTTGGGATAATCTTCCCATTTATCAGTGAAGGTTCTGTTCATATAGATCCACTGCTGGTGTTCAGGTTTGGGGAATGCTTCATATTCAACAATCAAATCTACATTTTCTCCATCGTTTACAAATACTGTAGTGTTTATCATGGGGAAGATATTAATGAATCCTTTATCTAATTAGAATGAAATAAGACAGAAAGAAACCATTATCTACAACTACTGGACAAAAAAACAGAACCTCATCTTGGAATTACAAAAACAATTGGTTGATTTCCAGTATTAATTGGCAATAAGAGAATTTTAACTAGCTGTTTTTCATTTTATTTTGCTCTTGTAGAATCACTGTCACAAGTGAGAAAGGACACACATTTGAAATACTGATTCTCCCATCTCTGCCTCTTAAGCAATTCTCTTAAAGATCTATCACCATCTTAAAAGTCTTCTAAATCTACTAGTCTTGATGTTTATTAGGTTAAAAGAATTTGGAATAAATAGTGAGTTCATACACAGACCCAATATATAATTATATATGTGATAAGGTGTCATAAATTAAGGGAAAACAAGGGAGCCCTAATGTTTAATAAAAATGTTCAAAGAATGTTCTTTAGTATTTGAAGAAAAATAACCTTAGGTCTTCTTATATATCACAGATAAATCAAAGAGCATTTTAACAATAAAATGTTATTTTTAACTAAATAACAATTGACTCCTATGAAATTTCTACAGAGGGGAAGTTTCTAGGCTTTTTAGAAGCAACAGAAGAAAAACATCATAGAAGACAAATTTAAATCCATAAATATTTTTAAAAGTCTATATAGTAAAATAATTAATGTAACAGGAAAAAGGAGAATAAAATGTAGAAAAAATGTTTAGCTAAACTAGTAATTAAAATAAGACATCACTTTTCACTTATTAAAAATAGCAAAACTAATTTTAACTAAACTCAATAATTTTGCAAGTGTGGTAAAAGTAGTATGCTGAATTACACACTGTAAATTGGCACAATTCTTTTAGGAAGCATTTAGCAATATAGATTTTTTTTTAAATTATCTATTCCTTGATTAAATCTTGTAATTTCCATTTGAGAACTCTTCTTAAAATGAGATAGATAGCTACAGGCCAAAAACAAAAGTGCTATTTACACTATTATAAGCTATTATAATATAAAATGGCAAAATAGAAAACCGGTTAAATAAATAATGGAGTCCTTAGAAAAGGTGATATAATAATATAAAAAAGATCTTGAAAAAGAGAGCAATAAAGTAATTGCTAACATTATTTTTATGGCCACCATTTATGTGCTTACTATGTGTTAAGAACTGCTTTAAGTACTTTAGCATACCTTTTACTTAATAATTGTGACACTTAATCTTTTGTTTTGTTTTGTTTGAAACAGGGTATCCCTCTGTTGCCCAGGCTGGAGCACAGTGGCACGATCACAGCTCACTAAAGCCTCGACTTCCTGGGCTCAAGCAATCCTCCTGCCTCAGCCTCCCAAGTAGCTGCAACTCAAGCATGTGGCACCATGCCCGGCTCATTTTTGTATTTTTTGTAGAAATGGGGTTTCACCATGTTGCTCAGGCTGGTTTCAAACTCCTGGGCTTAAGAGATCTGCCCGCCTCAGCCTCCCAAAGTGCTGGGATTACAGGCAGAGCCTCCAATTCAAAACCAGGTAAAATGTTAACAGCTCTTATCACAAAACAAAAAACAAAGAAAGGGTAACTTTGTGAGATGATGAATACATTAATTTGCTTCACTATAGTAATATTCTTACTATCTATATGTACCCCATAACATCATGTTGTATATCTTAAAAATATACAATAAAAAAGTAATTTCTTAAAAAAAGAGTGATACCAAAGCCCTGTTCTCTTCATCACTCCATCATGGATCCAAACCCTCCTCCCAGCCACTAAAAAATTACTTTTCTGTTTGTCTCCTCCTGTTCCTGTTCCACCTCAACCCATTCTCAAAACAATACAAAACCAGATTCAGGTTTCACAGCCACAAGTCCTTCCAGTCATACAGTGATAATTCTTGGAAATTGATGAATGGATTTTAAAAATCCGATTACATACAACAATGTTCTCAAAACATCCTTACTAATTGCTTTCTGGAGCTGAAGCTGATATATCAACATGCTCCCTAATCAACTTAGCAAATTAGTGCTTATGGAGTTTAATATTTTAAAAGCATAGCCTTCTATTCAAATTAATAAATGGTTCACAATCATGTTTAGGAACAAAGTAGTACACTTTCTGTGTGCTGACTATAATTGCAAGTAAAGTATCTTTTCCATGTTCAGTCTGGGGAGAAACTTTCCATTATAACATGGGCAGAAACGCCAAAATTTTACGAGATTATTGTGGGATAATCACAAAGCTTTAATACTGCTACATAAATTATTGAAGAAATTTGGTGAGGCGGGGAAAGAGATGAAAACAAATACCGCATCACTTTATTATTGTTCTTGATCAAGAATTTTGCCACCTTAGAAGTATTTAATGAAAGTCTAACACTAGGAATATGGTTGTACTAAAAAGACAGAAAAATGGATTAAATTCAAACAATACTCAAAAGACAAAAAAATTGTAAACAAAGTAATTTTAAAATTATTATTATTCTCAGTAAATCAAAAGCATGAAGAAACTCACTATGCTCTGCTCTCTTTAAATAAAGATGCTTGGAAAATAAATATTTAGTGAAATTTCTAGAGTAGAGAAGATAAGGCTGAACCAATTGTGCATACCAGATATGATGGGGTCCGGGGACAGATTACCATGTTGTAGTTTATGCTCCGTAGAACCAATGACCTGTGTCCCAATGGCACTCCTTCCTGAAGGTTTATGCTATAATCTTTATGCTTAGAGAACAGGTGAGATAAGGAGGTAGGGAATACTAGGGAGGAAAAGTCCAATTCAGTCCTTACTAGAAGGAACTAGATCTGATGAGTGGCAAAACAATAAACCAAGGGGCACAGCCCCTACCAAAAGTTTCAGAGAAATACTTCAGGCTCTAAGCATTTGTGTTCCTTGATAAATTCTACATCCATTTCCAAACTCAAGTCATTCAGCGAGCACTAGCATTTTTGAAAAATCTCAACTTATGTTTTGTTTGGTGGGGAAAGGAGGGTGAGGTGCACAAAGAATAATAGGTTTGAACAATTTTAGTAACAGCTTTCCACTTTCCTCCACTAAACTGGTAGAATTTGGTTTTGTGCTTTCATTGCAAGAGGCTACAAGGATAATTTTCATTCATTCAGTGATAACAAAATTCTAAGAATCTGTTCAACATTCCATTTACATAAAAAAGAAACTGTCTAATAATTTCTTCTTTCACTACTGCCAGTAATTTAAACATTCCCATAGAGGTATTTACCTACTACTTCCAAGGTTGTTGTGACATTTGCTGATCCAAAAGTATTATTGGCATAACACATGAACACTCCAGAATCATTAACTCTCGCTGAACTGATAGTCAACGTTGCCTGACGTTCATAATTGAAGTCACCGTGATGCCAGCTATTATATTTCTCCTGTAGTTTAGTCTGCTGGTTTCAGAAAAGGAGAAAAAAAAATGAAGATTACCATATAATTTATATTCAGAATCTTTCCTAGATAAATTAAAAATAGCAGCAATTAACTTCTCCATATTAACTTTCATTATACACTACTTAAGTAAGAATAATAAAGCATCATGACAAGTCTGTCATTGGAACACTTCATATTACAGGATTATGTTGAAAGACAGTCATTATTAACGATTGGGAAAAAAACGAAAATTCATTTCTTAACCCTAGTATGTATAATTCCAAATTCTATACAACGCTAAATTTTAAAAGTTGCTATCTCTGAAATATTATGGGATACTGATATTTTGTAATATGAGTCAGCATATTTTTGTCATGTCTTTTTCTCTTCTATGTCCCAATGACTGAGAGCGAACACATTGCTAATAACAATAATGTTCTATTTTATTAAAATTTATTATTTGCAAGAATGAAAACAGAATCACAATGTCAACAACTAGCTTGGAAACTCATCCTGCAGTTCTCACCCAGCAGAATCTTGTAAACTACTGAAGGGAGTTCCAAGGTATAAGAGACATCTAAGAACAAGGCCCAAATTATTTAAGCATGAGCTGAAAAGAAAAGGTTGTGAATTTACCCTTGTGATATCACCATCTCACTCATTTTTTGTCTGCAGACAAGACATGGAGAGATTTCTTGTATTTAAAAAGTCATGGGGAAACCATAACATAAGCTACAGCAGCTTTCTGAAAAGATTAAAGAAAGTCTAATATAGCTTTCTGCATCTTCCAAATTTTCTGTAATGTACACACACTCCTATTACAATGGGGAAAAAAACAACCAATTAAAGTAAAAGGAGCTAATAGTGACATGGAATGAGATCAAGGGTGATTCCTTGGCGAGGCTTTGGTAAACCTAATAGAGTTAAAGCATCTGACAGTATTATAAATCAGAAAAATCCTTCTGGAAAGGAGCTTACCAGGATGTTCATACCCTCTGATCAACTGCAGCAAATTTAACTCAAGGAAATTGCTCAACAGAAAATAAAAGCTTCAATATGTTGGTTGTGGTAAAAACTCAGAAACGACCTAAATGTATATCAAGTATAGCATTATGACTATAAGAGAGGTGTTTACCTACTTAAAAAGCACAAATTGAATGTACCTTAAAATTGCAATTATCTGATAATACATATGCATAGGGGAAAAGAGAAAAAATATGAAAAAATGCAGACTATATAGCATTTATAAGGACTAGACACTTGGGACTACTAAGCATTTGAAATCTGGTAGTCCAAAGTAAGTTGTGTTGTAAATATAAAATATGTCCTGGATTTTGAAGACTTATATTTAAAAAAATGTAAAACACCTAATTAGTAATTTTTATGTTAATTACATTATGAAATAATATTTTAGACACACTGAGTCAAATAAAATATATTATTAAAATCAATTTTACCTTTTTTATTTTTTGTAATGTACCTACTAGAAAATTTAAAATTACATATAAGGTTCATGTATTTCTATTACACAGCATTGCTATCTATGACGGTGGAATTATACCTATTTTTTAATGTTATTAAGGTTTTACAAATATTTTTACATTAAAGTAACCACACACAAAAGTTGACTGCTGAAGCTGAATGTTTCAAACTAAAAAGAACAGAAACCTGCTTTGCTGTTAACTAATCGTGAGATCTTAGGTAAGTCAAGAGCATCACTAGTCTTAACTTTTAGTTTCTAAAAGGGTATGTGGGAACAAAACTATCTTTAAAGGCTTTTCTAGTTTGTAACACTATGTAGATTTCCTACTACCCCCTTCTAAGAGAGTCTTCTAATAATTGGCAGAAATCTACCATTTCACAGCATAAGATCAATTGTCAAGAAGATGTAAGAGCAAGGTGAAGCAACATTTTCAAACTGGCTTTTCCCAGTTCATAGTTTCACAGACTTCTCCACAAAGGCAGAGTGACAATGGACAGATAACATATCAAAGTCTCAATTTAAGGTATCTTCCTTCTAGTTCTTTCAAGAGCCCAAGAGTCCACAACAGAACTCAAACAGGAACTCTGAACTTGTCAGCGCTGAAAGGAATAGTGCAGTCATAAGAGATGCAGCATGAACATCCAAACCCAAAGCCCATAAGTTAGGATACTGTCAAAGATTCTGATTACAAGCAAGTAAAAATGTGAGGGTTTAGAGGCATTAAGAAAGCTAACCAACTAAGATTAACAGTATTGAACAAACTCCAAGACTCCCTTGCGCTTAAACAATGGCAACAATGCTAAAAAGTCATTTTACCCTAAATTACATTGTGAGTTAAACTTATTCCAAAGGGTCAGAATAAAATATTATGGATTTTTTAATAATTTGATAGTGCTAATAGTATTCTAAATTAAGCCAAAAGATATCAATAAAAGATTCATGGATGAACCTTGGCAGACAGCCATGAGCCCCATCTGCAAGTCACACATTACATATTGTTTGCACGTGATTTGGTTTTCCTTAACCCTTGGAGGTGCACACTGGGATTTCCCCAAAGAGCTCCTAACACTGAAGGCTTATCTACCAGCACCAGTGGATTAATTGGGACTGGCATGCAGGGCTCCTGGGAAAAATGGTTCAGAACAAAACTGCCTGGGGCAATTTAATTTCTCATCTCAAAAAAGGATAATGTTCAAGTTATACAGAGGCTCAAATGCACACCCGGTCTAAATTGTTCTCTCATCTGAAATCAAGGATTATAGAAAGCCAATTAATATGAGATTGTATTCTGTAAGGTTAGCCAAAAATCCATACATAAGCTATTTTTGTATTACATTATATGATACAAAAACTAAAATGTTTCTCTGAGTCATTGGTTTGAAAGAATAAGTCTATGGTACAATCCATTCTACCAGTCAATGGCAGGCTTCATTTAGCAAGATATCATCCATCACAGGTCTACATGAATATCATCACACTGTCTTTGCATTATGGCAATCACCATGGTTATTTGTTTAGCAAAGAGTTTTTTAAACAGGCATAAAATTGCCAATGTTGAACATGGGGCAGGAGGAGGAAGAGGAGGAGAAAGAAAATATAATATTTCTTTTTTCCAATATAATGCTTGCATGGGTAATGAATAAAAACCACTGTGATAGCTAATTAACTAGATGGCCAAGATTATTCAAACAAAAATTACTGAAAACTTGGTCAATGGGAAGTTTAAAGCAAAGTATTTGGAAATTAAGACAGTGTAAAAACTCTGCTCTTTTAGTAGGGATAAAATTTCAGTAACTAGCTAAAATTTATTTAAGATATGCCTAACCCAGTATCTGAGGTATAATGGCATTGAATATGCATTTGTTAAATGAATGGGAACGTAAGCATGCCCAGATGTTTCAGATTAAGGATAACAGTTTTATTAATAGTGACTAAAACAAATAGAAAACCATTAGCAACTTAATCTCAGGTAACCAGCCTCAAAGGAGGAAATCAGATCCTTACAAAAAGAAACCCATCTTCAAATGGATAGGCCAATTTGTGGGCGAGGGAAGGGTTTTCTGGTGAATAATTGAGACTCTCTATTCTTTTTAAGTATGGAAGTGGCAACTCTTTTCAATATTTTAAATAGTCTGGCCTAAACGGTATCAACAATAGCTTTAAATCAAAGTATTCATGCAGTTAACCATGTTTTTTAAGTCCCTAACAGTTTTTCAAAGAAACAGCATGAAGTAATAACATGAATCTGAAGTTCTCTCAAGTTTCTCAAAATAAATGTATAAAATGAAATTTATTTGTTACTAATAATAAATGTATATATCTCCATGTGGAGGTATGAAAGGGGGAAATATGCAATCCCAACACTCTCCCAGACAATCCACCTCTGACAGACGCACTAGTCGAGGCAGTTTCAGGACAGACTCTTCTGAAAGAGAAAACTTATCATCTCCCACAGAGACAGAACATGAGAAGAATGAAGCGATTCACTCACCTGACTGTTTTCTCTTTTCCACGTTGAGTACACAGAACTAGACACATCTTTTATTGTGCACGTCACTGTGAATTCTTCCCCTTCCCTAAGAAGATAGCTTGCTTTGGACACAGACACAACAGGCACAGCTTTGAAGGCTAGAATGAAAAGAAATGTGGCCCCTCAAATAATTTGTATTATAGCATGAAATTTTGATTTACCATTTCTCCTCAAATGTGTACAGCTTACTTTGTCATCTTTTAAATAAAATACAAAGCATGGTGCTAACCTATCTGTACTACTTGCATATCTGAAGGTACCAGCAATTAAATCAAGCATCCTTCAAGTAAATTGAGTGAAAAAGACAGAAATGCCCACTGTGAGATTATAATACTTCTGGAAAACACTTTTTCCAAACCAAGTAGAAGCCCTAGCATAGAGAAGCTGCTTTAATCTTTATTTCAGACAACCTTGATGGTGTCAGGAGGATGTGACCAACAACTACTTATATTCTTTTAAGCAAACAGGCGTCTTTCTCATGCAAATCCTACCCTGCTCACCTCTGGAAATCCCAGGTTTTAAATAATCAAATTTTCCCTAATTTCAATAAGTATACTTTTTCAAAAGCCTTAATAAAAACTGTACTCAATAGCTGAATGCCAACTGGTGTTGAATTAGATGATCTCTGAGATTTAAAACCTAGATTATCTTCCAGCTAACGAAATATTCTACATAACGGCACAACCATAACAAGTTCCACAGTCAACTGGAATTTTCCTTCTCAGATCTCAAACAGTTTGAGGATGCATTGCAATTGATCAGCTGAAGGGAAAGTCAATTCATATGTCAATAGTAAATCAAAGAATGAATCATCTGCATGCTAATCTTTTCAACCAACATAATTCAAGCTACCCAATGGGTTTCCCTTAGAACGAGTACTTGATGCAATTATGAAACTTTGGGCTGACTTAAGTCAGTCCAGTCTAAATGCCAATCTATGGCAGATACATTCACCTCTATGAGAGGCAGTCATGGAACTGCCACACGGGGTCAGGACCATGAAATAAACAAATTCAAAAGCAGATGACATTTTTTGAAGCTGGGGGAACTATGAACAGCTAGCTCCCTGATTGACTACACTAAGGTGGATCAACGAGAAGAGAAGTCTTCTTTAGATAAGTGAGTTCTCAACTCCCAGAGGCAGATAAGAAAGAGCCAGTACCTGGCCTCACTTTCAGGATGAATTTTTCCGACAGCACTGACTTGCCCTCCTGGTCCACAGAACAATGCAGACAGAGCCGATGGTAGGCGCGTTTCACACTTTTGATCATGATGCCCGCCTTGGGGTCAGGAATAAACCTCAAGTCCTTGGGAAGAGGCTTCCCCTGGCACCCCTTGAGGGAATAATTGGTCACTTCTGGGTCTGTGAGAGGACAGCGGACCAGCGTGTCGTTGTCTTCTTTCCCATACAAGGAGCGGTCAACAAGGAAAAGCTTGGCAGGATCTATAGAAGCATATCCAAAATCAGTAGTTGGAATGGCTGGTCACAGACACTGAAAACACTTTTTAAAAGATCTAATATGTTGCCTTTCATGACTAGTGGCCCAAATGGCTGCTTTTTTCTGTGTAAACAAAAGCAAAATTTATCCATCTAGTACTATTGAGAATTAACATTTATTAAACGCTTTCCATGTATCACGCACTAAGCTTGGACCATTACACTTAATCTCATTTAATCTTCAAATTGCCCCTCCCATGATCAGTACTATTATTATTGCCATTTCATAGATGAAACTGCGGTGTCATAAAAGCAACCCTCCTAAAGTGACATGACCTGGAAATGGCTGATTGGAACTCAAACCCAAGTCCAACAGAGAGCAATATTTGAGCTCTTAAAACTTTGGGAAAACTTTATTACAACTCCAGGGATCATCTGCCAATAAGCCAGTGTGATGATTCCTAGTGAGAGCAGGAAAGGCTTCCTCCTTCTAACCACTTGGTGCAGGACCCTTTCCAGGGTCCAGAGTCTTTCGGCTTCTAAAGAGAATCCAGAAAACTCTCACCAGGCCACCCAGTACCCATGATAGGTGAGTCTCACTTGATTCATATTCCTCTGAAGAAACATGTAAATGTAGCTTCTGGAAATCAAATAATTTCAAATGCACAAGGGGAGCTTGTGAGTTTCAGGAATTCTGTGGCAAATACCATAGCCCACCAGGACACTTGTGAGTGAAAGTGAACACCATTAGTGTTTATGACAGGACACCAGGAACAGACTCGGAGTGGCTCAGGCTGACTGGGGCCTCATAGAAGCCAGACAAACCTAATTTCGTATACACAATATGCTGCCACTCTCTACAGTGTCATAATACAGATACATGTTTAGGCCCACAGATTACATTTAAAATCTGTTTTTAAACTGTCCTTTCCATCTGAAACTCAGGTGTTTCACAAAATGAACTTGACATCATTGAAATAGGTTTGTGTTTTATCCTTGATCAATTTTGAAAAAAAAGTTTTCCAAGATAAATTATGCATCTCCCAACCTTACTAATTTATTCTGCAAATAAATGACCTCATGATGGTTGAACTATGGATGGTCCCAGGCCATAGCTAGTTACTGTTTTATCTACTCTTTGTAGGTCACTTGAGTCTAGCTCCTACAATGATGCCCCACCTTCCTTCATTGCTGTAACAGAGATTACTTAAGTATTCAAACATCTTACATTTGTTATAATTAAGGATAGTTCCAAGATACAGAAGATGACTTTCCCTATGAAGAATGTTTGTGAGCCCTGTTAGAGTGATTTAACCAATTCAACAGTTTTCCTCATTTATTCAATTGTCATGATACTTCATTGCCACCTGGAAATTGCAAAATACCTTCCTGAATGTAAAGAACAGCACATGGATTAGCTCAGCAATCACAGAAGCATGCCCTGAGGCGAAGTGGTGACTTACCAGGGTATATCTCTTTGCAGCTACCTACTTCGGAAAGGACAACTGATAAAGCGGAGAGGCACAGTCAAACTTTAGAGTCAGCTTTATTCGCTCCTGATGGAGCATGTTAGAATTTGTACCATCCTGGCTCCCTAACAATTACGTAAGGAAGACAGAACAGATCATCTTATCCAAATACTGTAGTGAGGAACTGAACTCAGGAGGTACCTAAGATCTCCAATCTAGAATAAAAGTATCCATTATTCATTCACAATACCATGGATAAGGCCTCTCAGGCCTGTTTCAAAGACAGCCCCAGTCCAGGGGCACCCAGAACTAGAAAATAGAACTCTATTTCTCCTCCCGTCACTTGGATATGTCCCTTAAGCTGCCAGTGGATCAGTTTTTACATCAACTACAAGATACACCCCTGCCCAGCATGCTTACTCTTGAAAAGGCTATTAAAATCACAGACAAATCACTGAACTTGTCATAGGAAATAAAGCAAAGAACTCCAACTACCATATTTATTTTTCTTTTGTTTATAAGAGGTCACATTTTTTTCTATGGACAACTCTACAAAGAACCCATGACAGACATGGGATGTTTAGCTGACCAAATTATTTTTCTGAAATTTACTCCTTAAGAGTGGGCCACATCTTTCGAAGTGTCGGTCTGGTTAGGCTTTGAGAGGCCTTCGGCTCCCTGAAGTGTTTTTACTAAGTGGGAGTATCTAGTATCTCAAGGCATTAAAATGCAGCTTTCCCAAAGGGCCTAATTGATTCTCAGGGTTTACTCAAAGCACCAGCACAAATGGGCTAAACCTACTGTAATCTCATTAGGAAGAGTATCACAGTCCTGCAGTCCTCCAGCTGGGGCCATACCCAAAGCCACTATGTATCATATCAAAAGATGGGAGAGAACAGTGAAGAAACATGTGTTTTAGGCCTTCTAGACCCAGCCAGAAATATTTTATCTATGGCTCAGTCATCCATATGTCATCCAAAATTAAGAGCAGGATATTAAATTCTTGAAAGCACAGCACTGCAGAAAGCCAAGCATTTACCTCTAACAAACACATAAATGGAATTGCTTAAGCCGTGTTTGTTGGTGCACGTGTATTTGCCGGTGTTGGTGGCTTCTGCCTTTTCCGTGATCCATTCATTCTGCTTATTCTCATTCGTTTCATCCAGGATCTCAAAAGTCCATTTGACAAAGCCCGGATCAGTGCATAACAGCCTAATCTCGTCGCCCACGCGGACTATTAAGTCTGATTTTCCTGGATGGATGGATGGTGGAGACGGTTCCCCTGGACTCACAGATGGTTGAGAAGAGCCTGCCAAGAAAAACAGAATCGTGTTGAGTATGATCTTCTTCCTTGGCGAAATAAAGCACTTCTTCCAATACTGAGTTCCATCTTCTGTGTACTCTACAATAAAAATAGGACAAAGCTGCCCTGCTATTTATGGCTGAAAAGAGAGTTCTGTCTAAAATGTCTTAAGTTCATCTATAAAATTATTTTCTCCAACCCTCAATTAATCCTGAGGGTCACATTTGGTCCCCAAGCCAGGATGTGCTGAATGCCCCAGCCTTCTCTGGGCTAAACATACAATTGGGTCAAGTTTTCATTCTGAATATGGGCCATCTTCGCAGTGTGGACATGCAGACACCCAGCTTAGAAACAACAGAAACAAAATCTCACACTATGGGGAAAAAGAAAAAAGAAACTACTGGCCTGTCACTCTCTTTGGCAGAATATACATGACCATGACATAGAATAGCTTTTCCTTAAAACTGTGTGAATTCAGTTATTTCTGTATAACTCTCTTTACATGGCAATGTTCATCAAAAGGAGAACTATTCACAAATCTCTAAACACTAAGGCAGAAAATGATACACCTGTTTTAACACCCTAATGCCTAAATAGGTTTCCTAGATAGGAAACTATTTAGTTTATAAAGATGCAAACTTTAGGCTCTGAATATGAAACCTGAACCCTAGAAATTTTACAACAGCCACTTCATTCAGCCATGCATGCCTCCATGTATTCAAATACCTATTCATTAATTATCATCTACAAAAGCACCATGCTAGATGCTGGGGAAAAGTCCATGCTAGTGTGACACATGGTCCTCACATACATTTCAGGGTTTAAAGAACAAACTGCTGGCCAGGTGCCGTGGCTCACGCCTGTAATCCCAGCACTCTGGGAGGCTGAGGTGGGAAGATTGCTTGAGCCTAGGAGTTCGAGACCAGCCTGGGCAACGCAGTGAGACGCCCCCACCGCCCAACACATCTACAAAAACTAGAAAAAACATTAGCTGGGCATGGTAGTGGGAACCTGTTTTCCCAGCTACATGGGAGGCTGAGGCGGGAGGCTGAGGTGGGAGATCACTTAAGCCCAGGAGGTTGAGGCTGCAGCAAACTGTGATTGCAACACTGCACTCCAGCCTGAGTGACAGAGTAAGACTCTGTCTCTCTAAAAACAATAGAACAAAGTACTGAAGTAAAACATAGCTATGAGGTTTACTGTCAATCTGAAGAAAAAGCAAGAGGTGGGCTGGAGTGTAACCATATCATAAGGGCAAAGGAGGAGGAGGAGGAGAAGATGACAGCATGAACTGGCAGTGAAGTGAGCACAGAGCCTCTAGAGTTATTCAGAAACCAGCCTGGCTAAAAAACAGGGTACCTTGCGGAGCACATGACAGGTGAAACTACGTGGAGTGAAACCAGATCCATCAAGGGTCCTGAACTTCTGGGTGTAAATTCTGGGAACGTACCTCAGGGACCCTGTAGATTCAATTTAGGTTTTTCAGCAGAGAAGTGACATGCATAGTGAGATCCCAGAGAATCAACTAGATTCAAGGAAATGAGTGAAACATGCTGGTCGCAGGCAGAAGTAATGAGAACCTACAGTAAGGAATTCAGAATAAACAGGAAAAGACACTATAGATTGTCAGAGGAAGGCCATATCAGCGGGATGAAAAAGCAAAAGGTTGACTCAGGGAAGACCTCAGTGAGGAGGCAGAAGGCAAGGTCCCCAGGTGAGGTGGGCTGGGGCAGTGTGATAACAAGATTCCCTGGGGCCCCCAGTCACCTCTTGCAGAATGGTGAAGGGAATGGTTCATGCACATCAGATTTATGTCCCCTGCCACCATATGCAAGGTTGCAGATGAGGACTGATCTGAGTGAGCCACACAAGTTCAGGATGGGTGAGGATAGGGGATGGGGGCATATTCTGAGGGGAGGGGACGTGAGAGGTGTAATTTGCTCACAGGTACAACCTGGCCAGTAATGGGACTTCTCAGCAGTGGGTTGCTTATGACCTGGAATTCAGATGATGGTGGTCCAGTGACACCTTGTGAAGTTAAAAAACAAGATCAGATCATTAAAGAAAAGGGTTTGAGGAACCAACCAAGCATTGATCTTAAAGGGCTCTTCCAGCCAAGACGGTGTAGGAAAGGGTCATGAGAGATTTAAGAAAAAGAACCACCAGGAAGAAAAGGGAGAGAGGCTAAGTGGCAAAGAAGGCAATGCAGTACAAAGTTTCAAAGAGAGGGTGGTGGCTCTAAGGGCAGATGCCACAGTAAGATGGCAGGGAATGAACAAAAGACCCCTAATCTGGTTACAAAGAGACTGCTGGAAATTCTAAAGTACAATTTCAATTGAGTGGGAAGTGTTGTTTGCTCCAGGGCTACAAGCTGCAAATGCAGACCTCTCCCTTGGGTAGTTCTGGCAGTACAAGACAGAAATAGAGATCTGTAGCCAAACCAGGCTTAAAGGTAAAGAAAACAGGAGACCCCCTCACATGCGAGATAGAAAGAAGAGCACTTGTGGGTAGGGACAGACTGAAGGTGCTTTACAGGAGGGTGGAAATTGTTTCCTGCAGGTGTGTGTATAGATGACCAGTCTCAATTCCTGTTTATTAGCCAAATATTGCCTGTGGTGGCATCAACTGTAGCCCCATTATGTCAAGCAAAGTACACCCCAGATCAAAAGACAATAAGTCCAATTATAAGCATTAAATATTATTAGGCAGCAACAACGTCATAAAGGCTACAGAGTGAGACGTTGAGTCCGCTAGGTGCAGCATCTAAATGTGGCAGCAAGAATATGGGCACGCAGTGGCCAGGATTATTTTCAGAGTTGTACAGAGCACTAAATAATAAAAACAGAGGCAGCAATAGAGATGCTATTATTTATATTATTTATTCCTTTTAAAAAAGAACAGTTCCCAATGAATGTGCATGATATTGATAGCAAATTTGACCCAATATTTCTTAAAGAATTTATACTGCAATCTATTTCAATCAATTCCATTTTCTCATGGGTTGATCTGATGGATATAGATAATTACAATCCAGTCAAATAAACATCCTTGACTTCCTGAGACACACCAGGCCAATGCAGCTAAGTCTAGCTGTGTGACATAGGCATATCACCCTAACTCTGTGTCCAAGTTTCCACACCTGGAAAATGAGGATAAAAATACCCTCATCTCATAGAGTTTTTCTGAGAATCAAGTGAGGTAACACATGTAAGGAGATTAAAACAGGACTGGATAGTTTTTAATACATGCTATCATAGAAAAGCAGGAAAGCCTTTTAGCATACCAAGTGAGAGCCTGGCTCTTGAGTTAGGACTGTCTAGACTTGCATCTTGGCTCTGCCACTGAGTGTGTAACCCTGAGGCAAGTTCCTACTCAACTCTGCCCTCAGTTTCTCATCTGTAAAGTGGGGATACTAACAGTACTTATTTTATAAGGCTGTTATGTAAAGCTCTTAGAACTATGTTTTGGTACATGGAAAACACATAATAAATGTTAGGCACACTTATTCCAGAAATGGAACTTCTTATTGGCCTTCCAAATCAGTCCGGACTCACCCACTTCCTATGTATGGGAAGAGTTTCCATCATCTGCCAAACATGTTCCTACCTGACTTCCCCCTCTCGGGCAGCACATCCTAGCATTCTTTCCTTCAGAGCCCCCTCCACACACCCTGTATCCCTTCCATTCCTGCTGTTCCACTTGAGACCAGCCAACTACTTCACAGAAGTAATATCCTCTCCTAAAAGACTCCCCGCCAGCCGCCACCCACCCCACCCCAACTCATCCTCCCTCAAAACTCTGAGGTCCATCAGCCTAAAACAATATCCTTTTAACAATTCCATCCCCAGCCTCAAAACCACAACAGAGGCAGCAGCAGCTAACAGTAGCAGCTCTTACAACTTTAAAGGAACTGCCATGGGGTTAACTTCTAGCTGTTTTCCCCGGACCCAACCTGCCTCTCCTTAGGCTGACTGGCTAAGGATCCTGAGAACATTCTTCATCCGTTGTCATGCCCATCATCCCTTCTGCCTGTGTCCCTGGGACACATCTTGTCTTGTGTAAAGCCCCGCTGAAGACAGCCTCTTCATGGATGTTGTTCCCTAGCCACTCCATGTTGCGATAACCTGTCCTCACTAAATCCCACCAACAGAGGCAGCCCATCACTCATTTGCCTTGTACTGATGTTCAACTGTGTCCATATCTCCTACATCCACTCCAAGGTCTTAGATCCTGCAGGTAAGGATCCTAAATCGTACTTTTCCCTCTAGCACAGTAATAAAAACATTTTCTTCAATCCTGAACATATGAAAGAATAAAGACAGGACAGGCTCCTAAACACCCAGTCCCTATAACAGATGTCAACAGTCTACAGATCTATCCCCAAAAGATGACCCATGTCAATTCTGCTGCTCCACCAAGAAAAGCTTGGCTTCATCAAGTCAAACAGCCATGCATCCCTCCAAATAAGGGCCCTCTAAATTCAAGATCATGAGTTCATGCTTCACTTCTAGAGTTTTAAAAAATAATTAAAATAATTGCCACCAGAAGTATTCAGGGTTTTATTTTCAAAATAAATGATTTATAAACTCACATTATAAAATGAAAATAGGGCTTTTATTAGGGTGGGACTGTAATGTTTATTCTCTTTTTTAAATTGTCTTTAATATTGTTATAGTAGTCTCACAATTTTTGAAAAACAAAGTTTTTTTTAAAAGAGTAGAGGTTCGTATTAAGAGAACGCCTTTCAAAAAGGTATTCCAACTTAGCTTTGAAATTGCTCTGAAATTCCAAATTTTGAAATGTGCGTGGTAGACAGCAAGTTCTTAACAAATGTTTGTTGAATTGTGTTTTATTTACACCAGGACTTTTTGCATTAGCAAATGTACTTCCCAAATTATGTTTGGCTAAGGCTAATATTAAGAGTTGTTTTCTGTTCCCTGAACACATGTTAATTAATTAACCCAAAAAAAGGATAGGTGGCAAAACCCAACACTCTGGAGACCAACTAGCACTATAAGGAATGACGGCTTTAAGCTAGGAACTCCGGGAACTATTTATTCAGTAAATACTTATCCCAGCTACTTGGTAAGTGCTGAACCTAGAAAATGGCCTTCGCTCTCAAACAGCATAGAGGAGGAAGCGGACACTTACGAAGAGTCAACAATGCAAGATTTCAGTGATAGCTCAAAATAAAAGAAATGCCTCTGGCTTATAACCTCTTCAGGTACTTGCTATGTCTCCCTCATCACTAGCAGTATAAAATTCAACCTATATAATTGAAAGCAGAAACTCAAACCCATACTTGTACACCAATGTTCCCAGCAGTATTATTCACCATAGCCAAAAGGTGTAAACAACCCAAATGTGGTCCAATAACTTATAAAACCCAATGTGGTCCAATAACTTGGATAAAATGTGGTATATACATACAATGGAACATTACACAGCCCCCCCCCCCCACAAAAAAAAAGTAACATTCTATACATGCCACACATGAATGAACCTTGCAAACAGTATGCTAGGTCAAATGTGCCAGACAGAAAGGCATATTGTGTGATACCAGTTATATGACGTACATAGGATAGGCTAATTCACAGAGACAGAAAGTAGAACAGGTTATTAAGGTGTGGGGAGGGAGTACAGTGGGGGATGGACAGTTATTATTTAATAAGTAGAGTTTCTGTTTGGGATATGAAGAAGTTCTGGAAATGGTTAGTAGTGATGGTTACACAACATTGTGAAGATACTTGGTGCCACACAGAATTGGGACACTTAAAAATAGTACATCCTAAGTTACATGTATTTTACTGCAATTAATGTTTTAAAAACTCAACAATTCTTTAAGGCCCGGCTAAACCTAAAACCTGCCTCAGCTATCTTGACACTTTTTTATCTGATCACACTGGCCTCTATTATTAGCCTCTGTGAGCCCCTCAATGTTGTTTTAATTCATGTCATTAAAAAATTAATTGCTTCACTATTTTTATTTAGTTTTGCTATACAGTTGAGCTTATACTAAATAAGCATTGGCAGGAAAAGGTCTTTTAACTCTCTGAGTGGAAAGACCTGGAAGCTCTTATTTTAAACCACACTGACCCTGCCCAAGGCATTTTTAATGTCCAATACTATTAAGTTCTTCTCTAGTGTATCTTTGCTCTTCTGCTCACACCATGAGTCATCTGGTTTTATCCCCAAACCTGCTTATGGGAGTTGTATTCGATATTTTATTATGTATAAATTACATGTATAAAGTGCACATTATGGAAATTGGTGAAAAATGAGTGTGTGCTTATGGGGAGAAAGCTGCTAATTCTTCCATAACTAAGAAAGGCTTTATATGGGTCGCTCAACTAAAGAAAGTCTACTATTGAATTAAATGTGGGCAAACATTAGCAGATCGGAGGAGGGCCTCCAATTTACAAAAACTTGGCGTGGGTTCTGCATTTGGATTGTTTCACAAGTACTCCATTTAAGGACACAGAAATAAGGAATCACAGACTCTGCATTGTGGGTGTGGTGTATGGAAAGAATGGCAGCTCAGAACTTTCCTGAGAAAGCCCATCACTCAACCAAAACTCAAAGAAGAGGCTTTGGCCCTCCATCAAAAGATAGGCAGCTGTCCATCTCCTAGCTGTCCATTAGGCCTATTCTAGTTTTGGGGAAGCAGAGCAGGAAGAACTGTGACTGGGGCAGAGCCTGTGCGTTGTAGTTCAACTACTCTTCAGTTCACATAGTGTTTAACCACAATTCGTAAAAATAAAATATTCAAAGCATACCTGTAGTATTTTTTTAACATGTCAATTCACAGACTAGTTGAGACTGCAATTCTAGGTGCAGTGATCTGTGGAAGCAGGAGTGACCTGTTGATGGAGCTCAGGGGTTCTCCCCGGCAACTTCAGCAGTGGCTGGCCCAGGTCAACCATGACTGCAAGGTCTTTCTATCCTTCACAAAAGGCTAAAGCTCCAACAACTGGATTGATAGCTGCGGTTAAAAGTAAGGAAGTCCTTTCTAAACCTGTCCTCTTTTGGACACAAATATAAGGAACTAGACAAAATAATGGCGGGGAAGAAAACCCACCACATTAGGCCTATTCTAGTTTTGGGGAAGTAGAGCAGGAAGAACTGTGACTGGGGCAGAGCCTGTGCATTGTAGTTCAACTACTCTTCGGTTCACATAGTGTTTAACCACAATTCGTAATAAAAAAGCTAATGATTTGTATATTATACTGTTTCTGACACACTTTTATATCCCCATAGGAATAAACTGGATGAAAACCATGATGGAAGGATCCCAGTAATCGCCCACAACACCCATGAGGCTTTACAAACAAAGAGATGATACTGGAAATAGCATGCAGATGGGGGAGGGGGAGTATGAGCTCAGTGAAAACCACACAAGTCCTCAAAACACTCTTGCCCAGCAGTGGGGAGACTAAATCAACTCTGAATCACCCACATGAACCAAAGGAAGCCATGCAACAGAGAATCTCAAAAATGTCCCTGTTCTACTATGGGGAGCTCAATGCACCGTCGTCATTAAAGTCTTACCTTTCATCACGCATGTACTGTGTAACCAGAACTAGATGCTCATGGGGGAGCTCACAGCCTTGTGCAGACAAAGACATAATGCTAATGAAATAAAACATCAAGAGGTGACACACGTGCTACAGGCCTGTGCTGCCCAGAAGGACCATGAAAGGGTGTAGGGGAGAGCTGAGCCAGGAAGACTTTGTATATGTGTTTGCACGTGTATGTGTTTCTATGTGTATTCAAGGAAAAGGAAGGCGAAGACAAAGTTCTCAAAGCATGAAGGGGTGTCCAAAGCATCAGGAAAAGCTAGTCCTATGGGGACCCCAACCCAACCAAACTGTGAGCTCTCACAATCCAAAGTAAGGTCTCTGTCCAGTGCCAGGAATATACCACCTGCTAAGTGCAGGGGGAAGGAATGTCTACAGTACAGAAGATGCAAAGGGGCAGAAAGGAAAGAATGGTTAAATAATTTGTGGCATCACCCTACAGAGCAATGCTTTTTCATTGAGGATGTTTGATTGTAAGTCTTTTTTTTATTTTTTTTTTGGAGATGGGGTCTTGCTCTGTCGTCGCCCAGGCTGGAGGGCAGTGGCGCGATCTCGGCTCACTACAGCCTCTGCCTCCTGGGTTCAAGCAATTCTCCCACCTCAGCCTCTCAAGTAGCTGGGATTACAGGGGCACATAACCATACCCGGCTAATTTCTGCATTTTTAGTAGCGATGCAGTTTCACTATGTTGGCCAGTCTGGTCTCGAACTTTTGACCTCAGGTAATCCACCCGCCTCGGCCTCCCAAAGTTGATTATGAGTCTTCTTGAAGGTTGATTTCACTCAGTGGTAAATAATTTTAAACAGTCTTTCATATTGTTTTACATATTGTAATATAGAAGGTAAAATCAAATGTATTTTTTTCAGGAGGAAATAAATGAGCTTTCGAAGAAACTGAATTACTTTACAACCACATATTCCCAAATGTCCCACTCAAACCAGTGGTACCTCCAATCTTTAAAAGTAGTTCCATGGAAAAGTTTGAGAATATGCCTGGACGGATCACACTTTCTCTTAAGTTCAGATCTATCTTTAATCCAGTAATACAGAGATTAAAGCAATTATTTAGGCAGAACTCATGATTAAAATCTGCTCAGGGCCAGGAGTGGTGGCTGACACCTGTAATCTTAGCACTTTGGGAGGCCGAGGCAGGCAGATCACTTGAGTCCAGGAGTTACAGACCAGCCTAGGCAGTATGGTGAGACCACATTTCTACAAAAAATACAAAAATTAGCTGGGTGTGGTGGCACGCTCCTGTAGTCCCAGGTACTCAGGAGGCTGATGTGGGAGGATCACCTAAGCCCAAGAGGTCGAGGCTGCAGTGAGCTGAGATTGTGCCACTGCACTCCAGCCTGAGGAGTGGAGTAAGGCCCCATTTCAAGAAAAAGAAAAAACCTACTCAGGTTTAGTCATGAGGTGAATGATAGGTAACTGATTGACATCATCTCCTCCTTACCTTTCATTGTAATATTCCCATGTCCAGGCCTGAGAAACCAGTTCCTTTGGACAATGCAAATTTCTGTTTAGCTTTTAAAAATTAAAGATATGTTCTATCTGCATGCCAGGTCTCAGTACTGTATTATGTACATGATATTTAGTGATTTTACAGAATTTGGACAGTTTAAGGTTTCAAGCAATAGCACTATACCATTTAAAAATGATTAGCCATTTAAAATTCACAAAATAACAGACTTCATTACAGCATATTTAGTTTTTTTTTTTAAGTAGCTCCTTAAGTATATTTCAAGGTTGGTCTAAAGATGATGAACTAATTGACACAGGGGAATCACAGAACAGAGAAATAAAGCTAAAGCTAGAGTGTCAGTAATTAATGGCAAACAAGGCTGGATCAGTAACAAAGCAAGCACTTGTGTAACGTGTCCTTATTGATGAAATGGGAATTGAGCTCCTATCATTTGGCCTGGGAATACAAAGAAGGGGCTCACAGCCCAGTGGGGAAGACAGACTCACATAATTACCATACAATGAAGCAAGTACAGGCTAAAACAGGGCAGAGTATTATGTAGAACTGAGCTGGGAAACTAAGGCAGTGGGCAAGTGGAGAAGGCTCAGAAAAAGATTCCTAGGGCTCAAAACAAGTGATGTGTGCAGCCAGGCTGAGGGGTAGAAGAGGAGAAAGGTCTATCACTTGGGTCAGGGGAGAAGGGAGAGACATTCAAGACCAAATATCACAGAACTAGTGGAGTCAGTGCCTAGGAGTCACAAAATCATTCAGAATTGCTGCCGGTGTGAGGCTAGAGAGGGACAGAGGGCAGAACCCCCGGAGGCCTCCTCCGTCATGGTAAGGGGGTGAGCTGCAGATGTATGTTTTAGGAGGACTCCTCTGGGAGCAGTGAAGGACAGTGCAAGGGGAACAGAATTGGAGAAAGGTCAGCCAGGAGACAACCAGTCAGCGACCCAGAAAAGAGCTGATGAGGGCATCAACCAGAGGTGGTGGGATGAAGGGGAGGGGTGGCTTTATGCCAGGTGAGCCTGGGACCTTGGGTGGGCTGGCCCTGGACAGTGAAGAAGCAAGGAGAAAAATATCCCTGGTTTTGTCTTACATGATGGGGAGATGGGGTGCCAATAGATTGGAGGGGTAAAACAGATTTTGAGGCATTTGGCCCAGCAGGCAGCAGCAAAAAGGTTCTGGAAACTGGAGGCAGGAGGTGGGGTATATCCACAGATATACTCTGGAGTCTTACTGGCACACAGAGGGTGGTAGTGGTGTCCATGAAATCCCCCAGGGAGGGAGTGGAGACTACAAAGAACAGAGGGGCCAGGGAGAAATGACAAGGCCCAGGGTGGCTGAAGTAGGATAGAGATGACAATGACTCCACTGCTAAAGGAGAACCAGGAAATTCCAGATCAGACAGTGCACAGGGCCTTCTATAGAAGGTTGGTGCAAAAGTAATTGTGGTTTTTGCCATTACTTTGAATGGCAAAATAGATGGACACTAGAACCTCAGGACAAGGTAGTAGGTTGGGGAGCAGAGAAGGATGGGGAACCCACCCTCAAGTCTCCAGGGCACAGGACTGGCCACTGACAGCAGTGAGGAGAAACAATCATAGAACTCATACACTCATTAGCAATCCCAGCTGCATGTCGGAACCACCAGAGCTTTGCCCACAGTAGTCAAACCAGGATCTCTAGATGCAGGGCCTGGCAACTGGTACAGCAGAAGCAGGCCCGGCCATTGGTATGGCAGAAGTGGGACATGGAAGAAGGGAGCTTTGTCGTGCTGCCGGGGGAGCAGCAACTGTGGGGACTGGCTGGTGTCAGGGAGGAGTTTGGGGGAGGAGGTGGAGGGAGGACCCTCGGAGTCAGTGAGTGTGGGGGACAGTGCCTGATGGCAGCATGAAGACACAGGGTGCTTCCAGAAGGCTCAGAATGAAGAGTTGGGGAGATGAACATCCACAGAGGAAGATGGCAATAAAGAAAGAAGGAACTGAGGGGAGGGATAGCCAGAGGGATGACTAGAAGGGCTCCTAAGTTGACCTGCCCAGGAGCTGATGCATGTGTCCATAAGGTGCAGAAGCCCATTTTGGGCTCAAGCCCCCCTTTTTTTGGACCTACTCTTTTCAGGAGACTCTCAGTGGTACAAAGGAGCCCATGGTACATGTGGGTCCCACATTTCCAAGGACATGTGAGACGAAGTGTTTCCCAGGTTCGCCAAGGCTAGAGAGGGATGTCACACTGCACACAAAGGCACATCCTTTGCAGCGGAGGCAGTCAGGCTGCACCACCCCACCCCACCCCACCCCACCCACACACCTCTGTGTGGGCGTTCAACCTGGGTGGATTCACCTGTGGTTTGGGCCCTTCCTGCCTCTGCTACTGAGTAGTTTCCTCCTCAGGGCCAAGTCAGCCCTTCAGTTTTCTGCCTTAAACCACACGGACATAGTGCCAAGGTATCATTTGTGCCGATCCCACCTTTCCTGTAGCATTTTCATGTTCTGCTTTTCTGTCTTTTATTTTTGTGATCTCTGGGCAAATCAGACAGACTTCATTCTCTGCAATGAAGCATTTCCCCACTCAGATTCCTCAACATTGCCCAGCTGGGAGATTCATTTTAGTGCAACCCTCACCTTGACTCATTCCTTCCACCAGTTCCCAATTCACAAGCGTGCCACCTGGTGGCAAAAGAAGATGCCCTTGGGCTGCTTCTGCTTTTTGAACAGCACTCCCAAGATAGAGAACATGTTAAATGTTCTGTGTGCTTCTAAGGAAACTTACTAAGAGGACCCAGCAGCAACGACTCAAGCTTCCAGTGAGTGTGTTTTAGAGACAGGACATCTGTCAAAGCTTTTCTCAGGCTGGAGAAGACAAGCAAAATTATTAAATGTTTGGTGTCTGTTAAATATTTAATATTTGTATATATTAGATGAAATGTATAAATGCATACTTTTGCAGGTAGTTACACTTGGGTTTTGGGGGTTTTGTCTTCCCCACCCCCCCACCTTTTGGTGGAGAACGAGGTCTCACTATGTTGCCCAGGCAGATCTCGAACTCCTGGGCTCACGCTATTCTCCTGCCTCTGCCTTCCTAAGTGCTGGAATTACAGGTGTGAGCCACCGCGCCCGGCCATAACTGCATACTTTTGCTCTTAAGCAATTAGTGAAGGATGTGAAGGGGAAAATATATACTGGTAGAGACATAGCAGTTCTGGATTCTAAATCATTAGGCAAGTTACTTAGGTTCTCTAGGCCTTGTTTTTCTCATTTGACAAAGTAAAGAGTCTAAAGCCACTAACAATTCTAAGATCTGTAATTAAATGCTTAGAAGAAATAAATGCTGAGGTGATGGGATAACCCCAATTATCCTGATTTAATCATCCTACATTGTATGTTTGGAATTAAACACATAGGCCCCATCGGAAGGTTAAGACAGGCCGGGCACAGTAGCTCACACCTGTAATCCCAGCACTGTGGGAAGCTGAGGCGGGAGGATCACTTGAGACCAGGAGTTTGAGACCAGCATGGTCAATATGGTGAAACCCCGTCTCTACTAAAAATACAAAATTTAGCCAGGTGTGGTGTAGCATGCCTGTAATCCCAGCTACTCAGGAGGCTGAGGCACAAGAATCGTTTGAACCAGGGAGGCAGAGGTTGCAGTGAGCCGAGATTGCGTCACTGCACTCCAGCTCGGGTGACGGGGCGAGACTCTGTCTTCTAAAAAAAAAAAAAAAAACGGTCAAGACAAAGAAATATCGGCCGGGCGCAGTGGCTCACATCTGTAATCCCAGCACTTTGGGAGGCCGAGGCAGATGGATCACTTGAGGTTAGGAGTTCAAGACCAGTCTTGGCCAATATGCTGAAACCCTGTCTCTACTAAAAATACCAAAAAAATTAGCCGGATATGGTGACATGTGCCTGTAATCTCAGCTTAGGAGGCTGAGGGAGGAGGATCACTTGAACCTGGGAGGTGGAGGTTACAGTGAGCCAAGACTGTGCCACTTCACTCTAGCCTGGGAAATAGAGCAAGACTCCACCTCAAAAAAAAAAGAAAAAAAAGACAAAGAAATCTCTTACATTAATAAAAATTCAGTGCTTGGGCCAGGCACGGTGGCCCATGCCTTTAATCCCAGAAATTTGGGAGGTCAAGGCGGGAGGATTGCTTACCCAGGAGCTCAAGACCAGCTTGTGCAATGTGGCTAAACATCATCTCTGCAAAAAATACAAAAATTAGTCAGGCATGGTGGCATGTGCCTGTACTCCCAGCTCCTTGGGAGGCTAAGGTGGGAGGATCGCTTGAGCCCAGGAAGTTGAGGCTGCAGTGAGCTGTGATCGTGCCACTACACTCCAGCCTGGGAGACAAAGAGAGATCCAGTCTCAAAAAAAAAAAAAAAAAGAAAATTCAGTTCTTGTACATAGAAAGCACTCAAATGTTTGTGGCAAGAATGAATAGCAGTGATTCTCTTATAATATAAATATATAACTAAACATCTACTTTGTTTTTGTTTGTTTTTGAGATGGAGTCTCGCTTTCCCAGGCTGGAATGAAGTGGCACGATCTCGGCTCACTGCAACCTCCGCCACCATGCCCAGCTAATTTTTGTATTTTTAGTAGAGTCAGGTTTTCGCCACGTTGGCCAGGCTGATCTCGAACTCCTGGCCTCAGGTGATCCACCCGACTTGGCCTCTCAAAGTGCTAGGATTACAGGTGTGAGCCACCATGCCAGGCCTACTTTGTTTTTATACTACTCTTTGGACACAGAATTAGAATAAGGACCTAAACATGAAATTTGACTTACGGCTCTGACATCTTATAATTAACTATGAAGATGCAAGTATCATTCGACACTCAAAGACGGACCTTTCTCAGCTAATTATGTGGTCAGACTTCTCCTAGATACACACACCTTACCAGCAGCAAAGACCTTCATAGGACTACTTAATATATTCTCTTCTCACTCACTCATCCTAACAAAAATACAACCTAATGCTTGAGGAAAGACCTCCCCTTTTGATCTCAGAGACAGACTAAGAGGAAACCTTTCTCTGCCATTATGAAGTCAGTCTTTGGGGAGTTGGATAAGGTCTGGATGTGACAAGCAAAATATACTGGGATCCATCCCTGAGCAGAAAGGAGGAACTTTCTCATTTCCAGTGGGTTCTTCCCAACAGCCCAGCACAGTCCCCCGTTTCCCCGCACCCCCCACCCCATCCCCGCTGCCGTAAATATGTAGATTTCTGTGTTTTGATTTCTGGAAAGCACATATTGAAACATGAACCAGAAAAGCACTAAGGATTGGAATCCAATAAACACCAGAACAAGGCCCTCACCATCTGTGAAGTTTGGGGTCGGGGTAGCGAGCTCGTCCCTTCTTTGAACATTTTCTTCCTTCACTTAAAGAACAATTCAGAACAAAGTAAAAAGAAACAGGTCAAAAGAGCATGGCAAAGGTCAGCCACACTAGTCAAAGACTTCACCCCCCCAAGACCTAGGACATACAAAAGGGAGCCCTGGTGCAGTCTCACCTCCGAGCAGATCCTCCTGGCTGCACACTCCACAAACAGATGGGCATCACCAGATTCTTGCAACAAGATCCTGCAGGAGGACCTGACAAGTGCAAACTGCCTTCATGTTAGCACTGTCCTGGACAGGTGTGGGTGTGGGCGAGTGTGAGCTAGGCGCTCCAATATTCACTAATCACCAAATTTCCTCCTATCAGGAAACTCAAGCTTCTGCAAAATGTCAATTCCCTGCAGGCTCAGGAGGGGAAATGGAGTTTTGAGGAAGACAAATAAGGCCGGCACGGTGGCTCATACCTGTAATCCCAGCACTTTGGGAGGCCGGGGCATGTGGATCACCTGAGGTCAAGAGTTCGAGACCAGCCTGCCCAACACCGTGAAACCTCATCTCTACCTAAAATATAAAAAATTAGCCGGGCGTGGTGGCGGGCGCCTGTAGTCCCAGCTACTCGGCAGGCTGAGGCAGGAGAATCGCTTGAACTGGGGAGGCGGAGGTTGCAGTGAGCAGAGATCATGCCACTGCATTCTAGCCTGGGCAACAAGAGCAAAACTCCTTCTCATTAAAAAAAAAAAAAAAAAAAAGGACGAATGAAAACTTCAAGACATAAAAAAGTGTGACAACCCTAAACTCTAGTTCTAACTTATGGCATCTAATTTGAATGATATCAAATGAAACACAGATAAGTGAGAGGCTGATTAACATTTATACATACACATATGCCTATCTGTGTGCATGTGTATATATACACATATATCTGGCAACTGGGGCATTTAAGAAATGTTTTACTATGGTAAAATATACATGACATAAGATTTACCATTTTAACCTTGCAAGTATACAGTTCAGTGGCATTAAGTACATTCACATTGTTGTACGGCCATCACCATTATCCATTTCCAGAACTTTTTCATCATCCCAAACAGAAATATTGCATAATGACTCACCATTCTCTGCTCCCTCCAACCCCTGATCAACATGATTCTACTTTCTGTCTGGATGAATTTCATTATTCTAGGTACCTCATATAAGTGGAATCACACACTATTTGTCCTTTTGTCTCTTGCTTGTTTAACTCAATATAAGGTCTGCAAGGTTCATCTATGTTGTATCATTTGTAAAAGTTGACTTCCCTTTTAAGGCTGAATAATAGTCCACTGTGTATATGCTATATTTTTGTTTATCCATTCGTCTTGACATTTTATTAATATTATTTCCCTAAGGCATTTTTAAAACCTGTCTTCAATTATGATCTACATTTTATAAAGGCCTGATTTTCTAGCTCTTAAAAATGCTATAAATTATACTTGACTCAGATACTTAAGCTAATTTTCATTATAATGGGTAAATCAGTACATTTTGCTAGTGAACATACTCTGAAATCCTGCTTTAATGGGCCTGTCAAATAGGGAAAATTGCACCTTCCCCTCCATCCCACACTGAACAGACAGGACATTTTTCCTTCTATTTCCACTTTCAAAAATGTCACTTTATAGCCATAGGGATGGTTTATACCAAAGGAAGTAAAAACAAATTATTAATAAGAAAAACAAGTTTTATCTGAGGCCATTGCTAGAAAAAAGGTTACTGCCCTTGATAACTGTTCTGCAGATAGACTTCAATTACCAGCAGCAGAACAGTTCACCTACAGCTCCGGATAACAAGCAGAGGCAAATCTCCTTTCTCCCCTCTCTGGAGTTGGTAGAAACATTCAGGGAGCCCCTTTTCACTTGCCTTTGTGTTACCCTGCCACAGAGGAGGATCTGTTTTTTAAGTGCTAGAGAGAGCCAATTTCCAGGAAGGCAGTGCATGTGTTTCAGAATATGAGTTTAATTTAAAGGGCTCACAAGTGAGCAGCTCACAGTGTCACTCCTTGGAGCAGGGCCCTCAGCTCTAGAGGGACAAGGTAAAGGCTGCACTTGGGTGGAGGCAGAGGAACTCACCCTGGGTGGCCTCAGTGTTTCTCATAGAATAATACAAGGCTGTCTCCTTCAGTGAGTCTTCAAGGGGGCACAGCAAAGGTGGGGGAGGGGGTCATGTTAGCAACTTACTCTCAAATGGTTCAGAAAAAAATATGTATATAAAACAAAATACATGTGGCAAAATGTTAACAACTGGTGTACTGGAGTTCTCTGTACTAATCTTGCAATTTTCCTTTAAGTTTGAAATTATTTCCAAAAAAGGAGCTTTAAAACAAAAAGTGGGTCCAGCTTTGTAACTTTACTCAGCAATATTGGAAAGTTTAGAAGGAGGATCAGACACTGGAAATTAAGGTGCTTCTCTGAGCTTGGGTGAGCAGATGAAAACAAGAGGAATATTATGAAAACAGGTGTGGGTTTTGGAGTCAGACATGCATGGATTGCAATGTGAGACTTTGGGAAAACTCATTTGACCTCTACAAACTTCAGTTTTGACATCTATAGGGGTAAAATAGGTCAGAATCTCCATCTTCAAATCCTTTAAATGCTTTATACTCAAATAAAATGGTCCTGTTGTTACTACTACTATAATTACTGCACTTGACAGCAAGAAGAGAAGAGAAGGGGGTAAGGCAACGTGAAGGAGCAGGGAGACAGCCTCACAGGGATTGGGGGAGGGAGGGAGGGAGGGAGGGAGGGAAGGAAGGAAGGAAGGAAGGAAGGAAGGAAGGAAGGAAGGAAGGAAGGAAGGAAGGAAGGAGCGAGCCAGCCATGGAATGCATTGAAGCTATGAAGAAAAATGGCAGCTGATGAAGATGAAGGAAACAGACAACATAGGTTATCAAAGCACAAAATTATAGTTCTTCCTGCTATCAACACTCCTGGCAGATGGTAGCTACGGTATTCTGACAGTGAGTGAGGAATTGTGTTTATAATTTTTCCCAAATTTACTGTGTTTTATTACATTCACTTAATCTAGCAGACGTTTACGATAGGTATAAGAGAATATGTTGAGCCTCAAATGTAAAAAACAAAAACCACACATCAATCAACGTGCAAATAAAATAGTGAACAGATTACCAGTTCCTCTATCAAAAGCAACATTCCCATTAAGCACGTCAGCCTCTTTACCCTCTAGGTCTTGAAACCCCAATCTTTCACAAAACATGAGCCCTCATTCTCAATATATGTATTTTTATAAGCTATTGTCAAGCTTTCTATTAAATCAGCAAGGCTGAGTTTCTTATTTTAGACAAATGTCCCAATGTTGCACAGCTGTTGCTTCTGAAGGGCAACTTCCATGCCTTTACCTTCTAGAATAGGAATAAAAAACACTGGCTTCAACCAGGCCAAAGTAAATTGACTAAAAGGCAAAGGAGTGCGTATCTTCTAACAAATAGATTTGGAAGTGGGTGGGAAGAAACACAACCCACAACCCCCAGCCTGCCATCAACTTCTGTGACAGAAGGAGGCAGTGTTTCTTGGAAGCCCCGAGGAAAGAGGAGGCAAGAGTCACTTTCCCTGAAAACCTTCCGGGGCCACCTTTACTCCAGGCTGCTGGCTTCTGACCCATGTATTATGAATGTCTGCAAAAGCAAAGGAGTTCTTCCTTCCCCATATCCCTGAAATACTGATACTCAAGAACTTCTCTCTAGTGTCCCACAGGGCAGACCCCAAGTTAGAACCAAGTTATGAAATTTCGCTGCCACAGTGCCAGGGACCTGCCTTTCCCATAGTAGAATGAGATGGTGGTGGCAAATGCTCCTGGGACGAGGGTGGGGATGAGAGTGGGGATGGGGGCGGGAGGGATGGAGGGGTCTAAAGCTCAGGTGACACCTCAATCAAAATGTAATATATTAACCAGCCCATGTGTCCTAACAACAAAGATGAGGACTGCTCCACCATTCATTCATCCAATAATAAAGCTTGCTGTGTGCTGGGCCCTTGGGACAGTCAAGAGGGCAAGAATTCCCCACCCCTCACCCATAGAGTTTATATTTAACTCCACATCAGCAATAAACCAATAATTATACAATTAGGTAATTACAATGTGATAAGTTCGAACAAGCACGCTGTACAATGAGGGCTGATCTGACCTACCCTGGGAGGTCAGAGAAGATTGCAAAGGACGGGTGGGAGCTGGGCTGTGAAGTGCACTAGGAGGCCAGGGAGAAGCATGAGGCCCCTGGCAGTGGACAGAAGGGCAGCTCCTGCAGAGGCCACAGATGGGTGGATAGGAGCTGGACACCTTTGGGGGTGCAGCGTGCACTCCACAGCCAACAATGAGGCAAGTGCTGTGTGCAAAATGGAGATCAAAAGGAGATACTGGAGGCTTGAAAGGGATCTACGGAGACAGACTTTATTCCAAGAGCACTGGGCAGTCTCTGACAGGTTTTAATCAGGGTAGGACACAATCGTATTTGTCCTCTGAAAATACCACTCTTCCCCTGCTCCCTCCACCCATGCAGGTTTCTCGAAGCCTCTACTGCAGCACTGTCCCATGGTACTCCAGTTGTCTGTTTTCCTGTCTGGACTAACCGAAACTCATATCTATCTTTCTTAGTCTGACACAAGGAGAACTGAGAATTGCACCCTGGTCTGACGTTCTGACATTAAGAGAATTGAAGAATCCACGAGGGCTTTAACTTTTTAACTAGCACAGCCTGACAGCTGTGACAAAGCCCAGTAATTTTTACACTCAAGGCCAGTGGTTCTCAAACTTTCGCCTGCAGCAGAATCACCTGGAGAGCTTGTTAAAACAGATGGCTGGGCCCTGCTCTCAGAGTTTCCAACTCAGCAGGTTCTTGGGTGGGGGCGGAGAGTTTGCATTTCTAACAAGTCCCAGGTGATCCTGATGCTGCTGGTCCAGACCACACTCGGGAACCCAGCTACCACAAGAAACTCAGGGCATTAGCGCAGCAAACAATTTTACCAGGATCTGTATCTTGGAACTCAAAGCAAACCTGCAAAAACAGATTTTCTTGAGTGAGCAAATCTGCCTGGCTTTTACACCTAGAAATCGGCCTAGCACTGGGTCCCCCTGACAAGCTTTGGCAGCCAGTCGGGCACAGATTTCTCGAATCCCCAAGCTTTAGAAGTGGGAAATGTTGCAGAATTCTCCAGTCACAGCTACGGGACTCCAGAATAGTGACACCGGGTGGCAAATACAACTTCTGCAGCACATCAGACCTCAATCTGGTGCACTACATCTGAGAGCCCGGAGCCCACATCCACAGCCCATACTAATCCAGTGAGATCCTCTGAGCTGCCATTTGTAGTGAGTGAAAAACAGCAAATATCCTCCCTGGACAGTCTGTGTTCTTCCACACAGCCCTGTAAAATACCAGATATTTCTTGGTGAGTAGTCAGATACCATTCACCAATTTTCTAAATTGCTAATCAGATAATTGCTGCAATAGTTAATTCTGCAGCCATTCTACATTTGAATAAGCAAAACAGAAAATAATTAGGCCAAAACAATCACATTGGTTTAAAAGCACACTAATGGACAAAATTGGTTTATTCAAATTTGTTTCAACATTCATCAGAACGCTTGCTGGTCAATTTGCTTAATGAGTATTCACTTTTCCCTTAATTTTTCTTGGGTGACATTCACTTAGAGCAATACATTAAGCCTGTTTCCCTTTGCAAAGAATTCTTAACGACCAGCCCTGTGTTTGAAATTACTTCTTCTCAATCTTTTTGTGGAAAACAAGAGGAAATGTCTAAAAACAATCTTACTCTATCTTCCAGAATTTAAATAACAAAAGTTTCCAGTATGTCTATTGAGAAATCTGTCCTTATTCTTCATATGGCTTTAGGATAATGGCCATTCCCAAAAGCAGAGGGGTAAGAGGTCAATTCTAAAATTGTAACCTTTTAGTAGGTAATTTAAATCAATGGCCAATTGGAGGAAAACTCAGGTTGGAGGAAGGAAATTTAGTATTTCTGGAAATCTAAATTAATATCATGTCAATCCCTAGCAGCATTTTTTCCAGAAATGATTATAATTAGAGATATGCAAATTTTTCAGTGGGGGAAAAAATCAGAGGAAAATACACCTAATTAAGAAATGCTGTTATCTTTATTAGATGATATTAAGTATAAATGTGATTTAATACTTTTAAAACTGTAAAATAGCACTCTCTCCTTCAGAACTCAAGGAATCTCACACCAAACAAATAATGACAAAAGCATGTCAGTTCTTATAAATTTTTCTCAGAAATAATAGCTCAGCAGTGAGTTTCCTGGCACTCGGATGATTTCAGCCACTATATTTTCTCATAAACAATAAGCTTAGAAAGCTAATGTTAGGTAGGCCATACAGTGTTCATTTCCATAGTAATCAGTTTTCAGATAGTTACAAATTTTTAATAACTTATTTTGGAAGCAAATCATTTTGAAAAGCAGCTACCTCTGAGTTGAGATTTCAAGACAGGACTTTATCCAGATTTCATTGACCCAAAGGTTGCCAAATTTTGTGTTAAAATGTCAATATAGATTCTGGGAAGATGGTGGTGGCAGCATAATTATTGACTCTCCCCAACCATAAAAACTGACAGAGAGCAGACTCAAAAACCATGGACAACATCCACAACAACTCTAGATGACAAACTACCATCAGCTACAGGAACCACTATCAGGCACTCACTGGAAAGCTCAGAGGGTCATCCTGAGAGTAGACAGAGAAAAAAGTTCCAGTTTAATTAGTGAGTGCGGAGAGGGCTGTGCCACCTGTATGTCCAATGTGCCAGAATGTTCTGGAGTGGGAGGGGTCTGACTCCTATGAATTAGCAAGCCAAGGCAAAGCCCCACACTGGGGAGAAGCTGCTGGGGATGAGATCTAAGATGAGGAAATAGGGGCAAAGGTAAGGGAAAGTCTGGGCAGGTAAGCAGTGTGGGTAGGGACAAAAAAAAAGTCTTAGGATATAGGAAAGTAGAGTTCATATTTTTATTACCACTTTATGAAAACAACTATGAGGCCGGGCACGGTGGCTCATGCCTGTAATCCTGGCACTTTGGGAGGCCAAGGCGGCTGAATTGCCTGAGCTCAGGAGTTCAAGACCAGTCTGGCCAACATGGTGAAACCCTGTCTCTACTAAAAATACAAAAAATTAGCTGGGCGTGGTGGCACATGCCTATAATCCCAGCTACTCGGGAGGCTGAGGCACGAGAATCACTTGAACTAGGGAGGCAGAGCAAGACTCTGTCTCAAAAATAAAATAAAATAAAATGAAAACAACTAACAGAGTCTCCTAAATCTCTGATGCTAGGAAATCTACACTGGCCCTCCTAAAAGTATAGGAAAACTCGGTTAACAACAGAAAAGAATCCAGTTGAATTCCACATAGTTATTTTTAAAGAAAAACTAAGGAGCAGAATGACATCCATCGTGTAAACAATAAAATCACGCCAGAAGGGCACAAAGGAAAGCTATGACCTAATATTTCAGAAGGAGCCAAGAGAAATTAACTAAATGAAAGAAGCTATGAAGAACAGCATAAATCAGAATTTTTAAAACTCAGAAATGAGTTGATTGAAGAAAATGAAGATTTAAAAATGGAGGCAAAAGAACTAAGAATTAAAAATAAAGAAAATAATCATTTCAGAAATGACAGGTAAAGACAACACGAGAGCAAATAAAAATGAACAGTGTCTTAAATGAACCAGAAGACGGAAAGGAGGAAAATTTTTCAATTCAAATGAATTATGACGCGGTTAAAAGGATTTGAGAGAAAGTGGCAGATACAGAATACAGGCTAAGAAGGTCTAACATGAATAATGGGAGTTCCTAAAGCCAACAAAGATCAGAACAAATGGTAAATGAAATCTTTATTGGAGAGGAAATAAAAAAGAACTCTTAAAATTACACATTAAAGCAGCGAGCACATTGTGTCTATGGAAAAAAAATAATCAACCTACAGCAGCCAATACTATAAAACTAACTAGTGGGCTTTAAAGAATAAAGGTGGAAAAACATTCCTTTGGGTATCTAGGCAAACATACCAAGTTAAATTTGAGGGATAGAAAATAAGATTATCATCAGATTTTGACGCCACTTTATGGCAAAATGCAATACAGTAAAATAATAAAGGTATCCAAGCAAAGATAAGATGGGCCAGCAATTTTATACTAGCCAACCTGACCTTTAAATATACAGACTACACACTCGCCGTTGTGGACATATAATTCAGGAACTACTTCCCATAAGGCATCTATTAGAGGGTGCGTTTCAGAAAACCAAAATGCCAGGAAAGCCATGATATAAAGACTGGCCGCCAGCATTAAACAGATATTTACCTGTAGAGCTAAGACTAAATGATGGTAACAAGGGAGACAGCAGAGTATATAATTGCTGTATGCTCTGAAAAATGAGTATAGCCATCAGAAAAATGGGGAATAGGTGAAGTTCCGAAAAGTAGAATATGCTTGCTGATTGCCTTTTAGATATTAACTGGAAGTAAAAGAATATTACTTCCAATCCCCAGCTCAGGAGAGTAAAGAGAGAGCAAAGAACAAACGCTGGCTAATTTAAATATTATGGTAGCAACAATGGAAAATAGCCCCCACAAAAACAGCAGACAAGGGTATTATAGAAAGGTATCAGTCTGAAGGCAACCATTAAAACCAAAAATACAAATCTAGCAAAAAATATGAATCTTCACAAATACCCAAAGGTACACCAAAAAGAGAAAGCAGAACAAGAGAACACACCACTTACACAGTACCCTCATTAAAAAAAAAATCAAACTGAGTATGATCAAACGTCTAAGTCACCAATTTACAGGAAATATTCAAAATGGTACAGGTGAAGACCAAGGAATGCAATCAGAATGAAAAGCTGCACAGGACAACTGCAGTTTCCTTAACCAAAACGGGGCTAACACCTACAGAGAAGAAATGACTTAAAGGACATATCAACCAATTACAATGTGTAGATCTTGTTTGCTTTCTTTTAAATGTGCATACATTTGTTTATATTTTTATGTATCTTCAATAGGAAAATGTGAATACTATTCAATGACATTATGTAATTATATTTATTTGGAAGGGTTTGACATTGGCATCATCATTATGTTCAGAAAAGAAGGTCTTTGTAGTTTAGGACTACATACTGAAAATATTTATAGATGAAATTCTATGATGCTTGAGACATGCTTCCCAATAATGGGAAGATAAAGTGGGTAGAGGCCGTATTGGTAAGTGTTGAAGCTAGATGGTTATATGAGGGTTCATTACACTATCCTATTTGAAATGTTGCCATAAATAAAAATATACTTTTTTTTAAAGTTCAGTTCTTTCATATTGAAAAATGGCTGCTAACACATTTTCAAACAAGCCAGGGAATACTCTAGAAGGCATAGACTCCTTACTGCTTTTTTAACCCTTCCCTAGTCAACTAATAAATTTAAATAGGGTTTACTTAAATGTAGACCCTGAAATTCTCACCCAAAACAATAGGTGCTAACCAGTGATAATTACTGTAAATAAAAGGAATTGTGAAACCTGGAGCAAATATATTTAAGCAGCTGAGTTCATAATTAGTTAAGCAGCCACCTATAGACCTAATGCTGCTAATTTCATTGAAATTGTCAACTGACACCCAGACAAGCACCTCAAGATTCCTCCTTAATACCTTCAACCAAGGCTATGGTCACTAGGGATGCCTTCCTGCCCATATTCCAAGAGGGTACCACTTTTATCCCCAGACAGCCTTTATCTTGGATTCCTTCTCGAGAACCAGAACAATACCATCTGCAGCAAGAGTCCTACTCCAGTGCCCAAGAATTGATGGAGAAGGAACTTTCCCATCCTGAGGAATGCAATGGTGTCAGTTCTCAATTTGAGGCGTCCTTCATTTGAAACTGGAGAGCTTATCATTTCATGGAACTGTGAAAGGCCACTCTAAAGTGAAAACGCAAAAAGCCGGATGAAGTCACCCTGTCACCTCTCTGCTGGCACCTCACCCAGGCCAGCTACAGTAACAGGAGCATTGAAACTTGACATGCAGTAGGGCTGATGGTGGCTAAATGGTACCGTGTCAAACAGACCGACAGTTATTACAACAGTTATTATTAAAACTGAAGTCTGTCATATTTTTTTCCCCAGGGAAAACCTTTATTTTTATATTTAGGTTTGATGAATGAACAGCCATGCAGAAAAGTGATTGGACACAAAGGATCTGGCCTAACAGTGATGGACAGAGTGGTGAAACCCAGCAAGCCCGCTCTGTACAATTCCCCTTCCCCTGGGGATGGGGCAGGACCCCTCGGGAATGAGGGTCTTCCAGGAAGAAGGGAGAGTGAACTTGCTAGGTTTTATGACTGGCTTTGGGAGAGAGGAGTTCTAGTTTCTATGACCTGCCTTGGGGAAAAAGAATTCTGGTTTCTGTGACTCACTTTGCGGGAGAAAAGGGAGCAGGAACCAGGAGGAAAGAACAGAGACCTGGCTTCTGAGGCCTTCCAGTCTCCTCTTGGTCAGAGTAGTCTGCATGCCAAGGTGCCATACTTTGGGGTTTAATGAGCCCTGACAGCAGGTCCTTGCAGTTTTCACAGGCAACTTGTGATCCAAGTAATTAGCTTTCAGTCCCCCAATTTCACAGGACTTTATAGCAAAGCCTGGTTGAAATGGCCAAGTGTTAGAAGAACCTCTTTAAAGTTGAAATTCATCAAGTTCTTCAGCTGAGGGCCTAAGAATCCCAGGTGTAAGGTTAGCAAGAGTTAGGAGTTCGGTCATATTTTAAGAAAAACATGAATGAATTTTAAAAAGAGGGGCAGAATCTCCAGTCCTTGGAGAGATACCAAAGAGCATCTAGCCTGGACCCTGAAACATCTCTCTCAGATGTGAAAGAGCATTCCGGCACATTCCAGAACAAACAGTTCCAAACCTGCAGACTAAAGCACATTAAAGGCTCCAAAGGTCCTGAAAGTGAAGACACCTATCACTAGTCAATCCTCTTGGGTAAATCCTCCATCAAAAACACCTGTTGAATCAAGAGGCCTGCTGCTCTGAAGTTACAGAAACTGGGGCAGGGACATGGTGGGATGGAGCTGGTGCTCAGCCCTCTGGAGGGCAGCACTGGTGGCAGGTAGTGAAAAGCACCTCACAAAGCTTCCCTGACTCCACTCCTGCCCATCTCCCCCAGCCCCTGAATCTCCTTTTCCTATTGTTCTAGTTGCTTTCTTTGGCTTTCCTCTTTTTTGAACTGGTACCCTCTGACCCTCTGCATCACCTTTCTTTTCTCTTTCTTCCTTAACTAACCACAATATGGAACTGAAATAAGTCTAAATTAAACTGCTTTCTATGATAGCCCCTCAAATTACATCTTTCTTTTTTTTTTTTTTTCCTTTCTGGACTCCTGGACTTTTCTCTCTCCTGGAGAGAAAAATAATTCACTAAAACATAAGCCCCAAGAGAGGACAAAGACTTTTGCCTGGTATGTTCACTACTACACCTCCGATGCTTCAATAATTATTTGTGAATAAATCTATGGATTTCTGGTATAAGGGCAGATTAAAGATACAGAAGGGATCAAAAGAATGAAGAATAAAGCTGTAATGTTAAGTACCCCTGCTGTACCGCCAGAGCTGGTGTTCCCAGTGGCCAGTATGGCGCAAAGCCACTAGACCCCGTGGGGGACCCACCTCACTCGCAGGCACACACAATGCTCTGGGCCAGACTCTTTGAAAGGCAGTGGTTCTGAAACCAAGATGATCATGTTAAATAATATCCCTTGAAAATGCTGGAATGTAAATTGGGCAACACATTCAGATCTACTAAAAAAACTCACAAACCCTTCTACATATGCTGGTTTATTTTAAAAAAGCAAGGGGGGGGGGTCCTCTTTTATCAAAGTGATGCTTTTTGGTGCGGCTAAAAACGTATATACTATTTCCCAGCTGCACATATACAGACTATACTAAAATAAGTAGAGAAACATTTAAACATTCCAATTAAGTATTTTCATTAGCTATCCTAACATATTTTAGGTTAAGAATCCTGGCTTGATTTAACAATGACAAAAAATTCTAAAAACCAGTCCTTGTGGTGTTTTATCAGCCAAATAAATATCAATATCAACCATTTCTTAAATGGAAAATCTTTCTAAGGTACCTTCTTTCAACATCAGCCACTAAAAAGGAAGTCTGCATTGTGAAAGTTGGGATGGAATTGCATTTAAAATACTTTATAAGCCAAAATTTATATCCTTTGAAAAGTACCTGTACTATCTTTACTTCAGTCTTTCCAAGTAGAATTCTCAAGATCTTTTTAACATAGTCTTGTTTTATTTTTAAGTGTGCACTAGCCAAGTAGAATAACAGACAGCCAACGTCTCCTGCCACCTTTCACACTTCTAAAATCTCCAGTAAATATTTTCCCCAGAAGCCAATTGAATCCTGTTCTAGAAATACTTCTTTTCCAATAAAAAGAGACACATTAACTTCCAGAGCTCTTTGTGATAATGCTCTCCTTTGTTCTAACTCTGTTAACTAATTCCTCTGCTTAAGAACCCGCATAGGCCATTATATTTAAATTACTGGGAGTCCCGGCCATTGTTTGGAATTTTCTAACACCCTCTGAAATGTTCTAACACCCTGTGAAATGAGTTACCTGGGGTAAACCCAAATGAAGGTGGATATTTTGCCTCACTAAGCAATTTAAAATACAAGGTAAAGGAGAACCGTTTCACCTTTTTCATTTTCCCTCTTATCTTTTTTCTACTTGGTCAAGAATGAGGCATTCACTACTGGCAAGTGCTATCAGACACGCCTCTTCCTTAAGTGACAGAGTTCTGCCCACCACAAACAGCCACCTCCTCCTCCCTCCGAAGACTCCCTGGGTTGGGGAGGGCAGCCACCAGTGTGCCCCTAATAGGTTTCTAAAACAGGACTCGGGGGGATCCAGGGAAGAATCTCAAGATGTTCCAAACCACACAGGCTCCTTATCAAGGTTTGCAGGCTTGTTTGTTGCTATCTTTGCTTCAATGAATAAACTGACATAAACAAGGTGTATTATTTTGCTAAATATTTAAAATATGTTAATAAGCAAATGAAAGGTCATCTACTGCCACAATCAGAAGTTGAGCCCACAAAATCTCTAATCTTGGCTAGGAGTGGGGAAGGTCGGTAGGGAGAAGGGAGCAGAATTAGCCTTGGACTTAAAAACAACTCAAAATACATATCCATACTGGATGTGCATCGAACATACAACACAGGTAATACATGCAAAAGTGATATCCATACTTTTCCATTTTTAAAAGTTATTTCTCTGAATAGGCAACTACTTAGCCAGATTACATTTACAAAAATCTCATCACATATAGCACTGCAGGAAAGACTTCAATTATTGAAGAATAAAAATCCAGGTGCCCTAAAAATTATCCCATCTCATCTTCCGCTACTCTCTACAGACGTTCTGTCGGCGGGAGCAGAGCCTTCCGGCTAACTCTAACCTTTGCTTTTCCTCTTCACATCTTGACCAAATTCCACCCCACTCTTTTAAGATTTAATTCAGGCCCCTATCTTCCTTTCAATTGGCCATTCAAGAAGTGATGCCTATGTCCTCCAAACCAATGGTAATGAATAGGACTGGAATTGTTAACTTAAATCTTATTACAAATCCTGTAACATTGGCGCCTACCCAGGACCATCTTCCTATAGGTCCTAGGATCCTTAAAGGCAAGGATCCCATCTTAAGACTCATCAATTTCAAAGTGACAGGTATTAATAAAATGTTATCAAGCAGTAGCTGCTGAATTGCAATGTCATTTCTACCACCTTCCCCACTGGACCATGGGCTGATCTCAAACGTGCCACTGAGCCATGACCACAAAATGACCAGAGGGAAAGGACAGATGGAAAGGGTAGTCAGAGTGGTGGGTAACCAATCCACCCCTGAGTAATCAAGAGAAAAGGACTTTGGGAGCCGTCCTTCATGCTTACAGACTTTCTGCCTACATGCTGCGTTATAGCACAGCGATTCTTAGGGTAGGGCTAAATGATAGATTATGGATTTCTCTAGACCTTGAGCTTCCTTTTGTCTTATTTTGACACTCAGTTTAAGCTACCACACCGTACAATTTCTTCTGTGTTTAGATCCCGCCACACCTAACAGATCAATAACCCATTTTTAGGCTGTGGGTTCTTTACTTGCTGTTATCAATATAGCCGAAATTGTGACTATAGTAGTGGATTATGTTAGAGTCTATTCAGCATTTATGAGAAACTCTGCCCCACAGCCAAGGCAGTGAGGAAAGAAAAACGGTTGGTTATTTTCCCATTTCTGAATTATTCCCAAACGATTTCAGGCAGGCCCTTAAAGGGCCATCAAACCAACTGAGTTGGGGAGGACCTAAGAACCATTTCAAAATGACAATTACTTGGTTTTCTTCACAGCTCCAGCAAAGGCCCTATAACTGAATAAAGTCTCTGCCAACCCTTCTAATGAAAGAATTTTCCCTTAAAAAAAAAAATTGCCGGGTGCAGTGGCTCACGCCTGTAATCCCAGCACTTTGGGAGGCCGAGGTGTGTGGATCACGAGGTCAAGAGATCAAGACCATCCTGGCCAACATGGTGAAACCCCGTCTCTACTAAAAATACAAAAATTAGCTGGGCATGGTGGCGTGCGCCTGTAGTCCCAGCTACTCGGGAGGCTGAGGCAGGAGAATCACTTGAACCCGGGAGGTGGAGGCTGCAGTGAGCGGAGATCACACCACTGCACTCCAGCCTGGCGACAGAGTGAGACTCTGTCTCAAAACAAAACAAAACAAAAAAAACAAAAAACAAAAACAAAAAAATTTTCAATTTCCTTCTGGGGCAATTTAAATGACTCTCATTTTGTTCTACTTTTCACTCACACACTAAAAATATTTGAAGACTGTCATTCACTAAACCTTCCCTCACCTTATCTTCTCCAGGCTTAATAAATCCAATTTCTTTAAGTTGCTTTCAAAGGACCTATTTCCCAAAGCTTTCGTCAATTCTATGTCCTCCTCTATACCCAGTATGGCCATTTTATTCTGAGAAAAACAAAAAACATACCTTAAACATGGCCTAATGCAGAGAAGAATACAGGATTCTCTTCCTAGTATACACTCCTTTTCATGAAAACTTACTTTTCACCATAAGACTGGTTCACAGTTAACATACCATTCTTTATAATCCCCAATGCTACCGTAATATTATAGAGCCATGTTTTGTGACTTTGGGGTTTAGTTTTATTTCTTACAGGGACCTGACCCTAAGATTTCATTGACGTCTTCCCTCCATGTCTGTGAAATTGAGTTTCAAGAAAATGCAGCTCACAAATAATCAATGAATAAACCCAGCAGAGTCCAACATCATATTCTCTCCCTCAAATAGGCCACCCCTCCTCTTGGCTTTATTTCCACTAATTCCATAGTATCAACAATACTCCCAGTTACCTACACCCATGATAATTCCAGTTCTCCTTCCCCTCAATCTCATCAGTGCCTGACACACAGAAGGTGCCCATAAATACGCCGAATGAGAGAAGACCTGCACCTTTATCCTCCTCGTGTCTCTTAAGGGCGCTTTCTTTCCAAAGCATGTACCCTAATACCCAGGTCCACTACCCCTTCACTCAGAGATAATCTAAAGAGCCCATCTTCTGCCCAGCTCCCCAACATGTAGCTCGCAGCCATGAGTTTAACCCTCCTAAATAGTCTCCACGAAAAATCTCCCTTAGATACTTACATGCAAATGTTCATTACAGCATTGTTTGCAACCCAAATGTCCATCAAAGGAGGAACAGGTAAACAGAATGTGGTCTATACATACAATGGAATATTTTTCAGTCTTAAAAAGGAAGAAAATTCTGACTTATACTACAATAGGGGTGAACCTTGAGGATGTTACGGTATGTGAAATAAACCAGTCAAAAAACAGACAAATTCAGTATGGTTCTGCATTTGCGAGTTACCTGGAATAGTCAAATTCAGAGACAGAAAGTAGAATGGTGGTTGCCAGAAGCTGGGGGAAGGAGAGGGGAGCTGCTCTTCAATGGGTATAGAATTTCAGTTTTGCAAGATGAAAGTGTTCAACAGTATGAATGTACTTAACACTATTGAAATATACATTTAAAGATGATTAAGGTAGTAAATTTCATTTTATGTATGTTTTACTATTAAAAAAAAAAAAAACAGGCCAGGTGTGGTGGCTTACATCTGTAACCCCAGCATTTTGGGAGGCTGAGGCTGGGGGATCGCTTGAGCTCATAAGTTCGAGACTATTCTCTACAAAAATAGAAATAAAAAAATTAGCCGGTGTGGTGGCACACGCCTGGGGTCCCAGCTACTCAGGAGGCTGAGATGAGAGGATCACTTGAGTTCAGGAGGTGGAGGCTGCGGTGAACTATGATCGTGCCACTGCACTCCAGCCTGGCAACAGAGCAAGACCCTGTCTCATAAATAAATAAATAAATAAATAAATAAATAAATAAATAAATAATAAAAACAGACTCTCCCTTAGTCTTGGTTGCCCACAGCAAGGGAGTGTCCAAGTTTTAAGGCAGGGCTTGGCCTCTCGCTTCGTCAGACTATTGGAACAGGCTGGGGAGTATGTCTAATTGGACAGAATGGTGGAACAGGCAGCCCTGGACTAGTATGCAAAGCCTGGGGGGCCACTCCTGGGTCAAGTCCACCTTAGCCTTGACTTCAAAGCATTCTTCATAACCTAGACCAAACTCAGCACTAAATACACATTCCCTCCATGCTCCTTGAGGCTAGTAAGAGGAGTCTTACCTTCCCAGCCAATTCCCTACCCCCAGCCATCATACCAATAGAAAGGTTTGATAATCCTGAAGTAAGATCCTAATGCCTTGTTCCTTGTACTGTAGTTTTTTTCAGCTGAAGCCACAACTACACTGCCCTCTTCCTTTAAGGTTCAGAAATTAATCTCAAATATTATCTCCTATGTGGATGCTCTTACTGATTCCTGATCTCTATTACCTGCCCATCAAGATTTAAGCTCATCTCCTTGAAAATCCTGCCCAGAGCACTTTACACTTAAGAAAACCAAATTCTACTTCGAATCAGGGGCTGTGCTCTTGCCCTGGCCCTCCTCCACCCCCAGCCTGTAACGTAGGACCAAGGCATGGGGATTGATAAGCCTTTGTTAAACTGAATCCAAAATGTTTACTGACCATTTATGTTCAAAGCTTAGTGTAAGTGCTGGAGAATAGAAAAGATGTTAAACTAATACTTACTGAACACTAACCGCTGTGTCTAGCCTGGGGCAATGGACAAGTTCAGCTTGGTCCTTGAACTCCTAGTGAAAGCAGTCATGGAAAAGCTCCTTGACTGCTTTCATGGACCCTAGGTGAACTACATGTACTTATTCACCTACAGAAAATGGCCATTTGCAGACATTCCCCCAACCTAAACTTTTATCAAGAAATTTGTATCTCTTTTGGTGGAAAGTAACCCAAGAATACGGCTAAACAAAGAGCCAAGCAGATAAACATGCATTACCACTAATTAACAACTTCATCTTAATACGAAAAAAAAAAACCACTCTACATATTCTGTTTACACGTTTTCAATTTTTTTCTAAGAGGCAAAGCTGAAAGGGGAACATAAGAAAATCAGCCTGATAGTGGAGTCCACACACTTCCTCTATGCGGGGCACTATGCTAAGCATATTACATGCAGAATCTCATTTAATCCTCGCAGGGGCCCTATGTCATCATCTCCATTTTACAGATGAGGAAATGAAGCTTAAGGAGAGGTTAAGTGTCTTGTCCCAGAGCACACAGCAGGGAAGAGGCAGAACTGGAATAAAAATCCAGCGTGTCAATTTCAGAGCCCAAGCTCGTAATTAACTGATGCCACATGTCCTGAATAATAATTTGGCTTAAACCTTAAATTTTGCAAAAATGTTGAAAACCTGTCAGAAAGGTATGCATGGGAAGATGTCTAACAAAAGTGTGTCATAACCAAAATGTAAGCATGAAAGCTAAAACATAAGATGAATGGGAAAAGTACCAGACACAAATGTTATGTTGGAGAATCTTACAAGATGTGTAGTTTTTTTTTTTCCCCCCTGGAGAAAAAAAAAGTTCAAGATCTATTCAATCTCTAGGACTAGTGATTTCCTAACTCTTATCAAAAGCTAAATAAAACAAGACCAAAAAAATTAAAGCTTATTTTTAAAACTGTCGGCCAGGCATGGTGGCTCATGCCTGTAATCCTAGCACTTTGGGAGGCCGAGGCAGGTAGATCACCTGAGGTCAGGGGTTCGAGACCAGCCAGGCCAACATGGTGAAACCCCATCTCTACTAAAAGTACAAAAATTAGCCGAGCATGGTGGCGGGTGCCTGTAATCCCAGCTACTCAGGAGGCTGAGGCAGGAGAATCGCTTGAACCCAGGAGGTGGAGGTTGCAGTGAGACGAGATTGCGCCATTGCACTCCAGCCTGGGCAACAGGGCAAGATACTGTCTTTAAAACAAACAAAAAAAATGCCTTTCTAATCTTTAGGGCAATCATCTTAAAAGAGTAGGCATTATTCCCATTTTAGGGACAATAATAATTCCTGTTTTACAGACGATAATTATGGCTAACACATATTGAGCCTGTACTATGAGGCACCACTCTAAAAGTTTTACATGTAGCAACACATTTACTGGCACAGAGAGGTTAAGTAATCTGCCGAAAGTCACAGAGCTAATAAGTGGCAAAACTAGGATGGACAATGAAAGCTCAAAAAGGTTAAACAATTTGCTCTAAGGCCATCAAGCTGTCAGTCATGAAGCCATCAGACCAACACAAGGTAGGCCGGCCTGTCTCCTCCCACTTGTCATCTGCCTGGTCCCAGGGGCATATTTGGATTCCTGCACTCACCAGGGCCCAGTGGGGAATGCCTAAGGGATGGCAGGATAAAGCCCTAGAGCCTAATGCAACCTGAAGAGCACAGGCCTCATCTACAGGGGCCATGACCTTCAATTCTTAAAGAGGAGACAGAAATAGAGATCTTGATTTAAAAAAAATCTCTAGATTGTTTAATATCGCCTCAATGTTTTCTAAAAAGCATCATGTAGGCCAAAGAAAACATGTCTCCTCGGGCTATCAGATTACAACTGCTCTTTACTTATTAAGAGTCTTAGGTCAAAAGATGAGCTGTATGATCACATCCAAAAAATGTCAGAAATCAGAGCTGCTGGGCCAAGCCGACTCAACTCAATTCCTCTCTATGACTCAACTCAATTCCTCTCTAAGTACAACAAAGATTTACACTGGATTTGCCCTCCAGGCAAACTTTTACCTCCTCTAACTCTTCCCCAGGCCTTCTTCAATCCGGACTTATAGCTGTGGCAATATCTATTCAAGTTACCAAAACTGCACATGAAATTTGCATATTTGGATTCCTGCAAATGTCATTCAATCTCAACTTTTAAAAGTTACCGCACATTAATGCAGCAAAAGAAAGCATTTCCCACATCCTAGCCTGCCAACTCTTAAACTACATTCATTCTGAAGAAAAAGCTGCCACAGCCTTGACCACTACCTTGAAGGGGTCCCCACACTGCAGGCCAGCTCTGAGAATTCCGCTAGAGACACCGAGGTTCATTTCCTCGTGTCCTTCTTTAATCAGCTGGAAGAGACTTGAGGAAATGAGTCAAAACCCTAAGGGTAACTTCGAAGGGCTGTCAACAACAGCAGCAAAATTCATCACCACCACAACATCTGTACATAAATGTTCTCCAAGGGAAGCCCGCAGAATACTTGGCACATTTCTGATGAGAATTTCTTTTGGGAGAAAAAATGGCTTTGGATGGTAGATTGTCATTATTTCTCACCATGCTATCCAGGGTAAATAGCCAATGACATCAGCCATTATTGGGGGTGTTCTCTTTCACACCTATGCACAAGACCATTTTTATGTTTTGGAGTGGGAGATGGATTTTTAACTGGCTTGCATCATCCTTTTAGAAACAGCTTACCTTCATTTCTGAGGGACGCTAACTGGAATGAGATAGCTAACAACTAAGCCAACATACCACAGGGTCAAATGCCTACAGCCCTTCCTCCAAGCTAAAATTTAATTAATCCTCCCTCCACAAATAATCCGCTTTCATAAGACACGCAATTCTAAATATTTTTCACCAAAATTGGGAAGGTAGTGACATTGGCCATCCTGTATTCCCAGAACTTCCAACAATCCCTGGCACATAGTAAAAACTCATTAAATATTTTTGAATGAGTCTTACAACAGATTCTGGTGAATCATGTGAATGGCTATAGAGCTGGGCACATGCAGCCAATCTCATCAGGCTTCACCACTGATGATTTAGGGCTTATCCTTAGCCAGTTTCTCCAGCTGTAAAATGTTAGGGGTAATAATAGTACTACTTCCTAGGCTCATTGAGACTACTAGAAATAGGTAAAGCCCCAAGCAAAAGGCCTGGCACACAGTTTCCAACTGAAGAGCAACAACTATGTACACCACACATGTCATACGAAACTTAAGGCCCATTAGAAAGCATGCTATAAATGCATAGCATTACATGATTTACAGAGTCATGAGAAAAAAAATGGGAATGAGTGGGGGAAAAAACAGAATAGGGATAAATGAATTATCTGGGGTCTCTTATTTCCAGCAGGATAATAATTTAGAGTGCCTTGTGTCCAGCTGCTGAGAATGACTCCAGCCTCACACCTGCAGGAACGAAACGGGGAAGGTATGATTCACTATTCCTAGCAGGTTCATCCTGTTAGGCACAGGAGCTGTAATACTTGGGGGGCGGGGGCCCTCAAAGGGCAATGCAGAGGAATATATGGGAATTGAAGGGCAGTAAGCATAAGCCACAGCTCCTTGCTTCAGTCAGGGGCAGACCGGTCAGATGCACCCATACTCTATGACTTCCCTGTGAGCAGGAGAGGCAGAGGAATTTCAAAGAGGCAGACAGGGGCCAGGGGAATAGTTAAAAAGAGTGCTGAGTCTACACTCAGAACATTGGAGGAGAATTCTGGACCCAAAGGATCCTTCATGATGCAGATGCCTCCTTGTACTCTGGAGGACACTGCGTTTCCCAGAATTTAAGCAACCTGCCCTAAGCAACCTGGCCAAGGGCACGCAGCCAAGAAATGGCAGAGAAACCGAGAACCCAGGGGACAGAGCAAGGCTTTGTCGTTACACCACACTGCCCCCCCAGGAGACAGACCTTAAAATTCCCTTTGCCAAAAATCTATTGGGGAGAAGAAAACCATTGATTCTTTTAATTTTTTAAAAGGGAGATATTCGATGTGGTCTTTCTAGTCTCCTACTAGGTTCTAGTTCACATAGCTTAACTGATATTAAAAAGGTCAAGGCACAAAAACATAAAGACCAGATGTGTTGTTTTAAGCTAGGTGATCAAATCCTCCAGAGAATCCGAACACTCCCTCGTGACCCCTGCTGACCCCTCCTGCTGCACAGGGGTCCAGATGCAAGGCCTCTCTGCCCCCCACAGGAAAGCCCTCACAATAGTTACAAGTCCAGGACGCTGCAGACTGCGCCTGGAGACTTTATAGAGAAACTGACCGGTAGTCGACAGTCTCAAAACCGTTCATTGCGCCGCTTCCTTTCAAGCGCTTGATTCCAGCTAAGACTCACTTTCTATCCTTACATCATCAGGGTAACCTTAAAGGTTTGTTTTAAAAAATGACCTGGGAGATAGCAGGGCTTCAGGGGTGAGCTGGGCGACCTGCACTCGCCCGCACCAGCGACACCTGGAAAAAAGGGAACGGGAGGCAGGAATCTGACCAAGGGGCTCCAGCAACCTGCAAATCCTTCACCTAAGACCCAGTTCCCGCGCGGATATACCTGGATTTCTGTTATAGCTTTAAGAACTGAGTAGGATTTGCAGAAAGTTCCACGCCATCTCCCACCCCACCCCCAGGCAGCCCTGAAGTATAGAAGTCCCGGGGGCGGGGAGGCGGGCGGTCACGAATCTCAAAAATTTCCGAAGAAAACAGGACCTGCGAATACAGGTCGCAGACACCGGGAACTAGGGGCTTTCAGAACCCGCCAGGCAGGCCGGGCACTCTGGCCGGCGTGCTAGGCGGTTGGAGTCAGGGAACGCAGAGTCCCAGCACGCTGTCCCTTGCCTTCCCGGAGCAGGCGGCAAACACAGCCTCCAGCCGCCCCGGGGCGCGCGGCAGGAATGAAACGGCGCCGCGGCAGAAAGGGGCGAGCACGGGATGTACGAAAGCAAAAAGTCTGCAACCTAGCGGCTGCTTTCCACACGCCCTGCCCAAGTTGTCCCTGTCGCCACCACCTCCAGGCTCGCGGGAGTCCGGCCCCACAACAGCCCCACGCCGCGCACTCCCAGCGCAAAAGCCTAACCCGGAGGCGGGGAAACGCCGCAGCCTTCGATTGGTCTCCACGGGTGGCGCCGCGAGCAGAGGCGGCAGCGGGTCGGTCCCCAGCTCTGGGCACAAAGAGCGCCTGCGGTTGGAAGGCAGTAGCCGCAGAGCAGAGAAAGGGCTCTCTAACTTTGCCCTCAGCGCGGCGGAGAACCTGCAGGCAGGTCCTCCCGGGCGCCGGTCACACACACGCAACTTTTAACAAAAGGAAGCTGCGGCCGCGCCTCGCACGGCAAGAGAAGGCGCTCGGTGCAAACCCCTGAGCCCCCCGCCTCCGCCCCCCGCGCAACGTCGGCACAAAAGCCACCCCAAACTCGCACGGAGCCTGCAGCCTCGCTCACGCCTAACCCCCTCTTGCTGTCCCCATTCCCGAAGAACCCCGGATTCGCGTCCCCCACCACCAGCAGCTGGGGTCTCCTCGCGCAGGTGAGCGAGGCAGGGCGCCGGAGAGTCCGAGGGCCACCTGGAGTCTCCCCGGAGGCTGGAACGCACGGGCACTGAGGGCCCGCAGTCCTCTCTCCGGATGCACCCTGGCGGGTACCACCCTCCCAGGCACAGGCTTCGCCGAGTAGTCGCACGGTCGGGGTGCCAGCCGCGGTGTCCCACCTGTCTGGACGCGAAGCAGTAGGAGCAGAACGCAGAGAAAATCCCAGGCGCCGCGAGCGCCTCTCATCGCGGTAGCTGCGATGGGATCCGAGCTCTGGTCCACGTTCCAGCTCTCGCCCAAGTGCAGCGAGCGCGGCAAAGCCGAGCCCCCAGAGCCGCGAGCGGCGAGCAGCAGCCCCTCCTCCCAGCGCCCTCCCTCTGCGCGCCGGCCACGCCCCTCCTCGCCTCCCCTCCCTCGCGCCCGCCCGGGTCTCGCTTCTTCCCGGCGGCGTCTGGCCCCTGCTCTTTCGACGTGTTAATGCCGGGGGGCCGTGCCCGCCGGGAGGAGGAGGGCGCGCGCGCCCTCTCTCCCCGCTCTTGACTCCGGAGCCCCTTTCTCTCTCCACCTTTCCACCCCTGGGATGTGGACGGCCAGGCTGAGGCCGTTCCCGGACCAAGGAGGTGCTGCCCGCTCGCTTTGTGAAGCTGGGCACCACGCACACGTTAGGGCACGGGCCCGCCACCTGCCAGGTGCTCCCCAGACAATAAAGGTCGACTGCCCGCCCCTCGAGCACGTTCGGGCGGGAGGAGGCTGGACGCCGCTGCTCGTGGAGGTGGCATGGGGATGGGGAGGGGAGCGTTAGGAAATTGAGCCCCGACATTCCCCTCCAGGCCTGTTAGGAGCTCCTGGCACCGCGGTAAAGGCTGAGCCCGGTTTCGCTAATTGTTTCTGCTCAATTTCTCCACCTGCTTCGTAACCTGTAGGAACACAGTGGGTTCCTATTGGTCGGCGTGGCCTCCGCCCAAGAAGCCCCTGCCGGGACTTGTGTGGAGACAGGGGCGATGGAGGGCGCGTGGCGAAGTTTGCTCTGGGAGCCCAGGTTTTCATACACGTTTTCCCCCCTCCCCCCAACGCTGCCAACCCCAGTAATGATTTCTCTGCCTCTGTAACAGACGACAGTTTTAGGGCTAGGGCTCTTAACTGCCCTTGCCGGTCCCAGGAGCAAAATAAAAGTACAATGATTCTCTTAAGCCCGATTTCACTGCCCAGAAAGTGCCTTACCCACAGTCTCATGGTGGATCCTTGAACGGAAAGCAACAACAGTATCTGTATAGGGGTTAATAGTTCTTCCCCACAGCGACTCGTCTTTTCATGCTCACGATAACAGCTTTGTGAGGAGGGTAGAGCAGGTATGTTTATTATTGTAGTGAGGGAAGACCCAGGGCTTGAACACTTATTGGAAGACCTACTCCAAGAAAGATGAGCTTTCCCTATGCATTCTGATAAACTAATAAGACATCCCTCCTGAGAGCTTAAGAATGGAAAAATAAATGGCAGATGCCCATCAGAAAAAGGGATAGAACAGATACACCTAGACTCTTCTCTGAAGTATCATCCAAAATTTACAGTTGCCCAGCTGCCCCACTTCATTTAATATTGAAAGCTCTCCTGTTGTTTAATAGTGTGAGGACCCAGGTTGATGTAAGAAAAATGATTTTTAAAGCTAATCACTTAAAAATTATCAGTGCTAGAGGGTGATCAAATGATCAATGTGTATAATTGCCTCTCTTTAAATGTAAGTATTTACTCACTCAGCAAGCATTTGTTTAGTGTCTGCTGTGAAGCAAGGAGGAGCTAGGTACCAGGAGTACTATTATTAATAGACAGATATGCAGATGTGGCCCCTGCCCTCACAGTCCTTATAATCAAGTATGGGGACCTACATCCCAATCTCCCAGCAAAAGGTTCGAGTCATGCGGCTGTAGGAGAACTGAAATACCAAAGGTCTCTGTGCTCTGGGCCATCAGATCTCATGTTTTTCTTAGGATGACAGATAAAAGATACCACTCAAAGCAATCATAAGTTTCTGGGATCTTGATTTATTTCTAAAATTCATTTTGTATTGAGAAAAAATCACTATGAGTTAAAATATCAACATTATGCCTGAGAGAGAAAATTTACAATTTTCTTCTTCAATCAGCTGATATTGGAGAGGATAACATCTTCAAAAGAGTGGGTGAAAAGAGACCATATTGCAATTTAATTCTAGGCACGGAACTTCTATCAGGAAAAAAAAAAACTGAATAGGGAGTTATACCATGTTGGACCGTCATTCCTGTTTTTCATTCAGCAAATATCTTTTGAGCACCTAGGTAGGCATAAGACCCACATAAATGAGTAAGACAAAGTCTCTGTCTAGGGGAATTCACAGTCCAGCAGGGAAAATAGGTACTCAAGTAAGAAACTATAATATCTGCTAACAGAGCTTATGTTCAGCCAGTACACACCAATTTGGCCTTATTGGTTGACACAATATTGAAATCCTTCTGTACTGATTACAAAAAAAACCATACCCTAAAATATCTCCCAGCCCAACCTTGAGACACGCTAAATCTCCTTAGATCCAGGAATTAAAATTTTAATGCTGGCCACAACAGAGAGCCTCCAGTACTTGTACCTTTAGGGTTGTTAGCTGTTTTTAATAATACCCACTGCCTGTTACATAAAGAAAGGAAGCATATATATAAGGCACTATGAGTGGACATATATGCTGTAATATATAAGGAACTATATTATAGATCAGCAGTGTCCAATGGAACATTGGCAATGATGGAAATGTTTTATATCTCAGGTAGGATGTATGGATTAATTCTATACTGTATTTTGTGATAGTCCTGGGCATGTTCAGGGATTGTGCTTTATGTATTTCATTGTTTTCATAATTCTTTTAGCAAGGACTCTCGATTGCAACTTATAGAAGCAGCTTAAATTAAGCAAGCAAACAAAGAAGCCTAAATGTATTGGCTCTTATAACCAGAAAGTCCAGGGACAATAGTGTTTCAGACTTTCCTAGATCCAAGGACTCAAAGTTATCAGGACTTGAAGGGCGAGTGTGTGTGGATGCATGTGTGCACAAGTGCACGTACACTTTCCTCCACCTTTATCCTCAATACTTTCCTGTGTTGTTTTGCCAACCTTGTATACACTCAGGGCAGCTCTAGGCTTACAGCTCACTAGTACCAACGGAAGTAGAGTTTTCCTGCCCCCATAAACATCTCCTGTAAAAGTTTATGGGAGAAACCGAGTCTCACTGACCTGGCTTAAGTCATGTGCCCATTGGGAAGGAGCCAGAGGGATGGAGTATGCTGATTGGCCATGTCTGAGTCATGTGCCCACCCCTGAAGCCGGGGTCAGGGATCCACTTCACACCAGAGGCCTGAGATGGGGAAGGGTGCATCCCCAAAGAAAAACTGATGCACCATCAACAGAAGAAAGAGTAATAATGCCACACAAATACAACTAACACAGCTAAAATCTCGAACTTGAAAATATTTTATTATATTTCTGACTGTAAAAGATGCTTATTGTAGAAAATTTGGAAAATACCAAAAATTATAAAAAACAAAAAAGGCACTCAAGATACAATCACTGAAGAGTTTGTTTTAATATGTTCCTTTCTTTTTTCTCTATTTATGTGTGAGGTTTTTTTCCCTTTACATAATTTAAGATCTTGGTATATTTTCAGTTTTCTATCCAGCTTTTTCACAAATAACATGAGCATTATTACAGATCACTAAAAATCCTTTGGAAACACACTGTTTAATGGCAGTATAATGTTCAATTTTATGGATGTACCATAATTCTGGGTGTTTAATCATTTCTCTCTTTTTTTTCCAATTTTTTTACTATCATAAATTACTTGATGATTAATGTCTTGGTGAATAAAACTTGCCTGCTTCTGATTAGTTATTAAGTATGCATTCCTAACCAGGGGTGGAATTACTACAACAAGAGTATAATCCTTTTCAAGTTTGCTTTTTAATAGCTTTTCTTGGTTTTCAGCAATCATCTGAAAGTCTTTTGTCCATAAAGTTGAAGAAATGAATAGATTAATACAATCCCCCGGTTAGATTCTATACTAACAATAACCACTTCACAGTTTGTGAGTCTGAAAGGAGATAATGTATGGTCTTCGTTCCAGCTTTCATTCAGTATTAATTGAACATCTCTGTGTCAGATGTAGTGTATTAGGTGTCAGGGATACCAAGTTAGACAAGACACAGATGCTGCCCTCACAGGATTTCCAGCAAATGAGGGGAGAGATGAATAAAGGGGCAAAAATTACATGGCATGAAGTACTCTAACAGAGCCATGCACAGTGATGTTTGCACACAGAGGAGCACCTGTCCAGTGAGCTCATGTGGCCTCCCAGAGAGGTGGGTATTAGACTCTGAAGGATCAGGAGCGGGGAAAGGGAAAGGAGAGAAGAATGTTCCAGCAGTGGGAAGTACAAACGCACGGGGCTAGAGGCAGGAAACAGCATAAGGAATAGGAAGAACAAGGAGTGCTGCCCAGTCAAGGAAATGGGGCTTGGAGGAGAGTGGGGAGAGTCGAGGCCACAGAGATAGACAAGAACTGTAAATACTCCGAAATGAGAACCTCATCCTCTGAGCTACGGGGAGTCACTAAAGGACTTTAAGCTGCAGCCTGTTGTGCTAAGATTTACATTTTTGGAAAGATAGTGAAGAAACTCAGTGAAGGGTGACTTGAAAGGGGGCAAAAGTTAAGGCAGGAAGAAAATGGTAAGGAGCCTAATGCAGTGATCCACAGGAGAAACAGGGAACTGAATTAAGTCCACAGAGGTGAGAATAGTGAGAGGGGATGAATAAGGAAGTTAAGATTCAATAGGCCTGTGTGACCAAAAGTATTGTGGAGCTACATGTGCTCCCATCCAGCAAGACATGGAGGTACTTGTTAGTGGACAGTGAAGGATTTGGAGTTGAGCCTGTTTGTTTCGAGATGCTCGTGGACTTTTTTTTTTTTTTTTTTTTGAGACGGAGTCTCACTCTGTCGCCAAGGCTGGAGTGCAGTGGTGCAATCTCAGCTCACTGCAAGCTCCGCCTCCCGGGTTCACGCCATTCCTCTGCCTCAGCTTCCCGAGTAGCTGGGACTACAGGCGCCCGCCACCATGCCTGGCTAATTTTGTTTTTGTATTTTTAGTAGAGATGGGGTTTCACCATGTTAGCCAGGATGGTCTCAGTCTCCTGACTTCAGCCTCCCGAAGTGCTGGGATTACAGGCATGAGCCACTGTGTCCGGCCGACTTTTTTTTTTTTTTTAATTATTTTTTTCGGAGACAAGGTCTCCTTCTGTTGTCCAGGCTGGAGTGCAGTGGTGCCCTCATAGGTCCCTGCAGCCTCGAACTCCTGGGATCAAGCCATCCTCCTGCCTCAGCCTCCTGAGTAGCTGGGAGTACAGATACATGCCATCACACTCGGCTAATTTTTTTAAAGAGATGAGGTCTCACTGTGTTGCCCAGGCTGATCTCAAACTCCTGAGCTAAAGCGATCCTCCCACCTCAGCCTCCCAAAGTGCTGGGATTACAGACATGAGCCACTGCACCAGGCCAGACTTCTTAACACTAGATATGGAAGCCTGGGGCTCAGCACAGGACCAGGCTGCAGAGAGGGGACTGCAGCCTCAGATTTGCATGAGGTCACTCTGGATAAAATGTACATTGCAAAGAAAACAGAGGAAAGATGTCCTCTCCTTGGGGAATACCCGTAAGGGACAGGCAGAGAGTACCCCATAAAGGGGCCGGGCATGGTGCCTCACACCTGTAATCCCAGCATTTTGGGAGGCCAAGGCAGCAGATCATTTGAGATCAGGACTTTGAGACCAGCCTGGCCAACATGGCAGAAACCTGTCTCTACTAAAAATACAAAAATTAGCTGGGTGTGGTGGCAGGCCTCTGTAGTCCCAGCTACTCGGGAGGCTGAGGCAGGAGAATCACTGGAGTCTGGGAGGCAGAGGTTGCAGTGAACCAAGATCGTGCCACTGCACTCCAGCGTGGGTGACAAAGCAATACTTTGTCTCAAAAAAAAAAAAAAAATACCCTTTAAAGGATCCCAATAAGCAGAGGTCAGAAAGGCAAAAAAGGGCTGTGGCAAAAGGAGATTTTCAGGAAAGCTGGAGTGTTCAACTGTATCATATCTCATAGGGAGGTCAAATAAGATAAGGGCAGAAAAGCATCAGCGGGAGTTTGTAATCATAATAAGAACTGACAACGTCTACCAAAGTTCTAAATTCTTTATATACAGTAGCTCATTTAATGTTTCCAAGAACTCTACCAGGTAGATACTCTTGTTCTCCCCATTTTGCAAATGAGGAAACTGAGGCACAAGGAAGGCACAAAATTTGAATCCTATGCCGGGATTGGAACCCTTGACATAGCCCCTGTGCTTAATTACTGTAATATCTCACGTCCCTAAACCTGCAAGTCTTTGGTAACTTTAAACACATATTGTCACACCTACACACCCACTACACACATACACAGTGTGTGGGGCCAGAATTCAGAATGTAGTGGGTTGAACAATACATTAGAAGTGAAGAGGTAGGCCCAGGGATTTATTCCTTGGAAAGTTTTCAGGTTTGGTGGTATGAGGAAAGAGGGGGAAGAGGCAAGAGATTAAGGGAAGATTGGGGAGCCCTGTGTGTTTGTAGGCTCTGCTGAAAGCACCAGAGAAAACAGATCTTGGGCTGGCACAGTGGCTCTTTCCTACAACCCCACCACTTTGAGAGGCTGAGGTGGGAGGATGGCTTGAGCCTGGAAGTTGAGACCAGCCTGGGTAACATGGCAAAATCCCGTCTCTACAAAAAATACAAAAATTGGCTGAGTTTGGTGGCGCGTGCTGATATTCTCAGCTACTCAGGAGGCTGAGGTGGGAGAATCGCTTGAGCTGGGGGCAACAGAGTGACACCCTGTCTCAAAAGAGAAAAAAAAGAAAAAGAAAAAAGAAACAGATCTGGAAGATCCAGGTGAGGGGGGAGGGTGATTTGAAAAGGGAAGTGGAAACACAATCTAAAGCCAAGATGGAAGAATGAACATTAGAAACCAGAAGGAACAAGTCCAGTGAGAAATGGAAGTGTGTAGGGTGAATTTAAAAACCCTAGAGTCCCAATGTATATATGAGTATTTAAAATATGATACTAATAGGTAACTCTTTCATAATTATCAACAATCATTCCTGAGAACTTCCTACAACAAAGGCACTGCACAGAAATACATGTGTACATACATACATAAAGTAATAGGGCATCTTATCTAAATCTGTGTTGCTTCCCAGATTTAGGAGTATTTCTAAACTTTAGAGTTCCGTAAATCTCCTTAGCACATGGTTCAGACATCTTTTAAGTCATACATCTTTTTCTGGCTTATATAACAATTATTTGTAACCTTGTCACAGCCTCTTTACTAAATCATAAATTATTGGAGGAAATTGTACTGTAAGTCAACTGTGAGTCTCAAACAAAGGGCTTGCCCAAAACAAAGCCAGGCAGGCCAGGCACCCAACAGGCACTGTGTTTACAAAACCATAATTGCTGACAAATTATGCATCTGGAGGCTTTTCCCTATGTTTTTTACTTCATCAGGATTTGTTTTGGCCCCAGGAAATCCAATATATTATTATTATTGTCATAAATTTGTATAATCCAAATCTATGTTAATCTCATAGTGAACATCATGACTCTTTTTACTTTTATTATTTTCCTTCTGATCTGATAAAGAAGTTACATTACATTGCTGCAGGAGAAAAACCTGGTTTTCTTCTTCTTTTTATTTTATTTTATTTTATTTTATTTTATTTTGAGATGGAGTTTGGCTCTTGTTGCCCAGGCTGGAGTGCAATGGCATAATCTTGGCTCACTGCAACCTCTACCTCCCAGGTTCAAGCGATTCTCCTGCCTCAGTCTCCAGCCTCTCGAGTAGCTAGGATTACAGGCATGTACCACCACACCCGGCTAATTTTTTGTATTTTTAGTAGAGACAGGGTTTCTGCATGTCGGTCAGGCTGGTCTCGAACTCCCAACCTCAGGTGATCCGCCCGACTCAGCCTCCCAAAGTGCTGGGATAACAGGCATGAGCACCTCGCCCGGCCCTTCTTTTTATTCTTAAGAATAAAAGTCTTAAATGGTTGAGTAAATACAAGGAGTAAATATGTGTTTAACACAAGAAAGAGTAAAGATAAATCAAGTTTCCTGATTGGTGGGGGACTGGGGAGACAGAACTGTTTATAATCTGTATGCAATTCTTAACATTTGCAACTAAATGATCTCAGATTAGGGACTGCCCCTCATTCTTTTTTTTTTTTTTTTTTTTTTTGAGATGGAGTCTTGCTCCGTCACCCAGGCTACAGTGCAGTGGTATGATCTCAGCTCACTGCAACCTCCACCTCCTGGGTTCAAGCAATTCTCCTGCCTCAGCCTCCTGAGTAGCTGGGACTACAGGCACCCACCACAATACCCAGCTAATTTCTATATTTTTAGTAGAGATGGAGTTTCACCATGTTGGACAGGCTAGTCTCGAACTCCTGACCTCATGATCCGCCTGCCTCAACCTCCCAAAGTGCTGGGATTACAGGCATGAGCCATCTATCCCTCATTGTTGATTGACAGAAACTATTAACACAATGGAAAAATAGCAACATGAACATGGCCTTTATTATACAGGTGCTGTAGCATAAACCATTCCGAACGACAGGAGTCTCTGATCATTACTAGACCACAGGCCTCCAGTGGTTAAAGTGACTCTGGAGATGGGTATATTTACTTGGCAGGGACCCGAGGCAAGAGGAAAGAGATAAATGAGGAAAGGTTGACTCTACAAGGTGTGTTTTTTAAAACACACCTGATATTTTGAGTTGCGTATAAGTAGGGTGATCATATAATTTATCATCCATACTAGGACACTTCTAGTAGTGAAAAAGAACAAAAGGCATCAACTAGGCACTCCAGGATGAACGGTTATCCTGAGGATAGGGGTTGTGGAAACTTCTCTGCTGCCACCCTTTTCAGTTAGGAATCAGGTCTCTTCTATCCCTAAGGCCCTTTAGGACAGAAATGCCCTGGAAATGTGGCTGCAAGTACTGAATGCTTTTGACCTCAGCTTCAGAGGAAGGTGTGAAGATTGTGGGGTGTCAGGGAGAGAGAGAGAGAGCTTAAGCCAGTTGAAAAACACCAATAGGGGGCCGGGCACAGTGGCTCACACCTGTAATTCCAGCACTTTGGGAGGCAGAGGCAGGCGGATCATAAGGTCAGGAGTTCGAGACCAGCCTGGCCAATATGGTGAAACCCCGTCTCTACTAAAAATACAAAAATTAGCCGGGTGTGGTGGCACGTGCCTGTAGTCTCAGCTACTTGGGAGGCCGAAGCAGGAGAATCGCTTGAACCCGGGAGGTGGAGGTTGCGGTGAGCCGAGATCACGCTACTGCACTCCAGCCTGGGCGACAGAGCAAGACTCTCTCCAGAAAAAGAGAGAGAGAAAGGAAAGAAAGAAAAACACCAATAGTATTGACTTGCATATTAAAAAAAAAATTTCTGGCCAAAATAATCATCATTCTCATTATCATTAAATAATACATAATTGTATATTCATGGCATAATGATTGGAATACCCATCTTTTTACTACACAAGTGACTTTAAGACTTATTTATGGGCCATAACCATATCAAGATATAATACTAGCTAATGTTTATTAATTAATCCTGATGGTTCATGTGCTGATGGAAGTGTTTGCTTGTATTATCGCATTTCTCCTTCAAACAACGCTTTGAGGTAGGTCTATCATTAGCCCCATTTTACAGATAAGGAAAGGAAGGCACTGAAAGGTCAAGTGACTTACTTGAGATCACCTGGTTAGGAAGTGGTGGAGGTAGGCTTGGAACCCAGGTAGCCAGCTGGGCCCATGCTTGTAGTCTCAGCTACTCAGAAGGCTGAGGCAGGAGAATCACTTGAGCCCAGGAGTTCTAGATCAGCCTGGACAGCATAGCAAGATTCTATCTCAAAAATAAAATAAAATAAAATAAAATAAAACAGGCTGGGCGTGGTGGCTCACAGCTGTAATCCCAGTACTTTGGGAGGCCAAGGCCAGCGGATCACTTGAGGTCAGGAGTTCAAGACCAGCCTAGCCAACATGGTGAAACTCCATCTCTACTAAAAATACAAAAATTAGCTGGGTATTGTGGTAGGCGCCTGTAATCCCAGCTACTCGGGAGGCTGAGGCAGGAGAATTGTTTGAACCCGGGAGATGGAGGTTGCAGTGAGCAGAGATCACACCACTGCACTCCAGCCTGGGCAACAAAGCGAGACTTCGTCTCAAAAAAAAAAAGAAAAAGAAAAATAGAATAGAATAGAATAGAATAGAATAGAATAGAATAGAATAGAATAGAATAGAATAGAATAGAATAGAAAGAACCCAGGCAAACCTCCACACTGCTGCCTCCCTCTGCACCACGGGACTATAGTGCACTATTGTTCCATTTTAATAGTAGGTTTTCAACTTCACACTTTACTGTTTAGAACCAAAGGGATTTTTTTTTAGCCATCTCTGTGTCCTCTACAGTGTCTTATACTGAATAAAAGTTCAAAACTTGCTTCCTGCAGACCAACTATAAAAATAAATATGTGTGGCAAATGGGATAATTTGAACACTGACAGGATATTTGATGATTTTAAGCAAGATAATTTTTAAGGTGTGATAATAGCATTGTACTAACCTTAAAAACAGAGTCTTTATAGTTTAGTGATATATTCAGTACTTATGATGAAATCCTATGATGCCTGAGAGTCACTTCAAAATTTTCCAGTGGAGCGGGGGTGAGGGGCAGTAGGACGTGGGTGGGAAGATAGATGAAGCAGGATTGGCCAAATGGTTGCTGAAGCCTGGGAGGCAGGATGCAGAGGTTCGTTATACTTTTGTAGATGTTTAACTTTTTCCACAATAAACAGTGGTTTTAAATTGTTGACGGTATTTAACCAAATGGAGAAAACCAAGGGAATGACAGGACCATAGTCAGCAAAATCTTTGCCCTGCACTCTTATCAGCAAGTTTGAGCCTTGTCCAAATCCCTTCAATGCTCTGGACCTACTGTTGTCCCTCTTAAAATGAGAGGTTTGCCCCAGATGATCTCTTATCTCTGAGGTTCCATCCAGCTCTAAAATTTTAATTATCTGATATGAGGGCAATAGTTAAAGGAAAAGGCAGGGTGCGGTGGCTCACTCCTGGAATCCCAGCACTTTGGGAGGCCAAGGCAGGCGAATCACCTGAGGTCAGGAGTTCAAGAACAGTATGGCCAACATGGTGAAACCTCGTCTCTACTAAAGATACAAAAATTAGCCAGGCATGGTGGCATGTTCCTGTAGTCCCAGCTACTCAGGAGGCTGAGGCATGAAAATGGCTTGAGGCTGAGGCAGGAAAATGGCTTGAACATGGGAATCAGAGGTTGCAGTGAGCTGAGCTCACCCATTGCACTCCAGCCTGGGCAACAGAGTGAGAATCTGTCTCAAAAAACAAAAAGAAAAGAAAAGAAAAAAAAAGTGAAAGGAAAAAAGAATGTTCCCTAACTCTTTGTCCTGGCTAGCTCTGGTGGCCAAGTGGAGCTACTGAAACCACTCCAACTTCTCTCTTCATTCCTCTTCAAACACTGCACCTTTTGCTTTCACTCCCTAGCTGTGTGACCTTGGGCAAGTTATTTAACCTTCCTGCACCTCAATTTTTTCATCTGTAAAATAGGGTGAGAATAGGGTCATAACCACCTCCTAGGGCTATGATGACTATTACATGAGTTAATATATGTAAAGTGCTAAAAGCAGTGCCTGGCATATAGGAAGCACCCAATAAATGACAGATATACATTTTTTTACTATTCCAGTTGTATAGCTATTAAAACTAATTGTGGCTCAGTGAGGATATGCGATTTAGCCAGTCTATCCATTTTAATAAACAGTGGAGAGAGTGGACGTTTAAACGCAATGTTTAAACCATAAATCCAACGTTGCTTCTACTCAAATTGCCCTCTTAGGGCATTATTATGAAAAAAAGCAAAGTATGAAAAATTATACTAGACAACAATCTAGGAGGATCAGGTAGTATCCCAAGACTCCAGCAGTCATCAGAAAATAAGTTAACATTTGTTGTTAACCACAAAAACTTCATCTGAGTCTCAGACTGTGGCCTCTGGGTCTTGGAGCCAGCCAGCCTCTCTTCCAGACAGCTTGGAGCCTGGCACAGTGCAGTTGGAGAGCGCTGGGTGGCTGGAAGGTAAATTACACCAGCCAGCAAAAGCCAGCCCAGCAGGGAGAAGGGGACAGGGGCATTCTTTTGTTTGCATACTGAAAAGCTTCTTAACCATGTACACTGAGCCTTTTGGAAAGAACTGGGCCTCTGGGCTGACCTCAGGTGACCAGGAATTATTTTTCAAATTGTCCCTTATTATTAGTAATTTTTCCAGCAACTCTTCCATCATTGGCATCTCTGCTGTAGCATTAATCTATCTTCTCAAGAGTATTTTTTAATAATGCTTTTAGAGATGTCATGCGCCAAAGAAATAAGATTAATCTCTGTTTGTTCACACAAAGTTTAAAGATGTGTTGTTAAAGAAAAAGAGAAAGTCGGCCAGGTGAGGTGGCTCACACCTGTAATCCCAGCACTTTGGGAGGCTGAGGCCGGCGGATCACCTGAGGTCAGGAGTTTGACACCGGCCTGACCAACATGGTGAAACCCCATCTCTACTAAAAATACAAAAATTAGCCAGGCGTGGTGGCACACACCTGTAATCCCAGCTACTTGGGAGGCAGAGGCAGGAGAATTGCTTGAACCTGGGAGGTGGAGGTTGCAGTAAGCCGAGATTGCGCCATTGCACTCCAGCCTGGGCGACAAAAACAAAACTCCGTCTCAAAAAGAAAGAAAAGAGAAAGTCACAGAATAACATGTGTAGGATAATTTGAATTAGGTTAAATATTAGGTTAAATCATACCAAGATGCTGATAATGTGACTTTATATAAATATATCTCTGAAAAGACATGAACCAAACTGTTAATTGCTCATCTTTGGCTAGGAGGGTAAAATTAAGGAATGAGGGGGAGGGGGCTAGGTAGAGGAGTTCACTTCTTCCTCTGTTTGTTTCTGTAATGTTTGAACTTTTATTCAAACATGTTCATGTATTACTTTTACATTTTAAGAAATAAAAAAATAAGTTGCTATTTGCCCAATTTAGCTATGGCAAATATTTTCTGGAATGAACTTAGGAATTAATAAATATTTATGTCAAATTAAACATCCCTATTCTGAAATGCCCTTGCATTTTGCATATATGAGGACTACACACTTCAGATGTCACAGACTTTCAGGTTCCCACCTGATTGAATCCCGTATTTTTCTCAGTGTGACTATTTATTTATTTAGGAGGAGAATGAGGATACTTCTATTTTCATTTGTTTTTAAATGGGGAAAACATTTCTAACCCCTAAGACTGGTTAGGGGCCCTTGGATGGATTTCACTTGTCCCTTGTGTGCCTACAGACACACACCTTCTATGTCTTTGTACTTCTCACACTGTGTTGTGATCTCCCTCTTACGTGCTCCTGTCTCCCAGCCTCCCACCTCCCCCACTACAAGCAACTGGAAAATAAACACCATGTCTGTTCATTGTGACCTCTCCAGCCTAGAATGTCTAGCATAATAGGAACTCATCAACATTCATTAAATGAATGAAAGCTTGCATGCATGGAGGAGGGAGGAAATTCTTTTTCATAAATTGTTCATTTTTATCTTAAAGAAAATATGCATACCACGGTTATAGCAATGACAGAGCAGGACTTTAAAGAATTACTCATGTAATGGTTCAAGGGCAATGAGCTAAAAGCAAATCAGAAACTTCTTCATGTTTTGTTCAAAGCCCACTAACACTTCAACATGTATTAAATGTTAATAAGCAGCTATCTGGGTCAGTGGGTTAAGTAATAGCAATGGTAGAAGGTGAGAGGTGAAGAAATACACGGAAATTACATTCGGGGATGGTTTGGCTCACCAGAGCGCAACTTGTATTAATAGCATGCAAGTGATTTAACCATGTTATCTTTTTCTCTTTTCCTCATACAGCAGGCTTGGTATGGTGACAACATTCCCTTGACTCAGGCATGTGCAGGGCATGGTAAAATTTGGAACACATCAGAAAGTATCCAAGGGTTAGGTATGGGGTCACCTTCTCCTCCTTAGAGAACGAGAGAAAAAGATAATCACTACATTTAACAAAACTGTTCAGAAGCTGGTTCTACAGTTTGTGGCTCATCTTTTCCCTATGCCTTGCATTTTACCAGTTTTCTACACATTTTCATGAAGGCCAAGAAAAGAAACAAAGATTTTGTAAATACAAAATTACTGCTCCTTAATAGGAATACAAAATAATAATAATAGTGAGAGCTAATTTTTTGTGTTTACTGTGTGCCAGGTAGATTCCTAAAATCACTGGTTACAGTGGAGGAGTGGTTTTGCACACCAGAGGACATTTGGCAGTGCCTGGAGACATTTTCAGTTGCCACAACTAGGGGAGGAGGAGAGTGGGGAGGTGAAACTGGCATTTAGTGGATGGAGGCCAGGGTGCTGCTAAACATCTTGCAATGCACAGGACAACCTCCCACAACAAAGGATTATCCAGCCCACATCGCAATAGTGCTGAGGTTGATAAATCCTGCTTTCAATAAATTATCTCATTTAAAACCCAAAACGACCCTAGAATAGTGTCATTTCCATTTTACAGATGAGAAAAGTGAATTACGGAGAGGCTAGGTAGGTCTGTTGCTTCAGACCACACAGTTAGTAAGCAGCACAGCAGCTTTCCAGAACAATCCTGTCTGACTCTGGAGGTCTTAACCTTGACCGCCGTGTATTGGCAGGAAAGCAGCAAATAATCTTGTGTTACACTGTGGCTTTTATGATTACATGACAGAGAATTGCTGCCATAAATTCCTAGAGTCCATCACTGTCACCGTATAGGAACTTGGAGGCAGGTGTCTTCAACTCCATCTGTTCTCTTAGCTCAAAGTGTGATTTCTATGAGTGTATTAATTGCTCTTTGCCATCTTTCCAACCAAAACATTCTGAAATTGTATTATTTTTAGTAAGATAATATTAATCTATAATTAGTAACAGTCCTACTTAATAAAGGCACGTATAAAGTTTATAATTCTCCAAAATAATAAAAAGTATTAGCAAAGTAATAAAATATCAAATTCAGTCTTTTCTCATTCCATGGGATTCTTCTTCCCATGCATATTGGTGGGCAGAATGTATCTGAAGTTATGTGAAATTCATGAAACAGCCTTATGTTCTTTACCAGCCATCATTTCCCACAGTTTATAGGAATAGAACCTTTAAGTATGTCTCTACCAGAGCAGTACAATAATGCCAGACCCAGCAATAAGCCATTTTGCATGGCTATAATTGCATTTTATACATAAGGGCTCCCTTTCCCTCCAGTGTCCCCAAAGGCCTGCCATTGGTAGATTTTGCTGAAAATCATCCATTTTCTACGAGGCTGAAACAGGTCCCATATATAATGGACCAATGTAAAACATGCTAGAAATAGTAATACGTATGTTTCGTCCCCTTCTCAATGGGTTATGCATCTTTTTCATTGTTACTTCTTGTCATAATAAGATTTCTTGCTTATTGGTTTATTACATTTGACTTAATAATTTCCATTCTATATGTCTTAGAACACTTTCAGCTTTGACAGCAAATGAAAGCAGGGATATCCAGAACCATTCAGTTCCCCAGTCTGAACCTCAAACTCCCATTACTGATTCAGTGGCCAAACTTCCTTGTATTGCTCATAAAGTACCAAAAAATTGCTTAGACTACAGTGAAAGACATAAAGGGGAAATTCATAAAGGAGGTGAGAGGAATCCTTAAATAATTAAGCTGTGATTGTTTTTTATGTATGCTTTTAATGAAAGAGTATATTAGAATAAAATAATACATATTATTTATTTTAACAGAATAATTCAATTTACTGGAAGGACTGTTATTCAAATCTAACCTTAAATTAACAGTTAACAAATGTTAATGAACGAAATATGAATGGATAGTTTTTTGTTTTCTTTTTTAATTTTTTTAGATTTAAGGCAGAAGATAATGACAAACCCAAGTTAGAAAACTCAATAGAACTTTGCTTCTTCCGCGCCCCACCCATCCTCCATCATTCCCGCCTCTCCAATCCATGCTGCACACTGCAGGGAGAGTTATTTTTCTAAAACAAAAATATGATATTTCTGCCTGGGCACGGTGACTCACACCTGTAATCCCAGCAATTTGTGGGGACAAGGTGAGAAGATTGCTTGAGCCCAGGAATTCAAGACCAGCCCGGGGAACATAGCGAGGCTTTGTCTCTACAGAAGAAAATTTAAAAATTAGCCAGGTGTGGTGGCACACACCTGTGGTCCCAGCTACTCAGAAGGCTAAGGTGGGAGCAACACTTCAGCCTGGAAGGTTAAGACTGCAGTTTGCCATGATCGCAACACTGCACTCCAGCCTGGGCAACAGACTGAAACCCCTCCTCAAAAAAAAAAAAAAAAAAGGTATTTCTGACGCCTGTCTCAAAAACATTCAATGACACCCACTATTACCTAAAAATAATGTTCCAATGCCATAGCATGGCATTCAAGACTGTACTCAATTTGGCTATAACTTAGCTTTCTAGCCTTGTTTCTTGCCAATTCTCATTCCTTTTTATTTCTCTCATCATCCAAGAAGCTTCAACTCCAGTCACAGCAGATCACTCGGGGTCCCCAAAACACATGTTGCTATTGACAGATTCTTTGCCTAAATGCTCCTTGTCATTTCACCATCCAACTCAACTCATCCTTCCAGGCCCGATCTAAATGATATCCTTCTCTCATTTACATAGCACATTGTTTATTTCTCAAAAATGGGCTCCTTTAAAACATTCAACAGTTGGCCGGGCATGGTGGCTCACACCTGTAATCCCAGCACTGTGGGAGGCCAAGGCAGGCGGATCACGAGATCAGGATATTGAGACCATCCTGGCCAACACGGTGAAACCCCATCTCTACTAAAAAAAATACAAAAAATTAGCCGGGCGTGGTGACAGGCGCCTGTAATCCCAGCTACTCACTAGGCTGAGGCAGGAGAATGCTTTGAAACCGGGAGGTGGAGCTTGCAGTGAGCCAAGATCGCACCACTGCACTCCAGCCTGGGCCACAGAGTGAGACTCTGTCTCAAAAAAAAAAAAAAAAAAAAAAAAAAAAAAAAAAAAATTGTCACATGCATAGATATCTGTAACATACACTAGCTCTGGGCTCAAATTGTGTCCATCTTTTGTAATGTAGAATCATGCCCATTACTGGGGACCAGGGATGCTTGATTTGAATTGAGGTAAGAGATCACAGGAAGTGTACTTTTGAGACCACTTTGCCTTAGGGAAGCTAAGAATATCTGCTCTACCCACTCTGCATTTGGCATATTTTGAGTTTAAGTGGAAGTGGTGTGAAGGGCACATCCTGATAAGTCAGTCCCTTTGATAACTGTCAGATCTGATTAATTCACAAGCAGGTCTATATCAGTTCCACAGCATCTCAAACACGTATCTCTCAACCCTAACTTCCCCACCTTTAGGCTTAAGATGCTTCTGAAAAAGCTAAAAAAAATTTCCCACTGTTTGTTTTCCTAGAAAAGCCACTTCCTTTCAGTAATTCTAGTCATCCAGCAATTATTATATTGGTACAAAGATTTTAGACTCAGTGCCGTACAATTGTCATTAAAATCCTGGCAATTAAGTAATCTCTTTGCTCTTGCTAGAACTTCACATAACCCATGGTACAAACATTTGGCCTAAATAAGATCCACTTGGGTATATTGTACTTAGGAATTTGTAAACATAGAAGTTTTCTAGTTTCTTTGGATCATTTCTGAAAAAGCAGCAACCACATTCCTTCAGTCTTCTACTCTCTTGCCCACCACCCCCACCTTTTTTTTTTTTGAGACGGAGTCTCGCTCTGTCACCAGGCTGGAGTGCCGTGGCACGATCTCGGCTCACTGCAACCTCCGCCTCCAGGGTTCAAGCAATTCTCCTGCCTCAGCCTCCTGAGTAGCTGGGACTACAGGCGCGTCGCACCACACCCAGCTAATTTTTGTATTTTCAGTAGAGACAGGGCTCCACCATGTAGGCCAGGATGGTCTCAATCTCTTGACCTCATGATCCGCCCACCCGGGCCTCCCAGAGTGCTGGGATTACAGGTGTGAGCAAGCACGCAGGGCCACCTCTTCTTTAAAGACTCACTGTATCCTGAAAAAGAAACAGCAAAAATTGCTTTTCAGACTCAAAAATTAAGGAGGGTGCCAATCAGGCCAGGCCTGGTTAAAGGACCCAGCTCTTAGATGTAAACTGGAGAATCCAGAAACCTTAACCCTGAAAATGACCTAGGGGCGAGTCAACAGCTCCAGCAGCTCCAGGCGCTGAGCAGGAAACATAAAAGGATGAGCAGGCTGCTGGGGAGGAGCGGAAGCTACTGTTGGAATATAAGAACACATGGCCTATTTCAAAGGAACAAACACTACTCTACCCAGCAGAGTTACAAGATAGGAACAGGAGACCCAGTATTGCCCAGAATTTTCAATTTTCCAAGAGAATCTGAAAATCCAGATTTTTAGAGGGTTGGATATCCCTATTTGGAACATAACTGAAATTCATTTTCAAAGACCATGTAGGCCCAAGTAGAATTAGTCTGCAGGTTGGATATGCCCTGGGACCACTGCTTTGTAATCCTTTTCATAGGGACCATTTATCCCACCTTCTTTATTTTACAGATTGAAACTGCCCTCGCAGGGTTAATGAGAATTACAATCCAGGCTTTAGGCAGATTTAGTCAGGCATTGATGAGGCTGTGCTGGTGCACTTCGACCCACTTTCTTGCAGCTGCTAACTAATCAACAGTCAGGTAGCTCGCTGACCACCTGGTCCTTCATTGCTCCTATAGATGGAATCTCGGACTGGACCTTTTTCCCCAAAATTACTTTTCAGATTATGAATTCCAGCAAACGCCAACCTATCTGAAGACCCTGCCAAGGGACTCAGCATAAGAATGCAGATTCTTTATCTCTCTGTTCCACAGTTTCACCTCTTACTTTGTGACCAATCAGCAATCCTCACACTTTAGCCCATTACACATCCAGATCCCTTAAAAACTTCATACCCCAGTCTCTCAGGGAGGTGGATTTGAGGTTTCCTCCCATCTCCTCATTTTGCTGCCCTATGAGATGATTAAACTCTTTCTCTGCTGCAACCCCTGGTTCCTTGGTATGTTGAACCACTGCGCGTTGGGCAACAAAACTGTAACAGTTACAAGATGGTAATGCCAAAAAAAGATTGACTTCATATCGCCAGTTAGAAGCAAAAAGATGCCTAGAACCAAGTCTTCTGATTGCCAATCCCCTGAAATCATTCAACTCAGATTAAGCATTTGAATCTGAGATTAATGGAATATAAGGACCAAATCAGACTGGGGGGCTCTTGTCTGGTTCAGATCATGGGTTTCAGGCTCACGTGAGTTTGAAGAACAAGATGACAAATCCATTTCAGGTCCCTCTAGTGTCTCTAAATCCTCTGGAACTAGCCTAGTACTTGCCTAATATGGGTGACCCTCAGATACACCTGACAAAAATACAGATTTTCAGGTTTCAGCCTAGAATGAAGGAATTAGAAGCTCCAGGGACATGTATGCTTTTAATTAACTCCATCAGTGATTCTGAAGCTCAGCTGCTCTATCCTAAGGGCCCAGGTGGACCAGAAATTGCAGATTAATCACAATCCAAGGTAGCGGTCCGTTATATGGAGCAGTGCTACTATTCCAGTGAGTGACTACATGTTAATTTTTTCCACATTTAAAAATAATTCTTTTCTAATTTCCTAAATTCTTGTTTTCTTACATTTTTAAGGAAAAAAAAAAGAGCAAATCTTCTTGTAGAAAAAATTCTGATTTTCAATAGTACTGCTGGAGCAAGATATTTTTACCCAGGAATGAATATGTACAGCTGCAAAAAACTGCTTAATTAAATCATGAATGATAAATTCCTCAAAGTTATACTTAAACATTTTATAATTTTGATAGTTCTTATTTTTTACTATAATCTGTAAACATTTAAGTGGAAGCAATAAATTAGATTTCAAAATAGATGAGTAATTTTAGACTGTGACATTCCAGTTTATTTTAAGGGACAATTAGTAGCACTTATAAAAATGCATCTAATTGCTAGACCAAATCAAATTCAGCAATACTGGATGTTTTTACCCTCATCAGGCCTATTTTTTTTTCCGTAATGACCAAAACCAGTAAATGGAAGCAAAAAATCAAATTCTAAAAGCAAAATTATCATAAACTTAATTATCATTTTGATGTCAGTCTAAATTTACTTGAGCCAATAACTCATCGCCAGTTCTCATAGATCATTTCTTATTTTGACCCTATTGTCCACATGGCCAAAGTATTTTCTGATCAAATGTTAACTTCACCCCCTTTATAGCAACTTGTTTCCAAAGGTCCATATTAAAACTCAGATTTCCAAAATGATGATAATGATGGTGATGGTGATGAAGGCGATGCTGCGCTCCTGCTAACTCACCCTCAATTGATGGAATGTGCACTTTGACTCGTCAAGGCACTAGTTGTTTGCCAACTTTCAAAGTATGTGACCCAGGAGTAGATTTGAATATTGCCTTTATATTGTTTCCTCCTTTCTTTGGAAGTTAGGGGTGTGGTATCCTTGAATAACTATGAGCCAAGTTAGTTTGGTCCTGAGAGGAAGAAAATGATTTAACTTCTTACTCCATGCCCAGAATTTAACAAGAGAGAAGATCTCAAGGGTAAAGAATTTCTATTCCAGCCACTACCTACTGCAACGCTTGCAGAGAGCTTTGAACAAATCTCTGAAGAACTGATCAGGCCTGACGCCATCTCAGTCTTGCACAAATATTCCCTGAGTTAGTTCTTCATTTCTGATGAATTTTCTGTTGGAATTCTATATTTACCTAGTTTTAAAATCCCCCACTATTATTTTCAGGATGATTGTAATGGGGTATGATTCTTTCATCAACACAAATGAATAGAAAATGCAAATGGAGAGGAGATGCACCCCCAAAAGGGGCAGCTTGAGCCCATTGTGGCAAGTGGCAAAGAGGGCCCCATATGGCCAGATTTGTGGCTTTTTAAGAAAAGTTACATCAGGATTTTTATATGAAATCTCCCAATTCTAATATATTGGCAACTGATTGAATACAAGTTAAAATATTAACCAGGTCAAATAATAACAATTTTCTGGGACACTGCTAGCCGATAGGCTACCAGTTTGCAAACTTTCTCAGAATCACTGCTCTGTGAGTTTGTGGTCCTAGTGCTAAATCAATTCAGAAATTTCATCCTGGATAGCTTTTGTGTAGCATCAGTACATATATAATACCTACTATATGCCAAGCACTGTTATAGATACTGGAGATATGGCAAATAAAATGAAGCTTACATTCATATTCATAGAATTCACAATAGACAAGACCACAAAACATAAGGAATTGGATGGGAAAAATCTCAAAAAATGTTATAACTAGACTATTTTGACACTTCAGAATGTCATATAGAGTTTAATAAAATTAAAGCTTTAAAGGCAGGCAAGGCTTGATGGTTCATACCCGTAATCCCATCACTTAGGGAGGTCAAGGCAGGAGGATTTTTTGAGGTGAGAAGTTCAAGACCAGCTAGGGTAACACAGCAAGACCCTGTCTGTACAAAATAATTTTTAAAAATAGGTGGGCATGGTGGCACGCACCTGCAGTCCTAGCTTCTTGGGAGGCTGAGGCAGGAGGATTGCTTGAGCCCAGGAGTTTGAGGCTGCAATGAGTTATGATTGCACCATTACACTCCAGCCTGGGCAACAGAGCACGACCTTATCTCCAAAAACAACAACAACAAAAAAACCAAGAATAAAAATTAAATAAATAAATAAAAAGAAGGCTACTTCTTGGAAAAGGCAGCCGTTTTCTCTATCAGAATAAAGTGTTTCTTTATTCAACAATTATTTGGTGAGTCCCTAAATTTGTGCCAAATGGCTTCCTACACAAAAAGGATACAAATGAAAAAGACAAAATCATGATCTTGGCTCTCTACATTCAACCACAGGAATCAGAAAAAAAGAAAAATAAAAATGATGACAATCATGATAAATGCTCTGAAAAAGTCTAAAATAGACTAATGACAAGAGTGAGAAGTCTAGTTGAAATAGGATAGTCAGGGAAGTTCTCCCTGGGAAAATGTTATTTAAGCTGAAGTCTCAAGAATAAGGACAAAGTCACTTGGAAGAAAGGGATGGGATGGAGAGAAAGTTTCTAAATAGAGCAGCATGCGTGAAGGTCCTGAGGCCTGAAAGAGCTACTCAAGAACTTGAAATCCAGTGGGGCTATAAGATAGTGGACTGAGCCTGGAGAGACAAGCAGGAGCCATACCACATACAGACATATGTCCACAGTAAGAACTTCAGGTTTACCCTAAGCACAAGGGAAGTTCCTATAGAATTTTAGTTGGGGAATGACTTGATATAATTCACACTTTTTGAAAAATCCTCCTGGCTGTTTTGTGTGCAGAAGGCACACAGGAATCAGGCTCACTGACACAGAGAGAGCAATGAGGAGGCCATCGTAAGTAGTGACCTCAGGAAGAGGTATGGCTGACTGCCCTAGGATGGTGACATTGCAGATAGTGAGAAGGGCCTAGATGTCAGATGTAGTTTGTTTAGGGGCTTTTTCCGCAAGTCCCATGACTCTTTGTTAGGCTGTTCTTGACTTTTTCTAGGAAATAAAAATCACAAGATTTAAAGTTAACTATGTCTTCTGATATGAAAAGTCAGTGCAGGAAATGAACTGTTCACCGCAGCCTAATAAAAACATCTCTGTGAACTTTCACTGATTTTAAGTCCACAAAGATGAAAGTCAGGGGTGTGATCCTGTCTGCTAAATAGCTCCCTTAATGCCCAAATCATGCATCACAAGGAGTTAGATTATAAAAGATAGAAACAGCATAGTTTCCCCTTTTATGAAAATACTTAGTGCATGCACTTTACTGCTTACTTGCTAAAAAAAAAAATAAAAAATAATCTGATACCATAGTTGCAGAAGAAACTTTACAGCAACATTTAACCAAATAAAACTAATGAAAAGTTAATCTTGAACGGAGTTTAAATGAGTCCCAAAAAACTGACTTGCTATGTGACTTGGGATTCCTGTGACTTGTATTTTTTCACTCTGTGGAGTAGCACGTCCACAAAGCCAGCCTGGGCCTAGTGGAGCAGTATCCCAAAGAAGCTGGGCTTGAAAATCAAGAGCATGTGAAAAGTAAAATCAGAGTAAACATCTGATTTTTTTTTTCAACCTGTTGCAGAACGAGGGGCAAGATGAGGAGAGAGGCTAGGGCAAGTGCTCTCAGCTTGGAGCCTGGACCATCTGTGAGGAGAGTGTTCTCTTAAATCCATGTTCTGTGTCTCTCAATTCCAGTAGTATAGGTCCAGCTTTTTTTCTGATAATTCATATCTTCTGCAGCCCCATCCAGCATGGGTATGCCAGGCAAGGATGGATTGAGGAAAAAGAAATTGGAGACAGCGAAAATGGGGGCAAATGGCAGAATTGCAAGGGTGTTTGAAGTTCCTCAAGTTTTCATTTTTATTTTTTTTTTATTTTTTGAGGTGGAGTCTCGCTCTGTTGCCCAGGCTGGAGTGCAGTGGCACAATCTCAGCTCACTTCAACCTCTGCCTCCTGGGTTCAAGCAATTCTCCCACCTCAGCCTCCCAAGTAGCTGGGACTACAGGCGTGCGCCACCACACCTAGCTAATTTTTGTATTTTTAGTAGAGACGGGGTTTCTCCATGTTAGCCAGGCTGGTCTCAAACTCCTGACCTCAGGTGATCCACCTGCCTTGGCCTCCCAAAGTGCTGGGATTACAGGCATTAAGCCAGTGCACCCAGCCTACAAGTTTTAATTTTTCATGTAGGAAAAAACAATTATGAAAAGATCATATAATGCATGGAGACTTCAGCCTACCTTACCACACTCTTTTACCTTTTTTTACCTTTACTCTATTTTACCTTTATGGGGGTGGGGGCAGGCAGGATTCTCAAGGAATACATATTCTTTTAGCTGATCCCTAGAATCATTTTTCCTGAACCTCTTTTCTCCACTTAATGCCCCCTGAAACTATAGAAAACATCATCCTCTTTGACCATTCTGTTGTAACTGTAAATGATTAAATACATAATCCAAAGAATTGGTGCTAGCGAAGGATTAACCTGGTAACAGATGAAACAGAGGGTCTGTAGCCAACTTTAGGAATCCGTTTTGTGTATCTACAGTGTTTTAAACTTCTTGGAGAATCTTTGAGGTTGGAATCTTCCCTCAATGTTGCCTTTGTGGATTATACTGTAGTTCAAGAATACTATTATAACACATATGGCACCTAGTATGTGTCGGGCAGTGTCTTATGAGATTTACTTGCTTTCTCTTATTTAGTTCTCACAATGACCTGCAAGGTCATCCAGCTAGTTAGTGGCACATCTGGGAATCTCAACTAGACGGCTTGGCTCCAGATTGTGTGCTCTTAATGCGTCCGGAATTGGTGGGTTCTTAGTCTCACTGACTTCAACAATGAAGCCGTGGACCCTGGCGGTGAGTGTTACAGTTCTTAAAGGACACGTGACTGGAGTTTGTTCCTTCTGATGTTCGGATGTGTTCGGAGTTTCTTCCTTCTGGTGGGTTTGTGGTCTTGCTGGCTCAGGAGTGAAGCTGCAGACCTTCGCGGTGAGTGTTACAGCTCTTAAGGCGGTGCGTCTGGAGTTGTTCGTTCCTCCTGGTGGGTTCGTGGTCTCACTAGCTTCAGAAGTGAAACTGCAGACCTTCGAGGTGAGTGTTACAGCTCACAAAGGCAGTGTGGACCCAAAGAGTGAGCAGCAGCAACATTTATTGCAAAGAGTGAAAGAACAAAGCATCCACAGCGTGGAAGACGACCGAGCAGATTGCCACTTCTACCTGAGGCACCCTGCTTTTATTCTCTTATCTGGCCTCACCCACATCCTGCTGATTGGTCCATTTTACAGAGAGCCAATTGGTCCATTTTACAGAGAGCTGATTGGTCCGTTTTGACAGGGTGCTGATTGGTGCGTGTACAATCCCTGAGCTAGACACAAAAGTTCTCCACGTCCCCACCAGACTCAGGAACCCACCTGGCTTCACCCAGTGGATCCCGCACTGGGGCTGCAGGTGGAGCTGTCTGCCAGTCCCGCGCTGTGCACCTGCACTCCTCAGCCCTTGGGTGGTCAATGGGACTGGGAGCCGTGGAGCAGGGGTCAGCGCTCGTGGGGGAGGCTTGGGCCACACAGGAGCCCAAGGGGCGGAGGGAGGCTCGGGCATGGCAGGCTGCGGGTCCGGAGCCCTGCCCCGTGGGGAGGCAGCTAAGGCCCCGCGAGAAATCGAGTGCAGCGCCGGTGGGCCGGCACTGCTGGGGGACCCAGCACACCCTCCACAGCCACTGGCCCGGGTGCTAAGCCCCTCATTACCCGGAGCCAGCAGGGCCAGCCGGTCGCTCCGTGTGCGGGGCCCGCCAAGCCCACGCCCACCCGGAACTCCAGCTGGCCCGCAAGTGCTGCCGGCAGCCCTGGTTCCCGCTCTCGCCTCTCCCTCCACGCCTCACTGCAAGCTGAGGGAGCCGGCTCCAACCTTGGCCAGCCCAGAAAGGAGCTCCCACAGTGCAGCAGTGGGCTGAAGGGCTCCTCAAGTGCCGCCAAAGTGGGAGCCCAGGCAGAGGAGGTGCCGAGAGTGAGGGAGGGCTGCGAGGGCTGCCAGCACGCTGTCACCTCTCATTAACACCCCCTCTTCCCACCCTCCAACCCCCGATCCCTGTCTTTACTGAAACATGTCTTAAATCATGATGAGTGTTCTTGTAGGAGTCTTCTTTTTTCTTTCCAGCCCCTATTTTAAACATCTAGATTTGAGCCAAAAAGGACAAGTAGGCAAGGGGTTCTGAGAATGCTATTAACCACAAAATCTAACATGTATGGGACCAACTGTCCATGGTTGCAGAGACATTGACTATCCTTTTAATCCTTACAATAATTATGAGATAAATCCTCTAAATTAGAGATGAGGAAGCTGAGACACAAAGATGTTAAAGGGCATGTCCCAAATCATACAATGGGAAGAAGGGATTTGAATTCAGGCTTACCTGCTTGGGAGCAAAACCCCTGAACCTCTGAGGTATATAGCCTTGCTAGGACACTTACCTTCTGTTTTCTCTCTGGTCTTCACTTAATGAGCCAAGAGGGTTAGCTGCTGTAGTGGATGCTATGGGACATTCTCCAGGTCTTTGCTGCATGACTGGGGCATGCATTCCCCCAGCTGCTGGAAGTGTAGGTCACGGATGAGTCCCTCCCCCCCAGGATTGTCTCCATGGGAGAGAGCCAGCTTGGCCAATGTCATGGCCCTCTCTGGGCAACTCACATATAATGACTAGTTCATGGAGGGATGTAAAAGCCTGGCCCCTTGTCCTAATTTGAGTCAACTCTGAGTTCCCCATGGGCCTCTGTTGCCTTTTCATGGCAGCCCAGCTTCTCCCTCTGCCAAGTCCTGCTTCTTTCACACCCCGTACAGGTGTCCACCTTAAGACCATGCCTTAATATACTTTCTGCATGCATATCTCCATTGCAAAGTCAATTTTCTCAGGAATTCAGCCTGCGACAGCTGGCAAGAGTCCCAGTGCCCTTTCCCAACCATCATCTCCACAATGTTAACTCATGTGGTAGAGAAGGGAGAGGGGAACTAGCACTTACACCATGCAAGGCTCAGTGGTAGACATTTTATATGGATTACCCCATAAACCCTCAAAGTAAAGAAATCAAGTAAAATACTGCTACTGATATAGATGGCAAGGTTAGAGAGAAGTGACTTGTTTGAGGTCACAAATTAATAGGGAGATGAACCAAATTTTTGGATACCAAAATTTAGGTAGTGTGGTAGCCTGAATAATGGTACCCTGAAGATGTCTGCATCCTAATCCCCAGAATCTGTGAACATGTTAACTTCACATGGCAAAAGCGAGTTTGCAGATGTGATTTAATTCAGTATCTTGAGATAGGGAGACATCTTGGATTACCCAGATGGACCCAAGGGAATCACAAGGCTTCTTGCAAGAGAGAAACAGAAGAGTCAGAGTCAGAGGTGTGAAGAGGAAGTAGAGGTAGGAATGATTTAAAACCATAGTCAAGGAACACAGGCAGCCTCTAATAGCTGGAAAAGGCAAAGAAACGAGTTACCCGCTAGAGCCTCTAGAAGGAGTGGTGCCCTGCTAACCCATTTTAGCTTTCTGACCTCAAGAGCCGTGAGATAATAAATTTATGTTGTCTCAAGCCACTGTCTGTGGTAATTTGTTGTAGCAACCATAGGAAGCTAATGTAGGTCGGCTTTTTCCACTCTCTCCCTCTTGTCCTCGTGCATCTATGTATGTGACACTCTCATCTCCCCACTTTTGCCCTGGAGTGACGTTAAGCCTGATGTTTCTTCCATTTGGGGGACCCTGAGAAGCTGTATAAGCAAATATCATTCTCTGAACAGCCCTTTGAAGTGGGTCAGCCATTGGCCAGCATCTGCCTAGCTGACTCTACCTGGGATGGCGGTGAGGAAACAGGACTGAGGAAGGGAAACCCCTGTTCCGATGTTGTTAGAACCCTCCCGTACTTACCATAGGGAGCAAGTTCATCTCTTTTAATTTTGGGTTGCTTGTTTTGCTGCCTATCACTGTACTCCCATCCCTGCCTCTCCAAGATCAGGGCTAAGCTCTCTGAGAAATCTACAGCAACTTGAGAGGAGCAACAGGAGTAAACATGACATCTTCATTCCTCTTCAAGGTCAAAGATTTTCCTGACTGCTAGGAGTTAGTTGGGTTTTGATTTTCTTAGGTTTACGGTGGGGTTGGGTAGAAGCCGTCCTGGCCCGTTGGGATGGAAAATAGCATTTACTGAGTCCCTCTTCAGTGTCTGTATGATCCTTATTTTACCAAGGAGAATATTAAGGCACTTTCTCAGGATCCCAGGCTAAAAAGTGGTGGAGGAGGGAACAAACCATGTCTCTCCCACCGCAAAGCCCTTAGGGGTGCTCTTTATATGCTGCCTTGACCATAAAACTTGAATTTTAGGCCAGGCTTGGTGGCTCATGCCTGTAATCCCAGCACTTTGGGAGGCCAAGGCTGGTGGATCACCTGAGGTCAGGAGTTCGAGAGCAGTCTGGCCAAAATAGTGAAACCTGTCTCTACTAAAAATACAAAAATTAGCCAGGCGTCGTGGTGTGCACCTGTAATCCCAGCTACTCGGGAGGCTGAGGCAGGAGAACTGCTTGAACCTGGAGTGGGATTAGGGTTAGCACCACTGCATGCCAGCCTGGGAAACAGAGCAAGACTTTGTCTCAAAAATAAAATAAAATAAAACAAAATAAAGTAAAATAAAATAAAAATAAATAAAACCTTGAATTTTAAGAATAATGGATTTGTGGCTACTCTTTCCCCAATATCAGGACCCAGTTCACAAAACACAATGCCAGAGTTGTCTACTACACTGCACTTCTTCCCCCCTTCCTCTCCATTGGCACCTCTGCTCCAGATGAATCCTGTGGGGCCCCTCTGTTCATATCTCCATAAGCCACATCAGCTGTCTCTCCTGCTGGAATCAAGATGCTGTTCTCTTGCCAAGTAGCTTCATCTCCTTGAAGTCTCCCTAGCACTTCTGGATTCCGGCATCCCAGGGCTCCTGAATGAAACTCCAAACCTGTGTATCCTTCCTGCCTCTTTTCAAATTCCTAAAACCGATCTTTTCTACCCATTTGTTTCTGAAACTGCAATGGTTGTCTCTGGACTCTTATTACTAAATGCAGACATGTCTGGGTGTGGTGGCTCACGCCTGTAATCCCAACACTTTGGGAGACCAAGGAGGATGGATTGCTTGAGTTCAGGAATTCAGGACTAGCCTGGGCAACTTGGCAAAACCCCATCTCTACAAAAAATAGAAAAATTAGCTGGATATGTTATGCACACTCCTAATCCCAGCTACTCAGGAGGCTGAGGTGGGAGGATCACTTGACCCTGGGAGGCAGAGTTTGCAGTGAGCCAAAATTGTGCCACTGCAGTCCAGCCTGGGCAATTAGAGTCAGACCTTGAAGAAAAAAAAAAAAAAAGAAAGAAAGAAGAAAAGATAAAGAAATTCACACATGTTAAATTACAGAATTATAAAGCTGGCAGGGTCAGGGAGAACATCTATTTTTCAGATGAAGAAACTCAAGCCTAAGGTCACACAGTTAGTTTAGTGGCCAAGTCTACTCCTTGAGTCCATAACAGCATTCTACATGCTGCCCTACACTTTCAGTCATTTATTGGGCATATTTCTTGATAAAGAGCATGAACTCAGAACCCAGACAGCCCAGGGTTCAAAGCTGGCCTCTGCCACTTGCTAGCTGTGGGAACTTGGACAAGTTTCTTAACATCTCTGTGCCTCATCTTTAAAGTGGGAATAATATCGATGCCAACTTCATAGGGTTAATGTCAAAATTAAATGGTTTAATATGTGCAGTTGTACATAGTAATTGTTCAATAAGTGCTAGTTATTCATTATTTCATCCATGGGACTGAATGTTTTAAAGAAAGAATTGTCAAAACTTTCCTGCAATGGTTTGAGAGACTTACAGACGTATGTGAGCATTATGGCAGAATGAGTAAAAGCATCAACTTTAAAAATGAACTATGACAGTCTACATCCTCGTTCTGGCTCCTTTTGGCTGCAAGACTTTTGGAAGTTATTTAACTTCTTTGTGCCTCAGTGTCCTCGTCTCTAAAATGGGAAAAACAAAAGTATTGACAACTTAGGGCTGTTGGGAAAAATTAAACGAGATCATCTAAGCTAAGCACCTGGTATATAATAAACATTTAATATTTGTTAGCTTTCATTATATAGCGAAAAAAACAATGTGAACTTCACTCCATTGCTTTTAGTTCAGTCATTTAGTAAGTCATGCAGAATTACTTAGTGAAAGCTCTGCATATACAAAATGATTTGTAATCACTGCATTATTTAACCAATTAATTAATATGTATTGTTCAAAATAGCCCTAGGAAGTTATCTGAGGTTCTCTATATTCCTGATAAGTCTTAAAAACTCAAGGTCACACAGGGAGTTGATGGTAGAGTTAAGAAAGGAATTTGCAGTCACCTGTTTCTGTTGCTTAACTCCCTAAGATGTGCTGCTTTTCTTTTCTTTATTATTTATCTGCATCAAAAACAGTGCTTGTCTAGTTAGGTATCAATGGGTGACCTGACTGCTCATGGTCTTTGGAGGGCTCAGTCCAAAAGATCCCCAACCTGCTTGCATTCTTGCTAAGAGGAAATGTGATTCAAATAGAAATTGAGGGCACAAGGCGGGTGGAACATTCTGATCTGGAACTGGTGGGTAGGATGGATGGGATATTATGATTATATTAATAAATATCATTTTTTGTCCATGGTTGCTAGCTCCTAACTCTCATAGCCATTGTTACAGTCTTTTGTTATAATGTTGGGGGCACTTCAGGGCTCAGGAAACAAAATACCTCTCTCTGACCTTCTCCTATCCTCCTTTCACCTGCCCAAGGCAGGACTCTAACCTAATTGTGGGTCCTATGACCCTCATTCTAAAGAGGGTCCTGCCCCGTAATCTGGAGGAAGAAATTCTGCACAGAGAGGCTAAGAAGAATCTGAACAGACAGGTCTTGCTGGGTTTAGATCACACTCTTTTTGCCCAATCTCATTTCCTCACATTTGTCCATGCTTCCATCACAGACAACTGATGAAGTCTCCATAAAAGGCCCAAAGGACAGGCTTTGGGGAGCTTCTGGAGAGCTGAATACATGGAGGCTGACAGGAAGGCATAGCAGAACTCATGCACCCAGGAAGGTGGAACGCCCCAAATTCATGAGGACAGGAGCTCCTGTGCCTAGCACCCTTCCAGTCCTCCCCGATGTACCTCTTTGTCTGCCTGTTTATTTGTACTTTTAAAAATATCCTTCTAGGGCTGGGTGCAGTGGCTCATGCTTGTAATCCCAGCACTGTGGGAGGCTGAGATGGAGGGGATCTCTTGAGGCCAGGAGTTCAAGACCAGCCTGGGCAACATCGTGAGACCTCCATCTCTTAAAAAAATAAAATAAAATAAAATATTCTTCTTACGAAACTGGTAAACATAAGTAAGTGTTTCCCTGAGTTCTGTGAGCCGCTCTAGCAAATTAATCAAACCTGAAGAGGGGGTTGTGGGAACCCCAACCTGAAGCCACTGAGTCAGAAGTGCTGGAGGCTTGGACTTGAGACTGGGGATTGGGGGAACAGGTCTTGTGGGACTGAGCGCTCAACCTGTGGGATCTGACATTATCTCTGGGTAGATAGTGTCGGAACTGAATTGGAGGCCACCAAGCCATCTCTGTTGCTTGGTGCGTGGGGAAAAACCCCCACATCTTTGGTCACAGAAGTCTTCTGTTGTGGTTTGAGAGCAGAGGAAAAACGCAGTTTGAGAGTGTTCTTCCCTGAAACAATGGGGAACAGTGTAAAACTTGGAAAGCTAGGATAAAGAACACAGGATTTTGAAAATACTTTAAAGAGAGAAAAAGACAGTCACTCCTAGTAGAAAGAGGTCAAAAGGAAAGAATGATTCTGAAGAAAGGCTGGGCATATCGGGAGAAACACAGTGTTAGTTAAAAATTACAAACCATGTGTCCTACCTGGGCTGTCCCTGTGTTTACAGCCCATTCCTTCCCAAGGACGAGTCACTTGGCAGGGGAACTGGCCACATGCAAGGTTCCGAAGGCTTGAGCCAACTTCCCAGAGGAAAACAAAAGACTCCAGTTTAACCCAGGAGCTGTGTGGGGAACCCATCCAATGCTCACCTCACCCACCTCACCCGCAGGTCCCTGAGCGGCTCCAGGGAGATCTCCCAACAATCTGGCCACCGGCAATAACTCTACCTCATTACAGCTGAATGGGTCATTTCACGGGCAAATGTATCTGATAGGAATCAGGTCCCAGTCAGTTCTATATCCTGAAATCCCCGCTCACCCTTCCAGGCAGATGAGCCCATTTCCCCTACTAATGTCCCACAGGCAAATCAATGGCTATAGCTTCCTTTTACACAATACCTTTGAACCAGAGGAAAAAAAACAAACAAAAAGCCGGGTATAAATCAAATTGTGTGAGAGAGTGTGTGTATGTAAACCCGTATGTGCAAACTGAACACTCAAGTACAACAGGGGAACTTGCTTTTTCAGATTTCCTCCTTGAGTTAAAAGAGTTAGTCTCTGAGGGTTTTTAAAAAAAAATTTCTAAAGAACAAACTTTTGCCTCTTGTTTTCTTGAAGGAAACATATCTTTAACCTGCAAGTGCTCAGCTTTTTAAAATGATGCTAACAAAAACAGTGAATAAATGTTGCAAAATATTATTGTTAATTGTCCTCCTTGCTTGACCTCTGACCTATCCTGGAAAAGGCTCCCATGGCACTTTTCTTATAAAACTGGTTTGTTTACGTAACACAGTGAGAAGAGTTTCAGGAAACTCATTCCAAGGACGCCTTTTCATTCCAACCAAAGCAAGAAGTCTGGAAGAATGTGCAAGGAGCCAGGGACTCTGTAGAGAAATTGCAAAGTCCTGACAACAAAACAGCACTCCTATATGACTTGGGAGCTTTGTTTCCAATTTGGCCTAATTTCTTTCCCCACATTTTAAAATTGCTCCATTTGTCCAGGAGTGGTGACTTGTGCCTGTAATACCAGCACTTTGGGAGGCCGAGGCGGGTGGATCATTTAAGGTCAGGAATTCGAGACCAGCCTGACCAACATGGTGAAACCCCATCTTTACTAAAAATACAAAAAAATTAGCCTGACGTGGTGGCGCATGCCTGTAATACCAGCTACTCGGGAGGCTAAGGGAGGAGAATTGCTTGAACCCGGGAGGCGGAGGTTTCAGTGAGCCGAGATCACGTCGCCATGCTCCAGCCTGGGCAACAGAGTGAGACTCCGTCTCAAAAAAAAAAAAAAAGAAAAAATAAATAAAATAAAATAAGATAGTTCTATACCAGCTGAATAGAATTCAAGTTCCAGTGCTGGTGCGGTAGCTCACGCCTGTAATCCCAGCACTTTGGGAGGCTAAGGTGGGTGGATCACTTGAAGCCAGGAGTTGGAGATCAGCCTGGGCAACATGGCGAAACCCCGTCTCTACTAAAAATACAAAAAAATTAGCCAAGTATCGTGGGAGGCACCTGTAGTCCCAGCTAGTAGGGAGGCTGAGGCACGAGAATTGCTTGAACCTGGGAGGTGGAGCTTGCAGTGAGTGGAGATTGCATCACTGCACTCCAGCCTGGGTGACAGAGTGAGACTCCATCTCAAAAAAAAAAAAAAAGAAAAAGAAAAAGAAAAAAAAGAATTCAATTTTCATATAAAATATTACTCCTCTTTTATCATGCTACCATAAATTACTTCCAAGGATGTGGGTTCCTCCTGCTTTGATGACTTAGGAAAATGTGCTCATTGTCTGTGAACTCAACCCACCAAACCAAACACCAGCCCCAAGGAAGGATGGCTGGCCTGTGCTGGACCCTGAATGTCAACAACCAGGCATTTCTCTCAGGCTGAGAAAGAAGGGTCAGGTATTTTAAATGTCAAGGCCTCTATATTGAATACCCAGTGTTCCCATTTTAAATTTGAGAGGCATCAGCAAAGAGCATCCTGGCATGTCTTAACAGTTGCCAAGGGATGAAGGGTGATTAGGTAGATGCTGGTATCCAGCTGTTCCCCAGCTCCACTGAGGTCAGAACCAGAAACAATGCTTTAGATCACTAGGAGGGGGAGAATTGAGTGGTAATTTAGACACAAGAATAGAAAGTGTTTAGGAACTAGAAACTTCACAGAGAAGGTACTTAATACATATGTGATCAATAACTGTTGAATGGATGAATGAATGGATGAATGAGGTTTTGGAATCATCTTTCTTTGATGTATTACATTCACTCCTAAACATATTTTAGGGATGGGCAACATGTGACTCTAATGAGCAGTTATGTCCATTAATTCTTTAGCTCTCTAAGGTGGCACAGTCCCGCAAACATTTTATTGAGGGTAGCCTCTGAGGCAGGCACTGAGAATTCCTCTGAAAAGCTTCATTCTAGTGGAGAGAAAGATACTTAAACACGGAGTCCTACTGACTAAGGATGCATTTATAAGGAGAAGCTACATGGAATTTAATGCAGAATATGAAACTCTGCTTCTAAATTCAACTTGTAGATTGAATACATGCATTTATTGACACTTCCTATTAATTCATTTACTCATCAAATATTTGTTGAGTGCTTACTGTATTCCAGGCACATTCTAGACACTAGAGATATGATAGCACACACAACAGACAACATCCCTGCCTTCCACAGGAAGAAAGCAGACAATAAATAAATAAGTAATGTGTCAGGGGGTGATAGATATCATGGGGAGAAATAAAGCAGGATAAGAGGCATAGAGAGAGTCATAGTAGGGTGTTGATTTATACAAGCTGATCAGGGACAACCACTCCAATGAAGTGACATTTGAGCCAGTAGGACTTTTGAGAAGAAAGGGAGCAAGTCATGCTGCTATTTGGGAGCAAAGCATTCCAGGAGGCAGGAATGGCAAGGGGAAAGGCCCTGAGCTTGGAATGAACTTAGAAAGTTCCAAGTATGTCGAGGAAGCCAGTGCTGCTGGAACAGAGTGAGGAAGGCGAGAGTGGAAGGAGATGAGGTCAAAGATAGCAGAGCCAGATCTTACACCACCTTTTATCTGAGTGACATAGGAAATCACTGGGGAGATTTGGCTATAGGGGTGATGTGAAAATGACTGATGTCTAAAACTGCAGGGGGCCAGGAAGGCAGGAGGGAGACCCATCAGGAGATTATTGCAGTAACAACCGTGAGGGATGATGCTGCTGTTCTGGCTTTGGGAAGGTACTAGTAGAGATGGTGAGAAGTGGTTGGATTTTGGATATATTTTGATAATAGAGTTAGCAGAATTTTCTGTGGATTGGATATAGGGTACGAAAGGAAAAACAAGAAAGGGATCTTTTCAAGGCTTGGGGATGAACCAACTGGAAAAATAGCAGTGCCATTTACTGAGATGGTGAAGGTTGTGGCTCACCAGGAGGGGAAATGGGTCTGTTTTGGACAATTTAAGTACGTGGTGCCTGTTAGACATCCAAGAGCAAATGTCAAGTCAGCTTTGGGCAAAACAACTCAAGACCGGAATTCAGGCCTGGTGCAGTGACTCACACCTGTAACCCCAGCACTTTGGGAAGCCAAGGCGGGCAGATCACCTGAGGTCATGAGTTTGAGACCAGCCTGGCCAACATGGTGAAACACCCTCTCTACTAAAAATACAAAAATTAGCCGGGCGTGGTGGCGGGTGCCTGTAATCCAGGCTACTTGGGAGGCTGAGGCAGGTGAATCGCTTCAACCCGGGAGGCGGAGGTTGCAGTGAGCCAAGGCCTCGCCATTGCACTCCAGCCTGGGAAACAAGAGAGAAACTCTATTTCAAAGAAGGAAAGAAAGAAGGAAAGAAAGAAAGAAAGAAAGAAAGAAAGAAAGAAAGAAAGAAAGAAAGAAAGAAAGAAAGAAAGAAAGAGAAAAAGAAAAGAAAGAAAGAGAGAGACTGGAATTCAGGTGAAGACCAGGCTGGCAGTATGAATTTAGGAGTCATAAGCACATGATTACTATTTAAGCCATGAGGATGGCTATGGAGGGAGTGTAGACAGAGGAAAGCAGCAGCCAAAGTCCTGGGCCCTGTGGCATTTCCCCATGAGAGATCAGGAAGAGAGGTGATTCTCCCAGTTCAGAAAAGCAAAAGTAACAGGGATATAATTCTTGGCTCAGCAGTGACTATTCTTTGGCATGGTCACAGTAATCTAACTGCTAAATAGTAATTCAACCGAAAATTGTCCAGGTAACTATTAAGAGAAAGGAAGAAGAAAGAATAAGTATGTGAAGAGGTATAAAAATGATGCATGATCATCTCTCAAAGTAAGAATATAATAAATACATATATAAATTATAAATAAATAGGAGTATAAAGATGATATATAGAAACGCAGGTAAATACCAGGAAAAATAACCAAAAGACTAGAAAGTGGCTTCCTTTGGGGAGTAGGAAAAGTAGGAAAGAATGGAGCAAGTGACTACTCTTTTTTTTTTTTTTTGAGACGGAGTTTTTGCTCTTGTCATCCAGGCTGGAGTGCAGTGACGCAATCTTGGCTCACTGCAACCTCCCCCTCCCAGGTTCAAGCGATTCTCCTGCCTCAGCCTCCTGAATAGCTGGGATTACAGGCACCTGCCTCCATGTCTGGCTAATTTTTTTTTTTTTTTTTTGTATTTTTAGTAGAGACAGGGTTTCGCCATGTTGGCCAGGCTGGTCTTGAACTCTTGACCTCAGGTGATCCACCTGCCTCGGCCTCCCAAAGTCCTGAGATTATAGACGTGAGCCACTGCACCTGACCGACTACTCTTATTTCATTAAAACTTTATGGACTGCAGGCCAGGTGCGGTGGCTCATGCCTATAATCCTAGCACCTTGGGCGTCTGAAGTGGGGTAGGGGTGGGGGAGATAACTTGAGCCCAGGGGTTTGAGACCAACCTGGGCAACTTAGCAGGATTCTGTCTCTATAAAAAATTTTTTCAAAATTAGCTAAGCCCAGTGGTGTGTGACTTTAGTCCCGGCTACTCTGAAGGCTGAAGCAGGAGAATGGCCTGACCTGGGGAGTGGAGGCTACAGTGAACCACGATTGCACTACTGCTCGCCAACCAGGATAACAGAATGAGACCTTGTCTCAAAAAACAAACAAACAAAACCCACAAAATCACAAAACACAAAACTTTATATACTTCAGTGGATGAATGGATAAACAAAATGTGGCATATCTATACAATGGAATATTAACCATAAAAAGGAATGATGTATTGATACCTGTTAGAACAAGAATGAATCTTGAAAACATTGTGCTAAGTGAAAGAAGCCAGACACAAAAGATCTCATATCGTATGATTCCATTTGTACAAAATATTCAGAATAAACAAATCCACAGAGACAGAAAATAGATTAGTAATTGACAGGGGCTTGGGAGAGGGGAAATGGGGTATGACTGCCAATAAGGTACACGGTTTCTTTTTTGGGATGATGAAAATATTTGTAATTAGAATGGTGGTGATGGTTGCATCACTTTGTGAGTATACTAAAAACTACTAAATTTTATACTTTGAAAAGCTGAATTTTAGGGTTTGCGAATTATATCTAAATTTTAAAAATCATATGCTATTTGAAATGTGAAATTATACAAAAGTATTACCTGAATAAAAATTAAAATTAATTTAAATATGATATCATTCTGAAAACCCTGAATTAGCTTTGGGATAAGTAAAAGAACCCCAAAACTAATTTAAACATTAGTTTGGGATTCACATTGTTTTCATCTTGTGATGAAAGTGTCTTAAATCATGAAACATGGCTGGCCTCAGGCAGTGGCAATGACCTTGATGCAGGTAGTGGGTAGGAAGGAAGGTTGTGTCCACACTATTGTTGCCTTCCAGATCTCACACATGGGAAGCAAACTTGTGAACAGGGTTTGTTTGCTACATAATTTGTGGGGCACCTTGCTCACAAAGGAGGAAAAAAGTGCCACTAAACGTACTAAAATAGAAAGCTTTTTCCTTCTTTCTGTGGTATTTCTCTTGTCATGGTGTTTTTTTAGTTGGTATTAATGTTTTTCTAAGGAGGGAAAAATTAAACATTAAAATTATTAGTATGAATTTTAACCTTCATTTTTACATTGTACAATACCAGTTACAGAAGCAAATATAATCGCATTTCACTTATATGTAGAATCACCAAAAGCACACGATTTGTACCTGGTAGCTTGTAGACATACTTAGATATTCTGTTCTTAACCAGAACAGCAAAAACACTGCATAAAACAAACTCAGCTGTTTGTATTTTATTTCTGGATATGCTGATATTCCATTAATGTTCTCTACCTTTGGCTTTGCTTATGAATAAGGAAAGACAGAAAGGAAAAGGAATTATGTGTTGTCCCATCTATTCCTTTCCTTCTATGTCTTTATTTTCAGCATAAGTGGTTGCCTAATACAGAGAGGTAAGAAATACACAAGTAGGAAAACATGTGATAAGGGTACCTCGGTGGTTCATGTTTCTTAGAATACCTTCACCTTTTTGTGTTCCAAGTAAATACTGTCTCAAATGGAGAGCGTGGCCTTTCATGGCCCTCAGCAGCCTGCAGACTCAGTTGTTTCTCTGATACACTTACTCTGTGCTGGTTTTGAGCCTGGCTGAACTCTCATGCGTCTTAGGTCCACCAGATTCTGTGCTCGGGGGCACTCCTGAAGCTGTGTGGGAACGGGGCAGCAAGGGACCACAGTGGACACCCATCTTGCATATATCTCCTCTGCTCATGCTCCATTGTTCCATTGGACTTCACTTACAAAACATGAATTCAAAGCTAAAATTATTCAGGATTTCAAGACTGCAGCAGCAGAGCATTAAAACAAACCTGGGGCCCTTCTGAGCAAGGGATCCTTTGCAACACAGGTTACATGCCTGGAAGCTGGCCTGGCTGGTGGAACCTAATTAACATCCACAATCTCTACTTCAAGGGGGCTGAGAAAATGTCTTTTTTTGCTATCTAGCTTCTGCAGTACATACATATACCAGGGGCAAGGGAAATAGATTCTGAATGCCAATCGATTGCATATGCAACAGACCCTCATCTCCTTTCCCCTTGTAGGTTTTCTTTTCTTCTTTTGGCCTTTTTTCCTTGCTTTCACCTTCTTCTTTTCCAAAAGAAATGTTCATTTCAAAACAACCCGACTATTTTTCAAATAAACTATATTCATTTCTGCCTTCCTACTATTTTGCTTATGCTTTTCCTCTCTCTAGTCCATTCAGAATGCTATAACAAAATACCATAGACTGGGTGGCTTATAAACTACAGAAATTTATTTCTCAAAGTTCTAGAGACTGGGAAGTTCAATATCAAGGAGCCAGAGGATTCAGTGTCTGGTGAGAGCCCATTCCTCATAAACAGGTATTTTCTCCTTGTAATCTCATGTGTGGCAGGAGGAATGAAGGATCTGTCTGGGGTCTCTTTTTTTTTTTTTATTTCATGAGACAGAGTCTTGCTCTGTCACCCAGGCTGGAGTGTAGTAGCATGATCTCGGCTCACTGCAACCTCCACCTCCTGGGTTCTAGTGATTCTCCTGCCTCAGCCTCCTGGGTACCTGGGATTACAGGTGTGTACCACCACGCCTGGCTGATTTTTGTATTTTTAGTAGAGACAGGGTTTCACCATGTTGGCCAGGCTGGTCTCGAACTCCTGACCTCAGGTGATCTGCCCACCTCGGCCTCCCAAAGTACTGGGATTAAAGGTGTGAGCCACTGTGCCTGGCCTGGGGTCTCTTTTATAAGGCCACTAATCTCCCATAACCTAATCACCTCCCAAAGGCCCCACCTCCTAATATCAGTGCCTGGGGTTAGGATTTCAACATATGAATCATAGTGGGGACAGATATTCAGACCATAGCTTTCTCTTTGAAAAGACTTACCCTGCCACCACCCCCACCTTGCCGCACCCATCGCAAAAAAACTTGTCACTTGTGACATCAAGTTCTGCCTTCTTTGCAAAACCTTAACAGGCAGGCTTCACACTGTAGTGGACTCTGAATTTTTAAAGTACTTTTCCAACCAGAGTACCAGGCACGTTGTCATTTTGGTTTTGCTTTATTGTGTTTTGTTTTTACTGTGTTGGTTTTATCTCTTCAGCTAGATTATGATCCTTAACTCCAAAAATTATTTTCTATTTCTTTGGTATTCTTTATAGCTCCTTTTACTGCTTTGTCCATTGTATCCACTGAATGAATAATAAGTGAGTGAATGACGTGGGTGTAAATGAATAAACAAAACAGAAGCTGCAGGATGGAAGTCAGAAAATCTGAGCCTATAGTATGGCTTTTCTGTGCATGATATTTGACAAGCTGGGCATGTACCTCTTCTGGCCTCAGTTTTCCCTTTTATTAAATTGAGACACTTTGGGCATCACTTCACCTTGTCCAGGACAAGTTGCATTATTGGCATAACTCTTAGAATTTCTTGGGAGAAAAGAACTATACAATAGTAGTACAATAACTTTATCCTGCCTTTTTTTTTTTTTTCAATTCCCACTAGGAGGGTTGAGGACATGGGAATATTTAAATATTTATCTATATTCCCATTTAGCACTATATGCTTAATGCAAAAAATAATCACTGATTCAAGTACATATGAAATCATCCTGAATTTTGCTATATCTCTGAGAATAAAAAATACCTCTAGTTCATGATATATCACCAGCTTCACTGATTTTTCTGTGAATAATCCAGTTCTCCAAGTCTATGCCATGCACTGAACCTTAGTTTAAAAACTTACTCAAACAAAAGGAGTATCAATTTAGATAGGCTATCAGTGGCTTGGAAATGACACAAAAAAGTACTAAGTTTATGGAAAAAATGGTCCTTCCATTAACTTTAAAGGAAAGGGAGATGGCTCAATGAAATGGCCCTATTCCAGTGTGAAGCTTTGATGGACTGTTGAGTTAGGTTCCTTCCCCTCACTCCCATCCCCAAAACAGAGCCCTATTCAACCTATTTCAACAATGCCAATTCATTCCTGAGATGAATCCTCCAAGAAAGATAATAACTTGTCTATGGGAAATGATGAAGGAGACACTAATGCTTTCTGGGACCAGATGTCTTGGTGGAACTGATACGTGCCTTTTAAATTTATAATTAAAAAACATGGTCCTGAACCCCCATGGAAGCTAGGCGCCCCCTTTCCTAGTTTCCTCTACCCCCGGCACCTCACCTTCCATTTTCATCAGCAAAATTTTGTCCCTTCCATTTGGATTAGGTCAAATTCACAGTCCCTCAATTTTCTTCCTTCCACATCAAAATCTCCCAGTGTTTTCCATCCATTCTTCTCTTCTTTCCTCTGTTTCAGGGAACAGTTGTCCTCACCCCTTTCCAGGGCTGAATTTCTCATCTGGGCTCTGGATGCCCTCCCTCCATGGCCCAGGGGTTGGTCTTCACTCACCTGAAACCCCTTACCATTGGCACCATCAGGCTTTCCTCTTCCACTTGCAGCCACTGTCTTAGCTTGAGCTGCTACAACAAAATACCATAGAATGAGTGGCTTAAACAACAGACATTTATTTCTCACAGTTCTGGAGGCTGGGAAGTCCAATGTCAAGGTGCGAACAGATTTGGTGTCTGGTGAGGGCCCACATCCCAGCTTGCAGATAATTGCCTTCTCATTATATCCTCACATGGCAGGGAGAGAGAGAGAGCTCTCCTGAGTCTGTTTTTATTAGGGCACTAATTCAATCCCAAAGGCTCCATCCTCATCACCTCCCAAAAGCCCTGCCTTCTAATATCATCACATTGAGGATGAGGGCTTCAGGCTATGAATTTGTTGATTTGGGGGAGGGAAGGGAGACACAATTCAGTCCATAGCAGTCATGGTAAATAAGCTTTCTTTTTTTTTTTTTTTTTTTTTTTTTTGAGACGGAGTCTCGCTCTGTCGCCCAGGCTGGAGTGCAGTGGCGGGATCTCGGCTCACTGCAAGCTCCGCCTCCCGGGTTCACGCCATTCTCCTGCCTCAGCCTCCCAAGTAGCTAGGACTACAGGCGCCCGCCACTACGCCCGGCTATTTTTTGTAGTTTTAGTAGAGACGGGGTTTCACCGTTTTAGCCGGGATGGTCTCGATCTCCTGACCTTGTGATCCGCCCGCCTCGGCCTCCCAAAGTGCTGGGATTACAGGCGTGAGCCACCGCGCCCGGCCGGTAAATAAGCTTTCTTAAAAACAAACTTCAAACCTGAAATTTTCCAAAGGGAAGTCTATACCGGTTACCTCTTTCTTCCTCCCAGTCACTTCTCCATTGCTATTTGTCCCTATACTTCCTCCCAGTAGAGCCTTCTGAATACTGGATCCAGTTACTATTATTAATAACAACTATTAATCTTGTTGATTGGGCAAGTCAGTGTTAAGTTCTTACAGGCACTATCTCATTTAATCTTCACAACCCTCGAAAGACAGGCTGGCGTTAATAATGGAAATCAGAGCTCAGAGCTCACACAAAGACTTCTGAGGATCGAATTGTTTACTGTTATTATCATTATTATATTTAACTGGTTTAAATCCCAGTTCTTTAACTTATTATTAGAGCTCTAACATTAGGTAAGTCATGTTACCAGTATGTGCCTTAATTTCCTCATTTGCAAAACAGGAATGAAAAGAAGTATCTATCTCATAAGAATGATGTGAGCAGTAAAAGCGGTTATCATACATGAGTCACCCATACAGGGTCAGGCACATGATGGTGCTCCAAAAATATTGATTCTCCAATGCTACTTCATTTATATTATTCCTTCCACATCTACAATAATGCAATTTTGTCAGCCCACCATTTAAAAAACATGAGTTTTTAACCACAGTGAGACAGAATCTTGGAGCATGAATTGCATGGAATCAAGCTGTGGCTAAACAGGTTTGTGTTTTTCAACCTGGCCTCCTGAAAGCATTGCTCAGTTTCTTACAGTCCTGAAGCAGGTGGGCTAGTTATTTTTATAACCCAGTATTTTGATTAGGTGATTTATTCTCACCTTTTTCTTACCTCATTTCCTTCTTCTGGTGTAACCCAGATGCAATTTCTCTTTAGCTTTATGTATTACTAGGAAGGGAGTTTTTTTGTTTGTTTTGTTTTGTTTTTTTCCCTGAGTGGCTCATGTTATACCAGTCTCCACCACAGTCATATATATCCCAGGATGACATGTGTCCCTGTACCTTGACCATACAATTTTCCTGAAGAAGCTAACCTTTTTCCATGATTTCAAATAGTCTTAGCCTTCATCGCTTGTAGGCATTTTGAGTGTTATGACCTGTCTTTCTTTCACAGATTATCTGAGGGCCCCTGCATGCTTTCCCCAGGCTAGACTCTTGGGTTCCGCCACTGTGAAGTGTCTCTGTTTACTTGGTCTTTTGCATAAATCCCCCTGGAGGTCCAAATCTGGCCCACTGAGGTATTTTGTTTGGAATGCATGCTGTTCTCAATTAGATTTAGCTGCTATTATTTCAAATGTGCAAGTTTCACATTAAATTACAGATCTTGCAATGCTGAGTCCCTATGCATTAAAATCCACAATTGGACTGCCCTCTCCACAGTCCCTTTTACTCCCTCTTCTCTTCCCAACACTGAGAAGAAGCAAGGTCTCACACAACTATGCCACTGTCCTTAGTAAGCTTTGGAATCTACAACCCCTGTTCTGTCACCTGCCAGGTTAGGGATTCTTAAACCACGCTGCCATTCTGGGACAGGGGACATTTGTAACCCTGGAACAGGAGGATCCCATGTTCAGGCCCTCGTGCTCCTCTCTGCTCTAACACCATCTTCCCTGGCTCCTCTCCCTCTCTCACAAGCCCCAGTGCGTCCTCATCTTCCCCTTCACCCTCATGCCCTGCCAGAGTCATGCAGTTTTCTATGTTCCTAACCACCTCTGATGTCCAGAAATATTGCCTGACTTCATTGCTGGGTGCCTCAAGTTCTCACCATTAGTCAGTCAGACCAGGGGGTTTGATGACGCGTTGCCTCTAGAAACACTAATGAAGGGGATTATCCAAAGCATTTGAATCAGGGTTTTAATTCAATTGGTATTTATTCAACTCTATGATGCAGTGGCAACTGGTACCAATGAAAACCAGGGTTGAAGAGCTCCAGCAGAAAAGCTCAGGCCCCCTGAAGGCACAGAAAGGCTCTTGCGTAATAAATCCTGCACCTGCTCTTTGCTAAACTTGATGCTGTATTGTAAGGCCAGGCAGTGTGGTGGGGGGGAATAAAACGAAATTGAGAATGCTAAAATGTTGGAAGGGACTTCAAACTTCACATAATTCAACTCCCACAATTTACCCATGAAAAAAGTTCTCCTGACCCTGTCAGGTGTGTTTTCCCTCTAAATGAACCATGGGGCCATGCCCTTGTGAGCTTATAGATCAGTCAGGGAGAATGAGTACTTTAGAAAATTTGCAGTACCGTGGCCAGGCTTCCGTAGATGTGCTCATGCCCAGATGCACTGGGTGCATGTGTGTGCATACATGTTTTGTGCCTGGGTGGGTGGATATGAAGGTGGAGTATGGAGGGTGCATCAATAAGTGTGCAGGTATTTAAGGGCTGTAAAACAGCTTAAGTGGAAAGACTTTATCTCCTATAACACAATAAAAGAAATGTCTGAATAAATTCAGTCATTTATTTATTCATTTATTTATTTGCGACAGAGTCTCACTCCGTTGCCCAGGCTGGAGTGCAGTGTGATCTCAGCTCACTGCAACCTCCTCCTCCCAGGTTCAAGCAATTCTCCTGCCTCAGCCTCTCGAGTAGCTGGGACTACAGGTGTGTGCCACCACACCTGGCCAATTTTTGTATATTTGGTAGAGACAGGGTTTTGCCATGTTGGCCAGGCTGTTCTTGAACTCCTGACCGCAGGTGATCCACCCACCTCAGCCTCTCAAAGTGCTGGGATTACAGGCGTGAGCCACTGCACCCGGCCAGTCATATATTTAGGAATCTATTAAAAGTAGCCTCCTGTAGCTTTAGAGAAATCTCTTACCACAAATGCTGATTCGTCTGATAGACTGCCACCATCCAGAGAAAACAAAAACAGGGAGAAGACTTGATTTTCACTGCATCAGGAGTGTGTGTTTTCAGGTTCAGAAGTTTTATGCAAATAGAATTCATGAGCCTACCATAAATGATATTTTTCCTGTTGGGCTACATGCTGGAGTCCTGAGTCTTGATCTCATTACACTGTGGATACTTGAAACCATCTATTTGAAAACTTCTATTGTGTGGTCTTAAAAATTGCTTGCAGGCAATACTGCCACTGGAATAGCAATTTGCATGTTCTTATTCCACCTTCCTGACCTAGGCTTTGAAGAGGCAACTGCTGGGGACTGTTATTGGCTTCTGGTAGAGAGCACAGAGCGCTCCTCAGGCAGTGATATTACCCTCTGAACCACCTTATTTTGGGCTCAGGTTGGCCAGCCCAGTAGTCATTAGTAGCATTTCTCTCAAAGGACTCTTTAGGGCAGATCTTGGAATGTCTTTTTCTGTTTCGGAATGTCCTTTTATCTCCCTTGAAGATTCTTCTCCAATCTCTCTTCTGGGAATCCTTCTCTGACCCCACCTCTCTACACCCACCACGACTGGGTGTTCCCATTTTTGTTTTCCCAAACGTTCGTTAGAAATGGTGCTCAATAACTGTTCCTGCTTTAGGACAGTGTGTTAGGATCTGGGGGCCTTCAGTTAGCAAGACTTGGCCCCTGCCTTCTCTGATGCCTGGTCTTTCAGGAGACAGACTTGTAAAGACACTGTTATCAATGGCAGGAAAAATACAATCATAGAGGACCCTCAAAGAACCCAAGTGGTTCACAAGAGGGAGTGGGTTGGGAGAGATGAGCATGAGGCAGGATTAGGGAAATTTGACAGAGGCAATGTAGAAGCTGAGTCTTCTTTTACTGAGCACCTACTAGGCAGCAAGCCCCCTTCTAGGCCTGCTGTCATTGGAGCTCACGTTCTAATAGAGAAAGACAAATAATCCTTGCCTCTTCCTAGATTTGGGTGGTTGTTGCCAATCCTTGGTATTCCTTGGCTTATAGATGCATCACTCCTATCTCTAACTTTGTCCTCTCCTTGGGTCTGAGACTGAAATCTCCTTCTCCTTCCTCTTAGAAGAACACTGTTCACTGTATTTAGGGCCCAGCCTGAACCCAAGATAATCTAATTTTAAGTTGTCTAACTTAATAATACCTGCATTTGGGAGGTCAAGGTGGGAGGATCACTTGAGCCCAGGAGTTCAAGACCAGCCTGGGCAACATTGTGAAGCCTTGTCTCTAAAAAAATTAAAAATTAGCTGAGTGACATGATGCATGTCTGTAGTCCCAGCAACTTGTGAGGCTGAGGTTGGAGGATCACTTCAGCCTGGGAGGTTGAGGCTGCAGGGGGCTGTGACTGTACCACTGAACTCCAGCGTGGTCAGGAGAGCAAGACTGACTCAAAAAAAAAAAAAAAAGACAGGAAAGGAAAGGATATAGAATAAAATAAAACAATCTACAAAGAGCCTTATTCCAAAGAAGATCATCTTCTGAGGTTCTGGGTGGATGTATTTTTCAGGAGCCACAGTTCAACCCACTACAGGCACATAACAACTTTATGAGATAAGAGCCCCAGTTTTTTCTAGTTTGCAAGTGAGAAACTGAGGCACAGAAAAGATGAATAATATGACCAAGATCCCTATGGAGGTAATAGAACCAGGATTCAAACCCATGCAGTCAGTCTCCAGGGATTTTCCAAACACTGTGCTCTTCTACCTCTCCACACCAATCTGAATTTTCTACTTGATTTAGCTAAAGCTTCTCTATCTCCTTTCCCCACTGGTGAAAGTGTGTTTAAAGGGTGATCTTCAAAAGATGATGCCCTTCTTTTGTAGTCAAAAAGAACTCAGAGAGTGTGTCCTCCTCAAATAGAAGGGGATGGGAAGAGAACAGACCCTGGAAGGAAGGAAGTGTGAAAGGGCAGGGGGAGCTTGTGGCTGTGCTTCAAATGTAGCAGGTAGACAGCCATCAATTTGGTCCACAAATCTGGGCAGCACTCTCTAGAACACTAGCAGCCACAGGCAATCTGTGCTCAGTCTGCAGGTGCTGAGGCCAATTTTCCAATAGATGAACCTGACTCTTCACAAATAACAAACAGGGAACTGGTCCTCTCTCACATGCAAGGAAATCATTGTATCTCATAAATGACTCCTCTTGCAGTTCCCAAAATCTTTCTCCTGTGACACTACTGAGCACACATTATATGAAGACCTCACATGTATTTGTTGTTGTTGTTGTTTTGTTATGTTTTGTTTTGTTTGAGATGGAGTCTCACTAACTCTGTTGCCCAGGCTGGAGTGCAGTGGTGCAATCTTGGCTCACTGCAACCTCTGCCTCCCGGGTTCGAGCGATTCTCCCACCTCAGCCCCCAGAGTAGCTGGGATTATGGGTGCATACCACCCCACCCGGCTAATTTTTGTATTTTTGGTGGAGACGGGGTTCTACCATGTTGGCCAGGCTGGTCTCGAACTCCTGACCTCAAGTAATCCACCCGCCTCAGCTTCCCAAAGTGCTGGGCTTACAGGTGTGAGCCACTGCGCCAGGCTAACAGCTTCCATGTGGAGTCTCACACAGCCCCCTAAGCAGGACACAAACACTCTGACTCCTCTCCTGGGCCCTGTCACACCAGAGGCCTGAGCTGCCCACGTGCACTGCACTTTGCACACCGGTACTATATCGCTGAACTAAGTGAGCAGCCCTCACTGCTGTCATCTCACCAGCCATTTCCCATCCTCAGTAGCTGGGAGCGGAGAGCAATTCCTGTCACCACTGGGGACCCGTCATTACATTCAATCTCTAAAGGCCCTGGGTCTGAGCTCAGCAACAATTTTTGAAAGCTATTTGGGATGGAGTAGGTAATGTCAGGGGTATGATGTGGAGAGAAAACATGACATTTCGTATCTCAGTTAAGCTGGTTTATTAACGAATTCTGTCTCTTGCTGGTGGATTGTTTTCCTCAATTCTGGAGTCTTGGGTTTAAGGCCATTCTGAGGATGACAGATGTGATTATTTAGATACATGACTGCAGTTCGAGAGTAAATGCTGATGTGGGAAACCTTTAAAAAACAGTGTATGGGGCCGGGCGCAACGGCTCACTCCTGTAACCCCAGCACTTTGGGAGGCTGAGGTGGGTAGATCACAAGATCAGGAGTTCAAGACCAGCCTGGCGAATATGGTAAAACCCCGTCTCTACTAAAAATACAAAAAATTAGCTGGGTGTGGTGGTGGGTGCCTGTAGACCCAGGTACTCGGGAGGCTGAGGCAGAAGAATAGCTTGAACCTGGGAGGTGGAGGTTGCAGGCAGCCGAGATCGTGCCACCCCACTCCAGCCTGGGCGACACAGCGAGACTCTATCTCAAAACAAAACAAAACAAAAACCCAAAAAAACAAAACAAAAAACAGTGTATGGAAAGAGTGTTTGTAAAATGTTATCTTTTGTGTAAGAAAGGTAGATATTACTATATGTATGTATTTTTCAAAAAAGAAACAGTGGTAGAATAAACAAAAAAACTAAGGCAAATGACATCTCCAGGGGAGAGAGGGAATAAGGTGGAGAAGATAGAGATAGACCCTAGACTTCTCTGAATGTGACTTATGTGACTTAGGTGTCTTATCACATGGGTTTGGCTTTGAAACGGTGTAAATGTTTTAGATATTTTTTACGTTAAAAATTCCTAAACATCAAAAACAACCTGAAACAAATGAACCTGACTCTATGTCAAATTGGTGGCTAAATCAAAGAGTAGAGAATTACTTCAAGGAGGGTGATCAACCCTCCTGGTTTGCCTGGAACTATCCAGGTTTACAGTTGGCCACCCCAACAGGTGATTATAAAACCTACATTTTGGCTGTACATCCTGAGTAAGACATATTCTAGGGACAAATAAAAACCACAAAGAAATATTTAACTACGTTCAGTGTTTTATTGCTGTATTGTATTGTAAGACCATTATAGTATACCTATAGTATAAGTACAGTAAAGTATAAGATAAATATATAATTAAGGTGGTTAGGAACCAAGGTTTCCATATATAGGAAAAAGGATAAAATTAAAGAAATTATGTAAATCTTGTAAATGCCAGCATGAACTCAGGATTTGATGCAAATGTCCTACCTTTGCCCACTGAAAAGCCTGAAATTAATGATGACTCTGTAGCAAGGAACAACTCTAGCTCTTAGATTGCAGCCTGTAAATACCAACCTCCCTTTAAAAAGAGTCAAAGATCACTAAAGAAATGACTGATTTCAGATCTGGGGGCAGAAATGTACAAGATGAAACTAAGCTATCTAATTGTGCCCAAAGCAAGGAAGCAATCAAAGATTGATAAAGTCATGACAAAAGAGCACTGGATTCATCTTGAAGGGGCTTACATTGGCCTGAAATGAGACATTTGAGCATCAAAAGGAATAATGACTGCCATGGATTGAAAACTTTAACTATATAAAAATTATAAGCTCATCCGAAGCAATCAAAAACAAATGTCTTTGGTAACTCCCTAGGGCAACAAATCATTACTTTGAAAATAAAGGGACAGAATCAATTTCTTTTTTTCCTGCTTTTCCTGTATAAATTTTATTTCAGGGTAACCAGATAGTTGACAAGAAGAAATTCTTTTTTATAGAAGTATTACAGTTAATAAAATTGAAATAAGTAATTGAATTAGAAAATCAACATTTTGGAATCTCTAATGAAAAACAGATTTGGGCAATCATTGTCAACAATTGCCAAAACCACAAAATAAAAAGTTAACAGGAAACTGTGTAGTGGATGGATCAGGCTAATATCACCTGAGCCCACTGATCAATCTTTTAAAAAAAGTAAAACAATCTCAAATATACAGAAAAGTTGCAAGTACAATACAATGCCTTTTTTGGTCCTTAAGAGAAATTTGTCCACATGATACCCCACCAATCCTAAACACTTTAGTGTTTATTTCCCACAAACAAGGACCTAATCCCAGTAAACCACAGCACAACCATCAAAATCAGAAAATTAATATTACTATATTAGTGTCAAGAACTGAGAAGGGTCTGAGTTTGTCTTCTACTTTCAAACTGATGTTAGTCTATTGTAGTTGCATGGATGCTGGCAGAAGTCATGAGATTCCTGGGTCAGAGACAAAGCACTTTATTGCTCATTACACAGCAAGTGGCATGAACAGCCTATCTGTGTCAGGTCTCCTTGCCTCCAAATTCCATCCAGGCAATATGAAAAGCTCCAGATCTTTGTACTTACACATAGAGAACTGCCTTACAGGAGAAAAACCCTGAGCTTAGGGAACCCATCGTTTATTTATTTATTATTTTTAAACTTTTATTTTAGGTTTAGGCATACACGTGCAGGTTGGTTATATAGGTAAACTGGCGTCACAGGAGTTCGTTGTACAGATTATTTTGTCACCTGGGTACTAAGCCTAGCACTCAATAGTTATTTTTTTTCTGATCCTCTCCCTCCTCCTACCCTCAACTGTCAAGTAGGCCCCAGTGTCTGTTGTTCTTCTCTTTGTGTCCATGAGTTCTCATCACTTAGCTCCCACTTACAGGTGAGAACATGCAGCTTTTGGTTTTCTGTTCCTGCATTAGTTTGCTAAGGATAATGGCCTCCAGCTCCATCCAAGGGAACCTATCTTTTATAATGGGCAGTAAGCATACCTGCCCTTTGATCTGGAGAGAGGGAGACATTGTTTCTATCTTGTAAGACTGAAAGCCAACTTGCCCTTTGCTCCAGAGAGAGACCCTATCTCTGTCTTCTAAGGCTGTTTGCTATCCAAACATTCTTGCAAAGCTAATCTGGAACAAAGAGAAGAGAGTACCTCTGTGAGATGTGCACAAATGTGAGAGAACCACAGGTAACTGTCTCCTAATACTGCAGTACTGGTAGCAGTTTTCTTAATTTTAGGCTTCCTAGAGGAAGTTGTATCTAATGGGAGTCATTTTTGAAAAAGGGTTAGCTAACAGATATTTGGGGATAGGAGATACAGGAAGCGAGTATTTTAGACAGAGGAAACAGCATGGAAAAGAAAAGCCCAGGAGGCTTTGGAGGCTGGGGAGGAGGAGGAGGCTTCAGCTGAGGTCAAAGAAGCAGGTTTATTTTGAAGGGTCTTGTAAGCCTCGAGCTGCTGTTGGTACTTGATCCTGAGTCCTTGAAATGGTTTAAGCTGGGGAGTGGCATGATCAAATGTGTGCTTTAAAAAGGCCACTTGGGCTGCAGCTGCAAGTGGACTGGATTCAGCCCAAGGTTAATTTTTTCTGCTTGGTTTCCTGTAATCAGGTTCAGGGAGATGGGGATGCATGTATTGAAATTCTGCCACATGGTAGATGGGGCTGTCTTTGAAGATGAACATATTTGAGGTCAATCTCACTGCCCCTCCTCCAATCTCACCCTCCAGCGTTTTGATCCAAGTGCCCACAGTTCTGATGAATGTCAAAGGCAAGCTTGAGGAGGGAAGAGGAAATGATTAGTCCTTTACACTCCAGGTCAATTTACTAAGGATGAATTCTCCAAATGATCAGCCGGATTTTCAAGTAAGTTCTCCTTGTTTGTCAATTTACCTATTTCTTTTTAACTGTTCATAATGTTTATATTAATTTGTTTCGGATGGAATTATTTTTAGCAGATATTAAAGATTTTCATGCAATATTAATTGATAAATTTGAAGATTTACTTTGGTTTAGTTTTCATTTGAACTTAGTTCTAGTTTATTCTAGCTGTTTTTCTGCGACCAAATTTCAATATATTCCAGATTTTTCTATATTTTGGGTCAATGACTTTGGGGAGTGAAAGTTTCATTGTTATTTCAAATGCATGCATTTTGGAAGACAAAGATTTAGAAATGGTAGAGCAGGTTTCTCTCTTCCAATACTTTTCATTCCAGTTCATTGCCTTTTGTGTATCACTTAATTCACAGATTTGTTAATCAGCTAGTTCAAATAAATATTTTGCCTGTATTTCAAGCACTTGAGAAGGGATTAGTGTCTGAAATGTGATCACTCACAAAATTGAAATTCAGTTGAGTTGGATTGACAAATCTGTTACAAAGCAGCTGGGGTGAACCAGCTGAGCACAACTAAAACTAAAACTAAACTCTAACTTCAGCAGCAAGCAGAAAACCTGTAAAGGCATTAGAAACCATTTCACATAACTAATTTGCTATTAAGTTTTTTTTTTTTTGAGGTGGAGTCTTGCTCTGTTGCCCAGGCTGGAGTGCAGTGGCACGATCTTGGCTCACTGCAACTTCTGCCTCCCAGATTCATTCCATTCTCCTGTCTCAGCCTCCCAAGTAGCTGGGACTACAGGCGCCCGCCACCACACCCGGCTAATTTTTTGTGTTCTTAGTAGAGATGGGGTTTCACCATGTTAGCCAGGATGGTCTTGATCTCCTGACCTCGTGATCCGCCCACCTCGGCCTCCCAAAGTGCTGGGATTACTGGCGTGAGCCACCGCGCCCATCCCCTGCTATTAATTTTTTTGAAAATTATATATGTTTTACTTTACTCACAATCTAGAGAATTGAATTAATCATTCTTACTTCATAAAACACCATAATCATTGACCCATACACGGTCCCTGTCATGTTTGATTTTATTTTGTATATTTCCCCTTCATCTCCAATCTCCACTCCCATTCCCCACCTCCACAGGACTCAATTTAACGTATTCATGATATGTTCTTAAAATGCATGTACCTTTTCTGTAGTGCTATGTATATATTTGATTTCAATTTACATACATAGAATGGTGCTACAAATCTTCTGTTTCTTACCCTGTTTGAAGGGTCTACACATGTTGATGTTTGTACATTTAGTTCATTACCCTTGTTAAAGCAAACTAAATATGGCCTGAGAAGTACTCTATACTTCTATATTTGAGTCCTTGCGGATGACTACAGACAAAATTGAAAATGTTACTTAATAGTATGCACCTCTAACAATGGCTGAGTGTTGGCCAATCCCAGTAGCCATACTTCAACCACTCATAGACTGCTGAATGTTCAAACTGCGTTTAAATAAGGCAAATGCCCAGCTCTAACCAATCTCACTGTTTCTATACCTCACTTCTGATTTCTGTACGTCACTTTCCCCTTTTTATCTATTAATTTGTTCTGACCACAAGGCACCCCTGGAGTCTCTGTAAATCTGCTGTGATTCTGGGGGCTGCCCGATTCACGAATCATTCATTGCTCCATTAAACTCTTTTAAATTTAATTCGGCTTAAGTTTTTCTTTTATCAGATGGTGTCAGAAGCGGTATCCGAAGTGGAGCTTCTAGCGACCACTAGGAGGGCTGAGTGAACACGCAAGCTACCTGCAGGACCCACTTGTCTCAGATTTTGGAGCTCCGTGGATTTGTGTTTTGAGCTCTCCGAGTTTCTTTGAACAAATTTCTGATCCAAACTGGGTTTGGAGTCGCAACAGAAACTGGACTGGGTCCAGGAATGGATTTGATCCAGAAATTAACTGGCTTGGATCAAGTTAGAGGCCTCTTACGTCTGACTGGGTGAGAAAGGAACAGGTGGATTTTGAACATTCACAGGGATTTTTGCATTATATCCCTTTGTTTCATTTTTCTTGCACGCTTAGGTAGGGGAAAAAAATCATTGGCTAAGTTAATCAAGAGAACCTGAGCATAAAGCCAATATTTGAGGTAAAAATGGGATCCTTAATTTCTGGAAAACCGAGTTCCTTCTGGCTTATACTTTAGGCCTGGGAGGCAGTGAAGTCTTACAGAAACAGCAAAATCTTACTAAAGATACCTTACAGTGGAACATTCCCAAAGAACAACAATGCATTGAAGTACATTTAAAAAATGAGGGCTCTTGGTAAAGTCCCTTTTAGCTGAGAAAGGGTTTGGCACTCCAGCATGTCAATTGCTGTTCTCTTTGGCATAATCTGCCTTGCACTCTTTGCTGATGGCTGTGGGTGACAGGATTAGGCATGTACAGGATCGTGGGACATGGGAAGCTTTTTCTTCCCTAAAAGGGGAAACTTTAGAGATGATGGGACCGTTGGAAAAGATCCATTTGGTACCAAGAAGCAGCGGCCTGAACTTTTCAGTGTCGCTGCAATAGGTGGGTCTTTCTGTGGCCTCCCTGATCATTTCACCTTCCCCACCTTGCCACAGGCAATGCTTTTCTCTCTCTCCTTTCCCTTTCTTATGTTTTCTATTACTCAGGGAGACCACCTTGCCCAGAGACCACAGGTTGAAACTCCTGGTCGGAGGTTGGATTAACAATGATGGGGCCCAACCAGGGGCAAATTTGAGCCTTGCTGGTTTGACATTGGGTGCCAACCACAGTGGCTAATGTCTATGTTTTTGTCACACATATTTTACTCTGGCCAGGACAAAAAAAAGATAATTTTCCTTTATGATGTGGCTTTGCCCCAGTGCGATGGTGTGGCAAGCTGAGTCACTAGGGGCGCTCATGGAAAGCGTACCCAGAAGCCTGGCATCCCGGCAAAAAGTTAAGAATTTCTTACCAGTTAGATTTCAGGCTTCTCTCTCTCTCTGTGCAAATGGTTGAATGAACGGTAAAAATTGCTGTTTATCTCCATTTTGTTTTACGTCCTTGGGAGCTTGACCTTGTAACCATGTGGCGGTACTTTCTCTTGGTTTCCGCCTTCCAGGGAACAGGAATTTTAGGGCTTATGTCATAGTTAGCTCTAAAAATTATCTCGAGTAGCTAAAAGCCTTTGCAAGCTCAAAATTAACTACTCTAGATTCCTCCTGGGAGAGGTCATAAAAGATTGCCCCATGTTGGAGCTCAGTAGCTAAGGCTTTGCTCTTTCATACTGGTGGTCTGGGTTCAATTCCCTGCCTATGAAGTAAGTTGCGTTTAGTTTAATATTTGTATGACCTTGTCTAGTCTCTTCTCCATGTACTATCTAATTTTCCTTTCTCTGAGCACCTGGGAGGTTACCTTTGGTAGAGTTCAAAAGCCAGAAATACCAGCCGTTTGGCCTGGCTAAAATTGGGTAATAAAAAATTTTAAAAGGACTTTATTAAAGAGTGCTATGGTTAAAAGTCAGCTTAATTAAAAGTGGATATTGAAGCTCTAACTGCCTGGACTTCTTGGGAAAAACAGAAGGCACCAGAAATCCCTTTCTGGCCCTCTTCTTCCAAGGGCTCCACCCAAAAGCCAATAACCAGTTAAGAAACATAAAAACTGGCAAAATAAAAAATCTTACAACTACTGTGGTAATCTTCTTCTGTCTGTCTGTATAATTATATATGTGTTGTGTGTAATGTTTATATAAAAGAGCTCTGATTAATTGGCTTAAACAAAAATAAGCTCAAATTAAATATTTAGAAAGCAAAATAAAAACAGCTTTAAAGATTACTGATAAAATAAAGACATTTTTGTCTAAATTATGCAGGTCAGATATTAGATTTGCTAAATGCTTTAAGGTCATAAACTGCTTTGACTTTTGAAAATTGTTCAATTTATTCTGGAGACATTACATTCTAAATAAGGCCTGGGGATATATGGAATTAGCCATGCCCCTTAGCTATGCAAAGAAGGCTATAAAGAAAATAGATTTTATATAAGAAAGGATGTTGTATGGTAAATTCTTGTCCTAAAGTAAAATGACTGGTTGTTTAAAAAGAAGGACGTTTAGGGCAAGTCACTCAGAAAGTCTAAACATGTCTCACATAGTCTGTGTAAGTCATGAAAGAATTTATGAAAATAAATTTATGCCAGAAATGTATAATTTAAAGGTGATTAGGGCTGGGGGCAGTGGCTCACTCCTGTAATCCCAACACTTTGGGAGGCTGAGGTGGGTGGATCACGAGGTCAGGAGTTTGAAACCAGCCTGACCAACATGGTGAAACCCGTCTCTACTGAAAATATAAAAATTAGCCAGGCGTGAGGGCGCACACCTGTAATCCCAGATACTCAGGAGGCTGAGGCAGGAGAATCACTTGAACCCAGGAGGTGGAGGTTGCAGTGAGCCGAGATGGCACCACTGCACTCCAGCCTGGGCAAAGGAGTGAGACTTTATCTCAAAAAAAAAAAAAAATAAATAAATAAATAAATAAATAAATAAATAAATAAAGGTGAATAGGCCTCCTAAATGATTTATAACATGCCACTATGACTGTACAGCTTGCCTATTTTACGGCTAGGTAAGGCCTGGGACATGTGGAGTTAGATGATGGAAAGAGTCAGACCTTATGTGCATTTCTGTCTGGGTCCTAGGCTCCCCATCTAGTACATAATTAAAATCCCTTACTTACCAAGATTTTCACCAAAAGTAAAAGTCTCTAAGAGTTAACATTGTAATATGCAATTGAGACTACTGAAAAAATGAGTTTACATACAAGGTGTGTAAGGAGAATAAAAAGTATTTTTGTAAGAGATTATAAGAAGGTAAGGGAATGTAAATTTTTGCCTAGGTTAGAGGGTTAAAGCATTGTTTTAAATTAAATAAAGCTAAATGTTTGAACAAGTTGTGGAAGGTTTATAAAAAATTAATTGTAAAAAATTCTATGTGTGGACATATTGGCTAAAGTTAAAATGGCATTTTTCAGTTTTTTTCCATAAATTGAACATTGGAATAAAAGCACAACAGAGTTTTCTTAGAACATTGTTCTGGTCTGAAAAAAAAAATGTAAAGGGTTATAAAATGTTTATAAAAATCTTACCTTATGGTCAAACTAATTAAACTTAATAGACTTATAAAATGTTATTAAAAAACTAGCTTTATCATTAAAAATACACCAATGGAAACATAAAATTTGGTTTTCTCTTTTAAAAATAATTTTTATGTAATATTAAAAGATAATGAAAGGTTTTTGTTTACCTTTTAAGTAAACTACAAGAGAAAAAGGGGGGAAGGGAAAGAAAGGAGACAGAGTCAGTTGGCTTCATGCTATCTCCACTGGGTCTTATTTAGAAAGCTGTGTCTCCTCTCCATCAGAATAGTATTTTTTCCTTTAAAAATTTTTTGAGTTATCATTTTGGCTAAATGAACGACTTATGGTAACCTAAAATTCTATTTTGTAATATCCAAAGTTTTAAACCTTTGCTATTTAACAGACCTTTCAAAATCAAGCTTTAGATTATCATGCTAAATCAGCCAATACTAACATTGTTTAAATATACAATTTGAATGAACTCCATGGTCTAAGTCAAATTACCTCTGATAACTTATTAGTTATCAGTGCTATGCACCTAAATTGGAGAAACAACTGGTATTCAAGAGGACATAAGTCCAGTGTTAAGCATGGACTCGTGAAGAACCAAGACAGCCGCCTTGTCCTTCCTGAGTGCTTAAAGCTTTTGTTATTAAAGGTTCTGCATTCCATGACTCGTCATGAAAAAGATAAAATAATCCAAATTGAATACATTGATGTGGTGACTTATAAATTGCAGTAATAGTTTAAAACCAATGTTTGGTTACATATTCCTGGGAAGACAATCAAAGGTTCAGGTACGTTTGGCTACTTGATGGTCCATTTAAACATTTATAAAGGAATTTCATTCAATTGTCATTTTCAATGCATGTTTTCTGGGGGTATAAAAGCTTTCCCATGCAAGAGGGCTGATGTTATAACAGTAAATTATTATGCTACAGTATATTTCACCAGGTAAAGAGAGTTTTTATGGTTCACTGAGGATAATCCCTTCACAATCTGGAGCCCAAAGATTGGATCTTCTGAGAACATGAGAAAAAGTTTGTCCTTGCCATCCACACTACAGCAAAACTTTGGAGCCTTGAACCTTGGGTTCGTAATCGCACAACTGACAAGGGCCCCTCCACACTCCTGGAACTGTACACCCATTGGAACCCTTAAGGTAAAAGTAACCAGGAAAGTTTCTCCCCAGAAGAAGATGGCATCTTTTATGTGAACAGCTTTTTCCAAGATCACTGATCAAGACTTCTACTATCACAGACTCTTATCTTTGAATATTTTTCCTTGTTATGCCTCTATGAACAATAGAAATGAAAAAGGGGTCTATTATGTGCACTTATAGGGTATACTTTATTTGTGAAGGATTTTGCAGCCATGAATAACCATATGCTTTAATAGGTAAAAGATGAAGGCCCAGTGTAGGTGAGAAACTTTGATGGTACATATATTGCCTCATAATCAGTCAAAACTCCTCATGAATTAAAGAGAACATTGCCAGGAGGCCTTCAGTCCTGTAGAAGGATATCATTTGTTAGGTCCTTTTTCCATGGTTTAGAATAAAATAGGCAATAATTAGAAATGTCACCCTCACAATAGGCTCTACAGCAAATTCTACTTTAAAGGCTATCCTTACACAACAGACTTTAAATTCTCTTGTGAAAGTTATGCTAAATAATAGAATTGGCTAAGCAGAAAAGTACCTGTGCAGCTACTGACACTTCTGGCCTATGGAGAAATACATCAAATGTAGATTACAAAAATTCAGTTGTAGGGGATTAATGAAAAGACCACTTGGTCAAGCGAGTAGACTCTTCATCTAGCTCATTCTTTAATCTATTTTATTTGATGTGGTTTGGTTTATGGGGACCCTGGGTAAGGAGCATACTCCAAACCGTTGGTATTATCCTCCCAATAGTCATAATCATAGTCTTTCTGGTGCTCTGTATTCTTTCAAAGATTTTCACTGTTCACATGCAACCATCTCTACAATGTCAAATGGTCTCTTTTCAACTGGAATGACAAAAGCTGAAAGAAATGTGTGACCATGAGGACACTGTAACCTATAAATGATGTACTGAGACCGGAAACCCAAAATATGGTAAATGAGAGTGGCACTAAAGCCCTAAGTTTGGGTCACACTCTCACCTAGTGAGAACCTGGCCAAAAAGGGGGAATTTTTAAAAAACAAAATTATGGGAAGCCGTTATTTTGGACTTGAGCTCATGCACTAGGCTCCAAAAAACCAAACCAGGATAAAATGGAGTCACTTGTGCTAAATGTGACATAATCAAATTAAGGCTTTGAGAAAGCACATAGATCCTAGAACAGACCAGGTTTTGTTTTTCTCCTGTAAACAGGATGTTCCAGCATACGGAAGCACCCTCTATTCAGTCCTTATTCCTTCCTTGCAAAACCCACTGTTCTAATGTTTCCCAGTGGGTTTCAAAACCATATAAGTACATTTATGATAGCGATAGTAGCATCAATAACTAAGATTTTGGTCAATCTCTTAAAATTGAGAAAATGACCAAAAGAGGGAACTTGTTAAGGCAAACTAAATATGGCCTAAGAAGGACTCTGCTTCTGTATTTGAGTCCTTGTGGATGAACTGTGACCTAGCTTAATAGTAAGTCAAAATTGAAAACCTAACTTAATAGTATGCACCTGTAACAATGACTAAGTGTTGGCCAATCCCTGCGGTCATACTTCAACCACTCGTAGACTGCTGAACATTCAAACTGCATTCAAATAAGGCAAACACCAAGCTGTAACCAATCACACTGTTTCTGTACTTCACTTCCAATTCCTGTACATCACTTTCCCCTTTCTGTCTATAAATTTGTTGTGACCACAAGGCATCCCTGGAGTCTTGGTGAATCTGCTGTGGTTCTGGGGGCTGCCCAATTCATGAATTGTTCATTGCTCAATTAAACTCTTTTAAATCTGGCTGAAGCTTTTCTTTTATCACCCTGGACTACTGCTTAGTATTCCATAGAATGCATCCAGCCCATTTTACTATTCATCTCCTAGAAATGGCTTCCTAAGTTGTCTACAGCTCTCCTTCTCTCTTCTACCATAACAATTTTTATTATTTATTTATTAATTTATTATTATTATTATTATTTTTGAGATGGAGTCTTACTTTGTCACCCAGGCTGGAGTGCAGTGGCGTGATCTCGACTCACTGCAACCTCTGCCTTCCAGGCTCAAGGAATTCTCCTGCCTCAGCCTCCCTAGTAGCTGGGATTACAGGCACCTGCCACCCTTTTTGGCCAGGTTCTCACTAGGTGAGAGTGTGACCAAAACTTAGGGCCTTAGTGCCACTCTCAGTTACCATATTTTGAGTTTCCGGTCTCAGCACATCATTTATAGGTTACAGTGTCCTCATGGTCGCACATTTCTTTCAGCTTTTGTCATTCCAGTTGAAAAGAGACCATTTGACATTCTAGAGGTAGTTGTAATTTACTTAGTAGAGACACGGTTTCACCATCTTGGCCAGGCTGGCTTGAACTCCTGTGCTCGTGATCCACCTGCCTTGGCCTCCCAAAGTGTTGAGATTCAGGTGTGAGCCACTGCACCCAGCCATTATTTTTTCTGAGACAGAATTTTGCTCTTGTTGCCCAAGCTGCAGTGCAATGGTGCAATCTTGGCTCACTGCAACCTCCGCCTCCCAGGTTCAAGTGATTCTCCCACCTCAGCCCCCCAAGTAGCTGGGATTACAGGCAAGCGCCACCATGCCAGGCTAATTTTGTATTTTTAGTAGAGACAGGGTTTCACCATGTTGGTCAGGCTGGTCTCGAACTCCTGACCTCAAGTGATCCACCCACCTCGGCCTCCCAAAATGCTGAGATTACAGGCATGAGTCACCGCCCCCGGTCCCATAACAATTTTTAGATGCACATCCACATCCCCTTACAGACAGATGAGATGGTTTCTCTACACACCCAGGAGGTGGATTGCTACATCATAAGGCATATTCACATGCAATGTCACTAAATACTGCTGGCTTGCTTTCCTGAATGTCTAGCTAGCTCACATACCTACCAGGAGCAGGGCTGCGATTAGCATGAGAGGAGTGAGGCAAAATTTAAGGGAGAGCCAAAAGACTTAGTGATCAAGGTAAATAATACTTCAGTGCAATATTTTTAAAATTAAAATTCATGCAAAAACATTTTGATGTGAACAATAAAATCAAAATTTTAAATGAAGAGAAAAAACAACAAAGGGACACAGGAAAATGTTGGAGATGATGGATGTGTTCATTACTTTGATTATGATGATGGTAACACAAGTTTATACATATGTCCAAACTCGTCAAATTGTACACATTAACTATGTGCAGTGTTTTTGTATACCAATCACACCTAAATACAACCAGAAAACAAAATTTTAAAATAAAGACAACATCCAACCCTACACTCACATGACTCTCAGATCCACCTTCAAAAATGGACTTGGTGCCCCAGTGCTGGAATAGTCATCAACTGCAGCCCTTTTGGGAAGGTTCTCAGCTGGAGAAAATCACCTCTCTCAGAGTCATGCCTTCCATCATGCACTGCCCGTACTAATCAGTAGCTGACCATCTGATTGAAAGGGTATAAATAACCAGTTCATCTCATGATGGTTCAACTTTGAGGGGCCACCCAGCTTCAGTCCTGGTGAGGCTAGATGGAGCTTTCTTTTTCTTTTTTTCCCCAGCTTTATTGAGGTATGATTGACAATTAAAAATTAAATAAATTTAAGGTGTATACATTTTGTTTTGATAAATATGTACATTGTGAAATAATTACAATCAAGCTAATAAACATATCCATCACCTTACATAGTTACCTTTTGTGTGTGTGTGTGTGTGGTGAGAACACTTAAGAGCTACTCTCAACAAATTTCAAGTATACACTATTATTAACTATAGTCAACATGCTGTACATTAGGTTTCTACAACTTACTCATTATGCATAACTAAAGTTTTGTACCTTTTAATCAACTTCTCATTTCTCCTGCCCCTCAGCCCCTGGTAACGACCATTCTACTCTCTGCTCCTAGAAGTTGACTTTCTAAGATTCCACATGTAAGTGAGACCCTACAGTATTTGTCTTTCTGTGTCTGGCTTATCTCCCTTAGCATAATGTCCTCCAGGTTCATCCATTTGTTGTAAATGCCAGGATTTCCTTTTTTTTTTTAAAAGACTTAATAACATTCCATTGTATATTCTTATCCATTCATCTGTCGACAGTCACTTAGGTTGTTTCCATATCTTGGCTATTGTGAATAATGCTGCAGTGAACATGGGTATGCAGATATCTCTTGGACATGCTGATTTCAATTCCTTTGGATATATACCCAGAAGTGAGATTGCTGGAACATATGGTAGTTCTATTTTTAATTTTTTTGAAGAACTTCCATACTGTTTTCCATAATGCTTGTACCAATTTACATTCCCACCAACAGTGTACAAGGATTTTTTTCCACATTCTTGCCAACACTTGTTATGTTTTTGATAATAGTCATTCTTTCAGGAGTGAAGAGACAATATTTGCAAACCATACATCTAGTAAGAGGTTAATATCCAAAATAGACAAGGGGTTCAACTCAATAGCAAGAAACAAAAAAAACCAACAAAAAAATGGGCAAAGGATCTGAACAGACATTTCTCCAAAGAAGACATACAAATGGCTAATAGTTATATTTGAACAGGTGCTCAACGTCACTAATCATCAGGAACCGCAAATCAAAGCCACGAAGAGATATGACCTGATGCCTGTTAGGATGGCTGGGCTTTCTTTGGGACAGCACTGAAGCTCCTGTACTATTTCCTCCTACACCCTTCCTTAGATGTTTCTCCCACTGGTGCTTACTAATAAATGCTTTTCATGCTAAGCTTATGCTGAGAGTCTGTTGCCCAGGGATTGCAAATAGTGTTACTTGCCAATATTTAGTATTATCTTTCGGTATAGTATTTGCCATCCTGATGTATTTAAAATCAAATTTCAGTGTTTTTTCAATTGCGTTGCTTTCATTACTTGTGAGTTTGAACATCTCTTTATATGCTTTTTGGCTATCAGGGCTTTCCTGTCTGTGAATTCCCTGTCCATATCCTTTGTCCCTTTACCATTTTAACTATAAACTTTATGATACAGAGTTGCTAATGAATGGATAATTTGGGGATCTGGCCATTCAGTGATTTGGTTTTTAGCAATTAAGCTTTCAGCAAATTAGCTTTCTGTGAATTCTACCAAAACAACTTTTGGCTAATGAAAAGTTTGATGACTTAAGTGAATTGATAATTTGGCAAAGTGAATTTTGGTGAATTGACTTTGAGTGAATTCATTTTTGTTAAGTTGGCTTGCTTCTACTAAGGATGTCTGCACTGTTCTCTCTCCTGAACTATCTTCTTCGAAAACTTTCCATGAGGTCTGTAGAACCCATGATGGGGGGAATGTACAAGGACAACCCCTGCCTCTTTTATTGTTTTTTTAAGTAAAGTCAGGTTCTCAATATGTTGCCCAGGCTGGTCTTGAACTTTTGGGCCCAGTGGATCCTTCCGCCTTGGCCTACCAAAGTGCTGGGATTATAGGCGTAAGCTACCACTCCCGGCCTGACCCCTGCCTCTTAATCAAAGCCCTCTACTGTTCTTTCTCTTCTTCCTGTTTCTTCTTGTATCTGATTACCGTGCTCCTCTGCTCAATACCTTTCAGGTGAGGTCACAAGGTCAAAGTTTCCTTGTGACGTTGTCCATCTACTCTCACCCTTACCTCTACCAGCAATAACACACTCAATATTATCTACATTCATCCATCCCTGCTGCTCCTCAGGCTCAACATGGTCCTCTGCCATCACAGAAAAACTGCTTGAACGGGCTGACTAGAGCTTTTGTCTCCACTTATTGCCTCGTGTTCTCGTCTCAACCAATTCCTAATGGAATTCCATTCCCCGTGCCCAGGTGAGATGGCTTGTGCTACATGTCCAATGGCTCCCAATCAGTTGAAGTCAGTAATTACTGGTCTTACCCAACTCACCCAACCCTTCAGAAACACATTTTTTTTTTTTTTTTGAGACAGCATCTCCCTCTGTCACCCATGCTGGAGTGCAGTGGCATAATATCGGCTCACTGCAACCTCTGCCTCCTGGGTTCAAGCGATTCTCCAGCCTCAGCCTCCTGAGTAGCTGGGATTACAGGCACGTGCCACCACAGCCGGACTAATTTTTGTATTTCTTTTTTTTTTTTTTTTTAGTAAAAATGGGGTTTCACCGTATTGGTCAGTCTGGTCTCAAACTCCCAACCTCAGGTGATCCGCCTACCTCGGCCTCCCAAAGTGCTGGGATTACAGGTGTGAGCCACTGCTCCCAGCCCTTCAGCAATACACTTTCAACAGAACTACTTGTTCCTCTTGAAATAGTGTCAGCTCCTGGCTTCTGTGAGAGCCCACAGTGGATTCCCTAATTCCTCTTTCCTTTTGTGGATATCTTCTTCTCCACTCAACCTCTAAATATGGGGGCCCTCTAGGGCTTGAAACTGGGTGCCTTCTCCTTCATTTATGAAGGAGGAGCCCTAGAGGGCTCCTATATTCATCTTCCCTCTCTAGTAGATTTCATTGAATGTCGTGGTTTTAACATATTTATGCATTATTCTCTTTCTTGTCAAGCCAAGCTCATTCCCACATTTGAGCTTGTGTATTAGTTGTTTCCCCAGCCTAGAACAACTCCTCCCCACCCACTGCCAACAAACCTCATCATTGCATGTCTGACTCCTTCATGTCATTCAGACTCCTTCATGTCATTCAGATGTCATTTTAAATGTCATCCCTTCAGAGAGGCCTTCTCTGACTCTTCAACTTAAAGAAGCTGTCCAGCCAGTCTTTAACACATCACACCATTTTACTCCCTGCACCACGCTGATGATTTTATGACTTTTTGTTATTCAGTACTTTCTTTCTCTCTACCCCAGAGAGAACATAAATCCCCATGACAGTACAGATTTTATCTGTCTTATTAGGCAATTAATAAGTAAACAAATGAATTTACTTTAAAACACTTTGACATATACAGTTTGATGTTATGGGCATGCTACTTAGGTTAATCTACATGCAACCATACCTAAGGCTAATGGCATTTTCACCGGGAATGCAAGGTCAAGAAAATACTGGCAAGCAATCTAATTTGAAATTCCATGATCTGGAGCCTAGAACAGCTCTGCCGAATAGAAATAAAATATAAGCTACATATTTTATATTAAATTCGCTAGCAGCCACAATATGAAAGGTAAAATAAAACAGGTGAAATGGATTCTTATGTACATTTTATTTAATCCAATATATACAAAATATTATTTCAACATGTAACCAATATAAAATGATTAATGAGATATTTTACATTTTTTGTTGCTTTGTACTAAGTCTTGAAATTTCTGGTGTATATCTTACACTTACAGAACATCTCAGTTGGACTTGTTGAATTGAGAACAATTCAATAGCCACACTCAATAGCTGAAGCACTCAATAGCCACATATAGCTAGTGGCTACCATACAGGACAGTGCAGCTCTAGAGAGTCTGCAAGTGCTTCTGTTAGCTAGATTCTTTTTTTTTTTAACTTTTATTTTAAGTTCAAGGGTACATGTGCAGGTTTGTTACATAGGTAAACTTGTGTCATGGGGGTTTGTTGTACAGATTATTTTATCACCCAGGTATTAAGCCTAGTACCCATTCGTTATTTTTTCTGATCCTCTTTCTCCTCCCACCGTCCACCCTCCAATAGGCCCCAGTGTGTGTTGTTCCTTTCTATGTGCCCACGTGTTATCATTTAGCTCCCACTAATAAGTGAGAATGTACAGTATTTGGTTTTCTGTTCCTGCATTAGTTTGTGTTAGCTAGATCTTGATCAACATTCAAGGTTGTTCAAATCAACATAGTGAATGTCTGACATGTTTTTTCATTGGTGTAATGATGGCTTCTTATATAGCAAGACAGATTCTTGCAGTGGGCTTTCATGGTTGAAATTAAAGATATTAAAATGTGGATTGGCTAAAATATTGCAGAGACCTTTTTTACTCTTGTATGCACAGAGTCTAAGAATTAGGAGATTTGCACTCTTAGGGATGGCACTTGAAGCTGAGTCCCTAAATAGTTCCATGTCCAGCCTTTGGATTAGAAGGATTTATGGTTGCCTGATGCCAGCTCCAAGGTTGACAGAATCCTGCCTCTGGAATGTGATTCTGTCTACTGGACAGCACAGGGGTGATCTGAGCACACAAAGCACACAAAAGGACAGAGAACTGCCAGTTCACCTAACCGACAGCAGGAACTGTTTTGTGCTTCCTTGTTAATGACTGACTGTTTCTTTAATAAATATCTTATATTTGGCAGATTTTTTTTCTTCTGAACCTTGCTTTCATTGTGGTGGTAAGAATGGAGGAGTAGCTAACTCTCACCTGCCTGAAACTTCTTCAGTGAGAGCAGTGATTGTTTAGCAAATTGCACTGGAGTTCTATATGACCTGGTAGGCTTCAGGGAGTCCACAGCACCCCTAATTCTCACAGCTAACCACTTTTTCTCTGCCCCTAACTCTCAGCTGTAGCCCGACCTTCTCCACAGGAGGCTTCAGCCTCCTTCCCTTCATCTCTCACCTCCTGTTACACCTTTTTCAAAGGTCCTCAGCATTGTAATTATTATTAGGTATGTATGCATATTATATTGTAATTATTTTTATACACTGGACTGTTAATTCCTCCAAGGGCAGGGTTCATATCTTTTTATCTTTGTATAACTAGCAGACTCAAATCAATGCTTTGCTCTCAATATGCATTTAGTAGTCATTTGCTGGATGAATGAACTAATGAACCGCAGAATATACTCCGTTTAATGCCAAGGAAATGCTCAACATGGAATGAGGCCATGAGATGTGACCTGCCTCAGTGCCTTGTAATCGAAGTAAGACAATCAACAGACAAGAAGGAGAGCAGAGATGGCCTGAGGTGACAGAAAGTCACAGGAGTTGGTAGCAGTTTTCTTAATTTCTCCATTAATGAAAGTGGTGGGTTTTTTAATTTTAATTTTTTTTTAATTCATCATCTGACTTCATTTAGCTAATTCAGTCTTTTCCATCTTTGAGTTGACTAACTGGATCCTGGCTATGATTGCCTTTATTAGTTTGCTAATAACTTTGTTGAATTTAGGAGTCATTAATTGCTTGTTAATGTTTGCAAGTTAGACAAACAAATGTAAAATATTTCCCTTCATTCAAAATTTGATCTAAAAATTAATTATATTACCTTTCTTTGCTTCCGGGCTTGTATGTTTTCACATCAAAGATATGCTTTATTTTAAATTAAGTGATTTTTACAACCTTCCTCTGAAAATTTAAGAAGGGCATTTGCTCTTTTAATCTTAGTAATTACATCCGTGGTTTTGAATTAGCTTTTCTTTTTGGATGCTCTGGTTGCCTTTAGCGTTTTGCTGTTTCTGTGTCTTCTGTATCTAGACATACTCTGTCATGATGTCCATGCCTTTTAGTTTTTAATCCCCTCCAGAGACCCAGCTGTAAAGCTGGACTCTTTAAAGATTTTGTTACCTGCTCTGCCTTTGGGAGAGTGCCCGCTCTGTGGCTTTTTGAAGCTATCCCCACTCTCTTTTTTTTTCGTTTTACACTGATGTCTACACTCCCCTGAAGGAAGTTATTTCTATTGGCTTCACTCATTCCTGTTACCCTAGTGACCTACTCCGATTCAAGAAGGGAAGAATTACGACTTCCAGTTCCAGAAAAAGAATGAAGAGAAGACAAGTCAGCCCATCAGGAGGCTACTGAAAGTGTTGGCCTCAAACCTGGAAGTTTCTGATCTGCAGTTAGAAACCTTGTGGCAAAGCGTGTTCTTCCCATCGTGAGACTGTGGCCAGTCTTGTGAGGCAGAAGCATATGACTCCTTTAAAAGTAGAGATCAGGAAACTTTATGAAACTTTATGACATTTCTTTAGTGTTTAAAGCCAGACACACACAAAGCCTTAAAAGAAGAGAGAAAACTGACTAGCGAATGGCAAATAATCATGTTTATTCAATGAGAAAAAAATGTGAGTGACAACCGTAATGAATCATCTTTCTCATCATGTTCTCTACGTTGATTGGAATTTAAAATAAAGAGTAGCTGGATTTTGTTCATTGGTTAGGAGACTGGGCTTTTGCAGATCTTAGATTTTTGCTTTTAGCAATAATTGAATCATAGGATTGTAATATTGAGATGAGCGCTGGATGCCAGCCAGTCATTTAGGCCAGTGGTTATCAAACTGGGACCTCATGGCAGGAAATGCTTCAGGTACTCCACAAATGTTTGATTCATATTTCATTTTTCAAATATTTGTAAACCTTAGACTTAAAAAACCTGAGACTTAAAAAAATTACACATACATCCAAATGTGCACTATGGCAAATTTAACACATTTAGAGACCGTCGACACAATACACGCTGTAGGTTAGTTCCATTTGTATAGACCTCAGAATGAAACATCTGTCAGCCGGGTGCGGTGGCTCAGGCCTGTAATCCCAGCACTTTGGGAGGCCGAGGCCGGTGGATCACCTGAGGTCAGGAGCTCGAGACCAGTCTGGCCAACATGATGAAACTGTCTCTACTAAAAATACAAAAGTTAGCCAGGCGTGGTGGCACGTGCCTATAATCCCAGCTACTCAGTAGGCTGAGGCAGGAGAATCCCTTGAACCCGGGAGGTGGAGGTTACAGTGAGCCGAGATTGCACCACTGCACTCCAGCCTGGGTGACAGAAAAAAACTCTTGTCTCAAAAAAACAAAAAAAAGAAACATCTGTCATCTCTGTGAATGTATTTGCATTTAATAGATATATGTCATTGATTAAAAAGGTCTGAACAGGCCTTTATAAAATTCAGGCTCACCCACATTCACCCAAATTTTAAAGGGAAGCATTTGACATCAGCTTAGCATGTGTCATATTCATTTAAGTGTCAGACAAGGCCCAGCTGCTGGTAACAGTTTGTTATCGTGACACAATCTTCAGATCCGCAAAATAAGAATAGTTACCATTTATTGCATGTTTATCATGCACTGGGAAGAATGCTAACTAGTGACTGTTTATTTGCTCATTTACTCATAATTCATTTAATAATATTGTCTCCCTCATGGTGTTTTTATAATGATTAAATCAGAATATGCACATGATTACCTGAGTATAGTACTTGGCACTAGGAAACATTCAAAAAATTAGCTATTATTAATTCTCACAACATTCTTGTGAGAATTTTTCCCCTGTTATATTATTTGTAATTCACTTACAAGTACTTCAGTGTAGTATGTCCTAACTTTAATCTCTTTATCCTAAAGGCTAGTAGTTAACACTTGCAGTTTCTTAAATAAAAATATACGATCTATAGAGTTAGTTTACATTTCAAAGACTCTAATCCATAACTCATATCCATAATTCAAATTCATAACTGTCTTTATTTCTGATCAACACCAGAAGTTTTTCTAATTAGCATTATGGATATAGAAATGACTCTTCATTGAAGAAATGAATAGTGTTCAGGCAGGAGTGAATTGACTGGAAATATTGAATAGGCACTCCTGACCTGGAATATACAGGAAATAAGAACCTACCTAACACAATAGCCTACACCCTTCAAATAGTAATCTGTGCTTAGGATTCCAATTACTTCTGGGTGTAAGACATTTAATGGAGGATTATGTCACCTGACCAACTAGAAGTTTAGCTGAACCTGCTGCCAGACTAGTGCTGCACCAGCCTGAAGTAAAACGTTCATGCAAGGTACTGTCAAAGTGCCTAAAAGGGCAGAGAGTTGGCAATTCACTGAGCTCACATAAAATAAGATGGAATGATTATTTAGTAAGTGCTTGTGTATCTGGCAGAACCTGGTCATTTTGACATACTTCCTATGTTCAGCATGCCATGGGAGAGACCTACTTCTACCTATTAGAGGTTACCTCTATCTACCCAAAATAATTCAGTAATTATTCATGACAATTTCCACTTTACCAATGAAAAAATAAGTCTGGAAGAGGTTCAGAATTTTGCCCAGGGTCAATCTGCTGGTTAATGGTAGAGCTGAGCCGCTTCATGTCAAAGCTTGTGCTTGTAACCAACGTGTTCCACCGCCTCTCAGAAAGAATATTTGCTGAGTGAGTAACTGCCATGTGATGATAATATCATATCATAGATTGTTCTGGCAGTTTCTGTAAGCTTTGGGTACTTCTAGTCTGACTTCTGGATTATGATAAGACAGGCATGTGGTTGTTAGATATTGTTAATGATGAAGACTTCAAACAAAATGTCCTGCCGATCTTCTCTCCAGCTTCTGAATCAGTTCAGCTGAAGAGTGTCCAGAGATATCAATGATGTTCTGGCATTTCTGTAAGCTTTGGGTACTTCTAGTCTGACTTCTGGGTTATAAGACAGGCATATGGTTGTTATTGTTAATAATTCAGACTTCAAACAAAATGTCCTACTGATCTTCTCTCCAGCTTCTGAATCAGTTCAACTGAAGACTGTCCAGAGATATGAACGAGGACAGTGAAAACACTGTACCATTTGCAATACTGTGGGCCAAAATAAAATAAAAATATAATTTGAATATTAAGATTGATATTAAATAATATCTGTCATTTATAATTTCAGATATCAATTACTTATCTTCAGTAATTATTCTCATGAATGACTTTATAACAAGTAAATATCATATATTTGAAATTGTAAAATAAGTATATATTAATACAACATAACTCTAACAGTTTATAAACTGGTGTGTAGTATAAGAGATCTGTTTCCAAAAAAGAAAGAAAGTTTTAAGATCATTTTGGGTGGTGATATAATAGCATAGGCTCTGGTTCAAAACTTCAACATTGATCATTCCAGTTGTGTGAGATTTGGTAAATTACTTAACCTCTCTGAGCTTTTGTTTAGTGATGTGTGAAAAACATAATACTATAGAATTGGAGAGATTCCTGTGAGGATTAAATGAACTAAAATATGCGTTGACACATGGCTTCAATAAATAGAAACCATGTTTCATTAACATTCCCATTATTCTCAACTCCATGTTCCCCCTAAGGCAAGAATGTCCTCTCCACCCATCTTGACCTGTAATCACTGGTTTCCTCCAATGCTTCCAGTAACAGAGAAGTCACTACTTCCTATTCCACTGAGTCCATATCCATCCCTGGAAAAATCCTTACCAGCTGGTTCTGGTTCTGCCTCCTGAACTGCCTCCTGAACTGGAAGTCTACTTCTTACATCCACAGAGCAGCACTATTTAAAGGGACATCTTCACATGAGATGGAAGGGCCAGCCAAAGAGAACAACTTGACTTCAGCTTCCCCTGTCTGATTACCTAAAGCAAGTTACATAGAACTTGGCTAGGGCATAAACCAACTTCCTACCCACCTATATGGAGTGATTATACATCAATAAACTGGGCTCTCAAAATATGCATACTAAAGCCAGGCTGGGAGTGGCTTTCTATGTAGGGCAATTTGCAAAGTCAGGGAAATCCTTGCTTTTGTGACTCTTCTGGCTGTTTGTCCTCAGGAGGCTTGAATAAATACAAATTTCCCTGGAATAATAAACATCCTAATAATTACTGCGATTATATTATGATCTTATTACAATAGATAGTAAGGCAAATATGCACAGGGTAGGAGAGGTGCCCCGATCCCAGGAATGTCAGATAACCATCATGTGATGGTCAGGTGGCTGTCAAAACTATCTCTCTAAAATAACAATTGGTCACAGCCAGTGCCAGGGAAATGCAGTCTCCCAGTAAATAGAAAACACCGAAAGTTAGTGATCAGAAGCTTCCTGATAGGATCTCAGGAGTTGGGCGAGTGGGCTTGAGCATGTACACTAAGAGGCAAAATGGTGGAGTTTAACTGGTATATGACCTTCCTCTAGAAACACTTGACTGATAAAGGAAGAATGCCTCAAGTGAGCATGTACACAATTTCAGTAAACACACTGCACATGTGGCTCCTCCCAAGTACTGGCAGGCCACTGCACATGGAGACAGCCCACCCCAAGGGAAGAATCAAGGGAGAACGGATGCAACACCCCAGAAGCATGCCAACGTATGAAACCCCAAGTCAAAAGTCAAACAGGGCACTTTGATTTCTCAGGTCTCCTGCTTGGCCCTCTTCCAAGCATACTTTACTTCCTTTCATTCCTGCTCTAATACTTTTTAACGAACTTTCACTCCTGCTCTAAGACTTGCCTTTGGCTATGCTTTAGTTAGTCTACATTTTATATACTTGGACTGTGTGAGCTTTCTGTAGCTCATGTGGTCCTGGTGACTCATGGTTTTATAGACTCAATTACATTGCAAAGAGCTGGAGGTCACAGCACTAGCTCCCATCGCTTCTCAAGTGGTAAGCAAACAGCAAGGCAGAGAGCAGGAAAGGACAGCATTCAGACCCTTCTCAATAGGAACTGGAACTGCAATGTGACCAAGGAAAGGAAAACACCAGAGACCACCTTGTTGAATCTATGAAACCCATGTTGATCAGCTTTCTTGTCTCCAGCACTGGAACCAATGCAACCAAGTATCAGGATTGACACGCTTCTGATGAATAGCCTCTTGCAGTGCTATCAACAAGCCTAAATGAAAACTCTATCAAGGCTATTTGCTGGGTCAACTGAGGCTAATTAATCAGCTCCTGGGCTTTGGCTATGCTGTAGCTAGCCTACATTTTATATACCTGTACTTATAATTTAAGAAGGTCAGAAATCAACCACACAACCTCTCAACAAAACTTGAGGCAAGAATCCAGGTTGCTGCAGACCTGTAAGAATCCGCTACTGCTAACAGTCTGTTAGGAACTACACACACATCATTCTCATTTCATGAATGAAGAATCGAGGCTTAGAGAGGTGCAGTAGTTTGCATGAAGAGCCACATTTAGTGGTGGAGCTGAATTTCCAACTCTGTCTTGATGACTCCAAAGCCCACATTCTTATCTCCTCAACAGTAATGAGTCACAGGAGTCCTAGTGATGTTTCTTGGTAGCTAATTTCAGCATGAGAGAGTAGAAAGTTGTCTCTGAGTTAGTTGTTACTTTCCAAATATAACAAATATTCCCATTTTAGTCACTACATTTAGCCAACCTGAAGTTTTGATATTTTTTGATTTTGAAAGGTGGTAAAGGAATTCTAAGAATATTATTTCTTCCCCTGAGGCTCAAAAATCAAATTCTATTTGGAATGAAAAAGATAATGTGACCTTTAGAAATTTTGATTGTTCCTGAATGGCACCCACGCATAAATTCGCCCGAACTGTTGCTGAGCGCCTTCAACTTCTGTGGGGACTATCAGTGAACACATTTGCCTCCAGGAACATTAGATCCTTGCTTTTGAAGAATAAAAGAGATAAAGACATGTTGGGGACGTGGAATACCTAATATTCCAATAATTCTTATTTTCAGAAGAAAACGTAGCAGAATAGGGTGGTTTGGAGTGTGGGCTCTGAAACTCAACAACAGGTTACAATCGTGGTCCTGACCACTTATCAGCAGTGTGACCTTGGATGTGTTCCTTCACTTCCCTGGGCTTTCCCTTTTTTGTCTGTAAAATCCGGGCAATAATGGTGTGGAGTTGATGTAAAGGTTAAATTAGAATACAACTCCTTAAACAAGGCTGAGCATGTCATAAATGCTTTCTAGGCATTTTCTCTTCTTATTTTTACTCCAGAAAGGTTGTGAGAATTGAATGGTTCTATGTGGTAATCTACAGTACCTTCAAATGAACCTATGTGTATGTGTAAGTTAACTTTTCCTGCAGTGAGGGGAGGGAGTGAGAGAAGGGAGTTGGTTATTGGTTATTTGGTATTTAAAGAACCTAATCAGGAATCTACCCCCAGAGGTGGCTGTTTAAGCATTTCAAATATCCGTTAACAGAATACACACCAGAAGGTTTGTTAGCCGGTGTAAGGGATATAACACATTTTTTTTTCCATTGGTGACATTAATGTTGCTCAAGATATGTCATTGACTAGAAAGTTTCAGTAGGCCATACTGCTGTTGCTGGAAGGGGTAAGAATCTGGCACCTTCAGAGCTGCATATCCATCCCGGACTGTTTGGTCTTGTGTTCATCTCGTAGTTCAGAGAGGGCTCCGTTTCTCTGACATATTGGGAGCATTGGCTGATCCACCATTCAGAATGTCGGGGAAAGACTCCGAGTGAGCTTCTCATTAAAGGTGTGGTCAGAAGTCCTGAGACAAGTAGTGAGCTTTTCCAAGCTTACAAGAACAGCCCGTGTGACTGTTTTTGTGGCCATCTGCTAATAAATGTTTGTACTTTAAAAATAATTTGGCTGGGTGTGGGGTCATGCACCTGTAATTCCAGCTACTCAGGAGGCCGAGGCAGGAGAATCACTTGAACCCTGGAGGCAGAGGTTGCTGTGAGCTGAGATAGAGCCATTGCACTCCAGCCTGGGCAACAAGAGAGAAACTCCATCTCAAAAAACAAAAAACAAAACAAATAACTTGGTCCAGGATATATTTTCATTGTAACATATCACCTTACTAGATGGTACACGGTATGTTGCGGGGAGGTTAGAGGAGAAGGAATTTATGGCTTTTTATCCATCTTAATGGCCAGAGGAGACTAATACCAGAATAACCAGTAACTGTCACATGACCAAACTAGCTGAGGTGAATTCTCAACAATGGATATCTCATGTAAGGAGCCTAGTACTGTGCTTGACACTCTCTACCTCCCTCTCCCTGAAATCCTGCCATTCCTTTCAGAGAGCAAGCTGTCAGGCTTGCAACCAATTTATTCATTTGTTCATAATCCAAATATTTATCAGGTGCCCACTGTGTGCCAAGCACTGTGCCAGGAGCTAGAAATATATGTATTAGTGCAAAACAAACAGCAATCCCTGCCCACATGGAGCTCACATCCCAATAGGAGAGAGAAACAACAAACAAGGAAAACAGCTAGTGGCTACCTCTTCTACCCCGCTCTTCTACCCCCCTGAATCCTGCATCAGTACTAGAGAGCAAGATGGAGGTGAGGCCAGCTTTGCCAGTGGACACAGGAGCTGTTTGGAGGAAGCTGCTTCCTTATGAACAGATACAAGCAGGGGGCTAGGAAATGGTTTGTCCTCATGCTTCAGATCAATTCTTCAATGCACACATGCAGCAAACAAGAAAGCAAGAAACAAGCAAAAAATACCCTGCTTTTAAAACAACAACAAAAACAAAAATAAAAACCAACAAAGTCATTAAAGAACCAACTTGGACATAGTGGACATTAGGATGTTGTATTTGTTCTGGGTGCAGACAACAGCAGATATAGCTCTCTCTATCTCCAGGGGACCACTGTCCCCTACAACTGGTTTTCTAGGCGAAGATGTGTCCTATTTGAGGAAAAAAAAACCCTCAAATTCAAGATTCCCCTTCAACATTCAGAAACGGATGATCAGCCCTCATCTAGCCTGATTCTCAAACAGCTCCTCACCACTTTCTTCTTATTTCAATGTTGATGCAAGAGCTTGTTCAGTTTCTGTTCTCTGAGTCCCCTCTCCAGCCCACTTGCCTTCCTGTACTTCCTAGGTAAGTGACCTCTTTTCTCCCAGGGACAGTCTTTCTTTTCCCCTCATTGTTATATAAAGCTCCTGGGCCTCCACTTTTTTAATATTCTAAGATTATTCCTTTGTCTTTTATAATCCTGTCTCCTGTCCCCTTTAATAATTACATTCACTGACATCCATTAATAAAAATAAAAAGAGAGACTAAGTTAGGATTTGAGTGTGTGACCCAGAAAAAAAGTCATTTTGGTGTTAATCCAGGCACAGTTGAGGCTTGCTTTAGGAAATGTATGACCTAGACTTTTGAATTTAGAAAACAGATTAATTATACTATGGTTATTCATATCAAAAAAATTATACTGTTACCGATGGGAGTATAATATCAATTTTTAAGGAAAAAACAGTGAGATACACTGTTTTAAATAATGAGCCCCTGGAGCACTGAAAACAGGATTTGATTTGTGCATATTATACTTACAAATTTTGAGGACAATGTATTTTATAAGCAAGTCACGTTAGTATAATATTCAAATAGAAAAGCAAAAATTTTTAAAAATCTGGATTGGCTGGAACTTGTTTGGAGTCACCACTGTCTCACATGATCATTAGTAATTATTTTACATATTGAGATAAACAGGACCTTCACATTTATTAGTTACTTACTTTAATGATCAAATATTTATTCAGCAGCCAGTTATTTGTGGGGGATGGGTTCCAAAAAAATATATAAGACCAGGTGCCTCTTCTCAAGATCACTTACAGTGTAGCTGTGAAGTTAAACCATATGCACAGAGAAAGTGAATCAAGATCTCCAGGAGGGCTGGAGAGTGGTGCCTGATGTGAGAGAATCTTTTTAGTCTGAAAAAAGAACAAAGAGGCTATGGTAAGTGCTAACTGACAAGTGTGGATGAACAGGTGGTGCATCTGTCCTAAAGAGGGCTGATCGGCAGGCCAGGTGGACAACGCTCACTCCACGTTAATGTCAGGACCACCTTAATTGCTGCAAATAGCTTTTGCTTCTTCTTAACCTCCTGTTTGCTCTGCATCTTTACTCTTTTTAATTTAATGAATTTATTTAAATAGGTAGCATATATGCACATGGGAACATATTTTAATAGTTCTAAAATATACAATGAAATGAGTCCTTGTCAAACATACCCTGGCCCAGCAGCAGCAATAAAGGTCAGCTGTGCACCACAGAAAATGAATAATCACCTGATACTTCCTAAGTGGTGATGGCAGTTTCTATTGGTTGCTTTCATTCATCACCAAGGTTGGTTTTGAGATCAAAGAGACCTCTTTCTCCAGAGTGAAGAGGACTTGCCACCCCAGAACAAGAAAGGCTAATATATATTTTTTTTTTTTTGAGACGGGGTCTTGCTCTGTCACCCAGGATGGAGTGCAGTGGCACCATCTCGGCTTACTGCAACCCCCACCTCCCAGGTTCAGGCAATTCTTCTGCCTTAGCTTCCCAGGTAGCTGGGATTACAGGCACCCACCACCATGCCTGGCTAATTTTTGTATTTTTAGTAGAGAGAGGGTTTCACCATGTCGGCCAGGCTGGTCTCGAACTCCTGACCTCAGGTGATCCACCTTCCTCAGCCTCCCAAACTGCTGGGATTACAGGCATGAGCCACCGTGCCTGGCCATGAAAGGCTAACTTTTGTCAAATAAACATGCTTGGGGCGGTGGGTGGCGGGGGGAAGTACTAGGTCCTTTTTTATAAGCCTTATGTTTTTAAGCCTTGTGTTTACCCAAACACACATTGGACATTTATGTCATCCAGTTGCTTTAGTCACTGGCATACTAAGGACTTAGATGTCTCAAAGTATTAGACCAGAATTAGAAGGAGGGATGCCTAGGAGGCCAGGGAGTTTTAGCTAGAATGATATTTATACCACCTGGCAGATGGTGAAAAGAACTTCCTTCAGCTCCAGACGTAGTACAGTTTGAACATACCTAACTGAAAATCTGAAATCCGAAGTGCTCCAAAATCTGAAACATTTTGAGTGCTACCACAAGTGGGAAATTCTACACCTGACCTCAAGTGATGGGTCGCAGTCAAAAAGCAGGTGCACAACACAATGTATCCAGCATCCCCAAGGAAAAAAAGACCCTCCCAACCACTTAAAAAAGCCACCCAGCAGAATCCTTCCTCACCTCTGGACAACTTCCTGTTCTCTCAATTGCTTCTGACATTTCTTCTCACCTAAAGACATAAACTAAAATGTACAGTAAACTTTTAATTGAAACACAAACCAGTATCATAGGTGGAGACCGAACGTCTGTCATTTGTTCTTGCTGTTTCATAGCTGATGCAGGTATTCTGGTGAGGTTACCGTGCTGCTTAGTTACCCCAAACATGTTATTTTTCCACTCTATTAATGGTATGTCATATTTTTTACTAAGCACTTATGTGTGAGTAAATGTAAGAAAATGACTAATCAGAAGCATATAAATTCAGAGTCAGGAATGATTGTTGGCGATCCCAAACAACCACAGATTGTCCACATAAGTGGCTGAGATGGAGACACCTTTGCTCTCTGATGGTTCAATGTACACAAACTTTGTTTCACACACAAAGTGATTAAAAATATTGTATAAAATTACCTTCAGGCTATGTGGATAAAGTATGTATAAAACAGAAATGAATTTTGTATTTAGACTTGCGTCTCATCCCCAAGATATCTCATTATGTATATGCAAATATTTCAAAATCTGAAAAAATGCAAAATCCAAAACACTTCTGGTCCCAAGCATTTTGGATAAAGAATACTCAACTTGTAATAATCAAATTTACCATGGCAGGCCTGACATGGACCCAACCCCACACACGATTCCAGTAGATCTGTCCTGCACCTGGCTGTCATCCTCCAAGGATTATTATAACATCCAACAATGGTCTGTACCAGTTAACTTACGCACATGTAACTATACCCCAACATGTATAGCCCAACGTTATGTATCCCAACATATTAAATTAATGTTCATTTTTCTTATTCTGTTTTTGAGATGGAGTCCTGCTCTGTTGCCCAGGCTGGAGTGGCACCATCTCAGCTCACTGCAACCTTCGTCTCCCAGGTTCAAGTGATTCTCTTGCCTCACCCTCCCAAGTAGCTGGGATTAGAGGCACCTACCATGCCCAGCTAATTTCTATATTTTTAGTAGAGTCAGGGTTTCACAGTGTTGGCTAGGCTGGTCTCGAACTCCTGACCACAGGTGATCCACCCTCCTCAGCCTCCCAAAGTGCTGGGATTACAGGCATGAGCCACCACGCCCAGCACATTTTTCTTTCAAAACATTACAGTGAAAACATTCAGTCTCCCTCCACCCTTTCACTCCATATACCCCACTTCCATCCTACTGATTCTGTCCCCAGAGATAACCACTGATACCAGTGCCTGTGTATCATCCAGACTATTTCTGTAGGTGTACAAACATACATGTCTTAGTGTATTCTTCTCCTCTTTTTTAAAACACAAATGACAGCAATTCTACATACTATTTCATATCTTACTTTTTAACTTAAAGACTTGTGTTAGAGATTATCCTATTTCAGTACAGACAGATCTGCCTCATTCTTTTTTCAAAGCTGCATAGTATTTCAGCAATGGATGTGCCACAATTTGTGTCATCTCTTGAGGAGTGTGCAAATATATTATTTTTAATGTTCTTATTGACGTGTAATTAACATAAGTTAAAATGTATAGATCTTAAGCGTTCAGTTTGATGACTTCTGACAATTGCATACACCCATATAACAAACACCCAGAATAAAGCACAGAATATTCCCATCTCTCCAGAAGTTTCTTTGTCCTTTCGAAGTTAGTCCCTCCCACCACAACTCTTCTGATTACTATCATCATACATTAATTTTGTCTGTTCTTGGACTTAAGATTGGATCCATACAGTATGGAGTCTCTTCTGTTGGGTTTCTTTCACTCAGCATGTATTTGAGATTTGTTCATATTGTGGCTCATGGGTTTATTCTTAATTTATATAACTAATCTAAATAAATAAGATTTCATCTGTGTTGTGGGTAATTTAGAGAGTTACCCATGCTGATAAGAGGTAATTAATCTCATCAAGAAGACTGGACCTTCAAAATGGTGAAACAAAGACTTGAGAGGAGTCGTGAATTTATCATCAAAACTTTTATTTTAAAAGACCAGGATTTTAGGTGACTCTAAGCTTGGTATGTGTCAACTCTTCCAGACATAACAAAGAAATTGATGCGATTTTCCAGGATTCCATGATTTTAACGCATTTATCTTTTAAGTGTATTATTTCCCTATTTTTTAAGTATGTGATTTGAGATCTTTGTATGATGGCAATAATGGTCATAATATAATTAGATTTAATGTTACTGGAGATGTATGCACAGAGATTTAGAAAATTGGAGTGAAGTTGGAGTCAAGACTGACTGTGGTAGACGCCCTCTTTCTTGCCTACGTAAAAGTCATCTCTCCCCTTGCTTTTCATCTTAGCTAGCAGATCCTTCATTTGTTCAATTTTCCTTGTTCTTGAGAGTTCTCCTAATTTGGCCCCAGGGCTGAATCAAGCATATTAAGGAAGGCAGAACTGAAAGAGAAAGAGCCTGAGTTATGCCATTATCGAGCAAGTTAAACACAATCCTAATTGATACACAATTTTCTTGGTAGTGATATTTTAAAACCTATCTTTAAGTCAGATTTATTAATTTAGAATTCACCTATAGTAAAATTCACCCTGTTGGTGGTGAATCTCTTAAAATTAAATTGTGTAAAACTAGTATACTCTTGTTTATCATGATTTGCCATAGCAAAAATATAGAACTGTTTCTGTCAGTTTAACTTCTGAATAATACAAAACTAGTTTTAACACCTAGAAGCTTAAAAAGAAATTGTGCCTTGTAGAGCTTGTACCAGTTAGGATGCTTTAGGCTGTGAGTAACTGGCAGTATTGATGCAGAGTAAAACAATAAGGAAAGGTAATATCTCGCATAGCTGGGAGACAGTTGTTGGACAGGCCTCGGATGCGGTATGTTCTGAGACTCCATGGTAACTCACAGATCCAGACTCTGTGCATGTTTTCACTCTGCTGTCTTCTGCTTTAGCTTTAGCCTATGCCAAGTTCACTCTGGGTTGCAGTTTGGTTGCTAATGGCAGGTCTGGGTTACTTGTTCCCTTGTTTGAGTAAACTTGAGTGAAATAAACTTTTTCCCAGCCATGGAATAAAATCCTCCCATCTGTCAGATTGTGCCGCCATAGGTCTCACCTACCCTGGACCAATAATCATAGTCAACAGGAGACTGGCTTAGAGTAAGTAGGATTAGGTATACATCAGATCAAAAATTATGGTCCTTTTAGGAAGGAGAAAGAGAGGAATGGATTAGGGTAAGAAAAAACAGCATTTACTGCAGGGCTGTTCAGAATCTTAGGCTGCTAAGGTCTTATTTAGTAGATTAGTTTCTGCTTCATCAATACTTGCAATATTCGGCTGGGCGCAGTGGCTCTTGCCTATAATCCCAGCACTTTGGAAGGCTGAGGTGGGTGGATCACCTGAGGTCAGGAGTTCGAGACCAGCCTGGCCAACATGGTGAAACCCCATCAGTACTAAAAATACAAAAAATTAGCCTGGCGTGGTGGTGGGTGCCTGTAATCCCAGCTTCTTGGGAGGCTGAGGCAGGAGAATTGCTTGAACCCGGGAAGTGGAGGTTGCAGCGAGCTGAGGCCACGCCATTGCATTCCAGCCTGGACAACAGAGCGAGACTCTGTCTCAACAAACAAACAAACAAACAAAAAACTTGCAATATTCAAGTGGCCTGAGAGGACAAACACAGCTCCACCAAATGCCTTACTCTCTGGAGAATTAACTTATACACTGGAAAAAATCTTCCCTCAAACTTTTTATTATCTCTCATGAGAAAGATGTCCTTTCCAGGACCCTTTCTGAATTACTTTTGTTTTGCAGAACCATAAGCAGTTGTTAAGAGAGTCTCAAAAGAATCTCACAAAATTTAATTTAAAAATGTATATGAAAAATTTATTTTAATGCTAAAAAGCAATGTTAGAAAACTGGAAGCAAGGAAAAAGGGAAAAAATGCCACTTCAAGCAATTTAAAAATGCTTGTACTATACTAATCTGAAAACATGAAAATCACTTTAAATGGCTTTGAACCAGGCAGAATTGAACTCTTCAATTTGAGTCTATATTCATACTATAATCAAATTCTTTAAAAACCTCACATTACTTTGAGATGAGACCTATCTATAAAAAATTATTCTATGTCTAAAAAAAAGGCTAAAAAGAACCACACTCGACTGTTGATATTATCTCTGAACAGGAGGGTTAAGAATGATTATTGTGTTTTTCGCCTTTTCTGTATTTTTCACATTTTCTAAAATGAACATTATACGTTACTTTTTTCCAATCAGAATGGAATGGAATATTATATTCTCAAATACACGATGTTTTGTCCAGCTACACAATGTAAAGACTAGATTTATAACAGTATAGAATACTTCATCTTTATTCCATTACTAAGAACTTATGGGTTCATAAGCCAGCATCAATCTCCATGACCTAATATTCCATCAAAATGCAATATCCAGTTGGCTGGTTATTTTAGAAACAATTGCTCCAGGTGGCTTATGACAATTAAAGCAATCCCATTATATCACTCTTCCTGATGAATCTTATCTTTCTCACAAGTTATAGACTACGATGGGAGTCCTTTGTGACAATAATAACTATACTTTGTGAAAAGAGGGAACTTACCGAATAGCTAAATAGACTTTGCAAACTGTTATGCAGAGGGCTAAAATTTGATGAATAGACCTATTTTGTTTGGTTTGCCCAGAGTAATTTAAATATGAATTAGTCAATAGTCTTAAACAAATTAGAAGGCTTTATATAAAATCTAGATTTTTGGATTCTTTGAAAAATCAGAAGACTGAAGTTGCTTTTAGGCAACCATCAATGGTAGCTAAGGAGTTTATTGCCTCCTCATCCCCACCCCACTCTTAGTAGTTTGTGTTCCCGAATTTGCTGCAATACCTGCCATTGCCTATTGTGCTTTAGTCAGCCAGCTTTACTCATCTGTATTCTCCTGGAAACAATAGCTTAAGAGCATTGGCTCAGAAGTCACACTACCTGGCTTGGAAGGATGACTCCACTTCTTCAGAGTGTGTGTCTTTGGTTATTGCTTAACTTCCATAAGCCTCAGTTCCCTCACTGGTAAGGTCGGATAATAGGAGTGCCTACCTCATAGGGTTGTAGTGAGAATTAAGTGAGCTGATATATTTAAAAGACTTATGACAGGGCTTCACAGTTAAAAAGAGCTTAATAAATGTTAGCCATTATAAATATTACCAGAAAGTCAGCTGCAGGAAGCATTTGAGTTTGGTCCTCTGGTATTTGGGAATTACATCTTGCAAAAGGTAGATGAGGCTGGGGAGCTGGGCACAGTGAGAAGGCTTTGAGATGAATTTGCACATACCTAGCTTCTCCTGGGATAGTGAGACAATGGGAGGGACATAAATAAAAAGGCTAAGTGGAAAGAGTGTGACGTGAATCACTTGGGCTCTGAAATCAGATGGGCATGATTCTCTGCTTTGTCTTTTGCCAGCTATGTGCCCAAGAGGTTTCCTAAAGTCTCTGGACCTCTGTTTCCTCATCTTTAAAATGGAGATGTAAAACGGGGATAACAGCAGTGCCTACACTTAGGCATGTCTTAACCTGGATTTCCACCATAACATAAAGCCTGAGATATGGGCTTTCATTCAGAGAGTTTATTTTGAAAAATGACCCCAGGAAACAAGAGTGGAGACTGGAAAGAGTGTCACAGTGAAAGAGGGGAGGCAACACAAAGATTACTGTTCAGTGTAAGTGAGCTGAACACTGCCTTGAGCAGCTGGACCTGAGTTTCACTGAGACCCTCTGAAGAGCCATATAGAAGATAACTCAGATCTGTTCACTCAAGGCATAGAAAAGGAAGTCTTGATCCATCAGTTCTGCTTCCTGGCCTTTGGTGAATTGTTGCCCTTTGGCGTATTAGTTCTCTTGTACTTCCAGGCTTGTGCATCTACACTACGAAGTGGATACCTATAGGTCTTCTTTACACTGGATGTCCCAGGGCAGAAAACAGGCATACCCAGGACAGCCAAGGCAAAGTGTTGTCAGGTTACATCTGTGGACAGGAGCTTGCTACAGCAATGGCTGGAGTGCACCAAGAAGACTGTGATGGGGGCCCAAGAAGTGTCCACTTGGAAGATTCTAGATCTTATGCATTTCCCCTTGTCAAGGGACTCTGTATTTGCTCTAATATCTTTTGTTTAGTTTCATGTATTCTAGATATGAGAATGTTCTTGAGGACAACTTAACTTGCATTTGCTCAAGATTCATTACAAAAAAGATAAGCATGTATGACACCTACAAAGAATAATGTTTGACCTAGATACCAGGGTTGATACACTACATGGCTGGAGCAGGAGGAAGAGAGAGCAAAGGGGGAAGTGCTACACACTTTTAAACAACCAGATCTCAGGAAAACTCAATCATGAGACAGCACTAGGGGGATGGTGCTAACCTATTAGAACCCGGCCCCATGATCAAATCACCTCCCACTAAGCCCCACCTCTAAAACTGGCAAAATTGGGAACTACAATTCAATATGAGATTTGGGTGGGGACACAGAGCCAAACCATATCAGATGGTGATTGCAAAACAATGTGAATGTATTAAATGTTACTGAAGTGTACACTTTAAGATGGTTAATTTTATGTTATGTAAATTTCACCTTAGTTTTTTAGAAGATCCTTGATAGCTCTGAAATTCTATGAATGTGACCAATAAAGCCACAAATAGGTTGTGAGTTGAAGATGGAAAATGCACAGAATGGTGTTTATTATGTAGAATGAGCAATAGCATAACTCCGAAAAGCCAGGAACTCTTGGACCAGATCATGAACTTTCAGCAGTGGGAACCTCTGCTTGAGTCGAGGTCCTCACATGTAGGTTCACATCAGAACGGTTTGGCTGATGTCTTCAGACAATGGGTGAAGGCAAAGAGTAGAGCCTTTACATCTATAATAGTCTATCAGCAGTCTGTAAGTCATATGCATCAGATAAACTTAAAAATAATCCACCATCTTTTATGGCTGCCTATCTAGCTAGGCATGGAAAACACTATGCTGTGTTCAAGACATCAAAGAAATATCAGAAATGTGTTTAGACCTTAGGTTTATTAGTTTTGTCAAGGCTATTCACAGTATCAGTAGGGTAAGCATTTATTGTTTATGACAATCCCTCAGGGCAGATGTTATGGTCCTGGCACTTTGGCATGCTTACTGCTTTCTTGTGTTCTAAATTTCAAGGTGACGGAAATGGAGGTTTGTAAGTTAATAATAGTGTCATCTCATTGGCAGGAGCCAGAAGGAAGCATGCCCAGGGAAAACCCATAACACTGGGGGTCTTAAGCCTTCCTCAACGGAAGTAGGGAGAGAAATGGGACAGGAAGGAACACAGCAATCAATACCAGAAAGCAGGGACAATGAAAGCACACAAGCCTGAATCCAGCCAGAAGAAGAAAAAGAAAGAGAGAGAAAAACATACAAGAGCTAAAGAAAAGGGTATTAAAACCAGAGCATGTTTGTCATCAGAGAGAACGGGCTGTCGGCAATTTGCAGGGAGGTTTAGCAACATTCATGTCATTTAACTTAATAGCTTCCCTTCCAAGAATGTATCTTAGATTCCTATTGAGTTAGATTGATCCTATTGAGAATATGTCCTTTCATTTGAGACAGCCTAACTTCAGCAATGTGGGAAGGAATAATTAAATGAAGTATCAGCCACACCCTCGCCCAAAAGGCCATTAGAAATGGTGTGGTCAGGGATAGGCACGGTAGCTCACACCTGTAATCCTAGCACTTTCAGAGGCCAAGTCAGGAGGATTGCTTGAGCCCAGGAGTTCAAGATTAGCCTGGCAATGTAGTGAGACCCCATCTCTACAAAGAAAAAAAGAAAAATATTAGTTAGGCAAGGTGGCACATGCCTGTAGTCCCAGCTGCTCTGGAGGCTGAGGCTGGAGTATGGCTGGAGCACAGGTGGTTGAGGCTGCAGTGAGCTGTGATTGCACCACTGCGCTACAGCCTGGGCAACAAAGTAAGACCCTGTCTCAAAACAAAACTAAAGAAACGGTGTGGTCAGAGTTCATAATAATAAGAGAAATTTTTATGTTGTAATTGTGCAACAATGTATTTTTGCTTTTTACAAAAGTAAAACTTATTAATTGTGAAGAATACCAATGATAACAACATCAAAAATAAAATAATTTGTAATCCCACACCTACAGATAACCATAGTTGTATTTTGGGTGGATTCCTCCCAGTCTTTTTAATGTAAGTATGCATATGTGTGCATATTTATTAAAAAAAAGGGTTTCATACTACACGTACAACTTAGATTAGTTTAACTTGACTAAAACAGGTGAAAAAAGTTGCAAAATCATATACATGTCATCAGTTTAAGTATTTACAACAAAGTAGAAACATAGAAAAAAATATATACTATGAGGAAATACACCAGTATGAATGCCTTTGAATGGTGGACTGAGGAAGGTTGGCTCCCTCAAGTAGATTTGATGTTTGTCTGCATCATTAATAGACTTGATTCCAGGTTCTCTAAGGTTGGAAATGGTAGGAGTACTGGGAAAGAGACATGGGAAGGGGTCCTTGGCTGACTCCCATCTTGAGCTTGTCCATTTGCTGCCCACTTAGCAGGATGAAGCCTTGACTCTATTATAGGAGCTGGCAGGCTTCTCTCTTCCCAGTGGATACAGTGGGATCCAGGCAGGAGGCATCTCTGCAGGGGCTCAGGCTGAAGATTAGGAAGCTATGCTGTGTGTAAACCTGGATTGTGTTGTAAATCAAGTTTTCAGATAATCCTAAAACCTTAGTAAAGTCTCATTATAATGTCTTAACCACCCCTCACTCTCTTCCCCTCTTCCTCCCTCCTCCCCCATACACCCATGTAGAATTCTCCCTTCATTGACAACTCTGGAAGATCTGGATTTGCTTTTATTTAGAAAGCAACTGGTTTCCTGATAGAGTGTGCATTACTTTTACAATGGGAAAAATAATAAACTTTTGTTTAATAGATAAATAAACCTGGTGGGGGATATTTCTTAGACTCACACGAAGGCTTTCACTAATCCCACTGAGAGTTTACACTGTCTAGAAAGAATTGCATCTCCTACCAGGCTTCCTGCCTACCCTGGGTCTCTATGGCTCCTGCAAAGGGGTCATGATGAAGATCTAGGACAATCAGGCAGACTGCGACCGCCTGAGCTGTCAGCTCCTTCATTTTGCTGAACTCTGTCTTATTTGCTAACAAGTCCGTATAGCAAGTGTACCCGGGCCTCAACTGACTATTTTATCAGTGAGGAATTAGCTGTATTCCCTGACGCTAGAAGGAGTGTATTTGAAGATTATTGTTACTCTGCTCCTTGACCTTCTGTCCTTCAGTCTAAATAATCCCAGTTCTTTTAACCTTTTTTCTCCCACAAGCTTTATTGTTTCCAACCTTTTAATATCCTCACAATTCTTCTCGGAACCTCTCCCAGGCCTCCTCTTTCCTCTTTAATTACGGGGCTCAAACACAATATTCTAGGAAGCGCTTGAGCAGTGCTCAGTAAAATGGAAAGCTTATCTCAAGATTCCTACAGGCTTGGGTTTATGAGCCACCCCAGGGTTGTGGTCACGCAATGCTGTCTTTTTAAGCAACTGCTTAAAAATACCTCATGACCAGTCTATTATCTGCTGGGAGCAGAGGCCTGCGGAGGCTGTTCCAGTGGCACTGCACAGCTGTCCTGCTGGCGGCCAGCACCTGTGTGCACAGATGAGGGTGCAACTGCCACAGTGTGACTCTGGGGACCTGGGTCTCCTCTTTGAGAATGTTTCCCTCTTCAGAAACACCCTCTTCCACCAAATGGGCTGTCTTATAACCTTCTACCTCGTTTCCCTTCCAAAATGGGAAAGAATCCACTATTATCATGTATACTTTGCCCCAAACTCTATCTTGTCAATGTGTGTTTCTCTCAGGAATTTGCATGTTAATCTTTTTTACTTCTAATGGCAAAACGAAAGGCTTTGCTCACTGTTCAAAGAATCTCAAATAATAGCAAGTAAATGGGCTATCACCTCTATCTATCTACAACTATCTATCTATCTATCTATCTATCTATCTATCTATCTATCTACTATCTATCTATCTATCATCTATCTGCCTACCTATCATCCTTTCCTTTCTTCTCAACTCTGAGCTCATTAGTCTAACTGTTCCTGAGGGTAACTCTCTTTTTCTCAGAAGACCTGGGGACCCTGAGACAGAGGGCTACAGAGAAAAGTCTTTGATCCGGCTTCCTTCCTCCCTCCCTATTTCCCTTCCTTCCTTGTATCCAATTCAACAAAAATCTGTAGAGTGCATACCTCTTGTGCTTCTTCCAGGTTCTCAACCAGATTTGGGGACAAAAATAATGAAAAAACAGAGCCTCTACCCCAAATGCCCCGTAATTTGGTAAGAGGAGACAGACACATAAAAAAGAAGCGTAACAAAATATTAAGATATTGTTCTGAATATTGTGTGACAAAAATAAAAGAGCGGAGAGGAACCTGGACAGGCTTCTTAGGGGAGTGGAACCCTCTTTTCTTCTGCTGTTAATCCACACTCCTTCCTTACCATCCTTCTGTCCTGAATCTCCCAAAGTGCAAGGGAGGGGGCCAAAACATTTTCTTCCTTCCTTAGTCATCTTCTAGTGGTGTCTCTGCTTTTCTGTCCCCTCTAGGGGCAGCTAGGTCTCACCTCTGCAGCCCAAAGGTTTTTTACCTTCTTCCAGGCAGAGGCTGCGGAAGCCCTGCAGAGTGTAAAAGATGTCTGAGTAAATGCACATGTGTGCATTGTGTGGGTGTTGTGTATGTAATAAAGTACTAGAAATCCTGGACCTTGTGACATGGTGGGAGAGTTGGGAATCCCGACCACTGTAAACTAGGATCTCCACTGTTCTCCATGTAGTACAATCACGAATACAAATCAAACATTTTTTGTCTATTCATCTTATGCTTTTTTTTTTTTTTTTTTTTTGGACACGGGGTTTTGCTCTTGTTGCCCAGGGTAGAGTGCAATGGTGCCATTTCAGCTCACTGCAACCTCTGCCTCCCCAGTTCAAGTGATTGTCCTGCCTCAGCCTCCCAAGTAGTTGGGATTACAGGCATGTGCCACCACGTCCAGATTATTTTTTTGTATTTAGTAGAGATGGGGTTTCACCATGTTAGTCAGGCTGGTCTCAAACTGCTGACATCAGGTGATCTGCCTGCCTCGGCCTCCCAAAGTGCTGGGATTACAGGCATTCCCGGCCTATCTTATGCTTTTTGTCACTTTCTATTTCTTATAGTAATTTATTGTCTTAATGTTATTTTTATATTTGGAACTTATCTTGAATATTAGAACATAAGGCCTTTGAGAGAAAGGACCAAGTCTTACACATCTTGACATAACTCCTAGCTCTTAGCATATATCCAATAAATATTTGTTAAATAAATGAATAACTTCCTTGCTCAACATAAGTATTTTTTAAATGTTTGTTGAGTGAATTAATGAATATATGCAGATAGAGCTCTTGTAAGTTTTATTTGGTTACAACAGTAAACCCTACACTATTGTTTTGCTACAAGGGTAATTCCAGCTCCGGGAAGCATTCAGGTGTGGGATGTCTTTCGTATTTAATGATAGAGGAAGCACTACTATCGATGAGTAGAACATCCCACAAATCACACTAGACATGCAAGGAGGTGAAAAATCTTTTTCTACTTATGAATCCAGAGAGTAACTGAGTACCTTGGTTGTACTTGTAAACACAGAGCACTTTTTGCATCATTTTACTATATGTTAATTGCTCTGAGAAGGTAACATCCATGGAAAGCAAGGGATGATTGTGCTTTGATCATGTGGCAATCTTAACAAGAGTTGTTCATTATTTTGGCAAATTAGGTCATCGATGGCTATGCTCCTCATGGTATTTGAGCTGCCAATGCGACTCAGCTGCGCTCATCTGCGTTTGTGCATGTGTGTTCCCATAGATTCTGCATAAAGACTTAAGCATGTGGGTCTTTCATGGAGTCTCTGCGTGGTCGTGCCTAAGTGTCTGTGGACAGAAACACATATTACTTTATTATAAACTCCTTTTCTTTTATTTATTTCTATTATATTAGGTTGGTGCAAAAGTAATGGCAAGAACTGCAATTACTTTTGTACCAACCTGATATTACAGTTAGGCTACTACATTGATTTTCTGAAAATTATATTTGAGGGTGGTTATATTAGCCATGTATTTCATTTCAAGACAGTAAAGGAGTTATGTAATATTTGTATTAAAAACAAACTTTGGGTCTGAGAGGGTTGAGAATTGTTATTACTCTACTATACTTTGCTGTTTTTACAATCTTTCTTTTGGTGCGGCAGCAGTCAGGGGTGCTTGGCTCACAACCACAAAGTCTCTTAGGAAGACTCGATTGGCAGGCCCTACAACTTTGTTCCGTTTACATCTGCCAGGCAGTAGTCTTTCCCACCTGGTTTGGAGGACTTTCTTTCTTCCTTCCTGTGGGTTCTGCTGCCTCAGGTATCTGCCGAGGGTCACTCCTGATGAAGTCTCCTTTTTCAGGGCTTAGCCATTCTCCTGTGTTTGGGACATTGCTCTTCTGCCAGATGAATCATGAAACCCAAGCTCGGTAATGAAGCTGGAATTCACTGTCCTGGTGAAGGAGGTCAAATGAGGCCAGAGAAGTTGTCAGGAAACATGATTTATTATCTCAACTCTCTAGAGCAGCTTTAGGTCATATCCTGATCTTCTAGTCAAAGGTATGCCTGTGCCCAGCCAAGTGGCTGACACACACAGAGTGTTTGTATGGATTAGAAAACGTTGCCCCTTCCAAGGCAGACAACTACAGAAAGGCTTCCCCTCCCTGAGATGCAGCTGCACCTTGGTCCAGGCCAGGAAGGCTCCACTCTGCAGCACCACTCACCCCTGCTGCCAAGACAGCCATGATTTGGACCCTCGGTTTACTTCTGGTGAATGATGACCATTTGAGGTTGGGCTAAGGGACACTGGGGGCTACCTGAAGTCTGGGCCCCACAGCATTCATGGCCATGAACCCTTTCCAGTCAAGCTCCAGAAATCCTTGGAACCTGTGTGTACTTTCACTTCAGGGAATTAACCGGGGGGAGATCTGGAGCTTGAATTCATTGACTGGCTGGACGTCAGGAGAATAGAGACATACCCTTCCTATACTGTGACGTTTAAGGGGCACCAAGCAGCTTCTGCCTTCAAATGTGTCTCACAGGCCTGTATGCCAGTGAAGACTTTCAATTTTGGAGTCAGATTGCCTGATCTTTCACCTAGTAGCTCTGTTACAAACCTCACTCTCCTGATCTGTAAAAATGGATTGATCACAATAGTTCATCAAAGAATTATCATGAGAATAAAATGACATAACCTGTGTAAATTTCTTAGCACAAAACGTGGCATAGAGTAAGTGCTCAGTAGACGATAGTTGCCATTCTTGCTGTTGTTATTATCAACTGGCATGACATTTCCACTTTTGAAATCCCTTTTCTGGGTCAAACAGCAAAGTATTCTCTGTGGCATAGAAGACTGATCAAGATTATGGACTTGAGAGTGGAACTGTCCAGCTTCAAATCCTGGTTCCTTGATTTACTAGTTGGGTGAACTTGGACAGTTATTATACCTTAGCTTTTAATACCTCTGTTTCCACATTTGTAAAATAGGGATATGGCAATACCTAGCTAGGGTTTTCATAAGGATTAAATGACTAAATATTTGTTCAGGGTTTGAAACAGTACCTGACACTCTTATAGTGCTATTTAATAAGCACTATATAAGTTTTTAACTCTATATATCAATTAGTATATAAATAAGCTGCAAATAAATGTCTTTCTTGCTATGCTTCCTACATTATATAAAACTCTGTAAGCATCCCCTCTACTAGCCTGTAATCTCTGAAGAGTCAAGGGCCATTTCTCATCTACACTGAATCTCCCATGTAGTAGCAGACTAGCTGGCTTTTCCAGGCTCAAGGAATGGTTTTGACTGAATGAATGAATGGATGGATTCCCAGAGCAAAGCAGTGCCCTCAGATGCTGCCTTCCCAGGAGGAGCTTGTCTCAATATGTCAAGCCTTGGAGTAGAGGAATTAGCAGGAGCAATGAAGCCCCCTGTTCTTCCTGGTCACACCTGAGGCTACCAGCAGGCTGAGAGACTGTCTGGCTAGAAACTGATGCTGTTAAATGAACAAAGACGTCTGTGGTTTTTGGGGCTGCCCGTCTGGCACCTTGCAGGAAAGTGAAACCAAGTGTGAAACACACCTGTCCTCTCTGGCCTTTTAACTGGCAGGGATTTAATTGCCGAGAGGTTAAAGAGGCAGGAGGTCCAGGCTTTGCGAAAGTCAGGGGATTAACTGTGTGTTAATGGTTAGACGTGGAGGGGTGAGAGGGGACAGTTGCTTATTCTGGCCTCTTGGCCTCTTGATTTCTCATACTGTATGCCTTGGAAGCCAGATGGCCCAGGCTGAAATGAAAATAAACTGATTTAGGAAAGAGAAACCTGTGAGCATGTTTCTAGTGATAGGTGACCCAGGGAGGCATTTTCAGATCGTGCAGCTGTTCTTTGTTCCTCATATTCCAGAATGTAATAGTCCAACCTTCAGCCGAGGCATTCAAGGCCTTTCAGTGTTGGAGGGTTTCAGCTCCCATTCCCTCTTCCCAAGCAAATTGCTCTTCGTCCTCTGAACCTCCGTGTGCATTTCAGCCTCTGCACTGTTGCTCTTATCGCTGTGCAAAATGTCCTCTTCCTCTCCAATTGCTTTGGTCAAAGATTTACTCATTTTTTTAGGGCCCAGCTCAAATGCCATTTCCTTCAATCTGTCCCTAAGATCCCTTTAATCTGGGACATTTTAAGATGCTCATAGTCTCATGTACTTTTTCACCTTCCTTCACATCAGAGATATTAAGATGCACGTTAAGTATGACATTTCTGCTGTAAAAACTTTAAATATAACTTTGCTCATCAAATTATATATTATTAGCAAACTAAAATTTAGTTTACAGCTGGCTATAATTTTTGGCGAATTATTTTGTTTATCCTTGGGAATTTGGGTAAGAAAATCTATTCTTTTTTTTTTTAGATGGAGTCTCACTCTGTTGCCTAGGCTGGAGTGCAGTGTCACGATCCCGGCTCACTGCACTCTCCACCTCCTTGGTTCAAGCGATTCTCCTGCCTCAGCTTCTCCAGTAGCTGGGATTACAGGCATGCGCCACCATGCCCAGCTAATTTTTTATATTTAATAGAGATGGGGTTTCACCATGTTAGCCAGGCTGATCTCGAGCTCCTGACCGCAGGTGATCCGCCTGCCTCTGTTTTCCAAAGTGCTGGTATTATAGGTGTGAGCCACCACACCCTGCCAGAAAATCTATTCTATATGATAGATTATTTTCAAATATAGTAAAATTTGATAAATGTTAAATTTAGCTATTATTGAAGACAGTTAATATATTTTTATTAATTTTGGTTTTACAGTTTTTCCTTATGTATTGGGGGGCCAATACTTTTTTTCTTTACAGGTTCCTCCTTGCCATGGGCCCTTGGAAAGCTGAATGGGCTCTGGCCTATAACATTTAAAGGTGACAGAGTCCTGCTGCCAGCAGAAATGCTCTCTTCCTTCTATGAACACAAGGCCCTCTGAATCTCTTGTAAAGCGCTAACTCTTATCAAATTCTGCCCTTGACTCCACATCTAGCTAACTATTGGATACACAGATGACCTGGACATGGTTGTAACCAACCAAAAAGATGCTACAATTGTGAACTTGTAGGCACCAAACAATATGTGTGGAAACACCAACATTAAAACAAGTCAAATTATAAGGAGAAATTTACAAATTCATAATAATAGTTGTAGATTTTTATGCACTAGTAGATTACACTGGTACACAAATTGGAAAAGATACAGAAGACTTGAACAACATAATTACAAGTGTGATGATATAAATATTTATAAAACTGTGCAGTTGCCAAATGAGACTATACATTCTTTATCAGCACACTCAGAGCAGAGTACCCAGAAGAAGTCATCCTCTGGTGGGGATGTTCTCCGAGGGAGCAGCGCAAGGTGCTACAGGCCCATAGACCAGGGATCCACCCTGCTTGATGTGGTGAGAAAGGCTGAGGGTGGCTGTTGCCATGGTGTCTGGAAAGGCTTTGCAGAGTGGACTTGCAGAAATTTATTTGTCAAAGAGGTGAGAAAAGAAAGAGCATTCCAATTAGTGAAACCAGCTTTTATAGAGACAACAAAAGCCCCAAAAGAGGAAACAGCAAGTATTCCTATGTGACTAGAGTACAGGAAATGCTGAAGAAAGACACTAAAAACTTAAGCAGATGCCACAGCAAAGAACGCCTCATGAGACAAGACCAAGAGTATGTTTCACCCCATAGAACTGCAGTTTTCAAACTGCAGGTATTCAGACATTGCATTATTTATTTGCCAACTGAATTTTTTAAACTTATGTTCTTATTTATGTCAACCAACTCTAAATCTCAAATACATTTATTTTTTTAACTACATATTACCATTGTAAATGAGCAACCAGTATCCTTTGTCATTAATAGAAGTTCATTGTAAAAATAAATACAATGAAGCAAAATAAGGTTACTACATTCTGGTTATGTATTATGGACTGTGATAAGCACCTTCCTCCAATAAAACCATACACTCCTAATATGCTATCACTCTTGAGTTATTATTCATATTTTAAAAGAAAGATTAGTACAAAGAAATTAATCTCTAATGGTAGAATTGCAGGACCTTCAGAGTAGCTCATTCCTTTAGATTATATGTTATTATATATGTATATTTAGATTATATATTATAGGTAACCCTTCTCTTTACCAGACGGTTTTGCGTGTGTTAGGCAAATTATGTCTCTTTTTCAGTCCACAGAAAAAGGTAATAATAAATGTCCTCTTAATTGACAGAATTGTGATCAGGATTTAATGATTCTGTATAGTGAGAGTTCTTTGTATCATAATCTGGTATTTCTTGAGTGCTTATTATAGACAAGGCACTCTCCTAAATATTTTACATGCATTATTTTATTTAATCCTCTTAGCAGCCTTATGAGGTAAATACTATTACAGTGATCATTTTACAGATGACCAAGCAAAGGCTCAGCAGTGTTCAATAGTTTGCCCAGCATGGCCTGGCCAATAAGCCACAGCCAGAACTATAACTCAAAGCTCCCTGGTTCTAAAGTTCTCAGTAGTTCTAATAACACCTGCTATTTGAATCAGTTTTTCTGCCCCCTTTCCCACAGGCTTTTCCTATTTGCCAGATTCTATTTAAATGTCAGGATTAGGGCTGGGCGCCACTTTGGGAGGTAAGGCAGGAAGATCGCTTGAACACAGGTGTTTGAGACCAGTATGGGGAACATAATGTGGCCCTATCTCTACAGCCAATAAGAAAAAATAAATAAAAAATTAGCCAGGCGTGGTAGTGCGCACCCATAGTCTCAGCTGCTTTGGAGGCTGAGGCAGGAGGATCACTTGAGCCTAGGAGTTCGAGGCTGCAGTGAACTGTGTGCCACTGCACTCCAGCCTGAGCAACAGGAAGAGATTCTGTCTCAAATGAATAAATAAACAAATAAATAAAGTTACAATATTACCAGGGAGAAAGAAGGGGAAAAACCATATAACCAAATTCGATGATCATTAGTCGGCTAGATGTTTATTTTTATATGTTACTAAGTTTACTAAGTTGTTAAAGTCACCTCTGTGTAGTCAGGAACAAAGGACTTCCAATCAATTCAGGAAGAAAAGTCAAATTAAACAGCTGAACCTATTTGCCTCCTTGCCTTGAGGCTTGCCTGTATGACACCAAGGAGTGACCAATGGTCTGATTTTATCTAATGAACCTCAGGAAATATTTGCCTTATCATGTTATTTTCCTTGTGCTGGATGCTAGAAAGATCAAGGTGAAATATATGGCTTTCCATCTACAAATGGTTTGCATACTGACTTTACTCCAAATTTTTTCTTATTTTCTAACAGTATTAATCCCTAGGCCTGATGGCCTATTTATTTATTTGAGATATATTATTTTAATTGAAAATTAAGGGTGAAAGTATTTGGGGGTATTTTTCTTTTCTTTCTTTCTTTCTTTTTTTTCTTTTTTACCAGAATATACTATTAAGACTTCAACAGAAATCTAGACAGTCACATGTGTACATATGTTCATGTACTGGAAATTAGCTCTCCTTTCCATTTTAACCAGTTTCCTGATTCAAGTTCATAGTTCCACAGAGATGTTAGTAATTGTTGTTGGAGCTAAATGTCTTCCTCCATTGGAAACTCCCAAGTTATCCTTTGTTCTTTATTTTCAGTAAATCTGAGGGTTCAGGTTGACTTCCTCAGTTTTAATTATTTTGTTGTATATTTTTACAATCTAACAAATTCTTTTGAGAACATGGAATATAAATACAGCAACAAATTACTTCACTAACAAAAATGACCTGCCCTGAATCCATCTCCCAGCTCCCTCTGATTATTTCCTGATTGGCTAATCCATAAGCGAAGATGCACAATGCCTAAAAAACACCTTCATTTTGTTTTTCTGGATCATTAAAGTGATTCGTTTGTTACCATTAAGTGAAATGAAAATCCCAGGTTGTTGATCCCTCTTATTGTCTCTTGAGGGGTATTCTGAGATTTCGATTAGACACTTGTTTTATTTTTCTAACAGAGGCTTCCTTTGGAAGGGTCAGGGGCAAGACCCACTGGCAAAGGACCAAAGAAGCTTAGGAGCCTCTGACCCACTAAGCTAGAAGCAGAGGCCCCTAGCTAGACTGGGATCACGTCTCTGTGTGCAAAGGACAGAGCCACCTAGCCAGCACCAGACTCGCGCCTGGGAAATTCATTGTGAGCTCAACCTGTCCCTGTAGCATTAGGCACATGGTTTCTGCATGACCCAGGGAGTCAACTTGTTGCATGTCTCCACAGGTGGCAGAGCTCCCCTGCAAACAGGCAAGGCACACCTGAGCTCTTATTTCTTTAACACCAAGTGGGTCTGATTTCGGATGATGGCCAATGCCGTTAGGTTACTGGTCAGTTTTCTGGAGCCTGAAATTTGTCTCTCCCAGGGAAGGCATCCCCCAGGGCCTGGAGGAGACAGACTCCCCCTCAGTTTCTGCACTCAGCAGGGCATCTTTCCCCATGCATGAAAGGACATGGCCAGGCAGAAGGAGACCATTAGGCAGCCTTCTGATGCAGCGTCATCTCCAACTCCACAGCAACTACAGTAAACCAGGCTTTCCGTAAGACCATCTTCTGTGGTCCAACGCCCAATCTTTTACTTGCATGAAGGTGATGGGACCTGGGCTTGTATCATAGCTTCAGATATAAACCCTTTTCCCCATAGCTGCTGCTTCCCTTTTAAAGAATTTAGGTGTATTCCACGTTGTTTCTAACACTGGAAGAAAATGTTGTCACACTTTTCAAACCCTGTGATGTAGCGGTTCTCAAAGTTTATGGTCTCAGGATCCTTCACACTCTGAAAAATAACGGGACACAAGACAGCTTGTGTTGATGTGTGTGTGTCTATGAGCATTTGCTACTTTAGAAATTCAAAGTGAAAAAACGTATTTATTATTTAGGAATAACAACAATAAACATAGTGTTTGTTTATATTAATACAAATTTCGTAAAAATTGCTATTTTCAAAAACTAAAATAATGGAACTAGAAGAGTCACATTGCTTTACATTCTTTGCAAATCTCTTTCATGCATGGCTTGATAGAAGCTGGTCAGGATTCTCATATTTGCTTCTTCATTCAGTCTGTTCAACACTGTGTGTTGTATAGTCTCTGGAAAACTCCACTTTATGCTCATAAGACAATGAGACTGAAAAAGGCAAACCTTAGGATTATTATATAAATAGCTCTGCCTCTGCAGATCCCCAGAAATTGTTTGGTACCTCTCCCCACCACCACCCATGTCCCAGGGCCACAATTTGGGAACCACTGCTCTGCGGTGTACCATCCTTTCTCTTACACACACGAGTTAAACAGAAAACAAGCCCTTTGGAAAATTTGATTTTATTGATCCACCCATTTTTAGATAGCCCCAAGGATCCAATTTATCCCATTCTCAGCATTCAATTCAGTTCTTTTCATCTTAGAACTCATTTCTACTAAGGACCACCTCTCTTCAGCCTTCCTAATTTAAAAGTTTGGTTTATGCCCTCAAACACTCTGGCCTTGCAGCAGGCACACGACTCACTCTCCTAGTTCTACTTGTAAACTCCTGGACAAAAACTCTGATTGGTTCACCTTGGATCATTCCATTATGGTTGAAGTTTAGGGTCAGGATTTAGAAATATGATTGGCTTTGTTTGGGTCAGGTGACCCCCTCTGGAACAAACAACAGTGGCCATGGCTTTAGGATAACACTGGATCATGGTTAAATATGAAATATGTGAAAGTTGATTTAGATTTTAGTCATGAGGCAGGTGTGTTTGTGTGTGCTTTAAAGTATGTGTGTCCATATGAAGTATGTGTGTCCGTATGAAGTATGTGTGTCCGTATGAAGTATGTGTGTCCGTATGAAGTATGTGTGTTTGTGTGTGCTTTGCAGAAGAGAATAATAAAGAGAAGGCATAATTATAAAGTGAATCTAGGATCTCTTGGTAAAATCTTTATTAAACTTGCCTCATCATTCTTTCTTATTTTTGCCACTGTTATTCCATCATTCCAGACTCAACGAGGACCCTTGTATTCCCCCCCTCCACCCTTCATTTGAACTCTGGTTTCTCTTCCTGCTGCATATCCTCTGGACAGCCAATCACCCCCTTGACCTATTCAGATCCTAATTGAAAGTTTTTTCCTCTGTGGCTTCAAATAGAATTCACCAACTAATATCCTGTTGATGGAAGCTATAGACTTCAAGGAAAGGAGTTCCTGGAATTCATAAATGGAAAGAACAAAACAAAGCAGGGGGCCCTGTCTTTAGCACCTCCCCCACCAAGGGGAGTTCAAGAGCACCCCGAGGACTTCGCTGTTGTCAGTCAATCTTCCCCGCCATCTGTGCCTTTTGTTTATAATGTAGTTGATAAAAATCTGCTTTATTTATCCTAGCTGTTTCAAGTTCAATAATAAGGGGAAATTAGCTCCAGGACTTCCATGGTAGAGTCAATGGCCAGAACCCAAGCAGAATCCTTGGATGCTGTAGTCCCCACCGCTGCCTGCTCTGTGTTCCTGCTTGAAGTTTGTGGACAGTGGCTCTACCTGCTGCAGGGGCTCTGGGAACTGAGGCTGAGCTCAAAGATCACATGCAAATACTGCACGACCTAGAGGACTAAATTAAGCCAGTTATACCCTGCAACAAATCAGTGAAAGTAAAAAATCAAAACAATGCCTTAATGTTAGTAAAGTGCATATGTATTGATGCCCAGAGAGCATTGAATCCCTTCCCAAACCACCTAAGTGGTGAGGAATAGTTATTGCTCACCTTTACTGTCCTTCCTCTCAGCCAGGCATATAGGTACAGGGAAGTAGGTGCTGTTGTTATTATCACCACTTGAGGGAATGGAGACTTGGAGAGGTCAAGTTGCTTGCCCAAATGTAAATTAACTAGTAAGTCATAGCTTAGGAACTTACTTCCAACCTGTCTGACTCCACTGCTTGACAAGTTAATCATTATACTATTCTGCGAAGTAGCTGGGGCCAATGAACTCCAATCAAGCTATGACGTTTCATGGTCATATAAATTACCAACTAGGGAAGGTATTGTTGTGTGTCTGCCCTTTCACTCTCACTAGAAGATAAACTCCAAGAAGGCAAGGTCTTTGACTACCTTTTTCACTGCAGAATCTCCAGTGATGAGACACATAGACATGTTCAATAAATGGCTACTACAAATGAATGAATGAATGGATGGATGGATGGATGGATGGAATTGCTATATGGTGTAGTAATTTCTGATTTATTTATGGATGTTTGTCTGGGGGATCTGAGAGCAGCCACACTTTCTCATTTCCCTCACTCCTCCCAGCAGAGAACAGGATGTCCATTGTTGGGGAAAACTCCAGCTTGGCATTGATGCCAATTTTTTTCCCCATACAAATACCTTTGATTTATTTCACAAACAGTTACTGAGTTCCTGCTAGGTGCTAGGTTCTATATCAGGTGAAGAGGATATAAAGGTGAACTAGGTCTAGTACAGATTCTCACAGAACTTACAGTCTACTTGGGGCAGTATAGAAGCAAACAGGCAATTACAATTCAATGTGACGAGTGTCATGGTGGACAAGTCTGGGTGCTCTTGGAGGATCACAGAGGAGGATACCTAATCCTTCTCTGGCTGTCAGGCAGGGAAGGTAGACGGGAGGCAATCTGAGAAAGCTTCCTGGAAGATGTGGTCTGAGGACATGTAGGGTTTGAGCAGGTGAATTATCCAATCGTGAATGAAATAGGAAGTATTTGATTTTTTGAAACCACAACTTTCTCTGTGAAAAATTATATAATATCTGTTCTATATTTTGAGTGCTACTTCTAAATAACCTCCTAGTCATGACATGGCATCTCCATCTCATGTCAGAATGGAATCAGGAAGGAGGACATCTGACAGTTGTGTGTTTTATACCTTCCAGCTCTTGAGCAGAACTTCAATGCCTTTCTGTGAACCAAGGTGAGTGTTTGGGGCACCCTAAAAATGGCCCAATTGTCACAATGGCTCCTGGATGTGAACATGAAAAGCACATGCAGGGATGGCTGAACCCTGGCCTGGGGGTGGGGCAGAGCTACAAAGTGGGAGAGAGATGTCCCAGCAGCTGGCAGACAAGAGGAGGAGAAGAGGAAAGGGGTCCAGAGAGGTGGACAAGGTATGTCTGACCAGCCTAGCAGTGGACAATGGATAAAGAGCTGGAGGTCTGCAGGGCCCAGCTTATGGGGATTGAAGTGAATGGGGGACCTGGCTAAGCAGGTGGGACATGGAAACAGGTGGGATTTGAAGACACTGGGCTTGGGTGTCAAGAGCACATCTCTAATCTCTGGAAGGGCTCAGAGAGGGGCCTGCTACATGCCATAACATAGACTCTGTCCTATCCAAAGACACCTAGGTTGGAGGGTGCATGGGGGCTGAAATCCAGCCCACTATCTACTCTCCAAGCTGGGGGCCTGTGAGGCTGCGTGCACTCTGAGGGGGCACTTTCGTTTGCACATACACACCATTTAGGCTAGCAGAGCCCTGCAGATGCACCATGTCAATACTTAAAGGTCAAAAAGGGACTCTATTTCTAGAAAGAAATGAGATACAGAGAAGGATGGGGTAAGAAGGAAGAAGGCAAGAGCTTAAACCCTGGAACCCAAGCACAAAATCATTGTTGACTATTTGGCTCACTATTTAATCCCCAGCACCTAGAACAGGGCCTGGCAAAGAGTTCAATAAGTATTTGTTGAATGAATGAATGAATATCCAGAGAAGTATTAAGGCTCAGGGACTAGGAATGAGGCCACTCACAGATGGTGGTGAAGCGGTCCCATCTGCCATGGGCAGAAAGCCAAGCAAGCATTACCCCTCCCCAGGTCCTGTTTTTAGCCTGGGGAGACAGGACGCAGAATGGGGCTGGTGACAGTGGCTCTGCCCATCAGCTACCAGCCTGAGGGTGTACCTCATTGTCCTGGAGATTTTCACTGCCTGGGGCATTACAGGAGAGTGTCATGTTTTACAGGCTTTGGAGTCCCAAAAAAGCCAAACCTAGCTCTCTCCATGGAACCCTAGGCAAGTCCCTCTCTGAGTTTCTGTTTCCTTATCCATAAAATGTGAAGAATAATAGGGACAGGGTCTCACTCTGTCACCCAGGCTGGAGTACAGTGGTGCAATCATGGCTCACTGCAGCCTGGACCTCTCCAGGCTCAGGTGATCCTCCCACCTCAGCCTCCTGAGTAGCTGGGACCACAGGTGTGCACCACCAGGCTTGGCTAATTTTTGTATTTTTTGTAGAGACAGGGTTTTTGCCTGGGCTCAAGCGATCTGCCTGCCTCAGCCTCCCAAAGTGCTAGAATTACAGGTGGGAGCCACCATGCCCAGCCAGGGTCTACATTTGAATTGCCTGTGTTTGAACCTCAACTCTGCCGCTTTCTAGCTAGCGAATTCTCTCTGCCCCTCAGTCTCCTCATTTGTAATAACAGAATAATAAAAGTAGTTCTATCACAGGGTCATCATGAGCATTAAGTAAGTAAATGCAAAGCACTGAGAACAGTGCCTGGCACAGCCAACATCACCATCATCAATGTTATCACTACTGCCTCAAAGGGCAGACAATAAACATTCACCACTGTGCCTGCCACTGGGCAGCTCCCTCACACCTGCTGCATTCCTATGGTAACTATCCAATGTCCCGCCTCTGTGAATTCACCACAGGTCACAAATGTGCCCTTCATTTGTCCAGCCCCATTGATAAGAGGGCATGAGAAGCTGAAGGTACAGAATGCTGCTGACAGACCCTGCTCCTGACCGGAAAGTGGGTCTGAATTCAGATTTTGATCCATTTGTCTGTCTCCTAGGGGATGAAGCTGAGATTTTTTATTTTTTTTTTGATACCTACAGTCAAGCTGTAGCCTTGGTAGCAAATCCTTTCCCTCTCATGAAGCATGGGCAGCATAAGTATTATTAGTTTCCATTTTCTTTTTTAAAAAATGCTTTTAATTTTTGGAAAAAAATTTACTTTATTTTTTATAAAACAGAGACAGGGGCTCACTATGTTGGCCAGGCTGGCCTTGAACTCCTGGCCTCAAGTAATCCTCTTTCTTCTAGCTTCCCAAAGTGCTGGGATTATAAACATGAGCCACTGAGCCCAGCCTTATTTCCTATTTTCTGGGGGGCACTTGTGGTTAAGAGAAGTGAGGTCACTCCACCAGGGCAGGGACACACCCATTTCATGGGCCACTGTATCTCAGTGCCTTCTGCTATGCCTGGCAAGTGATAGCTACTCAGAAAGGTGAGAGGAACAGAAAAGTGAATGCAACCTGTCCAAGGCCCGGTGCTGTAAGAACCACACTTGAAACCTGAATCCAGCTCTTCTGGATCCCACCCTTTCTTTTCCTACACTGTACTCTACCTTAGATTTAAAGGATCTAAGTTTAGGGTTGCTTTGGTTTTTTTGGTTTTTGGCAATTTTTATTGTGGTAAAAAACACACAACATAAAATTTACCATCTTAACCATTTTTATGTGTACAGTTCAATAGTATAAAGTACATTCACATTGTAAAGCACAGTGGTCTGACTTTTTGAAATTTAATATATAACAAAATTTACATCTATTGCTCAGTAACTCATGAAAATGTTGAGTAGTTGACATTTTAAATCCCTTGTCAGCGTGGGGTTGGTTTTCCTTCTACTAAAGTTTTTCAGGTAAAAATGCTAAATAGTCAGCTCTAGCTCATGTTTAAAAACATCAAGGAAAAAAGCAGAAAGATTTCATTCTACATTTGGGTTTTGCAGACACAGGACCATACGTTTACAAAATAGAATATCTGATCCAAATTTCACTCTGTAGTAGGAACTAAATAGAAAGTCTGGTGGAATTTCTCCAAATTCTTCACATCAAGGAAAACACTCCTAGTGTTCTCTTTTAATGAAAGAAAAACACTCTGAGCATATTTTAATAGTTTTATTTTCTATTTTTAATACTTTCTAGGTGACAATGAATTTCCTTTTTTCTGGTTTTTAGAAAGTTTTAATCCGATTACCAAAAAAATGCACATTGGAAATTAACAAATGTGTGACTAAGAAAAGTATATTTAATCCAACTATTGAGATAATCATCGTTACACATTCTTCTAGAACTTTCCTTGAAAATAAAAATAAATAAATGTATATTTCAGTATAATTTGGTACCCATTCTTCTAGGCCTTTTCTCTGAAAATACTTACACACAAAGACATATATATTTCATATATAATTTGGTATACACTCTTTTAGATTTTCCCCTTCATATTATACATTTACTTAATAGTAATGAGTGACTATATTATATATACTCTTGCAAACTTGCATTTTTTATCTAAATGCCTTAGAATGTCTTTCTCCACAGAACATGGATCTGTTTGAACACCTGAATGGCATTTCATTGTTAGTACCATCAGGCATCTATCAGATCGCATCATGACAGACATGGGGGATATTTCCAGATTTCTGCTTGTCCTCTGGACACTGCAGTGATTGTGGAGGCCACAGCATTGTGACACTTCTCTTGAGCCTCCCATTTCCTTGCCATTGCCCCAGCTCCCTGGAGCACCTGCTGAGTGGCTCTGGCGTGTGTTCCCTGGCCTTCTGGGCCTCCATACTCTCACCTCTCCAAGGAGGGTGGGAATTCTTGCCAACTTCTTCCCTCAGGGCTGTCGTGAGCACTAATGAGATCATATTTGCTGAGCACTTTGTGTTCCCTCAATAACTGGTGATACATAAATATGAATGTTTTCAGTTCCAACAGAGTCTTTGGATTCCTTTCAGGAAGAAGTGAGGGCCTATTTAAAATGTGTGTGTTGGTATAAATACTACAGCGAGTCCTTTGTATTCTACAAGATGCTGCCGAGAGTGGAAAGCTCGTCCCATTGCCAACATCAGGGGGTCAGGTGCAGGTTACTTCCTGCGTCCTGGTGGCCAAGTGGCCAGGGAAACAAGAGGTTGTGAGGTGAGGGCTGCACGTAAGGATGATATCAATCACCCGTGATTTTAGGCAGAAACATTCCTTTTCTGGCTTTCTAAGCTGTTTTCATGCTTATCTACTCAATAGCCAATCACCGAGTGTCTACAATGTGCCAGGGAAGAAGCCGAGTCAATCCAGCCAGGAGGGCACCGTTTCTACCTTCAGAGGCTTGCCATTTAATGTACAACCCAGATAGCATCTGTGGCCTCATGCCGTTTGAGAGAGAGGTAAGAGCAGGGTTCCAATTCCCAAATCCATGCCCCCAAAAGTCCGCAGGCCTCCAGATGTTGTGCAAGCCCATCATTGAGAATTTGTGTGGTTGGACCAGTGGTTAATGTTAGCCCCTACCTTTAGCTCCACAAGCCCCCATCGCCCCAATGTATTTGCGAGTTTGAACAGCTTAACTAAACATTGTGGAGGGGGGTGGTGGGAACAAAATTTACATCACAGAACAGCAAAAATCTTCAGATGATGACAACTAGCACTTAAATGGTGCTTACTTGCCCTATGACAAGCTCTGATGGAAGCCCTTGGCGTTGTTCACTTACACAACTCTCCTGATAATTCTACGAAGCAGATACTATCATTATCCCATTTTGAGAAAATATGGGACCATGTGAAACTAAATTTTCTCATCTTTAAAATAGCAATACTGAGGGCTCCTCTCCGTATCCCTTCAGCCCTCACCACTTCAGCACACGCTGGCCCAACTTCCCGCTGCCACCATAGCTTTGCCTGAGAGCTTTCTCTGCCCTTGTGTGGCAGGCAGGACCTGCTGGGGAATTACTGTCCCCTGGAAGTGACCCTCAACCAATGACAGATGGGAGTTGGCATACAATGGCCCCAGCTCCCTCACCCCTTGAGTGTGATAATTCAGAGGCATGATTCTACCTGTGTCCCCAGTTTCCCTGGAGGGCTTACACTCCAGCTTCCACGCTGGTAACTTGCTTAGAAACATACGCTTCTTGGCCACTTCCCTTTCCATCTGACTTTTCCATTCCCTATGCATATTTCCTGAAATCACCTCAGAAAGATCTACCCGCCCTCAAATGGTTATTTCGGGTCTGCTTCTGGCGAAAGAGACCCTAAAATGCTGATGCATGTGGCAAGGTCACACAGCTCTCTGGATTCAAATCCAGGGAGTCTTACTTTGCAGTCTACAATATTTCCCATTACATCACATGGTCTCTCAACTCCAAACTGAATGTGAAGCATGCCTCTTAAATGTATTCCTCACCGCAGAGGAATGTACAAGGCCCTCAATCCCTCTCTTCCAATAAATATTGTAACAGCTACCATTTTTCTAGTGACAGTTATTTGCCAGCCACATGCTAACTGTGTTACTTGAACAGCCTCATTCTAATATCACAACAAACCTGTAAGAGAGAAACGTTCTTATTCATCTCTGCTTTCTGGATGATATAACTGAGACCCAGAGAATTGAAGTGGTTTGCCCAAGGTCGCATGGAAACAGAGCCAGGATTTGCACACATATCTTTCTGGATCCACCCATATCCTCACCTAGTATACTACATACCATAGTGGAAAATGTGGTGCCAGGCACTTTATGGCCAATATGTTAGTTCCCTATTGCCGTTACAGCAAGTTACCACAAACCTAGTGCCTTAAACACTGCAAATATTTTATAGTTATCGGAAATCAGATTTCTGTATGTCAGAAATCCAACACAGGTCTCTCTGGGCTAAAACCAAGATGTTGGCGTGGTTGTGTTTCTTTCTGGAGGCTTTAGGGGATAATCTGTTTTCTCTGCCTTTTTCCACTTCCAGAGGCTGCCCATATTCCACCTTCAAAGCCAGCAAAGTCACATCTCTCTGATCTCCTTCTATAGCCACATCTCTCTCTGATCACAGTACAGAAGGGTTCTCCACTTTTAAGAACTCATGTGAAGTGAGTGCACCCACCCAGAAAACCCAACATAATCTCCCCATCTCAGAGTCATTAACCTCAATTACATCTGCACAGTCTCTTTTACCACATAAGGTAACATCTTCACAGGTTCTAGGGATCAGGATATGGACATCTTTAGGGGTCCTGTTATTTTGCCTACCACAGCTAAGTCCTAATGAAGGAGGCAGGCTACCATGAGGAGGTGAGCTGAGTTTTGCGAAGATGAAGGTAATGTAGAAGAATAAACAAACTGTCTCTTGTAGAATAATGAAGACTCTTCCCTGATTTGTAGCCATGCTAGACTGAGCTAATTGTGGACAAAGGGAGCCGTAAGGAGAAGATCTTGAGAACCAGATGGAAAGCAATTCTAGACAAGTCATCGGTTTGGGACAGAGACATTTGTGTGGGAATGCTTAGTCTCTCACCAAGGGGAGCCTCTTGTATGTGTGCAGTGCTTTTGCCTTCAGGCAACAGAATAGTTGATGTACAGTAGGCCACATTACCAAGATACTACATTATCCCACATTTGGAGAAGTCTAGAGGCAGATGTCCCATGGTCCCAGATGATTTTTTGGGTTTGTTTTTTTGAGACCAGGTCTCCCTCTGCCACCCAGTCTGGAGTGCAGTGGTATGGTCATGGCTTACTGCAATCTTGGCCTCCTGGGCTCAAGTGATCCTCCCACTTCAGCCTCCCGAGTAGCTGGGACCACAGGTACATACCACCACATCCAGCTAATTTTTTTTTTTTTTTTGGTAGAGATGGGGCTTCACCATGTTGCCTAGGCCACTCTCAAACTTCTGGGCACAAGCAATCCACCTGCTTCAGCCTCCCAAAGTACTGGGATTACAGGCATGAGCCACTGTGCCCAACTCCATTTGGTTTTTTAACAAATTCAGCAAGGATCCTGGCTTTCTGTGTTTAGTTCTGCCATCTTCAGTGTAAAGCTACATTTCTCCTCATGGTCACAAGACGGTTGTCTAAGTATAAAGTATCACAGTTTCATATTATTATATATCAGCCTAAGCAGGAAGAAAGGAGGGTTGGTTACGGGAAAGGACCCTCTCTTTATGGACCTCTTTCTTATCAGGGAGAAAGGCTTTCCCAGAAGCACCCATGGATCTTTTTTTTCATCTCACGCCAGATCAGATGCCCACAAGTAAATCAATCACTGGCAAAGGGGAAGGAGATGACCGTGATCGGCTTAGATCAACTATTGCTCTTTGCCTGGGGCTAGACACGTTGCCACTTGGACAAAACTGGAGTTCTATTAGCAAGAAAGAAGTGGCTATGACTCTTCTTCCATAGCCTAGGAAGCAATATTTGAGGTCTATTCTAGGTAGGTGTGCAGGACCACATTACCTCTCAGGGCATTTTCCTCACTCTCCACCAAGAACTCCACTCAGAACAAACTTGCCAACATATCCCTGCAATGTACTTGTCACCTCCTTTTCTTCCTTTCTTTCATTGGGGGCTTATTGTTTATAAGCTGTGCTACCTTTCACAAGTTACTTAACCTCTCTGAACCTGAACCTTGATATTTTCATTGGAATATCTTGCCTCTAGAGTTGTTTTAGGGCTAAAGTCATATGACAAACGTGAAAGCACCTAGCCGGGTACCTGACACATATAAAATGTGAAATAAATGTTGGCTAAATACTAACAATACCGGGGTTTTATTTATGCACATGATCAGGCTCTAAATTCTTACAAGGAAGAACACATGGAAATATTTTGGAGTCTACACTGTGAGCAGACAATCTGTTGTAAATTCTTATTGTGTGGGTCCCCTTTGTCCATCATGCCGATGAAAACTCACTGGGCCGTTGAGAAGAATCTGCTTGTGCCTGCTATTCCAAGCAGTTTGGTAAGGGAGAGAGAATCCTGCTTGCGCAACAGGCTGTCAGGGCCGGAAAGTGGCAGCAGGACAGAGGATTCAGGGCTGATAAAAGCTGGTATGGGTCAAACTTGACGTCTGAGGGTGTGTCCCTGAGGGGGCTCACAGGTGCTCTTCACCTTACCCAGGTGATCCCTGTCCATGGGGCCAGCTGTGTGCCTGGGGCCAGACAGCCCTTATCCTCCTTCCTATTTCAACCTCAGGACCTACTTCTGAGAGGAAATTGGGCGACTAAATTGAACTACAGGGAGGAGAAAAAGAAAAAGGCAGGAGAATCTCTACTAGGCCATATTTATTATTGATAAAGGTGATTTCATTTCTATACATACTCCATGTTCTGTCCCCCTCCAAAACAAACAATCTCAGGACAACAGACACACACATGTAAACTAAACTCACCACCTCGTCTGAGTAACATATCAAGACCAGTGACTCCTATATCCCCCTCCAAAAACAACAATCTCAGGACAACATACACACACATGTAAACTAAACTCACCACCGTGTCTGAGTAACATATCAAGACTGGTGACTCCTCTTCTTAGCGCCTTCTCCTGCGAGGTAGACAGAGCCTTGCTTCATGAAATAAGGTCCTGGGCCAGCAGCGTAGCAGCATTGGCCACCCCAGGGAGCTTGTTAGAAATGCAAAATCTCAGGGCCCTCTGCACCCCCTACATCTAAGCCTACAATTTAACCAGATCCCCAGGATGAATATGCACCTTTAAGTTTGAGAAGCTCTGATCTATAGTTCCCTGCTGCCAACTTACCTTACCACTGAGGATGGTACGTCGTTGTAGAACTTGGCAGTTTAGAACACTTCCCAGTGGGCACTCACTCTTGTTCTCTGGGTCTCTTCTTTATTCCACAGTTATGATCATAATCCTATTGCCCATAAAGAGCCACTGTTTGGGTGTTTGCTAATTATATACATGTATACACATGGTTTCATACATAGAATCATTTTATAATCTGTGCATGGTATTCTATTTGTATAGAAGTGATCTCACTTATTTAGCCAGTTCTCAACCAAGCTTTGAATGACAGAGTAGGCAGAGTAGACTCTTTGCACCTGAAAGAGGACAAACAATTTTATTCATATCCATACTTATTTCTTTAGACGGATTCCTGAAAGTAAGATGACTTCACTTCATTCTCAAGTTATGAGAAGATGGAAAAACAACAAGGTTACCCAGTAGTTAGATAAGACCCTTGCCTTTAGCGGAAGGCCCTCACTTCCTACTTCTGAGCCGGGCGGTGGGAGTTATTTTCCTTTTCCCCCAGAGCAGTGACATCCTGGAGTGAATTTCAGCCTCCCCTTCCTAGGCAGGGCAAGAGATAAAGAGGCAGCTGCTGAGATGCGGTTGCTGATCAGCTTGAGGAGAATCAGATCACGCATGTGCACGTTATCTCAGGACAACATTAGATTAGCCTTGCATGCAAGGATCACAGGATCTTGAACTCTTGGAGTTGAACGGGTTTTTGAGTTTGACCTCCCACCTGTCACAGGAGCCCCTCAACAACCTACCGCCCCAATAGGTAAAGTGTTCACTGTGTGCATAGCAGGCTCCCCCTTCCCTCGGCTGTCCCAGTCCTCCTCCAGTGCTTTCTTGCACAACTTGGAACCCAGACCCCTCACTACCCCAATGCATACTTTCTGGGGTAAGTCAGCCCCCCTCTTACCTGTAACTCAGACTGGTCACTGGGGAGACAGCCTATATGGCATCTTACTGTCCTGAGAAAAGCATACCTAATTGAAAACAGTAGGACTGAATCTCATAGCTGCTGTTGGGAAAGGGTACCCACCTGAGCCCATTGGCATGGCAACTTCTCTATCTACACTGTCCCAGGGCAAGGAAGAGCAAATCACTGCTCTGGCCAAATGCACCCACGAGCCAACAGCTAAGGGTGGTTTTACATTCCAAATGATGGAGAATGAAAGGAAAAGAAGGGAAGAGAAGGAAGAAAGGGAGAAAGAACATGTAACAGAGGCTGGATGTGGCCCTCAAAGCTTAAAATATTTACTATCTCACCCTTTCCAGAAAAAAAGTCTGCTGATTTCTTCCCTAGATCCTTCACGGACCAGTAGCAGCATTGACATTATTTGGGAGCTGCTTAGAATTGCAGGGTTTCTGGCACAGCCCTGGAGCTCCTGAATGAGAACATGCATTTTGACGAAAGCCCCACGTGATCTGAATGAGCCCTGAAGTTTGGGAAGACTAGCCTGGATGTTTCTCAGTATGACTGGGTTTGGTTGTTTTCAGGGGCAGGCTCTCAGTCTGAACTTCCCTCACTCCACCACTGCCTTGCTGAGTGGCTGAAGTCATTTAGTCTTTATCAAGCCCTGTTTGCTCATCTCTGAAATGGGGATAATCATAGTTTCCACCTGATGAGGTTTTTGTGAGGCTTGAATTGGATAACTGAACCCAGAGAAAGGGCTTCACAAATGTTAGATTTCATTTCTACTCTATTGTTTCTATCAAACCCTTGAGTCTCTGCCTCAGAACAGGGGACATATGCTTTGCATAAATACCCCAAACTCTTGCACTGATGGATTTGGGTGTTTCCTCAGAAGCCCAGCTATGCAAATCCTCTGAGTCAGCAGGTAAGAAGGACAAGGGCAAGCCCATACCCTGCCCTGCCTGTATCTGGCGGTTTTTTTTCAACACCAGGAGACGGAAATGATTGCTTTCTGATTGGGGAAAATTGGTTTGTGTGGGCCACAGTTACAGGTGCTTGTTTCCTTGAGACACAGTGCTTGGATCAAACTGAAACAAGGTTAAAATAAAATAGCAAAACCCTGCCCTCAGCAGGAAGCTGCCACCAGCAGGCTGCCTTCTACGTGACCTTGCCTCCTGTTGGCCTTTCCTGGGCCATAAAAAATGGTTGCATTGCTGTCTGATTTGCATTTGGTATCTGCTTTTCCTGCCCAGGGTTCAAGTTGACACTGCCTGGCTGAGTCCCAGCTGAGGGCAGGTGGAAGCAGAAGGCAGAAGGAAAGGTGGACAACTATTTAAACAACCAGGGGCTTGGAGAAGCTGTGTGCTTTCAAGATAGAACTCGGTTTCAGTTTAGATTTGCCAACTGTTGCTTCGGAAGAAGAGCTAAGACAAAGGGAGGACTCTGTCCACTCGGGAGGTCCTGGGGGGGACAGTGTTTATTTTATACTACAGCCTGGGGTTTGCTTCCTGTTTGACTTTGAGAGCTGCTAGACAGGATTAATGAAGTTCATCCAAATATTTTCAAGGATATAGGCTCTAGAAAAGGTGTTTGTCCCTAAGCACTGTTTACTTTAATCATACGTGTACAATTCACAGCAAGTTATCTCAACACAACGCTATTCCCCTATTGTTGCTTTATGGACTTTGACTTCTCAAGGGTGAACTGGGTAATTTTAAAATCATGACTATTTTTATCAGTATGAAAATTTTACATAAATTGTATAAAGAATACATCATTTAAAATTTATATGCATACACACAGACACACACACACGCACAGAGAGCGAAAGAGAGAGAGTGCGCACTAGCACAATAGCGGACATTTCACCACTTAGTTTTAAGACCATTAGGCAAGCTGGAAGGAGACTTGGCATGGTGGCAAGATCACAGTGGAGTCTGCATATCTGAGTTCTAGCTTGGGCTCTTCCACTAACTAGTAATGTGGCCATACATAGTCCCTTAACCTCTCCGTGGACCTCAGTTCCCTCATGTGTAAGATTAAAGTAGCCGGTATCACCAGGGATGCATTGAGCTCCAAGACCTCCATTGGCTGGCAGGGAGGGCTGCCACAGCAAGTCAGGGTAGGGTAGAGGGGAGGTTCAGCCTTCTCTGCCCCCTTCAGCCTGGACAACTCTCCCTTTTTTTGTTTTACACATTAGAGATCAGGAGTAAGTATCCCTTTCAAGAAGTGGTCTTCAAGGCTAAACAAAAACTTGAAAAAAAAAACTAGCCTAGACGATCCCTAAAGTAGGGTGATCATATATAATTTATTATCCACACTGGGATGTTTTGAGATTAAATATATGTTCTTAATAATTACACTGGGATAACAGACTTAAGTGATGCCATATTAGACAGAGATGTACGAGTACCCTACCACAAACTCCTCTTCCAGCTCAGAGTTTCTGCTTTTCCATTCTGTCATTTCATGGCCTGACTGCTTACTCCTCAGCATCAGGCAGAGTTCTGGGAGCAACCCCAGGGACAGAAGTAATCAGGGACAGCCTCAGGGAATGAAGTCATTAGGGGATTGCCTTGGGGACAGCAGTCATCAGGGCAGCTCCAAGGACAGAAGCCATCAGGTTTGTCCCATGCTCAATTACCAGAGCATGCAGCTGCAAGAAATGAGCCAAAAAGGCCACCTGGAAATGATACATGGCCCAAGTTCAGCTTGGCTCTTGTTCAGAGTCATGTGAGAATCACAAGTTTCAGGGTGAAAACATCCATGAATCAACCACCAATTACCCAGTAAGCAAGGGCCCACAGGAACCCCAGACCAGGACATGAGTATTGGTGGGGAAAGAATAAGCAAACATCCCTAATCACGGATCCACAGAACGGAGGAATTAGTCAATGGAGGAGAAGGTCACAAGGTAGAAATGAAAGTTACATTACTAGGCAGGTTGTCAGATGAAGTATGGTCCCAAAGTAGAAAAATCCTAGCAGGATTTCTGCAGAGGAAAAAACACTCAGGCAGGACAGGACCTGTAAGGACCCGTAATCTTGTCAGGCATAGCTTGGGCCTGGTTGAGTCAGATCATTCACTTTCCTAACCTTTGCTTACCCATCAGATTGCGCTGCTGTGATGTCCTACCTAGTTTTTCTGCTCTGGGAATGTTCCTTGCAACAAAATCACCTTTCCTTCCCTCCTGCTTGCTAATAGGGAAGTTTATAGCAGAGTGACCCAGTGATGAGAAGGCTGATGATGTAATGAGTTATACCAAAGTATATAAAAGGTAAAGCTGAAAGGCCTAGAGGCAGCTCTGCTTGCCTCTGGGTGCTCATTTACCTTCAGTTATCTTTTATTGGATGCTTTTTAGCTGGCCAATATGGCTAGGAACTCTTCGGCTAGGAAGGGAACGTAGTTTTGCATTCTATTCTGGGCTTCCCTACTTACCAGGCCCTACGTGACATTGGGCAACTATTGTAATGTATATGAGTCTCGTTTTTCTCATCTGTACAATGGGGTTTTACCAAGACTTGCTCTGCCTACCTCACAAGACTGTAACAAGTATCCCCCAGGTGTCATCATTAGCCCACTCTCTCACATCCACCCTCCTCAATCCCATGCCCAGAAGCCTTCTGCAATTCCTTTGGGGTTCCATTCTCATGGAAACCCTGGCTCCACTCATACTCTATCCTCCTTACATCCCACTCCTGGGGCTGTCCTCCTCCTCTGCTTCCGGTTGTGAATCTCTTCTCTTTTCCCTTCATTTTCGCACAAAACAACTCACTGCACATATGTTAATAAGTCAGATTTCACTGACTGGGAAACAGAAGGGCTTCCCATTGCCACACTGTAAACAACAAAAAGTTAAATATTGGACTTTCATTTCTGAACCACCTTGCCCATTTCTGTCAGCGCAGGCATCTGCCTCCTACTATAAGTCATGCCTCATGCCTCCTCCCTCTTCTCAGCTCTCACTAGCATAGAAACATTTTTCAGAGAATCATTTTGCAGCACACTTCAGCTGCTCCAACTCCTATTCTCAAACTCAACTCTGGCTTCTCTTGACATCTCCAAAGGTTCATTAATGTGCTTGGCTAAATGATGTGGCACACTCTACTGCGTGGTTTAAATAAGAAAAGATTTCTCTTCTTTTAGGATGGAAAAGCGTCCAACATAGGAACTGAGTTGGGATCCAAGGGCTGGGAGGGCCCCATGTGCTAAGCCCAGGGAGAATCTGTTGACCAAGGGCAAAAGCATCCCTCCGAGCTACTGGCAAACTGATGGAGATCCAGTGTGGGAAGAGAAAGAAGGGGGCTGATCTGTGCCCTCCATGAGGGTGGGTGGCCGGCTACTCCAAGGTATCAATTTAAATCTCCAACTACCTTGAAGGCAGAGGACACCTGAGTGGAGGCGCCCAAGGTTAGGAAAGTGCATTTCTAGAGGCTCCAAGGCTCTTGCCTCTATTCTTCAATAAACTCTCTCCTTAATACTATAAGAGCTGCGTGGTGGGGGTTCCCTTCCTCCTCCTTCTAGCATCACAGCCAAAACCCAAACCCTTCTAGAGTCCTGCTCTCAAGAGAAAAAAGAGGAATTCTTTGTGTGATAGGGGCGGGGACACACGGAGCTTTTCGCCGGGCCCCCATTGACTCATTATGTCACTGCAAACAAGAAAATGTGTTTGAAAGCTCTTTGAAAACTGGAACATGGAATAGAAGGATGGAAGCATTTAATTAGTAATCATCGCTCAGGTGAGATTGATCCTGGCTTGATGCTATACCAGACAAAGGGCCCAGGGAGCTCCTGGTATTCTATCAGGTGTGAAGGGAAGAAATGAAGCCAGTTATTACAGCTCCACTGTAACTAATCAAAATGAGAATACGCAGGGCAGGGAGGTACAGTAGATTGGTGCTGCAGCCAGAGGTCTTATATAAATGCTAACAAGGCAAGAATGGGATTTGGGCTGGCAGAGGCCGCAGAGAGCAGAAGCTGCTGCTCTCATTTCCTCGGACAGCAGCACAGTCTCACTTTAATTTGCAGATGTTTTAAGCTCTAGGTGCAGGCACCTGGAGGGCAGAAGGGAAGCAGCTGTCACCTAATGGATGTAATTGATTAAAACTGAAATTCACATGGACTTCTCCAGTTTCAGATATACCACTCTCTGTTTTGTGCACTCCTGTTTCATTCACTCCTTATTCCTGAAGTTTTTGCTAGGAGAGATTCTATGTCAGAAATGACAAAGGACTTCTCAGCCAAATGTGGTACATTCAGAGGTCAGTGCCTGTAAGAATGGACTTCAGAGCAGAGCAGATCAGGTTTAAGTCCTAGCTGTGTTATCGTGAGCACATATAGCTTCTTTAAGCCTCAGTTTTCTCATCTGTAAAATGGGGCTAATGATAATAGCCAGGGTTTCTATAGGGATTAAAACACATAAATAAAGGTTCAGTTCAGGGCTTGGCATATAGAAGATGCTCAGTACATGCTAGCTATTATTATCATTATCATCGTCATCATCATCATTTCTTGGTTACTTCTTTATGTGGTCATGCTAAACAGTGAACTTCAACCAAGAGTGGCTTAGCAGGGAATGTAGGTTACATAGTTGGCTGCACTGTCATAGGCTTTACTTTCTTCTCTTAGAAAACAAAGCATCCTTTGAAGAAGGAATTGCTTTAGTTTCCCATGGGAAGTAATTTCTACAACCCACAAGTAAATGCAGTCTAATGACTAGAATGTGACAGTAGCTATAAAGAATGAAATGTTCCACAAACAGTACTGCCTCCTAAAATTACTCGATCTCAGCACTGTGTTTAGGTCCTCTCTTCCCCACCCATCTTTTTGCATCTACCTCTCATCCTCCCACCCACCCCACTTCTCCCCTATCCCATCCTTTTGGGATCATAAGACCCACCCACCCATCCCCAAATCCCTGAAGAATGTGGGAGTGTCTTGAGGTTCAGGGTAAAGCTGAAAGGCCTAGAGGCAGCTCTGCTTTTTCAGAATGGCCTGGGGGAGGGGGTGGGGTCTTGATGGCAGCAAGAGGCGGTTTGCCAATAGGCAAACCGGTAGACCATGCCTCATGCATTTTCAGGAAAACATCATTTAATCTCAGAACATCTGCAACAGTCTGCAACATATTTTCTCCAGGGTTTGAGTCTAAGCTGACAAAAGATACCGGACACCCCCACAGATTCTGTGACATATCTTGGTATTATTGAACAAACATCAGTTAGGTTCCTGTCTCAGTGCAGCGTCAGTCTGAATAGGAAATACGCCAGTGCTCTTATCGTTGCTGACAGACTCTGTAACTCACCTGCTGATAGTGTCAGTAACACAGCTTCCAGTTGGGGGAGGCTCTTCTCCCACTTCTTTGAAAGCATTGTTCTCAGGTAGGCAAAATAATTAAGGTGCTTTTTGAGTTTATGCTTACTTTTTCACAGTAAGCAAGAATTCCATGATCAAGGCAATGTACCTTGCAGACACATAATAAATGTCAATGAATTCAACACATTTTGAAACACACCCAGGGCTCATTTTTCCACTGCTTACACTTTCTTTCTGCCCCCTCAATCATCACATCTCCAAGTCTAAAAAAAGTGTCAGATTTAATGCCTTCATTTTATGGATAAAGAGATGAAGGCCACGACATTATAAATTATTTCATTGTAAACATACAGACAAATAGTAGTCAAGCAGAGCCGAAAGCCCTGGATTTAAGATGCATGAATCAGAGCTTTTCCTATCATATCTCACTTAAATGCCATTCATTTCTTTACTTGTTTTGAAAATGAATCTTATCCCTGTATTTGTTCTGTCTTCTAAATTAGAAACCACATACATCACGAGACATCTTTTGTTTGACCCTTGAAGTTTGAAAATATTTTCTGAATTAGTTAACATTTTTCAAAAACGAGGTTTTTCTGAAACATTTGCATTTCTGGCTTCTCTTAAAATGTGGACTATCTGGCAACACTGGGCTTGCATTCTTGCAAGGCAACACTCCGCTGGAGCTGGGAGGCAATTGTCTCCTTCCGATAGGACTTGCACCCTACAGCTTGCTGCAGCGCCTACCACTCCCTGCTGTCTCACATCCAGCCTGCTTTACTCCTTTATCTCCCTTGCTGCTGTAAGCATTTGAACAGGACCAGGACCCTGAGTTGAAAATATGACCAACAATTTCACGGATATTATTGCTCCAATGTAGATAGCATCTGGGGCCTCCCTACTCCTTGGGAGCTGCCTGAAATTCCCCTGAATCCTTAATTCCGTGGCCTGAAAAATATCCAAAGACTTCCCCAGTAGTTGTGTGAATAGTCATGGATTTATATTCTCATGGTTTTCTTTGCCTCTAGCTCCTACGGTTTTGACCCATGACATTTTTAAAGGATCCAGATTCTTCCTTGATCTCCTCCTTTTACCCCAGGCAGTTCGAGATAATGAGTGGATCTGGGGGGTGGGGAGTGTTACGGAGTAAATATTTTAACAGCACTGCTCATAGCAGATATAACTTACAAATTCATCCTCCATGGAGATTTTTCTCCAGCCTTTTGTCCATGCAGGATCCTGCCATTCTTACTCCTTTCCTACTCCAGTGCCCCCACCACCTCTACTTCAAACTTCCCCCTTTAAATAAAGCAGACAAATACAGCCTCCTCTCAAAGGTGCCGTTGCAAACCCATCAAGGTGCTTGAAGAGCAAAGGCCTCTTCCCTGTTAATATTGTCCATGTCTCTTTCTGAAAAGTCAGGATTCTGGACAGCAAATGTTGTACAGTGACACTTCTAAGCATCCCCCACTGGGCACTGGTCTTTAAGGAAGTAAGTTCCCAGGCTCTTATTCCTGGTATGAATCGTATGAATCAGCCAGGTTCCCTAATTTTAGACATGTATAAATTGTGCAGTCTTAGATATCAGAAATCCTAATGGTTTATCTGTTTACATGTCCACCTCCCCCATTGTACCATAAGCCTCTTTATGTCCTATTTATCTTTAGGTTTTCCTTACCTACACAGTGGGGAGGTGTGAAGGGGAGGGTCAGGGAACAGGAAACACAGAGGAAGTATTCAATAAGCAATTGACGAAAAGGAAGGAAGGAGGAAAGGAAGATCAGTCACCTGGTATGGTTGTAGCTGTTGCTCACTGCACAAGGGCACCATCTGAGGGGGCAAACTAGTGCTGAAAGCTAGGCCACGCTCTACTCACCAAGCCAGGAGCCCTATGACTATTTGTGTCCTCCCACTTGGCTGTCCTTTCCCCATTTGCTGCCTGGTCCCAAAACGGACACTTTTGCTAATTTTCACAAGGTGCTATATGGATTGGGGATGGGGTAGGGGCTAAATGGAAAACATTTTGTCTAGGAAATGTGTATTTTTTTTTTTTTTTTTTTGAGACGGAGTCTCGCTCTGTCGCCCAGGCTGGAGTGCAGTGGCGGGATCTCGGCTCACTGCAAGCTCCGCCTCCCGGGTTCACGCCATTCTCCTGCCTCAGCCTCCCAAGTAGCTGGGACTACAGGCGCCCGCCACTACGCCCGGCTAATTTTTTGTATTTTTAGTAGAGACGGGGTTTCACCGTTTTAGCCGGGATGGTCTCGATCTCCTGACCTCGTGATCCGCCCGCCTCGGCCTCCCAAAGTGCTGGGATTACAGGCGTGAGCCACCGCGCCCGGCCGGAAATGTGTATTTTTATTTATTCATTTAGTCACCAGTATTACCTCAATTTGTTTCCACCTTAAGAAATTAGCCATAACTCTGTCAGGGTTTGTGGCAGTGGACTCTGAAGATGCGGGTGGGATCCTTTCCCTCCTCAAGGGAGTAGGAGCTACCTACGGCAAATAAACTCCCCGCATGTGAAGACACTGGAACATTTAGGCCAGAAAAAGAGATGAAATTCCTGATCCCCCTGGGTGCATATCTGAACCCCCATCCTGCAGCTGTGCACCTCAAAAAGCGCAGGAACGCAGCTCCAGCCTTCAGCCTTCAGCGTCCAGCGTTTGGGGAGAAGAGCTCTTAGCTGTCAGCCGCTCAGCCACGCCCCCAAGTCCCCGCGTTCAGCCTGTCACCTTCTATTACCCAGCTCTGGTTGGGGAAGAGCATCTGGCCAGAGTGTCTGCAGGCCCAGGGGGTGAATTTAGGTTGGATTTCAAAGCTGAGCTAAGCAATCTCTCAGCTGAGCTCAGTGCAGCGACCCTGTGCAATGAGCATGCAGCTGAGCCTGGGGACGTGGGCGTGGCGGAGGCGGCGTTTCCATGCCAGGGCTCAGCGCTGCGCCCTTGATGACCGCTCAGTGGCCGCCCTGCCGGCCAGGGACTTGCAGCCAGGAATCCTCTGGATGGCTCAGCGTGGAGCCCTTCCTTTAGCTGGAAGATGCTGCCCGAAGCACCAGGGAAGCAGCTAAGCACAAGCGGCTGATCCACTATTAGCTATTCCGCGAACCGTCATCATCTCCCTGTCTAGAGACGACACAAAGACTCCAGTGGCTTTCTCTTCTTAGCAAGCTGGGGCCCAGCCGAGGTCCCTCCAAGAAGACATAATCACAGAAGAGACTGCTTCAAAGCTATGCTCTCTCTCCTGTGAAGTGGTGAAGAACCCAGGACCAGGACTCTGATGGACTTGTGTTGCAGTGCTGGCTTTACCACATGCTAGCTGGTCACTAAGGATCCCTGGTCTCACTTCTTCCTTCTGTAAATGGGGCATGGCTATAATAGCTATTTTGAGGGCTCTTTAAAAATCAAGTGAGAAAAAGTGTTCAAAGCATTTAGCACAACAAGGTGTTAGTGGTCAGGTGGTGATGATGATATATAATTTTGACTCTTAAGTCAGTGACACATATCTGTATTCTCCTTCTCTAAGGCCTCAGCTAATCAAAGTGTAGTCCCTGGACCTGCAGCATAGGAATCATCCATTATCTGGGAGCTTGTTAGAAATGTAGAATCTTGGCCAGGCGTGGTGGCTTATGCCTGTAATCTCAGCACTATGGGAGGCAGGAGGATCACTTGAGGCCAGGAGTTCGAGACCAGTCTGGCCAACATGGTGAAACCCTGTCTCTATTAAAAATACAAAAATTAGCCAGGGGTGTTGGCCAGTGCCTTTAATCCCAGCTACTGAGGAGGCTGAGGCACAAGAATCACTTGAACCTGGGGGGTGGAGGTTGCAGTGAGCTGAGATCCCGTCACTGCACTCCAGCCTGGGTGACAGAGTGAGAAAATATCTCAAAATAAAAACAAACAAACAAAAAAACTAAACTTTGCTTTGCTGCAGACCTTCTAAATCAGAATATGCATTTTTAAAAGACACACAGATGGTTTGTATTCACATTTAAGTTTCAGAAGCCCTGGCCTAGAACATTCCAAGGACTTCAACCCATTTTAACCAATAATTAGCTGGTGTCTTAGGAGTCAATAGGAGCCAACTCTCCTTTAATAGCTGTAATATTTTCTCCAGGGCTACCCTCCAGTGGCACAGCATCTGTCTAGAGCTTTATCTCCTTCTTCCCATGGATGCCCTTAGAAGAAAGTGCTGAGGAGCAGAGAAATGACCAGATGGGGCAGATGGAAGGAAGGGGAAGAGGAGGAGCTGGAAGCCTGGATGATCACAGGCTGGCTTATCAGCCTCTTGCAACCTCCAGGTCTTCCCTCCTTCCATGCCTGTGAGAATAATGTGAGAAATCAAAAGGGTGAGGCCTAGAGAGTCTGAGGTCCAGACTCACCTGGATTTGTTTCTGCAATGCATGGAGACTCTGCTTTAGGGATCCTATTCCCTGATCCACTCTCACAGGCTCCTCAGGCTTCTGTGAGCCTGGTCCAAGGATAGCGCCATTCATTTGTTCATCAAACAAATACTTGCTGAATGTATGCTATGTGCTAGGTAAGGCCCAGTTTTCTACTCCCCAGGTTGGGCTCTTGCTATGCCATTAGTTAAACTATCACTCTCTGGGTGAAGTTGGGGATGTGATGGTAGTGGGATCCTTGGTGAAGAACAGTCCAGATCCCCGCTTCAAGCTGGGACTCTCATTGCCCCAGTTGCTGTCTGTGTTGGTGGCTGAAGTGCATCCAGCTTAGTCCTCTCTGGGAGGTCCTTGGTCACTGTCACACCCACACCCTGGGGCAGCCCCAGCTAAGTAAGAGCTGCTGGATGGGGATGGGGCAGTTGCCTCAAGGCAGAGCAATTCTGAAGGTCAGAGTGGTCAATCCGATCCACCGAGGCCTCCATTGTGACTATGTGACGGTTCAGTCTCTCTCGGTGTCCAGGCTGGCTTCTGTCACCACTCATGGGTATTGCTCCTAACTGCCCAGCAGACATGTGCCAACAATTCAGAGTCAGATTCTGTTTCCAGGGTATAGACTGAAGATAATGATATATTCTAAGTCCTTTCTGTGACTAAGTGCCTCTGGCTATGACAACAAAATACAGGCAACTATTTTGCTAAAATTTATATATTTGCATTTTTGGAAAAAAAAATCTCAAAGCCTATTAAAGAGCTGCTAGAGGAGATAGGTTTCCAGATGTGTTTACTTACTTTTTACAAATGTAAAAGCAATTTAAATTATGTGAATACAATTTCATTTTAAAAGAGGTAAACAATGCAGAAGAATACACAGGGAAACTTGAAAGTCCCCTTCATCTGAGTCTTCCTCCAATCAACTCCTTGCTCCCAGATAACCACTGTTGGACTGTATCATTCTACATAAACCTTTTGCTATTCATTTGCACACATACAAATATATATAAACATATTTTTAATATAAGGGAGATCAAGTTGCTTAAGATATTTGCTTATTGAAGTCTTAGATCTTTTTTAAAAAATCACTAAATATAGATCTGCCTAATGCTTTTAAATAGCTGTATAGTATTCCATAGCATGGATATATGATTTAGCCTTTTCCTGGGTGTGAGACTTCTGGTGCTCACCTATATCTAGTTCTTCTTTCCCTTGGACACATGAGAGAATTCTACTGTTTGTTTTATTGAAGCTATTTGGAGCCACATGACTAGCTCTAGCCGGTGGGTTGAGAGAAGAAGTGACTTGTATCACTTTTGCGTTCCAGTATTTCATTGCAGGTATAAGACCTTCTAGCCCTCTGTTCCCTGCCACAGTAAAGAAGGCCTCCTATTGAGATGATAAAGCCACAGGATCAAGAGAACCTGGATTGCTGAATCTTGACATGAATAGAGGTTGCCCCAGGAGTTGCCTAGATTCAGAGAAGACTTTGTAGAAAGTCTTTGTTAAGCCACTGATTTTTTATTTTTTAACTATAGCATAATCTAGTATATTCTGATGAAGGCACTCCCCTATTGGCCATTTAAATTGTTCCTAGTTTTTCACTATTAAGTAGAATGCTGTAATGAACATCCTTTATACACATCTCTGGGTACAAAGTGGGTGTTTTTATAGAATAGATAGCCAGAAGAGGAACTAAATGGTATTCACATTTACTTTTGAGCGAAACATCAAATTGTCCTGCATGGTCTTTATCAAATTACATATCTATCAATAGCATCTCCTCCCTTATTGAATTTTTTCCCTAATTAAATAAAAAAATTTTGTTACTGTTTTAATTTGTGGTTTCCTCATTGCTAGAGATTAAACAACTTTTTCATATTCTCCTTGGCCATTTGTATTCCATATCTTTCAATTTACTGTCTAAGTTAAATCAAATTTTAAAAGATCTGTGAATATCTTGAGGAAAAGCTTTGGATTCTTTGTAATCAAAGGTATGTTTATTCCTTGATTTCCCAAAGATGTCCGTGTATTCATTTACTCTTTCGCAAATATTCATTCAGTTTTTTCTTTACAAGTATTTATTGAATAGCTGCTATGTGCTAAGCACATTTATCATGGGAATGTGACATTGAACAAGTCTATTTTGGGGGCAGTGGGGGGTTCCTGGCCTTATTAATGGGTAGTAAAGCAGCAGAGGGACCCTGTGATCTTTATGGAATGAAAGCACTAGAAGGGTAGTGTATGAACTAGGCATCTCTCCTTCCCTTGAGGTTTAGCAGCAGCAACATTTTCTGTACTCCAGAGTAAGTTCCTGGAGTTATGCACTAATAGTTAACCCCCCATTATACAGCTAAAGAAATTGAGGTCCACAGAAGAAAAGTGTTTTGCCTAAGGTCTCCTGACTTTTTTTTTTTTTTTTTTTTTGAGACAGAAGCTTGCTCTGTCACCCAAGCTGGAGTGCAGTGGCATGATCTCCGCTCACTGTAACATCCACCTCCTGGGTTCAAACTAGTCTCATGCCTCAGCCTCCCGAGCAGCTGGGATTACAGGTGTGCACCACCACACCCAGCTAATTTTTGCATTTTTAGTAGAGACAGGGTTTCACCATGTTGGCCAGGCTGGTCTTGAACTCCTGGCCTCGAGCAATCTATCTGCCTTGGCCTCCCAAAATGCTGGGATTATAGGCATGAGCCACCATGCCTGGCCACCTGACTCTTAATCTAATGGTCTGCCAACTCTCTCAAATTGCCTACCTGGCAGGCCTTTGCAACTGTACCAAGTGCTCATAAACCCTTCCAGGTGCAGAGCAAGGGAAAGGTAAGTACCTGTCCTGGGAGATATCCAAGATACATTTGCTAACCTCAACAGGCTTACAGTCTTGCTACTGCAAATTTCTTTTTAAAATACTATTTGTGTCATTTGGTTTAAAACTTATTTTCCAAGAACTAAAGGAAAATCAACTTATATTAGACCTCCACAGAACTTATCTAAATGTTTGAATTTTTCATTAGGGTGATCATTTTCTGGTTGAAGTTTCTCTAATAGGAAAACTGTCACTACATTTTTTAAAGCGAGGTATGCTTCCCAGTATTGACTACTAATCATTTCACTTGCTTTCTCGGGAATCAAAAATTCCAGTGACGGGGGGGAGGAGCCAAGATGGCCGAATAGGAACAGCTCCGGTCTACAGCTCCCAGCGTGAGCGACGCAGAAGACGGGTGATTTCTGCCTTTCCATCTGAGGTAATGGGTTCATTTCACTAGGGAGTGCCAGACAGTGGGCGCAGGACAGTGGGTGCAGCGCACTGTGCAGCAGCCGAAGCAGGGCGAGGCATTGCCTTACTAGGGAAGTGCAAGGGATCAGGGAGTTCCCTTTCCTGGTCAAGGAAAGGGGTGACAGACCGCACCTGGAAAATCGGGCCATTCCCACCCGAATACTGTGCTTTTCTGACGGGCTTAGGAAATGGCGCACCAGGAGATTATATCCTGCACATGGCTTGGAGGGTCCTATGGCTACGGAGTCTCACAGATTGCTAGCACAGCAGTCTGAGATCAAACTGCAAGGCAGCAGCAAGGCTGGGGGAGGGGCGCCTGCCATTGCCCAGGCTCGCTTAGGTAAACAAAGCAGCCGGGAAGCTCCAACTGGGTGGAGCCCACCACAGCTCAAGGAGGCCTGCCTGCCTCTGTAGGCTCCACCTCTGGGGGCAGGGCACAGACAAAAAAAAAGACAGCAGTAACCTCTGCAGACTTAAATGTCCCTGTCTGACAGCTTTGAGGAGAGCAGTGGTTCTCCCAGCATGCAGCTGGAGATCTGAGAACGGGCAGACTGCCTCCTCAAGTGGGTCCCTGACCCCTGACCCCCGAGCAGCCTAACTGGGAGGCAACCCCCAGTAGGGGCAGACTGATACCTCACACAGCTGGGTACTCCTCTGAGACAAAACTTCCAGAGGAGCGATTAGACAGCAGCATTCACGGATCACGAAAATCCATGGTTCTGCAGCCACTGCTGCTGATATCCAGGCAAACAGGGTCTGGAGTGGACCTCTAGCAAACTCCAACAGACCTGCAGCTGAGGGTCCTGTCTGTTAGAAGGAAAACTAACAAACAGAAAGGACATCCACACCAAAAACCCATCTGTAACATCACCATCATCAAAGACCAAAAGTAGATAAAACCACAAAGATGGGGAAAAAACAGAGCAGAAAAACTGGAAACTCTAAAAAGCAGAGCGCCTCTCCTCCTCCAAAGGAACACAGTTCCTCACCAGCAACAGAACGAAGCTGGACGGAGAATGACTTTGACGAGTTGAGAGAAGAAGGCTTCAGACGATCAAACTACTCCGAGCTACAGGAGGAAATTCAAACCAAAGGCAAAGAAGTTGAAAACTTTGAAAAAACTTTAGACAAATGTATAACTAGAATAACCAATACAGAGAAGTGCTTAAAGGAGCTGATGGAGCTGAAAGCCAAAGCTCGAGAACTAAGTGAAGAATGCAGAAGCCTCAGGAGCCGATGCGATCAACTGGAAGAAAGGGTATCAGTGAGGGAAGATGAAATGAATGAAATGAAGTGAGAAGGGAAGTTTAAAGAAAAAAGAATAAAAAGAAATGAACAAAGCCTCCAAGAAATATGGGACTATGGGAAAAGACCAAATCTGTGTCTGATTGGTGTACCTGAAAGTGATGGGAAGAATGGAACCAAGTTGGAAAACACTCTGCAGGATATTCTCCAGGAGAACTTCCCCAGTCTAGCAAGGCAGGTCAACATTCAGATTCAGGAAATACAGAGAACGCCACAAAGATACTCCTCAAGAAGAGCAACTCCAAGACACATAATTGTCAGACTCACCAAAGCTGAAATGAAGGAAAAAATGTTAAGGGCAGCCAGAGAGAAAAGTCAGGTTACCCACAAAGGGAAGCCCATCAGACTAATAGCGGATTTCTCGACAGAAACTCTACAAGCCAGAAGAGAGTGGGGGCCAATATTCAACATTCTTAAAGAAAAGAATTTTCAACCCAGAATTTCATATCCAGCCAAACTAAGCTTCATAAGTGAAGGAGAAAGAAAATACTTTACAGATAAGCAAATGCTGAGACATTTTGTCACGACCAGGCCTGCCCTAAAAGAGCTCCTGAAGGAAGCACTAAACATGGAAAGGCACAATCAGTACCAGCCACTGCAAAATCATGCCAAAATGTAAAGCCCATTGAGACGAAGAAGAAACTGCATCAACTAACGAGCAAAATAACCAGCTAACATCATAATGACAGGATCAAATTCACACATAACAATATTAACTTTAAATATAAATGGACTAAATGCTCCAATTAAAAGACACAGACTGGAAAATTGGATAAAAAGTCAAGACCCATCAGTGTGCTGTATTCAGGAAACCCATCTCATGTGCAGAGACACACATAGGCTCAAAATAAAAGGATGGAGGAAGATCTACCCAGCAAATGGAAAACAAAAAAAGGCAGGGGTTGCAATCCTAGTCTCTGATAAAACAGACTTTAAACCAACAAAGATCAAAAGAGACAAAGAAGGCCATTACATAATGGTAAAGGGATCAATTCAACAAGAAGAGCTAACTATCCTAAATATATATGCAGCCAATACAGGAGCACCCAGATTCATAAAGCAAGTCCTGAGTGACCTACAAAGAGACTTAGACTCCCACACAATAATAATGGGAGACTTTAACACCCCACTGTCAACATTAGACAGATCAACGAGACAGAAAGTTAACAAGGATACCCAGGAATTGAACTCAGCTCTGCACCAAGCAGACCTAATAGACATCTACAGAACTCTCCACCCCAAATCAACAGAATATACATTTTTTTCAGCACCACACCACACCTATTCCAAAATTGACTACATAGTTGGAAGTAAAGCTCTCCTCAGCAAATATAAAAAGACAGAAATTATAACAAACTATATCTCAGACCACAGTGCAATCAAACTAGAACTCAGGATTAAGAAACTCACTCAAAACCGCTCAACTACATGGAAACTGAACAACCTGCTCCTGAATGACTACTGGGTACATAACGAAATGAAGACAGAAATAAAGATGTTCTTTGAAACCAATGAGAACAAAGACACAACATACCAGAATCTCTGGGACACATTCAAAGCAGTGTGTAGAGGGAAATTTATAGCACTAAATGCCCACAAGAGAATGCAGGAAAGATCCAAAATTGACACCCTAACATCACAATTAAAAGAACTAGAAAAGCAAGAGCAAACACATTCAAAAGCTAGCAGAAGGCAAGAAATAACTAAAATCAGAGCAGAACTGAAGGAAATAGAGACAAAAAAACCCTTCAAAAAATTAATGAATCCAGGAGCTGGTTTTTTGAAAGGATCAACAAAATTGATAGACCGCTAGCAAGACTAATAAAGAAAAAAAGAGAGAAGAATCAAATCGATGCAATAAAAAATGATAAAGGGGATATCACCACCGATCCCACAGAAATACAAACTACCATCAGAGAATACTACAAACACCTCTACACAAATAAACTGGAAAATCTAGAAGAAATGGATAAATTCCTCGACACATGCACTCTCCCAAGACTAAACCAGAAAGAAGTTGAATCTCTGAATAGACCAATAACAGGATCTGAAATTGTGGCAATAATCAATAGCTTACCAACCAAAAAGACTCCAGGACCAGATGGATTCACAGCCAAATTCTACCAGTTACAAGGAAGAACTAGTACCATTCCTTCTGAAACTATTCCAATCAATAGAAAAAGAGGGAATCCTCCCTAACTCATTTTATGAGGCCAGCATCATCCTGATACCAAAGCCAGGCAGAGACACAATGAAAAAAGAGAATTTTAGACCAATATCCTTGATGAACATTGATGCAAAAATCCTGAATAGAATACTGGCAAACCGAATCCAGCAGCACATCAAAAAGCTTATCCACCATGATCAAGTGGGCTTCATCCCTGGGATGCAAGGCTGGCTCAATATACACAAATCAATAAATGTAATCCAGCATATAAACAGAACCAAAGACAAAAACCACATGATTATCTCAATAGATGCAGAAAAGGCCTTTGACAAAATTCAACAGCCTTCATGCTAAAAACTCTCAATAAATTAGGTATTGATGGGACGTATCTCAAAATAATAAGAGCTATCTATGACAAACCCACAGCCAATATCATACTGAATGGGCAAAAACTGGAAGCATTCCCTTTGAAAACTGGCACAAGACAGGGATGCCCTCTCTCACCACTCCTATTCAACATAGTGTTGGAAGTTCTGGCCAGGGCAATTAGGCAGAAGAAGGAAATAAAGGGTATTCAATTAGGAAAAGAGGAAGTCAAATTGTCCCTGTTTGCAGATGACATGATTGTATATGTAGAAAACCCCATTGTCTCAGCCCAAAATCTCCTTAAGCTGATAAGCAACTTCAGCAAAGTCTCAGGATACAAAATCAATGTACAAAAATCACAAGCATTCTTATGCACCAATAACAGACAAACAGGGAGCCAAATCATGAGTGAACTCCCATTCACAACTGCTTCAAAGAGAATAAAATACTTAGGAATCCAACTTACAAGGGACGTGACGGACCTCTTCAAGGAGAACTACAAACCACTGCTCAAGGAAATAAAAGAGAATACAAACAAATGGAAGAACATTCCATGCTCATAGGTAGGAAGAATCAATACCGTGAAAATGGCCATACTGCCCAAGGTAATTTATAGATTCAATGCCATCCCCATCAAGCTACCAATGACTTTCTTCACAGAATTGGAAAAAACTACTTTAAAGTTCACATGGAACCAAAAAAGAGCCCGCATCGCCAAGTCAATCCTAAGCCAAAAGAACAAAGCTGGAGGCATCACGCTACCTGACTTCAAACTATACTACAAGGCTACAGTAACCAAAACAGCATGGTACTGGTACCAAAATAGGTATATAGATCAATAGAACAGAACAGAGCCCTCAGAAATAATGCCACGTATCTACAACTATCTGATCTTTGACAAACCTGAGAAAAAAAAGCAATGGGGAAAGGATTCCCTATTTAATAAATGGTGCTGGGAAAACTGGCTAGCTGTATGTAGAAAGCTGAAACTGGATCCCTTCCTTACACCTTATACAAAAATTAATTCAAGATGGATTAAAGACTTAAACTTTAGACCTAAAACCATAAAAACCCTAGAAGAAAACCTAGGCAATACCATTCAGGACATAGGCATGGGCAAGGACTTCATGTCTAAAACACCAAAAGCAATGGCAACAAAAGCCAAAATTGACAAATGGGATCTAATTAAACTAAAGAGCTTCTGCACAGCAAAAGAAACTACCATCAGAGTGAAGAGGCAACCTACAAAATGGGAGAAAATTTTCGCAACCAACTCATCTGACAAAGGGCTAATATCCAGAATCTACAATGAACTCAAACAAATTTACAAGAAAAAAACAAACAACCCCATCAAAAAGTGGGCTAGGGACATGAACAGACACTTCTCAAAAGAAGACATTTAAGCAGCCAAAAGACACATGAAAAAATGCTCATCATCACTGGTCATCAGAGAAATGCAAATCAAAACCTCAATGAGATAGCATCTCACACCAGTTAGAATGGCAATCATTAAAAAGTCAGGAAACAACAGGTGCTGGAGAGGATGTGGAGAAATAGGAACACTTTTACACTGTTGGTGGGACTGTAAACTAGTTCAACCATTGTGGAAGTCAGTGTGGCGATTCCTCAGGGATCTAGAACTAGAAATACAATTTGACCCAGCCATCCCATTACTGGGTATATACCCAAAGGACTATAAATCATGCTGCTATAAAGACACATGCACACGTATGTTTATTGCGGCACTATTCACAATAGCAAAAACTTAGAACCAAGCCAAATGTCCAACAATGATAGACTGGATTAAGAAAATGTGGCACTTATACACCATGGAATACTATGCAGCCATAAAAAATGATGAGTTCATCTCCTTTGTAGGGACATGGATGAAATTCGAAATCTTCATTCTCAGTAAACTATCGCAAGGACAAAAAACCAAACACTGCATGTTCTCACTCATAGATGGGAATTGAACAATGAGAACACATGGACACAGGAAGGGGAACATCACACTCTGGGGACTGTTGTGGGGTGGGGGGAGGGGGGAGGGACAGCATTAGGAGATAAACCTAATGCTAAATGACAAGTTAATTGGTGCAGCACACCAGCATGGCACATGTATACATATGTAACTAACCTGCACATTGTGCACATGTACCCTAAAACTTAAAGTATAATAATAAAAAAAAAATCCAATGACTGTTAGGAAACTTTCTGCTCTACCAATTTTCAGTCTTTCCTTGCAGAAACATTTAAATGACTCTGGGATTATTAGAGAAAAGTCAGGCTAAGTATATTAGGCTCATCAGCCATATTCTTTAAGCCTCAGTTTTCTCTAACATAAAATGAGATAACAGTACAACCTCATAAGGTTGTTGGGAGGATCAAATATGATAAAACGTGAATAGTTATGCTTGTGATCAATAAATGTTAGCTGTTATCACTGTCATTGTTCTATTCAATGCCGTGTTCTATTCCTTGTTTATCAACAACCTGGACACCTGAGCAGCCACAGCTGAGAGTGCAGAACCATAAACCATGGCCATCTGCCTGTGTTTTGAATATTCTCAAAACCAACGAACCCTGAAGACTAAACAAGGCATCAGTCCTTGTGTCTGAATCGTGGAACATTATGCACAGAGTTCCATGCCTGATATAAAGCACACACCTATGCCTTCAGATGTTACCATCAACTGAGACCCCATTCTGAGCTTTGGGGGCCTCCCATCCCCCCTTTTCTGCCCTCTCTCAATCTTCTCTTTGCTTCTTATTTATTTTAAACCCTGAATTCTCTATTTGGGCTGGCTCACCTTGTCCTACTCGGAGAAGCACAGATTCACAAAGCTAACCTTTTTTAAAAGTCCTTGTGTAGAAACATAAACATCCGCACTTGTGTGCAGGCTGACAGGAAGGGAGGAACGGGAGGTTTGCGGGATGGGGGTCAGGAGACCCAGGTTTTATTACTCGCTTGCTGATAGTCTCATTTTGACTTTAATTTCTTGGGGCCTCACTTCTCTCCTCTAGAAATGGGGCAGGCAGGGTTAGCAAAGAATACCTGTCCCTGGTCGGCCTCATAAGGCAGTTGGAAGAATGAATGCGATTATGTCAAGAAGGCCATTCGAGTTCCTCAGAGAAGGGCACTCTCTAAATGCAGGGCATGATTATGTGTCACTCCCAGGAAGAGGGAGAGCCAGGTTGTCTCTCAGGCACTCTCCACCTGTCACTGTAATTGCAGAGACACTTTCATAATGGAGGCAGAGCACTCGCTGGTCGGAAGGTGCAGGTCTCAGGTGCGGGATTCTGTTTGAGGACCTGTGCAAGCTTTCCTAACAGGCTGGGGGCAGGGAGCGAAGCTGAATGCAGAAATCCTTTCCTTAGCTTTAAGGACTCCCTCCTCCCACCCCCTATCCCCCCAAGAGGTGGAGCCCCTGAGCAGACAGGCACTCCATGAATGCTTGTTTGTGGAATTGGATGGAAGTGAGTATCGACAGAATTCTCTTCATTTACAGACTCAGATTCCCTTAGAAGTGCAGTGGCCATGTTTTTGCCTGTTAAAATGTTTACTGACACCAGCGGCAATTATGGCTTAAGGGGTGTTCCCTAATGTATCAGGAAGCGTGAGGAGTGGGGCGGCGGGGGCGTTGAGTTCTCTTCATCTATGCTTTTTTGCTGTCACAGTGACACTCTATGCCGAGCATCACTCTAGGGTGATACAAGGAGAGGGGACTATCAGGTGGGCCCAGTGGACGGACATTGCTGGAAGACAGACTTGTGAAGAGTTGAAGGGGGTGGGGAGTAGACATCATTAGAATAATATGTTTCACACAAGGAACAGCAGCCAAAACACGGGTCAGATAAGCCAGCAGGGTCCCAGAGGAGTTGCTTGGAAGAGGGTCCTAAGGCCAGTCATCAGAGAAGGAATACCTGGGGTGGAGATTCCAGGAAGATACACACATCACCTGGTCCACAGCCTCTCCAGCCTTACTTTCCAACACTGGAGTTATTTGACCTGCAGCCTGAGGTCCTCTCACATCAAAACCCTCATATCTTTGACACTAAATAGAATTGGATTTAGTTCTGCACTCTGCTTCTTGGCTAAATATCCACATTCTCAAAGCCTCAGTACCTTCATCTATGGAATGGGGCTGATAATATTTGCCCTACAGAGTTGCCGGGAAGGGGCTGGCTCTCTGTGGTAAGTGAGATCTCCATAAATGAGGATTAACAGAAGTGGTAGGAGGATTGGAAGAGTAATTTTTGAGGACTAGTCTTATATATAAGATCACTGCATTATTTGAGGTGTCTGAGGGCTGCAGAAAGGCGTGGTTCTATCTCTGATCCCTCCCCCCAGCTGATGTTGACAATGTGGACCACATGCCTGCCGACCTGCAGGCATTCTGTTTCTACATTTACTGAGCTTCACCTGGCTGCCATTCATTCACTCCATGCAGACTGTAGCTTAAATTCCACAGGGAGGAGACAGCAAATAAACAAAATTAACACGTGTAATGCATGACATTTGGATGTTTACAAGCTCTCCAAGGTGCAGGTGAGGAGGGAAATAAAGCAGGGAGTTGTCAGGGTATGGTTGTAGTTCTAAAGAAAAATGTAGTTTTAAAGAAAATGGCCTGGTGAGGCCTTACTGAGAAGGGGGCATTTTGATAGACTGTAGCTCAAGGGGTAACTTCTCTGATACCTACCTGCCCAGCTCCGCTACTGATACATGCCTTGAGCTCCTGGGCTCAAGCCATCCTCCTGCCTCAGCCACCCAAGTAGCTGGGACTATAGGTGCACCTGCCTCTTTTTTAGTTTTAGAGATGGGATCTTGCTATGTTCACCAGGCTCATCTCGAACTCAGGTTCATTGCTTTAGATCCAGGACATGACCCAACTAGCATCACTGGCATCACAGCTTGTGAGAAATGCTGAATGTCAGGCCTCAGCCCAGACCTACTGAAACAGACTTCATTTTAACAAGACTCCCAGGTGATTCCTGCACACATTACAGGTCATCTTTGCCAAATAGAGTATGGTATGTGTGTCGTCATTTGCATAGAGTTTAAATGCTGAAGTTCCCTTGCTGCACTTAAGGAGAGTTAAGCAGTTGATGCTATAATGATGGTATTTAGGCTTAGAGAGGGATATCATAGTTCCACAACCTTCAGAGAACAAAGTTCCTTCTGTAGTTGCTCTGTGGTTGTCAACACTTGGATTCTGTCCTGTGGCCAAGATGGCTATCTCAGCTTTCACTGCTATTTCCACATTCCAGCCAAGCAAATGGTAGAACTAGGCAAGAGGAAGGCATCTTCCACCCCTTTTAACGTCAGGACATTGGCTCACATCCCATAGGTGATGACCTAGTCGCACAACAATGCAAGAGATGGTAGGAAATGGAATCCTTGGCTGGGTGACTGGATTTTCAACTTCTGTTACTCCTTATCATAGAAAAAAGGGAGAGTGGATTGTGTGATAATGACCAGCCTTCTCTGTATGCACCGAGGAAAAGAATCATTGGGACAAGCCAGAGGCTCAGGTCCAGCCAATGCTGGACCAAGACTGAAATACAGGCACTCAGGTAATTGGGGTGAAGATCTGTCAGCCAGATGATAGCTCCTGGGTCCGTTCTCGGAGTCTAAAAAGCTCTCATCCAAGGCACACTGAGGCAATGCTCACTGGTAATGTTAGACCAGGTTATGGCTAGCATCTCTTCTGCATGATCCATGCCCATGCCATTCCAGTGGTTACATATTTTCAACATCACCTCTGTTCTCTTCTCCTGAGGTACAAGGAGGCTGAAATAGGATTTTCTCTTCCTCTTACTAACTTTTCTGAGTGACTGAAGAGAGGAAGTAAGTGAAAAAATATAATCCCTAGTATGTTTCAGGGTACTTTTTTCTCCTTCCCATACAGAATTTTTCTTTAATTTTTTTCTTTCTTACTTTCTTTCTTTTTTTCTTTTTTTTAAATGTTGTAGAGACAGGGTGTCAATATATTGCCTAGGCTGGTCTTGAACTCCTGGCCTCAAGTGATTCTCCCCCCTCAGCCTCCCAAAGTGCTGGGATTTACAGGCATGAGCCACTGTGCCTATCCTACCTTAATTTATGTGTCTAAGGATACAAATTGTCAGTCTATTTCCTCCACTTTCTCTTCCAGGCCCTGATCTATGCTCATTTACTTTTAGAGAATTGTCATTGCTGAAGAAGGGGGCAGTGTATAGATTGGGGAAGAAAATATTAGTCTGGCTGCCTTAAAAAGCAGCATCCAAGATTAAGGGAGATAACTACTGCATTTTCTGCAGAGGATATGGCTTCTGTTTCTGAATAGGGGATAGAGGGGAATTAAAGGTAGAGTGGGAATTAGTATTATTATAGCCATCCTCATAGGCATAAAGTGGCATCTCATTACAGTGGAACTGGAGTTTTTATTAGGCTATTGTCAAAGTCTTAGGACCAGTGTAACTGTTTCTAACAGACTGGGTAAATGCTCATAGCTCCAGGATCCTGGCAAAGCAGCACTCAGGAAATAGAATGTCTACAAGCAAGTTTTAAAGTGTCTGATGATGGATGAGTGGTACATGGATGGGGGATGCTGGAGGTGTGGTATCCTCTGGGCTAGCTAAACTTGAATACATTTTATGAGCCACATGCAGTACCAGCCTAAGAACCTTACAGCTACGTGATGAAATGGGGCAGCCCCTAACAAATTGGCTGAAAGTGGCTCCCAGCTTCATTTCTCTTCCAATTGCTCAGTTTCACAAATGTATGCAACCACCCCAGCACGAAAAAGAGAGAATTCCTTCTCTGGGGTCTCCATGTATGCATCAAGAAAGAATTGCACATATTGTTAGTGATTATGGAGCCTAAGATGCTAAGATAAGAATGAAAAGGCATGTAATTACTCAAGTGTACTCACTGGGATACATATTTGGCTGCTCTAAAAAAAAATGCCAAAATAACAGACACCAGGTATTGGCCTAGAAATCATTTACATAAATGCCATTGAGCTGTAGCTCTGAAACGGAGGTTCAGAATCCAGATGGACAGAGAATGTCGCCAGTGACCATCTTCCCATCCCATTCTATCAGAAAGCACAGGTCTGGATAGGTGTCCCCTTACTTGACAATGAAACCTTAGAGGGGAAAAGAAAGTCACATAAAGCCTAGGCAAAGGATATTGTCAAAGAAGAAAAATGTAATATTATCCTAAAGACTCAGAGGATCTTTGAAAATGTTTTACTACCAGAATCAGAGGAACATTGGAACATTGTAGAGACCCATTGAGCATCCTCAACAGGATGCAATGGAACTCAATGAAACAAGAGCAGAAAAGCACATGGGAAAAAATGGGCTAAGATTGTAAGTGACAACTGAATAGTAAATAGGCACAACTCATGGAAAATAATGATAGAGCAACTTTATTTCAGTCTCTCACTGTCAGTTTTCCTCACTTTATTTTTTTAACATGAAAAATTTTCAACACATATAAAAATAGAATAGTATAATAAGCTCCCATATCCCCATCACCTGGCTTTAACAGTTTTCAACTTACTAGCAATCTGGTTTCCTCTAAATCCTCACCCACTCCCCCACTCCCATCCCCAATGGCAGCTACTTTGTCCCCTCCCTCTTTCACATCCTCCTATCTAGAAAACATGTCAGGAATCTACCCACTTCTCTGCAAACCCTCTACCACCACCCTAATCCAAGTCACACAACTCTGTGGCCTGGATAATCTTTGCTTCCAACTAATGGTTGTTTCCATTCTTGTTTTCAGCCCTTTCATTGTAAAATAAAACACAGACACAGAAAAACACGCAAAGCAATGTACGGATTAGGAATTATTATAAGGCAAACACCCTTGTAACCACCACCTACAACAAGAAACCAAACATTGTTAGCCACCCCAATATGCCCTATATGTGTCCCATCCAATCAGAACTCCCATCTCCCTCTGAGTTAATTTGCTAGGGCTGCTGTAACAAAATACCACGGACTGGGAGGCTTAAACAACAGAAATGTCTTTCTCTCAGTTCTGGAGGCCACAAGTCCCTGATAAGAAATCAGCAGGTTTGGTTTCTCCTGAAGCCTTTCTCCTTGATTTGTAGATGACTCTCTTCTGGCTGTGTCCTGACGTGGTCATCCCACATCCCATGAGGTGGTCAGTACTACTTCATTTAACCTTAATGACCTCTTTAAAAACCCTATCTCCAAATACATCCTGAGCTACTGGGGGTGAGAACTTCATCACATGAATTTGGGGAGAAAAGGTTCAGCAGCCTATAATGCACTCTAAACATAATCACTAGCCTGATTTTTGTAGTAATTACTTCCTCGTGTTTCTTTACAATTTCATTAACCAAGACACCAAAGTTTAGTCTTCCTAGTTTTTTTTTAAACCTGAAATGTCACTAAGTCTTTTTTAATCTCCAGGCTTCCTTTCCATTACTTTCTTTTCCTTATAATGTATCTGTGAAAGAACCTGGGCTGTCTGGCATATTTCCCAGAGTTTCCCATGGTCTGGCATTGCTGATTGCATGCCCATGGTGCAGCTCAGCCTGTTCTTCTCTCCCCTGTATTTCCTAACACTTGACAGTTGGTTCCAGAGATTTGAGCAGACTTGAATTTGAACCCTCTGGCAAAACTATAAAGAATGGGGGTGTGTTCTTTCATCAGGAGACAGAAAATGTCTCATTTTTGCTGTTTATTTTGATGTTAGCTGCTGTTGATGGCAAATACCTCAATCCAATGAATTTTTTGAGTAGATGAATGGTGATATTCTAGTCCTATCATTTTGTTTTCATTTATTAGCTGGAACAATTTTGTAAAGAGACTTTTCTCATCTGCTTTTTGGTTGCCAAATGAGTTCATATCAGAAAGGCAAGAAAAATGCTTATTTTTTCTTTTTATTTACCATTTTTCAATGCAATAAATCAGATCCCTGTCATCTTCAGGTGAACATTTTTTTTTAATTTAAACATCATTATAAACATGCATTTAAATATATCTGTGTGCTTTTAATCCAATGTAATTCTTATCATTTTGAAGCCCACTTCTCCCTTCCTAGGCCAGTGGGAGCCTCTTTAAATTGGTTTCTGAATAGAGTTGACATGACCCCAGAAGTCTTTGATAGCTTATTCACTGTCAGGTGTGACAAGATGCTCCAGGTTTATCTCATACCTTTCCCACCCCAGGCCTAGTACCAACATTTCTCCAAGAAATCCTGGCTTCTATTCATGGGAAATGGAATTTCAGGATGAGAGATTGGGTGTTGGGGTGTTCTTCAAAACTGGGTTGTTGTTTCCATAGCATTTTAGTTGACAAATAAAGTACTTTATCTGTTCATACTGATATATCTATCAATTTAGGACTTGAGGTTTTACTTAACCTCTTCTCTATTGCATCTATATATTCTGTACTGATAATCTTGTGTCGGTTTTCAAGGAAACAGGGGAAGTTGGGTAAGAATAATCCACAGTTACTCACTGGTTTGACCCCACCTTACACACCAAACCATTTTAGAATAGCTATAGGAACTTTACCACTACTAAATATGAATACTGAAAGCAGTTAAATATTTTTGCCTCTGCTATCCCCATTTTCCCCCCATTTATTATGACTTCTCAGAGCAGCCTGTCTGATCAGCTTTACTAAAGTGTAATATGCATAAAATAAATTTCACCCTTTTCAAGTGTACCATTCAATGAGTTTTGGCAAATATATACAGTATATAACATCACATGTGTATATAAGCACCATAGTATATGTGGTATCGTCACAAACATATATACATGTACAGCACCACGACCCAGTTATAGACTAGCTCTAGCATTGAAAATATTCTCCTCATATCTCTTTGCAGTCAACAATCCCCTTTCCCTCATTTTTGGTCCCTAACAACCACTGACCTGCTTTATGTCACTATGGTTTTCGTCTTGTAGAATTTCATATACACGTCATCACAGGTGTAGCCTTTTGTGTCTGGCTTCTTTCACTTAGCATAATGCTTTTGACATTCACCCATGTTCTATGTATCAGTAGTTTTATTCATTTTTATTGCTGAGTAGTATTTGTTGTATGGCTATATTACAATTTATTTTTTATTCATCCAATGATTGACACTTAGGTTATTTTCAGTTTGAACTATTAGGAATAAAGTGCCACAATCATTTGCATAAAAATCTCTCTGTGACACATGTTTTCATTTCTCTTGGGTAAATACCTAGGAGAGGAACTTCTGGGTCATTTGGTAAACATATGTTTTACTCTACAAGAAAATGACAATTTACTTCATAAAGTGGCTGTACTATTTTGCATTCTGAACAGCAGTATGAAAGTTCTTATCGCTTCCCATCTTTGCTAGCATTCATTATTTTTCATCTTTTAAGTTTTAGTCATTCTGGCCAGGGGTGGTGGCACACGCCTGTAATCCCAGCACTATGGGAGGCTGAGGAGGTGGGAGGATCACTTGAGGTCAGGAGTTTAAGACCAGCCTGGCCAACATGGTGAAACTCCATCTCTACTAAAAATATGAAAAAAAAAAAAAAAAAAAAAAAAGGTAGGAGAATTGCTTGAGCCCGGGAAGCAGAGGTTACAGTGAGCCAAGATCAGGCCACTACATTCCAGCCTGGGCGACAGAGTGAGAGTCCATCTCAAAAAAACAAAAACAAACAAACAAAAAACAAAAATAAATTTTAGTCATTCTCATGGATGTGTAGAGGTATCTTGTTGTGATTTTAAATTTCATTTCCCTAATGAGTAATGATGTTGAGCATTTTTATGTATTTATTTGCTATGGATATATGATACATATCTTCTTTAGTGAAGCATCTGTTCAAATCTTTGCCCATTTTAAATTGTCTTATTATTGTGTTGTAAGAGCTCTTTATATATTTTAAATACTAGTCCTTTATCAAACATATGTTTTACAAATAATTTCTTTCAGTCTACAGTCTATGGCTTGCATTTCTACCTTTTTGTTTTAAATGCCACATACAAACTTTAACAAAGTTTGTTTGGGTAGTGTGGTGTGCCAGTACTCATAGTGCTCCTCAAAGTATTTGTCTGAGTAGTCCACCTGCATGCAGGCCATCCTGCCTGCGGATCAGGGAACAAGAAAGACCACAGAGAGCAAGTGGGAGCAGTGGGCGGAACTTCCATGACCAGCTAAGGCAGCTACTCCATGGGGACCAATCTTCTCTACTTTTATAAAAAAGAACTTTCCTGGCAGGGCACAGTGGCTCAAGCTTATAATCCCAGCACTTTGGAAGGCCGAGGCAGGCAGATCACTTGAGGTCAGGAGTTCAATACCAGCCTGGCCAACATAGTGAAACTCTGTCTCTACTAAAAATACAAAAATTAGCTGGGCGTGGTGGCACATGCCTGTAGTCCTAGTTACTCAGGAGGCTGAGGCAGGAGAGTCACTTGAACCTGGGGGGGCAGAGGTTGCAGTGAGCCAAGATCACACCATTGCACTCCAGCGTGGGTGACAGAGCAAAACTTCGTCTCAAAAAAAAAAAAAAAAAAAAAAAAAAAAAAGAACTTTCCTTCATCAGCTATTTCTCTTAAAATACAGTTTATATAGGAAAGGCAATGTAAATGCTTGATTCTTTCCCCTTATGGATTTTCAGAACATTAATTCTGCTTCCAGATCAGTATATTTTGTGTGATCACAACCTTGTATAAGAAGCAAAAGGGAAAAAAGCCATGAGGAATAACAACAAAATGCTAAAGTTTCTTTTATTTGATATTGGGATTGTTAAGTCATATTTTTTTCCTATCCTTCTCCTCCCACTCTCCACAAAGGACACATGCCCAACTGTGAACTATGGTCATATGTGGCTGGTGGAACTGTGCATTATTTGCTTTGCTTCCTCCTATTTTTTCTGTTTTCTAAATTTTCTATGATAAATTATTTTATTAACAAAATGGGAAAATGTATTTCTATCTCTATATAGTACATATCTAACCATCTGTCAGTCTACCCATCAGTCAAGTCTTTGGTACTCCATGTCATCATATTACTGTTTTTTTTCTTTTTCTTTTTTTTTTTTGAGGCAGAGTCTTGCTCTGTCACCCAGGCTGGAATGCAATGGCACAGTCTTGGCTGACTGCAACCTCCACCTCCCAGGTTCAAGTGATTCTCCTGCCTCAGCCTCCAGAGTAGCTGGGATTACAGGTGCGTGCCACAATGCCCAGCTAATTCTTATATTTTTAGTAGAGGCGGGGTTTCACCATGTTGGCCAGGCTGGTCTCGAACTCCTGACCTCAGGTGATCTGCCCACCTCGGACTCCCAAAGTGTTGGGATTACAGGCATGAGCCACCGTGCCCAGGCCCAAATTACTGTTTTTATAACTAGAAAACATACATGGTTGGAATGAAGTTTTTCCTCTGACTGGTTTCAGTCTCACAAAATTCATATTGGTAAATTGTGGAGTTTTGCCATATTAAGGCAAAACTGCAAAGTCCAATGTGCACACAGAGTAGAAGTACCAGGAAAAGTGGCAAGTGCCTCACTTGTTCAGGATCATCCAGGATTTCTTTTCTTGGGGGCTACTCTTGAATTGGAGCTCCATTGTCACTGGATGGACAGACTAAATGCAGAAGTCAGTAACTGCTGTTATTTGTTTGCTAGGGCTACCATCACAAATACAGACTGGGTGGCCTAAAAAACAGGTATGCGTTTTCTCACAGTTCTGGAGGCTGAGAAGTCCAAGAGCAGGGTGCCAGCCATGTTGGTTTTTCCTCAGGCCTTTTTCCTTGACTTTCAGGTAGCCATAGTCGATCTGTGCCTTCACATGGTCTTCCTTCTGTGTGTTAATGTCCTAATCTCCTCTTCTAATAAGAACGCTGGATACTGGATTGGAGTGTGTCCTAATGACCTCATTTCAATCACGTGATCTCTATAAAGACCCTATGTCCAGATGCAGTTTCATTCTGAGGTCCTGAGGGTTAGGGCTTCAACATATGAATTTTGGGGGTCATAATTCAGCCCCTAACACTGCTTATTGCCTATTGTCATGTTTTTCTCTTGCAGAGATGATGGTGTTTCTAGTAATGAAATTGGGCTCAAAATCACCAACCTAAAATGTCCAGAACACAGCTGGCTTCTCTGCTGTGGAGTTGATGATAACATCTACATCCTTGCCATTGTGGTTGGTTGCTGCTAGCCAGCCTGGTGGTTTTGCTGTAATCTCCCATCATTTCCCTCCAGCCCATTACCCTGTAGCCAGCCCTGCCTCCTCAGTGGGTCCTGAGATTATGGCTGCTTTTTCATTTTCTTGCAGCTGAACTTTCATCTCAAGATCTCACCCACATCCCAATTCACCTGGCCTCAGAATAATATTAATGCTGCTTTGCAAATCATTCTTTTTTCCCTCCCTTCTTTCTCTCTGTGGCAAGGAAGGCAGGGAAGCTAAACTGGTAGATTTTCAGTGAACAATGTGTTGCTCTCATGTTTACTTTTGAATTCTACTTTTGAATGATAGAGAGGTTCCTCTGCCACCCCAGCTGAGTGTTATCAACTTTTATTTGCATATAAGAAAACCTAGAGCAGTTGTGCAAGAAACTAGGCAAATGAGAACAGGTTTGTTTACAACAAGTGCCTGACATGTCTCACATTTACCTTTCCACAAAGGGCCAGAATGAAGTTTTTGCTCCTGTTGGTAGGTGGTAATCTATGCATGGCTCCTTGCATTGTAAGCAGAATGAAGGTTATATATTTGCCAGAATTTTCTTTAAGAAAGATAATGCAAATATGTATTGCTTTGTAAACTATGGTTCCTCTTAGAAAAAAGAAAAAGAAAAAAATATTGCATTTCTCAAACTTTACAAAAACATGTGAGCTTATGGATAAATTGCTAGCCTGCTCCCCAGCTTCTTTCCATATGCACATCCCCTAGGGGCCTTGAAAGGCAAGTGAGAGACCTCACAGCTTATGTTTCATTAACTTCATAGTAAATATGCTTCTAATTATAATGAACTGCTTGTTTTTGTTTGTTTTCCACAGTGAGCTGAAATCACAGTACTACATTCATCATGTGTATCCCATGTTCCTAGTACAGTGCTTGTCTATAGTAGGCAGTCAATAAGGATTTATAAAATGAAATGAATTGCTGGAAGTCAGGAAGAATGAATGAATATGGTGACTCATTTCCCATAAGCATCCAAGTACAATTTTGCTCATACAACACAGAGAAGGTTGAGTAGGTTCGAGGTAGTTAACAAATATCCTTGGGTACTGTGATCCAAGAGAAGGCAGATCATTTTGCCCATGAGATTGGCTTCTCCCCAGTCTCTCCCATGGCTTCCCACAACAGCTGGGGCCCACTCCTTTAACGAGGGCATTGCAGATGGCCTGCCAGTGCTCTGGAAGTCCTTGGCCCAAGGCCTACAGCTGTGGGGACATTAGCCAGGTCCAGAGTTGAACGACCTTTGAAAAGAACTTCAAGGCTTATTCTTTCCTACATACTTGCCGACAAAAGACATGATAACCAGTGACCTTTTCCTAAGAACACTCTTAAAGCTGTCACTGTGAAAATGCCTAAAGTATTGTGGAGAAAAACCTACTTTCCCTCTGGACTTAAAATGCCCACAGAATGCTACTAGGCAGGAGCCATCTGCAACAGCAGTAACTCAACAGCAGTGATCTCTGGATAAATTCACAGTGAGAACACAACATCCCTTTTCAAAAAAGTGACATCAGCAGACCCCATCTAGAGAACAGGGGGATATCTTTGTATGCACTGCACAGCATTTGACTCTTCGTGGGGGCTCCAAACATATTGCTGAAATGCTAGTATAACATTTCCATTTTTTTTTTGTCCTTCTGCCTTGGGCAGCTTTGCTTTGATGCTTTCAGGATTTGGGCATGTAAGCTAGGGTTAGGACCTTAATCATGACTTGATATTAGACATATTTAGAAAAGCCAGGGTTGTAACAGGAAGAAATGTAATAACAGGGATTTAGAGATTAAAGTAATTTAGGAGAGAGAATGTAAACAAAAGTAATAGAAATGAAATTTAACACAGATCTTGATGAAATAGTGCAGTGCAAAAATGTAAGGGTACAAGAAAGGGCTCCTTCGCTGTTCTGATGGGGCCAGGTTGGAATAACCCAGAGGTTAGGGCATGATTTTTACAGTCTGAATCCCTGTTTGAACTCCACCTCTGGCTCTTACAGTTGTGACAATTCTTGGGCAATTTTCTTACTTACCTGAGGCTTATTATTCCTACCTGCAAAGGAAGGACTAGTAAGAGGACTGCTATGCTTTGAATGCCCCTTCCAAAACTCATGTCGCAATCTAATTGGCAATGCAATAGTATTGGGAGATGGGACCTTTAAGAGTTTATTAGGTCACGAGGGTTCTGCTCTCATGAATGGATGAATGCCATTATTGTGAGAGTGTGTTAGTTATCATGGGACTGGGATCCTGAAAAAGCATGAGTGTGGCCGGGTGCGGTGGCTCACACCTGTAATCCCAGCACTTTGGGAGGCCAAGGCGGGCAGATCACAAGTTCAGGAAATCGAGACCATCCTGGCCAACATGGTGAAACCCTATCTCTACTAAAAATACAAAAATTAGCTGGGGGTGGTGGTGCATGCCTGTAATCCCAGGTACTCGGGAGGCTGAGGCAGAAGAATTGCTTGAACCAGGGAGTTGGAGGTTGCAGTGAGCCGAGATCACAACACTGCACTCCGGCCTGGGCAACAGAGTGAGACTCCATCTCAAACAAACAAACAAACAAACAAAAAGCATGAGTGTGCCTGATTTCCTCTTGCTTTTGCTTGAACTCCCTCTCACCTTCCATGATGGAATGACCCTCGCCAGATGTCAGCCCCATGCTCTTGGACTTTCCAGCCTCCAGAACTGTGAGCCAAATAAACTTCTATTCTTTACAAATTACCCCTCTGAAGTGAACTTTCAATGAGATAAAGGTGAACATTGCTTAACTCTTCCAGGCCCTTTACTAATCTTCACCTGGAAACCACAGCACATTGAGCAGTGTTGGGCAAGGCTATCCATTAAAGAGCAATGCACTTTCTATAGACAGGTGCTGCGTATTCTGACTGCAATGCATGCTTTAGGCATGCAGGTGAAATGTGGAGAAAGTTTGAAATGCACTTTTCAGCTGCAGAGAAAAAAGCACTAGGTAACTGGTGACTTCAGGGACAGCAAAGAAACCACTTGTGAAATAGTAAGAATAAAGAATGAAGGAAAGAAGGAAGGAGGGAGGGAGGGAAGGAATGAAGGAAGGAAGGAAGAGACAGGATGGTGAGGGAGGAATACACTTGGAAAATATTTGTTTATAGCAGCAGGATTAGGCGAGGGATACCCACTGACAAGGTTGGTGATGTTGGTGAAGAGGAAGGTTCTAGGGGAAAGAAGGTATGTCTCAAGGAAGGGCCTATACAAAGGGCCAACTCTTTGGTTCTGGGGACACTGATTGTCTGCCTTACAAGCTGAACAGCACTAGCCTAAGTCCTACTGAGGCACAGAAGAATGATGTTAATGAATCCAGCTTGGGGATAGCTGCTGCAGAGCCTGTGTGAAATGAATTGTGTCTCCGGTCAATTTAGCAACTAAAAAACACATGACGCCTAGTTAAATTTGAATTTCAGATAAATAATAAATATGTTTTTAACATAAGTATATCTTATGCAATATTTGGGACATACTTATATTTTAAAAGTATTCACTGTTTATTTGAAATTCAAGTTTAACTGGATGTCCTGTATTTGATCTGTCCATCAATCTCAGGAGGTCTGTTAATGTCTCCGGCAGTGTGATGCAAAATAAAATCTACGTTTTGGAAATGGTAAGAATTCTCTCTTCCTAAGTGAACAGGAAGTGATGTCTACTGAGCTCCTTCTCTGTGTCAGGTACCTCACCTTGCCCCATCTTATTTAATCATCACAACAACCCTGGGGGACAGGTGCCGTCATCATCCCAGTAACAGCTGAGGAAACCAAGGCTCAAAAAGTACTTTACAGTAAAAGTCTAACAGCTCATTAAAGGCAGTGCAAGCATGTCCATCAAAGGAGGCTGACCCAGAGCTCATGCTCTTAACAACATTTGGGTTTGCCATGTCAGGCACACTCAAGTTTCTGAGTACCTTTCAGTCTCCTTTCTGCTACTTTGAATGCTGAATGGCAGCCTCACCACAGAAAACCAGAGCCCTAGCCAGAGCTGCTAGAGCAGCAGGGAGCAAGGGCCCCTGTAAGGTATAGACCCTCCTTCCTGTCCCTTCCCATAGAGTCAAGGAACTTACTGCTTCCCTAGGGGCTCTTCTCCTAATGTGTAGTTCTCTTCACTGGCTGGGGGTCAGGCAGAGGGCTGTGTCCATAAACCCCACCTCAAGCTCCAGCTCACTTAGTGCTCCAAAAAGTGAGTTCCTTCCCCCATGCACCTCCATCTTATCCAGAAAGAAGGCTCACTGGCTCTGATGGGGTTTAAGTAGTCCTGCTATTGGGCGACCTTGCCCACATAGTCTTTTTTTGAGATTTTTTTGAGACTGTCTTCACTTCCTCGTCGTTGTCCTTTGGGACAGTCCACCCCTTCTCACATAAGCAAGTCATCCTGGCCCTCTGACCCTTCTTGCATCTGTCAAATTCTGATGCCTCTAACTTCAGCCAGATATGAATGGAGATTTCCTGCTGCCCAAGTTGCTGCTGGCTCCTACGGGGAATAGTGGATTCCAGCTCAGTGACTCAGGGGAAGACATGTGTGATCCAGTTCCACTCTAGCCTGCACCAGCAAAGGCTGTGGCTCGAATCCTCCTCAGTTCCTTAAGGGCTAACTCACCATGCCTCGGCACATACTAACTGTTATAAATACGTCACAGTTGGATCTCACACAAAGCAAGAATGTTCTTTTTACTAACATGATTTTGGCTCTACTTCTTGAGAGAGAAAAAAACATGACATTATTTTGCTAAAGGAACATCTGTCTCCTTTCCATGTCTGCTTGCTTTACAGCGAGCATACACTATACATGGCTAGACCCCTCTTACACTCAATCTCAGTCCACCTGTCAATACTGTGGCTAATCTTTCCCTGGCCATCCAATCTAAAGTAATCCCCACTCCCTTCTTAGTACATTGATTTGTTTGATTTCATGCATAGTGATAATCGTGATAACATCTGAAATCCCCTTGTTTCCTTTCTCTGTTTATCTGTTTTAGAGTATCCCCTAGGAAACTATAATCTTCACGACAGCATGGACTATGACTACTTGGTTCATTATTGTATTCCCATGGCTAGAGCAAGGCCTGGCACATAGTAGACAACAATTACTTGATAGGTGAATGAATGAGCTAGTTACAGTTAGCCACTTGAGTGAACTGTCCAGGCCAGAAGGCCACTTGAGTGAACCATTGAGGCCAGAAGGCACTGTTACCTAATGTATCCTTTTGATATCCAATTTTCTTCTGTCTTACAAATAGAGTAGGATTTTGCAACCTGCCATGTGAATTTCACTGAGCAAAATACAGGCAGACTGTGGAAGGTAATGGGTTCTGAATGATCAGTTAAAATAAGGAAGCCATAACCAGGCCGGGAAATACTTTCAGGAGCAGGAACCTGTAGGTTGGTGCTTTGGGGAGAAGCAGCCAGCGATGAATTAAAGCACCAAGGGATGGGGCAGCACAGGAAGTCTCTCTCTCTCTCTCTCAATCTCTCTCTCTCTCTCTCTCTCTCTCTGTGTGTGTGTATGTGTGTGTGTATCTGTAAGGTTAGAAAATTGGTCGATCTTAAGTAGATAGATTCCTCACAGAGTATCTGTCCTCAGGATGAATGCCAACAGGCAGGGCAAGCCTCTCCCCAGATTATAAACAAGGGGAATGTCTGTGCATGGTGTTAAACGTTCTTCCTTTATGCACCCTCCGTTACTCAGCATTTCACCTGGTCCAGACCCTTTTTTCCTCCTGAACACCAATTTCATTATTCAGGAGTTGCTAAGCAGGGTCATTAACACTTGACCTTTGCACTTACAATAGTTAGGTTCACTTTCTGAACCTGTGTGCAACCTGGAATGAGCCAAGAATCGTACACGCAAACATCATATGGCCCTTTTCTTTTGGAATGAAGTGTATAAATACACGAATGCATGTAGGGATTCAAGTCTTTTTCAGCAATTTTGCTGGAAGCAAAGTCTTATTAGTGGGAACCACCTGTTCAGAGAGTAACTGAGAGAGAAGATGGGACATAGTGAATGCCCCAAACTTCACCCCTCCACAACTGCCACCGCTTAGTCATAAGGCCAGGAACCTGGTGCAAAGCACCTTACCATGCAGCCAGAGATTTCACAAAAGGCAGACAACATGTGCTGCAGGAGCAAGGCCATTTAATTCAGCCAGAAGATGACTATTTCCAAGAGACTATTTTTGTTTTGATTTTTAGTCAAAATTATTTTCAGCCTTTATGTATATTTTTCAAATATCATAAGAACAGGAAGTTGCATTCCAGGAGTCTTCTGAAACACCAATCTTTCTCATTAAGAGCTGCTTTTCTGACAACAGTTGTTAACCTTAGCCGTATATGTCGTATTTCCCAAAAAGGACCCAAAGGGAAGAAATGTGTACACTTGGATTAGATATATTATGAGAGTCAAGATGACCTAGATTTAAATTCAAGATCTGCAATTACTTTGCATTTAAATAAGAGCAAAGGTATTTTTCCCATGAAGTGTGATTATTTTAATAATACTAGGAAAAGTCAAATATTTAGTGATATACTGGTTCCTTTTCTTTCAATTTTGGTGAAGTGTGTCAGTCTGTGGACCTCAAAGTGAGATCACCAGGAATTGGATCGAAAATGATCCCAGCAAAGGTCAATGTAAAAACATATGTGCGGCTAAAGATAATAATACAGACTAATGTGATATAGTATTGTTGTTTTCTATGTGGTCTTACCCAAACCCTCTCTCATCCAAATGAAAATAACGTTCAATTCACTTAAAATTAGGCTGATGGAAAATAGTATAGCCATATTGATTTACTCAAGATTAAACACACTGGAAAGAAATTACTATAATCTGAAAATTGTAACAGTGGAAAGAAACATGGGATGGGAGTTAAGGTGTGACTTGAAAGGAAAATGCAGTAATCACACAAACAGAAGGCCTGAATGGAATATTGAGGAAGAAAACACAGAGTGATTTTGAAGTGATGTCTGGCTGCACTCCCCCAGTGCTGACCAGGTGAAACGCCATCTCATCTTTCCTGCCTGAGCAATCTGATTTACAAAAGAAGTGAAGGCAAGGAAGAGCAGTTGGGCTGCTCACAATCTGCTTTAGGCTGGAGAAACTGTGACTACTTTGGCCATCTGATTTGCCTTACCTTGCAAGGAACACTAAGACCAGGAAGGAAATGGTGATGGACACACGTGCATTAGTTTGTGAAACAGGACTCTTCCTAAGTGTAAAATTTATTCTTCTCTCCTTGCTACACAATATGTGAATGATGTGAAGAAGTTCACTGGAGCAGGACTGCTTCAATTGTAGAGAGGACTTATTAACATTTTTGTGTAGGGTGTAGACTTGACCTAGGATGGATTATGAGTATAACGGGGCTTCAGGAAAACTAGCCTTTACTGAACACCGGGAATCTGGAATGTATGACCTCATTTGCTCCTGACAGCAATCCCTTGATGAAATATGCTTATTATCCCCCTTTTACAAAAAGGACAGTGAGACTCAGATTGTGATGGTTACTTTTATGTGTCAACTTGGCTGGGCCACAGCGTGCCTAGGTACTTGGTCAAACATTATTCTTGATATTTCTGTGAGGGTGTTTTTGGATGAGATTAACAACTCGGTAGGTCGTAAAGCAGGATTGCCTTCCCTAATGTGGCAGGGCTTCATCTAACCTTTTGAAGGTCTGAATGGAACAAAAAGGCTGATCCTCCCTTTGGTAAGAGAAAATTCTTCCTGCCTGACTGCCTTTGAATATCAGCTTTTCCCTTCCTTCAAACTCAGACTGAAATATTGGCTCTTCTTGGTCTCAAATCTCCAAGCCTCTAGACTAGAGTACTAAACATTGGTTATCCTAGTTCTCAGGCCTTCAGACTTGGACTGGAACTAAATCATCAGCTCTCCTGGGTCTCCTACTTTTCACCTCACCATGCGGATTTTAGGACTTGTGAGCATTCATAATTTCATGAGCCAGTTTCTTCTGATGATCTATATTTATATCTATATAATCGATATTTATATCTGTGTCTGTCTGTACCTGTATTTATACCTGTACCTATATATATATATATATATATATATATATATATATATATATTTTTTTTTTTTTTTTTTTTTTTTGATATGGAATCTCACTCTGTCGCCCAGGCTCGAGTGCAGTGGCATGATCTCAGCTCACTGCAAGCTCCGCCTCCCAGGTTCACGCCATTCTCCTGCCTCAGCCTCCTGCATAGCTGGGACTACAGGCGCCCGCCACCACGCCCAACTAATTTTTTTGTATTGTTAGTAGAGTCGGGGTTTCACCATGTTAGCCAGGATGGTCTCAATCTCCTGACCTCGTGATCCACCCGCCTCGGCCTTCCAAAGTGCTGGGATTACAGGTGTAAGCCACCATGCCCGGCCTACCCGTACCTATATTTGTATCTATACCTGTATCTGAACCTGTATCCATACCTGTATCTGTATCAGTATCTATATCTGTGCCTGTGTCTGTATCTTATCTATGTCTATCTCCACACATCCTAGTGATTCTTCTTCTCTGGAGAACTCTAACGAATACAAAGGGGAAGCACATGTCCAGGGTAAGTTAGCCGGTGAGTGGCAGAGCCGGAATTCCAACCCAGGCCTCTCTGGCACACTGTTAATTTGTGTTGAAATGTCAGTAGGTGATAACAGATATCCAACTGAGAGCAATTCTAAGCGTGTATAATTTGTGGCAGGGCAAAGGTGTAAATATTAGAACGCTGTGACTCTAACAATGAACAAACAAGGATACAAAAGAAGGCTAAAGGGCGCAATGGCTTGCCAAATTTCTCCTGGGCTCACCTTTTCTTATACATGATCTTGAATAATACTATTAGCCACCATTTCTTAAGCCCTCCTATTGTCAAACACTTCATACACATCCAGTCTTTAGGATAACTTTGCAAGGTAGGTATTGTTGTTCTAATCTTGCACATAAATTCACACCTCATGACAGGATTCAAACTCAGGTCCCTCTGGCCCCATAGCCTATTCTTTCTCTGTGAGTCTGACCTGCACTTTTGTGGCCTGATCCTGGAGCAAAGTCCTCCAGACATTGTCTAACCACCTCTGACATTTAGTTAGTCCTGAAACCCTTGTTAGGATGGTGAGTTGCTGGACATATAGAGAACACAACATGAATATTATAATTTCCTAAGTCATATCCTAGATTAAATTCAGATTTACTATCTGAGCAATCAATAGGTGAGAAATCCGTCTAGAGAAAGAAAAAAAAACAAGAAAGGGAAGAAAATACATCAAATCTGAGACATTCATAGCAACTTGTGCTAAACAGGTGCTTGCAAATAATAACTTTGTTCATGTGACTTATAAAGGTATAAGTTCTGAAACTATAAGAAAACTTATCATTTGAAGTACTGAAGCTTAATATGGAGCCCGCGAGTCAATAGTATGACGTCTGTCTTTTGTACTGGGTTTGCTCTTAAGCTTCATAAGGAAATTGGGGAAAAGAGGCAGGGAGTGGTCCCTGATGAGGAAGAGAATAAAAATAAAAATAATAAAACTGTTTTATGTATACCTTATTTCATGGAATCTAAGATGGTATCAACTGTAAGAATCAATATTATTTTATAAATCACAAAGAGAGAAAAAACACTGACAAGTGTAGTTAGGAGATGCCATCCATTATAAGGCATTCTGATTTTAGATGTGTTAAAATGAGAAAAGAGTGTTTCTTAAAATCAAGTAAATATCATACATACAAGAGAGAGGGAGAACACTCATTAATGTTCTCCTTCAAGGCCAAGAGTCAGAACAAATATTTAGACAAAAGTGTCTGAATTCAAACTTAGTTGCTAATTTTTACACATCAACATCAGATTCATTTTGACACAATTCTTATGTTCTAGGAAAATATGGACCATATTTTCCCCATGAAAATGTTTTCAACTATGGCGAAAAACAAAGATGTTTCAAACACAAATCTGCTCAAAGTTTGTATTTGTTAGTTCCTATAAGATTTTGTACAGAAAATTAAAACCAATTTGTATGTTCCTTTTCTCTCTTTTCTCTTTTTTTTTCCTTCATGATCAACATGTAATTTAAAAGAAAATGTCTCCATCCATTAAAAAAATGTTTTCACCACTTCAGAAAATGTCTTTCTATAGGTCATTCTTGTTCACCACCATCATTCTAATCTTTCATCACAGAACTGAGAGTCTGAAAATGTCAACATTATATGTCAAGAACTTCAAAGGCACAGATTTCTACAATTTGACACTGCAGTTTGGAGACAGTGAAATGTGCTTTATAAAGATATATATATATAAAATAACCTTTGTGCAATGGATATCCGTAACTCAGAAGGCTTGAATTGCCTTCTGGGAATCTAACACACTATGCTTTGCTCCAAACTCCCCTGTGAAACCTGGGAAACACCCTCCTTGTAAATAATCTGCCCTCCTTTATAAGCATTCTGATGAGAAAACGTTAGAAAGAAGTTTAGTTAAGTTTAGCTAAGGGAAAGTAAAGGGCCATTCTGTTTTCAGCAGAAGACATGGTCACTGAAAGTTCTCCAACATGGCAGTTTTTCAAAACCTTGTAAGATGTATTCCCAAAAGAAAGCCCTTTCCATGAGGGCTCCTCACGGGTCCACAGCACCACACCCCCTTAGTGTGATCTGTTTGTCTTCCTACTGGCTGGTGTGAAGTGGTGTTTTTTCCACCATTCTGGATGCCTCAGGCCAATGATTCTCAGCATAATTTTTGCTCAGTATATGGCAGTCGTTGGATGATGCTCCTGTGAAAATCGTACTCTGTTCATTCCCAGATTACTCATACAGCAAGTCACATATTGAGTACCTACTACTTGCTAGGCACTCTTCTGGGAACTGGAATTATGCAGTGTTGGAAAAAGCAAAATCTTCACCCTCATGGAGCTTATTCTAATAAGAGGAGACAGAAAACAAGCATACAAGTAAAGATACGATGTAACAGAAGGTTATAAGCGCTATGGGGAAAAAAAGGAAAGTAGAGTGAAAGGACTAGGAGCATGGTTTACTATTCATCGTGAGAGGTGGGGAGTGGGTAGAGTATGGACAGGCCAGAGAAGGCTTCATTAATATAAGTTTTTCAGCAGAGACTGAAAATGGAAAGTTTCTTCAGGGAAATGTTGATATGTAGAATAGGAAAATTTCAGAGAATACAGCAAGTGCAAAGCCCCCCACATAACCTATGAATTGGACAGAAGGTAAAGGAAAAAAAAATCAGGGTAATGTGTGGCGTGGATGCAGTAAATATGAAAGCTTTTAAAAATCAAATATATCAAAAATGTCTTTTTACCAGGGAAAGTGAATTTATATGGATGTCCTGTTTTAAAGTTGAACTTCATTTAATAAGTCTTGATTTTTAAAGCCCATTACTCCAAAAGTAATATTAATATGGCAAGAAAATATGCACTATTAAAGAATAAGTAAAAATAAAATGTATTGTGCTGATTATTGTAGACACAGATGTCTAACATGTAGATATGACTCTATTAGAGATTTCACCTGCATCATCACCTCTTCGACATAGCCACGATAATTGTTGTATTTTTACTAACATATGTTTATACCAGAGGTTGTCAAGCTACAGCCTGTGGGCCAAATCTGGTTCGCCATCTGTTTTTGTATGGCCTGCTAGCTAAGAATGGTTTTTACATTTTTAAATGGTTAGAGGGGAAAATATAGAAGAAAATGAATATTTCATGACATGTGAAAATTATATAAAATTTAAATTTCAGTGTTCTTAAAGTTTTGTTGGAACACAGCCACTCCCATTCATTTACTGGTCTATAGCTGCATGAGCGCAACAAAGGCATACTTGAGAAGCTGTGTCGGAGACTGAATGGCCCAAAAACCTAGAATATTTACTATCTGCTGACGCCTGGTTCATGGCATCCTTCTAATGTTCGTAAGATACAGGTGTAGATACCCTACACGTGCTACTATCCTTGCCTTTTGGAAGCAGCTTTATTAAAATAGAGTTTATATACAATGAAACACATCTATTTAAGATGTACAATTCAGTTAGCTTTAACAAATATGACAGTCCTCTTACCACCACCAAAGTAAAAGCATAGAACATTTTCATTCCTCCAAGAGTTGCACTGTGGCTCTTTACAATCAATCTCCTTCCCAACTCCTGGTCCTTGGCAACCACCATCTGCTTCATATTACTAGAATCTTGCCTTTTCTAGATATAATAGACAGAATATAGACTATGATAGAATTATATAGACTAGAACCACATGCAGTATATAGTCTTTGTGTCTCATTTCTTTAACTTAGCATAATGTAATATTTGATTATGTATCATGAATTCCATTCCTTTTTATTGCTGAATACTATTCCATTGTATGGATGTACCACAATTTGTTTATCCATTCATGTGCTGACAAACATTTGGAATACTTTCAGTTTGGGGATCTTATTAATAATACTGAAATGAAAACCATTTGCATGTAAGTCTTGTGTGGATGTATGTTTTCATTTCTCCTGGGCAGCTATCTAGGAATGGAATTGCTGAATCATATAGTATGTTTCAGTTTTCAAGAATTTGCTGGCCTCTTTTTCAAGTTTGCTGTACTATTTTGAACTCCTAGCAACAATGTATAGAAGTTAAAGTTGCTCTATACCCTTGTCCACACTTGATATTGTCAATCTTTTTAATTTTAGTCTATTCTGGTGAGTACAGTCATTGTGGCTTTGCATCACATTTCCTTAATGACTTAATGATTTCTAATACTTTTTTCATGTGTTTGTCTGACATCTGTATATCTTCCCTGATGAAGTGTCTATTGAAATCTTTTGCCAATTTTTTAATAATTTGGTTGCTTCTCTTCCGTTTGTTGAGTTGAAAGAGTTCTTTATATATTCTGAATATAAGTCCTTTGGCAGATATGTTTTTGCAAATATTTTCTCCCCACTTGTAGCTTCTCTTTTCATTTTCTTAATGGTGTCTTTTGAAGAGTAAATATCTTCAATTTAATGAGGTTTAATTTAGCATTTTTTCCTTTATACTTCTTGCTTTTTTAGTCCTATTTTGAAACTTTTGCCTAATCTCAGATCATTAAGCTTGTCTTCTGTTTTTTTCTAGAATTTTAGTGTTATATTTTGCATATTAATATATGATCTATTCTGAATTAAGTTTTGTATACAACGTTAGACAAATAAGATTCATTTTTGAGGCATATGGACATCCAATTGCTCTAGCACCATTTGTTGAAAAGATTATTCTTTCCTCTCAAATTGCCTCGACACCTTTGTCAAAAACCAATTTGTGATATCACTTTGGGTACATTTCTGGCTTCTTTATTCTGTACCTCTGATCTATGTATCTATCTTTATGCTAATACCACACTGTCTTCATTACTGTAGCTTTATAATAGATCTTGAATCAGGTGGTATAAGTCTTCCAACTTTGTCCTTTTTTTGTAAAATTGCTTTGACTATTATACTATAGACCTTTTATATTTCTAAATAAATGTCAGAATTGGCTCATCAATTTCTATTAAAAAAAATCCTGGCCAGGTGCACTGGCTCACGCCTGTAATCCCAGCACTTTGGGAGGCCAAGGTGAGTGGATCACCTGAGGTCAGGAGTTTGAGATCAGCCTGGTCAACATGATGAAACCCCGTCTCTACTGAAAATACAAAAATTAGCTGGGCATGGTGGCAGGGCGCATGTAGTCCCAGCTACTCAGGAGTCTAAAGCAGGAGAATCGCTTGAACCTGGGAGGCGGAGGTTGCAGTGAGCCAGGATCATGCCACTGCACTCCAGATGGGCTGGGCAACAGAGTGAGACTCCATCTCAAAAAAAAAAAAAAAATTCTGTTTGGCCTTTCATTAGGATTGTATTGAATCTATAGACCAACCTTGAGAGGTTTGATATCTTAACAATCTTGAACCTTCTAACCATGAATCTGGTCTATCTCTCCTCTCATTAAGGTCTTATGATTTTCAGAATATAGGTTTTAAATAATTTGTCAAATTTATCCCAAAGAATTTTATATTTTTGATGCTGTTTTAAATGATACTGTTTTAAAATTGAAATTTATAATTGTTCATTGCTAATATATCAAAGTATAATTGAAAGATACATATTGATTTTTATTCTCCAAACTTGCTAAGCTTACTTATTAGTTTTATTAGGTTTTTTTTGTAGATCCCTTAGAATTTTCTACATAGAAGATTATATTTTCTGTAAATAAAGTCAATTTTATTTTTCTTCTTTCCATATCTTTATGCCTTTTACTTGCAGTTTTTGTATTTGGAACTGGATCTGGATAAGACCTACATAACACCATATTGAATAGAAGTGGTGAGAGTGAACACCCTCGCTTAGTTGGTACTGGCTTAATGCATAGGAGAACAAAATATGTAGGAGCTTCAAGAATGTTATTGGGTCTTCGTGTCTTCTCTTGGCCCTACCTTTCTATGTGTTGGCATCACTATCAGGCAAGATTTTTTCACATGAGATCCCCTAGCAGTTCCAGGCACACATCACATAGTTGTCAGTCTATTCCAGTAGTTTCGACCAAGAGTGACTGTCCTTTCCCACATCAATCCACTCCTGAGGACTTTTGGCAGTGTCAGGAGATCCTTTTGGTTGTCACAACTGGGAGGGGGAGTAGTTACTAATCAGATATAGTCCAGGAATGCTGCTCAACAACCTACAATGCACGGGACAGCCCCCCACAACAAAGTTATCTGGACTTAAGTGTCAATAGTGTCATCACTGAGAAATGGTATTGTGGAAAGAGCTTCTCCTATTCAATACTTTTAACTCAAATCTCAGAACTGATTCTCGCTGGACCAACTTGTGTCACTTGCTTATCTCTGAACCAATCACTGTGGCCACAGGATTAAATATATACACTGATTGGCTAGGTTTGGGCCATGTGTTAACTTCTAGAGCTAAGACTGAGATGATGTCACACTGACCCAAGCCCCATGAACTATGAACATGATAGTGGATAGTTTGCCAAAATTTAAGTTAATGTCTGACATTAGAGGAAGGAGGGAAACATGCTGGGCAGACAAGAAGAGCAGATGTTCATGAGATCCCCGTTGGAAAAAGGGACTGCCAAAAGCCACAGTCAGGTGGATAGAGGTTAAAGTCTGAACAGGAACTTAGAGTACCAGACAGGGAGATGGAGGCAAGCTGGGCCTGTGGCCTATACCACAAAGGGAGGCCTGGGGTGCTCTGATACTCATGATATATTTTGGGGTACACTAGCCTTTGGGCAGCCTTACTGCCATAAGATACAACAATAAGGGAATAAGGGTGAATGACTCTATGGGAATTCGCTCAGAAACAAGGAGAGGTTAGGGTGGCCCATGGAGGGCTTCAGTGAGTCCAGATGTAAAGATACAGAGAGAAAGAAATATACAGCAGGAATCTCAGACCCACACCACCGTCACTGGAGTATTTCCCATTCATATTCTGATGAAAGGAGTATTTTCACTAATGAATCAGGTTAATAACAGTTATCTTTCAGATAACTTCAAAAACTGGTGATACTACGATAGGTAGTGATACTGTTTCAAACTTCTTTTCTTTTTCTCCTGTAGAAAGAAAAGAGGCTGCACAGCATTCCCCAGTGGGCTCAATGTAAGTGTAATACTTAAGTGATTGCTCCATGGTAAGCCTGTTTTCTTTCATTCAGTGTTTTCCCACAAAAGGCATCCTCTGGCAGAAAAGCTCTGATCAAAGACCCATAAGGTAATAATATCACCTCCATTCAACATTTCTGTATATAAAAAGTTAATAAACCTTCAGAAAACACCATAAAGAAGTGTTACTGCACATGCACACACACACACAAAGTAACTAGAGTAATAAATAAAATACTCAGGTGCAGAAGGAGAAAATGATTTTGTGTGTATGTGTGTGTGTGTGTCATTAAGGGTTAGACAACTCTACAACTTTGGGGTCCATCTAGATTAAAAAGTATTACAGAAATGTGAGATTAGCACCAGTACATAATGTATATTTCTTACTTAAAAGGGACCGAAGGACAAACAAATTTGTGTAATGAAGGTTTTGATCTTGATACTAGTAAAATAGGCTCCTACCACTATTCATTTTCTTTCTGGTTTCCAAGGGGATTGGGTTTTTGAATAAGGGAGCAGCTTGGAATCAATTTACAAGGCGCACGTGAGGACACAGCAAGGTGGGCACTGCCCAAGATTATTATTGTACAAAAGAAACCTCAAAAGCAATTTTCCACTAACCTCTCTCTGCAACAGAAAATCAGAGGCTGTAGGAACATTTGAAGAGTTAAAATAGGGTAAGTGGATTAGTATAATTTCCTGATGGTCTTTAAAGTTTTATATAGAAAAGTTTTAGAAAAGTATTCATCAGCAAACCTCAGAAATTTAAAAGCATCACAGTCTGAGGCAACTTAAGGTTCTATTCAGCATTATTTGACCACATTTTTATTTCTGCAATTTTTAAAAGGTTCATCCTTCATTTTCAACCCCTGCCTACTCTTTCCACCAACAAGATTTTGAAAAAAGGGTCAGGAATGCATTGTCAATAGAAGGGACTTTAGGAGAGAAAATCAGATCGTTGTTCTTTTTTAGTTCTTTTTTTGTCTTTTCTTGATGTATGTATTCCCTTTTCTTTTACCTCTTTGCCCCCACCCCCACTAGACGTATTTTGTTTTTCTCTTTCTTTAAAATATTGAAATTCACTGTGAAAAAATACAACTCTATTTCCTTGGTAAAACACCAGGCATGAACCTATGTTCACAAGTCCTTGGTCATGGCAGACGGTGGCTAAACTGTCAAAGTAGAAGCAGGTTTGTTGTTCCTGTCCATTGCCTGAACATCACAGTGGGTTCCCATGAGCATGCCCGGAAGAGAGAAGGAGGGATCCTGTTGGCTTAGTTACTCTATCAGCGTCTGTGAAAAAGAAGATTCTGTTTGGGTGTTGTGGCTCATGCCTGTAATCCCAGCACTTTGGAGGCCGAGGCAGGTGGATCACTTGAGGTCAGGAGTTCAAGACTAGCCTGGCCAACATGGTGAAACCCTGTCTCAACTAAAAATACAAAAATTAGCCTGGTGTGGTGGTGTGCATCTGTAATCCCAGCTACTCTGGAGGCTGAGGTGGGAGAATCGTTTGAACCTGGGAGGCAGAGGTTGCAGTGAGCCAACATCATGCCATTGCACTCCAGCCTGGGCAACACAGCAAGACTCTGTCTCAAGAAAAAAAGGGAGAAGATTCTTACTTCAAAGGATGAAACCTAGGTTTAGCATGGGAGAATTTACTGGTGCTGCTGTGCCCATCAAGGACAATAAGTATTCAAAAAGTTTAACCCTGCAGATGCCCTCTCTGTCTCTGTCTCAGCTGTTTTTCCTATAAGCGGCTCTTTTTCTCAAACCTGATTTCTCCACAAGACTGGAGCGCTGGTTGCTCAAAGTTCCAGGGCCCCACATCTTCTTTGGCACTGGAGACAAAGCCCTCACTTCTCTTCCTCCAGTGTTTAAAATCCCAGGGCAGTCTACCTGTCCATTTTGGGTTTCATGCTCATTCCGTGGGCAGAGGAGCAGAGTACAGTGATGGGTGACTTTCAGTGGGACCACAAGATCAGAGGGGAGAAATGAATACTCCTCTAAATTTGTTTCTTAAAGAAGAGAAAGAGTTCTGAATCCATGCAGACAAATAACAAAGTACTATATTTGGTGGACCCTATGACTCCTTTTTTCCTCCACATTTTAACATCTCTTAAATCATGATCAATGTCATGTCACAGTTTAATTGGCAACATTTCTTCCTTTTTGGCAGTATATAAGATAGTGGTTCATCGTCTTATCTATGTTATCTTAGATTCAATGAAATATGGCGTGTCTGAAGGCATGTGGAGGTGAAAAGGAGAGTCAAATAATCATAGCAGACCAAAACGAACAGTAGTTATGGCTGCCTGGATCAAGGAAGAAAATACCAAGGATCAAAACCTCAATACTAAGGGAGGGACCTAGAGGTTAATGCGGTGCAGCCCTGTCACTTTGTTTCTGCAGACAGAGAACCTGAGCTTCTGTCACTGGCTCAGACAAATTGCCTGGGGAAAATTGTTCAACTCCTGGAGCCTTTGTTCCCTACTTTAAGAACTGACAGTTCAGTAGCTTGCCTACCTCTCTGGAATGATGTTAGAGTTAAAGGGCTGACAACCCACTGGGTGTAGTCCTCTCTACCTACGTTTCTAGTGTTCAGAGAAGTTACTGGGGCGATAGGAATTTTTTTGAACACCCATTGGTGCCTAAGGAACCCTTTGTCAGAAGCTAAGTATTCCATGCACCCAGCCTCTATAATGTTCATGAGTCACTTTAATAACACTTTATTTTCCTGCTTAAGTTTTAATTGCTCAGAAAATAGCAAAGAGGCACCGTGAAAGCCACAACCCAAATGACTTTGCAGGGCCTCCTGCTGTGCCCTCCAAGTCTGTTTTCAAGATTTATCTCCACTCAGAATTAACTAGAAGGAGGAGGAGGGGGAGGAAATGCTAAATAGCTGCATCATGTTAAAACAAATTAAGTTCAGTTTCCACAATGGCAAAATACACTGGGCGCATACTAACCAGGCAGTTTATTGCAGTGACTTTTCAGGGGTTGTTTTTGTTTTTGTCTGTAAAAGTATTTCCAGATCTAACATCCTCGCAGTCTTTTGTCAAGAAATCCACGTTTGGCTGAGACACATTGACTGGGCATATTCTACTTACTAATTCAGAAAGGCCAGCTATTCCTATGTGCCACGGAAAAGCCAAAGGGTGGTAATGAGAGTAGGAGGTAATTTGGGCAGGGGGTTGAAGTACATGTTCTCCCCAGAATACACTCTGGGGCACTGGGTTAGCATGCTGATGAGAGATAACATGAGACCCGATTAACAGCAATTGAGTAGACATTCTGGAATGCTACCACTCAGGCTCCTGTCAGACCAGGACCCTACATTCATTCCAAGTGAATGGGTGCCACCATGCTGGCTTTCCATTTCACAGTGGGAATCTGGGGAGGAAAAGCAGCAGCACATGAAGCATATCTATCTTGTAGACACAAGCCTGTAAGAAAAAAGTGACCCATCACCCTTTATTCCCAGGGGACTTGTATGCAACTGCACTGTAAAAGCCCTGCCCTTGCTGGAGACTGGCATTCCAGAGCTCTGTTTCATGCTGTGATTGACATGTGGTGAATGCCAACATTTTAGAAGTCATGTGTCATTCATTCAATGACACACAACTCATCTACAGGACCAGAGCTTCTGCTCCCTACTCTAGTCTGTACCTGCAGTGTACCCAATCTCCCATTCGTGCTATCCTGGACATCATATTCTGGAGGGACATTTTTTTTTTTGCAGTCCATCCATCATTCATTCAAGAAATGTTTCTTGAATGTGCCTGTCAGGTGTTCAGCCCTGTTCTGAGCCCTAGGGACACAGTGGTAAATAAATTTAAAACAAATTTTTTTTTAAAACGAAACAAACAAACAAAAACCTTACCTGTCTTTGTGGCGTACATTCCAGTGGATATCTGTGGCTTTTGCCCCTCCAGCATCCCTTCCTATGGTGCCAGCACTTCACTGTTTTTTGGGGGAGCCATGCTCAAACCCTGTGATGCAAGGGAGGCTGATGGAATTCTTGGTGGTGGGGGCAGGGATGAACTCAAGGCCTGTACAATCAAGGTGCTGCAACCCCTTGCTCACAAGATTGGTTAATTGCTACAACTGTTGGGGAAAAGTTCCACTGTGTCAGCTGGGGGAGGGGGTCCTAGGCTGGTGAGACATTAAGTCTAGACTGTTGCTGGTCACTTGTGTCACCACGTGGGGAGAGGCTGCCTGAGAATGAAGCAGACATAGAGGAAAGCCGAGCTGAGAGATAGAGAAAGAGAGAGATGGGGAGAACTCCTGGCATGCTTTTCAGGCCCACAAACCAATAGACCCCATTTCCTATGCGACCAGTTTGAGTTGGGTTTCTAGTATTTGCAGCTGGAAAGATTTCTTGACAAATACAGGTGCTAGGTGAAGTTATAAAACAGGAGCTGGTTTCTGTGTCTTTCTCTCTTCCTCAGTACTGCATACCCTCTCCCAAGGAAACCCTGCACAACCATGTCAAGGCAAGCCCGGGACAGTCCACCAACCTCTTGCCTTCCTTTAACCTTTTGACTGGGAAGGTGCAAACAAATTTTCCTCTTTTTTCATGAAAAGATGACACAGCTCAGGGGAAGCTGTCAGGCTTTGGAGACAATGGAGCCAGCTTTGACCCTATCTCTGCAGCACACCAGCTGTGGCCTTGGGCAAGTCACATCACCCCAAGCTTCAGTTTCAGCATCCATCAAATGGGAATAGGGGCCCTGTTCTCACAGTGTCACATGTAGAAGGAGCAACACAAAACATGAGTCTCCTTTTTCTTCTGTCATTTCTCCCTGATTAAAATAGTTACCATGTTGGACAGTGTTGTGACAAATTGATCGGGCCACTGAGAATCCATGAGAGGGAAAAACTGGAGTTGGGGGTCCCTAAGCAAAAGTAGATGCTTAGCTAAAAATCTTTACGAAGGATTGACATTTGTTTCAGGCCCCTTCCAATGCTGGGCCTAGAAGTGTGTACCAGCTTATACTCCCCACCACCCTGAAAGTTAGTGCATGAAAGGTTCATGACAGGACGGGCACAGTGTCTCATGCCTATAATCCTAGCACTTTGGGAGGCCAAAGACAGGCAGATCACTTGAGGCTAGGAGTTCGAGACCAGCCTGGCCAACATGGCAAAACTCCATCTCTACTAAAAATACAAAAAAATTAGTCAGCCATAGTGGTACATGCCTGCAATCCCAGCTGCTTGGGAGGCTGAGGCAGGAGAATGGCTTGAACCCAGGAGACAGAGGTTGCAGTGAGCTGAGATCATGTCACTGTACTCCATCTGGGGCGACAGAGTGAGACTCCATCAAAAACAAACAAACAAACAAACAAACAAACAAACAAATGACCCATGAAAGGTTCATGACAAAGTAAAGTGTGGTTCTTTCCAAGGATTTTACATTTCAAACTGGAACAGACTTTTACCATAAACAGATGGCTGTTGATTAAAGGCATTAAGTTGGGATTCATGGCAGATAGTTTGTAGGTATTGAAGAATGGGTCTACCCTATCAGCACAGCCCTGTTCTCTCAGTGAGTGAAGCCAGCCCTAGTGGATGAACCCCTGGCGCTTCCTGCTCTGAATTCACCTCTTTCCTTCCTGAAAGAAATACGTGTGGTTTTGGCGGCAGTGTCTGAACCACCTTCCCCACTGTACTCGTCTTGTGAGAAGCAAAGCCCCTTCCTGTTGGCTTCTCTTGCTGTTCGGGTCTGGTAATGACCTAGATTCTGTCCATCAGACCCCAAGGCTGGGACTCTGACACAACAGTCAAGAACAGAGTGGGAGTCTTCTTGTGGGTAGAGAAGTGGTAGTAACAACTTGTCCCCATGGCAGTGCCAGAGGTACTAGTGGAGGGCCTAACATCCCACATCCACTGGATTGGCAAGCCAAGTGATGTCACCTGGGACTCAGCCATGGTGGCACAGCTGTCTTTGCTGGCTTGTTCTGGGGAGTTCACTTGGCTGGGGTTCTGCCTGCAAAACTTCTTTGCCTGGTGCTCCAGATTCCCCAGTGACTCCAAATTCCCCTGTGAATTAGAAACTGTCCTTGCAGTAAATTTATTTCTATCTAAATCAGCTGGTGGGAGTTTCTATTGCTTGCAAATAAGAATCCTAACTGATACTCATTTGTCCATGGACTTCCAAATCTACATCATTCATCTGACTTCTCATATTTCTTGAACCTCATTTCTTGTTTCTAGTCAGGAATCACCGCTTACATCCGCCACCTCCAACTTTACCCAAGATAATGAATTTCTTTCCTGAATGTCAAGTCTTCTTCAATTTCATATAATCATCAATGGTGCCTCTGGTGTCCTGGTCCCTCAGTAGCCGTCAGTGTCCTTTGATTCTAATCCCTGACTTTTTTTCTTTTACATTTTACATCCATTATGTTTCTCAATAAGTCCAGTTATGCAATAAATATTTATGGTATGCCTAGGAAGCGCCAGGCACTGGGAGTGCTGGGTGAGCCCCACAGCACTTGGATACTGCCCTGGCCTTCAAAAGGACTGGTTCCGGAGAGGGGATTCTTCTTCTTCTTCTTCTTCTTTTTTTTTTTTTTTTTTTTTGAGACAGAGTTTTGCTGTTGTTGCCCAGGCTTGAGGGCAATGGCACAATCTTGGCTCACCACAACCTCTGCCTCCCAGGTTCAAACGATTCTCCTGCCTCAGTCTCATGAGTACCTGGGATTACAGGCAGGCACCACTACGCCTGGCTAATTTTGTATTTTTAGTAGAGACGGGGTTTCTCCATGTTGGTCAGGTGGTCTCGAGCTCTCGACCTCAGGTGATCCACCCGCCTTGGCCTCCCAGAGTGCTGGGATTACAGGCGTGAGCCACCGCGCCTGGCTGGATTCTTCTTTTTAATAGTTTCCCAAGCCATGACACATTCCTTCTCTGCAGAAGCATGTCCATCTCATCCCTGAACTATTTGCAACAAACTGCTTGCCTTGGGCTGTTGTCTTTACCAGCCTTTTGGTGTGTCTTTCTGTCACATCGCATCTCTTGTCAGACACCCACAGTGGCTCACTGTAGTGTTGCAAATCCAATTAGGGCCTTGGATAACGTGGCCTCCTGGTCCCCTGGCCAGGGCCGCTCTCACTCCTCTGTTGTCTTTTACTAAGCACCTCTCTGGACTTACACTTTCCCTTAGCCCAGGCAACCTGTGCGCTCAGCTCCCACAAAACCTAACAGGCCATTCCGCCTCCTGAAACACCTCTCTCACTGTTTCCCAGTTGAACAGCAGGATACTCCTGCAAGGTCTTCTCACACCAACACCCTCTGGCTCCACTCATTCTAGAGATTCCAGCATCCCCTGGGTGCATTTCTCTCTACAGTTTCAGCTAGCTGTGCGCCTTACACAGTTGGGCATTTTTAGTTCATGTTTTTGTGGGGTTTTGCCCATCTAATCTTCTGAATTATAAATTTCTCAAAGGCATGGGCTGTGTCTCTTATTTTTAACTCTTTTTTCATGAAGTTAGAAAACTAATAATAATGGTATTAATATTTTGCTTTTGCTTTATTGTTTACAAAGTGCTGTCACAAATATAAGCACTTCACAGCAACATGTTGAGGTGAGAATAGAAGCATGAAAGTTAAAGAGTTTAGGCTCTGGATTAGGTACACCTAATTAAAATCCTGACTGTAACTTAGTCCTGGCTGTGTCTCAGTTTATTCATGTGTCAGCAGGGGATAGCAACAGTTCTGCCTTCATGGGGTTGTTGTGAGAATTAAACTGAGTCCACATATGAAAAGTGCTTACTTAGCACAGTGCCTGGTACATAAAATGAGCCTAATTAAGACTATTGTTGTTTTATTATTGTTTGTTGTCGCAATCATCTTCATTTTAAAAACGAGGAAAATGAGGCTTGGAGATGTTAAATAATTTACTTAAGCTCTTGAGACTACCAAGAGGCAGAACAGGGTACAGAACAGGCTCTAAGATGCCAAAAGCATATGGCACATGGTATATGGTAAATACCAATACACATGGGCCCCTGACAATTGAAGCATCATATTCTACTCCTTGGAAGAACGTGATGGACATTGCTGAAGCTTGTGCATGACCCCAAAACAACAGAGGACTGGCGACTTAAAGAGTAGCTACCTAAAGTAGCCAAGGTGGATTACTCTGGGAAGAAACTATAGATTCTCCTCATTCACTCATACCTTTACAAAGTTAAAGCATCCCCTCTGGAGAGGTCAGACATGCTGAGTAATCCTCAGAGGCTGGCTGCCAGCCACTGCCATCAGAACTAAAGGGAAGCCACAGAGGCACAGCTAGAAAGACTCCTCTCTTGGGAACTAGATTAGAGATGACTTTTATTTTTCCTTCTTGGTGAGGAGAAGGAAGGCTAAGTCTCCAGAGCAATATTTTTTAGGGAAGTCCTCTTCTTGGTCAATCCATCTGTTACTTTTCTGTCGTCACAACATGGGGTAAAGAATGTCACATCCTGGCCAAGCACAGTGGCTCACACCTGTAATCTCAGTACTTTGGGAGGCCGAGGAGGGCAGACCACTTGAGGCCAGGATTTCATGGCCTAAATCCTGAAACCCTAAAAATATGAAAATTTAGCTGGTCAAGATGGTGCACACCTGTAATCAGAGCTACTTGGGAGGCTAAGGCATGAAAATCACTTGAACCTATGAGGCGGAGCTTGCAGTGAGCCATGATCGCGCCACTGCACTCCAGCCTGGGCGACAGAGCGAGACTCCATCTCAAAAAAAAAAAAAAAAAAGAATGACACATCATACTAGCAAAGAAAAGAGAATTGTCCACAAGGAAATTCTAATTGAGAGGGTGATACAGAGGGAGTGTGAAGGGAGTACGGGGCTTGCCACATGATGAGTTGCATGCCCCTGGACCACCTGCCCAGCCTCGGCGGCTCCGGTTCCCTGACTGCCCCATGAGGATAACAGTTCACCATCCCAGGATTATCTGGGGAATTAAATGAGTTGATGCACATAAAGCACCCAGCATTGTAGCTGGCACATAATAGCGTTCAAGATGAATTTTTAAAACTCTAGGCTCAGCCAGGCATGGTGGCTCACGCCTGTAATCCCAGCACTTGGGGAGGCAGAGGCAGGCTGGTTGCTTGAGCTCAGGAGATTGAGACTAGCCTGGACAACACAGGAAGACCACATCTTTACAAAAAATAAAACATAAAGAGTAGCCAGCCATGGTAGCACACACCTGTAGTCCCAACTACTCTGGAGGCGGAGGTGCAAGGATTGCTTGAGCCCAAGAGGTTGAGGCTACAGTGAGCCATGATCATGCCACTGCACTCCAGTCTAGGTGTCAGGGCTAGGCCTTGTCCCAAGGGAAAAAACAACAACAATGACACAATTCTTGGCTCCTTCAGGAGAGCCTGGCGCAATCCACCCAGGGATTTCCATGGAGCTCAGCAACCCTGGTTAGGCACTGTACCAAGCAGCAGATAGAGTGTGTCTGCCCAGCTGCTGACAGTTCCACGCGCCCTTAGAGCCTTCCTAGTCTGAGCATCATACCAGCTTCTGAAACCCTGAAGAACATAGCTTATATAGCTTATTGTATTTTTACTTTCCTTTTAAAATTTGACATATAATTTTCACACTATAAAGTGTACAGCTCCATGAATCTTTACATATGTGTACACACGTGTATCACTACCCAGATCAAGTTGTGGAACATTTCCACCACCCTAGAGCTTTCTCTCCTGCTCATCGCAGACAATACCCACAGAGATAACCGCTTTTCTGGTTTCTATTAGCTCAGATTTGGTTTGCTTCTTCTCTAAGAACTCACTTTGTTTTGAAAAGAAAATAAGGAATAGCATGTTATACTTTTAAATCACCTTCAGACCATCACCAAGAATGATTTCATTTTAGCCTAAGGTGCTTCTGAGATTAGAGAAAGAAGTGGGAAGGAAAAAAATCCGACGGGTGAGGAAGGTGAGGGTAGAGAGGGGTGGGAGAGCTGAGAAAGAGTCCTGTCACCAGAGAGATAACGATTCACATAACAGAGGAGGGTTCACAGACTGGAGGCTTATACAGGCCTTCAAGAATGCTTAGGCGCTCTGTTCATTAACTGTATAGAGATGCTCAAAGACTGTCCCAACCTACCTAGAAGACAGGGAGATGAGTTAAAGAAAGTCCTCTGGGTAGAAAGTCAGTTTCACCAACTGCCTTCAGAGATGAACCTTTTCTGTCATCAGACCCACACACGCCTCAAGGATGGAGGGGGCTGCCCATTTCGGGGTGTGGGTGAGATGTCCAAAGCCCACAGAGAAAGAAGGGAAAGAGGGGGGAGAGAGGAGAAGACTCCAGAGGGTATTACTGTAGCTGTTCATGTCTAAAGAGCCCCAGGCAATCCTTGAGCTTGCAGATAAACTTTCTCTTCGTGTATTAAGCTTTGGGGGGGTCACATTAATTATTCATGATTCCTCTGTTGACACTTTTGGATTATCTGTGCTAACAGAAGTGAAGGACAGGGCAGCCTCTCAGCCTAGGTGACAGAGGGACAGTGTCGCTGGGGACCACACTGAGCTGCGCTGCTGGCACAGTGGAGGATTAGGGTTACCCCAACCAGTTCAGAGAGCTATTTTGAGAGACCTTAGGAAACAGACCTCCCCCCACTCATTTTTCTTCTCAAGCCTGGCCCCCTCTGACATGATGACAGGTAGAGGGGCACAGTCTATCTATGGGATTGTTCTGGGCCAAACTTCAGGGCCTCTGGCAGCAGGGGATGAACCTAAGGTTTTGGCTTCTTATCTGGTGGCTAAATACAATTAGATTCCTTTTATAAAATATAATTAACCTTAATATATGTGAAGATATAAAGCCTGTGGGTTGACTGATGCTCTTCAGTGCCTTGATTTCCTTTTCACTGACTGCAGGTCTAGAAACTGCTGGGAGCATTGCAGCAGGCTCCAAAATTTCTTTGGCTGTATATCTTTAATGAAACAAATGTTGAGCATACCCCAATATGTGCATATCTGTTTACAAATTACATACATGGACTACTGTGCCAATGTATTCTGTAAAGTAAAAGCAACAACAAAAAAGAAAATTTGAAAAATGAGGTGAAAGATAAAATAATATTCTTAAACTGATTTTTAATTTTATTTTCTAACAGTGTAAAGATATTTTGCTTTCATCAAAAAGAATTAACATGTTTTAGCAAGAGCAATGGTTCAGTAAATCTTTGTTAAACCCATTATGATAAAAACAATTTGAGGAGCTGGTTCTAAACTTAGGCAGAATAACTTAAATCTTGGTTTTCAGGACTGTCAGAAATAAAAAATTTCCTTTGCCAAGGGACACAAAGACAAATGATAAAATGCATCACTGGCTGGAATTAATAAATCATTTAGTTTATTTTCCAATCTTATTTGCAAATTATGCAAATTCATTGAATTTGGCTTGGAAATTTTTATCTTTATCTTCCTTGATGTCTATCAGTTGTTCTTACAAAGTAAACTTGCACTGTTCTACTGTTATTATTTTTAACAAATGGGTTCAAAAGCCATTGAAATTCTTTGTTTAGAAAATCTTTAAACAGCTTAGAAAATTACATTTTCAACTTTTTAAAGAGTGCTGACACTTGTCACATTTATACTGTTTGTACCAACAGATGAATAACTCAAACCATTTCCAAAATGCTCTTTTAATATACAAGTTTCTTTAGAAAGACTTTCTTACTTGTTAAAATGTCACCTTTACCTTGAAGGGACAGATGAAGTGTGCTTATTTTTTCAAAAATATCTGCTTGGTAGCATTTGTTATCATAGTAAAAGTCTGAAAATACAAAACATCTTTCTTATAAAAGAAAAATGTGGAATTCATTTTTAAGTTTGACAAATCTATTCAGAACTTTTCCATAAGACAACCTGTGAAATTCTGGGTTGATCAGAATATTTTCATGCTCACTCCCCGTCTCAGTAGAAGGTATTGATGATTCTGCTGTCTTTAGACTATGTGTGAATAGTAGCACCTCTTGATATATGAAGAGCATGGAAGATGAAGGCCCCATTGTCAACCCTCTGACTTGGAGGACTGTACTCTGCCTACAGGGTGTCTCCCATGCTGTGTGTGACAAGTGATCATTTGATATTCAGACTTAGGGTGCCAGTAATAATTCACATAGTATATTTTTAGTCTTGGTTTTGGATGAAAAATAAATACATAGAGAAGCTTGAAATGTCCTAATGGCTCACACTCCATTTTGAAAACTTGTGTTGCTCTTGAGTGAGCTTGACCTTGAATTTATACTTCATCACTAGTTTGTGTAAGATCTATAACCTTGCTGTGCATAGGTTTCTTCTTCAAACTTGGAATAATGGCAGTACTGACTGAACAGGATTGTTATGAGGATTATATGAGATACTGCATGAAACCATTTAGCATGGTGCCTGGTATGATGAAAGTTGGTTATGATCATGCTTGCACTTCAAGTTCTATTAATCAAGAATCTCACTTGAACCAAATTTAGCAAACTCAAGTCTGCCTAGAATAATTCATCATTGCTCCTCACCCCATTCCCACCTCTATCCCAGGTCTGATTTTGGGCACGGCAAATACATTTCATCGCACATGTTGGATCCAATCCATTGAGAGTAGCTGCTCAGAGCACTGGGGTTGAAATGGACTGTGATGTTGAATCTGTGTTCAACAGAAGAAGAGTGCTGTGATTGATTATCATTGTCTGCCATGAGCCTTGGAGGTAGAAATTATAGCAAGCTTTGCAGATACTACTAATCCTTATCTAATTTCTAATATCTTATTTCTTTTTCAGGACTGCCAGGATTATCCTTACATAATCAGTCCCTAGCATAGTTTCCATTTTGTATCTGAGAGTCCAACAAGGTCTGTTGAGTAAAATGAACACATCTTTCTCAGTATTATTACCTCCATTAGCTTGAAGGAAATTATTGTTTTCTAGAAAAAGTTTGATCAGAGAGAGCTGCCCAGAGGGCTTCAGAGTTGAAATAGCAGATCTGACTGGGTACTTCAAGTTGAACAAAGAGATGCTGAAGGCAGTTAGAGCTGTAAAGAAAGGTGAACCTGGATTAAAAACAGGAAAAAGTCATGAGGAGAGGGGAACACAGGTGAAGTCGATGGGAAAACTTGTAGGACATGAACTGAAGTCTGGAAAACTGTAAGTCACATTATAACCAAAATGACTGTAGTTAATTCTCTGAATTAGATAAAGGAGTATATTGTATGCTCTTAAACCAGTATTTTAAAAAAACTTTTGTTGGGTAAGCACAAATACAATCATATTTCTGTGACTTTAAAGGGCTTAAGAGTTTATAAGTGAATCTGGTTAGTTCAGTTTTGCTACCTAGGATGGTGTAATCCTAGACTGGTTTGTAAGATGAACTTACCCTGCATGGTTTGCCCAGAGACAAATATGAAGCCTAAGGATTTATGAAAATGTGGATGGAAAGGAATCTCGAAGATCTGATGAAGTATTCAAACCTTCCAATTACAGAGTAGAAAATGTTTCCCTTTGATTTTTAGACATAACCTCCATTTTTATAGTCCACCTCACCATCATACCACCAACGTGCAGTGTAGAGTATCTTGTCCTTTTCCTTTTTTTTTTTTTTTTTTTTTTGAGGCAGGGTCTCACTCTGTCACTGAGGCTAGAGAGCAGTGACATGATTATGGCTCACTGTAGTCTCAACCTCCTTGGCTCAGGTAATTCTTCTGCCTCAGCCTCTCAAGTAGCTGGGACTACAGGTGCACATCACCATGCTCTGCTAGTTTTTTGTATTTTTTATAGAGATGGAGTTTCTCCATGTCGTCCAGGCTGGTCTCAAACTCCTGGGCTCAAGCAATCCACCTGCCTTGGCCTCCCAAAGTGCTGGAATTACAGGTGTGAGCCACCATGCCCAGCTGTCCTTTTCAAATTAAAGTGAATTGACATTGATTGAATTGTAGAAAATTAAAACATTAGTGAAGCCCTCTGGAACTAACCAAAGGTTTATTGAGTATTACAAAACTTGAACTAAGAATGACTGTAATCTGTGTGTTCACATATAAAACAAATATGGATTTATACATGTTTGATACAATGAATGTATAATTATAATTTAATGTCTGCCATTAACTATTGAGTAATGTTCATCATTTAGTATAAACAGGAAACAGAAAACATCCACTCAAGTTGTTAAACATGCCTTTGATTTCTGGACTCTAACTTCTACACTTGGTTCAGTAAATTAAATTGCTTAGTGTTCTCTTGTCATTTGTTTTATTGTGAAAATTAGTCAACCCTTGACTAATGTTGGATATAAAGTTACATGGTAGCCATGTGTTAAACATTGTCTGCTGTGTGTACAGAATCTGGAAGTACAAAATACATTTCTTTTGGCATTTAAGAGAGCCTGACAAATGGCACTCCTCATTCATGATGAAGTTCTGAGCCAAATGGCAAATCAGACAAAAGAATAAGACAGTCAGAAAGCTAAATCACCTTTTTTTCACTGATAAAGTGAAAAAGGAGAATGATTATGGAGAATATGGCTTATATATGTAGGCAGCTGGGTTTCTTGAAGCTAAACTCCAGAATCAGGCAAACCAGCCCACTTAGTCATAGACAGGACTGGATGACCACAGATGCAGCTGCCCTGAAACCCACAGCATGGAAAAGCACTGAAGAATGTGTGGATCTGCAGGAGAGACAAGGAGTGTCTTAGTTCATTCAGGTTGCGATGACAACATTCCAAAAACTAGGTAGCTTATAAACAATATAAATTTATTTCTCACAGTTCTGGAAGATGGGAAGTCCAAGATCAAGACGGATTCTGTGTCTATTAAGGGCCCACTTTCTGGCTCATAGATGGTACCTCCTCACTGTGAACTTACATGGTGGAAGGGGAGAGAAGCGTCTCTCTGGCCTTTTATAAGGCCACTAATCCCATTCGTGAGGCACTACCCTCATGACCTAGTCACCTCCTTAAGACTCACTTCCGGCCGGGCGCGGTGGCTCACGCCTGTAATCCCAGCACTTTGGGAGGCCGAGGCGGGTGGATCATGAGGTCAGGAGATCGAGACCATCCTGGCTAACAAGGTGAAACCCCGTCTCTACTAAAAATACAAAAAATTAGCCGGGCGCGGTGGCGGGCGCCTGTAGTCCCAGCTACTCGGGAGGCTGAGGCAGGAGAATGGCGTGAACCCGGGAAGCGGAGCTTGCAGTGAGCCGAGATTGCGCCACTGCAGTCCGCAGTCCGGCCTGGGCGACAGAGCGAGACTCCGTCTCAAAAAAAAAAAAAAAAAAAAAAAAAAAAAAAAAAAAAAGACTCACTTCCTAGTTTCATCACCTTGAGGGTAAGGATTTCAACATATGAATTTGGAGGGAAGTGGGGTACAAACATTCAGAGCATAGAAGAGAGCTGGACCCCAGTCCCTGGCACCACCTTCCAGCCTCACCAATCAAATGAAGCCACTCCTCACTCTTCTTCCCAGTGTAGCCCTGGTGGGTGTGAAGTTGTGACAAGGCAGCAGTGCCCAGGTCCAGGTTCAGGAAAAGGATAGCAGAAAGTCATCAAAATACTGCATAAGCTCAAAACATCAAGAAAATATATCATTTGGTTGAATACACACGTTCCACGAGGGCAAGAATTTTTTCCATTTGTCCACTGCTATATTCCCAGTGCTAGGAAAATTGTCCCAGCACATATAAGGTGTTCAACAAATATTAATGGAATGAACAAATAAGGAGAATGAGGTAACCAGGCAGAGAGGGCAGCTAGGAGCTGCATGCATGTGGGGCTCCTACTGCATGGAAAGAAACATTGTCCTCCCCCACAGTTCTGTGACAGGTTGAAAATAATAATCATCGTGATTCTAGGAGAAATTGTTTTTGATTTGACAACTTCGCCATTACATGATATCGTAGAATTATTTGCGGGTAAGGGAAAAATTGGTGTTAATTACTAATATTTATTGAACTTATAAATTAGTAACTAGACACTGTTCTACGCTTTTTATAAGTATTGACTCCTCTAAACTTCACTGCAATCATTTGATGTAGGTACCATTATTGAGCCATTTTATGGATGTACAGTGCCAGTTGTAAGAAGTTCAAATCCAGGCTTTTTAGTTCCTGAGCACATATCTAACCACTCTGTTATATTCTACTGTTGAATTCTACCCTTCTCTTCCTCCATCACCCAATTCTGTGTGTGTGTGTGTGTGTGTGTCTTTCTGTCTCTCTGTCTCTTGACCAAGTGTTCTTTATCTCTGTACGGTTTAGTTTCTTTATCAATGAAATGATAATAATATTTAACTGATGCAGTGAGGCTAAATTAGATAATGAGTGTTAAGCACATAGCACAATGCCTGGTACATCAGCTGCTATTGTCTAATAAACAGTAGTTATTGTCCACATCTTTTGTATTGACATTGCCCCTGTTGGGCAAAGTCTTTGTGCCAGGCCCCATATACATCTACAGATTGGCTAGTCTTGGGCCAGGCACCCTCCTAGATTCAATCAGCTGCTGTATGGCGAATGGGCTCCCATGTCCATCTCTGTTGGATGGAACTATGGACTTGCTAGATTCTGAGAACTGCTTCTTCCTAAATATAGTAATCTGGACTTCCATTTGATAGTTATCTCTGACTATTGATTTGCCTCACTTTCCATTTTAGAAGGGAGGCCAACTCTAGCCCAGCCTTTATTCTCAGGGAGGTGTTAAGGGTACACACAGTGTTTTCTGTGATGGAGAAAAAGATACTACAAGCCTGCAGGAGGTGCAGAATGAAGTAGCACAAAATAAGCTTTTCTTGGAGTCTGGGGAGCCAGCACTCCTCTGTCCTTACCAAGTTTTGAACCAAGTGAGATATAAGACAAAAGAGCGATGCAGCCTGGAAACCAAAATTTCACCTTTATTTATTGAAAATGCTGATATCAGAGAATGAGGCTTACATTTGCAGGCTTCTTGATATGCAGTTCCAAAACTAGGCAAACCAACCCACCTAGTCAAAGACAGGGTTGGAACAGAGAGTCCCTGCAAGGATCAACGTTATTCAAGTTAAAAGAGATGATGATTGTGAGGGCACAGATTTGTGCTTTGACCAATGTGAGCTACCACTGTCATGTTTAAGGAATTTGATTTGCCAAATTAAAATGAGGGAGCTTGATGTTAAGAGGAACACAACCTGTATGGCCTGCCATTATTTTCTAGGCTGAAGCATAGTTTTCCCACCTCTGATGTGAAAGGCCTTGAATCTCTTGAACCTCGATTTTCATTAAGCCTCGAGGAAGTGGAAGAAAAGTAGAGGTTATTATGGTGAAAAAAGCTCAGGCACCTTCCCTAATGCACTAATGCACCCAAATGCTTTCGTATTGAATGCCATTGAGTACATGTGATTCCAAAAAACCCACTCTTCATTGATGGTCATTTGGGTGAAATGAGTGCTGAGAAGGTACGAGTGATGTTTTATAGCAAGTCTTCACGGTAGCACTTTTGTTCCTTCCTTTCTTCCATCCTCCCTTCTTCCTTTCCTCATTTCCTTCCTTTCTTTTCTCACTGAGGAGCTGTGAGCTGCATGAATGGCTTGGTGCCAGAATAGCGCCAAGGTGAATTAACACTGATTCCCCTAAGGGAAAATGTAAAACTGCTAATAACTTGTTTGCAATGGTAGGAGGGGTGGAAAGTGTAAACCTAATGCCTCCTGCAAGCTGCAGCTTGCTTTCATGAGAGTCGTGCTCTTTTAGAGTTCTGAATACCTTGTGCACCTGCTGGCTGTCCGTTGGCGGAGTTCACCAGTTCCTACTCTCAACTGCAACGCCTTTGGAAAGATGCCCGCATGACTGGGTCTCATCTGCATGGGGTGGTTGGGACTTGTTAGTTGCTGAGTGTTTTCTCTTGTGGTGAAGACCACAAGGCCCTACAAGAGAGAACCTGCTTGCAGGAGACCTCATGGCTGTAAGTAGTAGGATCACAAACACAAAACATTAGGATCCCTGACTAGTCCATTGGAAGAGTTACCTTCCACCCACGGTCATTTATGTACACAACTGACTTCATAACTCTTAGGTCTGTCAAAGGTGATCTTGTTTACCTATTCATTTATTCATTTTCTGTCTTGCCACAAGAATATGTGTTCCCATGAGGACAGGGGCCTCATCTGTCCTGTTCACCTTTGCAACATCTTTGTCAAGGGCCATGCCTGGCTCATTTTAATTAGGAAATAAATATTTGCTGAATGAGTGATTGAAGATATGAATCCTGTCCTATGTGCTCATTTTACAGAAGAGGACACAAAGCAATACCAAGATGTGCCTCTAGTCACACAGATGGAGGATGAACCCAGACTATAATCCAGTTCTTCACCTCCCTCAAGTCTTTAATCAAAAGTCACCTTTTCAGTGAGGCCTCCCCTGGCCAACTCTGAAAAATTCCATAACCTCTGCTGTGAGCAATATTTCACATTCCCTTCCCAGATTTGCTCTACACTTCCCTCAACCTGTGAGCATTTACCGTGACCAATATCCTCTCTATATTTTATCTTGTTCATCATCTGTTCCTCTCTGTAGAATGTGGACTGTGTGAGGGCAGGAGGTTTTGTCTGTTGCACTCATTGCTGTACCCCAAGCACCTAGCACAGTGACTGACACATAGTAGATAATATTTTCTGCTGAGGAATGAATGAGTGGGACTATGGCCCTCAGCCTTTAGGGACACAAAGGAACACAGTTTCCACAAAAACTCAAGAGAGTGGGAAATAGAGACTGAACTTTAAAACTAAACTGGTGTTCTCATACCTTTGACCCTGCCACTTATCTGTGTGGCTTTAAACAAGCTTGGCTGAGTCTCAGTTATCCCATCTGTATAACGGGAAAGGACTAAGTGACATCATTTCCATAGCACCCTCAGAGTAGGTGCCCAATAAATATGTCTCCCTTGCTCTTGATCTGTCCTGTGAGGATCCACAATAGGGTTCCTGCATCTAAGAAGCCAAGGAAAACTTGGGAAGCCCCTTGCAGTGAGTGCTGAGAGGGTAGGAGTGATGAGAAATGGGGAGCAGATTGCGGACCTGCGAGAAAACACCTGGCTGCTCCCCTTCACTCTGTCTGAGCTTGGACATCAATCAGCACGGTGCACACTTGACTCTGTGGTTGGAAGACAATCTGCTAATCATGGCGAGGGGAAAAGCGCTGACATGCTGGGCTCTTCCCACTCTGCTCTAGGAGGGTTTGCAAATGGGGTGTAGGTCAGGAGGTGGATCTTCTGAGAAAGGGGGTGGGGGGAGCCTCTCTACAATTAGTCTGAGTTAAGAATAGGCTGCCTCTTTGTCTTCCTACTCAGAGACTGATGATGTTGGGTGACCAGGTGAAATGCCAGCCGAAATGGCATGTCAGGAGCTTTGTGGTGGCCTTGGTCACCAGCTCTGATTTGCAGCCTCATTTGGCTCCTCTGTGAGTAGAGCTGAGTCATAGGAAAAGAGCAGCTGCCTGGGGAAGGAGGACAGGAGGCTATTAGCTCTGCTGGCCCTGACATCTCAGCCAACTCCCACCACAAAGGCTCTTGCTGGGAGGCAGTTCAGGGCTTAGTGGTCAAAGACAGGACCTGGGTGTCAGACGGATCTGGCTTCTTGTCCCACCTCTGTCACTTCCTGATAAGTACAAGTTACTTAACTTCTCTAAGGTCCGTCTTCCCATCTATAAAATGGGCATAATAACAACATCTACTTCCTGGAACTGCTAGGGATTTTAAATGAGATATTCCATGTCACGTGCCTGGCACACAGCAAGTGCTCAATAAACATTAGCCATGGCCATTGGTGTTGTTGTTGCTGGTGGTACAGCAGCGAACACACAGACAAAAACCCCTGCCCTCCTGCAGCCCACATTCTACAGGAAGGAACAAATGATGAACAAGGTACAAATAGTGTGTTTCCATCATGAGAAGTGCTCAGAAAGAAAAAAAAACAGAAGGGAATGTGAAATGTGAAATGTTGGCTGGTGTAGGAGTGTGGAGTTTTTTATAGTTGGCCAGGGAAGTCCTCAATTAGGTGACTTTTGATTAAAGACCTGAGAGAGGTGAAGAACTGGATTCTAGTCCAGGTTCAACCTCCACCTGTGTGACCAGAGGCAAGTCATGGTGTTGCTTTGTGTCCTCTTCTGTAAAATGGGCACATAGGACAAGATTCATTACTTCAATCAGTCATTCAGCAAATATCTATTTTCTAGTTAAAATGAGCCCGGCATTGCCCTTGACATAGATGTTGCTATGGCAAACAAGACAGATGAGGCCCCTGTTCTCATGGGAGCACATTATTCTTGTGGGAAGACAGATTATTAATAAATGAATAGGTAAACAAGATCACCTATGACACACCTAAGAGCTTTGAAGTGAGTTGGGCACATAAATGACCGTGGGTGGAAGGTAACTCTTCCAATGGGTAGTACTACATTTCCTGCCCTACTGCTCACCTGCCTTTGACACCTTCCTGTGGACCAGGGCCAGGCAGGAGCTCACCAAGCAAAGCCCAGCCAGTCTCAAACTAGGAAGTCCCCAGCACTGAGGAGGTGTGGGAACCATGGAAGGCATAAGAGGGAGCAGGGCCTGCTCTCCTTCCTGGGTCTTGGGGGAGACCTGGCTCTTTCAAATCTTAATGACATTTATGGTCTGCAAGGAAGAGTGATTGTTATGGAATATCCTGCCACACTCCATTGTCAATTGCCTTCTTTCAGCCTCACATTTTTAGATTCTTTCCAGGTATGTGTCTCCTTTCAAGTCTCTATTCTCTGCCACCAGAAAGCTATACTTTTTCTTTTTCTTTTTTCTTTTTTTTTTTTTTTTGAGACAGGGTCTCACTCTCTCACCCATGCTGGAGTGCAGTAGTGCAATCACGGCTGACTGCAGCTTTGAACTCCCAGGCTCAAGCCATCCTTCCATTTCAGCCCTCGACTTCATCCCAAGTAGCTGGGACTACAAGCATGCAACACCATGCCTGACCTTTTGTTTGTCTGTTTTTCACTTTTTGTAGAGATGGGGGTCTCACTATGTTGCCCAGGCTGGTCTTGAACTCCTGGGTTGAAGCAATCCTCCCACCTTGGCCTCCCAAAGTGTTAGGATTACAGGCATGAGCCACCACACCCGCCTGAATATTCTTCTCTTCACAGTAACAATATTACAATATTCCTTCCCTGCTGAATCTCATCCTTTTGAGTTTTCAACCCAGAGTCCTAACCTTGTTATATTAGCTTGGTGGTATTCCACTCTTTCCAGCTATGGCTCTCACTGCAGGCCTGACTCCACTTAATTAGCAATCTGTTTTCACCACTCCCAGGTCATTAATAAAGATAGTAAATGAGCGAAGATTGAGCCCCAGCCCCTCTCACCCCTGCAGACGCCTCACTGATGGATAATTGCTATTTGTTGTGATGCTCTGCTTATCTTCTCATAGCCAATTGTGACTCTGTTCTTCTCTAAACTGATTTTAACAGATTTTTCTAGGGGATTTCTCATGAAGCAGAGGCATAATAATGCCAAAGTCTAGGAAAACTTACTTCGTTGGTGGAATCTGTGTCCAGGATAGGCCTTGGGAAAATTTATGTCTCAGGACAAGTTTAAATTCTCCCGGATATTTCTTGGTGCATAGACACCACTGCTCTGAGCCTACCTTTTGTGGCTTCCCATCTCATGCTAACTTGAGCCATCATAGGAATGTGCTGTTTCTATTCTCAAGTCTTCTTGACTATCATTTTTTTTGCTCCTAAAGTGTCAACCACTTATTATTTAAAAATCAGTAGAAACTAATGAGAACAAGCCTTTCTTTTTCCTTCCTTTTAGTGTATTTATTCATTTTAGCAATGTTCTTCTATTTAATTCTGTTCAACACACAATGATTCCTGAGGGCCTACACAATGTGTCAGACATTATTTGGACACAGTAGTTCAAGGATACTGAAATGCTTCTGCTTCTGGTAGGATATGTAATCCCCTAGCAGACCAGTCCTCTCTCAGAGTTGTATCAACTCTGGATAAAATTTAAATACAAAATGAAAAGACACCAACAATTTGGAGAAACTGGAGTGCTATTGTCTGGATGTTTGTGTTTCCCCCACCGCCAGTTCATTTGTTGAAATCTAATCACCAGTGTGATGTTATTAGGGGATGGGGCCTTTGGAGGCTCTGCCCTTGAATGGGACTGGAGTCCTTGTAAACGAGGTCCCAGAAAGCTGCCTTGTCTCTTCCACCATGTGAGGGCAGCAAGAAGGTGCCATCTGTGAACCAGGAAGTGGGCCCATACCTGATGTGAAACTGCTGATGCCTTGATCTTTTTGGACTTCTGGGACTCTAGAACTGTGAGGAATAAACTTCCGTTGCTTATAAGCTACCCAGTTTATGATATTTTGTTATAGCAGCTGGATAGGCTAAGACAGAGAGTGAATAAGAGCAGGAAGATTCTAGAGAGAAATTTACCTTGGAAGAAGGAAAAGACACTGGGCTTTTTTTTCCCCTGTATTTTTATGGCTTCTAGACTTAGGTATCATGAGGGTACAGTGGGTAAAGTCCTATAAAAAATTCACTGGTGAGTGAGAGGGAGATTATAGAAAGAAGAGAATCAAAAAAAAAAAAAAAAGAGAGAGAGAGAGAGAGAACCCAAATTCTGTGTATAAACTCTGGCTGAATCTGTCTAACCCTTGAACAATGCATGTGTCAGGCAGATTGCAGTCAGACAAGGTACAAATGAATGAACTGAACTGAGATTTGAGTTGCTGCCCCCAAAACACAGAGATCATACTTTGAATCCCGCTAAATAAATTGCTTGCTAAATCAAATCAAATAAATAAATTGCTTGCTAAATCAAATCAAATAAACACTCTTTGGAGGAATATAACATAATCCAGAGCTACCCCAACATAACATTCATAATGTCCAGGATATGGTCCAACAGAATTACTCAACATATAAAGAAACAGAAAAGTGTGACCTATGCTCAAAAGGGAAGGACAATCAATGGAAACTGACCCCAAAGACACTAAAAGATAATGAAGTGTGTTAAGTAAATTATTAGAATGCAATACAAACTGTGCTTTAAGTGGAGTCCTAAAGTTATATCCACAGCACAGAAGTGACATACAGGACAGAACAATCTGCTTCTCTACCTAGGACAGGAAAGGCTCCTCAGAGGAGTGAACATCAGAGCTAGAGTCTTAGGACTTGAAGAATGAATAAGGCTCAGTAAAAAAAAAAAGGAGAGGAAGGGAGTGAGAGTGAGGAGAGAGAGAGTGTGTACAGTGGGGAAGTATATCTAGGAAGTAAGGGAGGGTATTTTAGAAGAGGAAATAGGAGAGGGTGCCTTGGGAAAAATCACAAGAGCAGTTGAAATACTCCTAAGTTAATTGGTTCATCAAAAATATTGGTTAAAGTGAAAAAATTACAGAAAATTATCTATATATGCCTTAAACATTTGACTTTAAAACATATTAATGGATATTTTTTACTGGTCTTTTAATTTATGATCCAGATCTTTTCTTTGAGCATGGTCTTCTAATTAGTGTTCCATGTTGAATTTCTGAGATAGCAAATATTGCATTGTACATCATTTCCAGTTTTGACTTTTTAAGTGAAGTGAGAAGTTTAAAACCCTTATAAAGCAACCTGAAACAAAAAGATGCTCAGTCCTTATATTTTCCTTGTTCACACCTAATCCTACAGCATTTTGGGGATAATTTATTGAGTCTTTCAAAAGCATTCATCCTAGTTTTCAAAGAAATATTCTTTTCTCTCTGATATAGCATATTATTATAAAATATTTATATATACATCAAATTACATGACAATGACAAGTACAGGGACAATGAACTCTTGGTAAATATACAACTTTGGCTTGTGGGAGCAGAAGTGGTAGACCCATGAGAGAGCTACCAAGCATCTCACATGCTCAGTGTGTGGTGAGCATTAGTTAATATGTTTACAGAGTGAATGGAGAGCCTTAATCAATAGAGTTAAGAGCAAATGTCCTAATTTTGTATGGCTGCTGCATAGCCCAAAATACATCTGCAATATTGTCTAATCCAGAACAATTATCCTAACATTATAAATTAATTTCCAGGTAGAAAATATGGACGTATAAAAAGAAAAGACATATTAGAGTAGTCGTTCTACCAGAACACTGTCAACATGCCATACATGTTGATCCTTGTCTAATTCTATCAAGAATTGGTCATTTTAGGTTATCTCTGTGCTCACCATCTTCCTCTTTCAGTGACATCTTATCAACCATACTTCTGCTATAGGTGCTGATTTCCTACTCTCAGAAAAGATCAAGACCATCCTGGCCAACATGGTGAAACCTTGTCTCTACTAAAAATACAAAAATTAGTTGGGTGTGGTGGCACATGCCTGTAGTTCCAGCTACTTGGGAGGCTGAGGCAGGAGAATTGCTTGAACCCAGGAGGCGGACGTTGCAGTGAGCCAAAATCGTACCACTGCACTCCAGCCTGGCAACAGAGCAAGACTCCGTCAAAAAAAAAAAAAAAAAAAGATAGATAGAAAAGAAAAGAACACTAGCTAACCTAGGCAACATAGTGAAACTCCCATCTCTACAAAATAATAGCTGAGCTTGGTGGTGCACACCTGTGGTCTCAGCTTCTTGGGAGGCTGAACTGGAAGAATCGCTTGAGCCCTTGAAGTTGAGGCCACAGTGAGTTGTGATCACTCCACTGTACTCCAGCCTGAGTGACAGAGTGAGACCCTGTCTCAAAAAAAAAAAAAAAAAAAAAAAAAAGAGAGAGAGAGAAAAGGAAAATAGCAACTGGGTTGCTATTGTAAGTATAGGATGAGCTCAGGAAATTCAGTAAACATCAGATGGCCTGAGTTAAGCATTTCCTAAAATCTAATTTGAAGAAGTCATTTAAATTTAGTTGAAACGTTTTATTTAAAAATTGGGTTGCAAGTCACATGTCACCAGCCTTCTACAGCTACCTAGATTAAGCAGATTGATTAAAAAAAAATCCTTGGGTAGATATTTTCTTGGAGGCCTAATCTAGACGTCAGAGGCCTCTATTGCTTAGGATGGGAAGTACAAAAAGAAAAAAAATATATCATTTTCAGACTCATAGTCCAAAGAAATGGGAATAAGGGAAATAAGACAACATTTATAGCAAAAATACATTTCAAAAGATGATTAAGTATAAGAATTATTTATTTACATGCAGATATTTGGTTGACTAGCTTGAACTGATTTGGGTCATCAAGTGAAAAATGAATAAGACTAATGAAGAATTGGTGGACTCTTTCTAAAAGGACAAAGCTTTTAAATTACTCACATAGATTTGGTCTTTTCTTTTGATGTAATATTGTGCTCTTCTGAGCTTTGCTACTGTAGTAATTTGCATTGTAGATTCAAATAATTAATGAGCACTCTCACTTTTCTAACTTCTGAGTTTGTGTCATCAACAAATATTTATTGAGCACCTACTAAGTGCCACATGCTGAATAAAGTACTGATTATATGTTAATGTTTATGAAGATTATTGTTTGTGACATAATACCTTTGTAATCATTAGATCATTTAAAGAAAAATCAAGAGTTTTACAATAGTCTTGGAGTGCCTCAGACTTCCAGAGTAAATATGCTTTTTGATCACATATGAGGACTAATTCTTACCTGCATATAAACAGGACTTCCAGTTATAATAGAATTGCCTTTTCAGAATCCATTTCCCAGCTGCCGTTTCATGCAGAGGACATAACAAACATCTTGACTTTGGCTGTTTATTTGAGAACAGGTGGGACCAAGGTATGTGCATCTTCTCATAACTTTGAAAATATCGTTTTAAAATATAGGTCAGTATTTTTACAGTATTACATTATGCAATATTTGGACTGTTGTTTTTGCATTAATATCTGTTTAAAGTCCTCAGTTTGTTAATGACCATTGGTACACATCTTACTTATCAACATTCAGCACACATGGCATAACCATTCCTTCCTTCCTGAAAGATTCTCTTTTTTTTTTTTTTTTTTTTTTTTTGAGACAGGGTCTTGCTCTGTTACCCAGGCTGGAGTGCAGGGGTGTGATCTTGGCACTCTGCAACCTCCACCTCCTGTGTTCAAGTGATTCTCCCGAGTAGCTGGGACTACAGGCATGTGCCACCATGCTCGGCTAATTTTTGTGTTTTCAGTAGAGAGGGGTTTCACCATGTTGGCCAGGCTGGTGTCAAACCCCTGACATCAGGTGATCCACCTGCCTCAGCCTCCCAAAGTGCTGGGATTAAGGGTTCTCATTTTTTATTTTTGGTCATTGTACATTCTCTTGGGTTTCTTGTTTAACAGTATTTTTGAGGTACATTTTACCTCAATATCATACAATGCATATATTTTGAGTGTCCAATTCAATGCTTTTTAGTAACTTTTCCAAGTGGTGTAACCATCACCATAAATCACTTTTAGAACAGTTTCATCCTTTTAATAAGATCCCTCAGGCCCATTTGCACTTAACTCCCAGCCCCATCTCCCTTGGTTTTCCTCCTACCTCCCTGGCCACTCTTTCTGTCCTTTGCAGGCTCATTCTCCTCTATTGAGTCATTAGCTATTTAACATTCTCAGGGTACTGCTTGGGCCCCCTCCTCTTCTCTCTCTGTACTTTCCCCTTGGCAGACCTCATCATGACATCAGCCTCAATTACCACCTAGATGCAGGCAGCTCTTCATGCTATTCCAGATCTGTATATCCAAAATGTCTACTAGACACCTCCATTGTAAATATTGAAACATCCCAAATCCAAATTCATGGCTTCCATTCCAGTGCTGGTTCTCAATCTTAGTAAACAGAACAATGATCGATTCGATCTCTAGAGCCAAAAATCTTGGAGTCATCCTGATAAGACCCCCTCCCCTGCCATTCGCTTATTTAATCCATCACCAGGTGTCTTCAATGTTTTATATCCTAAATGTCTCTTCCATGTATCTCCTTATCCACATCACCACTGCCATTAACCTGGTCAGAGTCCCATTATCTCTCACCTAGAATATACAGGAATAGACTCTAACTTGTGTCCTCATCTTCCTCTTCCCCTCTAATCAGTTATCCATATTGTAACCAAAGTGAAATTAAAAACAGAAAGCAAATCTGATCTATCAGCTTTCCATTCTTCCTAGATTAACATAAATTTATTAACACAATTCATCCCACACCACTATCCCTGCCCTCTGTTCTACAGCCCCTTTTTAATTTTCTTTAAAGTACACACATTTCTTCTCACTACAGGGCCATTGCACATTTGCTGTCTCTGCTTAAACCTCTTCCATTACTTACTTCCATTCTCCTGGTGAAACTGCTACCAATCTTTCTGATCTCAGCTCAGTCCTTACTTCCTCATGGAAACCTCCCCATCCACCCTCAGCATAGCCAAGTCATCCGATATTTCTTTAGCAGCCTATCCTTTTCCTTTGTAAAAAATATTTTTTAATTCATTTATTGTTTAGAGATGGAGTCTCACTCTGCCACCCAGGCTGGAGTACAGCGGTGCAATCTCAGCTCACTGTAGCCTCAACCTCCCGGGCTCAAGTTATCCTCCCATCTCAATCCCCCAAGTAGCTAGGACTACAGGTGCTCACCAGCATGCCTAGCTAATTTTTGTATTTTCTGTAGAGATGGAGTTTTGCCGTGTTGCCCAAGCTGGTCTTGAACTCCTGAGCTAGGCAATCCACCCTCCTTAGCCTCCCAAAGTGCTGGGATTACAGGTGGGGGAGCCACCACTCCAGGCCTCCTTTTCCTTTATACAACTTACTACATTCTGTAACTATACACTTATTTCTGGATGTTTGATTATTATCTGTATTTCCTACTAAACCATAAGTTTCATGAAGACAACAACCTTGTCTTTGTTCATCCAAGAAGAGCTAACAGCCTACAGGAGGTACTCAAAAAGTGTCAAATGAACAGATAAATAAATAAAATGAATCAAACCAGTAAAACCAAGCAGAATACAAAGGCTAAGTCCTGGAAATTGCTTACATTGTATAGTTTTATTCTCTCAGTTCTCTAAAGTGGCTTTATTTCACAAATAATGTAGTTTTACCCAGAAAGAAAAGCTCAGTTTAAATTCAGGGGCTCTTTCTTGACTCAGGTATATCATATAGTCAAGCTCTTACAACTTTTCTGAGAATATACCTTCAACCCTGCTATGTCTTTATTTCTGACGTCTCCCGCTCCTTGGAAATGAATTTAAGAGGTAGTCTTAACTCTTAATTTCAGTGGTGCACTGGTTAACATTCATTCTACAACTGGCTCTCAACGATTGGTAGCATTTGCCGATTTCTGTGGTGTGAATGCTCTGACTGTAGTCAATTGCAAGCTACCAACTTGCTATCTCTCAAAACAATGCTGGGAAGAGATATGAGCTGCTATTAAGGGCCATGCCATTCAGCTCCACCACACCGCTAGATCTGAGGGATATTCACCTAGAAGTTTTTATTTTCTTTTCTTACCTAAAATTTGGGTTGCCCTTGCCTCTGTCTATGTTTCTGCAACCTCGTGGTTCTTTTCCTATTTTTAAATACTTTCAACTAGTTGAGATTGCTATTGGAATACAGAGACTTTGGGAGAAGTTTCATTTCCATTCCCCAGACTAAATTACCATTTCTGTCATGAACTCTAATCTGCCACAAGAATCAGGCAGAGGGCTTAAACCTGTGTTTGAGGCTTCACTAAGATTTGCATCACATAATAAATTCCATCTCAAAAAGAAACATAAGTTCAGGAATCTGATCATGAGTAAATGTTATTCACAATGACTGTTTACCAATAGTTTCACATGCCTTTGTGAATACTTCATAAACAGTTTTCAAGGCAGTGTTTATGCAAAGGATTAGTGAAAGGGCAAAAGTCTCAAGGGAGAGAACTCACCAAAGTACATGTCTCTTCAAGCATTAAATTATCAACAAAATTAAACCTTGGCTCCACCCTGGAGCCCAGCTTCCCAGTCAACATTAGACACTCACATGTGTTGGCAAAGATAAAGTCAACAACCAAAGCACACGTCACATCTCCTGCAGAATGCTTGACCACGGCTACTTGGGCGTGGCAACCCAAGCCTGCGGGAAATCCTCACAGCAAACACACTAGGGAGCCCATCTCCTGTTATATGGCTGATGGCAGGGCACCGAATGTTGCTCCTGAAAGCAATGATAGCAAAGCTAGCGAGGGCCCCAACTGTTTGTTAAACGCCTAATGATTAACAGAAGCCTCTGCCTAGGCCTTTGGGCTGCCACTCAGGGAAGTCTGTTTAGTAAACAGTCAACCACCAATATCTCGAACAGGTTGAACAGATGGCTCTAGAGTTCAAGCCAACTGTGTTTCCCTCAATTTCACACAGCTTTGGGTAATGAAGGCCATAAAATTCAAGAAACGTATAAACACAAACACCCCCATTCTCACCTCTCCCATGTACAAGGGCTCCAATCTCTAGATGATGAAATCTGAGAAAGATGTGAAATTAAAGGGAGAGGAGAACCTCCATGGAATGGATTTGAATTCATTAGAAATCACCTGTGTGTTATTGAAGGTCAAGGAGAAGGAAATAAAATCTCCATAAACTTTTCTGCGTAGAGCACCTGAAAGAACGAATACAGTGAAAGAGTGGCATGAATCTCAAACAATGGCTTGGAAATCTCTAAGCAGAAACCTCTGATTCTAAAGTAGAAAAACCTTATGATAAAGTTGTAAATAGAACATTTGGCCTATCTACCATAGAGCTTCTCCATCACACCCTGATTCCAAATGTCATAAGCAAGAAAAAACGTTAAAGCCTGAGCTATGAATACATGTTCAATATAATTATGCATATTACCTACTTAGGTTGGGCACCTAATCCTAGCATTTTGGGAGTCCAAGTGACCTGGGAGGCCAAGGCAGGAGGATCACTTGAAGACAGAAGTTTGAGACCAAACTGGGCAACATAGCAAGACCTCGTCTCTACAAAAAAATTAAAAATTAGCCAGGCCTGTCGCTGATTACCTGTTACCCTCTCTTTGCATTTGTAAAATGGGTACATAAAGCCTAACTTCATATATTTCACAGAGATATTGCTAAAATAAATGAAACATGTCTTCCAGGCAAGAGGGCATTGTAAATTCTTGTTTTAAGGCCCTAATCTACTCCAAATAAATGCTATATCAAGCTTTAAATGAGAAAAAATAAAACAGACACAGCCTTCATTCCCCGAGATAAATGTCTGCATAAATTAGAAGCACAAAGCAGGAGGTATGAAAAATTTATCTGAAAAATACATATAGCCCTAATAATCACCTGTAAAATGTATCTGAAAAATATGCATAGAGCTAAAACAAAGCTCGGCACCTAGGGAAGAGGGAAAGGGCAGGAGTGGCAGAATAGACACTATCCACATCACTAAAAGACAGGCACCCTGGGTTTCCACCAGGCAGTAGAGTTCTGGAGTAAGAATCCAACTAGCCTAATTTAGATATCCATGGAGCACAGGAGGGAATGATACCAGAGAGAAAAACAAAACTAAACAAAATTCTTTTGCTCACTATACATCAAAATTCTAAAACCCAGGAGGAAAATTAAATCTGAAGAAGTTAGCCAATAACATAAATATTAGGAGATCAATTCACTCATGAAAATAACTTACCTATTTAAATTAATATGAAATATTTATTATTATTATTATTATTTCACTGGCACCTATTACTCAAATGGACCAACTTAAAAGTGACTATATAAGTATGTTTAAGGACCTCTAACAAATGAAGAAAGGACTAACATCCATAAAAAAGAATAGGAGGTCATGAGACACAAAGGAAGAAGTAATAATAAGAAGAAATAGAATAGGCTGGGCATGGTGGCTCATGCCTGTAATCCCAGCAATTTGGGAGGCTGGGACGGGCAGATCATTTGAGGTCAGGAGTTTGAGACCAGCCTGGCCAACATGGGGAAACCCTGCCTTTACTAAAAAATACAAAAATTAGCCGGGCGTGGTGGTGGGCACCTGTAATCCCAGCTACTCAGGAGGGCAAGGTGGGAGAATCACTTGAAGCCAGGAGGTGGAGGTTGCAGTGAGCTGAGATCATGCCACTGCACTCCAGCCTGGGTGACAGAGTTAGACCCTGTCTCAACAAACAAACAAACAAATAAAAAGAAATAGAATAGATGAATTAAAAGAAATCACTTAGAAATCCCAGAAGTGACTTCCAGTTTCAGCTCTGACATATAACAAGCTTGGAAGTCATCACTTCTGTTCCTACAACCAGCAACAGCTAAACAAACTGAAAATTAGCAACTTTTCCTGAATCCATCAGAGAACTAAAGAGACAGGTGAATTCAGGGTTCAGATTATCTGGAGTGGGATATGTGGGATTTATAAACTGGTAAAAACACTTTTACGGTAATTTTGTTGAATTGCTGAAGACTGAGTATGGACTAGCAAGAGAGTGAGAGAGTCTAGGGGCCCAGTCTTAGGAGGTCCCCACAATTTCGTAAATTTTATCTCCAGGAACCCCACCAGATTCTCAAGGTCATGATCTGAGAAAGATTCCTTTGTGGTTCTGACAAGGAAGGGGGAGAGTAATTCTTTGGAAATACTTCTGGACCTTTTCCACACAAAGGCCTCCTTTCCAGGGGAAAGACTTTAGCAGAGCCATACCCTGGCTCAGAATGGAAGGGATAGGATGGGACAGGGTGAAGAAGAGGACTTTTCTCCCATTCCAGCCTCCTCTATCCCTCTTGTTTCATCTAAGAGGGGAAGAAGTGGGAGGGTGCTGAGAAATACCTTTGAAGATCTCAGCCCAGGGAGAGAGGCCCACTAAAAGATTGAGATTTATTTATTTATTTTTGAGACAAGGTCTCACTTTGTCACCCTGGCTGGAGTGCAGTGGTATGATTTCAGCTCACTGCAACCTCCACCTCCTGGGCTAAAGTGATCCTCTTGCCTCAGCCTCCTAAGTAGCTGGGACTACAGGTGCATGCCACCACACCCAGCTAAAGGACTGAGATTTTATCATAAGATTATAAAACTCTTCCCCTCTCCTTCACCCTCCCACCACTTCCACAGGGCTCCAATGTAACAACAATGGCTTACAGCTAAAAGAGCTGCAAAATGCACACTCTCTCTGAGGAAAAGTACTTAGGAAAGTCATAAGTAAAGAGGGAAGATAAAAACAAGAATACTGAAATAATTTGAAACCTCTGGCTTCTATAGTTATAGAAAACATTAAACAGAGCCCAATTCTTAGCCAGATTAATGCTGAAGAGACAAAAGCAAGCCTCAGAGCCAGACTTGAATATGAGACAGATATTGGAATAATCAGACAGAGAATTTAAAATAACCATGATTAACATGTTAAAGGCTCTAATGGAAAAAGTTGAAAACATGCAAGGGCATATGAGTGATATATGTAGAGAAGTATAAATGGTAAGAAGGAATCAATAGGAAATTATATAAATCAAAAGCATTGTGACAGAAATGAAGAGTGCCTTTACTGAGCTCATCAGTAGATTGGGCAAGGCCTAGGAAAGAATTGGTAAACTTGAAGATATGTTAAAAGAAACCTCCTGGCTGTGCGCAGTTGCTCATGCCTGTAATCCCAGCACTTTGGGAGGCCGAGACAGGTAGATCACAAGGTCAGGAGATCGAGACAATCCTGGCTAACATGGTGAAACCCCATCTCTACTAAATATACAGAAAATTAGCTGGGCGAGGTGGCAGGTGCCTGTAGTCCCAGCTACTCGGGAGGCTGAGACAGGAGAATGGCATGAACCCAGGAGGTGGAGCTTTCAGTGAGCCGAGATCGCGCCACTGCACTCCAGCCTGGGTGACAGAGTGAGACTCCATCTCAAAAAAAAAAAAAAAGAAAAAGAAAAAAAAAAAAGAAACCTCCCTAACTGAAATTCAAGGAGAAAAAGGAGTGGGAGAGGAACAGAATATCCACGTACTGCAGGACAATGTAAAAGGGTGTAACATATGCAGAATTGGAATACCAGAAAGAAAAGAAGAGAAAGGAGAAGAAGAAAGATTTGAGTAATGAAGAACTTTCCAAAATTAATGACAGACACCAAAGCACAGATCTAAGAAGCTTAGAGAAAATTCAGCATGAGAATTTTCAAAACATTAACACCTAGGTATAGCATATTCAACCTACAAGAAACCAAAGACAAACATAAATCTTGAAAGATGCCAGAGGGGAAGAATCATGTTGCATGTATAGGAACAAAGATAGGAATTACCAAAGATCTATTTCCAGAAGTTGTTATAAACTGAATTGCATGCAATTCGGGTGCAATTGAGGTTGGGTTGAAGCCCAACCCCAATGGGACTGTGTTTGGAGATGGGGCCTTTAAAGAGATGTTTAAGGTTAAGTGAGGTGATACAGGTGGAGTCCTAATGCCACAGGACTGGTGTCCTTATGGGAAGAAGAGGAGACACCAAGGACTCATGCACAGGAGGAAGCCCCATGAGTTCACAGTGAGAAGTTAGCCATCTTGAAGCCAAGGAGAGAGGCCTCAAAGAGGTAAACCCTGCCAACAGCTCGATTTGGACTTTCCAGCCTCCAGGACTGCAAATAAATAAATAAATAAATAAATAAATAAATAAATAAATAAATACATTGCCATTGTTTAAAGCACCAGTCTGGCATTTTTTTTTTAATGGCAGCCCTAGCAGACTAATACAGAAGCCATGCAAGCAAGAAGAGAATGGAGTGAAACATTGAAAGTATGGAAATAAAAACCCCACCAACATAGAATTCTATATCCACAGAAATTATCCTTCAAAAATGAAGAAATAAAGACTTTCTCAGACAAAAAGTGAAGAGATTTGTTGTCAGCAGATCTGCCTTGCAAGAAATGTTAAATGAAGTTCTTCAAGAAGGAGGAAAATTATACAGGCCAGAAATTTATATCTACATAAAGAAAGGAAGAATGGCAGAGAAGGAATTAATAAAGAGAAATAAAACCTCTTATCTTGCATATATTTAAAAGGCCTAAAATAATTATTTGTTGAAAGTAATAATAGTAACCATGTACAGATATTCCTTGATTTATAATAAGGTTACATCCTATTAAACCCATCATAAGGAAAATATTATGTTGAAATGTATTTAATACACCTAAACTACCAAACATCAACGCTTAGCCTAGCCAACACTAAATGTGCTCAGAACATTTACATTAGCCTACAGTTGGGCAAAATCATCTCATAAAGCTTATTTTATAATAAAGCATTAAATATTTAATGTAATTTATGGAATATTGTACTGAAAGTGAAAAACAGAATAGTTGTAACAGTGTTCAAAGTATGGTTTCTACTGAATAAATATCTTTCATGCTATCGTAAAGTAGAAAAATTGTAAGTTGAACCATTATACATTGACGACTATGTGTATGGGGTGATTATAGCATATGGATAAGTGAAATAAATAACAGCCATATCATAAAAGATGGGAGGGAGGAATTCGGAATACCCAATTATGATGTTTCTGCACTACACCTGAGGCAGTATACTGTTATTGGAAGGTAGACTTAGACTAGTTAAAACATCATATTGCAAACTCTAGGGCAACCACTAAAAAAGTACTTTTTTTAAAAAGTAGAAGCAATATGGTAAAAGAGGAGATATAATGGAATTATAAACTGCTTGATTAAAACTGGAGAAGGCAGATATCGGGGGAAACTGCCCCCAGTATTTCAACATAGGTTCTTTCTATTTTCCGTAAGTGTCAGCCAGCTGAGAAATAAAGAGAAAGAGTACAAAGAGAGGAATTTTACAGCTGGGCCACCGGGGGTAACATCACATATTTATTGGTAGGACCGTGATACCCACCTGAGCCTCAAAATCAGCAAGTTTTTATTAAGGATTTCAAAAGGGGAGGGGGTGTATGAACAGGGAGTAGGTCACATGCTTCAAGGGGCAAAAAGCAGAATAAAGATCACATGCTTCTGAGGGAACAGGACAAGGGCAAAATCAGAACTCCTGATAAGGGTCTATATTCAGCGGTGCACGTATTGTCTTGATAAACATCTTAAACAACAGAAAACAGGGTTCGAGAGCAGAGAACCAGTCTGACCAAAAATTTACCAGGATGGAGTTTCCCAATCCTAGTAAGCCTGAGGGTACTGCAGGAGACCATGGCGTATTTCAGTCCTTATCTCAACCGCATAGGACAGACATTCCTAGAGCAGCCCTTTATAGACCTTCCCCCAGGAATGAATTTCTTTCCCAGAGTATTAATATCAATATTCCTTGGTAGGAAAAGAATGTAGCGATGTCTTCCCTTCTTGCATGTCTGTTTATAGGCTCTCCGCAAGAAGAAAAATATGGCTCTTTTTGCCCAACCCCGTAGGCAGTCAGACCTTACGGTTGTCTTCCCTTGTTCCCTAAAAATCACTGTTATTCTGTTCTTTTTCAAGGGGCACTGATTTCATATTGTTCAAACACACATGTTTTACAATCAATTTGTACAGTTCAAACAATTGTCATAGTGGTCCTGAGGTGACATACATCCTTAGCTTACGAAGATAACAGGATTAAGAGATTAAAGTAAGACAGGCCTAAGAGGTTATAAAAGTATTATTTTGGGAACTGATAAATGTCCATGAAATCTTCACAATTTATATTCCTCTGCTGCGGCTCCAGCTGGTCCGTCCATTAGGGGTCGCTGACTTCCCACAACAGGCGGATAAAAGGAAAATAAAAGAAACAGAACAAATGCAACAAATAGAAAATAGCTACAAACATGGTAGACATTAACCTAATTATATCAATAATCTCTTTAAATATGAATGATTTGAATAAACCAATTAAAATATAGAGATTTTCAGTGTGGAATAAAAACAAAACAAAAACAAGACTCAACTGTATGTTGTCTATAAGAAATACAAGTAGCAGAGAGGTTTTTGAATGTTCTCAACACAAAGAAATAATATATACATGAGGTAATGGTACTAGCTACCCTGATGTGATCATTATACAATATATACATGTACCAGTATGTCAAATAGTACCACATAAATATGTACAATTACAATCTCTCAATGAAAGTATTTTTTAAAATTTTACTATTATTATACTTTAAGTTCCAGGATATATGTGCACAACGTGCAGGTTTGTTACATAGGTATACATGTGCCACGTTCGTTTGCTACACCCTTCAACTCATCATTTACATTAGGTATTTCTCCCAATGCTATTGCTCCCCCAGCCACCCAGCACCCCACCCCCAACAAGCCCTGGTGTGGGATGTTCCCCTTCCTGTGTCCATGTGTTTTCATTGTTCAACTCCCACTTATGAGTGAGAACATGTGGTATTTGGTTTTCTGTCCTTGTGATAGTTTGCTGAGAATGATGGTTTCCAGCTTCATCCATGTCCCTACAAAGGACATGAACTCATCCTGTTTAATGGCTGCATAGTATTCCATGGTGTATATGTGCCACATTTTCTTAATCCAGTCTATTATTGATGGGCATTTGGGTTTGTTTCAAGTCTTTGCTATTGTGAATAGTGCGCAATAAACATACATGTGCATATGTCTTCATAGCAGCATGTTTTATAATTCTTTGGGTATATACCCAGTAATGGGATCGCTGGGTCAAATAATATTTCTAGTTCTAGATCCTTGAGGAATCACCACACTGTATTCCATAATGATTAAATTAATTTACACTCCCACCAACAGTGTAAAAGTGTTCTTATTTCTCCACATCCTCTCCAGCATGTTGTTTCCTGACATTTTAATGATCGCCATTCTAACTGGTGTGAGATGGTATCTTATTGTGGTTTTGATTTGCTTTTCTCTTATGACCAGTGATGATGAGCATTTTTTCATGTGTCTGTTGGCTGCATAAATGTTTTCTTTTGAGAAGTGTTTGTTCATATTCTTTGCCCGCTTTTTGATGGAGTTGTTTTTTTCTTGTAAATTTGCTTAAGTTCTTTGTATACTCTGGATATTAGTCCTTTGTCAGATGGATAGATTGCAAAAATTTTCTCCCATTCTGTAGGTTGCCTCTTCACTCTGATGACAGTTTCTTTTGCTGTGCAGAAGCTCTTTAGTTTAATTAGATCCCATTTGTCTATTTTGGCTTTTGTTGCCATTGCTTTTGGTGTTTTAGTCATGAAGTCTTTGCCCATGCCTATGTCCTGAATGGTATTGCCTAGGCTTTCTTCTAGGGTTTTTGTGGTTTTAGGTCTCATGCTTAAGTCTTTAATTCATCTTGAGTTAATTTTTGTGTAAGGTGTAAGGAAGGGATCCAGTTTCAGCTTTCTACATATGGCTAGCCAGTTGTCCTAGCACCATTTATTAAATAGGGAATCCTTTCCCCACTGCTTGTTTTTGTCAGGTTTGTCAAAGATCAGATGGTTGTAGATGTGTGGTGTGTGGTGTTATTTCTGAGGCCTCTGTTCTGTTCCATTGGTCTATATATCTGTTTTGGTACCAGTACCATGCTGTTTTGGTTACTGTAGCCTTGTAGTATAATTTGAAGTTAGGTAGCATGATGCCTCCAGCTTTGTTCTTTTTGCTTAAGATTGTCTTGGCTATGCAGGCTCTTTTTTAGCTCCATATGAAATTTAAAGTAGTTTTTATCCAATTCTGTGAAGCTTGGTGGGAATAGCATTGAATCTATAAATCACTTTGGGCAATATGGCCATTTTTGTAATATTGATTCTTCCCATCTATGAGCACAGAATGTTCTTCCATTTGTTTGTGTCATCTGTTATTTCATTGAGCAGTGGTTTGTAGTTCTCCTTGAAGAGTTCCCTCCCATCCCTTATAATTTGGATTCCTAGGTATTTTATTCTCATTGCAGCAATTGTGAATGGGAGTTCACTCATGATTTGGCTCTCTGTTTGTCTGTTCTTGGTGTATAGGAATGCTTGGATTTTTGCATTTTGAGTTTTGTATCCTGAGACTTTGCTGAAGCTGTTTATCAGCTTAAGGAGATTTTGGGCTGAGACGATGGGGTTTTCTAATTATACAATCATGTCATCTGCAAACAGAGACAATATGACTTCCTCTTTTCCTAATTGAATACGCTTTATTTCTTTTTCTTCCTCATTGAATACCCTTTATTTCTTTCTCTTGCCTGGTTGCCCTGGCCAGAACTTCCAATGTTATGTTAAATAGGAGTGGTGAGAGAGGGCATCCCTGTCCTGTGCCAGTTTTCAAAGGGAATGCTTCCAGTTTTTGCCCATTCAGTATGATATTGGCTGTGGGTTTGTCATAAATAGCCTTTATTATTTTGAGATACATTTCATCAATACCTAGTTTATTGAGAGTTTTTAGCATGAAAGGCTATTGAATTTTGTAGAGGCCTTTTCTGCATCTATTGAGATAATCATGTGGTTTTTGTCATTGGTTCTGTTTATGTGATGGATTGCGTTTACTGATTTCATATATTGAACCAGCCTTGCATCCCAGGGATGAAGTCAACTTGATTGTGGTGGATAAGCTTTTTGATGTGCTGCTGGATTTGGTTTGCCAGTAGTTTAACTGAAGATTTTCACATCGATATTCATCAGGGATATTGGCCTAAAATTCTCTTTTTTTTGTTGTGTCTCTGCCAGGCTTTGGTATCAGGATGATGCTGGCTGCAGAAAATAAGTTAGGGAGGGTTCCCTCTTTTTCTATTGATTGAAATAGTTTCAGAAGGAATGGTACCAGCTCCTCTTTGTACCTCTGGTAGAATTCGGCTGTGAATCCATCTGGATTTTTTCGTTGGTAGGCTATTAATTATTGCCTCAATTTCAGAACCTGTTATTGGTCTATTCAGAGATTTAACTTCCTAGTTTAGTCTTGGGAGGGTGTATGTGTCCAAGAATTTATCCATTTCTTCTAGATTTTCTAGTTTATTTGCATAGAGGTGTTTATAGTATTCTCTGATGGTAATTTGTATTTTTGTGGAATCGGTGGTGATATCCCCTTTATCATTTTTTATTATGTCTATTTGATTCTTCTCTCTTTTCTTCTTTATTAATCTTGCTAGCAACCTATCAATTTGTTGATCTTTTCAAAAAAACATCTCCTGGATTCATTGATTTTTTGAAGGGCTTTTTGTGTCTCTATCTCCTTCAGTTGTGCTCTGATCTTAGTTATTTCTTGTCTTCTGTTAGCTTTTGAATTTGTTTGCTCTTGCTTCTCTAGTTCTTTTAGCTGTGATGTTAGGGTGTTGATTTTAGGTCTTTTCTGCTTTCTCTTGTGGGCATTTATTGCTATAAATTTCCCTTTACACACTACTTTCAATGTGTCCCAGAGATTCTGGTATGTTGTGTCTTTGTTCTCATTGGTTTCAAAGAATATCTTTATTTCCACCTTCATTTTGTTATTTACCCAGTAGTCATTCAGGAGCAGGTTGTTCAGTTTCCATGTAGCTGTGTGGTTTTGAGTGAGTTTCTTAATCCTGAGTTCTAATTTGATTGCACTGTTGTCTGAGAGACAGTTTGTTCTGATTTCTGTTCTTTTACATTTGCTGAGGAGTGTTTTACTTCCAATTATGTGGTCAACTTTAGAATAAGTGCAATGTGGTGCTGAGAAGAATGTATATTCTATTGATTTGGGATGGAGAGTTCTGTAGATGTCTATTAGGTTCACTTGCTCCAGAGTTGAGTTCAAGTCCTGGATATCCTTGTTAATTTTCTGTCTCATTGATCTGTCTACTATTGACAGTGGGGTGTTAAAGTCTCCCACTATTATTGTGTGGGAGTCTAAGTCTCTTCATAGGTCTCTAGTAACTTGCTTTATGAATCTGGGTGCTCCTGTATTGGGTGCATATATATTTAGGATAGTTAGCTCTTCTTGTTGAATTGATCCCTTTACCATTATGTAATGGTCTTCTTTGTCACTTTTGATCTTTGTTGGTTTAAAGTCTGTTTTATCAGAGACTAGGATTGCAACCCCTGCTTTTTTTATTTTTTATTTTTTTGATTTCCATTTGCTTGGTAGATCTTCCTCCATCCCTTTATTTTGAGCCTATGTGTATCTTTGCATGTGAGATGGGTCTCCTGAATACAGCACACTGATGGGTCTTGACTCTTTATCCAATTTGCCAGTCTGTGTCTTTTAATTGGGGCGTTTAGCTCTTTTAAATTTAAGGTTAATATTGTTAGGTATGAATTTGATCCTGTCATTATGATGCTAGCTGGTTATTTTGCCCGTTCATTGATGCAGTTTCTTCATAGCATCGATGGTCTTTACTATTTGGCATGTTTTTGCAGTGGCTGGTACCAGTTGTTCCTTTCCATGTTTAGTGCTTCCTTCAGGAGCTCTTGTAAGGCAGGCCTGGTGGTGACAAAATCTCTCAGCATTTGCTTGTCTGTAAAGTATTTTATTTCTCCTTCACTTATGAAGGTTAATTTGGCTGGATATGAAATTCTAGGTTGAAAATTCTTTTTCTTTTTTCTTATGAGACAGAGTCTTGCTCTGTCATCAGGCTGGAGGGCAGTGGCACGATCTCAGCTCACTGCAACCTCTGCCTCCTGGGTTCAAGTGATTCTCCTGCTTCAACCTCCTGAGTAGCTGGGACTACAGGCTTGCACCACCTCACCCAGCTAATTTTTGTATTTTTTTTAGTAGAGACAGGGTTTTACCATGTTGGCCAAGCTGGTCTCGAACTCCCTACCTCAAGTGATCCACCCACCTTGGCCTCCCAAAGTGTTGGGATTATGGCTGTGAGCCACCACGCCCAGCCAAAATTTCTTTTCTTTAAGAATGTTGTATATTGGTCCCCACTCTCTCCTGGCCTGTAGGGTTTCTGTTGAGAGATCCCCTGTTAGTCTGATGGGCTTCCCTTTATGCATAACCCAACCTTTCTCTCTCACTGCCCTTAACATTTTTTCCTTCATTTCAACTTTGGTGAATCTGATAATTATGTGTCTTGAGGGTGCCCTTCTTGAAGAGTATCTTTGTGGTGTTCTCTGTATTTCCTGAATTTGAATGTTGGCCTGCCTTGCTAGGTTAGGGAAGTTCTCCTGGATAATATTCTGAAGAGTGTTTTCTAACTTGGTTCCATTCTCCCCGTCACTTTCAGGTACACCAATCAAATGTAGATTTGGTCTTTTCACATAGTTTCATATTTCTTGGAGGTTTTGTTCATTTCTTTTCACTCCTTTTTCTCTATTCTTGTATTCTCGCTTTATTTCATTAATTTGATCTTCAATTGTTGATATCCTTTCTTCTGCTTGATTGAATCAGTTATTTAAGCTTGTATATGCTTCACGAAGTTCTCATACTGTGGTTTTCAGCCCCTTCAGGTCATTTAAGCTCTTCTGTACACTGGTTATTCTAGTTAGCCATTCATCTAACCTTTTTTCAAGGTTTTTAGCTTCCTTGCAATGGATTAGAACATGCTCCGTTAGCTCAGAGAAGTTTGTTATTACCGACCTTCTGAAGCCTACTTCTGTCAATTTGTCAAACTCATTCTCCATCCAGTTTTGTTCCCTTGCTGGCAAGGAGTTGTGTTCCTTTGGAGGAGAAGAGGTGTTCTGGTTTTTGGAATTTTCAGCCTTTCTGCTCTGGTTTCTTCCCATCTTAGTGGTTTTATCTACCCTTGGTCTTTGATGTTGGTGACCTACGGATGGGGTTATTGGGGCAACCCGCCCCCAATATTTCAATGTATGTTCTTTCTATTTCCCGTAAGTGTCAGCTGGCTGAGAAATAAAGAGAAAAAGTACAAAGAGAGGAATTTTATAGCTGGGCCGCCGGGGGTGACATCACATATCAGTAAGACCATGATGCCCACCTGGGCCTCAAAACCAGCAAGTTTTTATTAAGGATTTCAAAAGGGGAGGGGGTGTATGAACAGGGCCTTTGAACATGCTTCAAAGGGCAAAAAGCAGAACTACTGATAAGGGTCCAACAAAGATCACAAGGCAAAGGGCAAAAACGGAACTCCTAAGGGTCTATGTTCAGTGGTGCATGTATTGTCTTCATAAACATCTTAAACAACAGAAAACAGGGTTCAAGAGCAGAGAACTGGTCTGACCACAAATTTACCAGGGCGGAGTTTCCCAACCCTAGTAAGCCTGAGGGTACTGCAGGAGACCAGGGTGTATCTCGGTCCTTTTCTCAACCACATAGGATAGACATTCCCAGAGTGGCTGTTTATAGACCTCACCCTGGGAATGCATTCCTTTCCCAGGGTCTTAATATTTATATTCCTTGCTAGGAAAAGAATTTAGTGATATCTCTCCTATTTGCACGTCCATTTATAGGCTCTCTGCAAGAAGAAAAATAGAGGTTTTTTGCCTGACCCTGCAGGCAGTCAGACCTTATGGTTGTCTTCCCTTGGTTCCTAAAAGTTTCTGTTATTCTGTTCTTTTTCAAGGTGTGCTGATTTCATATTGTTCGAACACACATGTTTTACAATCAATTTGTACAGTTAACACAATTATCACAGTGGTCCTGAGGTGACGTACATACTCAGCTTACGAAAATAACAGGATTAAGAAATTAAAGACAGGCATAAGAAATTATAAAAGTATTATTTGGGAACTGATAAATGTCCATGAAATTTTCACCATTCATGTTCCTCTGCCGTGGCTCCAGTCAGTCCCTCCATTTGGGATCCCTGACTTCCTGCAACATGGGGTTTTGGTGTGGGTGCCCTTTCTGTTACGTTGATGCTATTCTTTTCTGTTTGTTAGTTTTCCTTCTAACAGGCCCCTCAGCTGCAGGTCTGTTCGAGTTTGCTGGAGGTCCACTCCAGACACTGTTTGCCTGGGTATCACCAGCAGAGGCTGCAGAACAGCAAATATTGCTGCCTGATCCTTCCTCTGGAAGCTTTGTTCCAGAGGGTCTCCCGCCTGTATGAGGTGTCTGTCAGCCCCTACTGGGAGGTGTCTCTCATTCAGGCTACACGGGGGTCAGGGACCCACTTGAGGAGGCAGTCTGTCCATTAATGGATCTCGAACGCCATACTGGGAGAACCACTGCTCTCTTCAGAGCTGTCAGGCAGGGTTGTTTAAGTCTGTAGAAGCTGTCTGCTGCCTTTTTTTCAGATATGCCCTAGACAGTCTAGAGAGGCAGTAGGCCTTGTTGAGTTGCAGTGGGCTCTGCCCAGTTCGAGCTACCCTGCGGCTTTGTTTACACTGTGGGCATAAAACTGCCTATTCAAGCCTCAGCAATGGCAGACGCCCCTCCCCCTGCCATACTCCAGCATCCCAGATTGATCTCAGACTGCTGCACTAGCAGTGAGCAAGGATCTGTGGGCATGGGACCCACTGAGCCAGGCGTGGGAGGGAATCTCCTGGTCTGCTGGTTGCAAAGACTGTGGTAAAAATGCAGTATTTGTACAGGAGTGTACTGCTCCTCCAAGTACAGTCACTCATGGCTTCCCTCGGCTAGGAAAGGGAAATCCCCTGACCCCTTGCACTTCCCAAGTGAGGCAACATCCTTCCCTGCTTCAGCTTGCCCCTCCATGTTCTGCACCCAGTGTCCAACCAGTCCCAATGAGATGAGCCAGGTACCTTAGTTGGAAATGCAGAAATCACTCATCTTCTGTGTCAATCTCCCTGGGAGTTGTAGACCGGAGCTGTTCCTATTCGGCTGTCTTGGAAGTGCCTCTTAAATTTTTAATTAAAAAAAGAAATAGGCTGGGCATGGTGGCTCATGCCTGTAATCCCAGCACTTTGGGAGGCCAAGGCAAGTGGATCGCTTGAGGTCAGGAGTTTGAGACCAATCTGGCCAACATGGTGAAACATGGTCTCTACTAAAAATTTAAAAATTAGCCAGAAGTAGTGGCATGCACTTGTAATCCCAGCTACTCGGGAGGCTGAGGCTGGAGAATTGCTTGAACCCGGGAGGTGGAGGTGGAAGTAAGCCAAAATTGCGCCACTGCATTCCAGCCTGAGTGACAGAGTGAGCCTCTGTCTCAAAAAAAGAAAGAAAGAAAGAAAGAAAGAAAGAAAGAAAGAAAGAAAGAAAGAAAGAAAGAACAGAAATAAAGAAAATGCAAAGAAAAAACTCAGTAGATAGAATAAACTCTAGGTGGTTGAGTCAAGAGGTTATTAGGAATTTAGAAGATAAAACTAAAGAACAGCATGCAATGTTAAGATTTTTAAATAGGTTAAAAGTGCAGTTAAGGTACATGAAGATTTGATTGTGAGCCTATAACATATTTCCAGTAAGAATTTCAGAAGAGGAGGATAGAGGAAATTTGAAGCTACAAAATCCAAAAAGTAATGGCAAAGAATTTAAAGGATATGAGACCTAAGAAACATCAAGGGCATAGCAAGATAAATGAAAATAAATCCACCCACTGAAGAGAAAATGCACCATATAAAGTGGTAATCTTAAAAGCTATCAGACAGATCACCCTTCTCATTAGTCATGATAGATAACAGGAAGCAAGGGAATTGCTGCTTCAAACGCGAAGTATTATGTCTGTAAATTAGAATTCAGTTCAGCTACAAGTTACAGAAAAACCCCAAATAGCAGTGACTTAAACAACCAGAGACTTAAACAATTTTATTTTTCTTTCGCATCAGAATCTAGAAGATTATCAACTGTTATGTTAGCTTTTTTCTATGTTCCTTAAGGATCTAGGTCACTTCCATCTTTCAGATTTGTGGTGTCCAGGATGTGTCCCATGTCACACAGCCCAAGAAAGCACTTCGGCCATCACATCCATGCTCCCAACCACAGGATGGAGGAACAGGTAAAGAAGCAGCGAAGGACACATTTCAACTGTCTATTGAGGAGGGTTCTGTTGCAGCATCACTATTCCTATCGACATTCATTGGCTAAAATAGTGACATGGCCATGCCTAGAGTGGATGGAAAGTGTAGTCTTCATTTTGGACAGCCACATGCCCAGTTAAAAATTCTATTTCTATGGAACAAACAGACAATGGGCACTGAGGGGAAAGTAGCAATTTCTGTTACACTGTGTATGGAAGAGATCTGAGGCTTTTTGGTTTTTGTTTTTTTAAAAAAGACATTTTAATTCCAAGAATCATAACTACAGTATTATTTACAACAGCAAAAGCTAAGCCAAAAAAGTAACTGAGATCTGGTAAGATTTGGGCAACTATGAATAACTTAAGTTTCTATAACAGTGTTGCTCCCTCTTTCGTAGAGCAGGGGTTTTTAACTTGGGGATCATAGATGGCTTTTAGGAGCTCTGTCAACATTTACAATTACATGCAGACCCTTGCAGTTTCCACGCAGTTTCCTGACAGATGGTCCAGAGCTTTTGATAAGTTGTCAGAGGGAACTATGACATCCAGAGGAATTAAAATTAACTTTAAAAAATGAGTTTAGGTTAAATCTTAAGAATTCTATGTAAATGTTTACAGGCTTTTGAATATTGAGAACAAACTTGCCCAACCAAGTCCTGCTCAGAATTGAATGGTGTTGCTGGTGTTGATAATGGGAAGATTTTCTCCATAGACTTCTGGTTTGCACCACTCATCCTTTGCAGAAACTCCTCTATTATTAGTTATTTTTTAATAGCTTGCCTTACAAGCAAATTGCTCTCCCTTATAAGACGGAATTTTGTTTCTTAGACATCTTTGTATGATGCCATGCACAACGTCCAGCCCATAGTAGGCATCCTACTGATAGCTGGATGTCCATTTCATTATTCCCTAGCAGCTACCTGTCTAGCTTGGTGCTATTCATTTCATGCTGCCTAGAGGAGAGTCCATTTGATGATAAAAAGCTGTTGTTGTTCTTTTAATGTTTAACTTTGTTTGCTGCTTTCCAATTTCTCCCTGAAATTAGGCTGCATAGATATGGTATCCTCCTCTTCATAGAAATGATAATGCTCTTGAGCTTGGATGTATTAATTACTCAATTTTGGATAAGGAGCTCACAGGATAGGTTGATAGAAGCCAAATTTCTTAATTCCTTCTCCTGGTATTATCCACTTAACCACACAACTTTTGCAGAGGATGAAGGACAGCACATCACTCCTGCTGTTTAGATCCCACACCCAGTGTCTACATCCAACATCCAATTTTCCCCAAGTGCTCTTCTGCCATTATCTTAGTCTGAGGAACAAGAGGAAGAGGCTTTGATCAACAATATACAACAACAGAGTACCTTAAAACCTTCAAGGCCTCAACCAGCATCCTTACAGCAATCACCTAGAGTACACGTCAAATTTTTTTGAAATAATAATTGTTGCTAACGTTTATTAAACTGATTTTACTATTGTTGCTTTAAAAGTGTACCTAATATGTGTCATGAATATAATCCTTCATGTGACCCAAAGAGTTGTTGCTGTTATTTTTTCCCCATTTTACAGATGAGGAAACTAAAGTACAGAAATGTAAAATAACTTGTTCACTGTCACACAATTAGTTAGTGAAGGAAACAGATTTCAAATATAGGCAGTCTGACTTCAGAGACTGAGTTCTCAACCACTGACTCTCAACGTGCCCAGTGCAGATACCAACAAGCCAAGTGCCCTGACTACCTGTGTAAGACTTTCAGTATGGTGCGGTGGTTAAAAGCCCATTCTCTGGAGACAGGTAAAGCCACATTTTAATTTCAGGTCCACTAGTACTGACGTAGATAAGTTATTTAAACTTGATTCAATGAATCATTTAAACCCTCTGAGCCACCTCTCATCTGCAAAGTATCCATCCTTGTACCTCTTTTGCAGGATTGCTGTATGGATTAAGTGTAAATTGCTTAATGTAACACCTGGCACAAAGCATATACTCAGTACACCCACACACACACACACACACACACACACACACACACTAGACAAACACAGTGATATAAATGGAAGAGCTGAAACTCCATCTAGATTATCTGACTCCCCTCCAATCACATTTTGCTATTAAAGAAAATATGGCTAGAGATATAGTTTGCTGAATCAGACCTAACTAGGGCTGGGTGCAGGGACACATGCCCGTAATCCCTACTCTGGAGGCTGAGGCAGGAGGATTTCTTGAGCCTAGGAGTTTGAGACCAGCCTGGGCAACATACTGAAATTCTATCTCATCAAATATTTTTTTAAAAAGAAAAAGAAAGAAAGAAAGAAAAAAGACCTAACTAGTGATAGGAGAAAGACAGGGAGCAGGAAAAAGTTCGATTCTAGATGAAACTTTGACACAGGGGACTTTCTTATAATACTCTCATGCAGTGCATGAGAATGAGCTGAGCTATAAATTGTCTTTTAAATACAGCCATTGGAATGTGCAGGTCTAATTCTGAAATGGCTCAAAATGTTTCATGAAGGAGCCTGAGAGCAGGGGGATGAAAATGACCCACAAAGGTGACTTCCTGCTTCACACAAAGGACAGAAAGAGGGAAAGCTTAAACTATGTAGCCTAACAAACTGGAAAGGAGAGGAGATCTGTCAGCAATAATGACTGTTGTCTAGTTCATTAGGAAGACAAAGCTCAACCCCAGACAAAGAATGTTTAGGAACCGAAAATTAAATGACGCTTTGCACATTAGATCTCATTAATGACTCTTAAGACAAAGTCAAGAAGACTCAGGCATCACAGGTAATATTGCCTAGTAATAAACATATTGATTACCAAATGCATAGTAATTGAAGGAAAAGAAGAGCATCCCTGATAAGACCCTGGGGCTTCAAATGTATTTTTGAAAGAAGGTGTTAAAATTTGCAAGAAGTAAAAGAGTACAATAAATACAAGATCATTTCAGAGGTCTTTGTTCATCATTTCAGGAGAAGAAAACAAGCCTGGTAGCGGAAAATTATGTCGGGTGCTTTTAAATTACCATTTTCAATCCTTTCTTAGAGCCTAGAAAAGTTCATGCACTCATTCACTAGGTTTGAATTGCTAAAGGATCACTGCAAAACAGTGTGGAGTAATTAACATGGCAGAAACTCATCAAGTTGTCTCCAGAAGGTCAAATGCATGATGCACAGAATACAATTAGGAGGTCAAACTGTCCTGTCAACTTTTCCATCATTAGCTGTTTATAGGGGTCAATACCTTTCAAGGATATGAGCCTAAAAGTAAAATTTCTAAGCAGCTGGCAGAATTGTTGAACCCTTTTGCATTTTCTTTAATCATCTAAGGCAACCACATTTTAAGAGCCCTTAAAAATATTAAGAATATATAATAACATGTTTAAACCAATAGTCATGAATAGACTAAGGTTCATTTTTCAGTCAGTAATAAGTAGAACTAACAATATAATAGCTCAATTGAAATCTTTAGTTCAATTCTGGCCAAATTAAAACGCAACAAACAAAATTAAGCACAAATTTCTGACCTCTGTCATCCCAAATCATGTCAGAACTTTGGAAAAAAATGTCACTTTCACAACAAAGCAATTTGTGAGATGAGATGAGAGGATGGAAGAGAAATGAACCATCTGAGACTTTGTTATGATAATCTAAGTTCAGAATATTTTAAAGTTAAATGAAGCATATATTAATTGTTCAAGCAGAATTTTTTAAAGTAAAAAAAGACCCAAATTATGTGGTCAATTTTAGAATAAGTGTGATGTGGTGCTGAGAAGAATGTATATTCTGTTGATTTGGGGTGGAGAGTTCTATAGATGTCTATTCAGTCCACTTGGTCCAGAGCTGAGTTCAAGTCCTGGATATCCTTGTTAATTTTCTGTCTCATTGATCTGTCTAATATTGACAGTGGGGTGTTAAAGTCTCCCACTATTATTGTGTGGGAGGCTAAGTCTCTTTGTAGGTCTCTAAGAACTTGCTTTATGCATCTGGGTACTCCTGTATTGGGTGCATATATATTTAGGATAGTTAGTTCTTCTTGTTGCATCGATCCCTTTACCATTATGTAATGCCCTTCTTTGTCTTTTTTGATCTTTGTTGGTTTAAAGTCTGTTTTATCAGAGACTAGGATTGCAACCCCTGCTTTTTTTTATTTTTTATTTTTTTGATTTCCATTTGCTTGGTAAATATTCCTCTATCCCTTTATTTTGAGCCTATGTGTGTCTTTGCACATGAGATGGGTCTCTGAATACAGCACACTGATGGGTCTTGACTCTTTATACAATTTGCCAGTCTGTGTCTTTTAATTGAGGCATTTAGCCTGTTTACATTTAAGGTTAGTATTTTTATGTGTGAATTTTATCCTGTTATTATGATGCTAGCTGGTTATTTTGCCCATTAGTTGACGCAGTTTCTCCACAGTGTTGATGGTCTTTACAAATTGGTATGTTTTTGCAGTGGCTGGTACTGGTTTTTCCTTTCCATATTTAGTGTTTTATTCAGGAGCTCCTGTAAGGCAGGCCTGGTAGTGACAAAATCTCTGAGCATTTGCTTGTCTGTAAAGGATTTTGTTTCTCCTTCACTTATGAAGCTTAGTTTGGCTGGATATGAAATTCTTTTCTTTAAGAATGTTGAATATTGGCTGCCACTCTCTTCTGGCTTGTAGGGTTTCTGCTGAGAGATCTGCTGTTAGTCTGATAGGCTTCCCTTTGTGGGCAACCCGACTTTTCTCTCTGGCCGCCCTTAACATTTTTTCCTGTCTTTCAACTTTGGTGAATCTGACAATTATGTGTCTTGGGGTTGCTCTTCTCGAGGAGTATCTTTGTGGTGTTCTCTGTATATCCTGAATTTGAATCTTGGCCTGTCTTGCTAGGTTGGGGAAGTTCTTCTGGATAATACCCTGAAGAGTGTTTTCCAACTTGGTTCCATTCTTCCCATCACTTTCAGGTATACCAATCAAATGTAAGTTTGGTCTTTTCACATATCCCATATTTCTTGGAGGCTTTGTTCATTCCTTTTAATTCTTTTTCTCTAATCTTGTCTTCATGCTTTATTTTGCTAAGTTGGTCTTCAATCTCTGATATCCTTTCTTCCGCCTGATTGATTTGGGTATTGATACTTGTGTACGCTTCATGAAGTTCTCATGCTGCATTTTTCAGCTCCTTCAGGTGATTTATGTTCTTCTCTAAACTGGTTATTCTAGTTAGCAATTCCTCTAACCTTTTTTCAGAGTTCTTAGCTTCCTTGCATTGGGTTAGAACATGCTCCTTTAGCTCAGAGGACTTTGCTATTACCCACCTACTTCTGTCAATTCATCAAACTCATTCTCCGTCCAGTTCTGTTCCCTTGCTGGCAAGGAGTTGTGTTCCTTTGGAGGAGAAGAGGTGTTTTGGTTTTTGGAATTGTCAGGCTTTTTGTGCTGGTTGTTCCTCATCTTTGTGGATTTATCTATCTTTGGTCTTTGACGTTGGTGACCTTTGGATGGGGTTTTTTGTGGACTTCCTTTTTTGTTGATGTTGATACTATTCCTTTCTGTTTGTTAGTTTTCCTTCTAACCATCAGCCCTTCTGCTGCAGGTCTACTGGAGTTTGCTGGAGGTCCATTCCAGACCCTGTTTGCCTGCGTATCACTAGAGGAGGCTGCAGAACAGTAAAGATTGCTGCCTTCTCCTTCCTCTGGAAGCTGCATCCTAGAGGGGCACCTGCCAGAGCCAGAGCTCTCCTGTATGACATGTCTGTTGACCCCTGCAGGGAGGTGTCTCCCAGTCAGGAGGCATGGGGATCAGGGACCCACTTGAGGAGGTAGTCTGTCCCTTAGCAGAACTCCAGCACTGTGCTGGGAGATCCACTGCTCTCTGCAGATCCATCAGATAGGGATGTTTAAGTCTGCTGAAGCTGCACCCACAGCTGCCCCTTCCCCCAAGTGCTCTGTCCCAGGGAGATGGGAGTTTTATCTATAAGCCCCTAACTGGGGCTGCTGCCTTCCTTTCAGAGATGCCCTGCCTAAAGAGGAGGACTAGAGAAGCAGGCTACAGAGGCTTTGCTGAGCTGTGGTGGGCTCCACCCAGTTCGAGCTTGCTGGTGGCTTTGTTTATACTGTGAGGGAAAACCACCTACTCAAGCCTCAGTAATGGTGGACGTGGCTTCTCCCTCCACCAAGCCAGAGCATCCCAGGTCCACTTAAGACTGCTGTACTAGCAGCAAGAATTTCAAGCCAGTGGATCTTAGCTTGCTGGACTCCATGGGGGTGGGATCCGCTGAGCTAGACCACTTGGCTCCCTGGCTTCAGCCCCCTTTCCAGAGGAGTGAATGGTTCTGTCTCACTGGCATTCCAGGTGCCACTGGGGTACGAAAAAAATCTTCTGCAGCTAGCTCAGTGTCTGCCCAAACTGCCCCCTAGTTTTGTGCTTGAAACCCAGGGCCCTGGTGGTGTAGACACCCTAGGGAATCTCCTCTCCTGTGGGTTGTGAAGACCATGGGAAAAGCATAGTATCTGGGCTGGAATGCACTGTTCCTCATGGCACAGTCCCTCATGGCTTTCCTTGGCTAGAGGAGGGAGTTCCCTGACCCCTTGCACTTCCCAGGTGAGGGGACACCCCACCCTGCTTCGGCTCACCCTCTGTGGGCTGCACCCAATGTCTAACCAGTCCCAGTGAGATGAACCAGGTACCTCAGTTGGAAACTCAGAAATCACCCACCTTCTGTGCTGATCTCGCTAGGTGCTGCAGACCAGAGCTGTTTGTATTCACCCATCTTGCCAGCCACCCAACCATGGTAAGGATTTTAAACACATGATTTTATTTAATTCACAAAACAACCAGAGGAGAGGTAGGTATTTTTCCCATTTCACTGAGCAAGAAACTGAGGCTTATAGAGATTATCTAAATTGAGCAAGAAACTGAGGCTTATAGAGATTATCTAACTTGCTCAAGGTGACCCAGCTAATAGGTAGTATATTTGGTATCGGGGGAACCCGCCCCCAATAATTCAATGTGAGTCCTTTTCTATTTTCCCTAAGTGTTGGTCAGTCTGAGAAATAAAGGGAAAGTGTACAAAAGAGGGAAATTTTAAAGCTGGGTGTCCGGGGGAGACATCACATGTTGGCAGGTTTCATGATACCCCGCAAGCTGCAAAACCAGCAAGTTTTTATTAGTGATTTTAAAAGGGGGAGGGAGTGTACAAATAGGGTGTGGGTCACAGAGATCACATCCTTCACAAGAGAATAAAATATTACAAGGCAAATGGAGTCAGGGTGAGATCACAGGACCGGAGCGAAATTAAAATTGCTAATGAAGTTTCGGGCATGCATGGTCATTGATAGCATGGTCATTGATAACATCTTATCAGGAGACAGGGTTTGAGAGGAGACAACCTGTCTGATCAAAATTTATTAGGCAGCTATTTCCTCATCCTAACAAGCCTGGGAGTGCTATTGGAGACCGGGGCTTATTTCATCCCTTATCTACAACTGCAAAAGACAGACATTCCCAGAGCAGCCATTTCAGAGACCTACCCCTAGGAAAGCATTCTCTTTCTCAGGGCTGGTCCTTGCTGAGAAAAAGAATTCAGCAATATTTCTCCTATTTACTTTTGAAAGAAGAGAAATATGGCTCTGTTCCGCCCAGCTCTCAGGCAGCCAAACCTAATAGTTATCTCCCTTGTTCCCTGAACATCGCTGTTATCCTTTTCTTTTTTCAAGGTGCCCAGATTTCATATTGTTTAAACAATTTGTGCAGTTAACACAATCATCACAGGGTCCTGAGGCAACATACATCCTCAGCTTACAAAGATGACGGGATTAAGAGATTAAAGTAAAGACAGGCGTAGGAAATCACAAGAATATTGATTGGGGAAGTGATAAGGGTCCATGAAATCTTCACAATTTATGTTCAGAGATTGCAGTGAAGACAGGTGTAAGAAATTATAAAAGTATTAATTTTGGGAACTAATTTGGGAACTAATAAATGTCCGTGAAATCTTCACAATTTGTGTTCTTCTGCCATGGCTTCTCTAGTCCCATGGTCCCTCCGTTTGGGGTACCTGACTTCCCGCAACAATCTGGGACTCCAAATCTTTGCTTCTAACACCACACCATTCTCTTATCCAAACACCAAATGTCTTTGCTCTTATTACATGGCTGGGAACTGGGTTCACTATAATCTCTTTATATCCTAGTTTACTCTGGGCATCACTGCCATCTCTAAATTGTCCACAGGACACATCTTCAAATTTCCCCACCTCTCCTTCCTCTGGCTGACCTTTTGCCTAAACCACTAAAGGAAACTAAACAAAGCCATGTAGGACAAAACAAAACCAAGTTTCATTTATTCCATTAAAACATGGGCCTTTCAATGCAATGGGTGCCTCCATAGATTTTAGGCCAAAAATTGCAAGCCCCTGTGATCTTTTCTTAAATCTATGTTTCTGTTTAATTTTGATTGTGCTCATGGTCTTGGTAGGAACTGATTTCCACTGGCTCTCCTTGCCCTGTTATCAGAGGGCCTATTTTGAGGCCCAGGGTTTTCCTGAGACCCTTTGTGTATATCCAGTTCTGACTCATAAAACACAATGAGGAATTTACAACTCTGATTTCTGCTATAGGCATAGGCATAAAATTAGCCACCTAATTCCACATCGTTGTTGTTTTTCGTAATTACTTCTTTATTAAACTACACATGTCACAGCAGGAGGGGACGTTGAAGTTATTTTACCTCAGAATTTAGTGTGAGGGTGTGTTGGGTGTCTTTCCTCTGCCCCATCCCCTGCACCAGGCCCTAGGAGATGGTCCCCCTTGGACCACCTCAATAGGTACCTTGTCCTCTGGTTGAATTTGGTCAATGGGCAGGAGGAGGGTTGAGGCTACAGTATCCATTCCCTTGGCTTCCTTCCTGCTGGGTTACTGTGGGTGTCTGTGTCTTTCTGGGAAGCCATGGCTCCTATCATGTGCAGCTCTCTCTCCAATCCCTATAACTTTTCTCTTTAAGTCTACAGTTGATGGCTCCCTGCTCGGGCTAGCCTTGGGATACTCCACTATCTCTTGTGTATTTTCCTCCACCCGCTTCTATTTTTATAAATAGTCCCTTTATTAAATACCCTAAATTTAATACCTATTTTGCATATACCATCTCCGATCTTGTGCACTCTGACTAATACAGATGAGATAAGCATTCACATGACTTGAAATTTTCCTTGCAGGCATGGCAGCGAAGATGATTGCCTGCTTAATCAAGTGACATTGTGAAAGATTAAATCCCACCTGTGCTCTGCATTGCCTGTGGTTTCGTCACAACCAGTTTCCTCCTCATTTAGGAAGAAAACACTGTGAAATAAGCGCATCAGGTGGTTATGCAGAAGAAACGACGCCTAACTGGCTTCAGAATGAGGTTAATCTGGAGGTCAGATTGCCCCCAAAACCACCTGAGCCCACACTTGGTATAACCCTGTTAAAAAACAAAGTGGAACAAACAAAAATGTTACCTTGACACTGAAGAAAAAAATAAGTATGATTCTTGATCTCTTGCATAGATACACCCTACAGTTGGGGACACTTCCTAGTACTTGTTAATCTGCCCAAGTGTGAGATTAAACTATTTTAAAACCATAATTTGAGGATGAAGCCAATAAAACTGCTCATTTGCCTTCAAGAAGCAAAGCCAGTGCTGCATTGGATAGAACGTGGGCCCAGAGTGGGGTTTGCTGTTCTTAGCATACAGGCCAACGAAACTTCTGCTCTTTCTTGTGACCCATGAGGATGAATCACAGAAAAAAATAAAGCAACAGTTTAGATTTTGTGTTTTTCTTTTTTTTTTTTTTATGTGAAAAGGGAAAATGAGGAGATGATACAATGCTCTAAAGTAGAAAGCGTTGGCTAAACATCAGGCAATCTGAGCTCCCAACCATCTCATTTTTGGTTTTTTGTTTTTTCATCAAGAAAGGTCTCAGTTGCCCAGGCTAGAGTGCAATGTCGTGATCATAGCTCACTGCAGTCTCAAACCTCCTGCTTCACCCTCTCAAGTAGCCAGGACTACTAGCTTGGCTAAGTTTTTTAAAGAATTTTTTGTAGAGATAGGGTTTCACTATGTTGCCCAGGCTGGTCTCAAACTCCTGGGCTCAAGCAGTCCTCCTGCCTTTGGGCCTCAAAGCACTGGGATTACAGGTATGAGTCACCATGCCCAGCCCTGTAACCATCATGCATTTGAGTTTTTGAAAGCCACTTAGCATCTTTTTGCCTTTGTATTCTCTTCTGTAAAATGAGATGACTGAACTACCTGACCATGTACTAGTGCAAATTAGACTGTGAGAACAGAGCACCGAACATTGTATATACCATGCTGGGCCACAGAGTACAGCAGCTGAGGGGCTTGACTGGGCGGCCAGGCTGCCTGAGTTCTGCTCCTTGCCTCAGCCTTTGAGAAGTCTGCCCTTGGCAAATCCTCCAACTATTTTGTATATCAGTCTCCTAATATAAAAATTAGGATAATGCAGCACCTTCCTCAGAAAGTTGTGAGTATTAAATGAACCAATATGTGTAAAAATGTTTAGAACAATGCCTGATATGTGGAAAGTGCTAAGTAGTAACTAGTATTACTAATGCCAAGCAGGGAAGGGGTTAGTGGGTGGGAACCCTCCTCATTACTTCTACCAAGTGTTATTGTACCCATCTAGGGTATAAGAACTGTGGAAACCCAGGTTTACACTGTAGAGTTACTCTAATTATAGCATATCATGGAGTTAATTGTGGACCCCATTTAACAACAGCTTTGTCACAGGGCAGTTTTGCAAGAGTGAGACTGAACTCTATTGTTTTCATCCTCATTATCTTAAATGAACAGTTTGCAATATGTGATAATACCACTGGCATCTGTTTCTGAATGTTTCCACTCACAAGACCCAAAACAATTCCACAAAGAAAAGACTTCTTTCGGTTGTTCTGGAGTCTTTCTAAAACAGCTTCTACTGGGAGATTAATTATAGAAGCCACAGAATTTCCTGAAAATGGTAAAACATTTTAAAGAAATACTAAGACACTACATGATAAATGACTTGACTCTTTATTGCCTAACAATCCAAAAGAAAAATGCATGTGTGAAACAGAACAGGATGTAATGGAAATCTATGTAGATGGACTATAAAATGGATTTTATTAACTATTTACAGTGGCTGTGTAAATTGTTTTTGTCTGTGCTTGAGAAAGTTCTGTCATTGTTTTTAGGTCTTTCTTGTTGCTTATCTTTCAGATTTGCAGTATAAAGGTGAGTGGCTCCAAATGTCAGTGGTTGTCAGCTAGATCTTCAGGTAAGCCTCCCCACGTACTGCCAAACTTGCTTACGGCCAGACTGTGGCCTTCAGAGAAAACATCTCTTAAAGAAAGGGAGGAACTGAGAAAAAAAAAAGAGTACCTTTGCATCCTGGTGAATGTCTCATGCAACCACTGTTCTCAGCATTTTATCTTTATTATAAGAACAGAGCTGGGGTAAGTAGCTGAGCAGTGAGCTAGTCCTTTAAGACATAACATAAAATTGTCTCCACAATGTGCTCTTCTAAATATAACTGCTCCTATGTCCCATTTGTGCATTTTTAAAAGTCCATTCCAGAGAAAAATATTCCATATGTTTGGAAAGAATTTCAAATTCTCCAGCTTCTCTGGGTATTGCTACAGTTTGATTTATTGTGAAAACTCCAAGATTTCCTGAAAATGGTCTAGAACTGAGCCAGTGCTTTTTTACTTTTTACTTTTTTATAAGGTGATTTGATCTTGCCTCAAAATATTCAATTACTTTTTTATTCTTTGTGGAATTTACCAAATAGTTTATGAATGGTCAAGACCCCTGGCTTCTCTGCATTGTTCTAGCTTCTGATCCATTCAGGGAACATGAGGAGAGCCCTTGGGGTAATGTTGTGGGGCCAGGGCTAGATTACTATGTAAGTATACTAGTTACCTACAAAATGAGGACACCTCAAAAAATATCACTTTGAAAAAAATAATTTAAAAATTGATATTTCAAAAGAAGTAATAAGACAGTTATCACAGTAGGAAAAATATTGGAGCATTGTTCTGCTTCTTTACACTTAATTATGACTTAATACTGTTTTTATTTTTAATTATATATGGAGGTGGCAGCACTGTAATTTTTTTAGTGCTTAGGTCTTCTAAAATCTTAAGCCAATCCTGATGTGACTCTTACATGTTCATGAAGTGGCCCACATATGCCAGATGCTTCTACATTCTGAGCTTCATGAGTACAGGAACCCTATGCCCTACTGCCTTTCTAGCTTCAGTACCCAGAACAATATGGGGCACACAGCAAGTACACAATAGAGACTGTTATTAAGTCTCTATGACAGCAAGTTGCTATTTCTGTTATTAACAATTCCAGTGAATGTTGCTATTAAGTCAGCTCAGTTTAACTAATGAAGCCACTAAATGCCTTAGGTGCTATAGCTCTTGCCCTTTATCCAGTAGGGGAGAGAAATAAATGTGTTTGAAACAATTAGCGCAGGCCAGGAACGGTGTTGGGTGCTTTACATACATCAATTCTCTCTTTAATCTTCTTATCAAACCCTGAAGTCTGCATCAGCTCCATTTTACATAGAAAGAACCTGAAGCTTAGACAGGTTAAGCAATCTGACAAAAGTCATTCAACAGTAAATGAAATAGTGGAGCATCAGACCAAGGTCAGCCTGACCCCTAAACTACTGCTCTTCATTACACATGTTGCCAGACCACTTAAAGTTCAATAGGCTGATCACTGGTGTTCAAAAACTAAGATAGATGTGTGTTGAAAATAGCCCAGCAAGTTACTATCAAGTCATGCTCAGCATTAAAAAAAAAAAAAATTAAGGAACCTGTAGTCAAGATTGCAGATGGGAGTGAAGTAGGGGGAATTTCCTGACAGTTTTAGGTCACTAGGTAGCAATTCCTGGGTCTACAAGTCTTAGAAATCTCCTGGCCCTTAGGACTCTAAGCCCTTCATTATAGTTTTGAGAAGATCTGGATTTGGGATAGAGCTAAGGGCATATGCCTAAGGGCAGTTTCATAGGACTTGGATTTTGCCCCACATTTTCTGAGCTGTGAAGGTGGGGTGGGGTGAGGAAGTAGTGAGCCCCTAAGAAATGGTACAACAATGCTGACAAAGGAAAGCGAAAAGGGAGGAAATATTCCTCATTCTCTTTTCTTGTACTTCAAACACTGGCTCAGTTCTAGACCATTTTCAGGAAATCCTGGAGTTTTCACAATAAATCAAACTGTAGCAATACCCAGAGAAGCTGGAGAGCAAAGCCTACGGGTTGTAGGTGAGGAAGGAAGCTGAGAAGTGAAGTAGTCTCTCCTTTCTACCTGTTGGACATCTATATTTCTAGGTGGCATTAAACTAACAAACTCTTCTTCCTAACAATAGAAAGACAAGAGTTTGAACTAGAAGAGGAGAAGGTATTTGCTGCATACATGAAGAACTGTCTTAAATGGAAGGCAGAGGCATGGATCCTGTGAAGTCTTTTGAAATAGAAGCCATAATTACCAGTCCCATTGGTATGGGGTAGAGCTAAAGTGCAGGGAGGTGAACAGAGAGCCTTTCAAATTTCTTCTAGCCAGAAATTTCTATAATTATATGGTTCCTTTGGTGAATTCTCCACTCCATCTTACTCTTTTTCAGTCTACCTTTTCATTGGCTCCGTTTGTAATAGAAAAGCAAAAGTTATTCCCCAGTTGTATAAGGCCGAGTCCAGGTCGTACAGAATAATGAAATGGGAAAGCTCAGAGACCCTAATGTTAGACAATGAAACAAGAAACTCACAGACCTCTGGACATGCCATGAAATGGGAAAATGTGCATTTTACCTCCTCCACAGCACATGGAATTTTGAAGACCAAGGAGAGATAGGAGAACGGGTCATCATAGGTAATACTTGTTATCTGGTTTACCTGTCTAACTTGCTCTTTGTTTTCTCTGGTATCTGAATACAAACTGAATTGTAAAAGAGAACATCAAAGCTAACAGTATGAATTGAGTGTGAAATAAGTCATGACAAGGAGGTGGTTTATGAGTGTGCTGAAAAGAAAGGGGAAAACTCAGGCATAAAGTAATAATGAGTTGCGTCTACTAAGAGACATAGGGAAGAAAGGAGAATAAGATTTGAAAAGTAGATAGCCTATGTGGCAGAGAGCTAATTATCCTGACATCTAATCTTCCAGGAGGCTAACAGTTAGTTCACCTGCTAAAAGTCATCTAGGAGTGAGGTGCAGAGATATTTTTAAATGTGCCATTTTCATAATCTAGCGTGCCTACATCTGATAGTCAAACCCTTAAGGACTAGCTGTTAGAGCAAAATATGAAATACTCTGTTCAGCTCTGTGCTTTAGACACTGGGAAGTTATTAGCAATCATAAGCCTCTTAACACCATTGAAATGAGTTCCTGAAACTTGCTGCTAGACTTGGAAGGCCTGCAGCACCTCTGAGTGAATCAACCAATACTTTATTTTGCATTGCTGTTTTTATCTGATAGATTTAATGGTTTGGAAAAGTGGTCTGGGCAGAGGGTTTGAAAGATATGGAGGGGAAAAAAAAATAAAGAGCAAGACCTAGGTAGGGTTTTAGTTCCAGAACACTTTCTAATTGGCTTTGCTATCTTGGTCATTTAGGTAAATTTACAGAATTATACCATTCCAGGCACTTTACAGGAATTAGCTCATAAAGCTCTGGAACAACCCTATGAAATAGGTACTGTCATTATTAATTCTGTTTTATAGGCAAGGAAACTGAGGCTTAGAGAGGCTAAGTAGCTTGCCCAAAGTCACACGGGAAGTAAACCAGAGAGGTCCAATTTGTGTCCAGCCTTTCCTCCCTGAGGAGTCCATGCCCTTATGTACTTTGCTATATGGCAGTTTTGAGCTTGTCTGCAATTACCATGTGTAGACAAGGTACTAGACACTACTAGACACTGCTGGACACAGAGCCACATCTGAAGATACAGTGCAGCCCAAATAGACATGGCCCCTGAATACATGGTTCTTACAGTCGGAGCAAAAGCAGACATTAAACAAATACTTTGAAATTCTTAAATGATCTCAAGTGTGCAAGGAGTTCTGAAGAAGGAAGGGACATTAGGTTTTTTTCCTCAATAAAACAAGAAAACTAAATTAATACAATCTCCCTTCCAACTCTATCATTCTCTTCTTTTCAAAAATTTGCAACCCCAAATACAATGTAAGCCAACAATACAAATCATTAGACCTACAAAACTTCTGTTCAGCTCACAGAGCTTGTGCTGACCTATGAAAGCCCCATGTTCTTCAATTTCAACAGCTCTCTTTTTAATTTTAGGCCTTCTAGGAGGGGCCTACTAGGTTTGCCTAACTCATTACATTGATAGAGTGCCTTAAAGTTGACCAACATTTTCCCATGTCTTAGAGTCTTCCCGACCATCTTGTGAGGTGGGCGCTTGTCCCTCCATTTGTGAGTCATAGTCGTATTCACTGAGCACTCTGTTATGTGCCAGACCCTGAGCTACACACTTCACATACTTTATCAGTCAGTCTTCATAACAATCTTCCTGTATGAAGGAAGTAAATATCATGATAGATGAAGAAGTCAAGGCTTAGAGAAATAATTTGTCTAAAGTCTAACAGCTGGGAGGTGGAGAAACAGGGATTGTCTGCTCCATAGCCTGAACTCATGGCACCCTATTGGGAGATTTGGCTTCCCAAGGACATGCAGCCAGTGAAGGGCAATGTTAGTATTTGAACTTCAGTCCTTTGTTCTTTCCTCCATAACCCAGATACCTCTATATACCTATGTCTGCTTTTGTGGTTTGAGCACATAGGCTAGTGGAAAGATATTTTGAAATATCTTAAGTGTAGATAAATTGAGGAATATGTTCTACTTCATTTGGCTATTGTCAAGTTTTTTTGTGTGTGTGGGAACAAAGAAGGTTTGCATTTATAAGGCAGAATTATTAGCAAAGGCATTTCCCATGTATGACTGGAGCTAAGCCCTGAACTTGCCTTACTCGTTTTTGACATGTTTATTAACAGTCGAGAAATGCAGAAGCGTGGAAGGCAGACACACTGCACTTAAGCTCTGATGTAGTTGGCTAAAAGAAACTGACCTCCAAGCCAATACAATCCTCAAATGTAGATGTTGCCCAAGAAAGTAGACTTCGAAATCTTCAATGTCCTTAGATGTTCCATTGGATTTTTCTGTGACTCGGTCTTGCTCCTCTAAAACTCATATCAAGAAAGATCCTTTGGGGTCTTTTGATAAAATAAAATTGATAAGTGAATAATATTGTTTACATCAAACATAGTTTAGTACATGAGTGCTCTGTAATGCTATTCAAGGAACATGACTGTCCACGTTTTAAAATTAATATTTTAAAATAAAACCAATGGGGAAATCTGGCTAATTTTAAGCAATGTTGTATTTTTATAAGTTATCAAGAAAAAATGTGCTTGGTATAGAAAGTTGTTTAGTTTTAGAAATAAAAATATAGGCAAATAAACCCCAGAAAGAAACAAAAACATAAGGGTTTGGGCACAAATAGAAGAATCTTAAAAATCAGATTAAAGATAAGAAAAAATTATAGACCCGGTTTCTGACCAGCAATTTACTTCCCTGACACTAGATGGGGCTCACCGGTTGAGGTTATTTCCTTTCCCGATTTGCAGACAACGTAGAGAATTCAACTGGGATTTGGGTTTAGCATTTTAAAAGATAAGTTATTGGAAGTTATTCAATGGGAATCCTAATAAGATTGACTTTTTTGTTGACAACAATAGTCTTATTGAGCAAAGCTAGCTTTATCCCAATTTAACATGAAATAGGTCACTATTAGAAAAGACAGCTTTATTGTGTTTGTATTTGGGATTAACGGATAAAATAAATAGTTCTTTTCTTCCCACAGGGGTTGATGGGCCAGCTTTATTCTAAATGACTGAAGACTTCTGTTCTTTTCAACAAACACAGTCCTCCAATTAGGAGCTGCAAATAAGATTATATGCCCTGAATAAGTCTGAAAAGGTCCTTTTATAATTAGAAAGTTTGTGTGTGGGAAGTGGAAGCAGCATGAAGTGCTCACTGTGGCTTTATTAAAAGAGTGACATGAAGATTTTCCCAAATCCTCATCTGAGTGCTCGAAAATGATAAAATAAAAATTATGAAAAACTGTATGCATATTCCATTTCTTCTTTTTCTTTCTGAAAGCTTTCACATTTATGCTATAGAAACAAGTCAATGGTTTTTTAAAATTTTATCAGGCATATTCGAAACAGACTGTCATTTGATAGTGTGCAGATTGTTAAAATACAAGTGAAAATGATTTCAATGAAGGGATGAAGTTTAATACAGTGCATACTTTATATTTTCATTTTAACACTTTTATGATCGTCACTCCATCACTACAGTGACATAATATTTTGTTAAATATGGTTGGACTTAACTTATATTAAGCTTCCTGGTCTGTGGACACACAGGACTGATTGTGCTCAGCTACTCTTCTAGACCAATCAGACTTTAGTATGTAAATGGACATTTCCTGGATGAACCAATGACCGTCCCCCACGCCCCCCCGCCCTCCCCCCCCCCCCCCCACACACATTGCACTCGGGACCCAGTTGCATACAGCCCTTACAGCTTCACAGAAGGAAGATGCCTGCTGGACACAGCTTCCTATGAGCTAAGACGGGAAGTCAAGGCTGGCAGGAAAGAGGAAGAGCTGAGAGGCTAGATAATAATAGGAAAATAACAGTTCCAGGCACTGTGGACAGAACCACAGCCAATCTGCGGCTCAGCCACTTCCACAAATATATTTTGAGTGCTTACAATGTGCCAGACACTGTCCGGGGGCTGGAGATACAGCAGTGGACAGAGACAGATATCCCTGTCCTCAGAGAGCTGACATTCTAGACTTTCTGAACTAATGTGACTCCAGTGGATTGTTATTTTTTGTAGTTTAAGTTATGAAAAAATTATTATTCGGAGATAAAATTATTTAACAATATTGAATGTGCTCTTTCCAGCTGCATTCTCACTACCCCACTCCTATCCCATCCAGAAATTTAGACACACTCCTCCCTGTAGGGATCACCATGCCACACAGACTATAAATGTGTTCAGCTGCTGGGCTGTTCTACTGAGAGGACTTTTATGTCTAGATGGAACCATAGGCTTTACATCATAGCAAGGTGTAATTTTGACAAATGGTTCTAAGTCCTGGTTGCACAATAGAGTCATCTGGGGAAGCTTTATAAAAACACCTAATGCCTATGATCCCTTGAATATCACACCGACAGCACAGGAAACAGAAGCAAAAGTAGACAAATGGGGCTGCATTGAACTAAAAAGTTTCTGCACAGCAAAGGAAACAATCAGCAGAGTGAAAAGGCAACCTGTGGAATAGGAGAGAATATTTGCAAACCATATATCTGATAAAGGGTTAGTATGGAAAATATGTAAGAAACTCATACAATTTAATAGCAAAAAAATCAATAGCCTAATTTAAAAATGGGAAAATGACTTGAATAGACATTTCTCCAAAGAAAATATACAAATGGTCAACAGGTGTATGAAAAGATGCTCAACATCAGTAATCATCAAAGAAATGTAAATCAAAACCACAATAAAATACCATCTGACACCGGTGTGGACAGCCACTATTAAAAGAAAAAAAAGGAAAAGAAGAAACAGAAGGAAAGAAAAGAATAAATGTTGGTTAGGAAATGGAGAAACTGGAACCCTTGTACGCTGTTGGTGGGGAAAAAAGATAGAGCAGCTGCTATGAAAAACGGTATGGAGATTCCTCAAAAAATTAAAAATAGAGCTACCATATGATCCAGCATTCCCATGTCTGGGTATTTATGCAAAAGAACTGAAATCAGGATCTTGAAGAGATATTTGTCCTCCATGTTTCTTGCAACACTACTCACAATAGCTAAGAGGTAGAAACAACCTAAAGGCCCACCAACTGATGAATGGATAAAGAAAATGTGGTGGGTGCATCCAGTGGAATATTATTCAGCTTTAAAACAGAAGGAAATCCTGACACATGCTACAACACAGAAGAACTTGAGGACATTATGATATGTGAAATAGGCCAGTCACAGAAAGACAAATACTGTATGATTCCACGTGTATGAGGTATCTACTAAAGCAGTCAAACTCATGGAAGGAGAAATGTGAATGGTGATACCAAGGACTAGTGAGGGAGAGAAATGGGGAGCTGCTGTTCAATGATTATAGACTTTCAGTCATGCAAGATGAAAAATTTCTAGAGATTTGCACAACAGATATGTATAACAATGGGCATGTAGTTAACAATACTGTACTGTACACTTAAAAATTTGTTGAGAGGGTATATTTCATGTATGTTGTTGGGTTTTTTTTTACCATAATAAAAACAAAAATGCAAACAAAAAACACCTAATGCCTGGCTCCGCTCTAACCAATTAAATCAGAATTTCTGGGGGTTGGGTGTTGGGCATCCCTTTGTTGTTTTTGATGATGTTGTTTTTCCTCTTTTAGCTGTGCACATTAGAGAGCTTCATGCTAAAAAGTCTCCATAAAACATTATCATCTTCTTCTTCTTTTTTTTTTTTTTTTCTTGAGACAGGGTCTCACTCTGTCACCCAGGCTGGACTGCAGGGACCCATTTTGGCTCACTGCGGCCTCAACCTCCTGGACTCAAGCAATCCTCCCACCTCAGCCTCCCAAGCAGCTGGGACCACAGGCGTGCGCCACAATGCCTGGCTAAAATAGTTTTGTTTTTTTGTTTGTAGATATGGGGTTTCTCCATGTTTCCCAGGCTGGTCTCGAACTCCTGAGCTCAAGCAATATGCCGATGTCAGCCTCCCAAAGTTCTGGATTACAGGCATGAGCCACTATCTTCTTTTTTTAAAATATCCATCCCTCATCTCATATTTGCTCTCTAACAATAACCGTAATACTTAATAATATCTGTTTTAATCAATGGCACCATTGTCCTTCAAGTTACCTGCCTGGAAATGTGAATGTCATACTAAATTCACTCCAACTGCCAGTCATCAATAGTGTTAATTCTACATCTTAAAGATCTATCCATCCCCACCACTCCAACCACATCTTTAGGATGGGTTTTTCTCACTTCTAAAATTGATATCTAGTTATGTTGCTCCACCTTTGAAAATTTTCACCAAATAGCCTAACTTTCAGAATGAACTTTAAACTAAAGCTAATATGCCTCTTTTGCCTACTCTATCCACTGAAATAGAAGGAAGGAGGGTCAACTGAAAAGAGGTAAGCTTTACATAGTATATTTTATATGCCTATCATTCATATTTCTTTCTGAGTACTAATAAAATTAGGGTTTGGGTTTTGACTGGACCTTGCTATTCTAAACGTTGCAATTGATTTCTATATGGCTATGCATGTCCTGCCCAAGTCTACATGATCTTACCCTTGCCAACTGCTCAGCCTCATCTTCACATGCAAGCAATGCTCCATCATTTCCAGTCTCCTCTCAACTCCTCAGAAGAGCCATCTCTCTGCCATTTGAACATTGGCACAGGTTGTTCAAACTCTCTACACCTTCCTTCTTCCTGCCCTCCACCAGCTCACTAATCCTTCTCCAGACTTCAAGATCAGCTTATATATTACATTGGCTTAGGGTTGGGAACAGGGATGGTCACAGCAACAGATGATATAACAAAGATGGCTGGCAGTGCCCAAGGACTTTTGAGCCTATGCACCTTCATTTCCAAAGCTGCCTTCTTGAAGCCATCCTGGCCAGCTTCATGGAGTTTACAGGACCCACTCATCCCTTTGTCTTTTACAGGTTACCCAAAAAGAGATGCTCTAGAGGAAATGGCACAAAGCCATAGAATTTTAATTGCAGTTTGTAATTACAAATGTGAGTAAGTCAAAGTTTGCAAAATCTGTAAAACTGAGAAATTACTATGAATTTTGCAACAATGACAAGAATAGTTGTGAGTAGGTCCACACAAACAGATGAGTTATATAAATACAGGAAGCAACTTTTCTCACCCATCCCCAACCACTACAACCAAAGCCAAAATATACCTGTTGGCTACCACCCACTAAAATATGAGCGGGAGAGGTCAAATGAGAAGAGGTGAGATTTATATAGCATATTTTGTATCCTTATAATTAATATTTCTTTCTGAGTACTAACGAAATTGGAATTTGAGTTTTAAGTGGGCCTTGCTGTTCTAAACGGTGCAATTGATTTGGATATTGCTATTGATTTGCTTTTTAGGCTATTATCTACTTGACAACCAGGAAGAATGATCTTCTTTGGATCTGACCTGCCAGATTTGATTCCCAAGGAATGATGAACATCCATTAGAGGGTCCATATATATTAATGAGCAAGAGGGTGTTGAACTGCATACTCTGTAATTATATCCACAATTGCTTCCACATTTAAAACAAGTTTTGATATTATTTGCATGCATCATTGAAAACCAATTATTTATACATGTTGCAATTTTGACTCATAAAAAATGAACATTTGTTTTATACTTTTTGAGTAGAGAAAAATGCAATGAATAGAATATAATCGGTTCCCTAAAATTATCAGTTACCAAAAATATTCCTTTTTGATCCAAGAAAGTCTGTGAAATATGAATGTTTGCATTATTTAGTTTGTTTACTTGCTTGTAGTTATTCTTGTTAAAATTTAAAAGTCCAATTATTTGACTATGACATAGGAATTAGGTCCAAATAATTAGAGAAGCATTTGCCCATTGGTAATTAAAGTTTCTGGGTGAAAGGAATTTAAAAGGTTATATAAGAGATAATAAGTAATATTATCTTCTAGTGAGTAACTATTCCCTTAGTTCTTTGGAAAGGGAATATTAACTCTTCCAGTCTGTATTTTTGTTCATTTTATTCAAATGTGACTTGGAAGGAAGGGTTAGTTGTAGTTAATAGATACCAGCTACATGCCAGACACCGCCATGAAAACTCGGAACACAAAGACAAATAAGAAAAACCTCCTTCCTCAAGAAACTTACATTTCAGTGGGCTGCAGTGCCTAGAAGTTTAAAATATCACATATCGGAAGTTATCTTCTATCCAATATGCTCTCCACCAACACTGAGGAAAGCCAAGACCTCGCATTAAGTGTAGGAACAATCATAAATATTTCAGGGGTTACAAAAATGTCTGCAGGCTCATAAAATTTTGGAACTTATGGGGAAAAATTAAATTTACTGATGGGAACACACAGACGAAGCCAAGCTTGCTCATTTCTTCTGCAGCCCCTTCACATATGGGAGACAGGGTAGTAGGGAGGTTTGGAGAAGTTGAGTGCACTGGTCCTGGAGTTAGGCTAGAAGGAGTCTTTGCTGTCTTTTAGGTTATGACTTTAAGCATCTTATGTAGCAACCCCTTGCCTCAGTTTATACTGCTGCAAAATGGAAGTAATAATTGTGCTCACCCCATAGGACTGTTACAAAGATTAATTGATAACAGGGTCAAAAGGGGCTTAATCAACACAAGCTACTACTGTAATGATCACATTCACTTCTCTCTCAACCCAAATTCTTCAGTATCATTGGAATTCAGTTCTAAATCCATCTCAATTAGGTCCCTTTAAGATGAACTCTAGACATTTCCTGAGGCTGGCTTGAAAAGGAGAGGGAGTAGGGGATGAATTCTTTCTCACTCTCTGCCATCAGATTTGAAACGACTTCATTAGTGGCCCATTTTTTTTTTTCATACTGCAAGCTTTAGGGGCTTTGAAGAAATCCACCTAAAAATGCAGATTCCCCTGGGAATGGCCTATTCCAGTTTTAAGGAGAACAGAGGTGTCAGGTGTAAGGCTCTGTGTTGAGGGGAAGCGAGGGCTTTGCAGCTGCCTTTGTAAACACTATATTAGGAAGGAAAAAAAAATCCTGGCTCAATGCCACCTTTTCCCCCCGTGCCCTGAGAACTGTTGCAGGTCCTTCCCCAAAGCCACATCTGTGAAAGACAGAACTGGTAGGAACAATCCTCAATATACAAGTGCCTAGGAAGCCAGGCAGATGACGAGCTCAGGGGAGCTGGGAGAAGAGTGGCCAATCCATCCTTCTATTGGCAGAAACTTCAAGGAAGCAGAGGTTTGTACAGGTCAGAGTATTTTTTTCACTATGTCTTAGATTGCTGAGGTGAGGAGAATGCAGCACAGTGAAGCCAACACAGAATCAAGTGGCCCTTCTCTTCCATCACTGATGTTCTGAATCACATTGCTGTGGTGGGTAATATTGCTATCTGCAGGAGAAGAAATGAAATAGAGATGGTGATGCTTTGTCTGATTAAACCAGCGCTGCCCAGTAGAAAGAGTGAGAGGCACAAACATGAAGGTGTCATTTTAAACTTTCTAGTAACCCATATCTAAAAAGAGGGGAAAGAAAGAGAAATTTATTTTAACAAAGTGTTTTCTTTAACCCAACATATCCAGTACACCATCATTTCATCAAGTAACCAATTAAAAAATTACTAATAAGAGCTTTTACATTCCTTTTTCTAAGGCTTCAAAATCTGGTGTGGATTTTATACCTATAGCACATTGCAATTTGGACCAGGCACATTTCAGGGCTCAACAGCTTCATGTGCCTAGTGGCTATCATTGTGGACAGAAAAGGACTAAACTCTTCTCTAAAAATTGACATAAAGCAGAAACTTCCTGGTCGTTAGACCAATATAGTGCTCTCCATTTGAGTGCATTGGAATGATCTGAGATTCAATGTATAAATTACAGGCTTTTCAGCCCCAAGCTCTGAACTGTCACTTGATCTCTCTTCTGCCAGCAGGAGGCAGTGGTCACTCGAATCCCAAATCCCTGGTCCTCAGCCTCACCTAAGAAGTATCTTTTTGGTCAATTTCTTTCCATTTCTTAGAGTTTCCAAGAAGTTCAGTGTTACAGCTTTCTGGGGTACTCACACCTACTTTTAAGAGTTTCCAGGTCTTTCTGACAAAAGGCCATGCAGGTAAGCGTCAAGAGCTGGAGAAGTGGCAGATGTACTTTGTAAACAATGCAGCAAACGCAGATACTGGGTTGCTTAAGCAAGTCCTTGCAAAGGGGCAGGAATGGGCAGATGAGGCCTTCACCCACCACCCCCACAAGGCTTTGCTTTCCTTCCTTTCCAAATGATCCCACCCTGTCCTCAGGAATCCATAATCCATGATGAATACCTTTCTCCTGATCACTCTCTCAGTCTCAGAATGGTCCCTTTGAGGCCATCTGCTCTGGACTCTGGCTTACTCTACAGCTCACAAAGAGGTTCCTCACTTTCCTGTACCTCCAGAGATCCTACTGGTCTCAGTCCAAAGGTCTCCACCTTAGAGAAATCTTTTATTGACCCACAACTAGAATAGGTGTAAGTGAGATAAGTGTGCATTCTTCTTAGCTCACAGTGGTGTTCTCTTAATTGTGGCACCTCCCACATTTTATAATTATGGTCAACCTGGGTGATTGTCTAATTGTACTATAATCTATTCCCCCATATGCTTCATGTAAACAGAAAATGGATCTGTTTTGCCCACGTTTAATAGAGATAATATGAAATGCTAGCCCCTCTTCCCCACCCTGTCGAGCCCTATTGTGAGTTTGTTTATTTATTCAAGATAGGGTCTTGCTCTGTCACCCAGGCTAGAGTGCAATGGCACCATCACGGTTCCCTGCAGCCTTAACCTCCTTGGCTCAAACAATTCTCCCGCCTCAGCCTCCCAAGTAGCTGAGACTACAGGTGTGTGCCACCAAGCCTGGCTACTTTTTTAATTTTTTGTAGAGACAGGGCCTTGGTATGTTGCCCACGCTGGTCTCAAATTCCTGGGCTCAAGTGATTCTGCCACCTCGGCCTCCCAAAGTGCTGGAATTACAGGCATGAGCTACCTGGCCGGGCCCTTAATGTGAGTTTAATACGATCCTAAACTCAGAGAAACTCAGTCCCCACACCCAACTAAATATTCATTCAACTGTTTTTGTTCTCCTTGTTTTATTTTTGTATTTAAATGTACACGGTTCTCCTCTGGTTCCTATTTACAACCCTTCATGAAGGTGCCTCACCAGGTGGGCATAGCCTCCTTTGCACTGTATTCCTTTCCCCTCCTCCAGAACCAAGGTTTTCCCCTGCTCCACCAAACCCTGTTGAACATCTGCCTCCCATCTCCCAGCTTCTCTGATATTTCAGAGACCCCTAGAATTTTGCCTCTGTCCTATGGATAGACCAAGAACTTTCTGTGTTTCTATTGCTATGCTATATTCTTGAAGGGAAGGAAGACATACCCTGAAATCTCTACCTTTTATTGTGAACTACAACTGCAAAATCACATCAAAAGGCTTAAGGGAAAATATTGGCAAATTGAAAAGGCAGACTAGGAGCAGCTTGATGTCCAGGCAACTACAAGTTCCTGTATTTCATAAGTCAACCTGGGCTTCATTTTTTACTATTTCTGCCTGTAGCTATGACTTGTTTCAAAATCCTACCTGATACATTAAGAATTTAGAAAGCCTCATGCAGGCTTCCTATTTTCCACAAATGACAATAAACTAAAAGTCCTCCAGAGACATTTTGGTCATAGAATATGATTGCAAGATGGTGATTTAGCCTACTGCCAGCAAAGAGCTCTTGTCTGGAAAGAACTAGTGCCAGAGACAGTGGCTTTGGATGATGGTCCTTCTGGTTTCAATGAGCACCATGAGTCACTGAAAATAAATGTCCGGGCAGCTTAAGGGGTCTCTGATTGCATGTAGATCCATGCCTGTGAATGGTAGTACTAGAAAGGATGAAATGTGTGTGAGCTACATAACAAAAGGAGGTTGGGCTGGATGACTAGGATGTGTTCTTGGAGAGAAGAGCTGAAGGTTTTCTTCTGTGGTTTTCAGAGAAAACAACAACAAAATGAAACTCAGAGTGACCTGCACAGACCTATTGATAACAGCCAGTTCTCATAGAGCATTTTCACATCAATCTTCTGAGACAGACAGGGTAAGAGCATTATAGCCATTGCAGAGGTGGGGAAACTGAGTCTAAGACCTGTTGAGGGACTAAGAGTAGCAAACAAATATGTATTCAAAACTTGAATACATATTTTCCTACTTCATTCACTATTCAATATTATCTTATCTCTCAGTTTTACTTTTACATTTAAAGCCAAAATTTATTAACCTAGAATGACTATATGTAGAGGACTGCTTACACAAACAAAAGGTGGTGTCTTTGAATTGCATGGTGCAAGTGACTTGAAAATTACCTTAACCTACTAATATGATTAGAAAGTCTGCTGAAGGGTGTGGTAATCATGTGCATTTCTACAGATTATGACACTGTTTTTACACACGTACAATGATGTAGAACAGGAAACCATAATTACTTGTAACCAGATTTAGAAAAATTTTTTTGTTGTCTTGATATTTTTTCAGCATGTTGTCCTAGAAAGCAGGCAAAGGAGGAAAAAGAGAATGTGTACAAAGAAAATACCCTTTTTCATACAGAAAAAAGGGCAGCATTATAAGGAAGAACCATGTACACACACACACACACACACACACATACAAATACACACACATATATCTATTCTTCTTTTCCTCTAGGTCTTAATAAAAACACAAAAGCAGCTTCTGCAAACAGTAGACAGTTCCAGGGGAAAAGCCAGTGCCCAGAGCACTCCCAACCCAATCAATCAAACCCTAGACCTAGAGCACAATTGAGCCATTTTCTTTTTATTACAACAATTCAAAAATTTGGAAGAGAAAAACCCATCTGTAATCTTACCAGCCCAACATGACTATTTCCAGTTTTGCAAATTTCCTTCTAGTTTTTCTTAATATGAGTATTTTTTCTAAAGTCCCTAACATGTAGTCATTTTTTTTGAGTTGCATCAAATACTTCAGAAGAAAATAAATTTAAATGCCATCACACTCTTGAATTTGTGGTGGCCATGTTATATTTACTTTGGAAGTTATCTCAGAACTTTTTTTTTGAGACAGAGTCTCACTCTTTCACCCAGGCTGGAGTGCAGTGACACAATCTCGGCTCACTGCAACCACCGCCTTCTGGGTTCAAGCGATTATCATGCCTCAGTGTCCTGAGTAGCTGGGATTACAGGCATGCACCACCACACCCAGTTAGCTTTTTGTATTTTTAGTACAGACAGGGTTTCACCATGTCGGCCAGGCTAGTCTCGAACTCCTGGCCTTAAATGCCCACCTCTGCCTCCCAAAGTGCTAGGATTACAGGTGTGTGCCACCATGCCCAGCCTATTTTAGAACTTTATCTCTTAGGCAAAAGTTTCTGCTTCAGAAGTTGTACTCAAGTTAAAGAGAATTTATTAATGTTGCCCTCAGATCACACATGGAGCCCAGCGTTTGGTTAAAATGCAAATTTATGTGACAACATATATTTCATAATAATTTCCTTATCTCACTTTTAAATTACTTTAATACATAAGGCCCATCATTTGTATTAACAGATTGAAATTTATTATCATTAATTCAGAGTAAAGTGTCATCCAGGTAACATTAATAGATGCTGTGTGTACATGATTGACAGTTTGTACCATTGGATCATACTGTTTTGTGTCTAAATAATGCCAGGGTTCAAGTGATTAATTTCCACTAAAGACTTGGTCATTTTAAACAAAGTGACTTAATTTACAGCATCTGGTTTGCATAATCACTCAGCCCCTCTCATGTAGTATTCTTGAGAGCAAGATTAGTATACTAATAATTGCATCCCCAGGTATGACATTTCAGAGTTGAATTTGATACTTTGATCTCACAAGTGGATTCTCAAAAAACATGTCAATTGTTTCTTGTTTGTTTGTTTTTTGTTTTTGTTTTACCATCTCAAAATATTTACATTCTAGCAGAGTTTCCCATCAGGGTAACTGTCATGGACAAGAAGAAAAAAGATATTTGAATTTGTCCTTGAGAAAGGAAGAAAGTATAACAACTCTACTTGAAAAATGCAACCAAAATCCAATTTAGCTCTTGCTGGCAAACTAAATTCTCTGTTATCAATGTGCAGGTCACATCTGGGATTTTCTTGAAAAATCAAGAGGGAATTACTTTTCTAATGACCCTGAGCATAATTCTTCCCAATAAGTAGCAAAAGAAGCAGATGGACAACTTATATATTCTAAACATGTTTTGGAAGGTAGACTAATTTTTACAACTGAAAACTTTAAAAAGAAAGAAGCAGTAGATGGCTTTAGTCCCTCTCACTTAAAAAAGAAAGTATTGGAAACTTTTAATGATTTGTGATGGTCCTTGCTTTTCTGAGAAATCGGCATACATTATCCCTCTGCTGCTGCTTTAATCTTTTATAATTATCTTTGATGTCTGTCATGCCCCTTTGACCTTCCTAAATTTTGAAACCGTCTTTTCGTATGTCAAGTTTTAAATTTCCTTTTAGCCACTCACTCAGGCATCATTAATCCATAGCACTTTAGAAGCTATGAATGTGATGTAAAGTAAGACACAGACCCTGGCCTCAAGAAACTTAGAATCAATAATTAAATGGAATGTATATGCCAGGAATGACATATTGCTGAAGAGGCAAATTCTCCCAGGATAAGTTCCTGGCTATGTGTAAACTGAAAGGTACATAATTTTAAGCACATTTAGAAATAAAATAGGGGAAGAAAAGAGGACTAGGTTATGGAGAATGGAGAATTGAAAAAACTACCTAATCTGACAAATACATAGTGTACCATTTATGTATCATTTTGGAAGAGTTGTTGAAATAGAAATTATTAACTATCTTATTAAATAATGAATTAATAATTATTAAATCTTTGTTCTGGTTGGCCTGAGATTAAATTCATTAGGTGTGTTTTGTTGTTGTTTTCTTGGCTTTTGTTTTTTGAGACAAGGTCTTGCTCTATCTCCCGGGCTGGAGTGCAGTTGTGCAATCACCACTCACTGCAGCCTCCACCTCCCAGGCTCAAGTAATTCTCTCACCTCAGCCTCCTGAGAACCCAGGACTATAAACCTGTGCCACCACACCTGGCTAACTTTTGTATTTTTTGTAGAGGTAGGGCTTTGTTATGTTGCCCAAGTGGGTCTCAAACTCCTGAGCTCAAGCCATCCTCCAATCATGGCCTCCCAAAGTGCTGGGATTATAGGCATGAGCCACCTCGCCTAGCTTTCATTAGGTTTTGCAGGTTTGTTAGCTCTACTGGGGATTTCCAAAGCCTGGAGAATTTAGGGAAGATGAAGGGAGTGGTGGTAGGTGAGAGTAAAATTTATCATTTATGATCCATGTGTGAAATATTTAAATTTGGAAATGGTATCTTTTACCATTAGCAGGCGTCTAATTGAACTTCCAGTGACCATCTCCGTCAAAATACTTTTGTGCAGGTAAACGACAAACAAATAAACAGTTGGTCTGTACTTACCCTGAACCTAATGCAGGAGACCCAAGGAAGTCAGGCTTGTAAAGAAATTAAGAGCATCCTGGGGCACAGAAGGACTCTTGAGGCTTTTCTTTGACTTTTGGAGTTTTCATCTGTTTGTTTGTTTTCAGTTTAGTTTTTTTTTTTTTTTTTTTTTTAAATGAGAATAGGTATTTGGAAGAAAAACCTATGGGTAAGCATTGTAAACACATTTTTCTATTCTTGGTTTCATGCTGTGAAGTGGTAATAAGAGTTTCAGGACAGCCAGGGAAATGTGAGTGGTTACTTGAAATTCTGATGACTATGTAGATTTTGTTTTCAAAATAACTTTTGAAATTATTTTGCAAAGCTGGAGCAGAGGACTTTGGTGGTGATTTCCCTAAAGTTCCATGGGGGTGGAATCTGACTTCCATGGTACGTTTCACCATGAAGCTCCCTAATCAGTCCTTTCACGAGCTGGTCACATGCCAGCTTAGAATGGGAAAGTTACGGCCAGGCACAGTGGCTCATGCCTGTAATCCCAGCACTTTGGGAGGCCGAGGTGGGTGGATCACATGAGGTCAGTAGTTCGAGACCAGCCTGACCAACATGGAGAAACCCTGTCTCTACTAAAAATATAAAATTAGCCGGGCGTGGTGGCACATGCCTGTAATCCCAGCTACTTCGGAGGCTGAGGCAGGAGAATCTCTTGAATCTGGGAGGCAGAGGTTGTGGTGAGCCAAGATCACACCATGGCAATCCAGCCTGGGCAACAAGAGCGAAACTCCATCTCAAAAAAAATAAATAAATAAAAGGAAAAAAATGGAAAAGTTGGATGTTGTCTTCACCCACCTCTAATGTGCTCTCTTTTCTCCCTCTGCTTTCTTTCCTGTCTGTTGCTGCTGCTGTCATATTTCAGTACAGGGAACACTCCTTGTCAGTAAGTTCAATATATTCATAGTTGTAAACTGACAGCATTGATAAAGTTTTCTGCAACACGAAACCTCAAATTTCATCTGTGCTCAGATCGGATTGTATCATACAACAAACATGCTGTAAAAAAAAGTTAGAAGGGAAATTGGGAAAGGAAACCTACTTTTTACTACAAACCCTTTTTTTCCATTTGAAAACTTTACTATGAACACGTATTACCTATTTTTTAAACTCGATATGACAAACAAATAAATAGATGCCACCTATGAGCTGTTTTTCAGTAGTGTTAGTTGAGATATCTCTACAAAGGGGCTTCTGAGGCCCAGTGTTGTTCTCATGCAGATTTAGAGCAGTCCAGGGGAAAGACAGAAAAGCTGAAATAATCAAGAGAAGCAAGATTTTGTTTACATAATTTAAATTTATTCTTAACTAACAAAGACGAAAACAAGTACAGTGCTGAGATTTGCTGAAACAATTGCAGAGGCAGAATAGAGCAGCATTTGGATGTCTCTTAGTCCGCTGTCAACAAACCAGACAACAAAGCTAATGACAATTACAGTTAACAGGTGGCAGAGACATAGTTCTCATCAGTTCAGTCTGTTTGTACAGCATTTGGTGGACTCTAACTTTTCAGAGTTTGCTACTTACGAACCACGAGGCTATGATTTAAGACAGCTTCAATATATTCAGCCTTTGCTCTGTGGAAGAGAAGCCATCACTAGTGGCTTCAGCAGGACCAGTTGGACAGAAAAATGGGGCTGAGTCGTCCCAGAAACGTAAATGGAGCTACCCAAAGACCAGGGAGAGGAGGCTCGGAAATCAGTTTTAACACAGCCCCAGGGTGAAACTGCTAAGTAAGAGAGTATGCTGTGAGACACTGTCTAATGCATTGTATGTGCAGGAATGAGTGTGTGAATTTCTTTTTATTGTTGTTGTTTTTTTTATTTTTTGAGACAAGGTCTTGCTGTGTTGCCCAAGCTGAGTGCAGTGGCATGATCACAGCTCACTGCAGCCTCAAGCACCTGGGCTCAAGCAATCCTCCCACCTTAAACACCCAAGTAACTGAAACCACAGACGTGCACCACCATGTCTGGTAATTTTTGTATTTTTTGTAGAGGCAGAATTTTGTCGTTTTGCCCAGGCTTATTTCGAACTCCTGGGCTCAAGCAATTCTCCCACCTCAGCCTCCCAAAGTGCTGAGATTACAGGAATGAGCCACCACCCCCAGCGAAGGTGTATGAATTTTCAGTGAGTTCTTCATGCCCAGCCTCATGACTTCCCTGAGTTCCTTTTCCAAAAACTCTGAGCTAACAAAGCAATATTTGAGTCTTATTTTCTTGAGTCATATTTTCTTTAACTTTTGGTTCCTCTCTGGCACTTGTCACTGTTAATTGTATTCTTAAAACTCTCCTCTCATCACTGAGACTTCTTAGAGGGCAAGACTGTGTCCAGTAATAGTAATAATATTAATAATTACTACTAATTATGAAACATCTTCCATGCACCTGGCACATTGCATCGACCTCTTCCTTGATCCTTACAACTACCCTTTAATTATCTCATAGGTATGATCATCCCCAGGAAAATGCAGTTTCGAGAGGTGAAGGATGTCGTTTACATTTCTGGCATCACATTTGTATCATGCATGTTACTTCCTAACAATGCGACATTACAGTAAGTGACCCAAGAGTTAGTACCATGCGGGAGAAGGTGCACCAGTTATAAGGAAGTAGGGTGTGTTAGAAAGAGTGTGAGTTTTAGAAACAGACAGATCACTAATTCTGAGACCTGAAAGATGCTCAGTAATGGGCAGTTAGTACCCCCACCAGCATGATCTACAGCAGCACCACTGTCTTATCGTCGTCAGACTCAAACTTTCTTCTCCAGGAACTCTTTGCTCGTTCCAGTATGCTACACTTCCTTGCAACTGCCAAGGTGTCAATAGCCTGCTAGATACCCTTTAAAATGTTCCTAAAATACTTGTTGGTGGATTAACTGGTTGTAATTTGTCTTTCCAACTATAGTAACACTGAGAGAAGGACAGATCAGTAAGGTAACAAATTGATATTCAATTGTATTAATTAAGCTGTGAGCAGTTTTGCTATAGGCTGTTTTCCCAAAGTTTTTACACCCTAGGACCTGCAGGGATGTGGGAGAAAGGGAGAGCCCCCTGCCAGGTCCCTGCAGGTCCTGGGGTATAAAAACAACCAACCACCATCTCCAGCTACAAATCCAGGTAACAAGGTGTCACTAGACAGCTTAACCCAAAGAAGTAAGAACAATCTTTTAGAAGCAAGAAAACCCCAAGGCAATAAATATAATCCCAGCTAAATGCTTTGTCAGACTGAAAGGAACATGACCTTGTATGTTTTCATCTTTTGACTTGACTTTGTTAACGGAAGGCATGAAATAAAATTGTGTTTACCTGAATTCTACTACAGCAGAGCTAATGGAAATCAGCTAACATCGGAAGTTAGGGTAAATGTCTTAAAAACTTTATCTTCTAAAGCCAATTGTAACATTGTAACTCAAACGAAAATGAAAAATAAGTGTTTCCAAACGCTAAAAGAGATTTCTATCTTCTCATCATTTTAAGAACAACCACTATAAAATATGTTCTAAAACAAACACAGAGCACTAAAAATTTCACTGTTTAAGCTAAAAGTCAAACATCTGTCTCACTGTCTTCTAGTTTCACCTTGGTTTCTGAGGATCTCAACTAAAAGCTGCAGAAATTTGGAACATTTCCCCCTCACATTCATTTTAAAGAGTTAGTTCTGAGATTTTAAAGACGTTTTTATTAGTTAATCATGCATGTCTTTCTTTTCAGCCTAAACAGACATGGAAAGAAGGACCATCTATGGAGCAGAATCAGTCTCCTGACTCCAAAGGATATGAGAGAGGGTGTAGAATGGTAGGGAAAGGCTGGATAGACCCGGGTTGGAACCCTGCCTCTGTATCTTATTTTCCAAGTGTCCTTGACCTTGGTATGTTACATAAACTTAGCAAGTCCAAGTTTCCTGTTTATGACAAATTACATCAATAATATTTAGTCCATAGGGTTGTTGTGAAGAACTCAAAAAGATTGTTTATTAAATTCTTGCCTGACATCTAATAAAGGTTCAGGGCCGGGTACAGTGTATGTTTCGGGAGGCTGAGGCAAGAGGATCCCTTGAGGCCAGGAGTTCAAGACCAGCCTGGGCAATATAGTGAAATCCTGTCTCTACAAAAAACTAAAAGATTAGCTAACCATGATGGTGTGCGCCTATAGTCCTAGCTACTCAAGAGGCTAAAGTAGGAGGATCATTTGAGCCCAGAAGTTCAAGGTTACAGCGAGCTATAATTGCATCACTGCACTCCAGCCTGAGCAACACAGCAAGACCCTGTCGCCCAAATAATGATAATAATAATAATGGCTTAATGATGGGAGCCCATGTACTATTATTGTCCTTCTTCAAATGGATGGGGGAAAATTAATAAAGACTACCACTCACTGAGCATCGACTATATACCTTGTATATACCTGCCTCTAATTCTTAAAACCATGCTGACAGAGCAGTATCATTATTCCCATTTTACAGACAAGCCACACAATCACCATGCGGTAGAGTTAAGGTTCAATTCAGGTTTGTTTCCCTTGAAAGCCTAGGTCCTTTGTACTATCCTGCACTGCCTCCTCACCTAAAAACCCAATTCAACTAGTCATATGAATGCTGGCAATTTTCAATATGGAATTTCTCTTGAAGAAGCTTGTTCTGACTGCCAGCCTCCTGAAAGACAATTTTCACAATGTTATCATAATTGATCGTGAACCGGGGACACTATCTCGGCATCTCACTAATGACATTCATAAACCTTAGTCTTGTCCGGGTTATTCCACACACCTGGTTTTGAGTGGCACACAGGTGTGAAACCCTCTGATTCAGAAACTAATATCACCTAACGGTTCTAGCAAAAAGTTTGATCTCTAAGTCAATATTTGCCAGTGTAGAGCCAGCATGCTATCTCCAGTGGAGTTGTTTGCTATCCTTTCTGGTGCTCTCCTTTCTTAGTTTAGTCTCTGGTGTGAGCTCTTGGCAGCATGAGTATTACATGAGTAATGAAGAACACATCATAGTTACACATCAGCCAAACTACCCACTCCTAGCTCCCATATGTAGCCTGACATTTTACCCTTGTACTGTACTCTGGGAAGTTCAAAAGTGCTTGGTAAAAGACTCAGCAGAGGCAATTATGTGTAAGTTACTCCAACTGCCATCTCCAGGATGAACATTTCTGAAATTGTCTTAGTATATGAGGTTAGAATGGTCAAGAAATCACTTAACTTTTATGAGTCAAGTCATCTCCTGTGTTAAATGAAGGACTTGGATTATGTTGGGTTCTTTCCAGCTCTACTATATTTTAGTTACATTTTTCTACATGATCACACAACCCTCTGGTCTCCTCAAAAGTAGAAGATAATATTGGAATACATGATAATAAATTATACCTATTATATTAGGTTTCTCTAGAAGGACAGAACTAATTGGAGATATATATATATATGTGTGTATGTGTATATATATGTACATATATATAAAGGGGAGTTTATTAAGTATTAACTCACATGATCACAAGGTCCCACAACAGGTCAACTGCAAGCTGAGGAGCAAGGAGAATGAGTCTGAGTCCCAAAATTGAAGAACGCAGAGTCTGATGTTTGAGGGCAGGAAGCATCCAGCATGGGAGAAAGATGTAGGCTGGGAGGCTAGGCCAGTCTAGTCTTTTTATGTTTTTCTGCTTGCTTTATATTCTGGCTGTTCTGGCAGCTGACTAGATGGAGCCCACCCAGATTAAGGGTGGATCTGCCTTTCCCAGCCCACTGACTCAAATATTAGCACCCTCACAGACACACCCAAGATCAATACTTTGCATCCTTCAATCCAATCAACTTGACACTCAGTATTAACCATCACACCTATATTCAGGAAATATTTATATTGATTATTTTTAAATCCTGTATGAATTTTATGAGGTTGAATAGATTACAGGCACTTAGAGTAAAAATAATCTAACCCTAAACAAAAATGTGTATGATACATGTGTGTACCACTCAGTGATTATAATTATTGGTGATAATGTGATAATGGATCACTAAATAGTGACCTCATTATGAGTGCCACTTTATTTCATAAAAATAATAAATGTATAACAACATAAAAAATGACAACTAACATATTTTAAAAATACTTAAGTGCACCATGACGGCAAAAATGTTCTTTTAAATTTCATTTTCCTATAACTTACATGATTTCAAGGTTGATTTAAAAAACACCCTTAATAAAACAAATCTTATTTTAAATTCGTTCAGAAATGTTTTGCTTTTCTAACTAAAATTGATTGTCTTAAACTTTCCTACTAATCATTTCTCAAGAAAAGACTTATGTGAAACATTCATTAAAATAGATTTGCAGTCGCATTTTGTGAGGCAGGGGATTGAAGTAAGCATACTTAATCTACTATTTTGATGGAATCCAAAGGATTTTGTTAAACGCTGAAGTACTTTGAACCCAAGTATTTAAGCTTCGAATCAAGCTTTAAGCACTAGGGGAAATGTAAGTCAAATTTTGATTCAAGTCAACCTTAGATCCTTAGCTGAAAAAGTACTTGTGTTCTTAAAAATATATATCAGATCTGATTCTTGAATGTATTTTTGTGTGCACACAAACACATGTACTGTCTTCTGCGAATTCTGTCAAACCAACTGATCGTTCATTTTGAGACATTAAAAAAATCATTGTTTCTATCTTTATTTAATGAATACTTTTCATTCAATATTTACTTGTGCCAAATGCAAACCCCAGAACAGCTCAAAGTAAAAGCACCAGAAGACATAAACAACAACCAAGCTATCAAGGAATCAGATAAATTTTAAGGGGAGGAAGAAGCTCCATTGGGCTTTTGAAATGAAGTCATCATAGAGCCAAAACACTGACCTCTTCTCTGGTGTCACAGAGACAAACACATCAACCAATTGCAGACTAGGTCCTCTTAGTTTAGGATTGAGTCTTATTTGTTTGTATCTCTCCAGCACCCAAAATACTGACCAATACATAGCAGGTGTCCCCCCAGATGTCCTTTCTTTCGGGATCATAAACGTGACATTGAAATATACCTGAGACATACATGAAGTTATTGCTTACTAGCCCCATTATCAATAAGACTCAGGGTATTTGGGGCTATTTCTGATTCATAAATTATCAGGTCTCTCTGATGGAGGTTGCTGGCACCAAGGGGGGGCTTTCAAGGATTTTGCCCTATGTTCCATTTCTCTCCTATCGACATACATAAATACACACACACACACACACACACACACACACACACACACACACAGAGACACAATTCTTTAATATGGACAATGGATGTTTTCTTAACCTACTGATATGGATTCCGTAAAAGCAACCTCAAAGCTCCCCACTCCCACTTCCACTACCACTTTGCCATTCTCCATGCCTTCATCATTGGCTAAGGTGAATATTCATTCTTAGGGGCAGGAATAACTGGTAGCACCTGAAAACTGAATGTCCAGTGAGCAAATGGCACCAGGATCTTGCTGTGATAACCAACAGGTCAAACTCAACTATTCAAGAGAATCACAGGTTTCCTATTACAAAGAATAACTCATTTTTAATGATCAAATGAAAATGCAAATTTAGGGAAAACAAATCAGGTTATTTGGAGGACAGAATGCTCTCAGAGGATATTAATGTCATTGTGGTTTCCTGAGGAAAGAGCCTCTATTTTGCTTGTAAGCAAAATGTCAATTCTAATTATTCAAACTGACATCCCATAGGAACTTTTATGAAAATTTAGGTAGATCCAGAAGAATGGGTAGGAATCAGGCTTTTCATTTTGGAAGATGGGAGAGGTCAGCAACTTGCAGACTGTTCTGATAAAGAGAATTCTTGGGAGACTGAATCCAGGTAACAGAACCTTGTTGAGTAACCTTGAGCAAATCTACTTCCTCTGCCACCTTGTCTTCTATTAAATTAACTAAATAAACCCTTTCCTTAGTAAAGGCCTCAGAAAATGTGAAATATAAAGATGAAAAGTTATTTTCAAGATTACCAAGTGAGATGGTCTTTGGAAAATTGATACATCTTTTATTACAATGATTATTATTGTCATGAATTTTATTAATGGCTAAATCTCCTATTTGGTATATAAATTATCTATTGCCACAATAATGCTCCATAACAAACAACTACAAAACCCCCATTGCATATAAAAAGAAGATTTTTTTAATTCATGATTAGCAGGCTGGGCAATTTGGACTGGGCTCAGCTGAGCGATTCTTCTGATCTTTTCTAGGGTGCTTGGCTATCTTCACCAGGTCTAGGATAATCGTGGCTGGGAGATGAGGGCCATTTCTCTCTGCACCATGTGATTCTTATCCTCCAGCAGGCTAGCCTGGACATGTTTTCACAGTGATGGCAAAAGACTAGAGTTAACAGCAAGCCTAATTTCACAAGTGCTTTTCAAGCCTCTAGTCACATCACATTTGCTAATCTCTCATTGGCCAAATCAAGTCACAAAACTGAGTGCATGGTCAGAATGGGAATGTACTACAAGTTTTGTGGCATAGGATGTACATACAGAATAGTAAATAATTAGGGCCAATAGAGCAATCAATCTATTAAATGGGGCATGCTATTTTTGTTTATCTGAGAATATTCATTTATGTTACTTTATTTTTATATAATTAAGACAATTTTTATGTTATCTGAACTCTTTTTAATCTTTTCTTTGTATTATTAATTATTATTATTATTATTATTATTTTAAAGACTTGCTCTGTCACCCAGACTGAAGTGCAGTAGTGTAATCATAGCTCCTCCTGAGTAGGACTACAACACATGCCACCATACATGGCTATCTGGTTTTTTTTTTTGGTAGAGATGGGGTCTTGCTATGTTGCCCAGGCTGGTCTTGAAGTCTTGGCCTCAAGGGATCCTCCGACCTTGGCCTCCCAAAGCACTGGGAATACAGGTGCGAGCCACAACACCTGACCTATCAAAACTCTTGAACGTAGTGTCTCTCAGATTTTTTTGATGGCAATCCACAGTAAGTGTCAACCTAAATAATAAAGAGAGACTCTCTAAAAGAAAGAAAGCAATGTTTCTTTGTGAATAAAGTATTGCAATGGGACTATGTGAACCAAAGTGTATTCAGGGAGGTAAAGGAAGACAAAGATCATTAAAGGAAAAAATGAGGAGGATTATCACATAATTGTTTTGAAATAATTATCCTTGGCTCCAGAGGTCAATAACAAGAGTGGTGCCAGTCCAAGGCTGGACAGGCAGCTGATGAGTAGATAACCTTGCAGAAGTGTTTTTTGTGTAAGGTTGCAATGACCTTCGTTCAAAGTTGTAGTTTTTGCAGTCTTTTGTGACAGTTTTTCTTACCAGTCATGAGAACCCTCTCTTCATTGCCTTCCCTGGCTCTATTTGTCAGGCTCTATTTGTTTTAACATTAGCGACTCCGTTTGGATTCTAACAACTTTCACATAAGAAATACATTGTATACCCAATGTGACTCATTTCATACAAAAGTTTCACAAAACATTATTTCTGCTAACTATGAATATTTTTTATTATACTATATAATTTTTCAAAGTGTTGGTTATTCACTAATTTCCAGATTCACCGAGTCAAAACAGTTTGAAAAATACTAATTAATAGTGTCAGAGGTGTGTGAGCCAGCTCAACTCCATCTTGAATAAGAGCTGGGTAAAATAAGGCTGAGACCTACTGGGCTGCATTCCCAGATTAGACGCCAGGTTAAGGCGTCTAAGTCACAGGATGAGACAGGAGGTCAGCACAAGATACAGGTCATGAAGACCTTACTGCTAAAACAGTTTGCAATAAAGAAGCCAGCTAAAACCCACCAAAACCAAGATCGTGACAAGAGTGACCTCTGGTTGTCCTCACTGCTACACTCCCACCAGTGCCATGACAGCTTACAAATGCCATGGCAATGGCAGGAAGATACCCTATATGGTCTAAAAAAGGGAGGCCTAAATAATCCACCCCTTGGTTAGCATATCATCAAGAAGTAACCATAAAAATGGGCAACCAGCAGCCCTTGGGGCTGCTCTGTCTATGGAGTAGCCATTCTTTATTCCTTTACTTTCTTAATAAACTTGCTTTCACTTTACCAACTCATCCTGAATTCTTTCTTGTGTGAGATCCAAGAACCCTCTCTTGGGGTCTGGACCAGGACTCCTTTCCTGTAACAATAGGGCTTGAGCCTTCCTTGATCCCTTTCTAGCTTTAGGGAATAGCCTACAAATGCTTGAAGGAGCCAAAGAAAGCAAGTAGCACATCTGAACTGGGGATGTCCCAGTATAACTACAAATAATCTTTAGAACTCAGAAACATGGGCAGGAATGGTCTGGGCTGCATCTTCTTCTGGTCATCCCTGGAGCCAGGGTGGCCTCTGGTATGTTGAGGCTGAGAGGTGGTAGAAGCAAAAAGAGAAAAGTGTTAATATTCATTGAGACACTTTGCTGAATTCTTTAATATATTAACATTTTTACAAGGAAACTGAAGCTTAGAAAAAATAAGTTACCCAAGGTCACACAATATTTGGCAGAGCAGGGATTTAAAGATCTCAAGTGCCACATATTGCAGTGAAACCTCAACCCCACCCTGCATCAAAGCCCTAATTTCCATAGCACAGTAGGAAGAGAGAGGAATCATGCTCACTAAGAATCATTCACACTAATGTGTGACATCAACCTACATTTAACAAGTATCCACTAAGAGTAAGACACCGTGCTTTATGATAGCTTAAGAAAGATATGTAAGGGGTGTAGTAGATGAACATTCTTATTAGAAAATATACGAATGCAGCAGCTGGAAAATTGCTATTCAAAGAGTTGCAGCTTTTGGTTTGTAAGTGTGTGTCTGAGAGATGGAGGTCCCAGGTGGAGATTTGAGTTGACTTTTGAGGCTGATTATTGTTTCCATTTGTTTTTCTGGAACACCTACCACTCTGGAGACTCTTAGTTATGCAAATCTAAGGCATATTACCACACATTGTTGGTAAAAACCTAAATGCAGTGAAGTAACCTGAATATTTAGTGTTCTGTGTAGTCAGGTAAATTGGGTAGATGTTTTAAAGACAGCTGCATCACTGAGGATTATTTGTCCCTTAGAGGGCAGTTTTTCTTCTAAATACAGCTTTAGACTGCTTTGTGCCTCTTTGGTATTATGTGTTTCTTGGGCAGGCTCGTGTATGTTTATTATCTAAGTTGTTATCTATAGCATGTCAGAAAAAGAAATGGACTAGGCTCAGTGAAGTCTAAACTGAGATGAATTGATAAAGTCTTACACACAACACTCAAAGACCTAGACCTGGAAAAAATGCACTAGTGTCAGACTAGTTTAACGTCTTAGATAGGGGTGCATAGGTTAGAGCCATATCTCTCTGGACTTTTCTGGGAAAACACACACATACACACACACAAAACATCCTCCTGCAATGACTATGAGTGGCAGTCATTCCTGGCAGAGAATAGGGACTGGGAAGGTGGGGATTGGCCTGGGGAAAGGAGCATGAAAATTCCCCTCTTTAGGACTTCGAATTTTAGTCTAGACTCCAAAGCCCATCAGTGAGTAGAGGAACTTGGGTGTTGAAAAGTAAACTACCCACTGGCCCATGGCAATAAGGTAGGAGAGATACAGAGAGGCAGGTCAACCAGAAGTCCTGAGTCCAGTTCTGGCCCTGGGAAGTATTTGTAAGCTCATCTCTGTGTTATAATGCTCTCTCTCATACCTTCTGTTCTTTAGAGAATCGAAGACAAGGGCCTATCCCATATTTGGCGTGAAGTAAAAGTAAAGAACAACGTCTGTTGCCAAAACTACTAGTGGCACTGGTGGTCACCAACAAAGGACAGCTTTGTCAAGCAGAATGATAAACTAATGAGAGTTATCAGCAGCAGAGGCATGAGGGTCAGATGAGACAGACAGAACAGAGGAGAGAGGATCCGAACCAAAGAACCAATCTGCTATGGTCTGGATGCCTGTGTCCTCTGGAAAGTTCATATGTTGAAACTAATGACCAATGTGATGGTATTAGGAGTGCAGCCTCTGGGAAGTGGCTAGACCCCTCATGAATGAGATTAGTGCTTTTATAAAGGAGACCTCCAACGGCTGCCTTCCCTCTTCCACCATGTGAGGAAATAGCCAGAAGTCACCATCTATGAATAAGAGAGCGGACCCTCATTGAGGCAGGAAAATAGGATCTGGAGGCAGGAAACATAAGGCCAATTCACACTTCAGCTATAACAGGAAATGCCCTCTCCATAGGGTGAATGCCATAGATGACTTTGTAACTTTACTACATCCTCTTCTTTTACATAGGGCGTACCCCAAGTAGAGGGTATTTAAACTCACAAAAGCTCTGTAACAGGGCCCTTGAGCCCCTATGCTTAGGCCCGCTCCCACACTGTGGAGTGTACTTTCATTTTCAATAAAACCCTTCATTCCTTCCTTGCTTTGTTTGTGCATTTTGTCCAATTCTTTGTTCGAAACCCCAAGAACCTGTATACCCTTCACCGTTAACACCCCCGAACACAGAGTCTGCTGTCATCTCGATCTTAAACTTCCCAGCCCCAGAACTATGAGAAATAAATTTCTGTTGTTTATAAGCTACCTAGCTTATGGTATTTTGTTAGAACACCCAAATAAACTAAGACAACATCAGATAGCCCCCTGAATGAGAAGCTCTCAGGAACAGCTGGGAGACACTGTGATGAAGGCTAATTTCTGGCAGTAAATCAGGTGGGACTTAAGGCATAATAATTTGGATTCCTTCCTCTTTGTAGGAATGTGGCAGCACAGCAGATATTCTGAGGAATCCTACTACAGAACATCTTAAAATGCTGAATGAAATATTTATAATACCATTTTAAATCCTTAGCTGAGTAGAACACAGTGAAAGAAACCCTCATAGGATAAAAGTAGTAAAAAGGCATGAATCCAAGCAATAACTGAGCATTGAAACTAAATCTTGTCTTCAGGAAATCTGCCAATACATGATCATTAAGAGTTTTTAAACAGAGTATAGGCTTGTGCAGAGGGACAAGACACAGTGTCTGGGGTTTATGCAAATTGAGACCCTTGCATAGAGACAGTTCTACAAAAGGCAACAGCCTTAGTGAAGGCAAGAGCAAGTTCTACAAAAGGCAACAGCCTTAGTGAAGGCAAATTGGAAAAATAAAATTAATATCAGTGCAATAGACCATAAACAGTCTTGAATCTCTCAGCTTTGACTGTGGGTAAGGAAGGAAAATAAAGGCTCTTCTAAGTATTACCAATAATAGGTGACAGTCACATAAACTTGGTGTGAAATTTACACTATAGCCTGAAAAACACAACCTGAGAATTGAATTCTCATGATTACAGGTTAGTGTGGGCCCAAGGTGCCTAGTACCTGGAAGAAGCAATCACAAATCTCTGGGGAAATGAACATTAACCAAAATCTCAAAGAATTCCTGCAGAGTTCCAATGACCATAAGCTCCCCACCAAAAAAAAAAAAAAAAAAAAAAAAATCACAAATACATGAGGGAACAAACTACCATGAGCAAGAGCCAGCAGAAAAAAACAAATAAAAATACCAGGCCCACAAGGACTAAATATATTGTAAAAAAAATAAAATAAAATGTAAATTTAGTATGCTTAATGTGTTTGAAGAAATAAAGGAGTATATTAAAAGTATGATTGACAAACCATAAAATATTTTTAAAAGACTATTTGATGTTAATTACAAATAGTATTACAGTGGACTTTTAGGGGGAATGAAAATGGTAGTATTGTTTATTTAAAGGGGAATCCTTATCTACTAGACATACATATTGAACTATTACAGATAAAATAATATGATGTCTGGGATTGCTTCAGAATTATCTGGAGTGGGAAAGGAAGTAGGTGAGGATGCAGAGAAAACAAGATTAGCTATGAATTGTTCATTGTTGAAGCTGGATAATGGGTACACAGGGCTTTACTACACTATTCTTTTTACTTTGATATGCTTGAAGTTTTTTTTATCTTAAATAGATATCTTTTTAATGTGCAGGGAGGTTTGAAGAAAAGTGAAGTTGAAAAATAAAAAAGTATACTAAATAAAATTAGAGATGTAGTCGACATATTATATGTCATATCAGATACAATTAACAGCAGAATTAGTGAACTGGAAGATAGATCTGAAATAATCACCAAGAAAGCAGCACAGAGAAACAAAGAAATGAGCTATATCAGAGTTTGAGATACCTGGAAGGCAGACTCAGAAGGCTAAAGTGCATCTAATAAGAGGACCACTGCTTGATGTTATTGTGTCATTTATTGTGCCTTTATAAAGGAGGCCTCTGACGGCTGCCTTCCCTCTTCCACCATGTGAGGAAATAGCCACAAAGCACCACCTATGAACAAGAGAGTGGACCCTTACCAGACACTGAATCTGGTGAAATGACCTTTTTAAAAAGTACGAGAGGGAAATAATAGAGAAAATGGACAAGATATAATATTAAAGAGATATTGGCCAAGAATTCTCCAGAACTGATGAAATACAACAATCTGAGTTAATGGCTCAGATTCAGGAAGCTGAACAAGCTATGAGGAAAGAAATCTAAACGTGGATACATCATGGGAAAACTACAGATCAACAATAACAAAGAAAGGATCCTTTGAGAGAAAGGATGTATGACATGAAAAGTAACATTGCAATTGACTAATCAACAGCAGCATTGAAAGCCAGAGGACAGCAGAGAAATATTTTCAAATTGCTGAGAGAAGTAACTGTCAATATATAAGGATGTACTAAACAAAATGATTTTTTCCAAAAGTAGAGTAAGAGAAGTCATTTCATACAATCAAAATGAGAAAGTTTTCTACCAACAGTTAACTGAAGGAACTTTTTGAAGGGTATACTTCAGATAATGATACCAGAAATATGGTTTGACATGCAAGAAGGAACAGTGAGCAAAGACACCATGTGGGTAAATATATAGAGACATTAACTATACAAAATAATAATGTTGAAGAGGGAGTTAATGGACTTTTCCCTGTTCCTCCTGCTAAGTACAATTAAAAACCCTGGATATTATATAGAAAATAAACCTAAGAAGACTCTGAATGGTGGAGAGAAGAAGGCAGATCAGCCAGTGACCTCGGGGCCTGAGGGACAGCACCGTGGTGATAGCCCTAGGTTTTCTTCTTGCCTCATGTATCCCAAACTGGATGGTGGAAAAACTGGCAATCTGAAATTGTCAAAAATGTAGATTAACAAAAAAGCAAACTTGAAGATACAAAAGTAGCAATTGCTTAATCTGAACAACAAAGAGAAAATAGACTGAAAGAATAAAAAAGAACAAAGCCCCAGGACATGTGGGATTATAGCAAAAGATCTAGGGTTTGTGTCATAGAAATCCCAGGGGAGGAGAAAGAGGGTGGGGCTAAAAAGTAGTCAGATAAATAATAGTTTAAAATTTCCCAAATGTGGCAAAAAGTACAAACCTGCATATTTAATATCCAAAAAGGATAAACTCAAAGAAATCACAGGAAGACACATCATAGTCAAACTTCTGAAAACTAAAGACAATGAAAAAAAATCATAAAGCAGCAAGAGATAAATGACACCTTACTATAAGGGAAAAATAATAAATTACAGCACATTTCTAATACGAACTATGGAGGCCAAATGGAACTGGCACATTTTTCAAGGCCTGAAAGAAAAGAATGCTCAACCAAGAATTACCTGTGAAAATATGAAGGCGAAATCAAGATATTCTCAAATGAAGTAAAACAAAGAGATAGTGTCGCCATGTCACCAGCAGACCTACTATAAAATAATGGTTTAAAGGAAGTCCTCTAAATAGAAAGAAAATAATAATAAAAGAAAATCTTGGAACATTAGGAAAGGAAAAAAGAACAGAATAAAATTGTATAAAAGGATATATTCACCTGCCTAAGAAGTCTCAGTAATGATACATGAGAAACTAACATCGGTGGCCTCCAAGTAAGAAAATTGGGTAGCTGGAATGGGGAGACTATTCACAGTATCTTTCAACAGTTTTAAAATTTTGAATCATCTAAATGTATTCCTAAATTAAAAGTAAAATGTAAATTTGATTAATTCTACAGAAAAAAGTGGAATTAAAATACTGATCACAAATACCATTTGTAATTGCTTAGTTTTAGTTGTCAACTTGACTGGTTTAAGGGATGTCCAGATAGCTGGTAAAGCATTATTTATAGGTGTGTAGGTGAGGATGTTTCTGGAAGAGACTGGCATTTGAATCAGTGGATTGAATGAGGAAGATCTGCCCTCACCCACTGTGGGGAGACACCATCCAATGGATTGAGGATAAAAGTGCAGAGAGAAAGGTGAATTTGCTCTCTCTCCTGAAGCTGGGATAACCATCTTCTCTTGCCCTTGGACATGAGGATTCCATGTCCTCTGGCCTTCAGACTCCAGGACTTGTGATGGCAGGCCCCCAGTTTCTCAGACCTTCAGCTTTGGACTGAGAATTTCACCACTGGCTCATCTGTTTCTCAAGACTTTGGGCTTAGACTGAGCCACACTATCAGCATTCTTGGTTCTCCAGTTTGCAGATGGCATATTATGGTACTTCTCAACCTCAAAAATTGCCACAGTCAGTTCCTATAATAAATCCTGTCTCATCTATTTATCTATATATCTAGATCTAAATCTAGATCTAAATAGTCTACTAGCTCTGCTTCTCTGGAGAGCTCTGGCTAATACACAATATATGTCAGAAGGACAAATTGGCTTAAAGCATTCTAAGGTCTTTTCTTTTTTTGGAGGAGATAAAGATATTAAGTTATTTTCAATATTGTTAAGTTGAGAACAACAAACTTTGGAATAATCCTGAAATAAAACATATATTTCCAACTAAAATAGGGGAAAATTGAAAAAAAAAAAGGCAACTCAATTAATTCAAAAGAGGACAAGTGGGAAGAAAAAAAGAAAAAGAAAAAGCAGAACCTATAGAAAGTACACAATATAGTGGTAGTAATACATTTCAAAATAAAAGTAATTATATTAAATATTAATAAATTATACATTCTAGTTAAAAGGCAAAGATGATCAGATTAACTTTAAAAATAAGCTGTATCTTAGGGTGTTCATAGAGACATATCCAGAACATAACAAAGGAGAAATGCTAAAGGTAAAAAGATAAAAAAATAGTCTAGTTAAATATTAACTTTTAAAAATCTGGATTAGGCCAGGCACGGTGGCTCACGCCTGTAATCCCAGCACTTTGGGAGGCCGAAGTGGGCAGATCATGAGGTCAGGAGATCGAGATCATCCTGGCTAACACGGTGAAACCCCGTCTCTATTAAAAAAAATACAAAAAATTAGCCAGATGTGGCAGCAGGTGCCTGTAGTCCCAGCTACTCGGAAGGCTGAGGTGGGAGAATGGTGGGAACCCAGGAGGCGGAGCTTGCAGTGAGCTGAGATCACACAACTGCACTCCAGCCTGGGCGACAGAGCAAGACTATGTCTCAAAAAAAAAAAAAAATCTGGTTTAGTGGCTGGGCATGGTGTCTCACACCTGTAATCCCAGCACTTTGGGTGGCTGAGGCAGGTGGATCATAAGGTCAGGAGTTAGAGACCAGCCTGACCATCATAGTGAAACACCATCTCTACTAAAAATACAAAAATTAGCCAGGCGTGGTGGTGCATCCCTGTAATCCCAGCTACTCAGGAGGCTGAGGCAGGAGAATTGCTTGAACCTGGGAGGCAGAGGTTGCAGTGAGCCGAGATCACACCACTGCACTCCAGCCTGACCAACAGAACAAGACTCTGTCTCAAAAAAAAAAAAAAAAAAAAATCTGGTTTAGTTACATTAATGTCCATAAAGTAGCCTTTAAAGCAAAATTTATTACTGGAGAAAAAAATGAGCCATTACATGATAATAAAATATAATTTAATTAAGAAAAGACAATGGTTCTAAACTTATATGCACCTAATAATAGAGCTTCAAAATGTGAAAAACAGAAATTGATAGAACTGCAAGAAGAAAATGATAAAAGAACCATATTGGAAAAGTTTTACATACCTATTTCAATGGTTGATAGATCAGACAGACAAGAAAGTTCAGAAAGTCTATATAACATTTGAGTAACATAATTAACAAGCATGATCTAATGGACCTATATACAGCACTGCATTCAACATTTCAATAATTCAAATTCTTTTCAATCTCTCAGGGAATATATATGAATATTACTTCCATAAAAGACCACTAAGAACATACCAACAATTTCAAAAAATGAGTACCATATAGGCCATCTTTTCTAATTACTAAGTAACTAAATGTGGAACTGATAATAAGATCATTTTTAAAAGCCATAAACATGAACATTTTAAAACATCTTATCATAACATATAAATGTTTATACCTCTGAGTTTCAAAAAGTCACAGTGTAGGAAGACCCCTTGAAACTATTGCTATGGAATAAAAGATGAAATGCTCCTGATTATCGTAAATACAAAATTGCATGAGGATTGTGTAGACAACGCCAGGCTGGACTGCCAGGATGAGCCAACAGCATGTGATGTGCTTCCCCCTGCAGAGAGCCTATGAATGGATGTGCGATCAGGGAGGTTTCACATCACCAAGATTCCTGTCCCAAAAAAGCAGATGTTCATAGCTCTGGGAATGGAATGCGACCCTTGTGGAGAGCCTATAAATGGATGCATGGGGGGCGGGGCGCCTGTCCCTATGGATAAGATAGGGTTATAAACGCCCTCATCTTGCCACAGCTCTTCTAGGCCTCTTTAGGGTTAAAGCATACTCCCTTCTGAGAATTTCTGGTCTAACCGGTTGCCTAGCTTCACATCCTGTTTCCATGGATTGTTTGTAACCAGCTTTTGTTGCAATTGTTACTGCTGATTAACATCTTGCTAATCATAGGTTATGGAAAGATTGTGTTTCTGTTTTAAGGCTCTGTTAGAAATTACTGATGCACACACTATATTGTAAATTCTTATCTCTGTATACTGTACTTTTACATACAAATGTACTGTACTTCTACATACAAATGTTATGTTAAAGAATTACTTCATCCCCATGTGACCATCTCACCTCATAATCAAATGACCCTAAATCCCTCACTAACCTACCCCGCCCTCACTAAACTTAATAATAAATACTGGTATATCCAGTGTATTGCTGGCACTGCAGGACCAGAAGGCAGTGACCCCCCTGGAACCAGCTTTCACTATCTTGTGTGTGTCTATTATTTCTCAACCTGCTGATCCACCTGGGAACAAAGAGAGAGACCCGTTGCATTGTGGGCTGCTGGCCAGATCCCGCAATATCACAGAAATAGTTATTCAGTCTAATTCCATTTATATAAATTCAAAAACAAGCAAAACTGAAAATATATTGTTCAGAGATATATTTTTGTGTGGTAATAACTGTACAGAAAACAGGAACGAATAACTATAAAATTTAGAAAAGTGACTACCACCAGTGAAAGGATGAGGGATGTGATTAAGGAGGAATACAGAGGATTCAAATATATTGAAGTATTCTCTCACTTAAATTGTGTGATGAGTGCAGAGGTGTTTCATTTATAACATTTGTTCAATGCTTTCATGAGAGAGAGATCTAGCACCCGATATACCCAATATGATCTAACATGCGATGTGTATGTAGAACATATACTTAGAGAATATATACACACCTTATTTACTGTATCTTGTGGTAGACTTATTACAAAACAGGCCTAATTTTTGCTATTCCTGTATATTCTCCTTTTGCAATGTAAATCTGCAGCTCCTCCCAATAAGTCAATTTTCTTACTTCTTGAAACTCTTACTCTCAAGCAATACATCTTCCCATTTGTTTTTCATAATAAGCAGCCATTTTCCATTGGCCTTAATTAGCATTCCCTTTTCTTGAATTTATGCAATTTTCCCTGTACCCTCATGACCTCCTTAAAAATTAGGCATCCTGGCCTCCATTTTTTCACATGTAAATTGTCTGGCTTATAGCTCTTATTTTAATTATTTTATTAATAACTCTTGAAGCTACCTAAAGGTATCTGCCGTCTTAAATAAAGAATACTTGAAAACCCTAATAGAATTCACCCACCAAGGGAGAAAAAAAAGAAAAAAAAAAAAGCATGTGGGCTGGAGAAGAATTTGGGGAAGGTAGATCTCAGAGTTGAAACCCAAAAGCAATTCATTTCTATCAGTGGCTCCTTAAAAATAGACCTGACCCAGTGTTCAAGTTTATTATTTTTTAGAGGAGGAAATGAGAGGGAAACTATCCTTCTTTAAACAGGCTATGTAAAAAGATTTTTTAAAATAAGGAAATGCCACACAGACGTTTCTCTGCACAGGACTGCTGACTTCGAAGACTTGTCCCTTGGCTCATGTTCATGTAAATTATTTTTGTAAAGACACGTACTGTTATAAAAACAGAGGTGTTTTTCGTGCTTCCCCTTTGCAGTTAATGGCCAAAAATCTTAAAATAACAGGATTGAGCTCCAAGCTGAAACCTAAACATGGCAAAACATGTAAATCCTCAGGCTATATCTGATACAGAGCTAATTAAACAACTCAGGGATTTCCTTCATGAGAAACGACAAGCTTTATCTACCTGCCTCACTCATCAGTAACGGGAAAGGGAAGGGGGGGTACTGAATTGGGATGAAATGTTCTACTAAACATGACATACCTCCAGAAGCAATCTTTCCCCCAACCCCCCATGTAGGGCACTAATAAATTTGAGGACTCACATTTCAACAACAACATTTTAAAATAATTTTTTTATTTTAGAACATCATTAGATGTACAGTAAAATTGTGAAGATGCTGTAGAGAGAGTTCCCACATACTGCCCCCCACCCTACAGCTTCCCTATTATTAGCACTGTATGTTAGTGTGGTACATCGCTTATCATTAGTGAACCAAAATCAATATGTCATTAACAAAAGTCCTCACTTTTTCAAATTTTCTCATTCTTCCCTTAATATCCTTTTTCTGTTCAAGGATCCCATCCAGCATCTCATGTTACATTTAAAGCTCACGTCTCTTTAGGCTGCTCTAGATTGTGACAGTTTCTTAGACTTTCCCTGTTTTTCATGACCTTGATAGTTTTAAAGACTACTGGTATTTTGTAGAACATCCCTCAGCTGGAATTTGTCTAATATTTTTCTCACAATTACACTCAAGTTATGTGTTTGGGGGAAGAATATCACAGAGGAAAATGCCAATCTCATAAAGTGTCATTTTTTAAATCCCATTTTTCTTTTTTCTAAAGTAGATATGAGCAGGTAGGAGTGAACATGTACAGAAAAAAATGACTTACGGAGGAATAAATCAAAATGTCACCCATATCACAGGGAGGTGGCCCTCTCTTAGCAGAGTCAGAATATGCCTCCATCCCATATTACAGCTGCTACTTGGTCAATCATCAAACCTGAAAGAAAGCCAGGGAGCAAGTCTGCAAGGGAAGAAGGATGAAAGATTTGTTACAAGAATCATTTCTACTTCAAAGAAAAACCTTCAAGCATAATGGGACCACCAGAGTGTTCCTCTCTTCTTTCTTTCTCTGTCTGCCTGTCTTATGTCTCTCTCTTTCCCCTTGTTTCATTCATTCATTCATTGTTTTATCCTCTCAACTAGTATTATTGAGTGCACTGAAAAATTGAATAGACACCAAAACATCACCCCTATCCTCAAGGTACTTACTTTCTAATGGGATAGAGGTAACTGGTAACAAATAAATGTCAAGAAGAAAAATAAAACAGGAGAAAGAATAGATCTGGGTGGAGAAAAGGGGATTTTTCTGTCTTAAGGAAGGGAAAACTTTCCCTCTACCCTTTAACGGTTTGGTAATTGAGTCTGAAATAAATTGGCAGTAGGCAGATTAGCAGGAAAAAAGAATAAAGATGTATCATGTGCATGGGGAGATCACAGGGAAAAAAAATGAATATCCACCAACCCACTGAGATGTAGATGCTTACGTACGCTCTTCACAGGGGAGAGAGGTTGGGGATGTAGGCAACTTAGGGGAGCAGAAATAATTTCTGGAAAAGATGAATAGGCCCTCCGAAGAACAGGTGGTATCCTGTGACGAAGTCTATCTGGGTGTGGGGTCAATCCTCAGTCTCCTCTCCTGGGAGGCGAGTTGAATCTTCCCTAGTTGATGAGATTCCTTGGGAGGGGACTCATGACAATTGAGATCTTTTTGAAGGATCTGTCTTGAGGCAGACAAAGTTCAGAGAAAAGCCCCTCAAGGCATTTGCTGTTCCCCAAGTGCCCTGAGTTTGAAGTCCAAAGTGGCATATTTGGGGGTGGCATTTCCTGAACGCCTTCACTATTTTAGAGAGTGGTCAGGGAAGTCTTCTCTGATGAGAAGACACCTAAGAAGGGATTAAGGTTCCAGACAGAGGAAATGGCAAGGGCAAAGGCCCTGAGGTAGGATTTGAGGTCTTAAGAGGTGTTTTGGAGAGATGGGGCAGTGACAGATCATGTAGCATCTTGGAGATGGAGATGGTTTAGATGGAAAACCACTGGTGGCTTTTTAGATGAAACAGTGTTATAATCCGAACTAGGTATTTAAAAGATTACTTTGGCTTTGGTTTGGTGATTTGTTTAGGAATAGGAGAGCTGGTGGTGTGTCTTGGTAGGAAAACTTCTTAGGAGATAATTACATTAGGCAAGGCAACAGAAGACCACCAATTGAACCAAGGTGATAGCAATGGAGGTGGAAAGGCGTAGGTAGATTTTGTATATAATTTGAAGGAAGAAAAAAGGGATGTGCTAATTAATTGCATACAAAATGTGAAAGAGTTTCCAGGTTTCACACACGTGAAACTATTCACTACTAAAAAAATAGAAAGTACATTACTTCACCCAAATTTTCAGCCTTTACATACGTCGAGATCTGACAAATTCTCACATGTACACTCTGAGGAAATAATGGAAAGGAAGACTTTTTTCATTTATTTCTCTTTTCAGTTCTCTCCTTTCTCCCCCAAAAGTCATCTACTCTAATATACTTATATTTTTAAACATGCTCGTATCCTTGTTAAATCCATTGTGTTATTTTATGTATATTGTATTTCTAATTTACCAAGACATTGACTTCAATATCTTTTTTTTTCAACCTAACACTGTGGTTTTAGGATCTGTTCATATTGATGTTTGTACATCTAGTTCAAAGATTTTCCTTACTGTGCAGTAATACAGTATCTATAACCTTACTGATGAATATCTAGGTTGTGCACAAATTCGTGCTATTACATCACTTTTAGAAATATCCATGTACAGATTGCATTATGGGCCTCTTTGTGGGTATCTCTGTGATAAGGAATCAATAATTCTCTACTCCTATTCACATCTTTTACTTTTTTTATTTTTGGAGTTACTCATATTCTAGATACTAATCCCAATCAATTAATCACTTATTACATTTATTTCCAGTCTGTCACCCATCTGTTAACTTTATCTATAGTTTGTTCTATTTGAACTGAAATATTTAATTTCAATGTGGTCAAATAATGTTATTTTTTTAAAAAAATCCTTAAAGTTTATAGAGTTCAGAAGAATCTCAAGAAAGGACTTAGACTCCTGGTGGGAATGTGACACAGTAAAAAGAGCATGTTTTAAACTGGCAAGTTGAATTTCCATTGACTGGGGTATGATGTGAAAAACATCAGTATTGTAAATTTCATCCACTTATGGAGTTAGTTATGTTCCACCCTATTCATCTTCCATCTCCACACTTTCTCCCTTGAGGGGTCATATACTTACTCTCTTATTCATTCCGCAGACTCTAGCCAAGACCTCTTTTAAAATTCTAGACTCACATTTTCAACTGCCTGATCGAGGGTGAAGTAGAAATATGTGTTTCCCTTGCCTGTCATTTCTTCTCCTTTCTTCTGACCAACAGAATATAATTACAGCAGTAAACACTTAAATACCACTAATTACATAACAGATTTTGTTTCTGTGCTTTACAAATATAAATTCTTACATTAACCTTGTTTTAACAACCCTGTGACGCCACACTCTTATTATTCCCATTTTATTGATGAGAAAACTGAGGCTCAGAGAAATTGTGACCTGTCCAAGATGATACAATTAGTATGTGGTGGAGCCAGAATATGTCTTTTTTTTTCCTGTGGGGAACCAATTACATATTTCAGGAGTGGAGTTGACACCACACCCCAGGGATATCACCCAGGTCCCCCAGTACGTGATTGGTTCAAGGTTAGTCACGTGATCACACTGAACCAATCAAAGTCCCTTTATGGATGCATTTTTGTCTGAGCCCTGGGGAAATTCTCTATTTCTGCTAATGAAATTGTATTGGTGTGTGAGGCTGCCAAGGGGCTATTATGCTATCCACACAAAAGAACCTGAGGACAGAAAGAGACTGATACCTGATGACATCATTTGAGTTCCTGGATCCAGTTACGACAGGGGCCAGTATGAACCTGGACATTTTGGTTTTGTGAGCCCATTAATTCCCTCTTTTCCTTAACCTACTTTGTATTGGGTTTCCTTTACATGTATTCAAAACAAGTTCTCTCTACTATCAATAACCTACAAGCACTTTTGTCCGGTCCTTGTTGTCACTTATCTTTTTTTTTTTTTTTTTTTTTTTTTGAGACGCAGTCTCTCTCTGTCGTCCAGGCTGGAGTGCAGTGGCTCGATCTCGGCTCACTGCAATCTCTGCCTCCCGGGTTCAAGCGATTATCCTGCCTCAGCCTCCTGAGTAGCTGGGATTACAGGCGACTGCCACCACGTCCAGCTAACTGTTTTTTTGTATTTTTAGTACAGGCGGGGTTTCACCATTTTCTTCAGGCTGGTCTCGAACTCCTGACCTCGTGATCCACCCGCCTCGACCTCCCGAAGTGCTGGGATTCCAGGCGTGAGCCACGGCGCCTGGCCACTTATCATTTAAATAGGCTTCTCTAATGAGGGAAATTCCCACATTATGAATTCAGCCTCATCAATGCAGAATTCAGAACCCAAATTCCAGCTGCTTTGGCAGCTAGGAGGCAGGCATGTGACCCAGGCTCTAGCAACCATCTGACTGTCTGCACACTGGGTCCCACATGTGCATGCAGCCTCCATCTTTGCGGATGCAGGTAGCAGCTGATGAGTTCAGCTTTCAGGAGCGGCAGGGGTTACAAATACAAGTCCTTGGCTCAGAAGTAGCACTGGTGCTGGAGCAGTAGGAGCTACACTAGTCAATTCCTTTCATTTCCTACTTGGCAGCGGCAATAGCAGTGAAGGTGGCTACCTCATCAGCTCAGTTCTGCGACGTGATTTGGGGCGTTGCTCTTGAAAGCTTAGCCTTGAATCTATTTCTCCAGCTCTCCCAACAATTCTGGGGAATAATTCCGGAGAGAACCATCCTTTAATACATCACATTCTACTTAAATTAGGCAGCATGGTTTCTGTTGTTTGCAACTAAGAATGCCGGCTGATATATCCAGTCATAAAACACAAGCTCTAGGAGAACAGAACATGATAAAGTGTTTGACACATAATAGATGATTAATAAATTATAGATAGAATACAACTATGATCATATACGTATTCTGCTCACAGTCTATGAAGGAAGAAAAATAGAAAAATTATGCACCATCCCATCACCAGAGATGATTATTAACCCTTTGGTGACTCTACTTCTAGGTTTTCTTTCTCTATAAGCACAAACATAGATAGACATATATATAAAGAAATGGAATATTTTAAAGCAAAATGTGATTATAAGATACATATTGTTTATAATCTGCTCTTTTTTCCCCTCATTTCTTACTTTTTAAAACCTCAGTATGTCATAGGCATTATTTCACGTAAAAAAAAATTTTCTCTTTTTGAGACAGGGTCTCACTTTGTCACCCAATGGCTTAATCACAGCTTACTGCAGGCTCAGGTGATCCTCCCACTTCAGCCTCCCAAGTAGCTGGTACTACAGGCACATGCCACCACACCCGGCTAATTTTTTGTAGAGACAGAGTTTTGCCATGTTGCCCAGGCTGGTCTTCAATTCCTGGGCTCAAGCGATTCTCTGCTCCAGTCTCCCAAAGTGCTGGATTACAAATGTGAGTCACTGCACCCCCACTTCATGTAAACAAATTTTACCTCCATCATCATTCTTACCAGCTATAGCTGCAGGTATTCCATTGCTTGTATAAACTATATCTTGCATTTTGAAATGTTTAAATTAGTCCCAGTACCTATGTATTACATATGCAATACCTTTTACATATGTATTAAATTATTACATATGCACTTATGCATATTGATTATATATAATTATGTAATAATCAATTCTTTTAGAGAACTATTCTGGACAATATATCTGCGCTCACTTGATTGGAACCTTCTCTCACTTTCTATTTCTCTGCAGGAATTTCCCCCATTTCTATACCTTTTACTCTAAATCCTTAGAATCAAGGCAACAAAAATGTGGAGTATATCAAATTATCCACACTAAGTATTAAATGTTTGGGAAGATTATTTGTTTATTTCCCTGCTTATGAGACCTCCTTATCCATCCCGTCTCATCCCTAAGGCTTTTGTTTGATTGCTTGTTTGTTTGTGAGACACGGTCTCACTCTGTAGCCCAGGCTAGAGTGCAGTGGTGCAATCATTGCTCAATGCAAGATCTAATTCCTGGACTCAACTGATCCTCCCTCCTCAGCCTCCCTAGTAATTGGGACTACAGGTATGTACCACCATGCTCATTTATTCATTTATTTTGCTAGATTTGTAAAAAACCAAAATTCATTACATTTTAAGCCTAGCTTTTCCATTATGTCTTCCGGGTCAAACAAGACGTTTTCTCAGGTGAGTTTTTTAAAAGCCATCTCACTTTTGCATGTAGTGGCATATTTTAGGTGATTAAGTATAATAAACCATGCACTATGAGAAAATCCTGAATCGAAAAGAAAAAGATCTGGTAAAGAAGAAGAAATGTTGGCCTACTCCTGACAACTGAGTTTGATAAGTGAGACTTTCCCATTTCCCTGTTCTGTGGCTAGCAGAACATCTTCTTGGATATTGAAGATTTCCCTGAGGGCTAGGTGGAAAGAGACTGTGCCCCTGGTGATTAGGAAACATGTATTTCCAATTTGGGGCATCTTGTGGTTAATTGTCTCTTTTGTCCAAGGGGTAACTACTTCTCCCCATATATATATCATCCTCTCAAAGACGCCTCAGTATAAATAATAGAATAATTGTAAAAATGAACAAATGTACTCCTCTGCATTCAAGTGGTTACCATGGCAATGAGTGAATCACCAGTGTAAATTTCCTCTGAGCCAGCCATTCTCTGAAGGATCCGGTGCTGCCTCTCTTAACCAGAGGCTGCCTCTGCAGCTGAGCTTCTCAGGCCCTCTCTTCATGGAGTTAGAGGACACTCAAACCTATCAGAGAAGAGCTGCCCACCTTCTAAATCACCGATCTCTCAACATCTCTCTCTGTAATCTCACTCAAATTGCACACCCAATAGGTTTCCTAATGGAGTCAGCAGAGAAATGATTCATTTCAGCCCTAAGTGTTCATTAGAAATATTGGTACTAAACGAAGTGAGATAATTTATCTGAAACGTGCACTTAAAATTACTCTTTTTTTTTCTATTTCCAGTTTAGTGAACAATTTTCCCTTTATGAAACCTTAGGAGCCTTTCCATTCAATTGCCTTAATCCTTTATATTAATATATTTCGGAGCCAGTTTCATATTCTACTGTCTTTATTCTCTTAAATCTTTCTCTTTCTTCTCCTCTTCTTCCAGCTCCTCTTCTTCTTACTCTATAGTGTTGATTACTAAGTGTTTGCCTCACTGTCAGCCATTAATGGCCAGAATATATTAAAGAAATCATTGTTGTCAGAATTCATAACTGAAATAGCTGTTAGAGGCAAAGTCCTGGAGGAAGGCCAATGCCGAACACACTGCAGGCTTGAGTTGTATTTGATAACCACAGAGGTTCTCTGTGTATAACTAGGCCCCAGAGTCTTCAAGTGAAATTGGACTTTGATCTTTGGCCAACTCAGAGCCCTCCTTATCCCATCCCATCTCATCCCTAAGGCTTTTGTTTGTTTGCTTGTTTGTTTGTGAGACATGGTCTCACTCTGCAGCCCAGGCTGTAGTGAAGTGGTGCAATCATTGCTTACTGAAAGTTCAAATTCCTCGGCTCAAATGATCCTCCCTCCTCAGCCTCCCTAGTAATTGGGACTACAGGCATGCACCACCATGCCCAGTTAATTTTTTTTATTTTTTGTAGAGACCGGGTCTGGCTGTGTTGGCCAGGATGGTCTCAAACTCCTGGCCTGAAGCAATCCTCCCAACTCGGCCTCCCAAAGTGCTTGGATTACAGTTGTAAGCCACCACACCTGGCCTCTAAAACTTCTAATGTACATTTCCTCATGTCTGCAAGACCTTGACTGGTTCAAAAAAAGTGCTGAGTCCTTGCACTTTTCATCTGCCAGCACCAAGGGAAAGGAGAGAACTCCTTCCCTGAACTCTTGAGGATTGAACCCCTTTGAATCTGATGCAGGCTGCAGACCGGGCAAACACACACACCATACACCCACACATATTTTCTCACACACACAAACACACACTAAATTTTTGGTGAGTTCACGGATCGCCAATGAAGGTTGGGGTGATAATTGCTGAGCAAAATGCATTATTCAGGATGAAAGTGTGCAACACTAGATCCTACCATCTAGTTTTTTGTCCTAACATAATTCATCCATGAGTGCTGATTAAACACTTCTTTTATGCCTGGATACTCTATCTCTGGCTAGGTACTTTGAAATGAAAAACAAAAGAAAAAGATATAATCCTTGTTTTGTAGTATTCTATAAGTTAGCAAGAGAAATGAGGGGAGACAAATACATGAACGAGCAAATAGAAAACATAAGAGGATAAAGGAAAAAGATAAATCTTTCTCTCTCTCTCTCTCTCTCACACACACACACACACACACACACACACACTGCAGAAAGGAAGACAAGGAAGGAAGAGAAGAGAACTTGTGGACAAAATTAGTCACAGACGCCTTCATAGAAAGAATTATTGGATGAAAATCCAGATTACAGGTCACACTCCAACCACAAATGGGAAGGAAATTGGAAACTTCCAAAGTAGGCTCTCTGAGGTTAATAGTGTGGTCATATACCTTCTTCCTTACTAACTCCAGTGTTAATTTTTCCCACATACAGAACTGGGAAGGAGACAGGATGTACAGTTTAAAGAAAATAAGGAACTCTCTAGTCACCTAAAAGTGGTGTGGTTCTGCATATTTTCTCAATGTTTTAGTTGTGGAAAACCAGAAGTGCCAAGAGGCTATTTCCTTGTCTGTCTTCAGGGTTACTGAAGTCAGAGAACTGCTCTGTTATGGGAAGAGTTCATGAAAGTATTTCTTAGGCAGAGAGAAAAATAACAAAAGGAGTTTTTTCAACCTAAAATATTTATATGAACAGGAATACTGTGCTGTATCACTCAAATGTTATGCTAAACTGAGAATCCAAGCAACCTTCCTCAGGACTGTGCCTCAGCAAAGCAGCTGAGCTATGCAAGATCAAGTTTATATAAAAATGCGTAACCAACACTTGATGATCCATATGTAATGGTCCCAAGAATGAGGGTCTTGCATATGAAGTATGTGCCACTGGCTTTCCAAAACAACAGGAGAGGATGTATACTTTAGATAGCATGTTCTGGTTTCTGTCATTTTTTTTTAAAGATTTTAATACAACTGTCAGAGCTGACCAATGATTTAAACAAATCTATCATGGCTGTAAAAAGAAATCATTGCATTTTAGAGTCTCACATTAAGTTTGCATATCTAAAGTTCAAAAAATGACATTTAAGAAACATGAAATTTTCATAGAAATAGAGGGAAGTGCACACCCAATCTAAAGTCCTCCAAGGCGATATTCTGCTTCCAAATTGTGTGGATTACAGCACTATTAATAGCTACAAGAATAACCTAAAATATCACATGGAAGCAAAGAGGAAAAGGGAACGATATCATTAGAACCTGAACATTTCTGTTTTTTAACCTGATGTTTAAATTGGTGACATTATTGTAAACATGACAAATTGAGGAAAAAGTCACTCCTCAGTATTGCATAAATGTGCCTATTTGATTTTGCATTTAATTAGAATTATATGTGATTATTTGCTAATTATTTGGATAAGAAAGTGGAAAACAGTCAGAAAGCCATTCTGATGGAAGAGGATGGGGGCTGCAAGAAAGTTTTCATCCCTACTGTTCTCCAGGCTGTCTCGTGACACTCGCTGCCACATTAAGTAGGCCTTTGTGATGCTCTGTCTACTCAAGCCCTCTGCAGCAGCTAGTACTATTACTGCTTTCTTGAAGTTACCTTGCAGAGCCTGTCTGCTACAGTCTTTTTTTTTTCTCACTCTGTTACCCAGGCTGGACTGCAGTGGTATGATCTCGGCTCACTGGAACCTCCTTCTCCCAGGTTCAAGTGATTCTCCTGCCTCAGCCTCCTGGGTAGCTTGGATTACAGGCGCCCACCACCACACCTGGCTAATTTTTGTATTTTTAGTAGAGACGGGGTTTCACCATGTTGGCCAGGCTGGTCTCAAACTCCTGACCTCAGGTGATCCACCTGCCTCGGCCTCCCAAAAGTGCTCAGATTATCATGAGCCACCGCCCCCTGCCGTGCTACTGTATTAACTGCTCTTTATCTCCTCTCCATCTCTTGGCTCATCTTCTTAAATCCCACCACAAATGTGGATTTTCACCTGTCTCTATTTTCTACCCTTTCTCCTCTTGTTCCACAATTTCACAGGTTGATCTGAACCATCTCATGATTTCAGCCATCTTATAGACCAATATGTTCACAACTCTATTCCAGCCCAAAGTTCTCTCCTGAGTATCAGGCCCAAATTTCCATGTTCTACATGAGACATTTTCACTTGAATATCCCCTAGGCTGCTTACATTCAGCATATCTAGAATAAAAGTATTATCTTCATCCCCAGATTTGCTGTTCTGTATTATTTCCTTCCTAGTGTAATGTCACCACCATCCATTCATTCAACAAATACTTATGGGGCTCTTACTATGTGCCAGGCACTGTTCTAGGTGCTGGAGCTACATCAACATACAAAACAAGTCCCCTGCCCTAGAGCTGACATTCTAGTGGAACCACCCAAGTAACACAAGCCAGAGGCCTTGGAATCTGCCCTCCTCTCCACTCCAAGGCCCCAGTGAAGGTTATTTCTATCTCTCTACCTCACGTCTTTCAATAGGCCCAGACTGTTTCCTGGCTCCCATCTCTTCCTACTTCGATCCATCCTCCACCAGAGTGATCTTTCTCGATTGCCAAGTGGCTTCTCATTGCCCATAGGATAATAGGATAAATTCGTAGTTAAGCCTTGTGCAGCCTGGCTTCCTTCTTCCCCTTGTGTACACCCTAGTCACTCAGCAACCTGTGTACCCATCCCCAAACACATCAAGTCCTTCCCTACCTCTCTGTCTCCTTCAGAACAGGGACAATGTCCCCACCATCATTTTCTTTCTTAGCACAGAAATGAATAATCACAGTAATACTTACTGTGTATTAAGTGCTCACTGAATTGCCAGAGACTATGTTAAGCACTTCAACATATATTATTTAAACCCATAACACGAGTCTGTGAGGTAGGTTCTACAATTATTAACTCGGTTTTACAGAAGAGGAATTGATGCTCAAAGATTAACTAACTTTTTTAAGTTACACAGCTAAAAGGTATTCCAAAGCCCCTGCTCTCTGCATAAGGCTGAACTCCATGCAACCCAGTACTTTGTACATATTAGACTCACACTTAATTCTAATTAAATGATTTAATTTTCTTATATCTGCATCTTTTGTTGGAAGCTGCTAATTAACATCTTAGGAAATGGATACATAAATAAATAAATTCCAATCAAAATAAGTTTAATTACTAGGGCTATCTTAGCACTCTCTCTTCAGATCCCAGAATGACAGTTCTTTTATGGATGTAGTTTTTTCTTTACTTATCTCCTTCCCTTGTTTCCTTGTTTTCTTAACTTTAGAGTGTGCTTGCGTAGGTTGTGAAGGCCAGAAGCCAGAGATAATGGAGATAGAGATGCAGAAAGCACCCCAGAGACAGAAGAGGAAGAAAGCCCCATCCTATGCCTCAGGAATGATAAACTCCTGCGTCTTGGCCCACACTAATTTTCTCTCTTTGTCTTGCCTTCTCTCCTCATTCCAGTCTGCCTGTCTGTCTGGGTGACAATAACTCTGGGGAAAAATGACAAGGACAAAATATGAGTTTCTCCCCACCCAGTTTTAGAAGCCCAGGTCCCACTGATGACACCCAGAAAGACCCTCTGGGAAAGTTGTCAGACAAGATCTGTCAGCTCCAGGACATAGATTTTCTTCAGTAACATCAAATCCCAATATTTTGTTCTGTTTTTACTCACTCTAACCCAAGCATGATGGAGTTGCTTATGGCCCTGTAGGCAAGTCAGAAGGCAGAAACTTGCTGTTTGTCATTTCCCCAACAGAGGTTGGGTGGCAGCACTTGACAGATATACTTGGAGGATGAAGACCATTTGGGGGATTCAAAACTAATAAAATTAAAAACTAAAAAAAGACATACTTGGAGGGGAGGGTCTCCCAGTGCATGACCAAGAATATATGGCCTGAGACAGCTGAGACAAGGGTGAGGCATGCCAAGGCCAATGTTGGGCACTGTGGGTTGTGGTTTCCCATGCCAAGGTAAGGATAGGGATGAATGGACCAATCTGTTTCTCCCCCTGGATCTGAGTTATCACCACAAACTAAGATGGACCTTAAAAGAGGGGTCTCCCACCTTGTCCCCTGGGACTTAGGGTATGTGAAGGTTTCTCATTACTGAAAGTCCTCCCTGTTTCTGCAGGCTGGAGATGAGGCTGTAACCAGTGTGGAGGCACCAGCCCTCAGGGAGTGTCCCTGCTACTGGTCAGGAAGGAGGGGGAGGCAGCACTGGCCTTGCAAACCAGAGGTCAAGGGTCAGCCAGGAAGTGGTGGCAATTGTGTGAGCTTTGATCTGTGGCACATATGAGCCACTCCAGAAACCCCACCCCGTTTATAGAAACCAAAGTTTCTATAAATGACCTTACCCATGGCTCTGAGGCACAGGCCTCCTCTTCGAAGGAGTCAGCCCCCAACATTGATGGAATAAAACTCTCATCCTCCCTCCACTGCTCTCAGCCTCCCCTGACTCAGAACCTCATTCTTATCCTTGCCAGGCCACTTCCCCTGCTTGAGGAAGAAAGACGGAGGGCTTCTGGTTTTAAAGGAGAGTGTGCAACAAAGATGGGTGGTGGGGAGGGGAACGCTGAGGAGGCCTTCTCCTCCAGGTGAGCACTGAGAAGGTGTCCAGGCACGGCCATGCCTCCTTCCTCCCCTGAATGCCATCCTCTTTGTGCAGGTAGCCCAGAACTCCCATGATTATAGAGAGGCCCTGGCAGGGGCCAGTGGGTTCAGTCTAGTATCATTGGCTGAGTCTCAACCCAAACTCTGCCACATGGACACCTTCCTCACTGCAGCTTCTTGGAGGAGAAGTGAGAGGAGGTGCAGGAGAAGTGGTGAGCAGCACTGAAGGACTCCGGAGAGAAGGGGATGGGACTGGGATAGAAATGTGTCTTCACCACTGTTCAGAGAGGGAGGCAGGGCTAGGCAATGGTTGAACATGAAAAGAAGTCCATAGCTTTCCAGGTAATCTCATTTCATCCTTATTTTGTTGCCCCCCTTTTATAGATTACGGAATGAAGACTTTAAGAAGTTGAGCTTTGATATTTCACAGATCATTGTAAGTCTTTAGGCCCCAATGTCTTCACCTGCCATGAAATAGCACGTTCTGGCCCATGTGCCACAAGGAATATTCCATAAGGCTGAGGCTTTTGCTCAGGCCCCATGGTGTTATCATTTCTACCATGCTTGTTTGCATGACCCTGGAAACCATATCCCATGATGCCATGCCCTGTCCCCCTGCCAGTGACAGACAGGCTGCACCACAGCTTTCCCAACAGCTCTTCTTAAGTTAAGCGTGTTGAGGCCAAGAAGGTAGCTTCTATGTCTTCCATGTTCAGTGTCAATTTACCAGTGTACAAGAACTCTCTCAGGTCTGGGAAAAGAAATTCAAACTCTTTGGCTTTAAGGAAGGGAACAAACAGAGGAAGCAAGAGGGAAAATCAGCTGATTGTGGCAATAAGAAATGTCCAAGACAGCTAATGTCTTATTTTGAAAAAATAATTCAAGACTGTGTGGATAAAATAAATATTTAGGCTGGTAAGAATTTAATCCTGTAAGACCTGTTTGGTGTTGGGGTGGACCAAAATTAAGACAGTATTAACAGAACAGTAAAACTTTCACCTATGTGTTTTGATCATTCTTCAGCTTCCAAAGAGTTAAACATATATACAACTATATGGTTTCAGTTACTCCTTGGCTTTATGAAATAACTAATTGATGGATTCCCTTACTTATGCTGACATTCATGGAAGCTCTGCCTTGAAGACAGGGTTGCCTTAGGCCCTGGGAGAATCAACATTGCATTTTTTTTTGCTTCAATCTTTTATGGATATCATCATGCTGATTTTTAATATAGATCTTTTTATGATGAGTTTGAGGATAGCAGAATGACTTTTATGAGGACAAACCTGGTTACTCTGTATGTAATTCATCGGGGCTTTTAAGATGTAAAAATTTGATTGCCTGCCTAGTGTGGGGGCTTCCTTTTATTGCCCATTCAAGTTTGTTTATGAAATTCTCTGGCATCAGATAATATTGCTGTATGATAAGAACAGGGAGTGTTTGTGTGACCTTGTGGTGATGATGCTGGTTGTGGTTTGAGGGTCTCTTCTGTCAAATTCTCACTTTGCATAGAACATTCAGTCACTCCCTGTGAAGATAGTGTAATCTGATGATACACAGAAGAGGTTTTAACAGCTCCATAATCACAGTGGACTGAAATGAAGGGTACTGGTGTCTTCCTCTTTCTGGAAGCCCGAAAATCCCATGCCCGTTACACCATGAGGCAGACCAGACTCCTCTCCCGACCATGGATGTGCAGGTGCCGAAAGTCAAGTGCACTGTTCAAATGGGCAAGCCCAAGATCAATCGGACAATTGTATGATGGAAGTTGTAGGCAGCATTTCCAGGGCTCACCAGGCAACACCTGCCGAGCCAAGGAAGATAACCGTGGAAAAGGCACATTCCTGGGCTCTGCCCTCTCTCTCCAATAAAATGTCTACTCCCACTAATCTAGCACTCTTCCTGTTTCTCAAACTTTATGTTCAATACTGTGCATGCGTTACCTCAAGTAATCCTTACACAGATCCCTAAGGAAGGGGAAATTGAGGTTTATGGCAGTTAGGTAGCTTGCCTAAGGTTGCACAGTGCCTGTGCTGCTAACTATTAACACTTCACTAATCTGCTTTCCTACTGCCAAATAATAACCTGGCTATCTGTCTTCTTCAAACTAACTGTGTCCATAATCAAAGGCACCATCTTTCCTCCCAATTTGGCAATTTCTTATGACTCCCCTATTGTTCGTGGTCATACTCATTTCCTGCATCATCATCTCAATTCAAGTCCTTACCAAAACCTGGACTTTCACAATCACCTCCTTGTCAAACTCCCCATCAGCAGTCTCTCTTCTCTATGCCACAGTTTGCTTGATCTTCTTAATGTGTTGTATAACTGTGTCATGTTCCAACCCACAGTCTTTGTGGACAGTCAGTGTGGTGTGACAGAAGAGGCACAGCTTTAACACCAGATAGTCCTGGGTCTGAATTTCAGCTCTTTCCCTTATTACCAGATGACCTGTGAGCCTCAATTTCCTCTTCTATAAATAGGGTTATTTCTGCTAACCTCTGAGAGTTGGGAAGAAGCTAAAATATGCTAATATATGTAAGGTGTCTAACATTGGCCCTTAAATGGTTAGTGCTTCATAAATGTTAAATGGTTAGTGCTTCATAAATGTTAAATTGTTAGTGCTTCATAAATGTTTGCATCCTTTCAAAGGCTCTTATTGCCCCTTGGATAAATTCTGCACTGGGAACTACATTTTTCTGCAATGTGTTTCCCACCAATCTTTGTTTCTTTCTTTTTTTCTTTTTTTTTTTTTTTTTTTGAGACGGAGTCTTTTACTGTCGCCAGGGCTGGAGTGCAGTGGCATGATCTCAGCTCACTGCAACCTCCACCTCCCAAGTTCAAGCAATTCTCCTGCCTCAGCCTCCTGAGTAGCTGGGATTACAGGTACCCGCCATCATGCCCAGCTAAGTTTTTGTATTTTTAGTAGAGACGAGTTTCACCATGTTGGCCAGGTTGGTCTCTAGCTCCTAACCTCATGATTCACCTGCCTTGGCCTCCCAAAGTGCTGGGATTACAGGCATGAGCCACTGCTCCCGGCCCCACCAACCTTTCTTTCTAACTACCGCTCACCTATACAAAGCCCTGTTCTAGTTAAACTCTACTTGGGCTTTTCATTTTCCTTTCTAAACACCTTTGCACACGTCATTTCCCATGATGTCCCTTTTCTCCATCAACCAAAAACTTACCCATCTTTTAGGGCTAAAGAGTTTACCTCTTCCTTTTTCACTCCTGGACTTCTCTTACCAGGGGAGCTTGCTTTTCCTCTGTAGCTGCTGTAGGACGTGTCCAAATCACTCACTTAGGCACTCATCATTACTATGTTTTGATCGTGATATTTTCCCTGCATCTCTGTCTTATCTCTCTTAATATCTTATAAGCACCTCGAGGGTGGGCCAGCCCTTTGTTTTGCTGTATTTCCCATGTTGACTTCACTGTTTTCTTGCACTGAATGAGTGCCCAATAAGCATCTGTGGTTGAAAGGCCGGATCATGCTGAAAACGAATCCTCTCAAGTGTGAGTGTGTCCCAGGCATGTCTTATCCCCTCCCTGCTGTGCATGTACCTCCCTGGTTCCCAGGCTCTCCCAGGGAAGAATTCCATCTGCTCCTCACTGGGCCCCTCACACAGACAGATAGATGTTTAAATAAATTATGGGGCCAGTGATGACAGCCTTCACTAGAACTTTAAAAATGATGAGCTATTACTACCCTGGTTCTCGTCTCCCAAATAACATCTTTACAGTCCCTGCCAGACCCCTGGTAATGAATTTTTTCAGTGTTCACAGCAGGGCCATGGGAATTCATCACTCCATTCATCCTCTAGACTCTAAGGAATCCTGCTGGAAGCCCAGAAATCACATCTGCTGTGTTCTACCATCTGCTGTCCTTATCTCTCCAGCCAGATAGTAAGTAACCTGAGGACCAAGGTGGAAGGGTATGTATCATCGTGTCTTCTACTGTGCCTGGCACAGTGCTTTGCATTGTGGTTGCCATGGTAGTTCAAATATGCCCAGTTCTCCCCCTTCCTGGAATTGCACTGCCAGATTCCTTGGGCCTGGGTGGGGCAGGCGACAAGTGTGGTCAGTAAGTGGTGGGCAGAGTGGTGAATGCCCTCTCCAGGCTGAAGTGCTTACCTCATTGCTGGATTGAAACCATCCACAGCTCTTTTCCGTCTGGCCAGGGGCAACAACAACATTTCAGATGATGGCCACCCATTCCCTAGGGCCACTGAGGGACTTCAATGGGCAGAATCCCCTTGCCAACCCCAGGCACATATCATGAACAGAAATAAACCTTTGATGTTTTGCGCTGCTGAGATTTGGAGAGTGTTTGTTATTGCAGAATAACCTGGATCATATCCCTACTCTCCTTGAAAGTGTTTATTGAAGGGAGGAAGAAAGGAATTGGGGTTAGAATGCAGTTGATTTGTTTGTTTTGAAGTCTTTTAGAGAAGTTAAAGGGGCTATTAATATTAAGGAGGGTATTTGTTGCACTGCTTTCTCCTGCTCAAGTTGCCAATGAATACCATCCCATGGAGTCAAGCAATTAGACAAGGCCACAACTGGACTCTGTATAAAATAGAAGTTAAATAATAATAATTGTTATAATTTATGGAGTGTTTACTATCTTCCAGCCACTGTACTAAAGGTTTTGCATAACTCTGCCATTGAATTCTCACTATGACTTAATGAGGCAGTTCTGTGTGCAACTAAATCCCATTCTGCAGATGATAAAACCAAGAGATGGAGAAACTAAATAACTTGCTCAAGGAAAAACAAGTAGTAAATGACAAGACCTTGTGCTGAGTTGTCGAGAGAAGATTTTCATTCTGATTGAAACTACTCAGAATTTCCCTCTGGCTAGATCTAGAGAACATGAAGGTGACCAATAAGGTTAATGCATGGTGAAGAACTCACCTGAATAATTCAGCTCTAAATATGGTGTCAATTTATCTAGATGGCCAATCTGCAGTAAACCCCACCTTTAAGTCATTCCAATTTCTATATCCTTGGGTTTCCCAAACAGAATGATTCTAGGCTGAGATATTAAGGACAAGTAAGTGTCAATCAAGGCACGGGTGAGACAGGCAGGGAGGAGAAGGAGTGAATGGAGGGTGGAGTTCCAGGTGGAACACACGCACAAGGAAAGAGGCGCCTGCAGACAGGAGTTTACAAGCTCATTACTTCTGGGGACAACCTGAGTGAGAGATAAGAACAACAGCTAAATGTGAAGTCTGTACCTCTGTTTTCTCAGCTGTAAAATAAACTATTAGATAATAATAGCCAAAATTTGTTCAGTGTGTGCTATGTGCCAGCCATTATTCTAAGTGTTTAACGTATTTATTGTTCAAATAGCCCTATGAAGTAGGGACTATTTTTAATCTCCATTTTACAAATGAGGAAACTGAAGCACAGGAAGGGTAAGTAATTTTCCCAAGGTCACACAGTTAGTAAGTGATGAAACTAGGAATTGAACTCAGAGCCCACTGTAACCACTACACTCTGCCTTCTAAAATATAAGTTCCATGACAGCAGGAATTTTTATCTATTCAGTTTGCTGCTGAATCCCTGGTGTCTAGAACAATGCCTAGCACATATTAGGCCTTAAATAAGCAACTGTTAAATTAATAAACAACACAAGTAAGTAGTCAAGTAAAACAGTGTAGGTTTTATACCCTAAGAATTCTACAGTTTCTTCTTCAGAGTTACTTATAACTATATTATACGGTTTGGCTCTGTGTCCCCACACAAATCTCATCTCGAATTGTAATAATCCCCATGTGTTGTGGGAGGGACCTGGTGAGAGGTAATTGAATCATGGGGGTGGGTTTTTCCTGTGCTATTCTCATGATAGTGAATAACTCTCACAAGATCTGATGGCTTTACAAAAGGGAATTCCCCTGCAAATGCTCTCTTGCCTGCCACCATGTAAGACATGACTTTGCTCCTTATTTGCCTTCTGCCATGATTGTGAGGCCTCCCCAGCCATGTGGAACTGTGAGTCAGTTAAACCCCTTTCCTTTATAAATTACCCAATCTCAGTAAGCAAAAAGAACAAATCTGGAGGCATCACACTACCTGATTTCAAACTATACTATAAGACCATAGTCACCAAAACAGCATGGTACTGGTACAAAAATAGGCACATAGAACAATGGAACAGAATAGAGAACCTAGAAATAAATCCAATTACTTATAGCCAACTGATCTTCGACAAAGTAAACAAAAATATAAAGTGGGGAAAGGACACCCTTTTCAACAAATGGTGCTGGGATAATTGTCAAGCCACGTGTAGAAGAATGAAACTGAATCCTCATCCCTCACCTTATATAAAAATCAACTCAAGATGGATTAAGGACTTAAATCTAAGACCTGAAACTATAAAAATTCTAGAAGCTAACACTGGAAAACCCCTTCTAGACTTTGGCTTAGGCAAGGATTTCATGACCAAGAACCCAAAAGCAAATGTGATAAAAACAAAGATAAATAGCTAGGACTTAATTAAACTAAAGAGCTTTTGCACTGCAAAAGTAACAGTCAGCAGAGTAAACAGACAACCCGCACACAGACTGGGAGAAAATCTTCACAATCTATACATCTGACAAAGGACTAATATCCAGAATCTACAAGGAACTCAAACAAATCAGCAAGATAAAAACAATCCCATCAAAAAGTGGGCTAAGAACATGAATAGAGAATTCTCAAAAGGAGATATACAAATGGCCAACAAACATGAAAGAATGCTTAGCATCACTAATGATAAGGGAAATGCAAATCAAAACCGCAATTCAATACTACCTTACTCCTGCAAGAATGGCCATAATCAAAAAATGAAAAAATAGTAGATGCTGGCATGGATGTGGTGAACAGGGAACACTTCTACACTGCTGGTAGGAATGTAAACTAGTACAATCACTATGGAAAACAGTGTGGAGATTCCTTAAATAACTAAAAGTAGAACAACTATTTGATCCAGCAATCCCACTACTGGGTATCTACCCGGAGGAAAAGAAGTCATTATACAAAAAAGATACTTGCACACACATGTTTATAGCAGCACAATTTGCAATTGCAAAAACATGGAGTCAAACCAAACGCCCATCAATCAACAAGTGGATGAAGAAACTGTTATATATATATATACACACACACACACATATATATCACAGTATATATATATATCATCATATATATATTTCATCACATATGTATTTCATCATATATATATATGATGGAATACTACTCAACCATAAAAATAAATGAATTCATGGCATTCACAGTGATCTGGGTGAGACTGGAGACTACCATTCTAAGTGAAGTAACTCAGGAATGGAAAACCAAACATCATATATTCTCACTCATAAGTGGGAGCTAAGCTACAGGATCCAAAGACGTAAGAATGACACAATGGACTTTGGGGATTTGGGGAAAGGGTGGGAAGGGGGTGAGGGATAAAACAGTATAAATAGGGTGCAATGTATACTGCTTGGGTGATGGGTGCACCAAGATCTCACAAATCACCACTAAAGAACTAACTCATTTAACCAAACACCACCTATTCCCCAATAACCTATGGAAATAAAATAAATAAATAAATAAATATATAACGCACTCTCAGGTATGTCTTTATTAGCAATGTGAAAACAGACTAATACACTATATAGGCCTATTCTAAATCTTGTCAGAACATACCATTGGGTCTTATCCATCACTTATGGATTTGATGTTATGTCTCTTCTTTAACATTCCATTCCATTCAGTCCAGCAAATGCTCACTGAGCCCCTGCTATGTGCCAGGGCTTTGATGAATATGGTCAGATATCAAGACTGGAACTCAGAGTCCAGCAAAGGAGAGAAGTGTGGGCAAACAGTAACAATGTTGTCTAACAATGTTATAATAGAGGAATTGATAAAGACTTTTGTAACATGCATAGGCAAGCATGAGTTCTCCTGCAGTGGTTTCTCCTAGAGGGGTCTGGATGTGAAGAATGGGTCAGAGGAGGCCAGGCACAGAATGCATGGAACAGCATTCCAGCAGAGGAACAGCATAAGCGAAGACATGTGGTATTAAAATACATGAGAGTCCCAAGTGGTCAAATATAATTCACACACAAGTGAGCAGCTGACAAGGAGCCCAGGAAAGTATGATGAGATGTTAGGTAAAGGACTTGCATGCTAAAAAATTTGTGTTTTTTTTTCTGTGAACACTGAGAACCATCAGAGGTTTTTAAGCAATGAGGTGGCAGAATGAGATCTGACATGTTCAGAGGAGATATATTTGGAAATAAAGATATTTGCAATGACTATTTCTATTCGACTTCTTTTTTAAAAATCTCCTAGGGAGACCAGAAGGCACTGATAAGCACTGTCAGCAGATCTGCATGGGATAGGCCCAGGCAGATTACAGGACTTCTGGTCATTTCTGATAGTTTCTTAATCTTACAGAAAATCACAACAGCCTTTGTCTTTGTCATTCACCATACTTTCTATTCCCTGCTTTGGTGCCTGATTCTCTGCCTCCCTTTAATCTTTTGAAAGATTTATGGCACCAGCACTTTTGCATGTGATGTGCTCATCTGATGTCAGTTACCATAGACGGAGGCTGGCAGAGAGATAGTCGGTTACAGTTGAGGACGTGTGACTCTATGTGAGGGAAACATTTCTCTGAGGAAATAACTTGGCATTTCAGCTTCATACGAGGGCCCATTGGGGAGAAGAGAGGATGAGATGCCAATTCGCTAATGGGAATCTACAACCTTGAGCCCCCCTCTCCACAGAGAGCTCAAACACTCGTTGGCGGGGATCGTTTGCATTTACTTACATCTCAGAGGCTCTGGTGGAAATACAATCTCTAAATATTGAAGGCAGAGCTGGAGACACAAAAATCGCTTTGCTTTTATTTGCCCCAAACCACATACACTCAAACAGATGAAATATGTATGAAGTGAGAACCATCTGTGGCACGTACAGAGTGTGTCCCATGGATGCATCCGGGGGCCTCATTGTGAGATTCGGTTACCTGTCTGACAGAGACAGAGAGCCAGTGGCAACTGCATCTTTGATTTGGGCTTTTTTTTTTTTGTCTTTCATGCAATTTCTCTCCATGTAGTCTTGACAATGCCCTTTAAAAATGTATTTTAATCTTGGATCTCTCTGTCTACAGGATGATCCTCTGAGAGAGTCTCTTTTGGACAGAGGACTTGCAAAGTAAGACTAACACAGCTGGGGAGCACTGGGGATAGGTAAAAGTGGTGATGCAGGTTGTTTGCAGCAGGTGGCTACAGAATGGCTCAAGGCAGGGGTATCTGTCTGGTTTGCACGGGCACCTGATAGCCTAGCAGTGGGGCTGGGGTTTTTCACTCCAGTTGGGTTCCTTATGGTGGGGAGCCTCCTACTACTGTTTCTGCCAGTCTGGCATCAGAAGGTGAAGGGAGGAGCTGGCTATGGGATCACACCTGGTGTATTGGAGGTTTGGGGGTGTGTATGGCACAGAGATAGGGAGGTAACATTACACATCCAATGTATGTGATGAGTCTTCAGGGTACTGCCATCCTTCAGAACAGCCTCCTGGCCTCCTGCCATCCTCTTTGCCTAACACACAAAAGCCCATCTTCTGTGTTGCTCTTTGCTGGAGATGTGTGGAGCTCATAAACTTCTCATGATCCCCAAACATTCTCAGGGCATCTTCAGATTCCATTCTTCAGCATCCTCCACCGGCTCCAGGGAGACAGGGATCCCAGCTCCTCCTCCAGGCTATGCTCTACACAATCTCCCTTCACCTTGCCTCAGGCCCACCTCAGAGTTTGTACAGTTTCCTACCCAGCAAACCCTAAATTGGTACATGCCACTCGGAGAGGAGCTCCACGGTTTCAGGAAAATGAGCAGCGGGGATTCTGGGTGTGTGGGAGAATGACAGAATTAAAAAGGAAAGAGAAGATGGCCTGCCCCTCTACAGCTCTGCCTGAGGACAGGGTAGTGGGGAGGGTTGGAAAACTCACCCAGGTGCATCCCCATGCCTGGCAGTGACCCCAGACCTCTAAGGCCAGACATCTCCCTGCGAAGTTACATGATAGATAAAGAGAACTACGTTGGAAGGAAATGGAGGAAGCATGTCTAAGATCTGAAGACCCACTTACCACTCTGATTCTGCCACCTGCTGGCAAATCTACGATGCCATTGCCCACACAGCCGAGTCTGGACTTCCAAGCGCAGTATACAGGCCCTGCATGATCCCACCCCTGTTTATCTCTCCATCCTTACCTCCTTTGTGCTCCACTTCCCTCTACTCCAGCCATCCTCTCGCCCCTCCTCACTACCCCACCCTGCTCCCATGCCCCACACATACACAAACAATATCAGACAGTTTAGAATCTTTCAAACATCTCACACTGCTTCTGGCCCCAGGACCTTTCTACATACTGCTTCATCTGACCTCTGCGCTCCTCTATTCATACACTCCACAAAGCACCACGGAGGTACCAGGCACAGAGAAAAAGAAGACCTGGTTCCTGCTCTCATAAACTCACAAGAGAACTTTCTCTCTCCTCACCCACTCGGTGAACTCCTATCCATACCTCAGAACGCAGCTTTAACATCCCTTCCCCTGAGACTCTTTGCTTCTGCCTGGGGAAGAGCCTCCTCCCATCTCTGAAGCCCCTGTAATGTTGCTCTTCTCATAGAACAAAGAAGTTCTCTGACTCTCAGAAGCCTGTAGACCCTTCAGCAGACAGCACAGTGCAAAAATCCTGTTTCGGTCTCTGTGGATAAAACTTGGCTCAGATTTTATTTGGGGCCGGTGTTTATGTCTCTCCAAGCATTACATGCACATAAATGTACATTTAGACATGCTCCCATACTTCAAATGCTTCTTGTGAGGATCTGTTGATTTTTTTGGTAGGCGTTAGATGGTAGCATTTTTTTTCATCACAAAAAGAACATGAAATGTAATAAAATTGAACAAGATGCAGCGTACATTTCTCCTTTTCTGTGGCATCTTTTCAGAAAAACTGTGGCCATGGAATTTAACCACCCATCTTAGTCTGTTGGGCTGCTTTTTAAAAATGCCTTAGACTGTGTAGCTTAAACAACAGACATTTATTTCTCACAGTTCTGGAGGCTGGGAAGTTCAAGATCAAGGTGCTAGCTAATTGGGTTTCTACTGAGGGCCTGCTTTTGGGTTCATGGATGGTGCCTCCTCATGCAACCTCACATGGTGGGGAGAAAGAGAAAGAGCTCTCTGGTGTCTCTTATAAGGACACTAAACCTATCACATCACGGCTCCACCTTTATGAGTTTATTTATCTTTAATTACTTACTTACTCCAAATATAGCCATACTGGGAGTTAAGGCATCCGTACATGAATTTGGGGAAGACATAATTTGGTCTATAGCACACCAGTGTTTTTTATTCTTTTGAAGCCCCTGCCTCACAGTAACCTGATCCCATACTGTTCAATTCCCAAATAAAAAGGGCATGCATGCCTGGTGCCTCTGACACTCAGTTATATTTTTAGGGAGTTCTTAAAAAAATTACTTCCAGAAAACTTGAAAAATATAAAATGTACCAAAAAAGAAAATCAAAAGTCACCAACAAATCCCTTAACAACATTTTGATATGCATCCTTCCAGCTAATCTACATGACTAACTAGTTGTCTATCAATATTTTTAATAAATATTGTATCATCCTTTACAATCTTGTGGCTACAGATGGCTTATATACTAATTAGAATTCAGCTCTGGTTCTCTGTGGATGCATTGTGAACCAAATAACATACCCAAGGATCTGATAAACCAAAAACTGTCTTTAACATTAACTTCTCAAAGAATTATACAGATTTGCTTTTTTCTTTCTTCTTTTTTTTTTTTTTTTTTTTTTTTTTTTTTTTTGAGACAGAGTCTCACTCTGTTGCCCAGGCTGGAGTGCAGTGGTGTGATCTCTGCTCACTGCAGCCTCGACATCCTGGGCTCAAGCAATCCTCCCACCTCAGCTTCCTGAGTACCTGGAACAACAGGCGCATGCCACCACTTCCAGCTAATTGTATTATTTGCAGAGACGGGGTTTCATCATCTTGCCCAGGCTGGTCTGAAACTCCTCGGCTCAAGTGATCTGCTTGCTTCAGCCTCTCAACGTGTTGGGATTACAAGCATGAGCCACAGTGCCTGGCTGAGACTCACTTTTTATCATGACATCTGTCACCAGGGACTTGATGTGGATGAACAATCGCACCCCTGCCCTCCCACACACACACATAAAACATGCTCCCCAGTCACTGCTTTGGAATAAAGACCAAATATTTACCACGGTCTGGAAAGCTCTGCATGGGCACATGCTGGCCCTATCTACCTTCCAGCCCATCACACACCAGTCTGCACCCCATCTTTCAGTCTTTAAGACGACAGCATGCAGGGTCCTTCCTTAGATAAGTCTTCCCTGAATCCCTAACTAGCTCAAATTCCCCTTGTATGCACTCCTAACCTCCGTTTCTTAGCATTTATCTAGGTTGTAATTTCACATTTTTGCTTGTCTTCCCAGCTGAGCTATAAACTCAAATATAGTAGGCACTCAATATTTGATAAAGGAACAACTGAAGAGAACAATGCATACTTGATTTTTTACATTAGTGTTTTCTGATGAGATAAAGCAAAACTGAAGCCCTTCGTTTATTTCCTCTCTGAGATCACACAGCCAATTAGACATGTAAGGGGTTTGAGACCAGGGCCTAGGGCACCTCCAGCTGTTTATTTCTTGCAGAATGAAGCTTCCTCCCATAAACCAGTGACTGGGGATGAACTCAGGAGCTGCTTTCCCAAACTGAACTTTTTAAGCAAGGTCAGGAAATTGGGGGTTATTTTCCCAGGGAAATGTGGAAACTGCAAAATTATTGTGAACAGGGTAAAAAGTTATGGCTTATGTTTGAAGGAAATTGCTTTTCACTATAGAAAATTACTGCATGTTCTCTAGCTCTGAACACAATTCCTTCTATGATTATGAAATCATATTCTTTTCTACGTATTTTTTCCCTTTGCTTCTGTCTGCAGTATATATCAAATAAAAGATTTTTTTTAAAAAAAGGGAAAGAAGAAGAGAAATAAAAAGAAGATACAATGACCAGGCAAGTTATTTATGAGAGTTCACCATCTGTTTCTTTCACAAATGCAATAGGCTTTTTTAATATAACATTTATTAATATCGATACTGGTAGTATTGAACAAAAAGAACTTTAGAGGGGAGAAAAATCAAGCAGTCAGTGATAAACATGTGCTAGGAAACAACTGCTGGCATGATCAGCATTTGGCTTGTTGAAGGTGGGAGCAAAAAGAGAGGTACAGACACTAATGACAGGCCTAGTGGCGGGGGCACTGGTCAGAGGTGCAGTGGCAGAAATCTTGGTGCACATGCTTAAGTATACAAGAAACATACCTTTTTAATTATCTCTCAGAACTTTCAACAGTAAACCTCACTTCTTTGTGAGGTAAGCATGCCCTATGTGCCATGTTAGTGCCACTGTCCTAAATCTCCAGGGTGTCAGGGCATCTGGGGGTTGGGGTTGTAGTGCACAGAGAAAGCATCACAGTCCATAGGTTGGCCCTCAGTAACCTGTTGATATGGCTGCTCAGATCCTGCACAGCCTGTGGTCTTTCAAACTGGGTGCCACATCATCGAGACCTTTCTTTCTTGAGTCTCACTGCCATCTTTCCAAAATACCAGGAAGCCAGTCAGTCCAGGAAGGAGGAGTCCACTGTTATGAGTTGAATTGTGACCTCCAAAAAAGATACGTGGAAGTCCTAACCCCCAGTACCACAGATGCAGTGGCTCACACCTATGATCTCAGCACTTTGGGAGAGGTAGAAGGATAGCTTGAGGCCAAGAGTTCAAGATCAACCTGTTCAACAGAGCCAGATCCCATCTCTACCAAAAAAAAAGAAAAAAAAGCCAGGTGCGGTAGTGTGTGCCTATAGTCCCAGCTACCCAAGAGGCTAAGGCAGAAGGATCACTTGAGCCCAAGAGTTTGTGACCAGCCTGGGCAACATGAGATCCTATTATGCGTGCACATGGGCACACATAGGTGCGAGAGAGAGAGAGAGAGAGAGAGAAAGAGGGAACAGAAAGAGAGAGGGAGGGAAGGAAAGAGGGAGGGAAGGAGAGAGGGGAGGGAAGGAAAGGAAGGAAGAAAAGAGGAGCTAGGGCCTGCCACAGTGATTCACGCCTATAATCCCAGCACTTTGGGAGGTCGAGCGGGTGGATTGCCTGAGCTCAGGAGTTCAAGACCACCCTGGGCAACATGGTGAAACCACATCTCTATTAAAATACAAAAACTTAGCTGGGTGTGGTGGCGCACACCTGTAGTCCCAGCTACTTGGGAGGCTGAGGCATGAGAATCACTTGAACCCCAGAGGTGGAGGTAGCAGAGAGCCGAGATCACGCCACTGCACTCCAGCTTGGGCTACAGAGTGATATCCTGTCTCAAAAAAAAAAAAAGAAAAGAAAAAGAAAAGAAAGGAAGGAAGAGCCAGGAAGTCTTTACAGAGCTAATCAAGTCAAAATTAAGTCATTAGGGTGGGCCGTTATGCAATATGATGGGTGTCCTTATGTAAATAGGAAACTGGACACAGAGACACACATGTAAAAGGGAGTATGATATCAAGACACACAGGAAGAAGACAGCCATGTGATTTAAGTGATGCATCATCAAATCGCTTGGAGAAATCAGGAATTTATCACTGGGCTAGTGAGCTGTCTCATGGACTCCAAGAACAGGAATGTGCTTAGGCTTCAGAAGCTCTTAGATCGGGGTCATATTAGTTTGGTAGGGCTGCCATCGCAAATACCACAGACCGGGGTGACTTAAACAACACAAACTTATTTTCTCACTGTTCTAGAGGCGAGGCTCAAAGTCCAAGATAAAGGTGTTGGCAGCACTGGTTTCTTCTGAGGCCTCTCTCCTTTGTTTGTAAGTGGCCGTCTTCTCTGTTTCTTCATGTGGTCTCCGCATTTGTGTCCTAATCTCCTCTTCTTATATGACACCAGTCAGGTTGGATGAAGGTCCACGCTGATGACCTCATTTCACTTTGATTAACCCTTTGGAGACCCTGTCTCCAAATATAGTCACATTCTGAAGTCCTGGGTGTTAGGACTTAAACATAAATTTTTTAGGTGGGGTGGGAGGCAGGGGCGAGGCATAATTCAGGCCATTCTGAACCTCCATCTCTAACCCCTTCTTCTCCATTCAATCCATCTGTCTGAAGTCTTGCAGACATGGCTGCCAACAGCCCAAACTTTTTCATCTTATGGTTTCTGTCACTAGAAAGACTCTCCCATCTTTCTCATCCCAAACCCAGAAACTCCTGGGGAAGATACCCACTGGCCCAGGTGAGATCAGAGCTGTAGGGCACTATTTCCAAACTCTGAGTTTCTAGGGAAACATGGTGGAAGAGATCCCCTGCCCACCCTCAATTTTGTGCAAAATACATGTAGAAAAACTCCAATTCCTCATTTTCTAATTGTCTCACCAAATCCAGCTTTTTATGCCAATCTCAATTCTTCCTTTCAGCAAAGTTGATTAAGAAAACATTCATTTCTCGTGTAGGCTGTCTTGCAGAATGCTTGTTCCCTCATGCTAGGTTATTTTAATTTTGACTAAGCTGAGAAGATGGAATCTGGGAGGCAGGAAGATATGCCTCCAGATGCCCACTCCAAATAATTGTTCTCCACTTGTAAAACTAGTAGAAAGTATATTCTCGCCCCTACCACAGATACATGCTGCCCACTCCACCCTCAACTCACATCTTAGAGCCCATGGGACTTTCCAGTAAGGTCCTGTGAGGTGTCCCTTGTCACACGTGCCACTCCCCACACTGTTTCTGTCCTGCTCTGAGACACAGTGACTGCTCTGAAGAGGACAAGCTTTTCTGGACCCAGAGCATACAGAAGAATGACCATCCCTGGGTTGTTACTACAGACTGAATTTTGTCTCTCTAAAACTGAAACCCCAACCCCCAAAGCAATGACATTTGGAAATGAGGCCTTTGGGAGATAACTAGGTTTAAATAAGTAATAAGGGTGGGGTCCTCATGATGGGATTAGTGCCTTTAGGAGGAGAGATATCAGAGCTTTCTCTCTCTCTTGCTCTCTTTCTCTCTCTGCCATGTAAGGACACAGAAGGCGGCCATCTATAAGCCAGAAAGTGAGCCCTCATCAGAAACCAGCCATGCCTGCACCCTGATCTCAGATTTCAGCCTCCAGAACAGTGAGAAAATACATTTCTATTGTTTGAGTCATTCAGTCTGTGGTATTTTGTTATGGGAGCCAGGGCAGGCTAATACAGTTGTTTTTTCCAATTCCTTCTTTTTACTTTGAAGGATTAAAGAGTTCTTTAGGGATAGAAGAAAATAAATGTAATATTAAATTGATTTCAAGTTTGTGTGTGAGAATGTTTTAACTGGTTTAGTTCCAGATTGTAAAAAAAGAAGAAGAAATGAGAAAGAACTCAGGTCTCAGAGGAAAGGTAACACCCTTCCACAGGGCTCAATATAACTTCTTTCTTTGTTTTCTTTTCTTTTCTTTTCTTTTTGAGACAGAGTCTCTCTTTGTCACCCAGGCTGGAATCCAGTGGCGCAATCTTGGCTCACTGCAACCTCCACCTCCCGGTGATCAAGTGATTCTCCCACCTCAGCCTCCCGAGTAGCTGGGACTACCGGCACCTGCCATCATGTCTGGCTAATTTTTGTATTTTTAGTTGAGATGGGGTTTCACCACGTTGGCCAGGCTGATCTCAAACTCCTGACCTCAGGTGATCCACCCAAGGCCTCAGCCTCCTGAAGTGCTGGAATTACAGGCATGAGCCACCATGCTTGGCCTTTTGTTTTCTTTAAAGCAGGGGTCAACCCTTGGGTGGGTGAGTCATCTGTGATCAGAGCATTATAGTTGAAAGGCAGAAAAGCACAGTATTGGGCTCTGGATCCAGACTACTTGGGTTCAAATCCTAGCCTGGTGAGAAACTGTCACTCTGTGCCTCAGTTTCCTCATCTGCATAGGAGATAACATTAGTGATATTTTAGAAAGTGGCAGCTCCTGTAGGCACCCCATGAATGACACAGGGAACATGGTGAGTCTTGGGAGAAGGAAGGGGTGCTTGATTGGCCATCCTTGGTCATTCCCTATAAAGGCTGAGAGCACCTAAAGCCTATTTCAGGAAGGCTTCTGGCATTCAGAAGGGAGTCCTGATGATCAGAACATAAAGCCCCACAGGGCAGTTATCCAAGGAAACAGGAAAATTGTATATATGCATCCTATTAGTTTACACATGCTTCAACTATTGCTACCCAAAGTGTGATCTAAGGACCAGCAGCATCAGCATCTCTTGAAAGCTTGTTAGAAGTGCAGAATCTCAGAATCTCAGACTTACTAGAATCAGAACCTGCCTTTGACAAATCCCCAAGTCATTCATTTGCATGTTAAAGCATGAGAAGCATTGGTTGCAATGTTTCCCACTATGTTGATAACAACCATTTGCACCACCATTCCTAGAGGAAAGTGGAAGGAGTTTCTCTACTCTTTGCAGCTGATGAGGTTCCTCACACCTGCAGTCACTGGCCACTATGTGTCTGCGGAAAGAAAACCAAAGACACCAGGGGAGCTGCTTCAAAAACGTCTCTTTCCTGTAGGCTTTTGTTATATTCTCAGCAAATCCAATAGCAAGATATTGGGTTCTGAATATTGCAGTATGTATAAAATCATGACATACGTGAAATGTGAAAATCGAATATGCAGTGAAACTTGATCATTTGCATGTAATACAACCCACTGGACCAGGTAGGGTGCACTGTCTTCCCTAAGCTTAATGCCCTCCCCCTTAGCCTCTATACACAAATTACAACCCCTTTATACCTCCATTCTTTCACTCATTGTACTGTTCTCTAATCCTGTTTTACTTACTCTTTGCCCTCAAGAGAGTGAGATCTTTGACAACTGGGCTTGTGACTTTCATTTCACTGTCTCCCACACCTAACACAATGCCAGAAACACTGAGATGTACGGACTAAGCAGTCACCTAAATTTTTGTTGAAATGAAAACTGTCAACATAGAGTATAAGAAGACTAGACCACACCTTGTAAAAGGTGTCATAGGAACCCTAGCATTTGTATTTTTGTGTAGGAAATTAATCTAGACATTGTCTATGTTTAAATAATTGATTTATTAGGAATCTAAGGATACTGAAATAAAATGCATCATGGGGGGAGAACAAGAATATACAATGTGGCAGGGTCAACCAAAGAAGAATTTCTGGATGGAAAGTTTGGGGAAGGGAATGCAATGGAAAACAGAAGGGATGGGTGTGGTCTCTCTCCAGCCTTGGTAAGTGCCATGAAGCAGAGTGGAGTATACCCGTGCTGGGATCGTCCAAATTATCCCAGAGTCTACAGCTTCTTGCCCACGTAGGCAGGGAGCAAAAGACTACCATGGAAGCACTTCAGCAATTCACATCCTTCCTATGATGCATGTCCTGAGCTTACAGGTTCTGGATGAGAGTTGAGGATTTCCTGTAGTCATTGGGATTGTCTCTACTGCTGCAAGGACTGTGCTTAGAATGACTCTGGTTACAACCTTGGAAATGTCTCCTTCATCTGTGAGTAACAGCCAAACCCAAAAGGATCATTCAAGCAATGTACACACTATGATTTTTCTATAGAAAAGAGAACAAAAGATAGACACGTGAGTCAGACAGATGGGGATCCCTGATCCAAAGCTATGCTAGAGGATGTGGCCCCAATGTCTGACCAAGTGGGCCAGCTAGTGGACTCTGCTTCCTTGAATTCAACCAATCCACCAGCCATGGGTAGTGATGGGGCACACAGTATCCTCTGCATGGACAGGACTTGCTTTGCCACACTTACCTGTGGCTGTGCATACATAGTAGAGTGTACCTTCTCAGCAGGCAGGTGGAGCCCAAGAGAGAAGAGCCTGTTCCCAAACTCACCACTCACATAGGGCAGAGAGGAGCTAGGGCTGCTATTTGAGGAAAACAGTATCCTTGAGTCAGTGTTGTTTCCACTTCCATGAAGCAGTACCCCAGTAACCACCCATCACTGCTCCTTTGGGGACCCTCCTGGGTCTACAGGTGAAAGTGCAGATTTACCCACCGCAAGGTTCACAAGTAGATCTAACCAGCACATGAATCAAAATCTCAAATAGGGCATTAATCTAAGGTTGAAAATTCACTCTCTCTTGTGTTTTCCATACCAAAATACATCATCCAATACGGCTCATCAGAGGTTCTGAAATTAGATTTACTGACAACATGAACATATTCCAATAATAAAAATGATTCTTTATTATTAAATTCTTGGGGAGAAATTTAAATCCAAGGACTAAATCCTCTTGTAAATGAAAGTCGAAAGAAAACAAATTTTTAAAACAAATGATGTTGCCCTTATGAGTCCCAAGCCCAAAATTCTTAAGTCGAAATTAGAGAGTTCTTGATTCAAAAAACAAAAACTCAGGTGAGGGGCAGGGAGGGGATTCAGGTTCTTTCTGCAGTGATTCTCACCTTCCTCTCATTGGGATGGATACAGTTTCTTCAAGCCTCAAAGTCTCGCATAATGCCATCTTTTTAGAGAATCCAAAGATGTAATATGACATATAGTTATTATAGCACTAGCTTCCTACCCACAAAATTTGGGAAACAAAAGCACTCTCAGCGATTCCTGGAAAAAATTAGGTTCCTGGAATTAGTGTGTCATGTTGGCAAAGATGATAGCAGAGACTTGGGGGGATATCTGAGGAGGGAAAAAAAATTGCAGAGTTAGTCTTCCCAGGATCTGCACTAAAGGCCCAGAGCTGGAATTTAAGCTGAGTTGAGATATTCTTCCATGCAGGGCATAATGGTGACGCAGTCTTAGGGAGGAAACATCTCCACGCTGAGCAAGGCCTTGTTGGAAATGTGCAGTGGTGGTAGTCTTAGGCACTGGGCCTTATTTGAGAAATTTATTTTCCTTCCAGCATATCTTGAATTTTCATTTCCCTTTGAGTGCTGTGTTTCTGACATCTCAGACGTGAATGGAGCGTAGGCTTTTAGGGACACTGAGCCCCAGATCCTTTCCGAACGGTGAGTAGGGAGTTAGTACTGGGCCACCATGGTGCTTCGCTTGTCTCTCGCTACAGAATTGCTGAGGCCAGAAAACCTGCTTCCTGGGAGATCCCATTCACCTTCATGTTTGCCAGAGTTGGGACTTGGACTAGGGGATTCATGCCCCTAACAGCTCAGGGATGTGTCACCTCTGTAGACCTAGGGTTTAACCAGATGACCTCTGAGATATCCTCAAGAACCAATGATTCTGTGGCTGCCGAGGTAACAGGTCCCTTCTGTTTTGTTCTCCAGACCTGAGCTATTTCCGAGTCTCAACTTTTGCCAGGTAATTCCTGAAGCTCCAAAGGCCCCTGTCCAACCAGCTTCCATCCAGAAAGCTTCACACCTTCCACCTCTAACTCCTGTTGCTGGCCATCCCATCCTAACTCAGCCTCACTCGCTTTTCACTGACTCCTTCCTGCCTTTCCTCTCCTTTCACAGATGTCTCTGGCCTCTGGAGCCTGGTCTCCTTTTAAATTGAAATCCTGGCAATCTCAGATCCTACTGCTCCACTCCAGGAGCCCCTGTTGCTTCCCCATCCCTTCCTCGGGTCACATAAACATCACAGAGCATCTCCAGGCCTCAGGACAGAAAAGGGATTAACCAAAATCCACATATTACACATGCCACTCATAGAAAGACATTTCTTTTTAATCCATGAGCCTGCCTAACACTGCTTTGTCCCCTCTCTGATGGCTTGCCCTGGGGATAAAACTGCCAGCTTCTCCAGTGAGGGCAGTTAAACTTTAAAGACCCTCTCATCTGCGGTGGCGTTGTGACCCCAGGGAAGATGTTATTATTTAACATGAATCAGGGGCCTTCAGCTCCCTCATGCTCCCCACTGATCTCACTCTCACTAGTTACAGGCTTTGTACATCCCCTGCTGGCATTTCTGTATGATATCGCTGCTATACGGATGCTGATAAATGCTACATAAAAGTCTATTAAATTAATCTGATGGCTGCCATGCTGGTCCCCTAATGACACAGCAGACAGGAGGGTCTTTAAAGTGTAAGTGCTTCTAGAAGGCTCAAAATTGTTTCCTCCACTGGACAGTGGTTTAAATAAGCAACCTATAGCTATTAAGGGGATTTTCTCAAAACCTCAATTTTCTGTGCCCAAACTAGAGGCTCCATATAGGGAACCACTTTGCCAGGTTCCTGAAAACAAACTTGAAAAATATTCAGATTTATTAGTTAAATTTTCCCTTTTATGGTTTTTCATCCCCCCTTCCTGTGTCCTTCTCACTTCTGTCATTTTCTCCTTCTATTCTGCCTTTTTATTAATCTACTTTCTGCCTCTATAGATTTGCCTATTCTGGACATTTCATATACATGAAATCATACAATATGTGGTCTTTTGTGCCTGGCTTCTTCCACTTCATGTATTTTCAAGGTCAATCCATGTTGTAGCATGTATCAATACTTTATTCCTTTTTATTGCTTATAATATCTCACTGTATAGCTATACCATATTTTATCGTCCATTTTTCAGTTGATGGACATTTAGATTGTTACCATTTTTGGCTATTATAAATAATGTAGCTATGAACACTTGTGTACAACTGCTTGTGTAGACATCTGTTTGTGTACAGCTGCTTGTGTAGACATCTGTTTTCATTTCTCTTGAGTGTATACCTAGGAGCAGAATTGCTGAGTCATATGGTAACTCAATGTTGAACATTTTGAGGCACTGCCAGATGGCTTTCCAAAGTGGCTCCATCATTATACATTCTCACCAGCAGTGTTTGAGGGTTCCAATTTTCCCATGTCCTCACCAACACTCATTATAATCTGTCGTTTCAGTTCTACCCATCCAGTGGTTATGAAGTGATAGCTCACTGTGGTTTTGAATTGCATTTCCCTGATGGTTAATGATGTTGAGCATCTTTCCTTGTGCTCATTGGCCATTTGCATAGTTTCTTTGAAGAAATGTCTACTCAGATCCTTTGACCATTTTGCAATTGTCCTTTTTTTTTTTTTTGGATACAGAGTCTCGCTCCGTCACCCAGGTTGGAGTGTAGTGGCATGGTCTCAGCTCACTGCAACCTCCCCCTCCCAGATTCAAGCAATTCTCCTGCCTCAGCCTCTGGAGTAGCTGGGACTACAGGTGCATGCCACCATGCCTGGCTAATTTTTGTATTTTTAGTAGAGATGGGGTTTCACCATGTTGGTCAGGCTGGTCTCGAACTCCTGACCTCAGGTGATCCACCCGCCTCAGCCTCCCAAAATGCTGAGATTACAGGCGTGAGCCATCGTGCCTAGTCTGCAGTTGTCTTTTTAGCTAACCTCTTGAGTCCGTCCATCTCTTTTCATCTTCCTAGTCAAAGATGCCATCATGTTTTTGCTGGACCACTACATAAGCAACCCAAATGATCTTCCTGTGCCCACTCCTGCTCCCTTCCAACCTACTCTTCATACAGCAGCCAGAATGTTATTTTTAAACTACAAATCTGATCTCATCACTTTTTATTTAACACCTTTTGGTCATTTCCCATTGCCCTAAATAGAGCCCCAAATCCTTCATGTGGCTCACAAGGCCCAGGGTAACTTTTCCATCCTATTTTGAACCTCTCAACCCCCCACTCTGTGCTCACCAACAATGACCTCCTTTTAGACTCTCAAATGCTCCAAATTCCTTCTGAGCTTCCACACATGTACATTCAATAGGTTCTAACTGAGACCTCACATGTGCCAGGCACTAGGATGGACACTGAACATGTTGCAGTAACCAAGTCCAATACATCCCCTGACCTCTTGGAGTGGGTAGTCTGGATGGGGAGACAGAGAATCAACCAGTAATTAAATAAATGGCTACATAATGCCAGGTGCAAAAGGTGCCAGGAAGGAAGAGTACAGTGTATTGTTCCCTCTGCCTAAAATGCTCTTCTTTCCCACCCTGTCCTGCATAACTCTTCAGCTAATGCATCACATCTTCAGAAAATGCCACCCTGATTTCCAAGTTATGTCAGTTTCCTATATAATGCACCTTGTAACTCTTCTTCACAGCATATGTCAGAAACATAAATCAATTATTGTACTTTTTATAATTATTTAACATCCTTCTGCCCCACTGCATCATAAGTCTTCTTCCCTACTGTGTCCACAGTACCTAGCACAGTCTCTGGAATGAATATTAAAGGTCTTGAACAGATATAAATGAATAAATGAACGCAGTAATAGAATAAGCGAATGACAGCTAGAACCCTAAGTGCCTAGCAACCCTCCAACAGGACATCTGTTGTCTTAGACTCCCCGCTTCTTTCACTGCCACTGTTCAAGTTCTGGAAGTGCCTTCTTTAACTTAGTCACTGGAATTCAGATTGTTCCTTTTTATTCCCTCATTCCTAATATGTGCCCAAGGCAGAACAGTTCATCTGCCCTCTTCGTAGATGACTCATTAGTAATGTCACACTCAGACATACATTGGAGTGTAGGATCAAGGACAGCACTGCAAGACTGGGACAGACACTATATATAGCATTAATCACAGTTGGAGAGCCCAGTACATTCCAGAGACAATCATGAACATGACCTGGGCTTCCATCAGCCTGGCTGGCCAACATATCGTTAGCCTCTTAATCTCTTGTTTCCCCTTTATTCTGGGTCCAACCCAGAACCCTCTGTTGGCAACTATGTAAATAAAAAAGCTGAGATCCTTCCTGCCTAGGTTTCCAGGCATAATTCTTAGGCCAAGACAAACTGGGACCTAGGTACTTATGCCGTTCTCTAGGTTCTCCCATCCTCATGCCCTGAATCCTTCCTGTAGCAGCTCCTCCCTGGCCTTCACCATCCTAACCCATTTAAGGCCACCAAGTAATGCCCCTAGCTGGAGCCTCCCCATCCACTTATCCCCGACTAACCCCCAGTTCCTCTTGTTCCCATTTCTCTGTTTCCTCATGACTTCTCTCACTCTACATTTTTAGGATCTCAAAGTCATCAATCTTTCATTAAATTTTTTTGATAAACCTTACTGGGCTACTTTTGATTAATATTTTGGTGAGTTTTAGCATACAAGAAAAATAGGATTGGGCAAAAATAGATACCCGAGATATGAATATATTTTTTCACTGGGCACTGACTGCATACCTGTTCTCCTACAACTTGTCACTGTCTTCCCAACTTTTGCTGGTTCCTAGAGTTGGTTTTGGTTTTTCTTTGCTGATTCCTAAAGAGGCTGTATTTAGTCTCTGCTCCCCAGTGCCAAACACAGTGCCCGCAGGTGGTAGGTACTTAGTGCAGGTTTAAGGGAGGATAGACAGAGGATGGGAGAGATGAAGGGGAGAGGAAGGGGGAAGGGACAGTCTTAAGCGTATACAGAATTCTATTTCTTAAGTACACTGTCTTGAAACAGTGTAGCTAGTATGACTATCCAATACGGTGGCCAGTAGCCACATGTGGCTATTAATATTAAAATTAATTGAAATAAAAAATTCCATTTATCATCAGTCATATTTCAAATGCTCAATAGCCACAAGTGGCAAGAGCTACTGTATTAGACAAAGCAGATGTAGAACATTTCCATCATTGCAGAAGGTTCTATTGGACAGAACCTAGAAACCTCCTAAATGCCCATAAAAGTTTTGTTTTGGGGAAATAGGGAGGTGCTTGGTGGTGGTTTTGTTAAGGATGTGGTGAGAAAATGAAGACCCCAGATCTTAGACCCTGAATATAATGTAGGCAATTCTCTTTATATTTCTTTGAGAAGACAAGATTTTTGAAAAGAAAAACAAACAGAGAAATAGTTGGCTTATCTGAATTTAAGAAGGTAAAATAAACTTATGATTTCATGGACCTAAGGCACAAACTTGAAAAAAAAGGTAATTACTCCTATTACTCTTAATTTTAACCTATGTTTGAAATGCCATCGCCGCGCCACAGAGACCGTATCTGTTAGGCAAATTAGCAAGCCCTGTAACAGCAAGGGAGCATCAGGCATAAAACCTCATTGATCTTAATCCACTAACACAGACTTTGTGAAATTGCAATTTTTTTAATGTACCAATTTAGTTAATTATATAGAAACTCTAAAGGAAATTCTCTTTTTAGGCAATCTTTAAAAAGCACTTAATGTGCACATATTATATATTTTTACACTTATTAAAGTATATTCCAGCAGAACTTCTGCTTAAAGAATTTTTATTAGCTTAGTTTTTGTTGTATTTACTCAAAAGAAATAAAGTAAAAACAAAATTCTTTAGCGCAGAATTTTTATTAATTAAGTAAGGGCCTCTGTCTCTACCTCCTGACCCCTCTCTCCTGCAAGCTCCATTCTGAAATAGTGAGATTTTTGGCTGGGCACTGTCCTCACGCCTGTAAACCCACCACTTTGGGAGGCTAAGGCAGGAGAATCGCTTGAGCCCAGGAGTTCAAGGCGGCAGTGAGCTGTGATCACACCACTGCACTCCAGCCTGGGTGACAGATCCTGTCAGAGAGAGAGAGAGAGAGAGAGGAAGAGAGAGAGAAGAGAAGAGAAGAGAAGAGAAGAGAAGAGGATTTTATTGTTTTCCCAGACACTGAAAAAATCTGCTCATTCAATTGGAAAGCAGTGCGCCATTTTCTTTTTAGTCAGTATCTTCAACATAGTGAAGTAAGAAGAGCCTCCGCTGAAATTTTAGGAAGAAAGGAGCAGCGGAAACCACACACCAAATAGACAGCAACATATTCTCTGCAGAATAGCAAGAGGATCTGTGACGAGGAAACCAAGAGAACAGTCTTAACAACATATTCCAAACTTCCTGCAGTTGTTTATATCTTCAGACAGATGAGAAGTTTCTATATATAGCTGTGCTTTAGCAAAATACTTTTCAGCTCAGGCTCTATCCAAAGGATGTTAGGTAAAGCACAATGGACTTTTTGCAAATGAAGAAAATGGTTTTTTTTTCAGTTTGATAAATCAGATATGCAAGTCATTCAAGTGTCAGTTTCTTCTCCAAACTATGCCTTCCTCTTCCGTGTGGTGAAATCAAACATTGAATAATTAAGGCAAATATGAACTCATAAATAATTCAATACAGACCCAAGGCTGTGGACATCAGAGACTTGGCTCTGGCCCATTGCTTTGATTCTAAAGGTCCAGAGACATCCTGTTGACCTCTCTGATAGGAAGAATCTACAGTGCAGGGTGACCACTGACCCTTACTGAGATAAGACATACCTAACCCTAAGTCTCAAACCTGAGAAGACATGACTGCCTAGAATATATCTGTGGCCCCAAGGTCCTCAGAAGACTTGGCAATGCTTCCTTTCCCTGTAGTGATTAGAATACCATTTATATCTCCATGAACTTAGCCATTAGCTCCTTCCTGTCTTTTCTGAAATTACATAAGCAATGTGATACATATACTGAACTCCAGTCCAGAACTCTCATATGAACTCCAGGCTGCCCTGCCCTCAAACCCTGTTCCACCAATGGTCTTCCCCATCTCCGTAAATGGAAACTCAATCCTTCCCCTCACTCAGGCCAAAAACCTTGAAGTCACCCTTGATTCCTCTCTCATCCCTCATGCATAAACTCAACAAATCCTGAATCTGATCACTTCTTACATCTTCACTGCTATCACCCTAGTCCAGTTGGTCTCAATCCCATTTGGCAATTTTGCATCTCAGTGGACATTTGGCAATATCTGGAGGCATTTTGGATTGTCACATGGAGAGGGTTCTACTGGCATCTGGTAGAGGTGCTACTGGCATCTAGTGCATAGAGGTCAAGGATACTGCCAAACATTGTGCAATGCGCAGGACAGCCCCCCACAACAAGGAATTATCCAACATAAACTATTAATAGTGGTGAAGAACCTGCCCTGGTCCCAGACACTATCTCTTCCCTGGATTATCTCTGTAGCCTTCTAACAGTTCTCTTTGCTTCCATTCTTGCCTCCTTCTCCATAATTATTCTCTACATAGCAATAAGAGTTATCCTGTTAAATAAGTCAGGTTTAGGGGAGTGGTAGGAATCCCCATAAATGAGGGAGTGCTGAGGTGCCTAGGGGTTCAGTACTATGTACTATCAGGCTTCTTAGAGTCTCTCTCATGCAATCCCACCCAGTCATGCACCTAGAGCTCTAGTCCCCAAACCCAATCCTAGACTCGGGTCCCTTGGCTAGTGGAGCCAAACATCATAGTCCCCCCTCAATCCCAACTATGTGCTCAGGGGAGAAGAAAGAGTCACATAGAGAGACTAAAGGGATTGAAGAAGTGGCTCTCCTTTAATACTGCTTCATCTTGGATCACTAGGGACCAGGTGAGGCTGGAATGTCCTGAGATCAGACCACTAGAAGGGCCAGGGGCACCAAGTCTTCCCCCTCACCCACTACTCCTAGCACAGACTTTCTAGAGACACTCTAAACAATGTGTTGGCTGCCAGCAAGGCTCTTTAGCTGTCTCTGTGAATAATGTAAAATGGAACATTTCCATTTCCATGATATCTATCTCTCCACAATTTGCACCCCCTCTTAGGATATTAAATTTCCTTGAATTCCTTCAAAATAAAAATGAAAGTCATAGTGTGCATTTGGGGAGTCACTGGAAAATTAGAGAGACCCCTGTAAATGCTGCCACCCTCAGGCAAGTTATAAGAAACACCCAGTAATAACTTATAATAACAAATGCTTGATAAATCTCCCAACTGTTGCATTTTAAAATAGCTTGGAAGAAAAGTAAAAGGATCCTTTATAAGCTGCTAATGAGTTATTGGCATCTTTCTTAGAGATATTCCCCGGGCAAGTTAACACCCAAATTAAACAGTGAGCTGAGGTAGATGCATAGTAGCCAATCCGTCAATATTTTAATTATAAATAATGAGAACAGATGAACCTTCCCATCAACAGGACTTTGAACGAACAAATGAAGAAATCTGCATTCATGGCCCTCCTCTCTGCCTCAGCAAGACCTGAACTTAATATGGTTTGGAGGCTCTGGGCTGCTTTCTCCTTTTCTCCATTTTCCCTCCAGGAGCAAGAAATGGAAAAAGAGAAAAAGATACTACCTTCCTCCCCACTCCTGGCCTTTGAGGTGACAATGGGTGTGGCACTCCTGCCACACAATGGTAGAATGATCCTTTTCAGGATTTGCTGCTGGAAGGAGCTGACCAACTGCCCACAGCAGCCCACAGCTGGAGGCAAGGTCCTGAGCCTTCCTTCAGGGAGGCAGTCTGTGCCTCTCCTTAGGTCTTGGAGTGACTGATCCCATAGGGCCCACTTTTTTCTCCCAGTTCTCATTTTGCTGTATGCTATTCCATCCACTTCTCCTTCCCTTGTCCCAAATGTTATTTGCCAATGCTTGAAGTACATACTTTATATTGTTCATTTTTTTCTCAACATGTAGGTGTAATGAGGGGCTGAGTTACTGTTATTATTACTAATAATAAAAAAAATAGCTAACTCTTTTGAACTTTCACTAAGTGCGAAGCCCTGTTCTAAAGACTCATTTAATCCTTATACCGACGCTATGAAGTTGGAATGACACGGTGAGTTTTGAGGAAGTCCAATGATTAACCTCCCTGTTCCCACTGGAGCTGAGAACTAATTGATAGATAGGCATGAGTATCTGGAAAATGAGATCAAAATATCCTTTGTTACAATGTAGCCAATAAGGAGAGCATGGCTTAAGGCTTAGGCTTTCTAATGCTGCAGCCCAGTATTGGACTCCTCACCGAAGCCCCAGCAACAGGGGGTTATCACAGAATTGCTTCCAGATGCCTGGCCCCATAAAACTTAGAACAGAGCTGAATGTGTCTTTCCTGTGAGCAACCAGGTTAGGAGCAGGCAGGGGGATGAGTGAATAGTGGGCAGAAAGAGGACAGAATTACCTGCTTCATGGAAACTCGAGGCCTGAGCAAAAAACATCCCAACACTATTGCTATTTCCAGGGCCATGTAGCTGATACACTACATGCAATGCACTTTTCCTGGCCAAACGCCATCCTTCCTGAGCCACAAGAGGAATCCGCACTCTGAGTTGCATGGGAAATGAATGAGGATGATGCCTCCCTACTCTCACCCATCTGGTTGTCAGAAGCCCTGGGACTTCTGGGCCTGCTCCTGTGTCTATGCAAGTCCATAAGCATTAAGTAGCTCCTGTCATTCTGGAACTGTGTTGCTCAATATTTCAGTCATACTTTTATGAATGAATAAATCTCATGGAACTCATCATTTCTGTTCCTTCAGTTTTTCTCATTTATTTCAGCACCCTCTGTGCCAAATCTTGTTATGACCCAGACTCTGTCTTGGTCAAAGAGCACACTGGGAATACCAGGACTTGCTTGAAATGGAAATGAGAGAAAAGCAACTGAGGCAGCAGCAGAAGGCAAACCCTTCCAGCAGCCCAGATTCAAGGCCAAGGGGTGCAATGAACTCAATTCTGATGTAGTGCAGGACTCAGGTCTGAGCCAAGGGTGTGGGGGCATGGAGAGGGCTTCTGGCAAAAATGTGGGTGCTTCATATTTAGCACCGTAAGTCAGGGAAGGATCGGAAAGCTGGGTCCAGCCCTAGAGAAAAGGGGCTGGAAGAAGATGAGAAGGTCAAGGCGCCAGCTGACCAGGGGTCTGAGACACCTGGGAGTCCCAGAGGAATTTGGAATGGAACCTGGGACAGGAGGATGGACTGAAAGCTAAACAAGTGACGGGCCAAGCACTCTGCTAGTGTAGGGAGGAAGGCAGGCTGCAGCGAATTTAATGGGAAAGGGGTGCCCTTCCCTGGCCCTCTGGGTGTCCCGCTCTCCTGTATAAATAGGGATGAAGCCAGCTCCTGACCCTGAAGTCTTAGATCTCATTGGCTTAGAAGATTCTGAGCTCAGGAAGTGATCCCAGTAAGCAGAAGTGAGGGAGTAGAGGAAGTGATTTGGGAAGAGAAAAGTCCATGAAGGGCACATTATTGAGTGACCTGCTGCTGTGGGCCAGTGGGCTCCGTCCGCCAAGGGTTCCATGGGGAAGCTTGTGCAGCCTTCACAGAGTCACCTATTGGCTCCGAAGATTCTTGTTCTTTTTTTTTTTCTTGAGACAGAGTCTAGCTCTGTTGACCAGGCAAGAGTGCATGGCGCGATCTCAGCTCACTGTAACCTCTGCCTCTTGAGTTCAGGCAATTCTCCTGCTTCAGCCTCCCAAGTAGCTGGAATTACAGGTGTGTGCCACCATGCCCAATTTTTGAATTTTTAGTAGAGACAGGGTTCCACCATGTTGGCCAGGCTGGTCTTGAACTCCTGACCTAAAGTTATACACCTGCCTCGGCCTCCCAAAGTGTTGGGATTACAGGTATGAGCCACTGCACCTAGCCAGCTTCGAAGATTCTTGGCTCAGAACAGAGGTGGACACAGAACACACGTGCAACAAGCTCTTAGTGATGGGAGTGGGAATGGGTGGGTGTGGTCACAGTTACCGTCTAATGGTATTGTGACAATTTATTTTCCAAAGCAGAACTCTTTGGAGAATGGAGGTGTCATTAATAATTACTAAAACTAATGACTAAAAATACTGATCTTTCTTGTGTTTTCCAAAAATAAATTGTCAAGCCTGCCTCAAAGAGACTGACTCCAGGAGCAGATGTTTTTCAATGAAAAACAATGATTTTGTGCTTCCTTCCCCTCCCGATCCCAGAGGCTGGGGTAGCAGAGCCCCTTGCTGCCCACCCCCGCCACATCTCAAGTTGCCTGTGTCCACCTGCATCTACCTGCGTTCACCTGCGGCGGAGGTGGACAACTAGCTTCAGCCTGCTGACAGCTTCCCATCTCTGGCCTGTCACACTCTCTGCTCCTCCGCCTGAGGGCTTCTCACATCCCAGAGCTTGCTCTGATGTCAGGAACAACCCAGAAGTGTGGCAAATTAAGTCCCCAGGGAGGCAACCTTGTTTTTTTGTATTTATTTATTTATTTATTTTTGCAACATATAACCAATGGGACTGGAGTTGGCGAATTTGCCCCAGCCTCCCTGTGTTCTGGTGGGTGACTCTGTGGAGGCTGCACAAGCTTCCCATGGACCCTTTGACAGGACTAAGGCCACTGGCCCACAGCAGTAACTCACACAATAACGTGCCCTTCGTGGACTTTTCTCTCTTCCCAATATCACTTCCTCTACTTCTGCTTCCTGGGATCACATCCTAAACAAACGACCTGCACCCAAGTCTTGTCCTAGGGTCTGTTCTGAGGAGAATCCAAGCTAAGACACTGGATAGCAATGGAAACCCCATTCAAACCTACATTGATTGAGGTCCTGCTTGTGCTGGACTCTGGGGATACAAAGTCCCTGCTCTCTAGAGAAAAAGGAGGCAGCCAAAGCAAATACATGTGCCAGGACCCAGTCACCAGAGCTGGGTCTCCCAGATGGCCTACAGATGGTCCTGCTCTCGTTTTCTTATCAAAGGGTAGTTATGGTTACAGATGACACTCTTGCTGCTAAGACCCAGCTGCTGTGGGCATCCTTCAGTCCACTTCCTCGGGGAATGCTGGGCAGGTCGTCCATCCATAGGATATTCATCACACTCCCACCATGCGCAACACTGCTGGCATACAGAGAAAAACAAAACGCAGTCCTGCCTGCAGAGCTCCAGCAGTTAAACACACGAAACAGGTGGAACCAGTTTGAGCCCAGGCCTCAAGCCTGTCTGATGCATCTATGTGCATGAGCCGATTTGCACGGCAGCAGGGGTCTGCTTGGAGGAGATTAGGGATTGGAGAAGACAGCAAGGGGCCCATTTCCCAACCCAGACTCGCAAACTATCAAAATCAATGAAAGACTAGGTCTTTTAACAAAATAGGACTTGCAATTGTATTACCCTAATCACAACAGTGATTTCCCATCACCTTTGCCATATTCTATTGGTTAAAAGCAAATCCCAGGCCAGGTATGTTGGTTTAGGCCTGTAATCCCAGCACTTTGGAAGGCCGAGGCAGGTGGATCACTTGATCTCAGGAGTTCAAGACCAGCCTGGGCAACGTGGCAAAACTCTATCTCTACAAAAAAACACAAAAATTAGCCAGGTGTGGTTGTGTGCACCTGTAGTCCCAGCTACTAGCGGGGCTGAGGTGAGAGGATCACTTGAACCTGGGAGGTAAAGGCTGCAGTAAGCTGAGATCGCGCCACTGCACTTCAGCCTGGATAACAAAGTGAGATCCTGCCTCAGGAAAAAAAAAAAAAAAAGCCAATCCCACATCCCCACATCCTGCCCACACTCAAGGAGAGGGATTACACAAGAAGGTGAGCACCAGGAATCATTGGGGTCATTTTACAATCCACCTGCCATGAGGGGTAGGGAGGTAGTGCCTGGGAATTTTACTTATAAATGGTACCATTTATCAAAAGAGTGAATTAGGCTGAGTGCAGTGGCTCACACCTATAATCCCAGCACTTTGGGAGGCTGAGGCAGGAGGATTGCTTGAGGCCAGAAGGTCAAGACTAAAATGAGCTATGATTATGCCATTTCACTCCAGCCTCAGTGACAGGGCAAGACCCTGTCTCTGAATAAATTGATGAATTAATTTATTATTTCTTTTAAAAAAAAAAAGAGGGTCCGATTTGAGGGGCAAAGAGTAGGGTGGTGAATCTTAGAGTCAATGGAGATCAAAATAGGATCTGCAGAAAAATTTGGAATTTACCTCAGTTTAACTGTGGAAAAAGAGACTAGGCTGTGGAAAATGAAACTTGGGTTTCTGGGACAGAGGACAAGAGGAGGCCTCAGGGACTCTGAAGATAGTTCTGCTGCTTCTGTTCATTTGTTAGAAAAACCAAGTGATAAAATAGACCTGTGATCAAATCTCTGTAGCAAGGATGAAGGGGAGGAAAACACAGTTGTATTTTCGAGAGCAGGAACTGTGTGTTTTAATGGCTGCATTTCCATATTTGTTGAAAGCAAGAAGCAGGCCAATTGTCTCAAGTTCTGAATTTATTCCCTGAAGAAAAGACTTCAGCTTCTTCTGAGAGAAAATGGATAATCACAGGAGGCTTCAGAGGGCATACAAGTGAGGGCTTTGGGTTCAGAGACAAGGCAGCTGGAGGGCTGAGCAGGGTGTGGGGCGAGAGATGCACTGAGATAGGAGAACGGGGAACCACTGTCCAGCCCCAGCCATGTGGTGTCTTAGCTCTGTGACACCCAGCCTGTGACAAGGCCTCCTCCAGCCTCCATCTCTGGGCCTATTCCATGGAAATGTCATGGAATGCTTATATTTCTGAGCTGTCCTAAGGACCAAACAAGAGCATTCATCCCATAGGATTTTAGAAGCACCTGCAAAGAGAAATATGACTCAGTCCCATCCTCCTTCAGCTCACAGGCCTGTTGATTTGTGTGAACCTGCTTTATCAACCAGAGTGTGGCCAAAACACGTGAGACATTCCCAAAAGACTACCTGTTCCATAGCACTGATACTATTCCCTATCTTGATACCCAAAGCAGGAGTGGGTGGAAAGTTAACTGAAGTGTTCACAGGAGTTCTGTTTAGTAGGACAAAGTCTAAAGTGTTCTAACATGACTGCTTTTTTTTTTTTTAACCAGTACTACCCATTCGTTTCACAGGTATGTCCTAATGTAATTTTTTAAATCGATCTCGCCAGGTGCAGTGGTTCATGCCTGTAATCCAAGCACTTTGGGGGACCAAGATGGGTGGATCATCTGAAGTCGGGAGTGCCAGACCAGCCTGACCATGGAGAAACCTTGTCTCTACTAAAAATACAAAATTAGCCGGGCATGGTGGCGCGTGCCTGTAATCCCAGCTACTTGGGAGGCTGAGGCAGGAGAATCGCTTGAACCCGGGAGACGGAGGTTGCAGTGAGCCAAGATCGCGCCATTGCACTCCAGCCTGGGCAACAAGAGCGAAACTCCGTCTCAAAAAAAAAAAAAAATCGATCTCAATATCATGGAAGTAGAGGCAGCAGAGAACCACCTATCATTGATATGTCCTTGAATCATACCCATAATCTCCTTGCATCTCAGTTTTTCATCTGTAAAATGAAAATAATAACAATAATACAATAATTATCCACTTCAAATGAGAGGCTCAAAGGAGAGAATGGGTATACAGTTGTTCCCTGAACTGAAATGAGAATACAAGCAGAAGCAAAGTGTGCTCTCTGCTGTGTCTGTTTCACCTCAGTCTGAGGATTCTGAAGATCCTAGCACCATGCAGTTGTAGTTGACATTTGTAGAGAACTTCATGATTGTTAAAAGTTATTCTTTCCCCCAAATACTGTGGCATCCTGCTCCTTCTGGCCTTAATGGAAATGGAATTGGAAGCATGAATGCTGAGATAATTGAAGTTAGAGTTTATCAATGTAAGAGCTGGAATTAGAAAACCTAAGACCTGGCACCCTGGTCCAGAGGCTTTTCCTGTGACCGTGCAGCTTTCTGTGCAACCACAGACACCATCGAAGGAGCACATGATCTGCATCGGCTTTCAGTTTCTGCACTGATCCTAAAGATGGCCAATGGTCACGAGGCCCTCCTGAGCTACAACATCTTGGTTCTGAATTTCAGACAAACTTCAGCTGAGTTCTAAAGCAATCTGGATCCAAGTATGCAATTACTATATGGATCCAAATGTATGAAACAATTAAAAATACAATACAGGCATGATACTGTTTATCCTTGGTTTTGCTGGATGACATCATTTTTTTTAATGGTAGGGGAAAAAGGTATGTACTCACTGTTTACTCAAAACCTACCACCTGCAGGCTCAAAGAAAGCTCTGGGCATCTGTCAGCAGTTGCTTTTCTCTAGTGGCCATTGGCTTGCCCCAAGCCAGTCAGTCATACCCTCATCTGGTTCCATTCAGACCAAGAGTGTTAAGAAGTCTACTGCCCCCACTCCCCTCCTCCAATATCCTTGGTCCTCATCTTCCTTTTAGTGATAGACCTCCAGTTACTAAGTTTTCACAGAGCCTACGGCCACTCAGGTAAAGATAAAATTTTGCAAGCACCCTTGGAGCCAGGCATAGCCACATGACTAAGTTTGTGCCAAAAGATTAGGAGCAGAAGCAGTTAATGCAACTTCTTTGAAACGAAAGGATAAGCTTTTGACTTCCTCTCTCTCCCCTCAGACTAAAGTGTGGATATAGTGGTGTTGCTCTCCTTTAGATAGTGTGGACAAAAGTGTCACCCTAGGGAATAGTGGAGCAACAAGAGAGGAGGAACCTGGGCCTCTGGATATCCTTCTAGATCAGAGCCACAAATTCAGCCCAGCCACTTATTCCCAGATTATCATGTAAGAAGACATAAGCTCCTATCACTGAGCTACTGTGTTTGGGAGTATTTTTGTTACAGCAGCTGAGCCTTTGACTAACACACCTGTGCATTGGTAAAGATATGGGCTGAATTATAGTGTGACTCCAATACAAGAAAAATATTAATTGATGAGCTCTTATGGATATTAGATCTGTGACCAGGATATTGAACATAAAAGAACATAATAAATGAGAATGAACTCAGAGATCATAGACTTTATTTTCATAGTCCTCACAATTTCCAGGCAAGTATTAATCTTGTAGACCACTAAGTACCTGAAAACTACCTTTCATAATGGCAGATGTGGAGGAGGGCTGAGGAAGAAGAAAAATGTTGAACGTTCATTGAGCATTTACTATGTACTAAAGACTCTACTCCACATGTTATATCCTGTCAGTGGTGAAGGTAGATATTATCCCCTCATTCCCACTGCCCCATTCCCATCTTAAATGAGGACATGGGCTCAGCAAGGCTTGATTTGCCCAAAGGCAGCAAGTATGAGAGCCAGAATTTGAACCCAAATCCACTGGTGTCAAAGTTGCTTCTCAAGAGTAAAGAATCAATAATAATAAAAGTGGGTTGCCATCTCATGACAACTGTGACCCTTCAAATAATAAGCACTTTACACTCATTTTAAAGCTCTGATAATACCAAAGAAGCACAATTTTGAGCAGGTGAAAGGACCCTGTATTTTTTTCTGCAAAGTGTTGGTGAACGCTACCTTTCTTGTCTCTGTCACCTCTGCTTCAGGATGGGGACCAGGGCTAAGGGCTTTGTGTTCCTAGCACTCCGTCCATATGCCATTCTGTGTGGTCACACATCTCATCCAACTTCCTAGGACTCTCCATTCCCACCATGGTCAGAGTCTGGCACTCCAGTGAGACAGAGGGCTGACTTGGAGAAACCAAATCTAGAACCAGACGCACTCACTGAAACAAGTACCAGGAGGGCCAAACTGCCTGCAGGTGTTGGGATCCTAGATAAAGCCCTCACTCTCCTCAAGCTGGCGTTCAGTGGGGAGAGAGAGACAATAAACAAAACCATATATGCAGCAAAGAAATTACACGGGTAAGGGGACAGAGACTGGGCTAGAACGTGGCTACTTTACATCAGAAGGTCAGGGAGTACCTCTCTGAGGACACCAAGGATGTTTCACCTGAGCAAAATGAGGAAGTAATTTGTGCAAAGTCAACAAGTTCAGTTACCTGAGGTAAAGGTGTGTGGATTGGGAGACATCAGGAAGACCGCCTTAGCACCAGGGCTGAAGGAAGAGCTCCTGGATTCCCTGTTGCAGTCTCTCCTCTTCATGGTCCTGTAGTCCCCGCAGGGTATGAACTGGGAGCACTCTCCAGCCCAGACCAGGATTCCATGACACGTCCCCATTCCCAGGTAGCAGCTGGGAGAGACCAGGCTACAGAGCTGGTTACCAAGACAGGGAATGAGGCTGGGACACCGACACCAGTCATGAGTGCTGGATGGGGAGTGGGGCTCAGGAACCAATAGGTAGGCCAATTAGTAGAACTGGGACTTCAGTGCCAACAAACAGCAGAGCAAACAAACAGCAGTGTCTGGATGTGGAATTTCCAAGGAAATGCATGATTATTTCAGCACAGTTCACACCGCCCTCACTCCCACACAAAATGTGCATTCCCTCTGTCTTTGCCTCCTGCTTCTCTCCCTTTTGTTTACTCTATTCCAGGCACACCTGCCACCTGGCCTGGCTCATGTCTGCCTCCAATGCTTGAACTTGCTATTCCCTCTTTCTGGAATTCCCTTCCTTCAGATGCCCTCAGGGCTCATGCTGTCACCTACTTCAGGCTTTGCACAAATGTCACCCTCCCAATCAGGCCCATGTTGGCCACCCTCTTCCAAACACTAGATTGGAGGAAAATTGCAAACACTAGATGGAGGAAGAAGCTCCCTGGCTAAAGGAGAGGACTTCTGTAAGGGAACCTGGCTCAGCCAAGGACAGAAACTATATGTCACTTAGGTGCAAGTCAGGCAGTTGAGGAACCCATCCTGGCACCCAGCATTCCCTTCTAAGTGCCTTGGGAGAGTTAAGGAACCAAACTAGAACTCCACCATTGATATACCATTAACACTGGGGTCTGGGCACATGAGTTTTGGTTTTTCTTTGTGTGTGTGTGTTTTTAGGGGAATATAGACAATACATTCCCAAAAAGGCCCAAAATTTAAAACATACCAAGGGACATTCAGCGAAAACCCCTCCTGTTCCTCTTGCCTTTTGACTACCTGCTCCCTCCACCGAAAGCCATAAATCTTATCAGCGTCTGGTGTATCTTTCCAGAAATATTTTATAGATAACAAACCAAAGATGTTTCTATTCCCTCTGCCCTTTATCCAAATGGTGGCATCCTATACATAGCCTCTTTGCTTTTTTCACTTAAATGTCTTAAAGATTTCTCCCTCTCAGCTTCTTCACTCCTGTCACAGCAGCTTAGTAATCTCTTTAGGTGTGCTATCATGTTTTATTTAAGCAGTTCCCTTTTGATGAACATGTGGGCTATTTCTAATCCTTTGTTGTCAAAAACAGTACTGCAGAGAATAACCTTGAACACAGGTCATTTCACCTTGGGTAATTCTGTTGGGATTGCTGTACCCAGGGTGTGAGCATTTTCAGTTTTGATCAACAGCACCAATCTGTCCTTCCTAAGGAAGACCCCCTATATAAGCAAGCAACTGAAATATGAGTATTTCAGCACAAAACCCACACTTCAGTGCTCAGGGCTTGGCACCTAGTTGGAGCTTAATAAATGTTTGTTAGGCGAGTATATGGGAGGATGAGAGGATGACTAGATGTGAGGTTGGGTAGATGGATATACAAACTAATGATGAAATTCAAGACAGCGCAAGTACTGCCTCCTTCCAGAAGGTCTCTCTGAAAACAAGCCTACACTTACTCCTCTCTTTTTTGTTTTCAGGGCCACAGAGTTTAAGACTTAATTGTTCTCTGCTTCATATGTGTCCCTTTTGTGTCCTTAAATTAAGGGTAAATTCCCGGAGGGTCAGGACTACAGAGACTGGCAGGAAACAGCAGAGCAGATGGAATCCCAGCTCTACCGTGTACTAGCTATAGGACTCCGGGCAAGTTGCTAAATCGCCCTGGCACCAGCTGCCTTGGATGTCAAATGGGGGTGATTACACTTGTACCTACCTACCCCATAGGTGGTGCTGAGAGAATTAAACATGCTAACGCGAGTAATGAGCTTAGAACATGCTGGGCCAACAGCAAGCCCTCGGCAAATGTTTGCTGCTGATCGTGATCATGTTTCTGTTGTATCTCTTCCATTGCTTACAGTAGTGGTGGGCACACAAAGAGATATTCTGCCAGTATTTCACCACTGATTCTATACACTATTGTGAACAATCAGTTTTAGTTGAACCATGCCATTCTTCCAGCATGCACATTGCTTTTGAATGCTGTTGAATATCTCAGCGCTTATCTGCCTAGCTTGAGTCAACACAAGTATACATTAACTTATTCCATGAATATTTAATATTATCAACCAGGAGCCAAGATTGGAGCCATGAACAGGACAGCAAAATTTTTGCCTTCATGGGGGCTTCATTTTAGTGAAGGAGACACAGCCGAAGGAGCTAAGTGAAAGAGGCAGCCACTCTGGGGAATTCACTGCATGAAATGACTTTGTTTTGAAAGTTTCAGAGGCAAAATTATCCAGATTGTCTGTCAGCATCTCCCAAATGTACCTGGCTGTTTGCTTTGCTCACGAGTTCATTCATTTTAGCTATGAAGCTTTTACCCAAGTGCTTGGAATTTCCTTTCTTGAACATCCCTTTAATCAGATCCATTCCCCTCCTCACCTCCTTGATCATTCTTCTCCAGCATAGTTGCTAATGATGTGTGCATGTGCCAGACTTGCACAAACGTTGGGCTGCCAACCACTCTGTGCCTGTTAATTCCATCCTCAGCTCAAGCCGGGATCCTTGAGTTACAACAGATGCTTCTTCCCTGGGGCTTCAGCCCCCATCGATCAGCTTTGTTGATGAGGAAGAAAAGTTTCCTCCTTGACTGCCATTTGAATATAATTTATTGTGTTCTGAAAGAAAAGTGGAAAGACGAAAAGGTATGGATGGGCAATAATACAAATGAATTGTGATGGATGATACTCAGATTTCAGTTTCAAAGGAATATGCTTTTAAGTCGATAAATGATTGCAATGGTGAGACGAAGTCTCCACAGCTGTGCCAAATGGGCTCCTTCAAAATGGCCAGAGTGCCTATTGGAGTCCATGAGGGAGTGAGATGAACAATTACGATAAAGAAAATAATAAAATGAGCACATGGTGTTTAAGAGAAACAACACCATAAACAGACTGTGAATTTTAATCCAGGCTCCAATCTTGAGCAAGTTACTTAATGGCTCTGTGCCTCATTTTCTCAGGTGTAAAATGGGAATTCTAGTACCTGCTTCTAGCAGAATTGTTGGGAGGATTAAATGAGTTAAAATACAGGAAGTCATTAGAACAGTGTCTGGCATGTAGTAAGCACTAGACTGATGTTTGCTCTGTTTGTTGTGATTAATGGTGAATTTTGCACTCTACCAGGTCCTGAGCTAAGCCTGTCTGTCCACGACTTCACTTCACTATCACCACCACTCTCCCTGTGACTGTCATTGTGCTCACCCTTTACAGGGGGAAATGGGTGGAGAGCTATGCACTTGTCTTCCAAATACAGAAGAATTTCTGACTTTGCTCTTATCCTCGCTTAGGCTTTTGTTGTTGTTTTGTTTTGTTTTGTTTTGTTTTTGGAGATGAAGTTTCGCTCTTGTCGCTCAGGCTGGAATGCAATGCTGTGATCTTGGCTCACTGCAACTCCCACCTCCAGGTTCAAGCGATTCTACTGCCTCAGCCTCCCAAGTAGCTGGGATTACAGGCGCACACCACCACGCTAGCTAATTTTTGTATTTTTTAGTAGAGACAGGGTTTCACCATGTTTCCCAGGCTGGTCTCGAACTTCTGACCTCAGGTGATCTGCCCTCCTCAGCCTCCCAAAGTTCTGGGATTACAGGTGAGAGCCACCATGCCCAACTTCTCACTTAGGTTTTATATGAGTGTCTTCTGTTTATGTATTTGCAGTTCCAATTAGGTATAGGAAAAAATTTTAAACACTGGAAATAAATATTCCAAGCTGTTCATAGTGGTTGTTTCGAGGTGATAGGATTATGAGAGGCTAGTTTTCTTCCTTCTACTTTCTGTATTTTGATAATTTCTAAAACTAGTTGTGTGTGTATATGTTTATGTGTTTATTTACAATAAAATGTAGAAAATGAATGTTTAAATGTAAGAGAAGGGCAGATTTAGTTCACCTCTTTCTTTTCCTGAAATAACTCAATCAACTTCCTCATCAGAGCACGTTAATAAGAAATCAGGAACCTAGTGTCACATATAGGACCAAGACTAGCTCATGCTGGGCCTGGTCGTTGAAGAATTATTGCTATTTCTGGGGAATTTCTTGGTCTATGAGATACCTAAGCCCATACAACAACATAATTTTATATGATGAATTATGTAGTTATATACATGCTGTACTAAGAAATGCTACATCTGAGATAAAGGTGAGTATAATATCATAAATAATTTAAAATTAGAATGAAAATAAATAACAACAAAGCAACAGCATATTTCCTATGTAAAGAGGAATTGCTTACATTTCAGGTGGTTTGTGAGTTTCTTTTGAATTGAGCACTTCTATTATCTGAGTCCTGGCCTGAATCTGAGGTTAATTATATGTTACCTTACAGCCGTAGAGACCATTTCTCCTTTAACAATACCACTCAACTTTTCATTTATCTTTCCTGGTTTCCTGCTCACTTGAAAATCTGTTGAAAAGACATTATAGGTTCATAGATTGGATTAAAAGGAGAAAAAATAAAATAAAGGTAGTCCTACTTCACACTAACCTTATTTAAGAAAGCAGCAAGAAAGCTCTAAGGTCGGCTGTCTGAGCTCAAGAATTCAGGGGCAGGGGCAGTTAGAAGTCCTCCTCATTCAATCTACAGCCTCAAAAAATCTTAGGCCTCTCATGGAATATAAGTAGTGGTAATGGGAGGAAGGCATATTCTCTCTCTCTATGGCCCCCCACCTCAATTTCGCAACAAATAGGAACCCAAGAGGAAAAAAATAATTGTCTAAAATGTGATAGAACCTTTTATTAATATGTATTTCCAAAATACTGCTGTACAGTAAATCACCCAACTACGTAGTCACTTAATAAAAAACAACAACTGTTGACAAGGATGCAGAGAGAAGAGAACACTTTACACTGTGATGAGAATGTAAATTAGTACAGCCTCCATGGAAAACAGTATGGAGGTTTCTCAAAGAACTAAAAATAACTACCATAAAATCCAGCAATTCCACTACTTAAAATCTACCCCAAAAAATTTTTATATTAAAAAAAAGACACCTGAATACACATGTTTATAGCAACAGTATCTACAACAGCAAAGTCATGGAATCAACCTAAGTGTCCATCGGTGGATGATTGGATAAAGAAAATGTAGTGTGTCTACAGAGTGGAACACTATTCAGCCATAAAAAAATGAGATGATGGGTTTTTCTTTTTTTTTGCAGCAACATGGATGAAACTGGAGGCCATGATCTTCAGAGAAACAACTCAGACACAGAAAGACAAATACTGTATGTTCTCATTTGTAAGTGGAGCTAAATAATGTGTACACATGAACTTAGAGTGTGGAATGATAGACAATGGAGACTCAGAAGGGTGGGAGGGTGGCAGGGGATGGGTGATGAGAAATTAATGGGTATAATATACATTGTTTGATAGATACCCTAAAAGCCCTGACTTTACCACTACACAATATATCTGTGTAACCAAAATTACAATTGTACCCCATAAATTTGTACAAATAAAATAAATAAATGCACATAACTTATTTAACCACTTTAGACTGTTTCTAGTATTTTACTATCATAAACAGTGCACCAAAGTCATTGTACTTTGTCATGTCACATGTGTAAATGTATACATATTTGTAAATTCTAGATATGGCATTGCTGGGTCAAAGGGCATAGGCATTAAATGTGTTTCATTAACAAAAAATGGAAAATGAATAAATAATTTTTAAAAACAACGTAGGCTGGGCGCAGTGGCTCACACCTGTAATAGCAGCACTTTGAGAGGCTGAGGTAGGCGGATCACTTGAGCCCAGGAGTTTGAGACCAGCCTGGGCAACATGGCAAAACCTTGCCTCTACAAAAAACACAAAAATTAGCGGGGCATGGTGGTGCACACCTGTAGTCCCAGCTACTTGGGAGGCTGAGGCAAGAGGATGGTTTGAGCCTGGGAGGCAGAGGTTTCAGTGAGCTGAGACTGTACTATTGCACTCCAGCATGGGTGACAGAGTGAGACTCTGTCTTAAAAAACAACAACAACAACAAAAAACACCTACTTGCTTAAATAGCAATTAGGTATGATTTCTCAGCTAGACAGTTCTGCTTACCTGTACTGGGCTTAGCTAAATTTGACTGGGCTCCCCCGGGCATGTGTGGTCAGCAGGTTTGGGGTCTGGGCCTCAGTTCGGTTGACTCGTTCCTAATCCACATGATTCTCCAGCAGGCTAAGGCAGTCTAGTGGACATGGCAGTTAGATAGTGTTCCACCAGGGAGAGAGGATGTGGGCACAATCTCTTAAATTCTAAACTCAGAACTAATCCTCCATCACTTCTAATGCATTCCATTGGCCACCCCAGATTCCAAATGGGGAATAGTCGTAAAGTCATGCTGCAAAGGGTATGGATACAAGAAGGGGGGAAAATTGGGGCCATGTTTGCGATCAATCTACCACAAACTGGAAACATAACGGTACAGGAAATAAGCAACAATTATGAAATATGCTTCATTGTTGTAATTATCCTGAGACAGGGTAGATCATAGGATTTTCACCAAGATGAAAACCAAAAAGTACTCAAAATTTTAATTAAGGACCATCTGAGAAGACATGGGAGACACTCATCAGATCTTGTCCCTGACCCACCCCCTAAGAGGCATTTCCCGCTCTGGAAGAAGAGTCCTTTGATTCCTGATGATTCTATGGAAGATGATTCCAAGTCTGGGGCCCCTTCAGAATGAAATCATAGCAGCCCTGTGAGGGGTTTATTAGGTACCCAAGGTGATCAATTATTTCTGCAGTCCTGAAGGAGCACAGAGCAGTGAGATCATTGAAGTTGTTTCAGATGTCTTAACAAGGTCTCCTGATCTCAGGCTTTGTTTGACATAGTCAAGTTTTGACAAAAGGTAGAAACATGAAATTATGCTGTAGCCTGAAAAAATTCTCTTTTAAATGAAACCCTAAATTTATATTCAAAATTGTACGCATACTGAGATTGAAACCATGTAAAGCTATGTACATAAAAAGACAAAGGTAAACCAGGAACACACAAAAGGGAAAATAATTATATTCTGATGATGCAGTGGTCGTGTTTTTCTCATTTTTCAAAATGTTCTTTAATGCTGGGGTTATACTTTCTTACCATAAAAGGGTGGGGGGCTGTAAGTAAATTGAAAGCAAAGATTAATAAGCATTTATCTTCAATAGTATACACATTGTAGAACAGTGAAAGCTCGGTATTGTCTTTTTATTTTATAATCTTTAGGCTGACAATGAAATATTCAAATGCCAAGAAACACAAAAGCAGTTCAGAATTATACTTGAGGAAGAGTTATGTGACTCCACTATCATTACTTAATTCGTACAAAGTGCCTTAAATAAGTGGTTTTATCTTTATCTTGTGATTTTTTATTTAGTAGATTTCTATGAATCTGTCTAATGATGACAGGCCAGCAGGACCCATGTGCTGAAGCATATCTAACAATGCAATCACAGTAATTTGAAAAAATAACAAAAGAATAATCATAGCTATATATTCTCTGGCTGGTTTTGAATTCAAATGCAAAAATGTGGGTAAATGTTCAAAATTAATGTATCTAAAGCTAAAAAGAAAAACCTGGCTCACTAGGAAACATTTTAACTTAGAGTGTCAAATAATAAAGTTAACTCAACGTAAAAGCAAAGGAAACATATTTTGTGTTTTGTTTTCCAGGGCTGAACACAAAGCTTTTAATATTAGTCAAAAGTTTGATAAAAGGATGCAGCACTATCTGAATCAGAAAAGTAGTTTTTGCTCTTACCACTATTGAATAGTTTGTAAGGAATGAGTTGATGATTCCAGCCTATTCTTAGATCCCTCCCCTGCCTCCTACTTCCCTACAGAGACCAGAAATAACCACAATAGGAACATTTTCTATCCATGCCATACTAGTTCCTTTCAAGTTATTTTTATATACATTTTCTCATTTAAGATTCTTCCAGACCAGTGGACTAAATAGCACAGACATTATCATCTCCGTTTACAAATAAGAAACCAAGACCCCCCCAAAATAAGTAACTTTGAGATTACAAATATTTTAAGAACCCTGATCTGATCACTATACATTATATGTATTGGAGCATCACTATGTACTCCATGAGTATGTACAACTATTTGCCAATTTAAAAAATAAAAATTTTAAATTTTGAAAAGTTAAAAAAAAATGTAAGTAACTAGTTCAAAGACATACAACTGGTAAGTGGCAGGTTAGGTTCATCCTTATAAGCAGCAGAAAAGGAGGGCACTTAAAGATGCTGCCTGTCATTAAGAAAAGATGTATCATATTAGAGAGAAATTTAAAATATTAAAGCAAAAAAAATGCCTGTAATTCCACTTACTAGAGAGAGCCACTTTTAACACCTTGACATAGCTCCTTCCAGCTATAATGGTCTAGCTTTGTATTTCACCGAGCAAACTGAATCAGTAAAAAGAGAACTTCCACATTCTCCCCAACCAGTCTACCAACCCCACATCTGTGTCTATATACCCTGCCTTCCCTCCTGGTACAAGGGATGAACTGACCATGTTCCTACTGTTTATTCTGCGCTTGATTTTATTTTCTTTTACCTACTCAGAGATTCATTATGCAATTAGCTCCTAATCAGTGGTTCCCCCATGCCAAATGATTTCTATCAGTAAGCAAACATAGTGTAATCTCTCCCATCCAGAACAAAGAAACAAACAATGAACAAATCTTTGTGGCCCCCACATCCTTCTTTCACGGCAGCCCTGTTTCTCTGCTCTCCTTTTTAGCACACAATCTTCAAAGTTGTCTAGACTCCCTGGCTCCTGTTGTGCCTTGAACACACTCCACGCAGGCTTGCATTCCTGCCACTCCACTAAAACTGCTTTTGTCCAGGCCAGTGACCTCCCCATGTCCAAATCCAATGGTCAGCCCTCAGTGCTCTTCTTAATCCTGCAGGAACACTTGACATCTATCCCACTTTCTTTGAAACACGTTCTTCTTTTGTTTCCCAGCACACCAACTTTCTTGGTTTTACTCCTATCTCCACGGCCACTTCTCACTTTTGCAAGTTCTTCCTCTCCCCAACCCTAAGATTGGCCCAGTGCTCAACCTTTTCACTTGCTTATCTCTATACCAACTTTCTTGGTGATCTCTTCAGTCCCAGGACCTAAAATTACCACCTATATGTTGATAATCCCCATATTGTATCTCCAGCCCTGATATAAATTTCTCCCCTGAACTCCAGAATTACATATCTCCACTTGGACATCTAATAGGCATCCCTGGTAGGCTCCAATATGGCCTTACTGTTTGTTTATAAGTGGTATCAGCTCTGATTCATTGAAAATCCCTTCTGATTAACCAGCCTGTTGGACACCAGTTGATACTTTTAAATATAGTCCTTTGATGAAGGCATCTCAACTTTAAAATGGCCACACTGAAATCTTGATTCCAGCCCGCTAGTACTCCATTTTCTCACAGTCTTTCCCATTTCTGTAAACATCCTTGGACTTACCGTTCCCTCTGCCTGGAAATCTCTTCCCCCAGATACCTGCTTGGCTTGCTCCTTCACTTCGTTCAAGTCCCTATTTAAACAGCAGCCATGAAATCCTCCCTCAGCACCTACTTAAAAAAGGGGCTCCCCATTCCCCCCTCATTGTGCTTCATCCTTGGCCTTTTCTGTTTTGCTGTGTTGCTCTTTTCATTAAAGCACATATGAGATGATAAAATATGGAGGGAGGTTATATATGATACGGCAGATTTGCTCATTTGGTTGTTTGTTTACAGTCTTCCCTCACTAAAAATTAAGCCTCAGGCAGACAGGGGCATATTTTAGATTTTCGTTCGGTGTTTGATACTCAGGACCTAGAAATATGTTTTATGCACAATAGGCTTTTGTATTCTCGGGGGAGACAGAAATTGAACAAATGACTGGGCAAATGTATCATATTATATGTTATATAATTGAATGATTTCAGCTAAGAAGAAAAAAGAAGCAGGGAAGGGACTACAGAATGAGAGAGACATGGGGGTCTATGTACATACACACATACAACACATGATTTAGAAAAATAGTACCAAAAAGTCCATTTGGTTACCTGCTTTTTTAAAAATAGTATATATATATATATATTTTTTTTTTTTTTTTGGCCAGGTGTGGTGGCTCACACCTGTAATGCCAGCACTTTGGGAGCCGCCTGAGGCAGGCAGATCACTTGAGGTCAGGAGTTGGAGACCAGCCTGGACAACATGGTAAAAACCTGTCTCTACAAAGAATACAAAAATTAGCCAGGCATGGTGGCACACGCCTGTAATCCCAACTACTCGGAAGCATCGCTTGAACTTGGGAGGTGGAGGTTGCAGTGATCCGAGATTGTGCCACTGCACTCCAGCCTGGGCAACAAACAGAGTGAGACACTCTCAAACGAACAAAAAAACAGTATTTTTAATGACTACATAAGGTTCCATTGTATAGATTATTGTTTATTTAACCAATCCAGCATTGTCAAATATTTAAATAGGCTCCTTTTTTCACCTCTATAAATATTAGTTAGGTTTTTTTTAATTTATGGTAATTTTATTTTATAATTTTTTTATTTTTCCATAAGTTATTGGGGTGCAGGTCATATTTGGTTACATGAGTAAGTTCTTTAGTGGTGATTTCTGAAATTTTGGTGCAACCATCACCCAAGCAGTATACACTGCATCATATTTATATTCTTTTATCCGTCACTCCCCTCCCACTGTTCCCCCCAAGTCACCAAAGTTCATTGTATCATTCTTATGCCTTTGCATCCTCATAGCTTAGATCCCACATATCAGTGAGAACATACGATATTTGGTTTTCCATTCCTGAGTTACTTCACTTAGAATAACAGTCTCCAATCTTACCCAGGTCACTGCAAATGCTGTTAATTCATTCATTTTTATGGCTGCATAGTATTCCATTGTGTATATATACCACAGTTTATCCACTCGTTGATTGATGGGCATTTGGTTTGGTTCCACATTTTTGCGATTGTGAATTCTGCTACTATACACATGCGTATGCAAGTATCTTTTTCATATGAAGACTTCTTTTCCTCTGGGTAGATACCCATTAGTGGGATTGCTAGATCAAATGGTAGTTCTACTTTTAGTTCTTTAAGGAATCTCCACCCCATTTTCCATAGTGGTTGTAGTAGTTTACATGCCCACCAGCAGTGTAGAAGTGTTCCATGTTCACCATATCTATGGCAACATCAACTATTTTTTTATTTTTTATTATGGCTATTCTTTCAGGAGTAAGGTGGTATTGCCTTGTGGTTTTGATTTGCATTTCCCTGATCATTAGTGATGTTGAGCATTTTTTCATATGTTTGTTGGTCATTTGTATATTTTGTTTTGAGAATTGTCTATGCATGTTCTTAGCCCACTTTTTGATGGGATTGTTTGTTTTTATCTTGTGGATTTGTTTGAGTTTGTTGTAGATTCTGGATATTAGTCCTTTACTAGATGTATAGATTGTGAAGATTTTCTCCCACTCTATGGGTTGTATGTTTACTCTGCTGACTGTTCCTTTTATCATGCAAAAGCTCTTTAGTTTAATTAGGTCCCAGCTATTTGTCTTTGTTTTATTGCATTTGCTTTTGGGTTCTTAGTCATGAAATCCTTGCCCAAGCCAATGTCTAGAAGGAATTTTCCAATGTTATCTTCTAGAATTTTTATAATTTCAGGTCTTCAGTTTAAGTCCTTAATCCATCTTGAGTTGATTTTTATGTAAGGTGAGAGATGAGGATCCAGTTTTATTCTCTTACATGTGGCTAGCCAATTATCCCAGCACCATTTGTTGAAAAGGGTAGTCATTTCCCCACTTTATGTTTCTGTTTGCTTTGTCAAAGATCAGTTGGCTGTAAGTATTTGGGTTTATTTTTGGGTTCTCTATACTGTTCCATTGTTCTATGTGCCTATTTTTGTACCAGTAGCACACTGTTTTGGTGACTATGGCTTTATAGTAAAGTTTGAAATCAGGAAGTGTGATGCTCCAGATTTGTTCTTTTTGTTTAGTCTTGCTTTGGCTATGCAGGCTCTTTTTCGGTTCCATATGAGCTTTAGAATTGTTTTTTTCTAATTCTGTGAAGAATGATTGGAGGTATCCTGATGAGGATTGCATTGAATTTGTAGACTGCTTTTGGCACTATGGTCATTTTCACAATATTGATTCAGCTCATCATGAGCATGGGATGTGTTTCCATTTGTTTCTGTCTTCTATGATTTCTTTCACATTGTTTTGTAGTTTTCCTTATAGAGGTCTTTCACCTCCTTGGTTAGGTGTATTCCTAAGTATTTCATTTTTTTCAGCTATTGTAAAAGGAGTTGAGTTCTTGATTTGATTCTCCACTTGGTAGCTGTTGATGTATAGAAGAGCTACTGATTTGCATACGTTAATCTTGTATCTGGAAAATTTGCTGAATTCTTTTATCAGTTCTAAGAGCTTTCTGGAGGAGTCATTAGGGTTTTCAAGATAGACGATCATATCATCAGCAAACAGTGACAATTTGACTTCCTCTTTATCGATTTAGCTGACCTTTATTTCTTTCTCTTGTCTGATTGCTCTGGCTAGAACTTCCAGTACTATGGTGAAGAGGAGTGGTGAGAGTGGGCATTCTTGTCTTGTTCCAGTTCTCAAAGGGAATGCTTTCAACTTTTCCTCATTCAGTATTATGTTGGATGTGGGTTTGTCATAGATGGCTTTTTTTTATTACATTAAGGCATGTCTGTTGTATGCCAATTTTGCTGAGAGTTTTAATCATAAAGCAATACTGGATTTTGTCAAATGTTTTTTCTGCATCTATTGAGAGGATCATGTGATTTTTGTTTTTAATTCTGTTTATGTGATGTTATCACATTTATTGACTTGCATATGTTAAACAATCCTGCATCCCTGGTATGAAACCCACTTGATCATAGTGGATTATCTTTTTGATATGTTGTTGGATTGAGGTAGCTAGTATTTTGTTAAGGATTTTAGCATCTATGTTCATCAAGGATTTCAGCCTGTAGCTTTCTTTCTTGGACGTGTCCTTTTCTGGTTTTGGTATTAGGGTGATGTTGGCTTCACAGAATGAATTAGGAAGGGTTCCTTCTTTCTCTATCTTGTGGAATAGTGTCAAAAGGATTGGTACCAATTCTTCTCTGAATGTCTGTTAGGATTCTGCTGTGAATCCATCTGGTCCCGGACATTTTTTTGGTTGGTAATTTCTTAATTACCATTCCAGTCTTGCTGCTTGTTATTGGTCTGTTCAGGATATCCAGTGCTTCCTGATTTAGGCTAGGAGGGTTGTATTTTTACAAGAATCTATCTATCTCTTCTAGGTTTTCTAGTTTATATGTGTAAAGGTGTTCATTATAGCCTTGCATTATCTTTTATATTTCAGTAGTGTCACTTGTAATATCGCCTGTTTAATTTCTTAGTGAGGTTATTTGGATTTTCTCTCTTCTTTTCTTGGTTAATCTTGCTAATGGTCTATCTATTTAATTTATCTTTTCAAAAAACCAGTTTTTGTCTCATTTATTATTTGTGTGTTTTTGTTTGTTTCAATTTCATTTAGTTCTGCTCTGACCTTTGTTATTTCCTTTCTTCTGCTGGGTTTGGGTTTGGTTTGTTTTTGTTTCTCTAATTCCTTGAGGTGTGACCTTAGATTGTCAGTTTGTGCTCTTTCAGACTTTTTGATGTAGGCATTTACTGCTTTGAACTTTCCTCTTAGCACTGCCTTTGCTGTATCCTAGAGGTTTTGATAGGTTATGTCATTATTATCATTCAGTTCAAAGAATTTTTTAATTTCTACCTTGATTTTGTTTTCGACCCAATGCTCATTCAGGAGCAGGTTATTTAATTTCCATGTATTTGGATGGTTTTGAAGGTTTCTTTTGGAATTGATTTCCAGTTTTATTTCACTGTGGTCCGAGAGAGTGCTTGATATATTTTCAATTTTCTTAAATTTATCGAGGCTCATTTTATGGCCTATCATATGGTCTATCTTGGAGAAAGTTCCATGTGCTGTTGAATGTGTACTCTGTGGTTGTTGGATAAAATGTTCTGTATATATTTGTTAGGTCCATTTGCTCCAAGAAACAATCCAATGTTTCTTTGTTAACTTTCTGTCTTGATGACCTGTCTAGTGCTGTCAGTGGAGTATTGAAGTCCCCTACTATTATATTGCTCTCTATCTCATTTCTTAGGTCTGTTAGTAATTGTTTTATAAATTTGGGATCTCCAGTGTTAGGTGCATATATGTTTAGGATTGTGACATTTTCCTATTGGACAAGGCCTTTTATCATTATATAATGTCCCTCTTTGTCTCTTTTTACCATTGTTGCTTTAAAGTTTGTTATGTGTGTACTTTTGTTTTTTTGTTTTTGGTTTTTGCTTTATAACTTGTATTTTTGTTTCATAGGTCCTGTGTGATTTATGCTTTAAAGAGGTTCTGTTTTCATGTGTTTCCAGGATTTGTTTCAAGATTTAGGGCTCCTTTTTGCAGTTCTTGTAGTGGCGGTAATGGCAAATTCTCTCATCATTTGTTTGTCTGAAAAGACCTGTATCTTTCCTTCATATATGATGCTTAGTTTCACTGGATACAAGATTCTTGGCTGATAATTGTTTTGTTTGAGGAGGCTGAAGATAGGCCCCGAATCCCTTCTAGCTTGTAGGGTTTCTGCTGAGAACTCTGCTGTTAATTTGATAGATGTACCTTTATAGGTTACCTGGTGCTTCTGTCTCACAGCTCTTAAGATTCTTTCCTTCATCTTAACTTTGGATAACCTTATGACAATGTACCTAGGTGAAGATCTTTTTGCAGTCAATTTCCCAGGTGTTCTTTGTGCTTCTTTTATTTGGTTGTCTAGGTCTCTCACAAGGCCAGGGAAGTTTTCCTCAATTAGTCCCCCAGATATATTTTGTAGGCTTTTAGAATTCTCTTCTTTTTCAGGAACATTGATTATTCTTAGGTTTGGTTGTTTAACATAATCCCAGACTTCTTGGAGCCTTTGTTCATATTTTCTTATTATTTTTTTCTTTGTCTTTGTTGGATTGGGTTAATTCAAAGACTTTGTCTTTGAGCTCTGAATTTCTTTCTTCTACTTGTTCAATTCTATTGCTGAGACTTTCCACAGCATTTCGCATTTCTAAAAGTATGTCCAAAGTTTCCTGAATTTATGATTGTTTTTTCTTTAAGCTATCTATTTCCTTGAATATATCTCCCGTCACTTCTTCTATTATTCTTGGATTTCCTTGCATCGTGCTTTGTCTTTCTCCGATCCCTCCCTGATCACCCTAATAACTAACCTCCTGAATTCTTTTTCAGGTAAATCAGAAATTTCTTCTTGGTTTGGATCCATTGCTGGTGAACTAGTGTGATTATTTGGGGGTGTTGTAGAGCCTTGTTTTGTCATATTACCAGGGTTGGTTTTCTGATTCATTCTCATTTGGGTAGGCTCTGTCAGAGGGAAGGTCTAAGGCTGAAGGCTGTTGTTCAGATTCTTTTGTCCCACGGGGTGTTCCTTTGATGTAGTACTCTCCCCTTTTCCTATGGATGTGGCTTCCTGTGAGCCGAACTTCAGTGACTGTTGTCTCTCTTCTGAATCTAGCCACCCAGCGAGTCTACCTGGCTCTAGGCTGGTACCAAGGGTTGTCTGCACAGAATCCAGTGATGTGAACCATCTATGGGTCTCTCAGTCATGGATACCAGCACCTGTTCCAGTGGAGGTGTTGGAGGGTGCAATGAACTCTGAGAGGGTCCTTAGCTTCGGTGGTTTAATGCTCTATTTTTGTGCTGGTTGGCCTCCTGCCAGGAGGTGGTGCTTTCCAGAAAGCATTAACTGCAGTAGTGTGAAGAGGAACCGGCGGTGAGCTGGGCCCTAGATTCCCAAGATTACATGCCCTTTGTCTTCACTACTAGGGTGTATAGGGAAGTACCATCAGGTTGGGGCAGGGCTAGGTGTGTCTGAGCTCAGACTCTCCTTGGGTGGATCTTGTTGCACCTGCTGTCAGGGATGGAGGTGAGATTCTCAGGTCACTGGAGTTGTGTACCTAGGAGGATTATGGCTGCCTCTGCTGAGTCTTGCAGGTTGTCAGGGAAGCAGGGTAAAGCCAGCAGTCACAGGCCTCACCCAGCTCCCATGCAAACTGAACGGCCAGTATTACTTCCACCGTGACCCCCAACCAGTATCCCTGAGTATATTTCCAGGTAGAGGGCGAGAAGGGCTTGAAAACTTGCCTGAGGCTATCTGTCTCCAAGCTGTGGGGGAAAAAAAGGGCTTAAGTTCTTCCCCTGCCTATGAAGTCTGTACTCCAGATTTGCACCCTCCCCCGAGTTCTGGCCAGGAGGCTTCCCGCCCGTTCCAATTGTTACAAAGTTCAGCTAGAGAATTCTTTCTCCCTGTGGAGTTTTACCACCTGCCCCTCTGGCCGCCCTCCCTATGGATCCCCGTGGTGCCAGTCAGGAATTGGCTGCTTGGGGACCCAGCGAGCTCCCAGGGCTTTTCTGCTGCTTCCTCTACCCCTGTATTTTGCTCAGCTGTCTAACTTGACTCAGTTCCAGGTAAAGTCGGAAACTTCTCCCGCAAACAAACTTTCAGCTTCTCCAATGGGGGTGTGCTTTCGGGAGAAGAGGGTCTACCTTTCCCACTTCTGCAGTTGGGGCACTCACAGTATTTGGAGTGTCTCCCCGGTCCTGCAGGAGTAGTCCACCTCTTTCAGAGGGTCTGTGGGTCCTCTCGGGATTGCTGGTTTGTTCTTGCAGTCAATCCGGAGCTAAAATTCACAATGCAAGCCTCCACACGCTGCTCTCTCCAGAGGTGCAATCTAGTCCTGCCTCCCATCCGCCATGATCCTCTAGTTCCAATTTCTATTTAGGTTTATTTTAGAGTCCAGACCTGGTATTCAACATGTAGCCACAGCCCCACAAGGTTACCAAGCACTTGAAATGTGGCCAGTCCAAATTAAGATACGTTATAAATGTAAGATGCACTCCAGATTTCCAAGACTTGATGCCAAAAAGGAATATAAAATATCTCATTAATAATTCATTATGTTATATGATAACGTGATATTTTTGATATGTTGGGTTAAATAACATGTTATTAATTGCATATAATACAAAATTTGTTTCACCTGTTTCTTTTTACTTTTTAAATGTGCCTACTAAAAAAATTTAAATTATATAGGTGCTTTTATTATATTTCTATTGGACTAGTGCTGGTCTAGACTCTTAAGGGAGGACACAGAATTTCCATTAATTATTTGCTACTTTGAGCTAACAAGCCATTCTTTTAGAAATCAACACAATTCAAAGCTCTAGCCTTTCAGATTATAGTCTTGATTTGTTTGATTTGATGCTTCCTTCCATTTACCTGGGGGAAACAAGATTTTTATATTGGTATATACTAAAAGTAGTTTTTGTATTTCATGTGCCCATTCTGATGCTGTTTGATCTCTTGGCACCTCCAATCTATAGTCCTGTGGTCCTCTCCAGACAAGCTGGGTGTTCCCTGTATTGATAATTCAGGAAGAGGTAGGTGGGCAGACAGGAGGCTGAAACTTGGAATATGGGCCTTTTGGGCAGATGAGGAGACTTGGTTATTTCTCACTCCCAAAGATACTCTCCTATCAGAGGCTTAACCATGCCCCTTGCCCATCACCAGGGTCAGAGAAAGAGGCATCTCCTTATGGAGTCACAGCTGAATATGAATAACCTGCGATTCACAGGCCAGCCTTTCTAGTTCTTATTACTCTTTCTGTTTGTATTTTTCATTTTCCCTAAACCTATAATATGGTCCAGTCAAATGCTAGAGCTGTATCTTAGCTCTACTGTGGGGTAGCAAGGGAAGGATAAAGTAGCCAAGCTTGAATAAGAGTATATGCTTTTTCTTTGCACTTTAAAAATATATCTTCAGCATTTCCTTGTTATTATGTTATATGTTTTTTCCAAAGAGTGATTTGTAAAGGCTGCATAACATTCCATTATATAAAAATACCACAGTTTTTTAAATCCCTTACTGGATTTCCTGCCTTCCTTTTTTCTTTTTTATTTTGTAGGTATAACTACAATGGCCATCCTTATCTGGAATTCAACAACCTCGAACTGGGCTCAAGCAATACATTCACTTTAGCCTTCCGAGTAGCTGGGACTATGGACACATGCCACCGCACCAGGCTAATTTTTATTTTTTGTAGAGATGGGGTTTACTACGTTTCCCAGGCTGGTCTCAAACACCTGGCCTCAAGCATTCCCCTCACCTAGGCCTCCCAAAGTGCTGGGATTACATGAATGAGCCACTGCACCTGGCTTCGTGCATGATCTTGATTATATATTTTCCTTGAAGAATTGTGGAATTCTAGGATAAAAAGATTTTTGAGTCTCTTACTACATTTTGGAAAATTGACATTCTGAAATATACCAATTTATTCTGCCACTGATATCCCTATTTTCTTATAATTTTAGGATTTGGAAGAACTGGGCCCATATCAAACCCATATCAGCAAATGGAGGAAGTATATGTGGTCCCTATTAGGCCACTGTTTGCTCAGTTCTTGGTGTACCTGAGAGCCCCCAAAAACAGCTTGTTGACATCTCTTAAATTGAACCTGCATTTTTGGTGCAGTAGGAATTATGTGGGCTGGGGAACCACTGAGAACTGAAGAAGGAATCCTAACACATCCATTTGTGAACTGTGTCACTGTGGGCGCAGTATTGAACCACTTGCACCCTTGATCTTCTCATCTTTCACATGGGGATGGCCCTACCTACCTCACAGGACTATGGTAAGGTTGAGATGAAATCACACATGTAAAGCACCTGGGAGGAAGCTTGTCCTTAACCAGTATTAATATTCCACCCAGAACCCCACCCGAACCCCCTTCTCCATTCCACCAGTTCCTCCGTCTCATCCCTGCCCCCACCTCATAAACGACAGCAGTGGCTTCTCTAACATCTTAGGATTCTGAGTTTGAATAAATTACTAATATTTTTATTTGATTTGATGTTCAAAGTCTCTGACCAAAAGTGAACAATTTAATTATTTTATTTTATTCTATTTTATTTGAGACAATGTCTCCCTCTGTTGCCTGGGCTGAAGCTTAGTGGCGCAATTATGGCTCACTGCAGCCTCGAGCAATCCTCAGGCTCAAGCAATCCTCCCACCTCAACCTCCCAATTAGTGGAGACTACAGGCATGCACCACCATGCTTGGCTAATTTTTTAAAAAAATTTTTAGAGATGGGGTCTCACTATGTTGCATTATGTTGTCTCACTAGGCTGGTTTTGAACTCCTAGACTCTAACGATTCTCCTACCTCAGCCTTCCAAAGTGCAGAAATTATAGACCTGAGCCACCACACTCAGCCTGAAGGTGAACAGTTTACAAGTCAAGGAGAGAAATTGTCCTTTCTGTGATATTGCCAGACTCCCCCTGGCTGAAGATTACTATATCAGCCCTGTGAGTGATAATCAGGCTGTTTGGGCCAACAGCCTCTCAAATGAAACTTCTCTCTGGTTTGAAAAGAGCTTTTTTTGGGAGGAATGCCCACATGAATATATGGTTTTCTGTACTGAACATCTATCAACAACAGTGAAATTAAGTCAAGAAATTTTTAGCTATTTACAAAGTCATAACTGAAATTTGTGTTACCATTCCTTTCTATTTGCGGTCATTTAATGCATGAGTTCGTGATGAAGTTATGACCAAATACGACTTGAATTCATGATTTGTTTGGAGGGGAGGGGGCAGATTTTGCTCAACATTTATTACAGTATTCATTCAGTGAGATTTTATTTAGCACTTGCTGCATGCCAGGTGATGAAACAAGTACTGCAGATTAGGGCCAAATAAGGAAGACATGGTTTTAGATTCAGAAGCTTCCAGTCTAAAGTAAAGACAGACAAGAAACAAAAGACAATAAACAAAAATGTTACATAAATTACTGTATATTGTGAAATTATGATAAGAGCCACAAAGGAGGAGAGGAATGCCTTGATTGTATTTGTGTCTGGGGTACCTAACCTAGAGAAATGGGTGAAGTTTAAACTAGACTCTCAGAAATGACTAGTTAAAAAAAGAGTGGCAGATTGTATTTTCCAAAACTAGTCACAACCATAGTCTGCCCCACATGCCCTTCTGGAACCTGCCCCTCCTCCATCAAGTGCCAGAGTCCATGTCCCTTCCTTCTGTCCCTGGACAGATCTTTGTGACTGCTTTAACCAAGAAAGCATATTTGAAATGATGTCGTTTAACTTTGGAGGTAGGTCATAAAAGGTGATGCAGCTTCCAATCAGCCTCCTCTCCTAGAAGCTCACCCTCGGAACCCAGCCACATGGACAGGCCCCTGTGGAATGAACTGAGACCCCAGGCCTAAGCCGTGGCTGAGTTGACAGCAGCAGATTTTTAGCCACATGAGGGAACTGCCTTGAGGGGATGCTGTGACCCTTAGTCAGTCCACCCTAGGTGATGCTGCATGGAGCAGACGAGCCTTCCCTCCAATCCCTGCGAATTGCAGCTGCGTGAACAAAATAAATGATTACAGTTGTTTTCCAACACTAAGTTTGGGGTGGTCATTTATATAGCAATAGGTAAACAGAAGACAGAGTACACAATGAGAGTGACAGACTGGAGGCAGGAAGAGCTTCACCTGTCCAAGGACATGAAAAGAAGCCAGTGTGACTGGAGCACAATGAGCAAGGGAGGTTGTGCAGTAAAAGGAGACAGAAGGGGCTGGAGGAGGCAGGCCAAGGCATCCTTGGAGGCAGGGCTACCAGTCAGCTAATATACAATGGGCTGGATGTACAGAGTGCAAAAATATCAGTTCCTGTCACTCCCACAGCACACGGCAGCTCCTCCAGACTTGTGCCGCTTTTGTCACACCCATCACCAGCCCCACCGTGTCCCACCTGAGGTGCCAGGACCAGTAGGCAGGAGTCTCTCCTCTGAGTTGCTACTTTCTGGCCCCACCTCTTCCCTTTTAATTGCTTCAGTCCTAGGAATGGTAGCTGCTTCCTGAAGTTATTCATATCCAGGCATCTGTGTAACAGATTTCCTGATTACCCTTGTGTTTGAAATACCTAGGGTGATTTTTGTTTTCTAAACTGAATGCTGACAACAAATAGGATGACACTTCCCGACTCCCTGCTGCTGTGGCCCTTCTCAGAAGCCCCTTGGACTCCCTGGGATTAAAGAGGTGACACCAGCACCACAGGCACCCATCTCCAAATCTTGCTCCAGCACCGAAATTAACATCAGTTCTAATTGGTTTGTGCTTCTGCTGTATAGGGGAGTAAATATTTTGAATATCATCCCCCTGCAGAATATGGAAATAATTTTAAACTTGATTCTAAATCTAATGAGAGGCTACTAGAAGATTGTAGACAGTGGCCTGACATAATCAAATGTACATTTTAAAGGATTACTTTGACTACTGTATGCTGAATATACTGGAAAGAGGGCAAAAATGAATGTTAAGAGTCTAGTTAGGAAGTTATTATACCTCCTAACTAAAGTGAGAAATAATAGTGGCCTAGACTAAGCTGATGAATGTGGGCATAAGAATACAGGTTCTGGCCGGGCACAGTGGCTAACGCCTGTAATTCCACCACTTTGGGAGGCCAAGGTGGGTGGATCACGAGGTCGGGAGATCAAGACCTTCCTGGCTAACACGGTGAGACCCCATCTCTGCTAAAAATACAAAAAATTAGCTGGGCGAGTTGGCGGGCACCTATAGTCCCAGCTACTCAGGAGGCTGAAGCAGGAGAATGGCATGAACATGGGAAGCGGAGCTTGCAGTGAGCTGAGATCGTGCCACTGCACTCCAGCCTAGGTGACAGAGCGAGACTCTGTCTCAGAAAAAAAAAAAAAAAAAAAAAAAAAAAAGAATACAGGTTCTGCTAATCCAGTTTAGGTCATCAATAACCTTGCTTTTTTCTCTCTGTCTCTCTCCCCTACATGAAATATAAAGATTGATCTATAAAGGCTATAAACTGGCAAAGCGTAAGAAAAAAATATTTTAAGAGACAGATTGGGTGACTATCACTGCCAAGGGTCAAGACCAATTAAAATGGAAACAAGTCTCACAGCCTCCCTAATTTTTATCGACTATTAGCTGGCTTCGCACACCAGAAAGCATTCCAAGGAAGGTGTAAGTACTTCCTTCCCCACTCTTCCCCCTAGGAAACTTGTCCAGCATGTCAGTAACCAGGTCTTGCTCTACAAGGTGACAACCATCGCTGCCCAGGCCAATGTTAGTAATTCTCCATATTTGCAATATCCTCAGAGCCCGATTCTTTTCTTCTTTCAAGAATAACTACTGTCAGAATTGCCTAGATGATTCTCCAGGCTCCATTGTTCACCCACCTCCTGTCCCTCACCCCCTTTTAGAGTTCCTGCACAGCTCTGGCATCTACTTCTAATCCAGAAGCTTCCAGAAATGTCTTTCTGAACTACTAGGACCTTCTTGAGAACTTGGGACCTGAGTTCTTTATGGAGGGCCTTCAAGGGTAGATATCGAAATGTGTTGAAAAGAACAAGAGGCTTGAATGAATAGCTATGTGATGCTGGGAGAGTAACAGACCTCTCTTAGCCTCTGTTTTCTCACCTGAAAATAGAGAAAACCATCCCTACCTGCCTGGGCTTTTAGGCAGTTCAAATACCTTTACCAAAGCTGTACCTAGCTCACATTAGTTGCCCAATAAATAAATCATCTCATTAAAATAAAAAGAATACAGGTTCTGGACAGATTTATGAGGTAAAGCAGACAGTATCTGGGGACTCATTGAATGTGGGGATGAGAAGGAGGCCGCCATCAAGAAACACCCTAAGGTTTCCGGTGTGAGAAACTTGGGGCATGGACTTCATTTGCTGATAGAAAACTCAAAGAAGCAGGCCGAGGAATGGGTCATAAATTCCATCTGGGCCATATTTGGGTAAACGACTATGAGTCATCCAAAGGCAAATGTTGAATATATGATTTTACACATAGATTTGAAGTATGGAAGACAGAAATCTTTGCAAGAAATAAAAATTTCCAAGTTATCAGACTGTAGAGATGGTATGTAGAGCCTTGGAAATGGGTAAAATAATCTAGGAAGTGACTGTGGAGAAAGAGAGGAGAGTCCAGGTCCAGGATTATGCCATGAAGAAGACCCAGGAAAAATGAAGGAAGGAAGGAAGGAAGGAAGGAAGGAAGGAAAGAAGGAAGGAAGGAAGGGAGGGAAGGAGGGAGGGAGGGAGGAAGGAAGGAAGGAAGGAAAAAAGGAAGGAAGGAAGGACAGGAAGTGTGGTGTGGAAGGAAGGTAGGATTTGTTTTTTCTTTCTTATTTTTTGTAGAGACAGGGTGTTGCTATGTTGCCCAGGCTGGTAGTGAACTCCTGACCCCAACTGATCCTTCTGCCTCTGTCTCCCACACTGTCAAGACAACAGGCATGAGCCACAGTGCCTGGAGAGTAGGATTTTCAATTGGAAATTTCAGGAAGGCATTGGGATTGCTGCACTATCCTTGGCCCATATTTTCAGTCTCATTCCTGCCTTAGTCCTTAGTATTCTAAAGGTTGAAATGGCAGGGAAGATGGTGACATGGAGAGAACTCTTTGGTTCAGACAGACCTGAGCCAGTTCCCAAACAAGTCTCAGCTGCTCTCCCACTGTGTGACCAAAGTAAGCCTTCTTTTTTCCCACTTTCAGCCTCTATTTCCTTTTTTCTCTCTCTTTAAAAAAAAAAAAAATTGTTGTAGAGATGGGAGTCTCACCATTTTGCCCAGGCTGGTCTCAAACTCCTGGCTTTAGGTAATCCTCCTTCCTCGACCTCCTAAAGTGTTGGGATTACAGACATGAGCCACTGTGCCCAGCCCATTTTCTTTTCTGTTTATCAGCATTAAAAGAGTATTGTAAAAATAAAATAACTTGATGTGTATAGATATATTGATATACATTCAGATATATATCTGAAATATATATAGCTATATATCTAATATATATAAAACATATATAAATTGCTATCTATCTCTAGATATACCTACATCCACAAATATCTATATACATCTATATATATATCTATACATATCTATAGATAGATGGCAATTATATACAAGATTTGCATAAAGTTCTCAGCACATGGCAGATACTATACTAATGTTGGCCTGTCACACACACACATACGCAAACACACTCCTGACCACCCTCCTTCTTTCACACTTAAGAAAATAAGAACCAGCTGATTTAAAAGATAATCCTCCACCAGCACTCATGCCTGAAGAATTGGTACTTTCAGAGCCTGAGAAGCCTTTTCAGCCAGCCAGAAGACAGAACCCATACTGTGCGGCTCCCCAGCTCATGGCTTGCATCATGCAGATGCCCACAAACCCTTCATTCAGACATTGCTGAGGCTGGGATTGGGCAGCCACACAGGCAGCAAAGAGCCAGATCTTGCATGTACTGAGACCCTAGAGAGAATTTCTGTAGGTTTTGTTGTTGTCTTGTCCTCTGGGAAGGCTGCTCTTGACTTTCTGGCAATAAATAGAAAAATATAGATAGATGGTAGATAGATAGATAGATAGATAGATAGATAGTTAGATAGATAGGCAGATATCAATTTAGAACATATATGGTCCCCAGGTTTCCCCACTGGATATCCAAATTGGCCTCACTGCATCTGTAATTTAGAAATGATGTTACTCCTAAGGCATTGGGCACAGCAGCTAGGAGGCCAGATACCTCCACTCCAAATACTCTGTCCTGGCAGCCCCCCATTTCAAATGTCCTGTAAGGCTGTGTATCAGGCTCTGTGTCCTGGTTTGGAGCTTTGAAAATATGGTCACCATTTAGAGACATAGGCAAAAGTAAGACATTCTCTTTTTTCCTCCAACTTAAAAGGAAATTATTTGTTACCAAAAAAAAAAAAAAAATTATAACAAGCAACATGACCAGACATTTTATGGAAAGAAAAATTTACCCCTGAACCCTGACATACCAAGAAATCAAAACGTTTTCTTTTTTTGTCATGCCCTTCACCATTCCTAATTTGTGAAATATTTATTATTGTAGCATTAAACAAAAACAAAACGAAAAAAAAAACAGGCAGTGCCAAAGCTGTGTGAGCTCCCAGACCTGCACTCTCCCACCGTCTTTTCCAACTCCTCTACCCAGATACATAGAAGCAAACCATGGGAGGCCTTCTTCTGCTACCCAGCCCACCTGCAGATGGCCCAAATGAAACCCCCCAAACCCTCAATCAATCAAATTTTGCAAACATTACCTACTGCGTGTTCAGCTCTCTTCTAGACACAGAGCAGGGTGAGGAGAAGGGATGTAAGAAAGAAATAGAAGACCTGGTCCTTACTCTCTGGGGCGTTGCCATGGCAACGGGAAGGGGGTGCTGCAGAGGGGGTGGAAAAAGGGCACAATTACCAAGAGAGGCCAGGGCCTAACTGGAGTTCTTGCCCCGTTTCATGTGTGCAGGATGCAGCTGCCTTCTTTGTCCTTTGTGAATGAAGCCACTGATTGTAGCTTCTGAGGCAGTTTCCCAAAAGTGTCATGAGAAAGAGGCAAGATGTTAATGTGTTAAGCAGAAAAAAACAATTCCATGGCCAGATGAGTTGGGGATGTGAGGGTTAAAGAAAAACAAACAGGTTTCTTTCTCCAGATCTCAAAGCATTTACTCTACTCACAGGCAGTGTGAATCTCAACGAGGGCGCGGAAGCCTGCTGCATTTCCCAAGCTTGCGCGGACACAGGGAGGAACACCTTGAGGATCCAGCATCTAAGAAACATACTTTGGAAAATGCAGCTCCAGAATATTCTCTTTTGTGTCTGCTCAAGGACCGTATAGCATATTCTCCCAGATATTTCTAGGCCAAAGGAAGTCATTCCCTCCCCTTCCTTCTCATGCCTGGAAAATGGTAGAATTGAAGAGAAATCCATGGTTGGGCTGGAGGGCTCCCTGTACACAGAGGCTAGGGTGGGGGTGGGGGGCTTGGTGCAGAGAAGGGAGAGAAGGCAACGGACCCAATAAGAGACACCAATTATGGAGGACTTTTGCTGCTTCCAGCACTGGGCTTGCAAGGGAATTATTGAGTAACACCTGCAGTTGCAACCAAGACGGAGGTCAGCTCCTAAACAGAAGGCTCCACGACTCAGTTTCATGGTCACTTTCCTGACATGCAGTAGAAATCCCAGGCTTTTCCTGTTTCCTTTTCTTTGTGAATCCCTTCTCCAGTGTCTATGGGAGTGAGGCGGATGAAGTCACAAAGGCTCTGAGGTTCAGCCTTCTAGGATTACTTAGGCTGTTCAGGTCCCTCCACTTCCTCCCCAAGCTTCCTCCTCTAATTTCCTTAGGCCACTCCATTCTTCCATCCTCTAGTGCAATGGTTCCCAACCTTGGCTGCACATTAGAATCATCTGGAGGTTTTCTGTATGTGGTTGTTTTAATCTCAGTGGCCAAACCTCGTCTCAAATGGATGAAATCAGAAAGTCTAGGACTGAGACTCAGGCACCAGCATTTTTATGGCTTCCCAGGTTATTCCAATTTGCAACTTTAAAAACCGTCCAAGGGTAGAATTCTCTCATTTAGCAACATTGGTCTCCCAGGAAGCAGGTTCCTTTTCATCGGAAACCCAACTCATTCTTTTTTTAAGCCAAAACTCTTCCCTCTAGAGTACCCAAATTCTAATTTACTGGTGTCTCTCATTTATGACCAGATAATTTTCTGGAACCATCATGTTCTGTGCTCTAGGGGATCCAGCTTCACTTCAATTTCTCTGAGCATCTCCACAGTCCATTACTGAGTGTAGTTCAAAGGCAGAACACAGTGCCTACTTCCAACAGGCTAACTGCTAATGAGCATTGGCTCTCCATCATTCTTGCCAATTCTCATGTTCTTTTACTACCCCCAATTTCACCATCTTGGTGCCATTAACCCACATTTCTGCTAGGCTAGAAGTAACTCTCCCCACCCACTCCAGACACTCATCTCCTACCATTTCTCTTCTCAGAGAAGCCTAAGTCCGTAATATAACTCCCCTGCAAGGTTTCAGTCAGTGCTTAGAAGGCTGCAGTGGGCTTCTCTCTGGAATCTCGGGAGATGAACAAAAAATGTCACCTCAGCTAAAATTGAAACTAACGGAATCAATATAAAACAGATGAGGTAGCCCTTCTGCCCTCTTCTAAATAACCTCCCTTAAAAGATGGGCTTCTAAGGCTGGTACAAATGAAAGTAAACCCAACCAAAAGATCAGATGGTTAAAATAGAACTGTAGACCTGAGATGGATTTAATGCAAGAACAGCAACAACAACAAAATCCAAAACAGAGATCGTTAAATGGGGGGAACAAGACTATTTATTTACTTATTTATTTATTTATAGAAATATCCATCTTTAGTTGACTTTGGAAAAAATAAATATTTATAGAAATAAACTTTCATTGAACATATAAATTAATATACAAATAAATTTTAGTGCATGTATATAATTTATAAATAAATATATATGGGATTAGCACTCCCCAAAATGTTTTTGGAAATTACTGTTCTAAATAATTGTGTTCTAAAATTTCAGCATACATAAAAGGCTAGTGCTCAACTTGGAATGAGAAGAAGGAGATGGTGAAAATGGCAAGAGGTGGTCAGTGTTTATCCAGTACTATTGAGAAGCAGTGTCATGACCAGAAGAAAGCTTATCAGGCATATATGGAAGCATGTCCAACTGTTATGGCTTAAATGTCAATTCTTTAAAGTTATCCGGTCCCTTATGCCTGCACTGCAAGGCAATTATCTGATAGTAACCTGACATCTCCTGTACTCTTCCCTACAGGAAGGTCATATGTAAATCAGCCAACTCTGGCCTCCAGGTCTGTTTGGAAATATTATAAAATTATAAATTAGCTTCCTGGTTTCTAAGGTGGTTTGGGTTTAGGTTGGGGTTTCAGTTGAGTTTGATGTGAGTCAGGCCTCCTGAGCCTGATCACCTTTGAGGGAATGTCAGACCCTGAACCTCTCAGGTTCTGCCTGGATCACCATCATTACAAACCACTGCAAGGTACTCTCTAAGCCTCTGTCTTTGGCATTACCTCAAGTGTCACTCAACACATATATAATTTGATTTGTCTGAATTCCAGAGGGAACAGGGTTTCTTAGTCCACCTATGTTTTCAGAAAAGGGAAGTAGGTCTCATTGTTAGGAGCTTAGTAGTAAAACCTCAGATGCTAGGGGACACACAAAATGTAGTATAGGAGGAAACAATCCAAATGTTCATATCTGATAAATGGATAAACAAGATGTGCCATATTTATACAATGGAATATTATTTGTCCATAAAAAGGAATAAAGTTCTGATGGATGCTACAACATTGAAATATTATGCTAAGTGAAAGAATCCAGTCACAAAAGGCTGCATATTATATGATTCCTAAGTATAAAATGTCCAGAACAGAAAAATCTATAGAGATAGAAAGTAGGCCAGGCATAATGTCTCATACCTATAATCCCAGTGCTTTGAGATGCCAACGTGAAAGGATTGCTTGAGCCAAGGAGCCTGAGGCTAGCCTGGGCAATATAGCAAGACCCCATCTCTATAATATTTTTTAAAATTAGCTGGGCATGGTGGCATGGCACTGGAGTCCTAGCTGCTCAGGAGGCTGAGGCAAAAGGATCACTTGAGCCCAGGAGTTTGAAGCTACAGGGAGCTGTGATTGCACCACTGCACTCCAGCCTGGGCAACAGAGGAAGACCCTGTTTCTAAAAAAATAAAATAAATAAAATAATTAAATAAATAAATTTAATTCAATTTAAGCAAATAAAGTAGATTATTAGTTGCCTAGGGTTGGGGGAGGTGGGTCAAGGAGAGGAAAAAAATTATAGCTAAAGCATTACGGGGCTCCCTCTGGGTGTTATGAAAATGTTCTAAAGTTGTGATAACTGCACATCTATGAATATACTAAAAACCATTGAACTGTACCCTTGGTTGAATTGTATGGTATGTGGATTATATTGCAATAAAACCCATTTTAAAAATGAAGTATAAGATGAGGCAATTACCGGCAGTTCATATGGGTCTCCCCTTTGGGATTGTCTTCCACTGGTCACTGGTTTTTCTTCCTAATTACTTTATAAGCACGAAGAAGGAAACCCAACAGCTCATGCTGTCAGAGTTCTCACAGAATTTCACAGAGGTCATCTGTGAAAGCTGATGACCCACCCTCAGCCCACAGTAGAAAAAGGGGCTGTGAGCAGAGGAATACTGATCACTACCTCACACCTCTCTGCAGTGCTCATAACCCCAATGTGACAAACATTTCACAATCAGAAGAAACTCAAAAAAATTTTCAGTAAAGCCAGTATTCTAGATTTCCAAAATATGCATCCAATCTTCGTAGGAAGATTTATCATCACAGAATTCAGGGCTGAAAGATCACACAAGATTTTAAATGTTAACTTAATTATCTTATTGCATAGGCCCAGGGTGTTTGATGAGCTCCATCCCCACAGAGTTTCAGTCAGGGTATGGCATAGACATTTCCTCTCTCCTCTCACCCTCAAACCTGCCTAGGGAGTGTCCAATGCTCACCTTCTCCCAGGGTCATTTGCCTTTTCTTGCTCTCTCCTCTCCTCTCCCTCCAAGCTCTTCTTCCCACTTCAGAAAGTTTAAAATTGCCTTCCTGTGTGGCAGGAAATTGAATTTGTCATATCCTACATTCTTCTAGCTTTTTGGTTTATAGTAAAAAATTTATGCTTGGTCCTCCAAGCTCTGTTACTAAATATTTAAAGAAAAGCTTTGGGAATTTGAAAAATATGCTATTTTTTCTCTCAAGTGTCTGGCTCTTGCAATTCAATGTGTGGCTTTCCCAACTACTATTCCTGAAATGGGCATTGAGAGTGAATTCTGGTTGTCAAAATCTTAACATTGACTTCTTAATTCTCTTCATATCCCAACTATAAAAATCCCAGTCCTCCTTGAGGGACTGTACCTCTAGTTGAATATGTGAAAATAATGTACAAATAAAAACATAGTACCATTTACACATCTAAAAACTGACTAACTAAAGCTTTCTAGTTCAAATGTGCTATGATTCTATGACTTTAACCCAACCAGCCTTGGGTCTTTGGTGCTCCTACCATGGGAGTAGACCCCTAACACCACCAATTTTTGGATTCTTCTCATAAACCCTGATACCTCTTCCTCCTTTCTCTCTCCCCTATCCATTTTCTACATGTGATTAGGTAATGGTCTTCTAATCCCCAAATGGATTGCCAATGATAGAAGGGAGTGGTCACATGGCCCCTGAGTTCTGTGGCACAGGCTAAATCAAGCCTATAAATTCTCTGAAAACACTTGTTTTGTCTCGAAATTTCATGCATGATCCCATTCACCTCCACAACCGATCACTGTTCCTTTTAAATGTTACAAATAAGCTTTAAATGACAAATTGAGCCAGGAGTGGTGACTCACACCTGTAATCCCAGCACTTTGGGAGGCAGAGGTGGAGAATCGCTTGAGCCCAGGAGTTCAAGACCAGCCTGAGCAACACAGTGAGACCGTGTTTCTACAAAAAAAAAAAAAATTCAAAAAAAAAAAATTAGCCAGGTGTGGTGGTGTGCCTGTGATCCTAGCTATTCAAGAGGCTGATGTGAGATGGTTGCTTGAGCCTGGGAGGTTGAGGCTGCATTGAGCCGTGATCATGCCACTGTACTGTAGCCTGGGCAACAGAGCAAGATCCCAGCTCAAAAAAATAATAAAATGAATTACAAATCAAAAGTACTTAGCTTTTTCTAACAATCTTCAAATAAAATTGACCCTCCAGTTTAAAGTGTTGCTTTGATTCTTGTGGCTTCTAACTGGCCTTAACACATAGCCTAGTGGCCCCTGGTAATGGACACACATTTCACAAATATGAGTAGATGATTTGCCAATACTAAGTCTATGTTGACAACCAGTAACAGAAAGTTGAGACAATATTTGTGAAATAAATTAATTTGGAATAGACAATATTAGTGAAATAAATAAATTTGGATTAGTAAGTTTGAGCATCTACTCAGAAAATGTCAAGGAGTAAAACTTGTTTTGCTCCTTGTTCAGACCACCACTTGCAGCATTTGCTGTAATCATATATAACATCTGCATCTTCATAACGTGTAAGGGGGATAGTATTTGGGGAATGGCAAACCACCATATTAATCCTCAGTTATCTTCAATTCCAAATCATGCTAGGGTATTCAGAGCACAGTCATTTTACACCTGGAGGTCTCAAATCATGTACATCTTTGGAATTGTTGAGAAAAGACTCCTTCCCACATGGCAGTAAGGCCACAGGTCTGGCTGTACTAAGGAAGGAAAAGTCTGCCTGTCCAATTGGAAGGATTGTAGGGAAGGAGAAGGGAGAAAGGAGTTGGGGAGAAAGGAATATGTAAAGGTGGTTCCTCTTCCCATCTACGCAAAGAAGGGGCAATGAATTTGTTTTCTGTACCATGTAGAAAATTATCATAAACTTAGTGGCTTAACATGACACATATTTATTATCTCACAGTTTCCATGGGTCAGGAGACTGCATGTTTTAGGTGGGCCCTCAGCCGAGGGAAGAAGGCAGAAGAAGGTGTCAAGAGGCTGTGTTTTCTCTCCCTCTCCCTCTCCCTCTCCCGTCTCCCCACGGTCTCCCTCTCCCTCTCCTGTCTCCCCACGGTCTCCCTCTCCCTCTGTTTCCACGGTCTCCCTCTCATGCCGAGCCGAAGCTGGACTGTACTGCTGCCATCTCGGCTCACTGCAACCTCCCTGCCTGATTCTCCTGCCTCAGCCTGCCGAGTGCCTGCGATTGCAGGCACGCGCTGCCACGCCTGACTGGTTTTCGTATTTTTTTGGTGGAGACGGGGTTTCGCTGTGTTGGCCGGTCTCCAGCTCCTAACCGCGAGTGATCTGCCAGCCTCGGCCTCCCGAGGTGCCGGGATTGCAGACGGAGTCTCGTTCACTCAGTGCTCAATGGTGCCCCGGCTGGAGTGCAGTGGCGTGATGTCAGCTCCCTACAACCTCCACCTCCCAGCCGCCTGCCTTGGCCTCCCAAAGTGCCAAGATTGCATCCTCTGCCCGGCCGCCACCCCGTCTGGGAAGTGAGGAGTGTCTCTGCCTGGCCGCCCATCGTCTGGGATGTGAGGAGCCCCTCTGCCTGGCTGCCCAGTCTGGAAAGTGAGGAGCCTCTCCGTCCGGCCGCCATCCCATCTAGGAAGTGAGGAGCGCCTCTTCCCAGCCGCCATCCCATCTAGGAAGTGAAGAGCGTCTCTGCCCAGCCGCCCATCGTCTGAGATGTGGGGAGCGCCTCTGCCCCGCCGCCCCATCTGGGATGTGAGGAGCGCCTCTGCCCGGCCGCGACCGGGAGGTGAGGAGCATCTCTGCCCGGCCACCCCGTCTGAGAAGTGAGGAGACCCTATGCCTGGCAACTGCCCCGTCTGAGAAGTGAGGAGCCCCTCCGCCCAGTAGCTGCCCCATCTGAGAAGTGAGGAGCCTCTCCGCCCGGCAGCCACCCCGTCTGGGAAGTGAGGAGCATCTCCGCCCGGCAGCCACCCCGTCCGGGAGGGAGTTGGGGGGGTCAGCCCCCCGCCCGGCCAGCCGCCCCGTCCAGGAGGGAGGTGGGGGGGTCAGCCCCCCGCCCGGCCAGCCGCCCCGTCCGGGAGGGAGGTGGAGGGGTCAGGCCCCCGCCCGGCCAGCCGCCCCGTCCGGGAGGGAGGTGGGGGGGTCAGCCCCCCGCCCAGCCAGCCGCCCTGTCCGGGAGGGAGGTGGGGGGGTCAGCCCCCCGCCCGGCCAGCCGCCCCATCCGGGAGGTGAGGGGCGCCTATGCCCAGCCGCCCCTACTGGGAAGTGAGGAGCCCCTCTGCCCGGCCAGCCGCCCCGTCCGGGAGGTGTACCCAACAGCTCATTGAGAACGGGCCAGGATGACAATCGCGGCTTTGTGGAATAGAAAGGGGGGAAAGGTGAGGAAAAGATTGAGAAATCGGATGGTTGCCGTGTCTGTGTAGAAAGAGGTAGACATGGGAGACTTTTCATTTTGTTCTATACTAAGAAAAATTCTTCTGCCTTGGGATCCTGTTGATCTGTGACCTTGCCCCCAGCCCTGTGCTCTCTGAAACATGTGCTGTGTCCACTCAGGGTTAAATGGATTAAGGGCGGTGCAAGATGTGCTTTGTTAAACAGATGTTTGAAGGCAGCATGCTCGTTAAGAGTCGTCGCCACTCCCTAATCTCAAGTACCCAGGGACACAAACACTGCGGAAGGCCGCAGGGTCCTCTGCCTAGGAAAACCAGAGACCTTTGTTCACTTGTTTATCTGCTGACCTTCCCTCCACTATTGTCCTATGACCCTGCCAAATCCCCCTCTGTGAGAAACACCCAAGAATGATCAATAAAAAATAAATAATAAAAAAAAAGAGGCTGTGTTTCTATCTGGTGGACCAACTAGAGAAAGGTTCACTTTCAAGTATGTTCCAGCTGTTAGCAGAATTCCGGAATTCCTTTCCTGGCAGTTGTGGGACTGATGTCTTGCTAGCTTTTGTACAAGGATGGCTCTCGAATGCTAGAGGATGCCCTCAGCTCCTTGCCATGTGGCCTCTCCTTCTGGCTGTTTCACACTTCCAATCTCTCTGACTTATCTGTCCCTGACCTCTGAACACGTATTTAAAGGGCTCATGTGAGTGGGTCTGTACCACCTGGGTAATCTCCCTCTTTTAAGATCAACTGATTTGGGATTTTAATCACATCTGCAAAAGCCCTTCACCACACACAGCACCTAGGTGAGTGTTTGAATACTGGGAGAAGGTGTGTGCACCAAGGGCCTGGAATCCTGGTGGTCATCTTCAAGTTCTGCCCAGGACAAGCCGTCACTGGTACCCAGTTGATGTGTGAGGAAGGCTGGAGACATGTTGCTAGTGCTCGTGTTCCGAGTCATTCTGGGGAGGCCGCAAGCCTTTGGGAAAAGCCCTTGTCTGCCACAGCAGCTTGTAATGGGACAAGAGCAGTGATAGGCATTGTTGTGGAGATGGATGATCAAATGAGTCAAAGGCAGCACTTCCAGCTGCTCAAGTCCTCCCCATGGCGAGCAGATGACTGGGAAGTGCACAGGCAGAGGGAGTGGCCCTGGTGGGCATGAGGGCTGCTGGCCTGGCCAGAGAGCAGAGTTAAGGGGATGGAGTCAGTGGAGACTGAGATAAAGAGCAAAAGCCGCAGACTCTAGCAGTGGGCCCCAGCATGGGAGCCCACCAAGTCTGCAAAGCCAGTCCTGCCACCCTCAAGAGAGGCAGAAAGGGTTCAGAGTTTTGCACAGAGACCCAAAGGTCTGGGCTCTTCTTTCCTGCTGAGAGTCTGGGAGCCACGGCCTTCCACAATTATACCCAGAGCCTTTTTGGAGAATAAATAAAGATGGGGAGGGGATCAGAGAGCCTGAGGAGACTTGAGTTGAGTTTTGGTTTTCCTCGGACTGATGGAGGTTCCAGGGCCCAGGACTCCGGGGTATCAAAACTGGAAAAGTCCTGACAAACAGGAAGGTTGGCACCCTAGCTTTAAAAGGCTATTTCGATTATTAAGTTGACCTAAGATTTAAACTAAATTATGCCAGGCTGAATCTCTCTCACACACACACACGCACCCCCACCTCAGGAAGGTCATGACCATCTACAGTAATGATCAGCTGCGCTGCATTTTTTTTGCTTGCCTGAGTTGTAGGTCTTGTACATTTGCAATACCTCATCACCAGTTTCATATTCTCTTGCTTCATCCTCACAGCAGCACTGTAATAAAGACAGAAAGGGGAATGACAGACGAGGCCAAAAGATGGCCTGAAAAGCCCACGACCAGTGACTGCATTGCAGGGCCCATGTTGGAACCAGATTGTTCAATTCCCAGTTTTCAGCATATGATGAATCTTCAGATCTAAGAATTTTGCCACCTACGCTTATCTTTTCCAGGGCTCTGCTTAATTTCATTAATAAATTAAATCCTGAATATTCATCACATGTCGATTACTATTCATCGAGTGTTCATTGGCTTCATGGCCATATTCAAGACATCAGGTGGGCATGGTCTCAGCTGAACCACAGCCTTCGGCAGTGGGCCCTCCTCACCTGCCTTCCTGGCCCAGATAACAATAGGAAAGTCAGAGCAAAGAGCAGGTCGGCCAGAGCACTATCTTTGTGTGATGCTTCCCCCTTGTGGCCAACTTGCCACTTTGGACAGGAGGTAAAGAATTCTCCAAAAGGTCTTCCTGTTCAGGGATTACCACTTAGGCAGGTAAGATGCCTGGGCTGAGGCCTGAGCCTGGGTGGGCTCTCCCATGCCCCAGGCTCAGAGATTTCACGTGAAGAATCCGGCTTCTTCATCCACTCTCTACTCCTTCGTGGACAAGGCAGGTGGAGGACAGATTGGCCCACAAGAAATCTGGGTGTTTGAAGATTAGGGACCCCAGAATAGTCTCTGACCTCCAAATTCCAGCCAGGAAACTCATCATTGTTTACCACCTGATGCTCTAAGACACATCAGTGCTTGACTGTCAACATATGTTCAGTGCATCTTGAGGGTGTTAATAGGCTGAAAGCAATGGCCAATTGTCCAGGATGACTGGGGAAGAGAAGAGTTGGTGGTTAACCATCCCATAATCTTCATCAAAGCTGCCCTCAGGCCTTCCTTGGTGTTTCTATTCTTTCCTTATGTATGTATAAATACAATTTATAAATTTCATATATATATTTCAGTATATATATATGTATATATATACATATATATATATACTGGAACATATAAATATGTACTTCAGTATATATATACTGGAACACATAAATATATATATAATATATATACTGAATAGAAATATATTTTTACATTCTAAAACTATATTGACCCAATTTGGCAGCCTAAGCGATGATGAAGCGGAGCAGATTTAGCTTGGCACATGGAGTCCTGTTCTACACAGGCTCCAAGACGAGCAGAGCCAGCCTATGATGGAGAGAGTGTCTGAGAGTAGAAAAATAATCAGAAAAATGGTGGCGGGCAAGGTAGAAGAATTAGTGGCAGAACGTTCCTGGATTATTTTTCTGAAGTCAGAAGCTCCAAGGAGGCAGCACTAATGGCAATTAATTGGTTAAAAGAATATTTCAACTAAACTTGTCTCACACTGGGTTTATGTAACTTGGTCTAGTGTAAGGTTCAGGGTGAAAATGGAGATAAGAATTAGAGTCAAGATGGCAGAAAATCTTCCCATTCTTGTTCTTGATAGAAAATCCATCTTCCGTTCTCCTCGCACCTCCTATGTCTTGTTTACATCGTTCATAATGCCTTCTCTTTCTGCTTGCAGGCCTGATTTTAACTCTAACAAATAAACTATTTGGGCAATTATTTCACTAAGTCTTTTTCCACTACCAAACCAGAAATGGGGACAGAAATGACAACAAATGTCTTTGAGTGAATGAGTGAATGAATGAAGGGCTGGATCACTGAATGAATAGGTGTTCAGTGCTGTGTTGGGTACAAGGGGTCCAGAGAGGAACAGAGAGAGGAGGCCTGGCCTCAAGGATCTGACAGTGGAGCAAGTAATTAGAAGGCTGAGGAATGCTTCAAAGCACAAGGGCAGTGAGCTATGAGAGTCTCCAGCAACCTGGCATGGTTTGGGGGTATATGAATTTAATGCCTCAAAAAATGCTTTGTTTAATGCACTAAACAAAGAGGTGGGAATCTGAGGAAAATGAGTGCCAGGCAGACAGAACTGTGTATGCCAAGGCCCGAGGCAGGGAAGGGATTAGCTCATTAGCAAGAGGGAAAGAAAATCACTGTGGCTGGGCCAGAGCGAAGGGGAGAAGGGCATGGAGTGAGGGGGCAGGGGCCAGATCACACAGGGCCTTCAGTCCTTACTGGGCTGGGCTTTTCTCTAAGGGTAGTAAGAAGCCATTGATGAGTAGTAAGCCATGCAGTGACATAATCAGGTTTGTTTTTTTTTTTAAAAAAATGAATTTCTCTGGCTGCTGTGTGGAGAATGGATTGGCCAGAGGGAAGAATAAAGAAGGCAAGGCCCGTCAAGAGGCTGCAGCGGCAGTCCAGGTGAGAGGTGATGCAGGCTTGATCTTGGTGGCAGTCCTGGAAATGAGGAGGATGGGGAGGATCCGGGAGTAATTCAGGAAGAACTTGTAAAGTGTATGAGTCAGAAGAAGGAGTCAGGGATAACACCCAGGTGTGCGGTTTGGGCAGCTGATGCACAGGTACTAAGAGGAGCAGTTCCTGGCTCATTTGGGAGCATCTTGAATTTAGTGTCCTGTGAGGAGCCATATGGTCAGTAATTGCTATGCAAGTCTGGAGCCTGAGAGAGGGCAGTGCTGGAAATAGAGAGAGTGTGAATGGTAAATGAACGGGGCGGGTCCAGGTAAGAGGAGCCTGAGGGAGTCCACCGACAGGCCAGTGGCTAGGCTGCCATGACTGTCTAGGGCAACGCAGCAACTCTGTGTGGTAACTCTTCCTGCATTTTGTTTTCTAGTCTGCATTTTCATGGGCATCAGATAATTAAATTCTCATATGTGGTAGAGGCTATGGTTGCTTACCCCATACCTATTCTCTCCTCTGCCTTGACAACAGACTCCTCTATTGTCAAAGGTCTCAATGTGCCCAGCTAGAAAACTATGCCTCCCGGCATCCTTTGCAGATAAAAATGGCTAGTGGGGTAAAAATGGAAATTGTTGAATGAGACTTTTAAAAAGTGTCCTAAGGGGGGCTGACTCAGCAAGGAGGCATATAACCTTTGGCTCTTCTATTTTTCTTTATTTCCTCCCTGGGACTTGGGCCTAATGGCTGGGGCTTCATTGGCCCTCTTGGACCATGAAGTAAACTTGAGGATGGAAGCTACACACTAAGGGTGGGGAAATGAGCAGAAAGATAGTTTCTGGGTCTCTGATGACTGTGAAGTTACCCTACCAGTCTGGGTGACTTCCAGGTTTCTTTGACATGAAATAAAAAATAAGCTTCTGCATTGTATAAGCCACTGATATTTGGATTTTGTGATTTATGCAGTCAAACTTAATCTGATAGATCATTCATACAATAATCAAACATGACAGTGAATTCAAGAGACTATATAGGAATACGCAAGAAAGGATAATGCAGGTCGGGTTGCTGCATGAAAGAAGAAAATGTTCTGTCTTATATCATCAGGGAAATTTTCCACATTTCTTTCAATGTCTTGAACTGGGAGTGCAACAACCAAAGCAGAACGTCCCAAGTCTCTCCCCTTGGGAGTCTATTAGCAACTGCATCTTTGAAATCACAAGGGCATGTCAATTCCATATACTGAAAGCAAGTACAAAAACTGTGCTCAATGTGATTAAGACCTAACAACTATAATTGAATAATTGCAAAGTTTATTTCAGACAATTTAGAAAGTGCAGGTATCTCAACTGCTTGGAATTCACATTCTGTACAAAGTTTGCTTGCAAAATTTCCAGAAAATTTTATTTATATATATATTTTTTTATATTTTATATATATTTTTTATATTTTATATATATTATATTTTATATATATTTTATATTATATATATAATATATATATATATAAACGTGATTCTCAGTTCCTGTTAGTCCACTAATTCTTCTAGAAGTTGGTCTCCAGGTTGCCTGACAAAGGAGGTATGTGAAGGCCAAAATCCAACCTGGTCTTTCTGCCCAAAGGCTACCTGGGGGTAGGGCCAGTTCCGCCTGGAGGCAGCAGCACTTTTTACAATTTGTCCCCCTTAAGAGGCATCCTTTGGCAATTGACACTGAGATGCTAATGCATTAGCAAGTCCCCTGGTAGATACATGCACTCACGTTGCTCCTCTAAATGGCATTCAAGAAGCTGAGGCATGGGAAGGCGTATCAGGAGTCCCTCCAAACAGCCGAGTAGGCAGATGAGCACTTTGAGGGATTGGTACACAGAAATTTATTACAGGTAGACAGGTATGGATAACCTGTGACCGAGCTGTAGCCACTAATATAAACTCCAAAAAGAGGAAAGCATTTTACTTCCGACCAAGACTAAGGAAATGAGGATGTGACAAAAAGGGGAAATTTTGAAGAAATTTCTTTGGCGCTTCTGTTGCTCTCTAGCAGCCCCTTGTGGTACTTGAAACAATCTGCAGCCCGGTGCCTCTTCCAGGGCCTGCTCTTAGCTGCAAGAGGTTTGAACCCTAAGAAACCGATACCTCAAATGCATTAGAATCCCTCTTCTAGGCACAAGAATCTCATATACCTTTCAAAAAAAAAGTTCACAGTAGCCAAAAAGAAACTAGCAATGCATCAATTTTCTGAACACCAGTGAAGCTCATTCTGTAAGAGAACCAGTTGGGTTAAGAATCTCTCTCTGTCTCCCCCGTTCTCCAAACATTTCATAAAATCTGTGCTCAGGTAAATCAATGGACACAATACCACAGTTCTGTAGGATAGACAGCCAGGAAGTAGGCAAAGGTCGGCTCATGAAGGGCCCTTTGTGTTCTGCTGGGAAATTTTAAGGCAATAGGGAGGTAGGTAGGATGTAAGTAAGGAGGTGACACGATCAAACCTATTATTTACAAAAGATCGTCCTGGAAACAGGGTGCAGCTTGGTTGGGCTGGGGGGAGAATATGGATTAGGAGACTGTGACGTCAAGACTGACTTGGGTCAGGAGACGCTGACCCAAGGCAAGCGTGGAGGCATAAAGACAGAAAAGGAGAGCTTGAAGAGACATGTGTGATGAGAACTGGAAGAGACATGTGTGATGAGAACTGAAGGGCTTAGCAAATGGCCAGATTTCCAACTAAAACAACTCAGTGGCTGGGATCGTCAAGAACTGATACTGCAAACAGGATGTGTGGAGTACGGTAAGGGGTGGAGAGATTGGAAGAGGAGAACTGGATGAGTTTAGATGGTTTCATGGAAAGAGCTTTGCCTCTGGAGTAAGGCTCCTGCCCTGATGCTACTTTGTTCTGTTTTCTATTTGGCATCCATTTCTATGTAGCATCCATTAATCAGAGGGCCAAACTAATGGCCAAAGTTGTTAACATCTCCCCAGAAATCCAGCTTCCACAGGTGCATGAAAATCATTTACAGACCTTCCAACCAGTCCTCAGTCCGTACCCCAAATCACCTCCCCTATCAAACTCACACACCCAAGGGCTAGGCACCAGGTGACTAGAGAATGTCCCAATGCCCCAAAGCCTGCTAGAAGGATGTAGACTAGCCAGTCCTACACTGTTTACCCTGTCCCGCCTTGCCTTTCCTGCAGAAATCCCAGTCCAGGCTGTGGCCTATGCTTTCCCCTTCTGCCTCTTGACCTCTTATGCTTCCCCATGTGACCCTGTGTCACATGACATGCCTTCTCCTCTTGGGAAATGTAGTAAAAATCTTTCAATGGCATTAACTTCTGTGTGATACCACTCAATTCCTTTTATTTATCTTGTTTTTATAGACAAGGTCTCAATCTGTCACCTATGCTGAAATGCAGTCGTGCTATCACAGCTCACTGCAGCCTCAACCTCCTGGGCTCAAACGCTCCTCTTGCCTCAACCTTCTAAGTAGCTGGAAGTACAGGTGTGCACCAACACCAAGACTAGCTAATTTTTTTTTTTTTTTTTTTTTGTAGACACGGGGGTCTCACCAGCTCAGGCTGGTCTGGAACTCCTGACCTCAAGCGATCCTCCTGCCTCAGCCTCCCAAAGCATTGGGATTACAGGCTTGACCCACCATGCCCGGCCTCAATTTGCTTTAAAAATTAAGACATGAGCACAAATCACACCTCTTCCTTTGTAATTCTAGCTATGTTACTACCTTTGAATTTTCTTTTGCTCACCTAAAATATATGAGTAATAAAAAAAATTTATGTGATTGTCATGAGGCTTATTTAAAATATATGATAACAGGACGGGTGTGGTGGCTCATGCCTGTAATCTCAGCACTTTGGAAGGCCAAAATGAAAGGATCACTTAAGACCAGGAGTTTGAGACCAGCCTGGTCAACATGAAGAGACCCCCATCTCTTTTTTTTTTTTTTTTTGAGACAGAGTCTCACTCTGTCACCCAGGCTGGAGTGCAGTAGTATGATCTCGGCTCACTGCAACCTCCGTCTCCCAAATTCAAGCAATTCTTCTGCCTCAGCCTCCTGAGTAGCTGGGACTACAGGCGTGCACCACCATGCCCGACTAACTTTGGTATTTTTAGTAGAGATGGAGTTTCACCATAGTGGCCAGGCTGGCCTCAAACTCCTGTCCTAGTGATCCACCCGCCTTGGCCTCCCAAAGTGCTGGGATTACAGGTGTGAGCTGCCACACCCGGCCCCCATCTCTTAAAAAAAAAGAAAAGTTATAAAAGTCTTTGCACATTATAATCATGTTCATTATTATCACTAACTCTCAAGAATGTGATCTGCTAGTGCCTTTTTCCCAGCAAACTCAGCTTCTTACAGGCACAATATTGTCAATGAATTCATGTTCATGAAGCATCACCCCTGTCCAGATGCAGGGCATCCTATAACCCAGGTAAATTCACTGTGATCTGACCAAGCAACAGATATAGAGCTATGAGAAACAGGATTGGTTGGTCTTACCTAATGCATACAAAACTCTTCACTTAAAAGAGAAAAATTAGTAAAAAGGACTCCCCCTGTGTATTTTTTTAAATGTTATATTTATGATCATTCTAGCTAGAACTTTTCAGGAGTCCAACTATTCAGAACTTGACTATTAAGCCTTTGTTTAAACCCAATTGTTAGTTTATAAAAACTTCCCGCTAGACTCTCAATTATTGTTGTTCTAAACACAATGATTTGAGAACAAAAATGAAACAAAAGATGTTTTAGAAAGAAAAGAAAGGCAATACATGAAAAAAAGCAGACAGAAGGAAAATGGCCTTTTCCAGCAGCAAAATGCTGTTCTTGTTATTCCAAAACATAACAGTAATTCTACAGAGAGCCTCCCACAGTTTCAAGTTGCTAACAAAGAAAGGCTTGTCCAATACCAGTCAGAGAGTATCAGAACCAAGATGGTGACTCTCTTTAAAGGAACTCAGCATGAGAAAATTTCTAGATTTCCCATAGCATTTAATGCTAACTCCATGTGGTTCAGAGTGAGAACAGATTGCAGCAGGATCACAACCAGAATGAGGCATGTGAGATGCCTGAGGTGCAAAATTTAAGGAGGCACATGGACTCCCAACTCTGTTGAGTGTCCCTGGTCCCCACCCTATGGTACAGCTACAAGGATAAAGAATTTCCATTCTAACACCATTAACATAGAGGAGCTCTATCAAGTGGCTAGCCCTCAGCTGTAGCATAGTCTAAATACACACTATTGTATGCTGTACTCCACGCTGAAGCAGGCCTCTATGGATGGACTGGGTCCTTTGCCAAGTAGCTTTCATAGAAATCTAACGACAGTCCTGAATTTGAAGAGGAACTGAAACTAAACATTTGCTTATTCAGACCAGAAGTAGAACAAACTCTCAGCCTCAGTGAGGTACAAGTCAGTGTTTCTGAGAAATTCACAAGTTCTACAAAAACACCTTTTATGAAAGTAGCCACCACCCAAGATCACCCACGTACTTAATTCCAGTAGTGCTTGGGGTAAAAAATTTCCCTATATCTAGTTCTTCCTTTAGCCTCACTCACTCCAGGCTTGGACAGGTTGCCAGTAAAACTCTGGGTTTTTTTTTAAATCTGGGATACAATTATTCCCATAAGTCTGATGGCAAATGAGTGCATTCTGTGGAGTGTTTGGTTTTTCCAGATTCAAGAAAAGCTCTATTTAACTGCAAAGGGTGCTTTTCAGCTGTGTCCCTACTAAAAGCTTCCCATACAGTCACTCTCAAGACTGTTGTTCTTTTTTCACTAGAGACGGCCACAGTCATTATGTTGTAAGCATTCTGAGTTGATGCACATGGGAAGGAACTTCGGGGTCAACATTCAATCTGGCTTCAGGAGTTGCCAGATTTGAGTGTTGGTTTCTCAGTTAGTCTGCTGCCCCGAAGCTCCCCCATAAATCCTTCTGTGAATGGGTAATTTATTCAATCCTGCAACAAATATTTACTGAGCACTTACTCTGAACCAGCACTGTTCCAGGCACCAGGGATGTATCAGTGAACAAAACATGCAAATTCTGTCATCACATAGTTTACATTCTAGAAGGGGAGGCAGAAAATAACCAAAAGCACGTCAATAAACTATACAGTAAGTTAGAAGATTATACGTTGTAGGGGAAGAAAGAGAAAGTTGAGCAGGGTAGGTGGGATGGGATGTGCTGGGGATGGGGGCAGCATAGAGGTGGACATGGTGGGATGGTGCCGATGGCAAGGTTAAATAGGACTGTCAAAGTCGGCCTCTTGGAAAAGATGAAATTAAGGAGATACTTTAAGGAAGTGAGAGGATTATCCAAAGATAACTAGGGAAAGAGCATTCCATACAAAGGGAACAGCCAGTTCAAAGGCCATGACAGGGGTGTGTTCTTGTTGTGCTCTAGAAACTGCAATGAGGCCCGTGAGGTTGGAAGGAAGTGAACAAAGAGAACGGAAGAGAACTTTGAAGAGGTGACGAAGGCCAGATCGTGACAGGCCTTGATAAGTGTAAGACGAAAAGACATTGCACGGTTTTGAGCAGAAGAGTGATCATGACTTCATTTTAAAAGGATTCCTCTAGCTGCTGCTTTGAAAATAGTCTGTTGTGGGAGGGAAAACAGCAAAGTGGGGAGACTTTTGAGGAGCCTACTGCAGTCATACAGGTGAAAGGTCATGATGGCATGGCCCAGGGTGGCAGCACTAGAGAGAGTGAGAGCGGTCAGATTCTGAATAGATTTCAGGTATGCTTAAGGGAGAACCAGAATCTTGGCAGATTAGACACAGAACGTGAGAAAGAGGATTGCCAAGGATGACTCCAAGATTTGGGGCATGAGCAACTGGAAAATTAGAGTTGCCATCAACTGAGATGATGGACACTGATGGTGGATCAAGCTTGAGAGAAGGAAGAAGTTAAGTTTTTTGTTTTTTTGGTTTTTTTGTTTGTTTGTTTTTTGAGATGGGGTCTCGCTCTGTCACCCAGGCTGGAGTGCAATGGCACAATCTCGGCTCACTGCAACTTCCGCCTCCTGGATTCAAGAGATTCTCCTGCCTCAGCCTCCTGCGTAGCTGGGATTACAGGTGCGCACCATCATGCCCAGTTAATATTTGTATTTAGTAGAGATGAGGTTTCACCATGTTAGTCAGGCTGGTCTCAAACTCTTAACCTCATGGTCAGCCTGCCTCAGCCTCCCAAAGTGCTGGGATTACAGGTGTGAGTCATCGCATCTGGCTTGGAAGTTAAGTTTTTTGTTTGTTTTGTTTTGTTTTGAGACAGGGTCTCACTCTAGTCGCCCAGGCTGGAGTGCAGTGGCATGATCACAGCTCACTGCAGCCTCGACTTCCTGGGCTCAGGTGATTCTCCCACCTCAGTCCCCTGAGTAGCTGGGACTGCAGGCATGGGCCACTATGTCTTGCTAATTTTTTGCATTTTTAGTAGAGACAGGGTTCTGCCACATTGCCCAGGCTGGTCTCAAACTCCTGGGCTCAAGTGATGGAAATTGTTTTGAAGGTAAGAGATCAGCTACTTTATATCCTGGCATGCCTGCAGTCCCAGCTACTGGGAAACTGAAGTAGGATGATCTCTTGAGCACAGGATCTCTTTGAGTCCAGCCTGGGCAATGTAGTGAGACCCCATCTCTAAAACAGATATATATAGCTGATAGATAGATAGATAACAGATAGATAATAGATAGATAGATAGATAGATAGATAGATAGATAGATAGATAGATCAACTATTTGACATTCAAATGAAGATGTTGAGTAGGCAGTTGGACACACAACGAGATAGCGAGAGAGAGAGAGAGAGAGAGGCCTGGGTTACAAATATACATTTAGGATCTGCCAGCATATAGATAGTATTTGAAGCCCTGAAGTTAGATGAGACCAAAAAAACAAACAAACAAGACTCTTAGAGAGTCTGCAGCACCTAACCTAGAGACCTGGGGCACTCTAACATGAATAGAGGCCAGGAAAAAAAGGATCAGCAAAGCAACTGAGAAAAAAACAACCTGTAATGCAGGAGAAATACCAAGAGAGTTTGATATATTGGAAGCACAATGAAGAAAGCATACATTAAAAATTAAAATGACAGATATCCCCATACAACTTTTTAGTTTGTTGCAAATAGGTTGTATCGCTTATGCTTACAAATGTTATTTGTTACAAAGAATGGATAACTGAAAATAGTCGCCTAAAGATGTATTTTTCTCATGCAAAAAAGAATCTAGAGGTAGATAGGTCAGGGCTAATGCACCTATGCAAGAATGTCATTTAAAAGCCTGTCTTCTGTCTCCTGGACTGCCACTTTCAGTGTGTAATTTTTAACTTCATGGTCAAAAGATGATTGCTGCAACTCCAGGCAGTAATTCTAAGTTCCAGGCAGAAAGAAATGGGAAGAGCAAAATGAGAAAGACAGAACCTTTTCCTCAAGCTTTTACTTTTTCAGTGCACTAAGGAAGTCCTCCCAAGAAATTGCACCTACATCTTACTGGCCAGAATAAAATTCCATCTGCAAGGGAATTTGAGTACATTGATTTCCAACACTTGCATTAGAAAAAAGTAATAATGGCAATGTTTAGAAAAGATGTTCAGTGAGCCAATCTACTCAGTCATATATACAGCATCTGCAGCAGAGGGTAAGAAATGATACAATAAGGATCTTATGGCTGTAGAAATAAATAGAAAGCTGGAGTGTCCAAGGTAATATCTCTCTGATAAATATATGTATCTAAATGACTTTGTACCTATACCTGAGAGTTATAACCAGACCACTACCCTATTGCTTCCATTTGAACCTCATTTTGTTTTTATTCTGATCAATATCCAAGAATTTCACATGTGAGAATTTTTGTTTTAACTCTATATTGGACCAATACCATTCTCATTTAAAATGAGATCAGCTCAAGAGGATGACTTCAAGAGCCAAACAACCTTGCAGCTCCATCATCACTTTTGGTTTATGGGAATGACTGGCTCCATCCCTGCCTTTCAAAGAGATGTTCTATCTGTAGATTATAGTTATTAAATATTCATGAACCCATCTTATAAGAGAAATATCAATTAATGAATTATGGCTTATTGTTCTTTTGGCTTAGAATACTCTTACCTTCTTCTCTGACTAGAAAAAAATATCCTTCAAAACTCAACTCAAATGCTTCTCTTCAACTTCTCCTAGCCTGACTAAAAGCTCTTTCCTTTGTAGTCTGATAATGCTTTGAATTATCTACCATACTGCATTTAATCAAAATTTGTAGAAGGCAACTAAAATAATGCTTAGACGGAAACATAGCATTAAATCCTTGTATTAGAAAGAATTGGCCAGGTGCGGTGGCTCACACCTCTAATCCCAGCACTTTGAGGGGCTGAGGCGGGCGGATCACATGAAGTCAAGAGTTTGAGAACAGCCTGGCTAACATGGTGAAACCCTGTCTCTACTAAAAATACAAAATTTAGCCAGAAATGGTAGCACACATCTGTAATCCCAGCTACTTGACAGGCTGAGGCAGGATAACCGCTTGAACTTGACTGGAGGTTGCAGTGAGCCAAGATCGTTCACTGCCCTCCAACCTGGGTGACAGAGTGAGACTGTCTCAAAAAAAAAACAAAACAGAAAAATCATGATTTCAAATAAATTATATAAGCTTCTACCATAGGAAAGTAAGGGAAAAATAACAAATTAAGCCTAAGTAGGCAGAAGGAAAGAGGTAATAATGAGTAGAAACCAATGATATAAAATGGGACAAATAATAGGGAATAGATAAACAATGAAACCAAAAGCTGATTCATTGAAATTATCGCTAAAATTAATAAGCCTCTAGGCAAAATCATCAAAAGAAAAAGAGAGACCACACAAATTGTCAGTATCATGAATGAATGAAGGGACACTGCAGATCCTACAATAGTAATGAGTAATAAAATAATGTCATCAACAACTTCATGCTAATAAATTCAATAACATATGAAATCAACAAATTCCTTGAAAAACACAAACTATCCCATCTTACTCATGAATAAGTAAATATCCTGGCTGGACATGATGGCTCATGCCTGTAATCCCAGCACTTTGGGAGGCCAAGTTGGGGGAACTGCTTGAGGCCAGGAGTTTGAGACCAGCCCTGGCAACATAGCGAGACCCTGTCTCTCCAAAAAATTAAAAATTAGCTGACCATGGTGGCACATGCCTGTAGTCCCAGCTACTGAGGAGAGGCTGAGGCAGGAGGATTGCTTGAACCCAGGAGGTGGAGGCTGCAGAGCTATGATTGTGCCACTGCACTCCAGCCTGGATGAGAGAGGGAGAGCTCATCACTAAAAAGTAATTAATTAATCAATTAATTATCCTGAATAGCCTTATGTCTATTAACGAAATTGGACTAGTAATTTATAAACTTTCAACAAAAAATTACCAGGTCCAGGTGGATCCAATGGTAAATTATATCAAACATTTAAGGAAGAAATATCAATTCTACACAAACTGTTCCAGAAAATAGAAAAGGAGGAAACTTCCCAACACATTCTGTGATGCCATTATTACTCTGTTACCAAATGAAGGCAAAAACATGACAAGAATAGAAAACTACAGGTCAATATCAGTCATAAGCATAGAGTTAAAACTCCTTAACAAAACATTAGTAAGTTGAATCTAGCAATATATAAACGTATTATATCATAACTAAGATGGTGTGAACTGGAGAATGCAAAATTGCTTTAGCATTTGGAAACCAGTCAGTGTAATTTACCATATAGTCATCCCTCAGTATCTGTAAAGGATTGGATCCAGGACCCCTCTGCAGATATCAAAATCTGAGGATGTTCAAGTCCCTTATGTAAAATGATGTGGCGTTGTATAAAACCTATGCACATCCTCCTGTATACTTTAAAAATCTCTACATTATTTATACTACCTAATACAATGTAAATGCCATGCAAATAATTGTTATACTAGATTGTTTTATTTGTATTATTTGTATTGCTGTATTATTTTTTATTTGTTTTTTAAAAATATTTTTCACCCACAGTTTGTTGAATCCAGAGATGTGAAACCTGCAGATTCAAAGGCTGATTGTATTAAGAAATGAAAAAATGAAAATTATGTGATAATCTTAAGAGATGCAGAAAACACTTTCCACAGATCCCAACATCCATTCCAGATAAAAACCTCTCACCAAACTAGGAACAGAAAGAAACGTGTTTAAACTGATGAACAATGTCCATGAAAAGTCTATAGCTAACATCATATTGAATGGTGAAAGACTGAATACTTTCCCCCTTAATATCAGGAATCAAGCAAGGATGTGGCTTTTGCCATTTCCATTCCACTTTGTACTGGAGTTCATAGCCAGTGCAATACAGTAAGCAGAAGAAATAAAATACATCCACATTGGGAAGGAAGAAGCAAAATTGTCTTTACTTGCAGTTAACATTGTCTACATCTAAAATTCTAAGGAATATACAAGGTTGCAGAAGATAAGGTCAATTGAATTTCCATAAACTGGATAGAAATAGAAATTTTAAAAATACCATTTACAATAGGATCAGCTAAAAACATGAAATATATAACTTATAAATAAGTTAACAATGTATATATAAGTGCACTAAAAACTACAACATTTAGGAAACCCCAATCTTTTATAATGAGCTGCAAGCAAACCTGACAAACGTTTGTCCCAGAAGGAGACATCATCTTTATTATATTGCACATCAAGCAAATCTGCCCTCTGCTCTAGAGAGAGACTCTCTTTCTTCCATGATAGAGAGAGGACTCTTGTCTGTTGTTATTAATTTCCAAACCTCAGGACCTACTTCAAGCAAATCTGCCCTCTGCTCCAGAGAGGGACTCTCTCTTTCTTCCATGATAGAGAGGAATCTTGTCTGTTGTATTAATTACCAAACCTCAGGACCTAAAGCAGTGCCGAGCTCAATAACATTGAAGAATAGTTAGGGAGGATGGATGTGAAGGTGGCCATGAAAGTATCTGGAATTAAAGCAAAGACAGGGACTGCAGAAGTAAAGCTACCAGGTATGGTTACCCCGGCCTTACTTAGTTCCCTGTTCTCAAATTCTGCAACCATACTTTGTGTTCTCTGGTTGCAGGAATGCTTCAGTTTTATCAGAAGGCTCCAGTAAGCTTTATTCTTTATCCTACTCCATCGGCTTTCTACTTTTTCACTCTAAGGAAGGACTGTGGCCTCCACCTACCACAGTTTTCTTCTCTATGATGTAGTGTTTCCCTCAGGTAATTAGCTGGTTGAAATCAACTGTACCAGCTGTCTCATTTACGCATTTCAGAGATCAGCTAAACAAAGAGGAGGCTGTTCTCTAATAAATATTTGTTGAAGGAATTAATAAAAAGTGACTTTCTGTGACTGGATTATTACAGCGTGTTCTCATGCATTTTCTCCTTTTAGGAAACCAAGTCGTAGTCTTTCTAGAAAGAAAGAAAGGATGTCTAATAATCTCAGGGTAATGAAAGACGAATCTACTCTGGAATTGCCTTCATATACACCTGATATTATATGCAACCCTGTGGGATAGCAAGCTGAACAAAATGAGAAGTCTGATGGAATACTCAGGAAAGAGACCAAAAAGGTTTTCTTTATTTCAAAGAGTTACTTAATTCTTAATCAAGTCTAAAACTTTGACCAGCCACACAATCTGCACCTCAAACACCACACAGAAAATACTGGATCCGATTCTGTTCAGAGCAGTCAGCATGAAATGTAATGAAATTCAAAATAGACAGGATACACATGCTCCAGAGGGAAGTCATTAATACCCATGAATAATGATAAAGCAAAATACCATCTGCCAGCATAATGTGGCAAATCTTTTTAAAATTCCAATTAGCCTATAAACCAGAAACAGGGAGCAAATATGCTCCCTCTGCCATGTGAGACCATGTGTCCTTGATGTCTCCATCACTTTATATGTAAACGAAAGTGTGAGTGATGGAAACATTACCCATAGATGAATAGATTTTGGAGAATATATTCATTATTCTTTAAGACACAGGTGCTATGTATCTAACTGCGTGGAACAGAATGTTATAATCTGCTAATTAAAGCCACATATGTATTTTCACATATATCTTAATGGGAGGGGGTGAAAAATTGTGTCTGTTATAAACACAGTATATTAATTTTGCTATAACAATGTAGTTGGATTTAATCCTTACATGTATTTAGAACGAGAGATAATGAAACATTTCTATCACTGTTATCCCAGGGAAAATTGCCTAGTTTATGATGGATTCAGATATTCTTAGCCATTTTCCTGAACTGCATTTTGTGAAGCACATAGCTATTAAAATCATAATACCCATTATTAGAACTGGTGTATTATACCCTGAAAAGAAATTGTTCTGATTACAAACGTGTAGAATAGTTCCACAGGCTGACTAGCTCATCACTTGTCTTTTGAAATATCTCAAGAAGCAAGCAACCTACTTCTGAGCGCAGATATTTTTCTGTACCTCTTCCTTTTCCCATGGTTTGTTGTAGTATAAATGACACTGGCATTAGTATTTTTGCAGTTTCTAATCCTAGTGCTGTCAGTATTCAGTTACACAATTTTTTAAAAGTCATTTGTCTTGTGCTATCTTGGTTTCCTCATCTATAAAATGTCTTCCCTTCTTTTGTAAGAATCAAAAGAAGTAAATGTGAAAGAATCTTTGAACAAGTTTTAAGTATTCGAAGAGTAAAAGTCATTTTCATTTTATTATGACTAGATAAAGTAGATGGAGTTGTCTGCATTGTATTAAGAAGTAGAATTGTACATTTTAAAAGGACAAAATTATCCAAGCAAGTTTGGAGTACCCTGTGTTGCTGCCGTATTAGGCAGCTATTGTTTAATCAGCAGGGTTCTTGTTCCCAATGATCTGTCTTCTTCCTGGAGCTGGAACTGAGATACAGCCAATATCCCACCTACAGCTAGTTCCTTGGAGGTTTTTATTTTATTTTTCCATAAGTTTTGAAGTACTGGTGGTATTGGCTACATGATTAGGTTCTTTAGTAGTGATTTGTGAGATTTTGGTTCACCCACTTCCCAAGAAGTATACACTGCACCATACTTGTAATCTTTTATCCCTCGCCCCCTCCCATGCCTCCTCCCAAGTCCCGTAGTCCATTGTATCATTCTTATGCCTTTGCGTCCTCATAGCTTAGCTCCCACAGATCAGTGAGAACACACGATGTTTGGTTTCCCATTCTTGAGTTACGTCACTTAGAATAATAGTCTCCAGTCTCATCCAGGTCACTGCAAATGCTGCTAATTCATTCCTTTTCATGGCTGTGTAGTATTCCATCATACATATATATCTCATATATGCATATGTATATATATATATCAGTTTCTTTTTCCACTCGTTGATTGATGGGCATTTGGGTTGGTTCCACAATTTTCCAATTGTGAATTTTGCTGCTATAAACATGTGTATGCAAGTATCTTTTTCGAATAATTACTTCTTTTCCCCTGAGTAGATACCCAGTAGTGATATTGCAGGATCAGATGGTGGTTCTACTTTTAGTTCTTTAAGGAATCTCAGCTGGGCACAGTGGATCACACCTGTAATGACAGCACTTTGGGAGCCCGAGGTGGGTGGATCACCTGAAGTCAGAAAGTTCGAGACCAGCCTGGTCAACATGATGAAACTCGTCTCTACTAAAAATACAAAAATTACTCGGGAGTGGTGGCAGGTGCCTATGATCCCAGCTACTCAGGAGGCTGAGGCAGGAAAATCACTTGAACCCAGGAGGCAGAGGTTGCAGTGAGCCATGATTGCACCAGTATACTCCAGCCTGGGTGACAGAGTGAGACTCTGTCTCAAAAAAAAAAAAAAAAAAAAAAAAAAAAAAAAAAAAAAAAGAGTCTCCACACTGTTTTCCATGGTGGCTGTCATAGTTTACATTCCTGCCAGCAGTGTTGAAGTGTTCCCTGTTCATGGCATTCACACCAACATCTACTATTTTCTGATTTTTTCATTATGGCCATTCTTGCAGGAGTAAGCTGGTATCGCATTGTGGTTTTGATTTGCATTTCCCTGATCGTTAGTGATGTTGAGCATTTTTTCACATGTTTATTGGCCATTTGTGTATCTTCTTTTGAGAATTGTCTCTTCATGCCCTTAGCCCACTTTTTGATGGGATTATTTGTTTTTTACTTACTGATTTGTTTGAGTTGGTTGTAGATTCTGGATATTAGTCCTTTGTCAGATGTATAGATTGTGAAGATTTTCTCCCAGTCTGTGGGTTGTCTGTTTACTCTGCTGACTATTCCTTTTGCTGTGCAAAAGCTCTTTAGTTTAATTAGGTCCCAGCTATTTATCTTTGTTTTTATTGCATTTGCTTTTGGGTTCTTGGTCATGAATTCCTTGCCTAAGCCAATATCTAGGAGGGATTTTCCAGTGTTATCTTCTAGAATTTTTATAGTTTCAGGTCTTAGGTTTAAGTCCTTAATCCGTCTTGAGTTGATTTTTGTATAAGGTGAGAGATGAGGATCCAGTTTTATTCTTCTACATGTGGCTAGCCAATTATCCCAGCACCATTTATTGAAAAGGGTGTCCTTTCCCCACTTTATATTTTTGTTTACTTTGTCAAAGATCAGTTGGCTTTAAGTTTTTGGGTTTATTTCTGGGTTCTGTATTCTGTTCCATTGGTCTATGTGCCTATTTTTATAACAGTACCATGCTGTTTTGGTGACTACGGCCTTACAGGGTAGTTTGAAATCAGGTAGTGTGATGCCTCCAGATTTGTTTTTTGTTTAGTCTTGCTTTGGCTATGCAGGCTCTTTTTTGATTCCACATGAATTTTAGAATTGTTTTTTCTAATTCTGTGAAGAATGATGGTGGTATTCTGATGGGGGTTGCATTGAATTTGTAGGTTGCTTTTGGTGGTATGGTCATTTTCACAATATTGATTCTGCCCATCCATGGGCATAGGATGTGTTTCTATTTGTTTGTGTCATCTATGATTTCTTTCAGCAGTGTTTTGTAGTTTTCCTTGTAGAAGTTTTTTGACTCCTTTGTTAGGTATATTCCTAAGTATTTTTTTTTCAGCTATTATAAAAGGGATTGAGTTCTTGATGTGATTCTCCACTTGGTCGCTGTTGGTGTATAGAAGAGCTACTGATTTGTGTACATTAATCTTGTATCCAGAAACTTTGCTGAATTCTTTTATCAGTTCTAGGAGCTTTTTGGAGGAGTCCTTACTTAGGGTTTTCAAGGTAAATGATCATATCATCAGCAAACGGTGACAGTTTGACTTCCTCTTTACTTGTTTGGATGCCCTTTATTTTTTTCTCTTGTCTTATTGCTCTGGATAGGACTTCTAGTACTATGTTGAAAAGAAGTGGTGAGAGTGGGCATCCTTGTCTTTTTCCAGTACTCAGAAGGAATGCTTTCAACTTTTCCTCATTCAGTATTATGTTGGATATGGGTTTGTCATAGGTGGCTTTTATTACATTAAGGTATGTCCCTTGTATGCCAATTTTGCTGAGAGTTTTAATCATAAAGCAATACTGGATCTTGTCAAATGCTTTTTCTGCATCTATTGAGAGGGTCATGTGATTTTTGTTTTTAATTCTGTTTATGTGGTGTATCACATTTATTGACTTGCATATGTTAAACCATCCCTGCATCCCTGGTATGAAACCCACTTAATCATGGTGGATTATCTTTTTTATGTTATTGGATTCAGTTAGCTAGTATTTTGTTAAGGATTTTAGCATCTATGTTCATCAAGGATATCGGTCTGTAGTGTTTTTTCTGTTTGTTTGTTTGTTTGTTTTTGTTGTTGTTGTTTTGGTTGTGTCCTCCCTGGTTTTGGTATTAGGGTGATGTTGGCGTCATAAAATGAATTAAGGAGGGTTCCTTCTTCTCTATCTTGTGGAATAGTGTCAAAAGGATTGATACCAAATCTTCTTTGAATGTCTGGTAGAATTCTGCTGTGAATCCATCTGGTCCTGGACTTTTTTTGGTTTATAATTTCTTAATTACTATTTCAATCTCACTACTTGTTATTGGTCTGTTCAGCATATCTAATTCTTCCTGATTTAGGCCACGAGGATTGTATTTTTCCAGGAATTTATCCATCTCTTCTAGGTTTTCTAGTTTATGTACATAAAGGTGTTCATAGTAGCCTTAAATGATCTTTTGTATTTCAGTGGTGTCAGTTGTAATATCTCCTGTTTTGTTTTTTAGTGAGGTTATTTGGATTTTCTCTCTTCTTTTCTTGGTTAATCTTGCTAATGGTCTATTTTATTTATGTTCTCAAAGGATCAGCTTTTTGTTTCATTTATCTTTTTTTTGGTTATAATTTTATTTAGTTCTGCTCTTGGTTATTTTCTTCTTGTACTGGGTTTAGGTTTTGTTTGTTCTTGTTTCTCTAGTTCCTTGAGATGTGACTTTAGGTTGTCTGTGCTTTTTCAAGCTTTTTGATGTAGGCATTTATGGCTATGAACTTTACTCTTAGCACTGCCTTTGTTGTATCCCAGAGGTTTTGATTGGTTGTGTCGTTATTGGCATTCAGTTCAAAGAATTTTTAAACTTCCATCTTGATTTTGTTTTTGACCCAATGCTCGTTCAGGAGCAGGTTATTTAATTTCCATGTATTTGAATGGTTTTGAAGATTCCTTTTAGAGTTGATTTCCAGTTTTATTTCACTGTGGTCTGAGAGAGTACTTGATATAATTTCAATTTTCTTAAATTTATTGAGGCTTATTTTATGGCCTATCATATGGTCTATCTTGGAGAAAGTTCCATATGCTGTTGAATAAAATGTGTATTCTGAGGTTGTTGGATGAAATGTTTTGTATATATCTGTTAGGTCCATTTGTTCCAAAGTATAGTTTAAATCCATTGCTTCTTTGTTGACTTTCCGTCTTGATGACCTGTCTAGTGCTGTCAGTGGAGTATTGAAGTCCCCCACTATTATTGCGTTGCTGTCTATCTCATTTCTTAGGACTATTAGTAATTGTTTTATAAGTTTGTGATCTCCAGTGTTAGGTGCATATATGTTTAAGATTGTGATATTTTCCTGTTGGACAAGGCCTTTTACCATTATATAATGTCCCTCTTTGTCTCTTTTAACTGCTGTTGCTTTAAAGTGTTTGTTTGTTTTTTTCTGATATAAGAATAGTTACCCCTGCTCGATTTTGGTGTCCATTTGCACAAAATGCCCCTTTCCATTCTTTTACTTTAATTCTGTGTAAGTCCTTATGTGTTAGGTGAGTCTCTTGAAGGCAGTAGATAGTTAGTTGGTGAATTCTTACCCACTCTGTGGTTCTGTATCTTTTAAGTAGAGCATTTAGGCCATTTACATTCAATGTTAGTATTGAAATGTGATGTACTGTTGCTTCCATCATGCTCTTTGTTGCCTCTGTGGTTTGGTTTTTTGTTTGTTGTTTTTGCTTTTTAAATTGTATTTTTGTTTTACAGGCCCTATGTGATTTATTCTTTAAAGACGTTCTGTTTCAATGTGTTTCCAGGATTTGTTTCAAAATTTAGGGTTCCTTTTAGCAGTTCTTATAGTGGTAGTTTGATAATGGTGAATTCGCTCAGCATTTATTTGTCTGAAAACAACTGTATCTTTCCTTCATATATGATGCTTAGTTTTGCTGGATACAAAATTCTTGGCCGATAAAATGTTTTGTTTGAGGAGGCTGAAGATAGTGCCCCAATCCCTTCTAGCTTGTAGGGTTTCTGCTGAGAAATCTGCCATTAATCTGATAGGTTTTCCTTTGTGCTTCTGTCTCACAGCTATTAAGATTCTTTCCTTGGTCTTAACTTTGGATAATCTGATGACAATGTGCCTAGGTGAAGATCTTTTTGCAGTGAATTTCCCAGGTGTTCTTTATGCTTCTTGTATATGGCTGTCTAGTATCTCACAAGGCCAGGGATGTTTTCCTCCATTATTCCCCCAAGTATGTTTTCTAAGCTTTTAGAATTGTCTTCTTCCTCAGGAACAACAATTATTCTTATATTTGGTTGTTTAACACAATTCCAGATTTCTTGGAGGCTTTGTTCATATTATTCTTTTTTCTTTTTTTTATTATTATGCTTTAAGTTCTGGGGTACATGTGCACAATGTGCGGGTTTGTTACATAGGTATACATGTGCCATGTTGGTTTGCTGCACCCATCAACTCGTCATTTACATTAGGTGTTTCTCCTAATGCTATCTCTCCCCCGGCCCCCCACCCCCTGACAGGCTCTGATGTGTGATGTTCCCCCCCGCCTGTGTTCATGTGTTCTTGTTGTTCAGCTCCCACCTATGAGTGAGAACATGTGGTGTTTGGTTTTCTGTCCTTGTAATAGTTTGCTTAGAATGATGGTTTCCAGCTTCATCCATGTCTCTGCAAAGGACATGAACTCATCCTTTTTTATGGCTGCATCTTATTCTTCTTTCTTTGTCTTTGTTGGATTGGGTTAATCTGAGGACCTTGTCTTTGAGCTCTAAAGTTCTTTCTTCTACTTGTTCAATTCTATTGCTGAGACTTTCCAGAGCATTTCACATTTCTAAAAGTGTGTCCAAAGTTTCCTGAATTTTTTATTGTTTTTTCCTTAAGCTATCTATTTCCATGAGTATTTCTCTCTTCACTTCTTATATCATTTTTTAGATTTCCTTGCATTGAGCTTCACCTTCTTCTGGTCCCTCCCTGATAAGCTTAATAACTAACTTCTTGAATTCTTTTTCAAGTAAATCAGGATTTCTTCTTGGTTTGGATCCATTGCTGGTGAACTAGTGTGATTTTGGGAGGTGTTGAAGAGCCTTGTTTTGTCCTATTACCAGGGTTGGTTTTCTGGTTTCTTCTCATTTGGGTAGGCTCTGTCAGAGGGAAGGTATAGGGCTGAAGGCTGTTGTTCAGATTCTTTTGTCCCACTGGGTGTTCCTTTGATGTAGTACTCTCCCCCTTTTCCTATGGATGTGGCTTCCTATGAGCTAAACTGCAGTGGTTGTTTTCTCTCTTCTGGGTCTAGCCACCCAATTAGTCTACCCAGCTCTGGGCTGGTACTGGGGGTTGTCTGCACAGAGTCCTGTGACGTGAACCATCTATGGGTCTCTCAGCCATGTATACCAGTGCTTGTTCTGGTGGAGGTGGTGGACAGTGCAATGGACTCCATGAGGGTCCTTAGTCTTGGTGGTTTAATGCTTTATCTTTGTGCTGGTTGGCCTCCTGCCAGAAGGTGGTACTTCCCAGGAAGCATCAGCTATAGTAGTGTGGAGAGGAACCAGTGGAGGGCGGAGCCCTAGAATTCCCAAGATTATGTCCTTTGTCTTATGCTACCAGCGTGGATAGGAAAGGACCATCAGGTGCGGGTGAGGCTAGGCATGTCTGAGCTCAGACTCTCCTTGGGCAAGTCTTGCTGAGGCTGCTGGGGGGAAATGGGAGTGAGATTCCCAGGTCACTGGAGTTGTGCACCTAGGAGGATTATGGCTGTCTCCGCTGAGTCATGCAGGTTGTCAGGCAAGTAGGGGAAAGCCGGCAGTCACAAGCCTCACCCAGCTCCCCCACAAACCGAAGGGCTTGTCTCACTCCCACCCTGCCCACCTCAACAGCCCTGAGTCTGTTTCCAGGCAGAGGGCAAGATGGGCTTGAAAACTTGCCCAAGGCTATCCTCCTCCCAGCTGGGAGAGAAAAGGGCTTTAGTTCTTCCTCTGCCTGTGAAGTCTGTACGCCCGATTTGCACCCTCCCCCGAGTTCCGGCCAGGAAGCTTCTTGCCCCTTTCAAATTGTTACAAAGTTCAGCTAGAGATTTCCTTCTCCCTGTGGAGTTTTACCCCCTGCTCCTCTGGCCACCCTCCCTATGGATCCCTGTGGTGCCAGGCAGGAATGGGCTGCTTGGGGACTCAGCGAGCTCCCAGGGCCTTTCTGCTGCTTCCTCCACCCCTGTATTTTGCTCAGCTCTCTAACTTGACTCAGCTTGAGGTAAAGTCAGAAACTTCTCCCGCAAGCAAAACTTCAGCTGCTCCAGTGGGACTGCGCATTCGGTAGAGGAGGGTCTCCCTGTACCACTTCCGCATTTGGGGCAACTCACAATATTTGGGGTGTCTCCCCGGTCCTGCAGGAGAAGTCCACTTCCATCAGAGGGTCTGTGGGTCCTCTCAGGATCTGGAGCTAAAATTCACAATGCAAGCTGCTGCATGCTGCTCTGTCCTGAGCTGCAATCTAGTCTTGCCTCTCATATGCCATGATCTTCTGAATCCCTCCTTGGAGGTTTAACTCCAAAGAAGTATGCTTCCAGCTGCAGGCTACTTGAATTTGGATAAGGAGTTATATTGGAATAGGGTGCTATATTCTGATTATTAACAACATAATCAATTTTCATTATCCGTGAGCTCAAAATAAGGTGAGTTGTACCATTTTTTTAAATTCCTAAAGTCACTTGCTTCAGTATGCTTCAGAACACAAAACCCACATTCTCTCACACTTACCACATTGTATTTCTTCCAATCCTATTTTGAAGACCATGATTCCTGGGCAATGTGGAGCAGAGACTAGAAAACTGCATGTAATGTGCAAAGCCAGTGATTCACGTGCAGATGCTCAAGAACTTATGTATCAATCCTATCTGAAGACTTCAGCTCAACATCAATTTATTTCTGCACACCCTTTGGCCTAGCAATTTCATTTGTAGAAATCCATTCTACAAAACACATTTTTGTATGCAAATATGTATGTTGCAAAAATGTTCATGAAATCATTTTAATAGCAAAGAACTGGAAACTATAAATCCATTTTACAAGACCATGATTGCATAAATTATGGTACATTTACATAATGGGATCCAATGGAGCTAATACCTCTGTATACTTTTCACAGAGATCGCTAAAACAGCATTAAAAAAAAAACAGAACTGTGGACTGTGTTATGGGTAATGATTTGGCAATGTAGGTTCATCAGCTGTAGCAAAGGTGGAGAATGTTAGTGATGGAGATGCTATGTTGGTGTGGGGGCAGGGCACACAGGGGAAATCTCTGTACCTTCTACTCAATTTTACTGCAAATCTAAAACTGCTTTAATAAATAGTTTTAAAAAGGAAAGAAAAAAGAACATTACAAAGGATTACATAAAGTGAGAACCCATTTAGGTAGATATGAAGCAAACGTAGAGATGTGTGTATGGGAATATATATACACAGATGCATACAAAGGGAACTGGAAGTTTAAAAGACACACCAAGTGGTGCAGCTCTGCCTCTTGGAAACAGGACAGGGACAGGGAAGAAGACACGGTGAAAAAAATAATTTAACATTTTACTTCCTACACTTTTACGACAGTTGAATGTTGTACAGAGTTACTGCAGTCCTGTATTCCTTATGCAGGGGAAGAAAACACCACAGGATAAAGATGAACAATCAAAAAAATGATGAGACCAAAGATGAGCCAAGTGCCAATCATCTTTAAGTCAAATACTGTGTCGTGGAACAATCTAGCTCATATAATGTCTTAAACCTTAGATATTCTATTGGTTCATCAAAAGCCTAATAAAGGCCAGGCGTGGTGGTTCACACCTGTAATCCCAGCACTTTGGGAGGCCGAGGCAGGCAGATCATCTAAGGTCAGGAGTTCGAGACCAGCCCGGCCAACATGATGAAACCCCCATCTCTACTAAAAATACAAAAATTAGCCAGGCATGGTGGCAGGCGCCTATAATCCCAGCTACTTGGGAGGCTGAGGCAGGAGAATTGCTTGAACTCGGGAGGCAGAAGTTGCAGTGAACTGAGATCACGCCACTGCACTCCAGCCTGGATGACAAGAGCAAAACTCCGTCTCAGGAAAAAAAAAAAAAAGGCCTAATATAGAGTCCTACAAATGTTGCTAAGAAAGTAAATAGAACAGGATTGCTTTAATTCTTATGATTAAACTAAAAACAAAAATGCTGAAACCTTAGTATAACTTTAAATTATATATCATTTATTGAAATATAAAGATCTTCATTTACACGTTTTAAAACAAAAACATGAACAGGGGCATTCGTAATACATTTTGTATTGGTAGACCCTATCAAGTTAGTTTTTCTCACACATTCACCACACCATTGTTTTGGGAACATGTAAGTATCTTTCTTTTTATTATTTCTAAAATATAAATTTTGGACATTCAAAAGTGCAACAGTTAATGTGCCTGTGGGGATTATCACAGTTAAAAAAATATAAACGAAGGCAGTGATACAGCTTGTCATAAATGTTTTGGCAGTATTCTCCAAGTCTATATAGAAATACATATATACATATTGATGTATAACATCATTTTATCTTATGTCCCTCTTCACAAAAATAGGACCATTTTGTACAGATTGGCAGACCACATTTTAAGGACATCACTAATCGTTTAAAAAGTCACAAATAGTGTTTCTCAGGCCGGCTTTGATTGTCATCATAAAAATAGAAAGTAGGAAAGATTGGCAAATTTTCTTCTGGAGACTTTGCAGGAGGCCAAAAGGAAACAAATCTGGAATTTGCTGAAAACACACACACACACACAAATGCAGTCATATACAAATTCAGGTGGGAGCATTTGTTAGGACTGGAAACTGCTGGACTGAGAAGTTTCATCCGGCCTCATGATGTCATGCAAGGCTCACAGCAATATCAAAATGCAAAGCACCAACAAAATAAGGCTGTACAAGGGAGAGTGAGCGATAAACAGAATGCTTGAGCTGTGATTCTAGAAACACAAACGTATTTCAAGTCTAATTGGCTCTACAGAACCTAGTCAGGTTTTCGTTTTTAATTGGCCAATCTGGCTCAGTCTTCGCACTTACTATGAAAAAGTTGGATAAGAAAGTTGGGGCTTGCATTGAGATTACACCAGTAGGTAGTCAAGTACTTTATTATTGCTTCTGCATCTTCCAAAGCATCATCTGCCGATAGCACAGTGATTGCAGTAATCACAGCCCATGTTTCATTCATATGGTATCAGCAATTAAGCAGTATTGCAAAGAATGCCAATGAACCCACACCAACCTGTTTGACAGTGTGGATAGATGTGACAATTCATCCTCCCATCTAACCTCAAATTATCAGTAAAACTTAAAATGTTTTTTCCACCAAAACACTGAGCTGGTTACACAGAGACTTGGAACACTGAATTGCATAATTTTTGTACATGCCTTTCCTTGGCGGGGTATGGAGTGGGAGGCAGAAGACGGGAGACGGGGAAAGTTCAATCTCCCCCATACAGTGGGAAGTAGCATCTTTACTTTTGGAAAACCTGTCAAAACCAAACTTTAGCTTTCTCAGCCTCAGCTAAGACTGGAAAGTTAAATTAAGGTCGCAATTGCTAGCTAGATGGCATTAAATGTCACTAACCTGAAGCCAAGGATTTAAATAGTAGGCTTCCTGCGTGGTTGAATGCCAACCCTGTTCCAAAGTTCAAATTATTTGTTTCCCATGGCAACTTCCTGAAACCTAAGTCAGTGTTTCCGAAAACTGGCCGATCAGAACAGCCAGGGAGTTTAGAAAAATACAGACTCTGGTTTCCCTCAGACTTCATACTTCAGAATCTCAAGGATGGAAACCCAGGATCTAGTCATCCTGGCTGCCACACACATTTGAGAACTGAGGATCCAGGCTAATGCACATCCAGCCTCCACTAAAGAATATCTTTATGGTCTCGAGTTTCAAACTCTTTCTCTTTGGGGTAAGGGGTGAAAGAAGGAGGCTGATGTCTGGGCATCCTTCTGACCCTTTTCAGGTTCATAGATTCAAAAAATACATATATTGGGGTCGCCAAAGCTTTCATCAGGCATGAAGAAAAAAAAAAAAAAAACTTCTGCAAATCCAGTCTTTTTGCTGATCATTATATTTTCCATTGGGTAATATACATGAGAAGTTATGTTCAGCACAGGTTTATGCCTCTACATTGAGAACTTTTAGGACTTAAGAGTTTTGTTTGTTTCTAATCCCATTATTTCAGAGGGCAGTTAATTGTTTTTTAATACGATGGATTGGGGAACCTATTCAGTACAGTTAAAAATTCTGACTTCCTGGACAACACTACTTTTACTTTGTTCTCTATGCTCAACTAAATTTAATTCACTAAAGCTATTACCATACTTTATAGAGAAACATGTTATTTAATATAAATGTCAAAAACTGTCAAACTCATCACCTACTTAGTAAGGATTGTTTTAAATTGTGCTTTCTCTGGAGGGAAATCATGTTACATTATTACACATTTAGCATTACTGATAACAGTAGTAGTATTATAAACATAGATTACAATATGAAAATGAGTTGTCAGGCTTCTAAATGACCCAAATCTATTAAACAAGGTTGGTTAATTATTATTCTTTATCTCTTTAACACTAAAAAAGATAGCAAAATGCTATAGTACCAGTACCTTTTAAGGTTCAAAAATGGTTTTTCATGCACTTCTTTAAAAAGTTCAACAGCAGCTGACATCAGGTTTCAAGAGGGAAGTACATGGATGGATTGAGTGGTCTCTTCAGAAGTCCAAAGAAGATAGTTAATACAATCTAAACACAGCCTTGGTTAGAGTTATTTACATAATTACAATGCTGAAGTTCTGTCGCAGTATAAATTGTGTCTGTTGGACTCTCACCAATGTCCTTGAAGCACAAAGTTCACCTTCTGTGGCCTATTATTCCCTTATCCATCTATCTCCAAACTTCACACACCACTGAGATGCTACTGAGGCATTGCAAGAGGCAACACTGACAAAGTTCATTTCAAAATATCCCATTCATTCATATTTAGAACGCTCCCCGAGGCCCTTGGCTGGGAACTTCTCTTTAAACATCAACCAAGTCCTCCTCTCAACCTCTGCATTGCAATAAAGTGGTTTTCTGAACGGGATCCAGAGGTGGCCCCAGAAGTGGAAGGAACCCCTCGAATCCGCCAGTTACAGGAAGCTGTCTTCCACCAGGTCTGAAGAGTCTATGCCGATGTCATCCATCATGTCGATGTCTTCAATGGTCTCGTCCTCTCTCTTGATGAAGGTGGAACTGCTGGAACCCGTCTCAATGGCACTCTCTTCAGAGGTCTGCGAGCTGGAGGAGGGAGAGAAGAGCAAATATTACAACTCCTGCACAGAACTAGACCTAGACTGTGGCCCCCCAGAGACAAACGAAAGCCTTTGGCATTCAAATTTGGGCTGCACAGTATGGCAAGATTCTGCCCCCAGGCCTGACATGCTGTGGTAGGCCACGTGGAAAACCAAGGTCCACCCATCATTTTTACTCTTCAGCTTTCCTGCTTTTCTGCTGGGTCTTTCATCAAAGTTACTGACAAGCTGCAAGAATTTCTACTTTCCCTACTCAATCCTAGTGGAAGAGAACATAAGCAATGCCTGATCCAAAGGCCTGGGAAGGCAGAGCAGGGGGTGAAGTCAGGCCCATCAGGGTGCAAGCTGCAGCCAGGCCCATCAGGTGCTCTCCCGGAAGCCTCCTGAGCATCCAAACTGTGTTCTCAGGATCTCCTGCCACTTGCCTGGAATGCCCTCTTCCCCTCTCTCTTGACATCAAATGCCCCCCCACCAACCCCCAACTTGAGGGCCCAGGTGACGGCTCCTTACGTACTAGAGAAGTGGCTGAAAGGGGAGTTCTGGAGTCAGAAAGCCTTAGGTCTGGAATGGTCCCCCCACTTACTAGCTGTGTGATGCCACACAAGTTACTTAACTTGAACGTGAACTTCAACTGAGAAAGTTCAATTCCTGGCGTGTCAAATTCTGCAGCTCAGCCTGTTGTAGCCCTAGAAAACTTCTGGGCACCTTTCTCATGTTATTTATTCCAATGTGACTTTCTAACTTTATATAAAAGCAGAACCCTCTTACAACTCAAATATTATTCAGAGCCCACAAACACAAAGTAACCAAATTGAGAAAGGATCTGAGACAGAGAGCCCTAGATTCACTGCCCAGCCTTCCCCGACCCCCGTGAAGTTCCATCGCAGACCCCCAAAACTTGGAGGAACACCGTATGCTCAAGAGATATAAACACGTTATAAAAACTGGCCTGAGCAAAGCATAATAAAAAACCGAAGACTGATGGGCCACTGTGTCCCATCTTCAAATCACATAACATATTCTAAAACAAAATAGAAAAGCCATACTTTCAAAATTACCCAGTCCATACAAATAAACAAGGGCTGTCTACATATTATACCTAAATTGGTTAACAAAGGTCACAGTCATAAGCCTCCAAAATAATGTTCTGATGGGAAAGAAGAGGAAAACACACACACACACACACACACACACACACACACAAGCAACTTGGACCTTGAACTAGGGGCCACTATCATCACCTTCTCCTACCTCTGTCCAAGGGCCATGCAAAGACAGCGGAGAACTGGGGCATGGTCTCCTCCATCTGACCACGTCAGCCAGTGATTCTCAGTCCTGCCTGGGCATTAGCTCCACCTTGGTGCTGAGTTAAAGAATCTAGGCCGGGTGAGGTGGTTCATGCCTATAATCCCAGCATCTTGGGAGGCCGAGACCGGCAGATCACTTGAGGTCAGGAGTTCAAAACCAGCCTGGCCAACATGCTGAAACCCCATTTCTACTAAAAATACAAAAATTAGCTGGGCATGGTGGCATGTGCCTGTAATCCCAGCTACTCAGGAGGCGGAGGTATGAGAATGGCTTGAACTCAGGAGGTGGAGGTTACAGTAAGCTGAGATCACACCACTGCACTCCAGCCTGGGTGACAGAGCGAGACTCCATCTCAAAAAAAAAAAAAAAAAAAGAAATTCTAGGTAATGATCACCCAATGACTGATAATGTTACAAAAGGCAGACAACTGGACAGTGCATACCTCTTGACAGAAGCACACAGAACCATCTATGAAGCATGTTTGCCAAAGATCTAACCTGAGTCAGGTTAAGTTCCTAGACTAACTACCAGTTTACAACACATAGAGAAGACAGAAGCACCTGAGAAGGACACTTCAAGGATGTAATCAGCAAAATGCCGATTGTGGGAACTCCACAGGCAAACACTATGGTTTCTTCACAAATAATATGTAAGAGGGCAAAAAATAGAGACATAGTGAACTTACAGAGACATAGCAACCAAGTGCAATGTGTGACTCTTATCTGGATCTCAGACAGAACAAAACAAGTGTATGATAATTTTTTTTTAACTTTTATTTTATGTTCAAGGGCACGTGTGCAGGTTACATGGATAAATCACATGTCATGGCGGTTTGATGTACAGATTATTTCATCACCCAAATAATAAGCACAGTATCCGATAGGTATTTTTTCTGATCCTCTTCCTTCTCCCACCCTGCACCCTCAACTATGCCCTGGTGTCTGTTGTTCCCCTCTTTGTGTCCATGTGTTCTCGTAGTTTTAGCTCCCACTTATAAGTGAGAACATGCGGTATCTGGTCTTCTGTTCCCGTATTAGTTTGCTAAGGATAGTGACCTCCGGCTCCATCCACGTTGCTGCAAAGGACATGATCTTGTTCTTTTTTTAATTTCATTTTTGTATTTTCCACTTTTTAAGTTCAGGGGTACATATGCAGGATGTGCAGGTTTGTTACATGGGTAAACATGCGTCATGGTGGTTTGCCGCACAGATCATCCCATCACCCAGGTATTATGCCCAGTATCCATTAGCTATTCTTCCTGATGTTCCACCCAATCCCCAACCCCTGAAAGGCTCCAGTGTGTGTTGTTTCCCTCCATGTGTCCATGTGTCCTCATCGTTCAGCTCCCACTTATAAGTGAGAACATGTGGTGTTTGGTTTTCTGTTCCTGTGTTAGTTTGCTGACGGTAACGGCTTCCAGCTCCATCCATGTCCCTGCAAAGGACATGATCTCATTCCTTTTTACGGCTGCATCGTATTCCATGGTGTATATGTATCACATTTTCTTTATCCAGTCTATCATTGATGGGCATTTAGGTTGATTCCATGATTTTGCTATTGTGAACAGTGCAGCAGTGAACATACACATTCATGTGCCTTTATAATAGAATGATTTACATCACTCTGGGTATATACTCAGTAATGGGATTGATGGGTCAAACAGTATTTCTGCCTCTAGGTCTTTGGGGAATCGCCACACTGTCTTCCACAATGGTTGAACTAATTTACACTCCAACCAACATTGTAAAAGTGTTTCTTTTTCTCCACAACCTCGCCACAATCTGTTGCTTTTTGACTTTTAAATAATAGCCATTCTGACTGGTGGGAGATGGTATCTCAGATCTTGTTCTTTTTTATCAACACATAGTATTCCATGGTGTATATGTGCCAGATGTTCTTTATCCAGTCTACTGTCAATGGGCATTTAGGATGATTCCATGTCTTTGCTATCGTGAATAGTGCTGCAGTGAACATACGTATGCATGTCTTTATGGTAGAATGATTTATATTCCTTTGGTTATATACCCAGTAATGGGATTGCTGGATCCAATGGTAATTCTGTTAAAAGTTCTTTGAGAAATCACCACACTGCTTTCCACAATAGCTGAACTAATTTGCACTTCAACAAGCAGTGTATACGCTTCCCCTTTTCTCCACAACCTCACCAGCATCTGTTATTTTTTGACTTTTTAATAATAACCATTCTGTCTGGTGTGAGATGGTATCTCATCACGGTTCTGATTTGCATTTCTCTAGTGATCAGTGATGTTGAGCATTTTTTCATATGCTTGTTGGCTGCAGGTATGTCTTCTTTTGAAAAGTGTCTGCTTATGTCCTCTGCCCACTTTTTAATGGAGTATGATAATATTTGTGAGATAATTTGAACTTTAACTGGCTGCCTGATGCCTTAACGATTTATTGTCCCTGTTTTGGGTGAGATAACGGCATTGTAGTTATTTTTAATAACTGTTGTTCTTCTTTAAAATAGAGCCCTTATCTTTAAGAGACACACACTGGAATATTTATGGGTGAAATGATAAGGTGTCTAGGATTTGCTTCCAAACAATCCAGAGGAGGCTGAGGAGAGACAGACATGGCCATGTGTGCATCCAGGCTGGCAGAGGGCATAGTCATTGAAGCTGGGTGACGAATACTGAACAGCTCACTATACTATGTGAATTGTGCACACGTTAGAAATCTTCCATAATACAAAATTTAAAAGAAAGAAGAAACAAATCAGCCAGGGAGCAGTTGGCCACCACCCCCAGGGATTCTAATTTGTTGTTTTGGGTGAGGCTTGTAGATCAGCAGTTTTTAAATCTCTGCAGGTGATTCCAATTCACAGGTAGGGTATAGCGTCAAAGGACCCAGTCCCGCCTCTCTTCACTTTTTCCCCAGTTCAATGACTATTTAAGACAATGGCAGGAGAGGCTTATATGATCTCAGTAATCACAGTTCTGTATCAATTTGATCAAATTACCTGAGAATTTAGCTCAAAGATTCTCCACCAGGGAAGCATGTCCCTCTCCCCACAACATGCACATCCCTCTCCCAGCCCCAGGGGGAACATATTAGAATCATCTGGGAAGCATTTTCAAAACCACGTGGACCTCCTGAGGATTCTGCAACTTGTCCCTGAGTACATATTTACCAACCGGGAGTGCACCATTATCGGGAAAATGGGTCCTCTCCTTCAGGGCCTATAGGGGAGGGGAAAGGTGAGACACCGAGGCTGCCCCCACAGCTACCTGTGTCTGTTCCTCTTGCCCAGGTCCTCCTCCTCAGGGACAGGGTCAATGTCAGGCAGAGGAATGATGTAGCCACTGTCAGCGCTCAGTCTCTGCTCATCCAGACCACCCTCCCAGTCCTTCAGCTTGTCTTCCTCGTTTTTGTAGGTGACACCAATGTATGCATTGTCTGAGTCCACACGCATGCGTGCCACAGCAGGATGGTCACTCTTCAGGAAGTCCAGGTGAATTTTTTCATAACTCTATAAACATTCATTGAACATATTTAATCAAGTGTTAACAACCAAACCTCAAAAATGAATAGAGACACTCAGAACTTACTATTATTTAACTGTACATATCTCCAAACTACCTGGAAGATGTGGGACTTAGTTGAAGGAGAGTCATGTCAACTATCCCCAGAGACATAGAACATGAAGAAGGGGCCACCAATGGTAAAGAGCTTCTGCCATTAGGTGCTAAGATACCAGTAGCCCCTTCTCCAAGTCAGTAGCTACAACTGAGAATCCTTCTGGTCCCCATCACGTTGCCTTTCCAGGGCTTGGATGGGTCCCATAGAGAGGCAGTGAGGCCTTCTATTGGGTGGATAATACCCAAAGCCTTCATGATCCTTAAACATTGGAGAGGTCTAACATTGGATGTGAAAAGACCCTATTTTCAACAATAACTTCAATCTCTTCCCACCAACACATTTCCACCAGTCAGAGCATCTTTGACCAACTGAGGGTTAATTTCCTTCTGCCTCCTCACTGCCTCACCTGTGAAAGTTGTAGTGGGCAGTGAGATAATTAACAGACAGAAGCATTTAACTTCCAGTTCGGCACACAATCTCCTAACACTATTCCTCCTTGAGAAGAAGGAAGAAAAATGATAAGTATAAAAAGTCTACACAGGGACTAATCTCAATCTAAGAAACTGAGGTTATGTCTGAGTTTTCCTCTCAACACCTCAGCAGAAAGTTGTTTCATTCATTTACATATCCTGCCTGGTTCCAAGAAATTACATTTGTTCCTTTGAACAATGCTTCCCATTCCACAAAAAACCAGCTGGTGCCACAGATAACAGCTGAGGTTGTTCCTTCCAGTCCGCTGGTAAAAGCCAATTTCGCATGGATTTAAGTGCACTCAAATTAGTGATGTAATGGCCATGGATGCCCTGAGTCTTCTAACTGCACACTAACTTCTGATACTCAAACATCTGGAGAATAGTGCTTACAGGTACTGTACATATAAGATGAAAGGAAAGCCCCACGGGAAGGGGAGGGTTTTCATTCATCATTGCTACTAGGGTCTCGTGGAGCACCGCCATGAAGCCCAGCCACTGGATCACACAGTCTTTTGCCTCTTTTGAAAATGCTCCTCTAGAACTGCGGAACAGCACAGCTCACTGGTATAACTTCCAGCTTTATCCAGACCTTTCCACCCACAGATCCAAACACACCTTTTTATATTGTCCAGGCAGCAGATTCTCCACAATCTCACTCAGGTGGTAAAAGGAGGGTCTCTTCTCCGGCTCACTGTTCCAGCATTTCACCATGATCTCGTAGCTGTGGGGACAGAACTCAAGAGTGGGCACAGGGGGAAGTCTCAGGGCCCCTCCCTCCCCCTAGACCCACAGACTGTGAACACAGGCCCCCGGGATGGGGAAGGAGCTCACACTTCACTGGTAGCGTGGTCAGGCTTGGCCATCCGGTACCCACTCTTGATCTTATTGTAGAAAGTAGAATCCACCATCATGCCGGGGTAAGGGGTGCCACCTAAAAGCCAAACAATAAAACACCAGGACTAACAAACGCTCAGTGCATTGCTGAAACACTTGGCATGATAGAACACTGTTAGAAAACCTTTCAGATCCTATAGCCTTGAAGCACTGGTTTTTTCAAGAAAATTCAGTGTCATCATCTCCTTGACTTCAGAGACCAGCTCAAACCTTAAGTTTAATTAGGACTCCAGGTTGGTCAAGTCCAAGTACCATCACAAAAATTCTACATCTTTAGAAATAAGCGTTCAAGTGTTTTTCAATGTGTATGACTACTGGATCAACACAGACAAAATGAACTAGAAAAGCAAGGAGAAATTCTGAATCATTAAAACCCAGAGAGTCTTTTTCACCAGGTATGTTCAAATAGCTAAAGCAAAAATCAAAGTTGTGGCCTCTCTGCTTTTAAGGGAGTACAGGACTCCATTAAGCCACTGGGGGATGATCCATTGTGATCATCCATGGAGGGAGAACTAGGATGAAAAAGGAGACGGGGCAGGAAGACACACTTTACTATTACATCCTGATCACAGATAAATTCATGAAACATTTCACACTTTCAAAGCCAAGGCCAGGTCAAGTTAAGTTCCCTCTCTGAAGCCTTCCCACACTATTCCAGGACTCCTTTCTCTTTACTCAAGACTCAAATTACAATTTTAAATCAGCAGCACACTGTTTATCCCTAAGTGTGTAAGTCTCATCTCCCCAGATGAACCATCCAGATGTCAGGGTTATGGCTCATCCTTCTCTTAGGGACCTCACCGGATAGCCCAGGGCACCTGGGTTGTTCAGCACCTGGGTTGTCAAGACTGGCCAATGACAACCAGGAATGAGAGCCCTGCCCTTCCCGCCACGTACCCCTTTTCACCTGAGCATCAATCGCCACCAGGTGAGGGAGGGCCCACTCTCCATGGGTGAACCCATGTGACCCAAAGCCCAAAATGAAAAAGCAGCTGGGATGCGAATGTCATTGGGACCACTTCCAGTGGGAGGAAGTCACTCTGGCATAGCCCAAAGGAGAGGAGGGGCAGAGGCCAGGAGTAAGACGCAACCCCCAACAAAAACCCCCATCTCCACCTGCATGGGCCTATCTCAGACACAATAAGGCACAACATGTGGTTTGAGGTGGCTGCAGCATACTGGCCTCACACCAGGTTATCTTAACACTGTCTACATCCTGGGGCTTGAAAGAACACATTTTCCTTCCAGTGGTGTTTCAGAACAGCCCAAATAAGCAGCAATGTCAGGCCCATACCAAGGGAAAAGATCTCCCAGAGCAGAATGCCATAAGACCAGACATCACTCAGTGTGGTGTAGAGGTTGTCAAAGATGCTCTCAGGAGCCATCCACTTCACGGGCAGAAAGGTCTGCAAGGAAGGAGGGAGACAGTTAAACCCATGTCTACTCACTGATGATCCACAGCAGTGGAAATAGAAAAGGGTTCCCCTTGGGCTCTTAATAACTTGTGCTAATTATCTTGTCCCATTTGAGTGTCTTTTACATGTGTTTTGTTCATTACTGAACTCTCAGTCCCTGGCACATAGTAGGTGCTCAATAAATACTAGATGAATGATGAATGGTCAATATTGCCTTTTATGTCCTCCAAAGGAATAATATCCAAAAACATTAATCCTGAATTTTCACCCAAAAGGTGTAAGCCCTGAATGGACCAGTTTCCTATTTTTAGATATTCCTGGGAACAAAACTAAGAACAGATCCAATGATCTATGAGCCGATTACAGCTATCACGGCCACATGAGTACATGAATCACACACAGCATGGATGCAGGCCCATGTCTTTCTCTAGGTGGAAGCAGCAGCTGCCATAAGCTGTCTCACATCCAGTGCAGTGAGGTGATTTGGAATTGTACCTACAGGGAGCAGATATATCCCCACAGGGAGCTATGTCATCTGCTGAGAAGTGGAAGGGATGGGAAGAATGGTTCAAGTAGACAACAAAATGAGTATCTTTAAGGAAACTGTGCCTCCAAGATACATAAACCCAAATGGTTCCAATCTATTTTAGGGGTCACAGATGGCTTTTGAAAATCTGATAAAAGCTTAAAATGTAAAGACACCATCCTTGGGAATGCATGCTTGTCCATGCATACACGCAATTGACATATTAATAGCTAACACTTGCCAGATGCAGTGGCTCACACCTGTCATCCCAGCACTTTGGGAGGCTGAGGCAGGTAGATCACTTGAGGCCAGGAGTTCGAGACCAGTCTGGGCAACATGGTGAAACCCTGTCTCTACTAAAAATACAAAAATTAGCTGAACATGGTGGTGCATGCCTGTAATCCCACCTACTCGGGAGGCTAAGGCAGGAGAATTGCTTCAACCTGGGAGGCAGAAGTTTGCAGTGAGCCAAGATTGCGCCACTGCACTCCAGCCTGGGTGACAGAGTGAGACTCTGTCTCAAAAAAAAAGAAAATAAATAAATAAATAAATAAATAAATAAATAAATAAATAAAATAGCTAACATTATTGAGTGCTGTTTCTATATGCCAGGCACTGTCCTAAGCACTTTACATGAATTCATTGATTTAATCCCCATAGCAACTCAGCAAATAGGTACTATTATCACCTCCCACTACAATCAGGGAGACAGAGGGGCAGAACAGTCAAGTATCTAGCCCCAAATCCAAATTAAGTAAGTGGTGGAGCTGGCACTCAAACCTGGGCAATCTGCTGCCAAGGCAGTGTACTGACCCCTTGAAATCTATTGATGTTTTAAAAAACAGGCACCGAATCTCTAGAAGCAACACCTGACTTTAGAGATTAAAGTGAAGGAGGATGAGCCTGACCAGTGAGGGAAGTGAGGACGTACACTGCCTTTCGACACATAGTTCGAATCATGCATGATGTCTCTGGCCAGGCCAAAGTCACAGATCTTCACAATTTTTCCTTGTGCCAGGAGGACGTTGCGAGCAGCCAGATCACGGTGGACACACTGCATGGAAAAGGAAGAAATGACTCAGGATCAAGCCATCTGTAGCTGAATAGCATCACCCCTGCAAGACTGGCTGATCCATGGTGGCACTTGGAGCTGTCTGCCTGGATATAAAGGGCTGGCCTTCTCCCAGGTTCTCACTCCACCCACTCCCAACAGAGAGAAAGCTCTAGAGAAGAGTAGATGCCTGATGATTTCAGACTCCCTGACCTGCGTAGGGGATGAAGGAGAGAGACAGGTAAGTAAGAGGCCCCTGTTATTAATGGCCTTTCCAACATCTATCTCCTAGCATCTCCGTCCACACTCCACTCACTGAAATCTGGGTCTAAAAAGGTCTGTGTTCCTTGAACTTACATTTTTTGAAGCCAAAAACTCCATTCCTCGGGCAACTTGATAGGTGAAGCTCAACAAATCCAATAAAGTAAGGCCTTCTGAGTTATCATCTGAAAGGAGGTTTTTGACTTCTGAGTCTGCAGAAAAGAAATTAAATGTATTGGTGCTGGCAGGCAGCAGGAAATCATCAGGTTGCAGAGGCATGCCCAAAGAACACATCCAAAAATATTTTCTTAATTTTTTTGTAGAATGTTTAGATCTCACAGATGAATATCACTATGCAAAGATTCTATCTTAGAAAATAGATATATAGGCCAGGCATGGTGGCTTATGCCTATAATCCCAGCACTTTGGGAGGCCGAGGTGGGTGGATTGCCTGAGGTCAGAAGTTTGAGACCAGTCTGGCCAACATGGTAAAACCCTATCTCTACTAATAATACAAAAAAATTAGCCAGGCATGGTGGCATGTGCCTGTAATCCCAGCTACTCAGGAGGCTGAGGCAGGGGAATTGCTTGAATCAGGGAGGAGGAGGTTGCAATGAGTTGCAGTGAGCCAAGATCACACCACTGCACTGCAGCCTGGGTGACAGAGTGAGACTCTGTCTCAAAAAAAAAAAAAAAAAAAAAAGATAGAAAGAATGAAAGAAAGGAAAGAGATATGCAGAAACATATATCTGGTTTAAAAATTATACACACACACACACACGCAATGATATAGTTTGGATATGTGTCCCCACCCAAATCTCATGTTGAAGTGTAATCCCCAGTATTGGAGGTGGGGCCTGGTGGGAGGTGACTGGATCATGGGGGTGAATTTCTCACAAATGGTTTAGCACCATCCCCTTGGTGCTATCCTTGCAAAAGTGAGTGACTTCTTACAAGATCTGCCTGTTTAAAACTGTATGGCACCTCTCTCTCTCTCTCTCTCTCTCTCTCTCTCTCTGTCTCTCTCTCACTTGCTCCTGCTCTGGCCATGTGATATGCCTGCTCCCCCTTTACCTTCCACCATGATTGGAAGCTTCCTGAGGCCTCTCCAGAAGCAAATGCCTGTATAGCCTGCAGAATCCATGTGCCAATGAAACCTCTTTTCTTTATAAATTACTCAGTCTCAGGTATTTCTTTATAGCAATGCAAAAACAGCCTAATAGAGAAAATTGGTATCAAGGAATGGGGAATTGCTGTAAAGATAACTGGGTAACAGGCAGAGATAAGAAGAGTTTGGAGGGCTCAGAAGAAGACAGGAAGATGAAGGAAAGTTTGGAACTTCTTAGAGACTGGTTAAATGCTTGTGACCAAAATGCTGATAATGATATGGACAATGAAATCCAGGCTGCCAAGGTCTCGGATGAAAATGAAGAACTTATTGGGAACTGGAGTAAAGGTCACCCTTGTTAAGCTTCAGCAAAGAACTTGGCCACATTATGTCCATGCCCTAGGAATATGTGGAAGTTTGAACTTGAGAGTGATGACCTAGGATATCTGGTGGAAGAAATTTCTAAGCAGCAAAGTGTTCACGATATGGCCTGGCTGCTTCCAATAGCCTACAGTCAGATGCAGAAGCAAAGAAATGACTTGAAGTTGAAACTTATATTTAAAAGAGAAGCAGAGGCTGGGCGCAGTGGCTCACACCTATAATCCCAACACTTTGGGAGGATGAGTGAGAGGATTGCTTGAGTCCAAGAGTTCAAACTAGCCTGGACAACATAGTGAGACCCCATCTCTTTAAAATAAAAAAAAAGTAAAAGGGAAGCAGAGCATAAAAGGTTGGAAAATTTGTAGCTTGGCCATGTGACAGAGAAAGTAAAAGCTTTTTTGGGAGAGAATTAAAGAGGGCTGCTGGGCAACCACTTGCTAGAGAAATTTGCATAACTAAAAAGGAGGCAAAGGCTGATTGCCAAAACAATGGGAAAAAGGCCTTTAAGGCATTTCAGACACCTTCATGGCAGCCCCTCCCATCACAGGCCCAGAGGCCTAGGAGGGAAGAATGGTCTCATGGGCCAGCCCCAGGGTCCACTGCCCTGTGCAGCCTCGAGACACTGCTCCCTGCATCCCTATGACTCCAGCTCCAGCTGTGGCTCAAAGGAGTTCAGGTGCAGCTTGGGCTGCTGCTTCAGCTTGTGACAGCCATAAACCTTGGCCGCTTCCATGTGGTGTTAGCCTGTGGGTGCACAGAGTGTTAAGAGTTGAGGCTTGGGAGCCTCTGCCTAGATTTCGGAGGATATATTAAAAAACCAGGGTGTCCAGACAGAAGCATGCTGCAGGATTGGAGCCCTCACAGAGAACCTCTACTAGGGCACTGCAGAGGGGAAATGTGGGGTTGAAGTCCCCACACAGAGTCTCCACTGGGGCACTGCCTCGTGAAGCTACGAGGGGAGGGCCACCATCCTCCATGAATAATATATCCACCAACAGCCTGCACTCTGCACCAGGAAAAACCACAGGCACTCGACAACAGCCCCTGAGAGCAGCTGCAGGGGCTAAACCCTGCAAAGCCACAGGGTGTTCCATCCCTCCCAAGAGCTCCACCCCTTGCATCAGTGTGCTCTGGACATGGGATATGGAGTCAATGGAGTTTATTTGGAGTTTTCAGCCCTGCTGGGTTCTGAACTTCTGTGGGGCTTGTAGCCCCTTTCTTTTGGCCGATTTCTCCCTTTGGGAATGGGAATGTTGACCCAATGCCTATAACCCCATTGTATCTTGAAAGTAAATAACTTGTTCTTTATTTTACAGGCTCATAGGTGGAAGGGACCTGCCTTGTGTCAGATAAGACTTTGGACTTTGAGTTGATGCTGGAATGAGTTAAGGCTTGAGGGGACTATTGTGGAGGGATGATTGTATTTTGAAATGTGAGAAGGACATGAGATTTGGGAGGGTCCAGGGTCAGTATGATATAGTTTGAATATGTGTCCCCACCCAAATCTCATGTTGAATTGTAATCTCCAGTATTGGAGGTGGGGACTGGTGGCAGATGAATGGATCATGGGGACAGATTTCTTACGAACAATTTAGCACCATCCTTCTGGTGCTGTCCTCGCAATAGTAAGTGACTTCTTGTAAGATCTGACTGTTTAGAAGTGTGTGGCACCTCTCTCTTTCTCTCTCTCGCTTGCTCTTGCTCTGGCCATGTGATGTGCCTGCACTGCTTTGCCTTCTGCCATGACTTCATGGCTTCATGAGGCCTCTCCAAAAACTGAGCAGATCTACCAGTATCTTGATTCCTGTAAAGCCTGCAGAATCATGAACTAATTAAACCTCTTTCCCTTATAAATTACCCAGTCTCAAGTATTTATTTATAGCAATAAAAGAACAGCCTAAAACACACAGAGACATACACGCACACACAAAACACACACACAGCCACAAGGACCAATCTTACACATAATTATTTTGTTTACCTCCTAAATTTCTTTTTTTCAACCATAATTAGCAAATCATCTCAGCTACCTTTAAAACACACATACACATAAACACACACTAAAATCTTCCATGATGAAATACATGGAGCACACATACAAGCTACATGAAAAAGTAGTTTCTGTGAATTGCTTTATTTTCTTTTTAAAGCCACCTTTGTAGTACTTTGCTTATAATTTGTTAATAAAATCAACCACCAATCACATGTGATAGCATCTTAGAGATCAGTGCCAATGACTTTCCTTTGAGTTTCTTTGTTTGTAACTTGTCCACTTTCCCCAGTTAGTCCCATCTGGAAGGGTCCCAGGGTTTTCGAGGAAGAAGGCAATTTAATCCAGAAGTTCTCAATTCTTTTTGAAAATGTTCAGCAAGTGAAGAGTAGCTCTAGCCATTCACGATTTTTTTCAGATAGTCACGGAAGGCCAGAAAGCAGTGGTCTGCCTGCCAACAGGGCTTGGGCCTGAGCATGACTCAGGTTCCTCTGACATCTCGTGCCAACTCCACCAGCCCAGCCTGGGAAGCAATGTAAACTATTTTTAACAATATGGGAGGGGAGAGGAAGTACTGGTTCCGATAACTCTCACTGGCTAATCTTTTAAAAGCGCTTGGAAGTTCACCCATTTGGCAATGAGAAGTGAATGGAACTTGGAACCGCAGAAATGGAAAATATTGTGTACTGAGCTTTGCAAAACAAACACATTCTTTTTTAAATGGATTGTACCTTTCACTTAAGAACCTGAAAACATTCAGAGCACATCAATAATTTCCAAAACAATGTCCAGGGCAGCTCAACACTTTTTTGCATTGACTAATGGGAAGGCTCAGACCCAAAAAGGCAAGCTCACAGGACAAGCCAATGTCAGACTTCCAGCTTCATGTCTGTGACCAGTTCAGGGCTCTGGAGGAACCACCCTGAGCAGATGTGAAGTGATCCATCTGGTCTGGGCATCAGCTGGACTCCCTGGAGTTTATAAATCAATTTAACCCTGCCACATATTCATGTACTTGAAAAACAGATAGACCCACCTTCAAAATACATTCAACAGAAACACTGGTCCAGAAAATATAACTGCAAATTATCTACTCTAGAGTTCCTATCACAAATTGAATGTTAGGAAAAGTAAAAGCAAGGGTTACTGAACTCATAGACATCAGAGACTTCTAAAACTTAAGGGAAAAAAAGCAAGGTGAGGAACCAACATAAGACAGCCAACTTGTAATTCTGCCAAGTAAGGGCATTAAAAAAAATCAATCACCATATTTTCATTAAAAAAGAAAAAGACAGCAATAAAAAAGGAAGTTCATTATATCAGAATAAATAATTATTTTTTTTAAAAAATGTTTACTGCAGGAACACACCAAGAAAATTCTTTAAAACTATTAAATTTAAAGTTTAAAAAATTTGTTACATTGTCAGCTTTTATTCTTTTCAATTTACAGGCCACAAACCTGGAAACATGTCACAGAACTGGTTGTGCAGACCTGCATTTAGAGACCACGTGGGCTGCCAGGTTCACTTACCATCCCTATACACTTCCCTCTAAATACTTTAAGTATCATATTAAACCACTGGAAAGTCCCAACACCCAGAGTGAGTATAGACACTTTTACCTAACATAGATTTCTTCTTATATGAGGCTGGACGATCATAGAGTGATCTCTGGATGTCGGAATATTTAGAAACCTCTTTCCTTTCTAGCATGGGGACATACTGTGTAGTATCAGCCTGCTTCATGTCCATGTAGTCACCATTGTTTTCAAAAGATAAAATAACATAGCTGTAAAAACAGAAAGAGAAATCTTACCCAGGGTGCCCTTCTGAAGTGGTCATTCCACTTTCAGTAGATGATGATTATGTGCCAGGTACTGAGGTAGGCATGGGAGCTAACTGGGTAAAAGCAAAACCAATCCATACCTTTCACATGAGGTGATCTAGTCAAGGAAATGAGCATTAATCAAATAGTCGCACAAATACATGCATCACAGCAATTCCACTACTGGGTATCTACCAGAGGAAAGGAAGTCATACTAAAAAGATACTTGCACACACATGTTTATAGCAGCACAATTCACATATTGAAAAAATGTGGAACCAACCCCAAATGCCCATCAATCAAGGAGTGGATAAAGAAACTGCAGTGTATCTATACATATGTATGTGTAGGTGTGCATATATATATATATATATGTAACTCAGCTATAAAAAGGAATGAATTAATGGCTTTTGCAGCAACCTGGATGGGATTAGAGACTATTATTCTAAGTGAAGTAACTCAGAAATGGAAACCAAACATCGTACGTTCTCACTCATAAGTGAGAGCTAAGCTATGAGGATGCAAAGGCATAAGAATGACACAATGGACTTGGGGACTCGGGGAAAAATTGAGAGGCAGGTGAGGGATAAAAGACTACAAACTGGGTTCAGTGTATACTGCTCCAGTGATGGGTGCACCAAAATCTCACAAATCACCACTGAAGAATTTACTCATGTAACCAAATACCACTTGTTCCCCAAAAACCTATGGAAATAAAAAAATTTTTTAAATAGGGAAAAAAAGAAATGTAAAAAACAAAATAAATACACAGATCAACTCAAACTCAGCTGTGTTGTGAAGGAAGAAAGGTTTCAATAGCTTGTAAGGAAAATGACTTGATCTGGGGGTCAAGGAAGCACTTTTCAGAAGACGTAGAATGGATCCCACTGACAAAGATGGGAAAGACTAGCGGAATATTTGTCATGGCACCTGGCACATACAAAGGACTCCACAAATGTCAGCTGCCATGATGACTACTGTTCACTTGTTTTCAGAGCCAGTTCCCTGCACATCCTTAGCAGGAGCCCGCACATCCTGAAGAGCCACATCTAAGACAGTGGGGCTGTGCTCCCATGGACCTGTAAGTCCATTACACTTAAAGTTTGAAGAATTCACTACGTTAAGTCTGTCATTATTCTTTCTCAGTTTTTCAACTCACAAGCCTTGGTTGGAACTTGAGCCGTGTGGCCATGTGGCTTGGGCATACAATTCCTTCTACCCAATCAATTTAGCACCCATTTGGTGTCCACCAAGTAATTTATTATGAAGTGAATTCATTGTACTTTCTGATCTTACAGAATTTCTTACCTACAGAGTTCTTTATAGCCACTTGTAGATTTCTGCAGTAGGGATCACTATCATTGACGTCATTTATAGGTCCAGGTTCAGCAAGGACCTCGAGCTTGGAGATCCACAGACAGTTCTTGCAAGGTTCCAGAACTCAAGCATCCCTGGCCAGAGCTGCATTTTATAGGTCTAAGTGGATCACATGTAAATAGCAGAAGAGCTCCCAGAGTCATTCTAACTCACTCTCATTCAAACCTATCAGCAAGGCCTTCCCATGTGACACCCCAGTCCAAAACACCTTTAGACATCATGCATCTCTCTGCATGACCATGGAAAGACTGGACAGGGTGGTTTGACTCTAAGTCTTGCTACCTTGGGCACTGAATCTGCAGACATGATATCTATCAGGACATGGGTCTTTCCATTTGTGATGCCTGTAAGATAATGATAGACAGCAACATCTCTCTTTGCACCCACCTCCGTGTGCTTTCATCAGCAGGGTTCAATCCAAAGATATCCAGCTCTTTCTTTGGCTTCTCTGGGTGGTGGCTCAGGAAGCTATCCCTATTCTTATGCAAATAGTTGACCAAATCTCCATAGAAGCAATACTCTGTGATGATGTAAATGGGGCCTATGGGGACAAAAGCCGTTAGGAGATGGGTATGAAAATGAAGAACAGAAAAGCCATGAATTGTCCTGCAGACCATATGGCACAGAAAAAAATAAGATACCAAAAAAGTTTTTTTTTTTTTTTTTTTTTTTTTTTTTTAATAAAGAGCCATGAATGGCTATGACTGGACTGGCAACAGATTTTGCTCAAAAACCAATGAGCTTCCATCAATTCAAGGGACCAGTCAGCTCCATTCAAGGGACTTCTATTCCCTGCCATGTGTGGGGATGGAGAGTGGAGGATTTAAGCCTGATTGAACAGTTTTCACAACCACATGTGTCCAGTGAAAATCCTCACTCCAGGTCAGTGAGCCCACCTGACTTGGTGCAGGCTCCCAGCAAGTTTACAATGTTCAAATGTGGCCCCAGGTGAGTCATTATCTTCAGTTCAGACATGAGAGCTTGTTTTTCACTGGATCTGGCCGTGGCTGTTGAAAGAATAAATCACATATCAGTCCAGCTGAGCTACCAACTTCCTGTTCTCAGAAAAAAACCAAGAATATGACTAATCCTGTGATTGGATATCATTCTATTTACCAGAAGTCTAAAAGAAGCAGATAGCTACTTGGCCTCAGTGCTAATAACTAATTCCTGGTCTTTCTAGTAAAAAGAAGTCACTGGAAATAACAAGCTCTTAATTTTCCAACATACAGGCAGCAAGAGCAATCTAAATAAACCTAATCTAAATACACATAAAACCTGGAGTCAAAATAATCAGGACCTAGTCCTAAATGTCTTATTTACTAGCTGCATGATTTTGAGAAATTCCCTTAATATCCCCATGCTCAAAAAATCCCCGTGCTCAAAAAATCCCCAGGAAGGAGCACTTACGTTTTAGCATCTTCACTGCAACTTTCATGACAGGTTGGGACCGGCTTAATCCATAGGCTGTTCCTTCAACCACCTTCCCAAACGCTCCAGACCCCAAGACCCGACCTGTGGGCAGGCAGAATCATTAACACCCAAAAACTCCAGACGCCTCCTCAGCTTTCTGCACCGTAGCCAGCTCTCTGCGGGCGGACAGCTGGGCGAGTGTCTTTCCTGTTTGGAGTAATCATAATGACTCCTCCAAGTCATCGTGTCAAAAAAGGAATTGAGCCCACAGGGAAGGAAATTAGCATAATTGCTTTTGTCGAATAACACTTGCAAGGGAAAGAAAACACAGACGGGAGAAAGGAGGGTGCAGCCCTCCCTGGTGTGAGCGCGCTGTCTACCAGCTCCGTGCTGGGCCAGCCCCTGGGATCCTCTTGCCTTCGGGGCTCTCACCCACACCTCCTGGCTCTCTCCCCTTCTGTTTTCCATATGCAAACAGGGGCATCTTTTGTCTTAGTAAATTACTAGCCACTGGAAATACTTCAGTATTCAAAATATCACTGATTCTAAGGAGTGACTAAATAAAAACTTCAGGCTGGGCTCACTGCTCCCTATTTGTTAGGAAAGCCACTCTACCAAGAGCTAAACATGCCCGAGAGCACAGCAATTAGCTTCATGTTGGGAGGAGACATACGTAAAGACACTGAAGCTGTTGTCCCACCCTGAAAGAGCTCACCCTGAGAGAAACATTTCCCGGGGTGTCAGTCTCACCACGGATAGCCAAGCCAGGAAAAGACTTGGCTCATAAAAGACACTAACAGCCAACACTGCCTCTTACTGCACGTCTGTGTTACTGAAAATCGTACCTGGAAAGGTATTGCTTCACCAGCAATGCCTCTTGGTATAATGGGAATTATGCCCTTTTCCCCATATTTTACTACTTTTTAACTCCCTAAGCTCCTCATCCCTTGTTGGGAAATAGGCAGGAAAATAAAGAAAGCTTAGATATAAATATTTGAAATTGGGGGGCAGCTCTTATAACCGCCCCATGGATTCTCCTTGTCCGCTGCCTAGACAGAGCCGATTTACCAAGACAGGGGAATTGCAATAGAAAAAGGGTTTAATTCACACAGAGCCAGCTGTACGGGAGACCTATTCTACTATTACTACTATTACTCGAATCAGTGTCTCTGAAACTGGGGGAATTTCTACTATTCTGCTATTACTCAAATCAGTGTCTCTGAAACTGGGGGAATGGGGTTTTTAAGGATGATTTGGTGGGTAGGGGGTGAAAAGGGGAGTGCTGATTGGTTGGGTCAAAGATGAAATTATAGGGAGCTGATGCTGTCCTCTTGCACTGAGTCAGTTCCTAGGTAGGGGCCCCAAGATCAGATGAGCCAGTTTATTGACCTGGGTGGTGTCAGCTGGTGCATCGAAATACAGGGTCTCCAAAATATCTCAAGCACTGACCTCAGGTTTTACAACAGTGACCCCTAAACCATACTTTCTAATCTTGTAGCTAATTCGTTAGTCCCGCAAAGGCAGTCTAGTTCCCAGGGAAAAAGAGGGTTTGTTTTGGCAAAGGGCTATTATTGTCTTTTTTTCAAAGTCAAACTATAAACTAAGTTCCTCTCAAAGTTAGTTCGGCCTATGCCCAGGAAGGAACAAGGACAACTTGGAGGCTAAAGCAAAATGGAGTTGGTTAGGTCATATCTCATTCACTGTCATAATTTCCTCAGTTACAATTTTTGCAAAGGTGATTTCACTCTGGTGCCTTGCTTGATTTCAGTTTACCTAACTCTCTAAGAAGACTTAAACTCTTCTGTATTTTGCAATGAGACCGGTGGATAATTAAAACCTGCATTTGGCATTCTTTAACATATATACTGTTAGATCATTCATCATAACACAACCTCTACCTCTACTTTCATTTGCCTTTGTCTTGCTTTCATTCATTAGGAATGTGATTTAAAAAAGAAATACTCCCTTGGACTAAAGCTTCATATACTTGGTCTCAGCCCAGGATTGAAATACTTGAAATGCTTGTGATAAGTTGGCTTGCTTATTTTTACATATTTTGCCTCAAAATGTACCTATATTTTTATATTCCATATTCCAAATATGTAAAAAGGAGTATCTAATGCATCTTCAGAATGTACTGAATCAAAATACATTTTGTGGTTGTCCTCATTCATTTCTCATCTGCTCATTTTTAGTCACAGAAATTCATTTTCAATTTGTGTCATTTCTAAAGAAAAGCAATTTTGGTGGGTATCTTTGCCAGCCCTCTTCATATTCTCTTCTCCCTTTGTAAAATTTTCCTTAACTATAATTTGTTATGGAAAGAGATTTAAAAAAATCATTGCAATGATCCAATTAACTTACTGTCAAGACAGAAATGTATTTCTGAAAGCAAATTTCCATTGCCTAGTTCTTACTAAGCACAAGCTCAGATCTCTATTCTGCCAAGGCCTATAAATTGTAAAGTTGTGTGCAAGGGAAAAGGGAGTCTTGGGAGGTTACCCCATGGAACTTACCAAGCACTAGTCCATCTCTTGGAAACTCCCATCTTGAGTCATAAGGCAGCTGCATCGGGTCCACATAAATATATTCATGTCCATCTGGGCTGATTGATTCAATGACCCTCCAGCGAATTTCATACCTCGGTTTCTATAAATGACCAGGACAGGTAACTGGTGAATTACCAAAGTCCCAGTGCACCAGAGCTTCACTGAAGCAGCACAGTGACTGGACACAGTAGAGTCCAACAACGTTCACTCCACATGTAATTGCTGAGCTCCTTCTCTGTGCCAAGCACTGAACTAGGTTGCTATGCTTGTTCTCATTGGCTTCAAAGATCTTTAGTTTTATGAGAAAATATCTACCTGTTTCCAAATGACAACCAGGACAATAAGTGAGATGATCACAATCACCAACAGCACCAGGACTGCAGCAGCCACCGTGAGTTCAGAACGCAGGGCTACGTGACAAGAGAGAGAGGCACAATGAAAAGTTTCCTGGCAGACATGCACAGGGGCAGCAAGGTAGTGTGGCTGTGTCTGAGCCAGGAATCTCTCACTGCTGGTGGGGAAGTGTGAGGGCTGCCTGGTTCATTTTAGGGATAGGCAGTACCATCTCTCAAACCATCTACACCCAGGAAACTACATCAACTCTTTCCTTATACAAGAAGGGGACAAAATTCAATCAGGAGAACTCAGTATTTTCTCCAAAGTTGCTCCAACAGTAACCTTGTGGACAGAATTTGAATAGGATAAATGCAATTGACAGCTACTATATGGGCAGACACCTCTACTTCATATGCTTTATTATAAAGCTTATTTTGTAAGTTGCATTTTGCTTATATTGCTTTTGGCTTCATCTATCTTTTAAGGAGCAATGAGACAGAAGATCCTTCCCCACACTCCATCCACATACACAGACATTCAAAGTAGAGACTGTAGCTATATTATTAGACAAGCAAAATGTTGAGGGGCCTCTGCAAAAATGCAGTTTTGGATCTGAATCTAAAACAACGTCCTAGGTAGAGGTTGCAGTGAGCCAATATTGTGCCATTGCACTCCAGCCTGGGCCACAGAGCAAAACTCTGTCTCAAAAAACAAAACAAAATAAAACAAAGTCCCACATGACTTTAAGAGCATTCATAACTGAATTTCTGCCTTGGGACCTTCATTTCTATATAACCCCTATCTGGGATTCAAAGTTCCGCCTGGGGCAGATGCGGCTCAGCTGATGAGTTGTCCTGACTGTTGAGGAACTCACTGGGAGCCACCAGCTTCAGCTCTCGGTTCTCAGCTCCAAGGAGATTCTTAGCCAGGCATCGCACGGCGATGGTCTCCTCCACTTTGGCGAAAGTCACACGGCCCTCCACGGTACTCCTGTCTCGGGAGTGGATCTCCGTGATGATGTTTGAGACATTGTTGGCCAAAATAGTCCAGGAAGTTTCATTATTACATCTAGAGAGAAAAAGGGCCTAAGTATAGGGCCAATTCCTGAGAGTCATGGCAATGAGTGGAGCCACGGGAACACTCTAAGATGGCAAGGAGTTGGGACCTTGTCTGCATTTCGGGGCAATACACACTGATTTATTTTACATGCAGATGAACATTAAAACTTGTCTGCATGTGCTGAAGAGGGAATAACTCACACATGAACAACTGAAAGCTAAGTGTTTACATAGCAGGCAGAGATAATCAAGTTTAATAAAATATGACTACCATTCCCCAATCTTGAACCTATGAGCAAACTGAACAGTTCAACTTCAACCATATTTAATGATCTCAATCTCCCACCCCTTCAAAAAGGCCTGGAGCCCTCCCTTCTCAACACTCACACTGGGAAGAGCCCCTAGGGTGTCACTAGGGTTGCGATGATCCTCAGATTGAGTTATAAGACCTAGAATCCTGCTCCACACTGGAATCTACTAGAAACCCCAGTCAACATCCAAGTCTGTTCTTAGCCCTAGAAGTTAAGATGAGGAGTCTCTGTCTAGAGGAAGAAACAACTGAGGCTTCTGAACACAACCAGTTACCATGGATGAAGTGTAAACACATTGCTCATGTGCCCATTTAAGAAGGCTGAGGACTCGGGGGAGGGAGGAGGGAATGGCGAATTAACCCACCAAACAGCAGGTGGGCAGATAAGGGACTAAGCAGTCACATTTATGTTTACATGCAGTCCGACTACCAAACAAAGTTCACCAAATAAGATATGTGAGCCAGGGTAGTAAAAATCTTCTTAGAACAGTGGTTCTTAAAATTCACTCTTGTTTTTAGATTGGAGACATTTTGAAGGTCTAATGAGAGCCCTGGACCTTCTTCTCACAGCTATTCATGACAAAAGATACACACCCTGAAGCTATCACACCCAAAACCCTATCTTATAGTCAATAAGTAAAATGTATTTGACATCATTTGTGTCAAGGGAGAAATATTCTGACCACGAAAGAAGAAGACACATCTGTTTTCCATACTTCTTAATATCTTTGCATATCATCCACTCAATATCAGGAAGCGGCGTGCCTTCAGCTGTGCACCTCACCGTCTGTCCCCCAGTTGAGCCATGGTGATCATCGACCAAGTCCAGAATGGATGAAGGAACTGCAAGAGGCAGAAAGAAGTCAGAATGGAATAGCTCGTGTCCCAGAACATATGAGACTACAAAGTGGAATATGAGTTCACAACTCATCTACATGGCATTCAAAACACTCCGGAGGGGCTGAAACCAGTTGTACAAGTAACACTCCAGTTTAGACAGACCCACATGGTTAGCAGCATTTTCACAGTTTTGGTGTTTTGAGATTTATCCCTGTGATGTTTTTAACCTGGAGTGAAGAAAGTGAAAAGTCCATGGTTGTGATGCCTCACACATGTAGCCCCAGCTACTTGGGAGGCTGAGGTGGAAGAGAAACACTTGAGCCCAGGAGTTTGAGGCAAGCCTGGGCAACATGGTGAGAAGAAAAATGGGAAGGGAAGGGAAGGGGAGGGGAGGGGGGGAGGGGGGAGGGGAGGGGGAGGGGAGGGGGGAGGGGAGGGGAGAATGAAGGAAGGAAGGAAGGAGAGAAAGGAAAAGAGAGAGTGAGGGAAGAGGGAAGGAAGGAAGAAAGGAAAGAAGGAAGGAAGGAAAAGGGAGAACAAGGGAGGGAGGGAGGGAGGAAAAGGAAGGAAGGAAGGAGAGAAAGGCAAAGAAAAGAGAGAGTGAGGGAGGGAGGAAGGAAGGAAGGAAGGAGAGAAAGGAAAAGAAAAGAGTGAGTGAGGAAGGAAGGAAGGAAAGAAAAAGAGAAAGGAAAGGAAAAGAGAGAACAAAGGAGGGAGGGAAGAAGGAAGCAAGGAAGGAAGGAAGGAGAGAAAGGAAAAAGGGAAGAGGGAAGGAAGGAGAGAAAGGAAAGGAAAAGAGATAACAAGGGAGGGAGAGAAGAAGGAAGGAAGGAAGGAAGGGAGGGAGGGAAAGAGAGAGAGAAAGTCCCTTGGTTATTTGGCTTGAAAGGCAAGGAGGTTCTTAAAATTATATTATAGCTTAGGATTCAACTAATGGATTCAGCTAAAGTATAATCTAAAGCAGCATTTACCAAAATGCATCTGTGGTATGTTATTAGGTTTTAAAGATTCTTTTCTAAATCTGTGGTCAAATAAATTAGATATACGGTGTTGCTTGTATCACAGGTTTTACTGTGAGGATCACATGAGCGCACCTCAGACAGCACCTGGCTCATGGCTGGGACTCTGGATAGGTGCTGAGCCTGAATGTAAACAGACTTGGGCACTCCCTTCTGGTAAGGACCACTGTACAATGTCTATAAGGAAAACTTGTAGCAAAACTCTCCAGAACAATCTAAGGTCATCTGCTTCTCTCTTCTCAGATTGAGAAGCAGGTGCTAAGTAAGCTGGTGGAGGCCAGGTGCAGTGGCTCACACCTGTAATCCCAGTACTTTGAGAGGCCAAGGTGGGAAGATAGCTTGAACCCAGGAGACCAGCCTGAGCAACATGGCAAGACTCCATCTCTACAAAAATAAAGCTAGCTGGTGGAGCCTAGGGATTCCTCGCCTACTCTAGAGTAACCCAGAACCTCCCAGAAATACCTGAATTCATGAGTCCAGCAGAGGTATTCCCGATATGTGACATATGCAGACACTGCTTCTCCCCTAAGTGCTGCTTTTCTTCCATGACCGGGGAGAAAAGTGCCAGGCTTTCCTTGGAAGACACTCATCTACAGAGCTAGCATTATCTTTATACTCCCTTTACATACCTTGAGTTAACAGTTCAAAAGTATAGCTCTTCACAGCATCTTCATTTTGAGCTACAATAGTATAATGGCCACTGTCTTCTTCCTTAGCACGGATCAGCTTTAATTTGCTTCGATACCTTTTAAAAAAAGGATTTTGTTTCAACAAGCAGTAGCTAAGTAAGTTCCAATTGTTTAAACAATTGTACTCTTCAATTTAAGTTTTATTTTTACTGTAAAAAGTAAAGTCATCTTTTTTTCTTGTCCATATCATCTCTTCTGGAATTCTCAATATATAGTGCACACACTGAAGGTCTGGATCATACACACAATTCTTACAAGAGAAAACCAGACATTCAGAGATGAGCAATGGCCATCTCCAAGAGCTATCAGTTCAGCCACGGCCTGACTTCTGAATGAATAAACACAGCCTACCAACTTTTCTTTAAAAAAATAAAAAATAAAAACCTTTGATTTTTACCTTTTTTAAAAAATACTTGCTTCCCCTAAATATCCATCATTTAGGTGGTTCAGCCAAAAAATGGAATATCACTGGAGGATAGAATGAGGACACTTTCTATGTATTTGTATGTAGCGGTCTGCAGGATATGACAGTCCTACTTGCTTGTATTTTGCTTAAAGAAACTCTGGAAGGTTTCATAAGAACCTAATGAAACTAATGAAGATGTTTCCCTGTGGGGAGGAGGGGAGAACTGGGCAGCTGGGGACAGGAGTACAGTGAGGCTTCTTACAATGCATTCTCTTTTTGTTTGATTATTTTTCAAGCACGGGATTCTATCACCTATTAAAAAAAAGTTATAGGCTGGGTGTGATGACTCACACCTGTAATCCCAGCACTTTGGGAGGCCAAGGTAGGTGAATCACTTGAGGTCAGGAGTTCGAGACCAGCCTCACAAACATGGTGAAACCCCCATCTCTACTAAAAATACAAAAAAAAAAAAATTAGCCAGGCATGGTGGCACATGCCTGTAATCCCAGCTACTCAGGAGGCTGAAGCTGAAGAATCGCTTGAACCCAGGAGGCGGAGGTTGCAGTGAGCCGTGATCGTACCGCTGCACTCCAGCCTGGGTGACAGAGCAAGACTCCATCTCAAAAAAAAAAAAAAAAGTTAGAAAAAATATGCCTCTTCAAAAAAAAAAAATATATGTCTCTTCAAACTTTATTAAAGAGAAACTTCCCCAAAAATATTTTACATGGATTATAAATGACATCTGGTTGTGTGTGTGTGTGTGTGTGTGTGTGTGTGTATGTATGTGCATAAATATAGTATGTGCCCATTTGATTGTCCTTTATAAATCATCACAGTTGAAAAAGCAACTGGAATGGAGAAGAAAAGCATTGGTCATGGAGTGAGAAGATCTCGGGTATTATTACAATGCTCCATGCCTCAGTTTCCTTGTGTGTAAAACGTGATAATTGTACACATAGCACAGAGTCATTGTGAGAGTTAATTAAAGGAGATTGTATGTGTGAAAGCATTTCATAGGCTCCAAAACACTTTGCAAATACTGGGGCACTCAGACCTACGAAGACAGCAGGCTGGACCATACTGGGTGTGCTCCAGGACTGGATTTCCTTAAGAGAGTACCCTGGGGCACACTAGGATGCTGATTACCAAATTATCCTCTGCTGTTTGTTCTCTTCACTTCTTCGGCCAAGAAAACCACTGGTTTTCTTGCTCCAGGAAAGCCAGATCCCCCATCCTGGAGTTTTAAGCTCCAGGAAGCCAGATCCCCCATCTACCATGTTCATCTTTGTATTCACTGGCTCATAACAGGAACTAAAAAATCCACGTTGAAGCATCCTTGAATCACTAAAAGGAAAAGGCAGCTTTCCAGAACCACTCAGTTGGCGAGCCTGTCCTGCCACTGCTATGGATTATGGCTTGCAGACAGTGCTCACACACGTGTTGGAGGTGTTAGCTGTACCAGGGTTGTTACCCTATTCCTCTCTGGCTGCACAGCCTCATGGAAGTTCCTCGTGGAAAGCTGCCCTCCTTGTTGTACACCTTCATTTTGTGTCAACAGAAAGCCTTCCAGATTCAGTATCCCACTTCATTTTTCCTTTACTATTCTATAGAGGCTGTAAAATTCCATTTTCTCAGACATTGCTTCTCAATTACACGTGGAATTTAGTTCACAAAGAAGAAAGCAAATCCTGAGGTGAATGGAACTGATGAGAAAGGCTCTGTTCTTCCTCCTGAAGGCTTGAAATACAGGACTGACTTTGTCTTTCTGAGATGATTTCTGACAAAAGTATAGGGCTGGTTAGCTGGGTGCTGTGAGATGTATCTTCTGACTCTTGGGTTCTAATCACAGCTTAAAACCTTAAGAGGCCTCATGATATCATCTGATCCAATTCCTTGCCTTGAAGGACATAAGGTATTGTTTATCCTACATTGTAGATGAGGAAACTGTGGCTGAGGGGTGACTCATTCAAAACTCCACCACCAATTAAGAGATGAGAGCAATCTACCATTCTGATTAAAAGGTAGGGATCCAAGCAACTCACTGCACATCTCTCTCCTGATTAGCCAGGCTCTACTCTTCTTTCCTGTGGAGTCCTCAATTAGGGCAAATGGGTTCCAGATTAAGCCTATGACGTTAACTTTCACGTAAGGTGATGTGATAACTGCCTCATGGGTGTAATCACCATATCTGTCTACTTGCGATATGGATGATGAACATCAGGGAATATATTCAATCTATTCAATCCTGGTGAGTCCAATTTTACTTCCTTTCTTCCACCCTAGCTGAATCCAGTGACCTGTCTTTCCCCAGGGGCCAGAGCTTTTAGTTCTTTCTTCTCATCTTCTCATTAAATACTTACCAGCATACTAATACCACTTTGCAATGTTATCATTAAAGGGATGTGATTTCAAGCATCTCTTAACTCAGATTGTTACATTTTCTAGACTGACTTTGGGTCTGGGTTGTAAGACACACACAAACCTCAGTCCGCCTCTGATGCACACTAAAAAAAGGCATACTTGGGCAGAGAGTTTCTTTACCTTATTTCCTGAATCTTTTCCACATCAGTGGTGATCTCAGTGAGATTTTCAATCAGAGTCAGATTGTTTTTCAGCCAGGATATCCTGGGAGGTGGGTAGGCCCGCACCTCTACAACAAAATGTTTGACTTCATGCAGGTTGACAGCTTCCAACTGGCTGAAGGTGGGTTTGATTTCAATGAAACCTTTCTCTGTACAGGGAAGAGTTTCCATTAAATAATGATTACCACATATGGATCCCGAGCAGCATGGACAACTGACATTTTAGAAAGCGGAATGTACCATGGACAGAAATAGTGACTTTCTTCATTTCTTTGACCTCCCTGGTAGCCTGGCGGGCAGCACATTCGTAATCTCCACTGTCTTTCACCGTGGCCTCGGGGACCGTCAAAGTGTACACCAATTTGATGGATGGGACTTTGATTTCTTCCAGCATTGTGATGCCTTTGCCTTTCTACAGCAAAAGGGGAAGAAAACCGACTTTTAAAAAGCTCGCTCCTAGGAGTGAACTCTAAGATAAACTATGGACTCTGGATGATATGGATGTGTCAATGGAGGTTCAGCAGTTATAACAAATGGATGGTAGGGATGTTGACAAGGTGGGAGGCTACACATGTGTGGGTGTAGGGAACACATGGGAAATCTCTGTACCTCTCAATTTTGCTGTAAACCTAAAACTGCTCTAAAAGATAAAACCTAAAGAATAAAAGCTAGCTGCTTAGAAAATCATGAGATTTTTTATTTTGTTTTTAATTTTTTTAGAGACAGAATCTCACTCTGCTGCCCAGGCTGGAGTGCAGTGGCACAATCATGGCTCACTGCAGCCCCAACCTCCTGGGTTCAAGTGATCCTCCCACCTCAGTCTCCTGAGTAGCTGGGGCTACAGGCTCATGCCACCACACCTGGCTAATTTTTAAAAATTTTTGTAGAGACGGAGTCTTGATACATTGCCCAGGCTGATCTCAAACTCCTGGCCTCAAGTGACTCTCCTGCCTCAGCCTCCCAAAGTACTGGGATTACAGGCATGAGCCACCACACCCAGCCCATTTTTTAAAAGGACAGTTAATGACACATATAAGGTGTTTGTGCTATACTGCTGAAGGATAAAGAATGTAATAAATTACCATTTAAAGAATAACACCTATTATTCAATGTTTATCTATGGATAAGAAATACTTAAGAGCTTTATCTCAGTCAAGCTCAGAGGCTCACATGTGTAATCAATCCCAACACTTTGAAAGGCCAAGGTGGGAGGATCACTTAAGCCCAGGAGTTTGAGACCAGCCTGGGCAATGTAGTGAGATCCTCATCTCCACAACAAAAAAAAAAAAGAAAAAAGAAAAAAAAAAGAAAGAAATACAAATGAAAAATAAAAGCTTTATCTCCCTAAAATATAAACAGTGATGCTCTGGGAAGTAGCCTTTCCTTTGTCTCTCCATATTTTACAAAGTTTCTGCAATAAACCTGCATTACTTTTATAATCGGAAAAAACATACTGTATGAAACAATACTTTGATTATATATTTGTAAGCCAAATAGCATGTACTTCGGTTTGGAAAAAAAAATTGCTGTCTCCTATAAATAGAAAGCAGTGTTTATGTGTTAAGGATTAAAGTCAATCAAGTATGAACAGAAGAACCAAATCACTTCATATTTCAGGGAAGATGTACATTTGTTGGACTGTAAATGTCCCTTCACTGTGTGAAGTTTGTGAGGCAATAGTGAAAATGCCCAACTTCCTATCAGATGCCCCAGGACAAATGAAAAGCAGCGGCAAATGCATGGGAGAGAGAAACGGATAAAAGGAGGGAGATCAATGGATAGAAGGACAGAAAGCTGTCAAATGCCTAAAAGAACAGGGAGCAGAAATTTACAAGTCAGGAGTGGAGGCAAGAAATATATATATCTCGTTTTTGTTCTCCATAAGAATATTAGTCATTCCTGCATTTGGGCATTCATAGCCTCTTACACATGGCTGTCTTACACACTTAGTGACAATGCATTAGAATGACTGAGACTCTGTAAATCTCCAGTGACCAAGAGGCAGCATGGTGGCTCCCCTTCCCCACTTCCATCTCCCCTCCTCCCTTCTTCCTGCAATACTGAACCAGCTTCTGGTACAGTGCTTGGGATTGAGCAAACTTCATTAAACCTTTGCTGAATGATTACATCATAACGGTTCACTGAAGGTGAGCCATGCAAAGGTCAGGCACATAGGAGGTGGAACAGGAAGACACATTGTCCTGGGTGCCAACAAGGCAGAAGAGGAAGGGGTGCGGGCAATCAACACTATCAGATGAATCAAACCTCAGGGCACAGAAGCCAAGACGATGAGAATCAATCACTGTCTCCGCAATAGTAAAATCCAGTGGTTTTTTTGCTCTTCTAATTTTTTGGTTGATATCTTGTAGCCAGAGAACCTTCCTATTTCTGTCTGACTTCTGAAAAAGAAGGCTTACGGCACACTCTTTATGTATTCTGAAGGGCCTGGTCCAGGAACTATCATTTCAAACTCTCCCATTGATCAAGGAGTCCTAAAGGCCATTTAATCAAATGTGTTCATCCCAGAGGTGGGAAGCTAAGGTCTAGAGAAACTCAGTGATGTGCCCATCAGTGACAGACCGAGCTCAAATGCAGGTCTTCTGAGCCCTGTTGCTCTGCTCCAAGCCATTGCACGTTTTGAGGGTACCTACCACTTCTCCAGGGTAAGTCCATTGAAGGTCAACCACCTCATTGTTAAAAACAGCACAGGTGACCACAATCGTTTCCCCTGACTTATACACGGTTTTAAGAGCTTCCATTTCTAGATCCAGCTCTGATGTTGCTATAAAAAAGAACAAATACAAGGGCCTAAAAATCCACAGGATAGCCAGGATCTTATAAAGTTTGGGTTTTTTTTTTTTTTTTTAAGAAAACCCTGAAAAATAATTTGCAAACCAGTTTGATCAAGATAAAATTTGGAAAATCTCACAAGGCTTGATTGTGAGATGGTGTACAACAATTAGGCATATAGTTATAATACAGAATTACAAAATAATAACAATAAAAATAAATTCCAATCAAACAGAACACCGCATTCCTCAGCAGTGGGTTAGTTATGGTTATACTCGTCCACAATCTCCTTGACTAATAAATTTATTCATTTAATCAACCAACATTTGCTGATCCACACTGCTCTAGACACTTTGTTTCTATCCAATTGTTTCTTCTCTTCTTCTCTTCCACTCTGCTCCTCAGTTATTCTCAGTACTTTCCCAGAACCTAGCACAGTGCCTGGCACAAAATTAGCTGTGCTCTGATTTTAAAACAGTGTACTCTTGCTGCTACCCATTCCTCCATGTAATATAGTGTTCAGGAAATATCTGTTGACCTCAGCATGTATTATACTTCCCCAAGCGTACTAACTGTGGACATCAAAGGGTTGAAGTCTAAACTACTTTCTTCAAATCACTTTTCTTAAGTTACTAAAATTAATCTAGGCATCTAACCCCCTGGGTGTATGTTTGTTTTTAGGGCCGCCATAGTCAGGAATGTGAATGAAAGTAAGAGGCTTATGTAAGAAAAGAATTCCTTACAGTATTTTGAAGTCAACTGATGAAACATGAAATCTTGCATGGGTAATCAAGCTTTGGCCTTTAGTAATTTTAAGCTTATTATTATAGCCACAGACATTGTATTAGCTGGGGTCCTAAATCCCCAAATCAGAATTTAGGATCACCAGTGATGATGATTTAAAAAAAAAAAAAAATCCTACACGCACCTTATGATTTTGCCTGTTACTCTTATTTAAAGAAGGAAGGAGATGATACAAGTACCTTTTAAAGCATAAACATTAAATGGGATGGTCTGGAACTTCTTTCCTTTGACGGTGGCCTCACAGATATAGGGCCCTACAGTGAAGGTCCCATTAAAGCCCTGTCTGCTGTCGTAGGAGGCAGGTACCACCCCCTCACTGTTGTGTAAGGTTACAGGAGTCTCGGGATCAGTTGTGCGACAAGGTATAATGGCAGAATCATCATCCTCCACGATGACTAAATAATCCGTCATTCCTAGAGGTACAAAGGCTACATCTGGGTCTGTGGTTTAAAAAAGAATGAAGACTCTATTAGACATTAATTTCACCTTTACACATAAATCCAGAAAAACTATCCCACTGGCATTATTGATATTAGGTATGAAGTTCACCTTTACACATATATCCAGAAGAATTGCCCCACTGGCATTAGTTATCATGACAGCTACAAAGTGATTTTTAAGTATGAATAATACCAAATTGCCTGTCTCCTGATGGATAATACTGATGATAAATATCAATACTGGACAGGAGTTGTGGCTCATGCCTGTAATCCCAGCACTTTGGGAAGCCAAGGTGGGAGGGTTGCTTGTGTTCAGGAGTTTGAGACCAGCCTGGGCAACATAGAGAGACCCTGTCTCTACAAATAAATAAATAAATACTAACCAGGAATCTAAATCAAAATTTAAACAACTAAAAACAAAAATTAACAATAAAATAATACAGTCCAACTCTGTTTAAAACAGGAAAAAATATTTCGAGTTTTATTATGAAATGCTTTTAAAAACTCTTACCACCTATAGTCAGTATGATTCAAAAATAGCATAGAAATCTGTTTATTAAAAAGTAATCCTTTGAGAAATACATAAAATTTAAAGAAGGAGAAGGAGCCTGAGAATTTCCTTTCCAAAAGAAAAACAGCTACTTAAGCTACGGTGGTAAGAAGTTCTAACAGTCTCAAACATCAGCTGCAGAAAGGGCCCCTACGTCTGCATGATTGCGAATAAAAAGATCTCAGTCAGACAGCGATGCAGGGGCTACTTGGATGGCATCTGTGCTGGAACAAGAAGAATTTTTGGACAATCTTACACGGATTAAAACTTCAGGGACTCGTGTGCCTTTAACACATTCACGTTCCTACCATTCTCTTCACAGCAGGGGAAAATCCCTCCACACCTAGAGGATTTTCCTGAAGGAATCTAAGTGTGAATGAAGTTGGAGTGACATTCTAAATACCTTCCCTTTTCAAAACAAAGTTTTTGGTTTTTTTTAATTGTTAAGAAGGAAGGTTCATATGAATAAGAGTATCATGAAAAAGTAAAGAGGGTCTAGATCCCTGGGGACACTCGTAGTTATAGAGGGTAGGAAGAGGAGCCCATTAAAAACTGAAAAAGAAAAGGCAGAAAGGTAGGAAGACACACCTATGCCAAAACAGCAAGGATGGCAAGAATCATAAACAGTTTAGGTTTTGTTCTAAAACCAAGGATTCTAGCCATAGTCCTTTTTAATTTACCCAACTGCATACTGAAATTGCCATCACTTGTGCTCGACCCTTTTGTCCTTTTAATTAAAATGCAGGAGTAGGCCAGGCCCAGTGGCTCGTGCCTGTAATCCCAGAACTTTGGGAGGCTGAGGTGGCTGTGGATCACTTGAGCCCAGGAGTTTGAGACCAGCCTGGGCAACACAGTGAAACCCTATCTCTACAAAAATAAAAATAAAAATTAGGGCACAGTGGCTCACGCCTGTAATCCCAGCATTTTGGGAGGCCGAAGCAGGCAGATCACTTAAGGTCAGGAGTTCAAGACCAGCCTGGTCAATATGGTGAAACCCCCGTCTCAACTAATATAAAAATTAGCTGGGCGTGGTGGTGCATGCCTGTAATCCCAGCTACTGGGGAGGCTGAAGTGGGAGAATCGCTTGAACCAAGGGAGTTGAGATTGCAGTAAGCTATGATGATCATGCCACTGCATTCCAGCCTGGGCAACAGAGTGAGACCCTGTTACCAAAAAAAAAAAAAATATATATATATATATATATATATATATATATATGTAACTTTTTTAAAAGGAAAAAGAAAATTCCTTCCAACTCTCCAAGAATAAATGTATGTTGATAGTGAATCTGAAAAATCGAGTGTTTATTTGGAAGATATTATAATGAACTATCAGCAACTCCAAGACAGGGCTTACCTATTAATTTTTGTGTACTCAACACTTAGCCCAGTGCTGGACACACTGTGAGTATGTGTGCAACTTGAATGAACTGAATAGAGATGAGTATATTTCAGATTGTTTATACAGTATCAATACAGGACATGTCATAACAAAGATGACTTTCCAAACTTAATACAGCTCTGAAATGCTAACAATGAATATTTCTTGATAATATTACAAATGATTTTTGTGTGTGTTCGCTTACATTTTTCAAACTTCCCGCAATAAATATTAATTATTTATATATATGTTTAAAACCTTAGTACATTTAACAGGAGAGACAGGAAGAGAAGAAGCTTGGTCCTGGAGACCCAGCCAACTCACCTGGCACATAGATGTAAATGTGCCTGCCTTCAAGCTCATTCTCTTCTGTCTGAGTGTGGTTGTAATAGCAAGTGTACAACCCTGTGTGGGCCGCCGAGGCACTGCTCACTTCCAAGACCGTCACAAAAAGGCCGCTGTTGTTTTCTTCATTTCTGATTTCCACATCGGAGCTCTCTTCTTCAGACATGGGGTACTGCCAGCTCACTTCACTCTCCCCAAAGCATCTCAGAGAAAAGGATGAATTCAGCTGCACAACCTTTTCATTTTCATTTGGAAGGATAGAGGGTAATGAAAGCTGGCAGAGGATTAGGCTCAGCCCTGCAAAAGGAAGCACGCTCTGAATAGGATGCAGTCAGAAAGGACAGTCTCATCCCGACAACTGAGAGAAGCAACAGTAGCAGCTTAGATGAACAATGACCATTTCTACACAAAAATCCGTTAGCCTGGATGCCCATGAAAGCTCCCCCATTATAACAGCCACTGCATCTGCTGAGAGCAGCAAATGTTCCAAATAGCTCCACCAAGCCCCACTAGATTCACCCCTCCAAACACTCAAATAGACAGAGGATGTCTGATTCCAATTCCATATTTCAGACTCTTATGTGTAACCATAAAATATCCCAAGATGGCACGGGCTCAAGCACATATGGGTTCTTTATGGTTCACAATCACTGCAAAGGTTTCCTTTAGTTAAAATGAGATGAGGCTGGGGCGCAGAGGCTCATGTCTATAATCCCAGCACTTTGTGAGGTGGAAGTGGGAGGATCGCTTGAGCTCAGGAGTTCGAGACCAGCCTGGGCAACGTAGTGAGACCTGGTCTCCACAAAAAATAAAAAAATAAAAAAATTAGCCAGGTGTGCTGGTGTACACCTGTAGTCCTAGCTACTCTGGAGGCTGAGGTGGGAGGATCACTGGAGCCCAGGGGATTGAGGTTGCAGTCAGCCTCTGCACTCCAACCTGGGCAATAGAGCGAGAGACCCTGTCTCAAAAAAAAAAAAAAAAAAAAAAAAAAAAACCCACATGGAATAAGAATGGAGGCAAGGACACAGACTGAAGAAAACACAAAGCACATCTGTGCTCAAGAATTCCACATCTTCCATTTCTTATAGCCCTCGGGCATGCCGTCTCTCCCTCATGACTTCCAGGGCCAAAGCAGGATGATGTGGATTTATTTGTTTATTTATTTCTTTATTTTTATGAGATGGAGTCTTGCTCTGTCACCCAGGCTGGAGTGCAGTGGTGCCAGATGATACGGATTTTAATTCACAATTGGTAAGTAAAACCCAAGAGTGAAAACTCTAAGTTCATCTTCGAAGCTCAAATTTCAGTCTCGCTTATTTAGACTGAAATTGCACTTACTCCTTTTGCAATAGAGTAAGTGCAATGCAGCAAAGGAACTGAAGGTTTGTGGTCATTCTGGATAACGTCCTGTAGTTTTCTATTTCTTTTCACTCTTTTGGACTGTGTAAGCAGAGTACAGATAATAAACCCATGGAGCACAGAACTTAGAAAACAAGAAACCCGAGACTGATAGAAGAGATATTATGACTTAATTATTAATTAGTGATTTGTAATCTCCCTTGGAACCTGGTGTGAGACTCCCACCCAACTTCAATATATGACCACTATAATTCCTAAAGCTTGTTAAGATAGGATTTGTAAGTACATCTGGATCACCTATTACTCTGTAGATGGGGTATACTTAGTGGAGCTTAGAACTGTTGAATCTCTGGTCTTGCTCAATTCTACCATATCCAAATGGGTAAGACAAAGACACTAACGGGCTGAGCTAACTCCTCAGAATAGAAGAGCACTGGTTTCATGGCGAACATCTGCAGTGCATAAATATCTGGAGGAAAACTAAGACAGTCCAATACACACTTCAACAAATTACCCCAATGATCCTTTTGGTGGGAAAGTTTTTAAGATTTTCCAAGAGCCAAACATTCATCTATCAATTTGATTCCTAGAGAAGATAAAGGTGACTCTGAGATTTAGAAGCAATGTAAGCATCTTTCCTCAAGAGAGTTATGATTTAAGACAAGTATGATTTCTTGGGCAAGAATTTTCTATTATTTATTTCCTTTGAACATTTTTTTTAAATGAGGTCTTGCTATGTTGCTGGAGTGTGGTGGCTAGTCACAGGCATAATCACAGTGCACTGCAACCTTGAACTCCTGGCCTTAAGGGATCATCCCACCTCAGCTGCTCAAGGGGCTGGGACAACAGATGTGCCACCTCCCACAGCTGACCATTCCTGAATTTATCTAATCCAGCTCTAATAGAAGCCTTGTCCTAGGAAAAGGAAGAGAGTAGTAAGTAAATTTAGACATTATTACTAACAACATTTCAATGCCAACATTATATATGTACTAAAACTGCCACTGGAGAGCATTCCTTTTGAAATGGAGTAAGTGCAATACAGCAAAGGGAACTGAAGGTTTGTGGTCATTCTGGATAACGTCCTATAGTTTTCTATTTCTTTTCACTCTTTTGGACTGTGTATGCAGAGTACTGGTAATAAACCCATGCAGCACAAAGCTTAAAAAAACAAGACACCCAAACAAGGAACTCAGAGAGGACTGGGCTCCGTACCTGTGAGAAGACAGCCTAAGACCAGGAACGCCGGATGGGAAGTCCCCATAGCTCTGGGAAACTAGAAAAGTCAAAAGTCAACAGAAACAGCATTAGCAAATAGAAACAACCCTGGAGCCTAGTTCTCTTTGTGTTTTGCACAACAGAAAATATTAACAGCATCATTTTAGTCAAACATGTCCCAGGTTAAAATTCAAGGTTCAAACAGTAAGACGCCTGAAAGATGAAAGAATCAATGGGGCCCCAAGATCATGGCGGGAGCTGCCTGAAGCCAAAACCTTCTGTGATTGCATGCAGTTTTCAATGGTCCTTTAAACCATTTATATTAAGAATTCAAACAACAAAGAAATAAATACATATATATATATTTTTTCTCAGCTTCCAAACTAGAGCTGATTTTCACGTTTCAATTAATAAAGAGGTCACACTCTCTACAACTTTTAGAAAAGTTGCTTGGGTTGGGGTAAATACCTTAATATTTCAGTGCCATTTTGACCTAGAATTTCTGAAACTTCCAACAATGTGTGTCATTTACAGGAGGCCTTTGTGATACTGAGGCACATACCAGGCTCAGACCTGGGCACCCAGCCGGGGTTCTTGCAGGAACCCTTGGAGAACCTGCTGGATCCCAAGCCAGGCTAAACAGGGCATGGAAAAGCAGGTACAAGCATGAAAGGAGGAGCAATAGAGAAAGTGAAGAAGGGAGAGAAAGTGGGAGAGATAAGTGTGACTAAATTCCTGTGCAGGGGGTAGGAGGGATGCAGTAGACTCTAGGATGAAATTAGAAGGAGGCTGATCATTCATTTTCATGTTAAAGTAAAAGCACCCGTGCAAACCAAGTTCAAGAACTTTCTAATTTTCTACAGCCAAATCTGGGAATGAAGAAGTAGAGAAAGAGACGGAAATTGAGTCAGACACAAATAAGGCAAAAAGTGGGCAAAAAGTGGGAAGGGAAAAGAAAATTAAAAGAGAAAGAAACTAAAAGGGGGCTCCTGTTGCCCTGGGGTAAAACCACTGAAGGGACTATTCTGGCAAACTGTGAAAAGACCTCTCTTCTTTATCTCTTCCCCATTCACTTTATTTTATCTCCCCCCTCATTTCTCCCTTGAAGTCACTGATAGTGGTCACTGGTGAAGTCAGTGAGAAGGAACTGTGAATGAACTTGTAGGTGCTAGGGCCAGTAAGTACCCAGGTATTGACTCAAGAAGCCACACTGAGGGGCCTGGGCAGAGCCCCCAGTTTTAACATAACCCCCCAAAAATCACCATGTTAGTCTTGGCCTGGGATGCACCAGATCCCTAAGTTGCTCCTAATGTCACATGGTGAATCCCAAAATTGGAGATCACCATGGGAGGCCACATGGGTTCTTGGCTTTACCCAGGAAGGAATTCAAGCAAATTTATTAAGAAAATAAAGGAATAAAAAAGGGTGGCTACTCCATAGGCAGAACAGCCACGCTGCTTAACTGAGTATACTTATGGTTATTTCTTGATTATATGCTAAACTAAGGGTGCATTATTCATGATTTTCCCAGAAACAGGGAGGAAATTCCCAGAACTGAAGGTTCCTTCCTTTTTCCACCATATAGGGTAACTTCCTGTCATTAATACAACATTTGTAAACTGTCATGGTGCTGGTGGTATCTTTTAGCATGCTAATGCATTATAATTAGCATATAATGGGTAGTGAGGATGACCAGAGGTCACTTTCATCACCGTCTTGGTTTTGGTGGGTTTCGGCTTCCTTCTTCATTGCATCCTAGGTTTTTGGGGTTTTTTAATTTGTTTATGAAACAGGGTCTTGCACTGTTGCCCAGGCTGGAGTGTACTGGCACAATCATAGTTCACTGTATCCTTGAACTCCTGGGCTCAAGCAATCCTCCCACCTGAGCTGACCCCCATGCCTAGCCCAAGAGCTGGGACTACAGGCCTGCACCACCACACTCAGCTCATTTTTAAAAAATTATTTGTAGAGATGAGGTCTCACTATGTTGTCCAGGCTAGTCTTGAACTCCTAGGCTTAAGCAATCCTCCTGCCTTGGCCTCCCAAAGTGCTGGGATTACAGGCATAAACCACCACACCCGGCCCGCATCCTGGGGTCTTTATCACCCGTATCTTGTGAAACCACCACACCCAGCTCATTTTTTAAAAATCATTTGTAAGGCAAATCGCTTGAACCAGGGAGGCAGAGGCTGCAGTGAGCTGAGATCGCACCATTGCACTCCAGTGTGGGCGACAGACTGAGATTCCATTTCAAAAAAAAAAAAAATTATTTGTAGAGGCTGGGCACGGTGGTTCATGCCTGTAATCGCAGCACTTTGGGAGGCCAAGGCAGGTGGATCACCTGAGGTCAGGAGTTCGAGACCAGCCTGGCCAACATGGTGAAACCCCATCTCTACTAAAAACACAAAAAAATTAGCCAGGCGTGGTGGTGTGCGCCTCTAATTCCAGCTACTCAGGAGGCTGAGACAGGAGAATCGCTTGAACCCCTGAGGTAGAAGTTGCAGTGAGCCAAGGTCATGCCACTGCACGCCAGCCTGGGCGGCAGAGCAAGACTCCATCACAAAAAAATAAAATAAAATAAAATAAAAATTATCTGTAGAGATGAGGTCTCACTATGTTGCCCAAGCTGGTCTTGAACTCCTAGGATTAAGCAATCCTCCTGCGTTGGCCTCCCAAAGTACTGGGATTACAGGCATAAGGCACCACACCCAGCTTGCATCCTGTGGTCTTTATGAAACCATTCCTACCCAACTCCTATCTCATCCTGTGACTACAAATGCCTAACCTCCTGGGAATGCAGCCCAGCAGGCCTCATCCTCTTCTTACCTAGCCCATATTCAAGATGAAGTCACTCTAGTTTGACCTCCTCTGATGCTAACTCATGCAATGGAGTGGGCCTAATAGGACTCAATTTGTTCCATCACTGACTTTGGAAGCTAAAATACGTATACATAATTACTGAATAAACTGTTTGTTGTTGTTGTTGTTGTTGTTTTAAAAAAAAAAGGAGGGAAGGGCGCAGTGGCTCACGCCTGTAATCCCAGCACTTTGGGAGGCTGAGGCGGGCAGATCATGAGATCAGGAGATGGAGACCATCCTGGCTAACACGGTGAAACCCTGTCTCTACTAAAAATACAAAAAATTAGCCGGGCGTGGTGGCAGGCACCTGTAGTCCCCGCTACTCAGGAGGCTGAGGCAGGAGAATGGCGTGAACCCAGGAGGTGGAGCTTGCAGTGAGCCAAGATCGCGCCACTGCACTCCAGCCTGGGTGACAGAGCAAGACTCTGTCTCAAAAAAAAAAAAAAAAAGAAAGGGGAGAAATTCAGCGTTTTCTTGTATTCCTGTATTTAGCCTGAGTTGGGTTTGGGTTGGTTAAACAGGATCCAGTAGATAATAGCCTAATTTGGTGGTGCCTGATCATGTATTTTGCTCTAAGGTGGCCTACATTGCAGAAATCAGAATTCTGCTTTATTGAATGCCACCAGGAAAATGGGAGAGGAAGAAAACACAGAGTGAAAGGTAGCAAGCTTCTAATGGGAAAGGGAGGTGGAGTAGATAGAACAAAAAGAAATCATTATTTACTAAGCCAAAGTTTGCATGTGCATGCTGTGTTTCTGAAGAATAACCCTGTGGTTACTTAGAGCTGATTTTAAGAAGGGGCAGTTGAGGCTCAGAGAGGTTTCGCAAATGACCCAAGGTCACACAGCTGGTGTCAGAGCCAAAATTCTAATACAAGGCCTGTGTGATGCAAAAGCTGTGCCCTCTCCACTTCACCATATGGTCTCTCTCAAGGGAAGGTCAGTGTTTTAGCCATGTCGCACCGCCCCCCACCCGGCCCAGTGCCTGTCCCTCCCCCACAATTTCCTAGGGCAAATTACACAACCCTCCCTTCCCTTTTCCCTCTCTGCTCCTCATAGCAGGAGAAGGACAATTACAGTGCTGTGAACCCAAATGCAATTCACACAATGCTGGCTGGCTGATCGCTTCTGAGGAGCCCGGCATGTGCCTGGGATGCAGGGCTGGTGTTAGGCACAGTGGGATCCAGAGCCAGGCTGGCCAGCCTGATTTACCACAATTAGCAGTAACACTTGTGTGCTTCTACATGTAAATATCAGCCTCCCACTGACAATCCACTCAGCAAACTTCAAAGGAGACCTCCAGAGCCAGCTTGATGTCGTCGTGGCTTTTATCACATTTAGATCCCGTATTTCTTTGGCAAGGCTTGCCAATGATGCATCTTTAAAGCATTCTCGAGCTTAAAAGAAGGGTTCACTGCTTTTCCTGCAAAACCTGAGGAGTGTTTTTCACTGGCCAGACCCCACCAGATTTCCCTGTGTGCATCCAGACATGGTGGACCCACTGCCAGGGAAGATTATTTACTGACATATAAAGTGGGCAATGAAAACAGGCTCTCTGAGCAAGCCATCAGGAGGCAAATACTGAGAATCAACATGTGTTTGTTGCTTAAGATTCCAAACTCCCTTCTCTGATAACAGCGGTTCCCTGGGTAGAAATCTAGGCCTGTTTGTGAAGTTTCATGTCATTACTTATCTATAACTCAGACAGTTTACTCATGCATAATGGCAGTGCTTGCCCCACAGGGAGGTAATGAAGAAAAATGGGAAAGATGGGGACTTTCCTCACCTATTAGACCTGTAGTGAGGCTTTCTGGAAGTGAGTCTTGCTGTTCCTGTCACTTTTTCTACTCTAAATGCTCATTCTTAATTAGTAATGCTATTCTGGAGCTCACCTAAAAGTCAGGTGCACAAATATAAGTAATTGAAGCCACAAATTCTGAGAAACATGGCACTATAAGAATCAGTGAGAACAGGCCAGGCACAATGGCTCACTCCTGTAATTCCAGCACTTTGGGAGGCCAAGGTGGGTGAATCACTTGAGGTCAGGAGTTCAAGACCAGCCTGGCCAACATGGTGAAACTCCACCTCTACTAAAAATAAAAACATTAGCCGGGCATGGTGGCACACTCCTGTAGTTCCAGCTACTGGAAAGGCTGAGGCATGAGAATCACTTGAACCCAGGAGGCAGAGGTTGCAGTGAGCCAAGATCACACCACTGCACTCCAGCCTGGGCAACAGAGCAAGGCTCCATCTAAAAAAGAAAAAAGAAAAAAAGAATCAGGGATAACAACCCCTTTACAGAAAAGAACAATGGATTTCATCTAGATTTCTTCAATCATAATTACTTCTCTCATGCCAACTATGTGTTGAACTTCAGCCCCCATTCTCAATAATCACAGCTCAAAAAGCTTTTGCCATAACTTAGAGAAACAAACTGAGAAAGAGACCCCTGCTCTGTTGACTCTCAGGCAGGTGACTTGTGCTTTACCCCCATCCTCTTAGCCTTCTTATGCTTTCTCTCAGAAGAAAGGATGGAAATCACATTGGACTAGCCACTGATCCCATATCTGACACTCTGTCCAAATCTCTGAACCTCAGTCTCTTCTAGGAAGCACGACTAGTAAGGTCTGATTGGTTGCTTGCCCTGTGACATTATCGTAAGGACTAAATTATGGAGATTAATGGAAAGTGCTTTGGTTTTCATTACTTTTTCTGCAGACTCCCATAATATTTCAGAATGATTACTTCAACTTCTCTTTAACTAAGAAAGTGAGGGATGCCCCAGAAGCCACATAACTTGCCCTGCACTTCCTACCTCTTGGAGACATGGATCTGAACTCTGATTTAGCCCACACCAGCAGTCCACTCCCATGACCCTGTTACCTCCAGCCTGGTGTGGCTATAAAGACCATTCAAAGATGAGCCAATATATACAGTCACAGAAACAGAGAAACAAATGACTTTGCAGCTACTATCCTTTCTCTTTAACAGGGTGCCATCTCCTGCCCTGCAAACAGAAGTAAAGAGCCATTGGACATGACTCTATAACCAAAGGCAATGTGCAAAGGTAGTGTAAACGGACAGTAGGCAATGCAAGGCTCTATTTCCAGAAGGACTAACAGCAAGACATTCTTCTCCTAAAGCCAGAGAGTTGGCTTCTCAATCACCAATTGCACAGTGCATCCCATTGCAGAACCACTGAATATTGAATTTCACCCCACCCTCACATGATTAAAGACCACAAGAGACTCTCTCACAGTCCCAAAAGCCACTGGTGACTTCAAGATTCAGATTTCCGAGGCTCAGTTAATTTCAGCTCTCCTAAGTTAATTCTAACTGTGAAAATTACACATCTTCTTTTTTTTCTGCAGCAAATGTTCTACTCAGTCTCCTAACTTCAGCCCAGACAACCCAAGTGCAGGCTTACACTGATGGAAACTTCTCCCTGTTTTCCAGCAGAGGGTGTGTTTACCAGGACCTCTGCACCCTACCAGAGCCTGTTGTCAGTACAGTGAGGACAAATCATAACTCTGAGTTCTGACAAAAGGTGAAATCTGGAAGATTAATAAGTGTTCAATTTAAGAAAATGTTAAGTAAGCTTTTCCTGCATTCCTACACAAAGAGGACAACAGCAATATATTCCACAACAGTAAAACAAAATCAGCACAATTATCCCAAGTAAACTAAATAAGAAGGCTTTCCATGAACTGGGTAATTGTTAAAACCAAGCTGATATGGGGTCACTAGCCAATTCTAATACATGCCTAGAATTAGAATACTAATCCAGATCTTTACGTTAGCCATCCCTCTTATTTCTTCTGAGCAACAGCCATAGATCACTGGTTGATTCTCAGGAATAAGCAGGGTCTGCCTAAATTGCAGAAGAAACTCAAAAACAACAGACGAGACTAGAATCTAATAACTGGTGTATCATAGTTTTTGAAACAAATTCTCTCTCTAGCTTCCATTTTTACCAAAGACAAATCATAGTGGGACAAATTTGTTTGCCATAAAGTTTTAATCTTATGAAATTTGGCCTGATTATTTGTATAAAGTGCAGCAAAAATAATTATTTGCCACATAGGCTCTTGTTAAAATTGGTTTCGATGGAAATTTAATTTAAAAAGAATCTCACATTAGGCTTCTTAAAGCCTTGAGCCAGCCACAGATTTATCTGTGCCTGCAAATACCTGTATAAGTTGGGTGCATTCCTTTCTTCTTGATGTCCCAAGATAACTTGGGGCTCCTGGGCCTGTCAGAAAGTGACATTCTTCACTTACCACAGGTCAGGAACCCCATACAGAGACTGCATAGACAAAGAATAAGGCCAGTTTTCCATAGTGGCTTTTATTGGCTCTATAAGTCAACTTTGATCCCTTAAAGCAGTCTGTTTGTATCTGAAAGCACACCATTCTAGTCAAAGCCTTCATAAAATAAGCAGTTTCTTTAATTGTGTCCTATTACAAAAGAAAAGATTCTTACTGCACTTAGGCAAATAACTATATTGCTATTAGTTAAGAATACTCCCAAATAGTTTTCAAATTCTGGAGAAATCAGGTAAAAAGAAAGACATATGCTCCAAATTTTGTCCATAGTAGTATACTTTTTTCAATTGTTAAAAGCAGTAAATACTTTCCAAAGGAAAAGTTTTCTTGACTCTGAAAAGCAAAACAGAAAGGATATGCAATGTTTTAAGCAAAAAGTCATTAAAAGATTGTTTTGGTCTTTTATTAGTTTAGTCCATGCTGTTAACTCTTGTTTTGCCTGATATTGGGCCACATTCCTTATGAATATATTAAGTTTCTATGAGAATCCTGGAAGTTTATTTGTGTTTTCTTTTCTGTTTCAATGGCACAATATTCTTTTTCAATTTTTTTTTTTTTTTTTTTTTGAGACGGAGTTTCCCTCTTGTTGCCCAGGCTGGAATGCAATGGTGCGATCTCAGCTCACTGCAACCTCTGCCTCCCAGGTTCAAGTGATTCTCCTGCCTCAGCCTCCCGAGTAACTGGGATTACAGGTGCATGCCACCATGCCTGACTGATTTTTGTATTTTTAGTAGAGATGGCATTTCACCATGCTGGCCAAGCTAGTCTTGAACTCCTGACCCCACGTGATCTGCCTGCCTCAGCCTCCCAAAGTGCTGGGATTACAGTTGTGAGCCATCATGCCCAGCCAATGGCACAATTTTCAAAGTTATCAGAGGCTTGCATTTTAGAGTACCCATCAGAGTCCTATAGCTGATTATAAACCACCTTTTGAAAAGGATTAAAACAAGACAATTGTCTGTGGGTGACAAAAGTCTTAGGACAGCTGATTAAAGATGCAATTGACAAAGAAATTTGGTTAACTCTGTAGCACACAATAATGTAACATAAGAACTATAATTATGACTGATAATGTACACTAAGTCATATCAGAATTATAGGAGTTTTGCATAATTTTGGAACATATACCAATAACACATTTATATAAGTATAGTCCAAAGAAAGCCAAATAGCATTTTATATTTGAAAGTGCTTCCTGTATGATTTTAATATATCTAATAAGCCAAATATGTCACTTTTGGACTTTAGGGGACCTAATATCTAGAAGGACTAATCAGGTCAGAAAAAGACTTACATTAGAATTTCAGTTTGGAACGTTTGTCAAATACAAAAGGTTTAAACAGTTGATATTACAAAATAGAATCCCAGGTCACCATAAAGCATTTATTTAGCCAAAATGATAACTCAAAGATTTCAAAAAGGTAAAAACTTTTACTCATTGATATAGGGGAGACTTGGGTTTCCAAATGATCTGTCACTTTTCTCTCCCTTATTTTTCCTATAGTTTATTTAAAAAGCAAATAAAAATCTTTCATTATCTTGTAATAATACATGAAAATCTTATTCAAGAGAGAAAGCCACATTTCACGTTTGCATTAGTGTAGTATTAATGTCAAACCCAATTCTTAATAAAACTTTATAGACAAATCTTCCCAATCTTAACCAGTTTGACCATAAGGTAAGATTCTCATAAACCTTTTAAACCCTTTACAATTTTCTGTTACAGAGTAGATCAGTGCTCTAGAAAACTCTGTTGTGCTTTTTAATCCTAATGTTTAACTTACAAAAATAATAATAATAATATCCCTTTAACTTTATTTTTTAAAAATTTTTTTATTTTATTATTATTATACTTTAAGTTTTAGGGTACATGCGCACAATGTGCAGGTTAGTTACATATGTATACATGTGCCATGCTGGTGTGCTGCACCCATTAACTCGTCATTTAGCACGAGGTATATCTCCTAAAGGTATCCCTCCCCACTACCCCCACCCCACAACAGTCCCCAGAGTGTGATGTTCCCCTTCCTGTGTCCGTGTTGTTCTCATTGTTCAATTCCCACCTATGAGTGAGAATATGCGGCATTTGGTTTTTTCTTCTTGCGATAGTTTACTGAGAATGATGATTTCCAATTTCATCCATGTCCCTACAAAGGACCTGAACTCATCATTTTTTATGGCTGCATACTATTCCATGGTGTATATGTGCCACATTTTCTTAATCCAGTCTATCATCGTTGGATATTTGGGTTGGTTCCAAGTCTTTGCTATTGTGAATAGTGCCGCAATAAACATACGTGTGCATGTGTCTTTATAGCAGCATGATTTATAATCCTTCGGGTATATACCCAGTAATGGGATTGCTGGGTCAAATGGTATTTCTAGTTCTAGATCCCTGAGGAATCACCACACTGACTTCCACAAGGGTTGAACTAGTTTACAGTCCCACCAACCAAATAGTTTACAGTCCCACAAGGGTTGAACTAGTTTACAGTCCCACCAACACTTTTACACCAACAGTGTAAAAGTGTTCCTATTTCTCCACATCCTCTCCAGCACCTGTTGTTTCCTGACTTTTTAATGATTGCCATTCTAACTGGTGTGAGATGCTATCTCATTGTGGTTTTGATTTGCATTTCTCTGATGGCCAGTGATGGTGAGCATTTTTTCATGTGTTTTTTTGGCTGCTTAAATGTCTTCTTTTGAGAAGTGTCTGTTCATGTCCTTTGCCCACTTTTTGATGGGGTTGTTTGTTTTTTTCCTGTAAATTTGTTAAAGTTCATTGTAGAGTCTGGATATTAGCCCTTTGTCAGATGAGTAGGTTGCAAAAATTTTCTCCCATTTTGTAGGTTGCCTATTCACTCTGATGGTAGTTTCTTTCACTGTGCAGAAGCTCTTTAGTTTAATTAGATCCCATTTGTCAATTTTGGCTTTTGTTGCCATTGCTTTTGGTGTTTTAGACATGAAGTCCTTGCCCATGCCCTATGTCCTGAATGGTAATGCCTAGGTTTTCTTCTAGGGTTTTTATGGTTTTAGGTCTAACGTTTAAGTCTTTAATCCATCTTGAATTAATTTTTGTATAAGGTGTAAGGAAGGGATCCAGTTTCAGCTTTCTACATATGGCTAGCCAGTTTTCCCAGCACCATTTATTAAATAAAGAATCCTTTCCCCATTGCTTGTTTTTCTCAGGTTTGTCAAAGATCAGATAGTTGTAGATATGCGGCGTTATTTCTGAGGGTTCTGTTCTGTTCCATTGATCTATATCTCTGTTTTGGTACCAGTACCATGCTGTTTTGGTTACTGTAGCTTTGTAGTATAGTTTGAAGTCAGGTAGCGTGATGCCTCCAGCTTTGTTCTTTTGGCTTAGGACTGACTTGGCGATGCGGGCTCTTTTTTGGTTCCACATGAACTTTAAAGTAGTTTTTTCCAATTCTGTGAAGAAAGTCATTGGTAGCTTGATGGGGATGGCATTGAATCTATAAATTACTTTAGGCAGTATGGCCATTTTCATGATATTGATTCTTCCTACACATGAGCATGGAATGGTCTTCCATTTGTTTGTATCCTCTTTTATTTCATTGAGCAGTGGTTTGTAGTTCTTGAAGAGGTCCTTCACGTCCCTTGTAAGTTGGATTCCTAGGTATTTTATTCTCTTTGAAGCAATTGTGAATGGGAGTTCACTCACGATTTGGCTGTTTGTCTGTTATTGGTGTATAAGAATGCTTGTGATTTTTGTACATTGATTTTGTATCCTGAGACTTTGCTGAAGTTGCTTATCAGCTTCAGGAGATTTTGGGCTGAGACAATGGGGTTTTCTAGATATACAATCATGTCATCCGCAAACAGGGACAATTTGACTTCCTCTTTTCCTAACTGAATACTCTTTATTTCCTTCTCCTGCCTAATTGCCCTGGCCAGAACGTCCAACACTATGTTGAATAGGAGTGGTGAGAGAGCGCATCCCTGTCTTGTGCCAGTTTTCAAAGGGAATGCTTCCAGTTTTTGCCCATTCAGTATGATATTGGCTGTGGGTTTGTCATAGATAGCTCTTATTATTTTGAGATACGTCCCATTTACATACCTAATTTATTGAGAGTTTTTAGCATGAAGGGTTGTTGAATTTTGTCAAAGGCCTTTTCTGCATCTATTGAGATAATCATGTGGTTTTTGTCTTTGGTTCTGTTTACATGCTGGATTACATTTATTGATTTGGGTATATTGAACCAGCCTTGCATCCCAGGCATGAAGCCAACTTGATCATGGTGGATAAGCTTTTTGATGTGCTGCTGGATTCTGTTTGCCAGTATTTTATTGAGGATTTTTGCATCAATGTTCACCAAGGATATTGGTCTAAAATTCTCTTTTTTGGTTGTGTCTCTGCCTGGCTTTGGTATCAGGATGATGCTGCCCTCATAAAATGAGTTAGGGAGGATTCCCTCTTTTTCTATTGATTGGAATAGTTTCAGAAGGAATGGTACCAGTTCCTCCTTGTACCTCTGGTAGAATTCGGCTGTGAATCCATCTGGTCCTGGACTCTTTTTGGTTGGTAAGCTACTGATTATTGCCACAATTTCAGAGCCTGTTATTGGTCTATTCAGAGAATCAACTTCTTCCTGGTTTAGTCTTGGGAGGGTGTATGTGTCGAGGAATTTATCCACTTCTTCTAGATTTTCTAGTTTATTTGCATAGAGGTGTTTGTGGTATTCTCTGATGGTAGTTTGCATTTCTGTGGGATCGGTGGTGATATCCCCTTTATCATTTTTTTTTTTGCGTCTATTTGATTCTTCTCTCTTTTCTTCTTTATTAGTCTTGCTAGCAGTCTATCAATTTTGTTGATCCTTTCAAAAAACCAGCTCCTGGATTCATTAATTTTTTGAAGGGTTTTTTGTGTCTCTATTTCCTTCAGTTCTGCTCTGATTTTAGTTATTTCTTGCCTTCTGCTAGCTTTTGAATGTGTTTGCTCTTGCTTTTCTAGTTCTTTTAATTGTGATGTTAGGGTGACAATTTTGGATCTTTCCTGCTTTCTCTTGTGGGCATTTAGTGCTATAAATTTCCCTCTACACACTGCTTTGAATGTGTCCCAGAGATTCTGGTATGTTGTGTCTTTGTTCTCGTCGGTTCAAAGAACATCTTTATTTCTGCCTTCATTTCGTTATGTACCCAGTAGTCATTCAGGAGCAGGTTGTTCAGTTTCCATGTAGTTGAGCAGTTTTCAGTGAGTTTCTTAATCCTGAGTTCTGGTTTGATTGCACTGTGGTCTGAGAGACAGTTTGTTATAATTTCTGTTCTTTTACATTTGCTGAGGAGTGCTTTACTTCCAACTATGTGGTCAATTTTGGGATAGGTGTGGTGTGGTGCTGAAAAACATGTATATTCTGTTGATTTGGGGTGGAGAGTTCTGTAGATGTCTATTAGGTCCGCTTGGTGCAGAGCTGAGTTCAATTCCTGGCTATCTTTGTTAACTTTTTGTCTCGTTGATCTGTCTAATATTGACAGTGGGGTGTTAAAGTCTCCAATTATTATTGTGTGGGAGTCTAAGTCTCTTTGTAGGTCACTCAGGACTTGCTTTATGAATCTGGGTGCTCCTGTATTGTTGGGTGCATATATATTTAGGATAGTTAGCTCTTCCTGTTGAATTGATCCCTTTACCATTATGTAATGGCCTTCTTTGTCTCTTTTGATCTTTGTTGGTTTAAAGTCTGTTTTATCAGAGACTAGGATTGCAACCCCTGCCTTTTTTTGTTTTCCATTTGCTTGGTAGATCTTCCTCCATCCTTTTATTTTGAGCCTATGTGTGTCTCTGCACGTGAGATGGGTTTCCTGAATACAGCACACTGATGGGTCTTGACTCTTTATCCAATTTGCCAGTCTGTGTCTTTTGATTGAAGCATTTAGTCCATTTACATTTAAAGTTAATATTGTTATGTGTGAATTTGATCCTGTCATTATGATGTTAGCTGGTTATTTTGCTCGTTAGTTGATGCAGTTTCTTCCTAGCCTCAATGGTCTTTACAATTTGGCATGATTTTGCAGTGGCTGGTACCGGTTGTTCCTTTCCATGTTTAGTGCTTCCTTCAGGAGCTCTTTTAGGGCAGGCCTGGTGGTGACAGAATCTCTCAGCATTTGCTTGTCTGTAAAGTATTTTATTTCTCCTTCACTTATGAAGCTTAGTTTGGCTGGATATGAAATTCTGGGTTGAAAATTCTTTTCTTTAAGAATGTTGAATATTGGCCCCCACTCTCTTCTGGCTTGTAGAGTTTCTGCTGAGAGATCCACTGTTAGTCTGATGGGCTTCCCTTTGTGGGTAACCTGACCTTACTCTCTGGCTGCCCTTAACATTTTTTCCTTCAACTTTGGTGAATCTGACAATTATGTGTCTTGGAGTTGCTCTTCTCGAGGAGTATCTTTGTGGCGTTCTCTGTATTTCCTGAATCTGAATGTTGGCCTGCCTTGCTAGATTGGGGAGGTTCTCCTGGATAATATCCTGCAGAGTGTTTTCCAACTTGGTTCCATTCTCCCCGTCACTTTCAGGTACACCAATCAGACGTAGATTTGGTCTTTTCACATAGTCCCATATTTCTTGGAGGCTTTGTTCGTTTCTTTTTATTCTTTTTTCTTTAAACTTCCCTTCTCATTTCATTTCATTCATTTCATCTTCCATCACTGATACCCTTTCTTCCAGTTGATCGCATCAGCTCCTAAGGCTTCTGCATTCTTCATGTAGTTCTTGAGCCTTGGCTTTCAGCTCCATCTGCTCCTTTAAGCACTTCTCTGTATTGGTTATTCTAGTTATAGATTCGTCTAAAGTTTTTTCAAAGTTTTCAACTTCTTTGCCTTTGGTTTGAATTTCCTCCTGTAGCTCGGAGTAGTTTGATCGTCTGAAGCCTTCTTCTCTCAACTCGTCAAAGTCATTCTCCGTCCAGCTTTGTTCCATTGCTGGTGAGGAGCTGCGTTCCTCTGGAGGAGGAGAGGCGCTCTGCTTTTCAGAGTTTCCAGTTTTTCTGCTCTGTTTTTTCCCCATCTTTGTGGTTTTATCTACTTTCGGTCTTTGATGATGGTGATGTACAGATGGGTTTTTGGTGTGGATGTCCTTTCTGTTTGTTAGTTTTCCTTCTAACAGACAGGATCCTCAGCTGCAGGTCTGTTGGAGTTTGCTAAAGGTCCACTCCAGACCCTGTTTGCCTGGGTACCAGCAGCAGTGGCGGCAGAACAGCAGATTTTCGTGAACCGCAAATGCTGCTGTCTGATCATTCCTCTGGAAGTTTTGTCTCAGAGGAGTACCCGGCTGTGTGAGGTGTCAGTCTGCCCCTACTAGGGGGTGCCTCCCAGTTAGGCTGCTCAGGGGTCAGGGGTCAGGGACCCACTTGAGGAGGCAGTCTGCCCGTTCTCAGATCTCCAGCTGTGTGCTGGGAGAATCACTGCTCTCTTCAAAGCTGTCAGACAGGGACATTTAAGTCTGCAGAGGTTACTGCTGTCTTTTTGTTTGTCTGTGCCCTACCCCCAGAGATGGAGCCTACAGAGGCAGGCAGGCCTCCTTGAGCTGTGGTGGGCTCCACCCTGTTCGAGCTTCCCAGCCGCTTTGTTTACCTAAGCAAGCCTGGGCAATGGTGGGCACCCCTCCCCCAGCCTCGCTGCTGCCTTGCAGTTTGATCTCAGGCTGCTGTGCTAGCAATCAGCGAGACTCTGTGGGCGTAGGACCCTCTGAGCCATGTGCGGGATATAATCTCCTGGTGTGCCTTTTTTTAAGCCCGTCGGAAAAGCGCAGTATTGGGGTGGGAGTGACCCGATTTTCCAGGTGCCGTCTGTCACCCCTTTCTTTGACTAGGAAAGGGAACTCCCTGACTCCTTGCACTTTCCGAGTGAGGCAATGGCTTGCCCTGCTTCGGTTCGCGCACGGTGCGCTGCACCCACTGTCCTGCGCCCACTGTCTGGCACTCCCTAGTGATAGGAACCTGATACCTCAGATGGAAATGCAGAAATCACCCATCTTCTGCATCGCTGATGCTGGGAGCTGTAGACCGGAGCTGTTCCTATTCAGCCATCTTGGCTCCAACCTCCTCCTTTAACTTTAGCCAATGTTTACACACAGAATTTCTTTTAAAATGTTAATCTTTCATATACCTTCCACAACTTGCTCATGCTTCAGCTTTCTCCTATCAAACTTAAAACAATCCTTTAACCCATTAAAGTAAGCAAAATAAAAAACTATACTGGCACACCTTCCTATAATCTTTTACCAAAAACACATTTTGCTTTCCTTACATATCTTGTAGGTAAAACTTTCTCCAGTAATCTCAATTACATATGCTATAATGTTAACTCTTAGCAACATTTCATTTTGATTAAAAACCTGATAAGTAAGTGATCTTAATTATGTAGCAGGTGTTGAGCCTAGGACATCAGGCAGAAGTGCATAGAAGTGCACTATGCGATCAGACAGTGCAATGCTTTCACCAAGCATTTCACTGCAACGATGTTCCCCAAAGGCTGGTGGCCAACCTAAAGCAAATCAGCCCATCCTCCATTCATAGGTGGATGCCCAAGAGCATGCTTTTTTTTCATTTAAATGTGAGAAGAAAGAAGTATTGGTCTGTAGTAATAACCACTCATGTAAGCAACTGCAATCCCTAAAAGTACACATCCTACCTAGGTAATACACACCAATGCTAAAGGTTCCCTCATAATGCAAAGTAATTTCTGATGCCCCCAAAAGTCACAAAGGTCAGGTAATGTGACGTAAACAGAGCAGAGCCTTGGATTCTGAGGGAGAACTCTCTGCTTACAGCTCTTGGGGTTCCATGAGGAAAACAGAGGTTTCTCCCAAAACGAGGTCTGTGGCACCTTCTGTTTCCTCCCAAGGAGTCCCAGGCTGTCAGAAATTATCTTAGGTCCTCTAATATGGTCATTAAAGGGGGTAAAAAGACAGAATGGAGAAATAATTCAGTCCACTGAGAAGAAAAACAAACAACAAACACACAAAACACTTTCTCTCAAAAAAATAAGTTCCAAGAAGAAAAAAATCATACAGGTCTTTTAAATATATATATATACACACATACATACATATATATGTGTGTGTATATATATATAAATATGACTATGGAATATCCATTTTTAATTAAGCTGACTTATAACTATAGAGGTCCTTTAAAAAATCCTTTTAAATCCCTTAATACCAGACTCTAGCCAGGACAAATAGCCAACATCTCTGGCTTTTAAGCCTTTTTTTAAAGGTATTTTCCCTAGTGAAACCAACAGGCCTTAACCAAGGTTATAACTTAACCATGGACACAAGAGGTATCTCCAAAGAGATGGCAAGCAATTTTTACAAGATCCAACATTACCCTTAAGGTAGCTCACAGAAAAAAAAATTCAAGTGAGAAAATCAGAAGCTGTCGATGGAGACAAAAAGAATAAATAAATGACAAAAGTCCCAGAAGTAGCAAACTGGAAACCTCTCATTCTCTAAGCCAGGAACTGAACCCAGGCCACCACCATGAAAGAACAAAGGCTTAGCTATTGAGCCACAGCCTGAAACAACCACTGTATTGCTTTTCCTAAAAGGAGTCTAGGGAAGTCAGTTTTGAACTTGCAAAGGCTATACCTTTTCAAGGGAAAAGGAAAAGATATAAATCTGAGAGGCCTTCAAAGGAAACAGATTCTAGAATTAAAAGTCAATATTTCTTGCAATCTTACTGAAAGCAAACCAATACTTGAAGAAAAACTTGTTTTAACATAGGGCACCAAAATTTAGATAGAGTATTATATATAAATTTCCTGGCTGGGTGCATGAGGTGGCTCATGCCTGTAATCCCAGCACCTTGGGAGGCCAAGGTGGGTGGATCAACTGAGGTCAGGAGTTTGAGACCAGCCTGACAAACATGATGAAACCCCATCTCTACTAAAAATACAAAATTAGCCAGGTGTGGTGGTGCATGCCTGTAATCCTAGCTACTCAGGAGGCTGAGACAGGAGAAATGCCTGAACCCAGGATGCGGAGGCTGCAGTGAACCAAGATCATGACATTGCACTCCAGCCTGGGCAACAAGAGCAAAACTCCTTCTCAAAATAAATCATAAATAAATAAATAAATAAATAAATAAATAAATAAATAAATTTCCTTTCAGTTATGGCTAATTACATCTAAATTTTAATAAATTCTCTTGTATAAACTTTATCGTGACTTACATAGGTCATCTACAACATGCTTGGACTTTCTGACTTGTCCTATATTTCCTTCTTTTCTAAACAATCAGTCATTCTACCTTAGGACAAGAATTTATCATATAAGATCCTTTCTCATAAAATTTCTTTATAACATTCCTTACCAAAAATACGTCTTCATATTCATAACTTTCCTCACATCTCTCTCCACTGCTTATTGTTTTTTATTTCTTTCTACTTGTTTTTATTTTCTTTCGAAATTCATATTTTAAACCCCACATATAAATGACATCTGAATTGGCCAAAAAGAATTTATTTTCACTAAGAGCATATCTTCTTTGGCACATTTATACAGAGTTATATATGAATTTTTAGTAACTCTAAATTTTAGTAAACTTAAGTTACATGAGCTTGAGAAATGCTTGGACTTATTTACTCTTTTTATGAGCACTCTTTTATTTATAAGCCAATTTGGTACCCTGTAGATACAATATATAACATAATAAATGTACATACACATAAACACATCTAGACATTTATACACACACATAAACAAAGATCCAATAGCTTTTATCTTTGAGCTCTAGCCATAATGTAGGAACGCAAACGCACTATTTTATAAAAGATAGCTGGACCCAAATTATTTCCCTGACAAAACTGGGACTTATCCAAATGGCCAAACTTAGTTTGCTAATTTGAATTTGCTCCAATTGCCTAAAAGGCACCCTAGTGACGAGTTCTCTGGGACTCACCACTGTCCCTTTGTCTAACAAGGATCTCTACTAGACACAGAAGTTTTTCTAAGTATAGGGAGAGCCCAATTATTTTCCCCTGCAAATTCCCACCTCCTGGAGCAAAGCATTAAACAAAGTGACAATAAGAAAAGAAAATGTTTTTATAGAAAATGATAACTTTAGAGTAGAAAACAAGAAAAGGCAAAACCAAGATTTCCCCTGGGTGGGACTCTAACCCACAATGCTAGAGGGGAATGTCAGTGCCAAACACCCTGGAGCATCCAAATGCCGAAAAGCCCAGAGTATCAGCTAACAAGGGTCCCCACACCAAATGCCAAAAACCCCAGAGCATCTGGGGGGTGGCCAATAGTGAAACCCAAAAGCATGAGACCTAACATAATTGGAGCTACAGAACAATGACCCTGGTGTCCCAGGGTCAACACAACGGGAGAACTCTCAAAACCAAGTGTCTTGCCTTAAACAGTTGCCAAATAGCCAAGGCAAAGACTACAAACATGAAATAAGAATTTCAGCCTGAAGAGCAGAGAAGTCAAACAGCCAGTCATTAAAAACTAAAGAGAGGCCAGGTGCAGTGGCTCACACCTATAATCCCAGTACCTTGGGAAGCTGAGGCAGGCAGATCATTTGAGCCCAGGAGTTCAAGACCAGTCTAGGCAGCATGGCAAAACCCCGTCTCTACAAAAAAAATACAAAATTTAGCCAGGCGTGGTGGTGCATGCCTATAGTCCCAGCTACTCAGGAGGCTGAGGTGGAAGGATCACTTGAGCCAGTGAGGTCCAGGCTTCAGTGAGCCATGATTATGCCACTGCACTCCAGCCTGGGCAACACAGCGAGATGCTATCTCTAAAAATAAATAAATAAATAAATAATTTAAAATTTTTTTTAAAAAAGAAACTAAAGAGAAAAGGTCCCAGAGAAGGGATGACAAGGTGGGTTGCAAAAGATGTGGCCAGCCAGGCGTGCTCCCATCTGGGGCACCCAGACAACAGGAGGCTGCTATCAGGCTGCTAAGCCAGAGGCCTCACAGCCACTTTCCCATCTGTCCAAAATGAAGAACATTAGGAAGGACAAAGGAGCCAAAATTGAAGAGAAAAAAATGTTAGCAAGTTGAATCTGGGCAAGGAGAGACTCACCCACCGGTGAAGCCCAAACAGTGCCAATCAGTTTTAATTTAAAGTCAACGGGAGGTTACCATTGTCCCTTCATTGGTCACCAGAAAAGATGTCATAGGGTGGAACTCAAAATTGGGGTTCAGCCTGGGAGGTCACAAAGGTTCTTGGCTTCATGCAGGAAGGAATTCAAGAGCAAGCCAAAAGAGTAAAATGACAGCAAATATATTAAGAAAGTAAAAGAATAAAAGAGTGGCTACTCCATGGGCACAGCAACTGCATGGCTGCTTGAGTGAGTATACCTATAGTTATTTCTTGATTATACGCTCAACAAGCGGTAGAAGATTCATGAGTTTTCCCTGAAAGGGACAGGTAATTCCCAGGACTGAGGGTTCCTCCCCTTTTTAGACCATATAGAGTATCTCTGGTCATTGCTATGGCATTTGTAAACTGCCATGGCACTGGTGGGAGTGTCTTTTAACATGCTAATGCATTATAATTAGTGTGTAATAAGCAGTAGGGATGACCAGAGGTCACTTTCATCACCATCTTCGTTTTGGTGGGTTTTGGCCAGCTTCTTCACTGCATTCTGGTTTTGCTGGCTTATTTATTTATTTATTTATCTATTTTTGAGACAGGGTCTTATTCCATCACCCAGGCTGGAGTGCAGTGGCCTGATCTCAGCTCACCGCAGCCTCCATCCTCCCATCTCAGCCTGCCACCCAACTGCCCCTCAGACCAGTAGCTGGGACTATAGGCCTGCACCATCATGCCCAGCTCATGTTTTTAAAATTATTGTTTGTAGAGACAAGGTCTCACTATGTTGTCCAGGCTCATCTTGAAATCCTGGGCTCAAGCAATCTTCCTGCCTTGGCCTCCCAAAGTACTATGATTACAGGAATGAGCCACCAAACCTGGCCTGCAACCTGTTTTATCACTGGGGTCTTTATGACCTGTATCTATCAACTCCTATACCAACTCCTTTCTCTCCTGTGACTACAAATGTGTAACCTCCTGGGAATGCAGCCCAGCAGGTCTCATCCTCTTCTTACCTAGGCCCTATTCAAGATGAAGTCACTCTGGTATGAACTCCTCTGATGCTAACTCATACAATGGAGTGAGCCTAATGGGACACAATTTGTTCCATCATTGGCTTTGGAAGCTAAAATATGTGTGCATGTGATTCCTGAGTAAACTGGTTTAAAAAAAAGAAAGAGTGAGAGAGAAATTCAATGTATTCATATATTGCTGTGTTTAGCCCTAGTTGGGTTTGGTTTGGTTGGAGGGGATCCAGGATCCAGAAGATAATAGCCTAATCAAAGTTTTTGGTGGGGCCTAATCATGTATTTCTACCGTAAGGTGGCCTACTTTGCAGAAATCAGATTTCTGTTTTATTGAATGCTACCAGGAAAATGGGAGAGGAAGAGAACACAGAGAAAAAGGTGGAAGGCTCCTCACAGGAAGGGGAGTGGGGTATGTAGAAAACAAAGTAAGAGAAGGAGAAACCATTATTTACTAAGCCAAAGTTTGCATGTGCATGCTGTGTTTGTGAAGAATAACCCTGTGATTACTTAGAGCTGATTTTAAGAAGTGGCAGTTGAGGCTCAGAGAGGTTTTGCAAATGACCCAAAGTCACACAGCCAGTGACAGAGCCAGGATTTGAACACAAGGTCGTGTGATACAAACGCCATGCCCTCTCCACTTCACCATATGGTCTCTCTCAAGGGAAGGTCAGTGTTTTAGCCATATCCCACCCCTGTGTGCCACCTACTTGCCTGACTATTTCCTAGGGCAAATTATACCTCCTCCTTCCATTTTCCTCCTTTGCTCACCACAGCAGGAGAAACACAATTACAGTGCTGTGAACCCAAATGCAATTCACACAATGCTGGCTGGCTGATGGCCTCCGAGGATCCTGACATGTGCCTGGGATGCAAGGCTTCCACACTGCTGCGGTGGCAGGCACAGTGGGCCCCAGAGCCAGGCTGGCCAGCCTGATTTACCACAATTAGCAGTAATGCTTGTGTGTTTGTACATATAAATATCAGCCTCCCACTGACAATCCACTCAGCAAACTTCAAACAAGGCCTCCAGAGCCAGCTTGATGTCTTTGGTTTTATCACATTTAGAACCCATATTTCTTTGGCAAGACTTGCCAAAGATGCATCTTTAAAGCTTTCTCCAGCTTAAAAGAAGGGCTCACTGCTTTTCCTGTGCAAGCTCTAAGCAGTGCTTTGCCCTGGCCAGACACTCCCAGATTTCCTTCAGTGCCTCCAGATACAGTGGACCCTCTGCCAGGAAAGATTATTTACTGACATATAAAGTGGCCAATGAGGCCGGGCGTGGTGGCTCACATCTGTAATCCCAACACTTTGGAAGGCTGAGGTGGGCAGATCACTTGAGGTCAGGAGTTCAAGACCATCCTGGCCGACATGATGAAACCCCATCTCTACTAAAAATACAAAAAATTAGCCAGGCATGGCGGCAGGTACCTATAATCCCAGCTACTCGGGAGGCTGAGGCAGGAGAATGGCTTCAACCCAGTAGGCAGAGGTTGCAGTGAGCCAGGATCTCGCCACTGCACTCCAGCCTGGGTGACAGAGCAAGATTCTGTCTCAAAAAAAAAGTGGGCAATGGAAACAGGTCCTCTGAGCAAGCCATCAGGAAGGAAGAGAATAAACATGTGTTTGTTGCTTAAGATTCCAAACCCCAATCTCTGATAACAGTGGTTCCCTGGGTAGAAATCAGGCCTGTTTGTGAACTTTCTTTTTTTCTTTTTTCTTTCTTTCTTTTTCTTTTTTTAGATGGAGTCTTGCACTGCCGCCTGGGCTGGAGTGCAGTGGCATGATCTCAGCTCATTGCAACCTCTGCCTCCCAAGTTCAAGCGATTCTCCTGTCTCAGCCTCCCGAGTAGCTGGTATTACAGGTGCCCACCATCATGGCCAGCTAATTTCTTGTATTTTTAGTACAGACAGGGTTTCACCATGTTGGTCAGGCTGATCTCGAACTCCTGACCTCGTGATTCACCCACGTCGGCTTCCCAAAGTGCTGGGATTACAGGCGTGAGCCACTGTGCTCAGCGTGTTTGTGAAGTTTCATGTCATTACTTATCTATAACTCAGACAGTTTACTCATGAATAATGGCAGTGCTTGCCCCACAGGGAGGTAATGAAGAAAAATGGGAAACATGGGGAATTTCCTCACCTATTAGACCTGTAGTGAGGCTCTCTGGGAGTGAGTCTTGCTGTTCCTGCCACTTTTATCTACTCTAAATGCTCATCCTTAATTAGTAACTGCTATTCTGGAGCTCATCTAAAGTCAGGTGTGCAAATATAAGTAACTGAAACTACAAATTCTGAGAAACATGGCACCATAAGAATCCGTGAGAACAACCCCCTTTGCAGGGAAGAACACTAGATTTCACCCAAATCTTTTCTTCAATCATAATTACTTCCCTCATGCCAACTACATGTTGAACTTCAGCCCCCATTCTCAATAATCACAGCTCAAAAAACATTTGCCATAACTTAGAGGAACAAACTGAGAAAGAGACCCCCCGCCCTGTTGACTCTCAGGCAGGTGACTTGTGCTTTTCCACCATCCTCTTGGCCTTCTTATGCTTTCTCTCAGAAGAAAGGATGGAAATCACATTGGACTAGCCACTGATCCCAAATCTGATACTCTATCCAACTCTCTGAACCTCAGTCTTTTCTTCTAGGAAGCACGACTACCAAGGCCTGACTGGTTGCTTGCCCTGTGGCATTCTTGTAAGGACTAAATTATATAGTTTAATTGAAAGTGCTTTGATTTTCACGACTTTTTCTGCAGACTCCCAAGATATTTTAGATCGGCTCCTTCAACTTCTCCTTAACTAAGAAAGTGAGGGATGCCCCAGAAGCCACATGACTTGCCCTGCACCTCCTACCTCCTGGAGACATGGATCTGAACTCTGATTCAGCCCACACCAGCAGTCCACTCCCATGACCCTGTTACCTCCAGCCTGGTGTGGCTATAAAGACCATTCAAAGATGAGCCAATATATACAGTCACAGAAACAGAGAAACAAATGACTTTGCAGCTACTATCCTTTCTCTTTAACAGGGTGCCATCTCCTGCCCTGCAAACAGAAGTAAAGAGCCATTGGACATGACTCTATAACCAAAGGCAATGTGCAAAGGTAGTGTAAACAGACAGTAGGCAATGCAAGGCTCTATTTCCAGAAGGACTAACAGCAAGACATTCTTCTCCTAAAGCCAGAGAGTTGGCTTCTCAATCACCAATTGCACAGTGCATCCCATTGCAGAACCACTGAATATTGAATTTCACCCCACCCTCACATGATTAAAGACCACAGGAGACTCTCTCACAGCCCCAAAAGCCACTGGTGACTTCAAGATTCAGATTTCCGAGGCTCAGTTAATTTCAGCTCTCCTAAGTTAATTCTAACTGTGAAAATTACACATTTTCCTTTTTCTACGCAGTCTCCTAACTTCAGCCCAGGCAAACCAAGTGCAGGTCTACACTGGTGGAAACTTCTCCCTGTTTTCCAGCAGAGGGTGTGTTTACCAGGACCTCTGCACCCTACCAGAGCCTGTTTTGTTGTTTTGATCTCCCGGAGCTCCATCAGACATTCCAGTAATGGGAGGGGGCTGGAGTGTTTTTAAACAGGAGCCTTTTATGGGACAATCTGGGCTCATAAACATGCCTGCTCTCCTCTCACCATATATTTAACCACGGGAGAATAAAATGACATATCCTTTTGAATATCACCAAACGGGTGTGACTCCTAATGGCACAACCTTAGGAGTAGCAGTAGCAGTTTGAGCATTCGGCTTGAGGTCACCAAGGCCCCGACATAGGTCTCCTCACTCAGAAACGGGAACATCAATGCCCCCCCACTACCCTCCTCACAGGCCAGCTCTGATAATAAGATGTTCACTATGTAAATGCAAAGCATTAACAACCAAGGAGAAACACAACACAAATTTCCACGAAATAAAAATGTTGTCTTCCAGCAATTCTTGTAGCCTCACAGCAAAAGAAAATCAGTCACCTATTACGGTCCTACTGAGCAAAAAATAAATAAAAAATAAAAAATAAAGCACCTTCCTAATGGTCTCCGCGAAGCCCATTCTCACAGCGGGTCGCAGTAGTTCTTACGAGTGGCCAGCAGATGGCAGTGTTGGTCCAAGGACGTGCGTCCACGGGTTGCGACACAGACGCCGCTGCGAGGAATTCTGAGCTCCACTACCCCAAATGTTAATTTCCAGTCTCTTCCTTCCTTAGGTTGTACTTTTAGCTTTCGTGGTGACCTCAGTTGAAAGCCCGCGGGGTTTAAGCAGAAATAGGAAAACTGCTGTTGAAAATGGCTAAATCTCCTCGGGACCCCAGGAGAATTCGGGGACATCTCCCCATCATCCCCATCATCATCCCCATCACCGGGAGCTGGTGCGCCGGGGCAGCGGGGCTTCGGGAAGACGTCTTCGGAGCCGGGAAGACGACGCTGCTGGGCTAGGCCGCAGAGGCTCAGCCGGACTCGCTACTAGGGTTCTGTGCAACCCACGCTCTCGCCACCTCAGCATTTCCGCCCCCTCGGGGCAGGGGGACCGCCTGGACCTCGACGCCGTTCCCGGGCCGCGCTGTCCTATCTGTCCGCGCGCCACCGCCGCCCCCATAAACCAGCCTGGCGAGGGCCGCGACGGCCGCGCAGCTGATTGGAAACGACTGTTACCGTTGCACAATAACGCAGGGTCGTAAAACAAACAAACAGCAACAGGCCGCCCGCGGGGCAAGGGAGCTGGCGAGGGGCTGGAACGCAGAAGACGGCGCCTGCCCCCCAAGAACGCACGGGACCCGTCCTCCTCCACACTCCCCTGCTTCTCCCACATTGAATTACAAGGACGTCCCATTCTCAATCCAAACCCAGAGACCTCGGCCCCCTCTCGTCCACCCGGCGCCTCCCGGGCCCACACAGAGCCTGCGAGGAGTCCACTGGCTGCCCGGAGGAGGGGAAAGGTGACCCAGATTAGCCTCCGCTCCGGGCCCCCGGGGTTCCAGCGCTGCGCTCCACTGAGATAGCGGCGCCGACCGCCCGGGGCTGGGGAAAGCGGGATGCGTCCCCGGAGCCCACTAGAGGGCGCGACAGCCCCGCGAATCTTACCCGGCTCGCCAGCTAGCTCGCCCGCAGCCCAGGCTCCTGGTCCCCGACAGCGCAGCCGGGAGTGCTGCGCGCAGACTTCGCCCGGGAGGCTCTGCGCTCGGACTGTCCAGCCCCCGCCACTGTCCGGCTTCTGACCCCGGGACCCAGAGGAACACTGCGCGGTCCGCTCTCCCTCCCACCTCCACCAAGTCCTCGGCGGCTTGGTTGTCCCGGGGTTGGCGGCGATGCCCAGCCGCTCCGGGGACCTGCGCCCCTGCGCCCCTGCGCGCCGCGCTCTGAACCTCAGAGCTGCAGAGGCCGCTGCGCCCCAGGCACGACGCTCTGCGTTTGCATTGTTTTCAACTGAGACCCGAGAGGGGGCCGGGCGGGTGTGGAGAGAGGGGGGAGAGCGGGAAGAGAATCCGGGCGGGTGGGGGGAAAGGGGCCGAGGGGTTTAGGGTTACAGGAGCTCGCCAGCGCCTCCTATGGGCACGAGAGCCGCACGGCCGTGGGTAGCGGCTCACCGGGAATGCTGAGGAGAGCTAGCATGCGCCCTCTCGGCATTTAAGAACCGTTCCTGGCCGGGCGCGGTGGCTTACGCCTGTAAATCCCAGCACTTTGGGAGGCCGAGGTGGGCGGATCACCTGAGGTCAGGAGTTCGAGACCAGCATGGCCAATATGGTGAAACCCCGTCTCTACTAAAAATACAAAAATTAGCCTGGCGTGGTGGCGGGCACCTGTAATCCCAGTTACTCGGGAGGCTGAGGCAGGAGAATCGCTTGAACCTGGGAGGCAGAGGTTGCAGTGAGCCGAGATCGCACCACTGCACTTCAGCCTGGGCGACAGAGCGAGACTCTTGTCACACACACACACAAAAGTGCCTTCTGGTGCCACCTTGCCCGACACGCGCCATAGCCGCCTCTGCCCCCTCAAGAGTCCGCGCCCACCCGCGCTTGTCGCTCCCCTTTCGCGGGGGCCGAGAAACTGCAGTAGGAGGCAGGGAAGGAGGCGCCCCAAGTCGGGTTTCCCATTATTCCCTCCTACAATCTACTTTTTCAGCCCATCCCAGGTTCGCTCATTGATCAGTTTAAAACAAAAGGAAATGCCGCCGAGCCACTTCAGCAAACGACAACCATCTGGCAGAACCCGAATTAGGGGGAAGTTGGGAGAAGCCATTTGCCCCCGATCCTGCATCTTGCGCCCCAGGCGAGACCGAAAGATTATCTGCCGCCCCAAGGCTGATGCTGCGGTTGGACCCGGCGAGTTAGACCCGGGGAACCCTGAGACCCACACCTTTCGGTCACCGATCCGGCTTTTAGCTCTTTTCCTAGAATTGTCACTTTTCCACCAGCAACGTATAACCTGGTCGCAGCTCCCCGGAGGTCAAAGGGAGTACTTCCCTGTGGGGTCTGCAGGAAGGCGCTGGCCACCACGTCCCCAAAACGCGTCCCGCCGCTGCGCGCCGCCCACGGTCCGTCCCCAGGAGGCACAAAATGGGCCCGCCTCGGCGCCAGACGTGTTTGCAGCTGGAAAGCCCGGCCCAATGCCCCTCCCCCTGCATCCCTCCTCAGTCCGCGTCCCGAGAGGAAACTGGCCCAGGGGCGCAGAGCTGGGAGCCTGGGATCTCCTTCAAGTCCTTCTCGATCTAAGGATTTAAACAAGAGCCAGGGCACCGGGGGCTAACGACGGGTTCATTCTTGGCTTCCCCTCACTCTTGTGAACGAGGTCCAGCTGCACTTGGGTCAACCCAAAACTGCAAGCTCCGAAGCAGGGCCTGACCAGGGCGTCAAAGCGAGCCTGGTCGGCCTTGCGCCTGTCGGGGAGTCGAGGCAGGGCCTCCTCATCTTGAGGGTTGTGGAAAGGAGGAGGCCGAGGAGAAAGGGAGAAGAGGGGATGCAATTCAGCAGTGCCGGGGTCCAGGTTGACCAGATTAGGGGTCGGGGATGGGACAGCGCGGCGGCTGGGGAGGTGCGCACGCCCGGAGAGCCCCTTCCTCCCCTCCTGTGGCTCCGGGGATGTTTGTCCGGTGAGATGCACTGCGGAGGACTGTCGTGCGTTTGCCCTGGATGCTCCCTGCTCCAAAAATCTGTCTAGTTCTTGTCAGGAGCGACCGCGGCGAGGCGAGTCGGTCCAAAACATTGAGCAATTTGGCCTCGGAGCCAAAAAGCCATTTCCCACACCGCCCAGCCCGCGGCTTTTCGGACGCGGGGCGGTAGGGACCTGATATGGGCCCCATCCATGCTTGCCTCCCACCCAGGAAGATGGAGTGAGTGGCAAGTTCTTCCAGGCACTCCTTGCGCACATCCTGAGGTCTTAGCACAATTCGGGGAGCGAAGTGCGGGACCGGCGCTCTGGCTGCGGGAGGGATGCACAACGCACAGCCTGCCAGGCCAGCAAGTCCTTCCCGACCAAGACGCGAGGCCAGGCCATCGGCAGCTCTCGCACACCTGGCCCGGCCCAGGCTCCTGGCTCCCTCTGGCAACGTACTCGGGTTGGGCCACACTCGTCGCTCCGACCTGGCCGACACCCTCCCGGAATAGAACAGCTGATCCCACATATTCAATGCCAAATGGACGCCGCCCGCTCCCTGGGCGCAGCCGGGCGGAGTTAATTTCGTGTGTAAATCTGGTTTCCATGGGGGTAGACAGCAGAGGAAGGAGAAGTACGCACAGACGGCTCTGAAGCCGGCAGGGAGAGGAATGGAAAAAAGGCCAACTAGAGAGGACCGAGCAGCGCTGGGCGAGCTCAGACGGCAAGTGCCACGCACCCCCGCGCGGAGAAGGGTGCCGGGTAGGGGGTGTCCAGGGCTCGGGTGCCCGGAGGGAGAATATGGTTTACCTCCCACCTTTCTGTCTTACCTGCAAACAAGTTTCCCCAGTTCCAAGTCGTCCCTAACTTCCTCACAAGAAGTTCGGCACCTTCCTGGAGACCTTTCCTCTCTTCCTGCCTGCGGCCAGAACTGAGCGAAAGCAGAGCCCCCGGGCAATGCAGAAATGATTCCACCGAGGAGGGGGCGCGGGAAGACAGGCGGGGGCGGGGGCCACGGAGCACAATGAGGGCCCCTTGGTGTGCGGTTCGAAATTCCTCAAATCCCAGTTGCTGGAATGCGAGGCGACGACGACTTCTTCACTCAGGGCCAAATGTGTTTGTCATTATTCCAGACCGCCCGCCCGCGCCGCCGCTGTCGCCCCCGCGCTAGGGCGTGCAACCCGAGCACACTGCCCGGCAGGCACCCGCTCTCCCTGGCACCTCACTGACCCAACAAACCGCTCCAGAGCGCCCCAAACCCTTGCCCACGCCCGCGCGCCTCTGCTTGTCCCGCAGCCGCCTCACCGCCGCGCCAAATCTGGCCCCGACTCTCTCCCAGAGCAGCGCCGTCCAGTAATCACGCGCATTCGGCCGGCTCCCTGTGCTGTAGGCCAACACCGAGGTCCGGTCTCCAGCCGAGCCCAGCCCGCCTCCTGCGCCCCGCAACCCCTTCGCGCGCCCCCCTCCACGCTCCCCTCCACGCTCCCCTCTCCCCACCTCCCCCTGGTCCCCCAGCCGCGCTCCACACCATGGGCTGCAGCGCTGTCCCGCCAAACCGCAGGCGAGGAATGAAAACACTCATTTAAAACCTGTCGCCTTCCAGGACCCACTGCCAAGAAGAGGGCAAACACCTCTGCCTCCACCCCCAGTTCCTTGGTGTTCGGCCCAGTATTCACGAACACCACCCCCACTCCCAAAAGAAACCTCAAAAATGTAAGCCTAAACAATTTCTTTGGGAGGCCATAGGGTTGTTAGAAAAACATTGTTTTTAAAAATAGGTCTGGAAAATGTGTGTTTAAAAAAAATACCTAGACTTTCTAACTCTATGGTTATCTCCCACCCGTCCCCAAGTGAAGTTTATTCCGAAAAAAAAAAATTACTCTCTGGACACACAACTGGAATCCAGCTCCTTTTTTTTTTTCTTGTCGCCCAAAGTTTGAAGTTACTTCGCTTTCTCCAGTCCCAGAGTCTGATCAGGGACTTCCCTTATAAACAAAAAATCATTTTTTCTTTTCCCTTACCTTCTCCTCCGATGTTATTCCGCAATGAATGTCCCACACATGGAGTAAAGAGCGTGCCCACGGCCTCCAATGATCTCTTGCAGTCTCCTCCTCTGTTTCTCTCCCTGTAGCTCCAACAGTAATGGGCTCAAAAACCGCGTTTTGTAATTGATTCAATGTTATAGTCCATCCTTCTAAAACTAATCATTTGCTCTAAGTAAATAGCTGTCAGGAAATAAGCCCCCCCTCAACCTTGGTCTCTTCAAAATAAAAGTTTCTCTCAAACTCCCTGCGCTCCGAATCTCCCAGTGTCCAGATTGCGCCTTCGCTTTTTGCTCTTACGCAATCAGGGGGTCCAGTCCCAACCCCCAGACTTCGACAACAACTGGGGGGCGGGGAGAAGCAGACCAGATGGGATGGGGGGTGGTGGAAGGGGGAGGTGTTGGTGCTCTGCCGGGAAAGAGGTTTTGTGAAACTACAAACAGCCCATCATTTCCAGAATGAGTTTGCCTCCCCATTTTGGGGTTATTTTCTTAGACTGCTATAGTTTTGTATTCTCTTTGAAAAGAAGAAAAGGAACATACAAAATTGCATTTAATACCCAGAGAGAATATAAATCTAGAATCAAGAAATGTCCCTTCTACAAACTCGGCCCAACGAGAAATAGGGCCCTCGGGAGAAATCTCCAAGCGGTTGCGCCGTTTTGAACTAGGGGTCTTTTAGGGGAAGGGCTATATAGTTGCTAGTTATTTAATAGGATTGGGCAAACTGTTGAGTCCAATATGACAATGATGGGTTTTTGTTTTGTGTGGTGTGTGTGTGTGTACAAGACTGGGTGGTCTGAAATACGGTACAAAGAAAAGAGGGTCTGTGTAGGTTTGGAACGTTCTCCGATAGAACGACCTTTACTCCCTTGAAGTCACTTATCTGGTCGTGCCTTTGTTTTCGGGGTTATCTGGGCGAGGTTGCCCTGGCTTCTATCTCGCATACAAAAAAAGCTCAAGCTTGGGCGTTTGAGGAATCGTACCACCGCCTCCGCGTCGTGGGGGAGGATGCCTTTTGATTCTCCCTCCGTTCCCTCCCGCCGCGTGGGTCGAACCCTACGAATTCCTTGGAATTGACAGCTGAGCCCCAAACCCTGCGCCCAAGGCGAGAGGCCAGTGTCGGGAGGAAACGATCCTGCCGGCGAGGGAAAGGGGGCGCTGATGCTCCAGGAACCAGACCTGGGCAGAGTGGGGCTTCCCAGCGACAGCGGGGGAGGGGAGCGCGTTCACCTTCATCGCTCTCTGATTTTTGAATTCTCCTGTTGGGGTTGGGGGTCATCCTTCATCCTTCTCCCTCAACCCCACCCCAACACACGCACTCTGAAAATGGCCAAAGTGGCCAGGTTGGGACTGGCATGTCCAACAGCCGTCTCCTCCTTCACCAGGAGGGTGGACACAGTGCAGTGGACAGGGGAGAGTCACAGAGAAGTACTCCAACGGGCGCGGTGCTGTGCCTAACCAGGACAGGATCTTGGGATGTCAGCCTCGAAAACAGGGCGCCTGGGGCTGCGCTGGGGGTCCCATTGCCGCAGTTCTTCTACGCGACCCGCTCTCGTGCATCTTCAGCTTGGGTGACTGCACCGCTCGCTATTACTTCCACATGTCCCTTCAGGAAATCATTGAAGGCAAATATATGAACAGCCCCTTGTTCGGAATGCTAACAGGATACCGTAATGTTTGTAGAAAATGAGCGGGAACAAACGATCCCCCCAAAAATCAGAGTGCGGAATAAAAGGCAAAAGCGGGTGCTGGGCCACATGCTGTTAAGTTGAGAACCGGGTTTTTAGGCTAGTTGCCCCAGAGGGTAGGAGGCGAGACAGACAGCCTACCCAGAGGGGCTGCTTTGCTTCGGCGACACTGTTAGTCCGGTCAAGCCAGGGTCTTCCGTCCGCAGGGCCCCAGCGCTCTCCGCCCACAAATGGTAACTTCACAGTTCATTTCAGAGCCGTTTAATGGGGCCCGAGAAGCAGTCCGGGCGGGAGTGTCTCCAGGCAGCGACTCCTCGGGAGTTTAAAGCAGAAAGCAATGGATGAGCAAGCGAGCACCCAGTTGTCCTTCTGGTAGTAATTACCTGCCTAATTTGAATGATGCCTTTGTTATGATCATTAACAAACATTTGCTAAAGGTTTCCATGTGTGACATTCTGGAAGGTTTAAAGGCCTGAGGAGCTGACTCCAGGGATAGTGCCCCGGTGGGGGGTGGCGCAAGAAAGCAAATGGTTGGGGGAAAATTTTGCGGAGAGACTGTGCAAAGAAGAGAGGTCAACATCTGCCTCCTCTGCAAAAGCAAAATAAACCCAGTGGTCAGGAGCAACCTCCGGACAGGAGGCCCTCGAACCGAGGCGGTTGGTTCCTTAAACCGAGTCCTGCCCCCACAGCCCCCGCCCCTACCACTGCTCATAGGCGGGTTTGAATCCTGTTTTCCGCCTTCTAAGGCTGGTCCGAGGCTGGTTCGGGAGAAGTCGGGTCTGCGCCCGGCAGTCAGTCCGGGGCGTCGGGGGAAGGTGGGGCTAGTTCTTGCCGCGCTCTCCCAGTGTCGTTCTAAGATCCTTCGAGATCGGTCCCACGACGCCCCGGGTCCTGGGTGGTCCCGGAGCCGCAGGGGGCTAGAAACCTTGCCCTCCTGAGGCGGGCTGCGGGTCTTTTCTCCCCTTCTTGTGCTTCTCACTGGGCACCGTGTGGGGGGTGGGGGGAGGGGACCAGGCCACCATATGTACCCGGAGGAGAGGAGCGACATGCACTGGCCTGGGCAGCTCTGCGCAGATCTCAACCCGCGCCCGGATTCTAATTTTCAACCTCTTGGGGTTTTTTGTTTTGTTTTTTCCTTGAGGGATTATCAAGGGGTTAAGAATGTGGGTTTTCTCCCCAAAGTGGGAGTCGGGGAGGCTGCGAGCCGAGAGGAAGGAGGCCCAACTCCCGAATTGAGCCGGGCCGAGAAGTTGGGAGAAAAGGGTAGGGACTGTGACAGTTCTGTCCTCCGCCTTGCGCGTCTAGGCCAGCAGGCGACATGAAATTGAGGGCAAGGGTATAAAAAGGTGCAGTCGATTAGCTGACTTTCAAAAAGAAGGCCTCGTAAACTTTTTACAACCAGATCAAAATGGTCACTAAAAACAAAAGCAAAATCTCGCCGTGCCCTGCCCTGCCTCCAGGGCCCGTTCTCCTGGCCCCGACTCCCGGGCGAGGGCGGCCACAGCTCCGAGCGCCACACCTTTGGCTTTGAGGGCGCTTCCCACTGAGTTGGCTTTTTGTGTCTTCTCCTCCTCTGCCCCCCAGCTCCACCGCCAATTCTACTTTCCTTGAAGAATTCAGGTCCGTTTGCCCTAGAAGCCGTACGAATTTAACAGTTATCAAAGCCGTTAGTTGTGAAAATCACGTTTAAACTTGTGAATTCTTTTTTTCAAATGGTGATGGGCGGGGCAAGGGAACGGGGGATGTTTCTGGCTTCACAATTTGAAAATGAAGGGCCCGTTTGGTGGTTTGCAAAAGAAAACGGTGCTAACTGCTCCTTCTCCCACCCCCTTTAACCCTTGGCTGCATCTGGAATAGCCGCCTCCCTGGGTCCAGCGAGGAAGGGTCCTTTGCCCGGAGGTGGTGGAGGTGACGCACAGATGTGGGGGGTCCCCGCAGACAGAGAGACGCCCTGGCCTCTGGTCTGCCCCAGCTGAGGCTCGGAAGCTAGCTCTAAGGAGTCTCTTTGCACGCTCAGAATTCAGAACGGCACTAGTCCTGGAAAAGGAGGAATTCTCTAAAAAGATCGAGATGGGTCTGTGCAGCTTGAGGTGAAAGTTCCCTCCCCAGGACTCCGCACCCACCTTGCTGGCTGGATCTCAAGGTGCAGCCTCTCTTCTGGGTTTGGGGGGCTTGCTCTTCAGGAAGTAGAAGCAGAGGGTTCCTAACAACGCAGCCTGTTTACAGACCTGAGGACAAGAGCTTGTTTCCTGGTCCAGCCCAGCCCGGTGGGCCATACACTCCTTAGAGCCTGGGACAGACTGGTAGGACTGGAACCCTCTGGATCTGGCTTTTGGATACCCCCTCCCTCGCTAGAGAGCCCCCTTCCTCAGTTTAGGGATGTTGTTGTGCCTCTGCCCTCTCCTGCTCCTTAGGTCTTTGGTTTTAGTTGCTTTTAATTTGAAAAACCATATGAGGGGAGGGGGAAGGAACGAGGAGATTGGGAGGTCTGCTCTTTATTAGGGGCCCAGGCCTCTAGCTTTCCAACACACAGCTGTGGCTGGGAGGGGAAGGAGGGCTGGCTCTGTGTAGGTCAGCCTCACTGAAGAGAGGGACTTGTCCTCTGGAAGTCCCAGGAGTCCAGCACAGCCCTGTGATTTTTTTTTTTTTAATCCTTCAGCAGAGACACTGCAGTGGAAAACCAGTGGAACCTCGACTCTTTGCTCATCCATTAAAAGGGGCATAATCGACTAGGCATGGTGGCTGATGCCTGTAATCCTAACACTTTAGGAGGCCAAGGTGGGAGGAACACCTGAGCCCAGGAGTTTAAGACCAGCCTGGGCAACATAGTGAGCCCCCATCTCTATTTAAAATAACAGTAATGACCATTGGAATAATCATGCACAACGTATAGGGTTGTCTTGGGGATTAAGTAAGATAATATCCCAGGTAAATAAAGCGGTTCATATGCAAACTTAAGATGTACAAGGCCATGTGTCAAGGGCTAAGGATACAGCCCTTTCCTCCTAGATTTTATGGACTAGTGGAGCAATCAATTAGACATAAAGTTGCAACTTAGCGTTCTAAGCAATGTTGGAGAGAGACAATGAAGTCAGCACACAGGAGGAGCCTAACCCAATCTGGGAGATGGGAGACGGCTTCTTTCAGGGAAGGCTTCTCTGAGAATCTAAGAGGAATAAGAATCTAGTTGGGGAGGAACCTCATTGCATGGGCGGGGAGGTGAGAGAGAACATGAGATAATCAGAAGTGAAAGGAGTTTGGAATGGCCACAACTTGTAAAGGTCCGGAGCGGAAGGAGCAAAAAAGAGGTGAGATGGAGCTCATGGAGGCCTTCTAGACCATGTTAAATGTCTAGGCTTGCAGAGATGGGAGGATCGATGGAAGGTTCCAGGCCAGAAGTTCAAAACCAGAATGGACAACATAGTGAGACTCCATCTCTACAAAAAATTTAAAAATTGACCAGATGTGGTGGTGCACACCTGTATTCCCAGCTACTCAGGAGGCTGAAGCAGGAGGAATGCATGAGCCCAAGAGTTCGAGGCTGAGGTAAGCTATGATCGCACCACTGCGCTCCAGCCTGGGAGACACAGCAAGACACCATCTCTAAAAAATAATAAGGCTGGGTGCAGTGGCTCACACCTGTAATCCCAGCACTTTGGGAGGCTGAGGTGGGGAGATCACGAGGTCAGGAGTTCAAGACCAGCCTGGCCAACACTGAAACCCCGTCTTTACTAAAAATACAAAAATTAGCCAGGCATGGTGGTGTGTGCCCATGGTCCCAGCTACTCAGGAGGCTGAGGCAGGAGAATCACTTGAACCCAGGAGGCAGAGGTTGTGGATAGCCGAGATCACGCCATTGCACTCCAGCCTGCGCAACAGAGCAAGATTCAATCTCAAAAAAAAAATTAATTAATTAATAAAAAGGAAAACAATTGACAAAAGAACCTGGGCTTAATTCTATGGAAGTATATGGTTTAAAGAGGGGCAAGACAGGAACAGAGTTGAACATTTAGCAAGATCAGCCTGGATGATCTCAGGAGATAGGGAGGCTCCTGCTATAATCTAGCAAGAGAGGATGCTTCCCTGTTCCTGGGGGATAGCAGGAGTTTGGAGAAAATGAAGAGTGAATTAGAGAGAAGGAAGTAGAAAGCCTAGCACTCACTGAAAATGTGAACTGTGAGGGAGAGTGGGGTGCCTGGCTGAGGCCATGGCTGGTGCTGTCTACTCAGCAGGGGGACAACCAGGAACTGGGTTAGAAAGGAAAGGATGGGCCGGGCATGGTGGCTCATGCCTGTAATCCCAGCGCTTTGGGAGGCTGAGGCAGGCGGATCACTTGAGGTCAGGAGTTGGAGACCAGCCTGACCAACATGGAGAAACCCCATCTCTACTAAAAATACAAAATTAGCTGGTAGCCTGTAATCCCAGCTACTTGGGAGGCTGAGGCAGGAGAATATCTTGAACCCAGGACAGGGAGGTTGTGGTGAGCCAAGATCGCGCCATTGCACTCCAGCCTGGGCAACAAGAGCGAAACTTCATCTCAAAAAAAAAGAAAGAAGAACAAAAAAAAAAGAAAAGAAAGGATGAGTCCACTTTTAAACATGACACATTTGAAAAAGCTCAAGAAGGATTAAAATGAGAGAAAGAAAAAGAAACAGGACAGAATTTGGGGTAACTCCAGCATTTTCCAATAAGCAAAGAAGATTGTGAGAAGGAACAGCCAGGAATCTTTATCTCCTGGATAGTCAGCTGTTGTCTCTGAATCCATAGGATGAGAGTTGGTTGAATTTAAAGACCTGTGTAAACTTATCATCTAAATTCAACATTATTTGGGAAGCTGAAGTGGGAGGAGGCTTAAGCCCAGGAGTTCAAGGCTTTAGTGAGCTATGATCACACCACTGCACTCCAGCCTGGGTGACAGAGTAAGACCCTGTCTCTAAAGAGAAAGAGAGAGAGAGAGAGAGAGAGAGAAGGAAGGAAGGAAGGAAGCAGGGAAGGAGGGAGGGAGGAAAGAAAGAAAAAAAAAAAAAAAGAAGGAAGGAGAGAGAGAAAGAAAGAAAGACGGATGTGACATTATACAATATGTCTGGTGACTTTTTACAACAACATAAGAGCTTTAGTGATAATATAATTGGCAAAACTAGATTATTTTTCCCTCATTTGTACTCTTAAATAGACTTTTGTGGCCAGGTGCAGTGTCTCATGCCAGTAATCCCAGCACTCTGGGAGGCTGAGGCGGGTGGATTCCTTGAGTTCAGGTGTTCAAGACCAGCCTGGGTGACATAGTGGAACCCCATCTCTACTAAAAATACAAAACATTAGCTGGGCGTGGTGGCAGGCACCTGTAGTCTCAACTACTCGGGGAGGCTGAGGTGGAAGAATCACCCAAGCCCAGGAGGTCAAGGCTGCAGTAAGCCGAGATCATGCCACTGCACTCCAGCCTGGGTGACAGAGTGAGACCCTGTCTCAAAATCAAACAAACAAAAAAAGTAGACATTTGTATCCACATTTGGATTTCAAATCACCCAAAGACCCAAAGCAGGATTAAAGCCAATCCTTGTCTTAAGGACACTAGCTTTCTACCAGCTACCACTCCCACCCCTCACCATGCCCTGGAGAGACTGAGGCAGGACTCATTTTCAGGAACAAAAAAATATATGTTCAATTCCAGTGAAGTAGATTGCATATTGCATATTGGCCTCCAGTAATCATTCTCCTTTCCTTCTCAGTAATAGAGTCCTTGATTTTTAATTTTAGTTTGTTTTTTTTCCCCCCGGAACAGAAGTCTTCCTTTCACCAACTTTTTTGCAGGTCGATGTGTCATGAAGAAAAGTTCTGGCCAACAAGATGTAAGCACGAGTTGTGGGTGCAACTGCTAAAAAGCGTCTTTAAAAAAAGGATGCATCCTTCTCAGTCTGGTCTTCTTGCTGAGTAGAAAGCAGGTGTGTGAGTGGGGCCTCAGCAGCCAATTTAGACTATGAGGCCACCTTGAAAAGGGAAACTGAGCACTGTGGTACTACCAAGTAGAAGATCCCTCACCCTTAAGCCCCAAACAAACCTTGATAAGCTACCTCCTGCCTTCTTGAAAATGTAACAGAAATAAAATTGTCTCTCTTTTTTTTAAGGGTGCATTTTTTAAAATTCACTGATAAACTAAAAGCCAATTTCTTGGTATTTCTCACATATACTTCATTTATTTTATTAATCAGCAAAGCCCTATAAGGGAAGCCTTTGCCTAGTCCTCCGACTCTGCTTCATCTTCTTGACTAATCTGGAAGTAACAAAGTTTGTAAGTCTCCTGTCAGATGCAACCACTCGAAGCCAATCATGAAGACTGCTCTTCTTAAGGTATTTCTTGGTAAGGTATTTCAAATACCTTTTAGAGAACTGTTTCTCAGAAAGAACTGTGATTTTATTCTTGAAGCGTTCAATGTGAACAACATTCCCGAGATATCCAGCCTTCTCCCGTAGAAATTGTTCAAAATTTCCAGAATCAAAAATTCCATCTTCTGCTGGATGAGTAAGGTCCAAATTAAACTTCCAGGTTGACCTCTTGGGCTTCTTGTCTTTCTGAGATGCCCTCATGAGTCGGCCATGCCAGCAGAGAGAAAATTGTCTCTCTTTTTTTTTTTTGAGATGGAGTTTCGCTCTTGTCACCCAAGCTGGAGTGCAATGGCGCAATCTCGGCTCGCTGCAACCTCCGCCTCCCAGGTTCAAGCAATTCTCCTGCCTCAGCCTCCCGAGTAGCTGGGATTACAGGCATGCACCACCACGCCCAGCTAATTTTTTTGTATTTTTAGTAGAGACGGGATTTCTCCACGTTGGTCAGGCTGGTCTCGAACACCCAACCTCAGGTGATCCACCCGCCTCGGCCTTCCAAAGTGCTGGGATTACAGGCGTGAGCCACTGCACCTGGCCTCTTTTTTTTTTTTTTTTTTGAGACCGGGTTTCACTCTGTTGTCCAGGCTGGAGTGCCTTGGTGAAATCATGGTTCACTGCAGCCTCAACCTCCTGGGCTCCTGCATTGGCCTCCCAAAGTGCTTGGATTACAGGTGCGAGCCACAAATTTAGGCCAGTGCCTGGCCTAAAATTCTACCTTCTCTCTCTCTTGTTAAGCCACTTATTTTGATTTTTTTTTTCTATTACTTACAGCCAACCTTAACAATCCTAACTAATAAAGTCAAAAATGGTTTACTCATTCTAACTCCAAATGCAATCACCCTCACTCAAAAATGAAATCTGGGGTATAGCAGGGCTGAAAACACACACCCAGCTACATAACATCCCAGGAGGCCTACCAAGGCTGGGTGCCTCTCTGCTGACCTACTCACATTTATAACTTTCCTGTGGGATTTTAAATGTATGTGTGTCTTTCCCAGCATTCAATTCATACTTGCTGCCTGTTTAACTAAATTTTTCTTTGGATAGTCAGTGATACAGAAGGAAAGCTGAAGGACACACAAGAAGGAACACATTCGTTCTCTTTTCCGTATCTTTTCTCCTGGCCTCATATTTTCATTCCTCTTTATAGTCTTACCCTTACTCTGTATTCTATTCTTACAGTCTGCACACTTTTGGCCTTCTGTCTTTGTTGCCTCCAGAGCTTCCAGGTATTTTGTTATTGTTTAATTTTCAGTGCTTTAAAAATATGCCTTTAGAGGCCAAGCATGGTGGCTCACACCTGTAATCCCAGTACTTTAGGAGGCCAAGGAGGGTGGATCACTTGAGGTCAGGAGTTCAAGACCACCCTGGCCAACATGGTGAAACCCCATTTCACCTACAAGTAGAGAAATTAGCTAGGTGTGGTGGCATGTACCTGCCATCTCTGCTACTCGGGAAGCTGAGGCAGGAGGATCTCTTGAGTCTGGGAGGCTGAGGTTGCAGTGAGCTGAGATCATGTCACTGCACTCCAGCCTGTTTAAAAAAAAAATGCCTTTGTTAAGGTAAACATCCCACACATATTAAGATAATAGGACAGTCCTGCTGGTAAACCATCCCCCAGAGCTTAGGCCAGTTTCCATCAGGCCGTTGACAAAGAAATGTAGCTCCACGAGCCAGGAGATGGTGATTCCTGCTTGACTTGGGATCTGAGTGGGGGAATTCTGGGCTTCTCTCCTCTTCGCTGCACTGTGGTTACAGATGTGCACTGGCCACCTGGGTGCTAATCTCAGCCCTTCACCTCACTATTCCTGAGTCTTTAATCAGGTATTTTTTTCTGCTTATAATCTGAATGAAGGGTTCCCTCACAGCCCTAAGATAAGAATCAGGCCAGGCACGGTAGCTCACGCCTGTAATCCTAGCACTTTGGGAGGCTGAGGCGGGTGGATTACCTGAGGTCAGGAGTTCGAGACCAGCCTGACCAACATGGTGAAACTCCGTCTCTACTAAAAATACAAAAATTAGCCAGGTGTGGTGGTGACCTCCTGCAATCCCAGCTGTTTGGGAGCCTGAGGCAGGAGAATCGCTTGAGCCTGGGAAGTGGAGGTTGCAATGAGCCGAGATGGCACCACTGCACTTCAGCCTGGGTGACAGAGTGAGACCCTGTCTCAAAAAAAAAAAAAAAAAAAACAGCACCAGCTCTCCTCTGCTGTCTGTCTCCTCAGCATTTACCCCCCTAGATTGTATCAGTTGACAAATATTTATTCAGCACCTCTTATACCAGGCACTGCGCTAGACTCTGGCATGCTGTCATGGACAAACAACCAACCACGGAGCTCAGCTTTGGACAGAGGAGACAGACGGAAAACAAACCAGGCCCTCATTAAATGGCAGGCGTGACTAGTGCTCTGTGGTCACCCAGTGCTGTGGGAGGCCATCGTCACTGTGGGAAGCCCAAGCTGGTCTGCTGCCTCAGGAAATCTTCTCTGAGGAGGTGATATTTATTTATTTATAATTGAAACAGTGTCTCCCTATGTTGCCCAGGCTGGTTTCAAACTCCGAAAATCAAAGCCTAATTCTCCCATTACAGCCTTACCAGTGCTGGGATTACAGGCATGCGCCGCTGCACCCCACAGTAGGTGATATTTAAAGCTTCGTGCAATTCTGAAGAAAGATGCCATATTCAGCTATTATTTTTAAGTCATTCAGAAAATGTATGTTGCATAAGAAGTTTGTGTGTAGGGCAGGTACAAACATAGCAAAGTACACTCCTCTGCCTCTGGAAACGATAGTTTTTATGTCCCAAAGGAACTGTAATGATCTGATATTGAATCAAAAAATGACTGAACTCACTCAACTAAGAAATTGTCTTTGTTCAAAAGAGACAATTCAGTTCCCCAAGGATAGGCTATCATGAAATTTGAATGTAACTGAGACTCCAGACTGGTGACATCTCCAAATCTGATGCTTTTCTGTCATCCTGGTGGAGTTATCTTGGAGCGATAAGAGAACTGCGTGCTCTCATCCCGCTCCACGAGCTAATGTTTCACAGGCTGACAATGACAGGGTGATTGCCTTTGATTAAAGCATATTTTCAATTATCCCTTGGGTACTTACAGCCTGTTAGGTTTGCATTGTAAAATGAACCCAAGGTCCTCCAAGGATCCACAAGACGGTCCAAAGTCCTTATTGTGTGTGCATTTGGTTAATTATTGGATTGCTCAAAAACGTAGTCATGAATTGACTTCACTGCGCAGTAGATGTCTAAATGGTTAATGCGGATTCCTCCTCGGAGAAAAACCAGACCCGTCTTTAACCCGCCTGCAGTGATTTCTAAACCACTAGAGGGAGCAAGAGGCCACCTCAGAACTAAGTCCACCCTGGGCGAGTCCGCATTTGGTGACTGAAACCAAGCCAAGTGTTCCCAAATGTTCTGGAAAGGAACCAAGTCAGGGCGTCTCCCATCTCTAAGCCTCCCCAGGCACCCCTAAAATCTGGTGCAGTTCCAGGCCACTCCTTAACAAGCCTGAGGTTCCACTTGAAGGTCCGACGCTGTTTGGAGTCATCCTCAGGACACTGGGGCTCGTATGTCAGTGCTGGGGGAGGGGAGGAGGGAGTGATGCGATTCCAGCTGCAGCCGCGTCCATTCCACCGCGGGCCAGGCCCTATATAGGCGCACAAGTTATTTGAACAGGAAGAGGGACAAATATAAAGCCATGACCACACGGAATCGGGGCGCTTTACCCAAACTAAGAGATTTGGGGGGCGGGGCGGGGGGCTTCTTGGGCTGCTGTCTGAGCTGTCTTTAAGAGTAAGAAGAACCAGGCCAGGCGCGGTGGCTCACGCCTGTTATCCCAGTACTTTGCGAGGCCGAGGTGGGCGGATCACGAGGTCAGGAGTTCGAGACCATCCTGGCTAACATGGTGAAACCCCGTCTCTATTAAAAATACAAAAATTAGCTGGACATGCTAGCGCATGCCTGTAATACCAGCTACTTGGGAAGCTGAGGCAGGAGAATCGCTTGAACCAGGGAGTCAGAGGTTGCCGTGAGCAGAGATCGAGCCACAGCATTTCAGCCTGGTGACAGAGGGAGACTGTGTCTCATTAAAAAAAAAAAAAAAAAAAAAAAAGTAAGAAGAACGGGCCGGGCGCGGTGGCTCACATCTGTATTGCCAGCACTTTGGGAGGCCGAGGCAGGCGAATCACTTGAGGCAAGGAGTTCGAGACCAGCCTGGCCAACATGCAGAAACCCCGTCTCTACTAAATATATAAAAATTAGCCGGGTGTGGTGTCGCATGCCTGTAGTCCCAGCTACTTGGGAGGCTGAGGCACAAGAATCGCTTGAACCTGGGAGATGGAAGTTGCAGTGAGCCGAGATCGTTTCACTGCACTCCAGACTGGGCGACAGAGTGAGACTCCGTCTCAAAAAAAAAAAAAGAGAGAGAGAGAAGAACGACCAGTGGTGTGTTTCTTCTAGAGGGAACTGCATGAACAAAGGCATAGGGACAGGAGCAGGGAGAGGGGTGGCCATGAACTCCATCAGTGGCTGCGACTGGTGAGTCTTGCTCCTATGGGCACTTTTGAGTAGATTTAAAATGCAACAGGGCCCCAGCAACTTCAAAGAGATAAGGGAGGAGCTGAACTTAAATTCCACTCAAATTAAAATGTCTAAAATTGGCTCCTGTAACATAGATCCGTGGCTCATAATGTCCACTTTGCATCAACTGCTGAAATTCTCAAACATTAAAAAAAAAAAAAAATCTTGGCTGCTGGTAAGAAATGGCATAGTAGGTTTTGCATTTATTATCACAAAAAACAGTATTTTGACAGACTAGCCTTCGTTGTGGAATTAAAAGATTTAACTTTCTGAAGCTCTTCCATAAAAATAACATTCTAAAACAAGCATGCATTATAGAAAATATTTATTATCAAATAATATCATATGGCAGCCCTGTGAAAAACCTGATATTATTGAGGGAAGCTGCATTTTGTTCACTTGAGAAAATAAAGGTTGGCTGAACAAAAATGATTTATCCAACTACAAGATTCATGTATTTGTGGTTGAGTTATGTTGCTACAGACACCAGTAGCACCACACACACACACACACACACGCACACACACACACAAATATTGATAATTCGGATTTAATGCCTGTCTCTATTCTGGTCAAATTCAGGCATGATCGTGATGATTTCCAAGCTTTGTGTTCATTCTCTAACACGTATTGTACTAAATAAGAGTGCAATGACATATTTTTATTTGTAAAGATACATGAAAGTAAACTTGATTTAAGATATACTTCAATACATTTTGAGATAATTAGAGACACACCAGACTATCACACACACAAAAAGTAAGGAATGACTAATATAAATTCTGTCAAAGATTCCTGTAGGTGATTCGCATTTGCCAGTGACAGAACCTGGATTAGATTAGGCAGTTCTGGCCTGTGTAACTGTTGCAGCCAAAAATCCCTTGAATGTCAGCGATTCATTTGGTTTAACCTAATACCCACCCATGAACCTAGTTTATTGCCATAGAAGTTCGCATCAAATCTTTATTCTGCACATTTAATAAACAAGTTGTCTAGGGCTGTGTGTGATAGATTTAAGTTTTTCCCTTAGCATCCAAATGAGATTGAAGGTATTTCCAAATAAAAGGCAATTTAAAACTGCAGGCTCACACTTCAGATAGTGGTTATCTTATCTGCCTGTCTGAGTCCTGTTTGCTTTCACTGAAGCCACCAATAGAACCTGAGAAAGTGGCATTGGAGATTCAAGAGTTCCCTCTTCACCCCACCTGGAGGACAAAGGAAGAGCTTTTCTGATAGGTGCTGCTTAGCACTCCATCTTGGAGCACAGCTTAAAATTCACAGCCCTCTCTGTGACCTTTTCAAGTTTCATTCTAAAGCTGTGTGACAAATAGCTCATCCTTGTGTCACACGTGCAATTACACACACCACTTAGAGGATAAACACCAGCTGGGTCTACATTTTACCTGAAGGTTGAATGAAAAATAAATATTTCAATTACCCTGATACTTCCAAAATCCAGATGGACCAATAGAAGTATACAGGTCATTTCCTTTCAGTTTAGTTTTGCTATTCCATTTTACATGGCCCGGTATTTCCAATGCCATTTTACTCCTTCCAAAGCATATCTGAATATATGAGCTTATTTGATGCTCTTCACAGCCACGGAAAGAAAGGGCAGCATTCTATCACCATTTGCACACAGAAACTGAGTAGAAGGTCGGGCATACTGGCTCATACCTGTGGTCCCAGCACTTTGGGAGGCTGAGGTGGGCAGATCACTTGAAGCCAGGAGTTCAAGATCAGCCTGGCCAACATGGTGAAACCCTGTCTCTACTAAAATTTAAAAAAAAAATTAGCCTGACATGGCGGTGTACACCTGTAATCCCAGCTACTCAAGAGGCTGAGGCATGAGAATCTCTTGAGCCTGGGAGGCAGAGGTTGCAGTGAGCCCAGATGGCACCACTGTACTCCAGCCTGGTGATGGAGCAAGACTCTGTCTCCAAAAAAAAAAAAAAAAAAAAAAGAAACTGAGTAGCAGAGGTCACTGATTTACTCAAGCTACTGTCATACTCAGATAAGGAAAGAACAGGGACCCTCCTGGCTCTCAGCAATGATATCTCAAACATCATTGTGCTCTTTGCCATTTGAAATAACTTATGTGCACATAATGGGGACAGAGTTGCTAACCAAAGAACTCAAAGGAAAACATTCTTTTTCTCCTCTCATCTAAATGGGGTGGGCTTTAGTGTTCCTTTGTCTTTTTTTTTTTTCTTTTTGAGACAAGGTATCGCTCTGTCACCCAGGCTGGAGTGCAGTGGCGCAGTCACAGTTTACTGCAGCCTCAACCCCCGGGCTCAAACAATCCTCTAACCTCAGCCTCTTGGGTAGTTGGGACCAAAGGCATGTGCCACTACACTTGGCTAATTTTTGTATTTTTTGTAGACATGGGGTCTGGCCATGTTGCCCAAGCTGGTCTCTAGCTCCTGAGCTCAAGCAATCTGCTGGCCTCCACTTCCCAAAGTGCTGGGATTACAGGCGTGAGCCACCACGCCTGGCTTCCTGTGTCCTTTTCCTAGCATTATGGTTCAAACTGTATAAAAGCCACTAAATTCAAAAGGTAATTTGGATACAGTACCTTCTACGTGCAAGGCTGAGTATTTGGTGACCAGGAAGAAACAGCAAGGAGATAAGAAATAGAAAGTAATTTCCCAGAACTTTATGAACAAATTAGCATATGAACAAATGCATGGAACCAGTGACTCAGTGCCTGGGTGGGGCATCGATTGACCAGAACAATGACGACTTTTGCAGAAACAGGATTTAGGCTCTCACCAGATCATAGGAGTCAACAAATCCTATTCAAGCTCCTGTAAACCTCCTTCTTGTCCTGTATTATCTCAGTTGTTGATGTCACAGTTCCAAGGGTCCCTTCAGCTTGGACGTTGTCCTTGACTAGCCCATTCCCCTCCCCATCAGAATCTGCCCAGTTCCCTAAACTGGGAAATCTCCAGATTGACTTCCCAAATCATTCTTGGCACCAAGTCTTTCTTTCATTCCTTCTTGCCTCCAGGGCCTTAGTTCAAGTCCTTGCCTTCTCTTGTCCAGACTATGGTCACAGCCTCCTAACTGCATCTCCCAACTCCAATCTTCACCTCTTCTCCTCACCCCCCACAATCTTACCATAAGGATCCTTCTGAAATGCAGACCACACTGTGTTATTCAAAGTTGTTCAATGACTATAAGCTTGAGTGCCGGAATCCTCTGCAGAACCTACCATGCCTACCATATAATATAGGATCCCCGACGCCCTCTCCTGCCTTGCCCTGGACACCCCCGCCTGCACCCTGCAGCTCCAGCATCGCAGCTCTTTCAACATTGTGTTGTTCGGGTCAGAACCCCGGCAGCTCAGAAAACACTCTTCGTTTTCCTTCCACTTTGTTTTCTCTGGTTGGTACTTTTGTTTCCTTACCTTCTTATCCTAGGAAAAGTCTTCTCTTTAATTGCAACACTCTCTGACCTAAAAAGAAGACACGGGAATTTTCCACTTTCTGGCAGAGAGAGGAATGCAAGGATATCCTCACCACTTTTCTGGTGGCAGGAGTTTGCTTGTCAGATCCAGAGCTAAAGGAGTGGAGAAGAGTTGGAGGAGAGACTGTGAAATCCTGGGAAGAAAATTCTTTAGAATGTGAATGTTCCCTCTTTTTGTCCAGAGAGTCCTTGTCAAAGCTGGCAAAGCTATAGGTGTTCTGAGTCATTTTGATTTTCTCCATTTCCTCTAAAATCAGCCTTGCACCAATAGACATGATGGGAAGCCTTGAGTCCTGAACTGTAGATTTTTACCCAAGCTTGATTATCCCCTAGACTTTCCCATCTCAAATGATAACACCACCATTCAGTAACCCAGACTCCAGATCTAGTAGTTTACTTTCTTCTTCCTTTTCTCTTAACTCCCATTCAGGCCAATAGCAAGCTTTAATTTTTTTTTTTTTTTTTTTTTTTTTGAGATGGAGTCTTGGTCTGTCGCCCAGGCTGGAGCTCAGTGGCATGATCTCTGCTCACTGCAAGCTCTGCCTCCCGGGTTCACACCATTCTCCTGCCTCAGCCTCCCGAGTAGCTGGGACTACAGGCGCCCGCCACCACGCCCGGCTAATTTTTTCTATTTTTAGTAGAGACGGGGTTTCACCGTGTTAGCCAGGATGGTCTCGATCTCCTGACCTCGTGATCTGCCCATCTCGGCCTCCCAAAGTGCTGGGATTACAGGCGTGAGCCACCGCGCCCAGCCACTTTAATTTTTTTTTAATTTTTAATTTTTTTTTTTTTTTTTGAGACAGAGTCTTGCTCTGTCGCCCAGGCTGGAGTGCAGTGGTGTGATCTTGGCTCACTGCAAGCTCCACCTCCCGGGTTCACGCCATTCTCATGCCTCAGCCTCCCGAGTAGCTGAGACTACAGGCGTCCGCCACCACGCCTGGCTAATTTTTTGTATTTTTTAGTAGAGACGGGGTTTCACTGTGTTAGCCAGGATGGTCTCGATCTCCTGACCTCATGATCCACCCACCTCGGCCTCCCAAAGTGCTGGGATTACAGGTGTGAGCCACTGCGCCTGGCCTTAATTTTTAATTTTTTGTGTGAGACGGATTCTCACTCTGTGGCCCAGGCTTGAGTGCAATGGCATGATCTTGGCTCATTGCAACTGCCACCTCCTGGCTTCAAGCAATTCTCCTGCCTCAGTCTCCCGAGTAGCTGGGATTACAGGCGTGCACCACCATGCCTGGCTAATTTTTATATTTTTAGTAGAGACTGGGTTTCACCGTGTTGGTCAGGCTGGTCTCGAACTCCTGACCTCAAGCAATCCACCTGCCTTGGCCTCCCAAAGTGCTGGGACTATAGGCGTGAGCCACCGTGCCCAGCCAATAGCGAGTTTTATTGATTTTTACTTTCCAAGAGTCTCTCAAATCTGTCTACTCCTCTGTTGCTCCACGGCATCCACCTAATCTCAAGAGGTTCCTCTCTCAAGGAATCACCTTCCAATTGCTTACCTACATCAACTCCTGCCTTTGGCAATTCATTCTCCACACAGCAATCAGGGGGTACCCTTATTAAAACATAAAGTCTTATTTTTGGCCGGGTGTGGTGGCTCATGCCTGTAATCCCAGCAGTTTGGGAGGCTGAGGTAGATGGATCACCTGAGGTCAGGAGTTCAAGGCCAGCCTGACCAACATGTTGAAACCCCGTCTCTACTAAAAATATAAAAATTATCTGGGCGTGGTGGTGCACACCTGAAATTTCAGCTACTCGGGAGGCTGAAACAGAAGTATTGCTTGAACCCAGTAGGTGGAGGTTGCAGTGAGCCGAGATTGCGCCATTGCACTCCAGCCTGGGCAATAAGAGTGAAACTCCATCTCAAAAAAAAAAATAATAATAAAGTCTTATTTTTTATGCAAGTTATATGTATGTTATTGAAATATAACTTATATACAAAGAAACACAAACCATATTGTATAACTCAGTGGTTTTACATAAAAGAGCATACTCATGTGACCAATGCCAGATCAATACATAAGACATGACCAGCATCCCAGACATCCACTCACGCCCCTTCCACACTCCCTCCTTCCAAGGGAACCACTATCTTTTTACTATTATGATTATTATACTTTAAGTTCTGGGATACATGTGCAGAATGCACAGGTTTGTTACATAGGTATACCCGTGCCATGGTGGTTTGCTGCAGCCATCAACCCGTCATCTACATTGGGTATTTCTCCTAATGCTATCCCTCCCCTAGCCCCCCAGACTCCAACAGACCTTGGTATGTAATGTTCCCCTCCTTGTGTCCATGTGTTCCCATTGTTCAACTCCCACTTATGAGTGAGAACATGTGGTGTTTGGCTTTCTATTACTGTGTTAGTTTGCTGAGAATGATGGTTTCCAACTTCATCCATGTCCCTGCACAGGACATGAACTCACCATTTTTTATGGCTGCATAGTATTCCATGGTGTATATGTGCCACATTTTCTTTATTCGGTCTGTCACTGATGAGCATTTGGGTTGGGGAACCACTATCTTAACTTCCAACACCATAAGATTGGTTTTTCCTGCTTTAAAACTTTATGTAAGTAGAATCATCCCATGCATCCTCTTCTGTACCTGGCATATTTTATTCAACATTTTGTTGATGCAATTCATCCATGTTGTTGCTTGTAGTTGTAGATTGTTTAGTCTTATTCCTGGGAAGTATTTCATTGTATGAATTTACCACAGTTTATTTACCCATTCTACTGTTGATGGATACTTGAGTAGTTTTCAAGTAGTTTTTGACTATTATGAATAATATTGCCATGAGTATTCTCATGCCTTTCTTCTGGTGAGTGTATGTATGCATTTCTGTTGAAATATACCTAGGAATGAAATTGATGGGCATGGGATATGCATACTTAAGTAGATATTGCCAATTTCCCAAGTAGTTATACCAATTTATACTCTTACTGGAAAGATATGAATGTTGCATTTGCTCTGTATTTTTGCCAACATTTGATGTCTTTTTAATCTTAGCCATTCTCATGGGCAGTGTGCTCTTTCGTAAATCTGATTAGTGTCACTTCCTACTTAGTGGCCTTCGATGGCTTCCCATTGAATTTAAAACAAAACCCAGACACCTAAATGTGGCTCTGCCTATCTTCTCCAATGTCATCTCATACCACTCTTTTTCCTTACTACAATGGTCTTTTCCTTCTTAAAATCCATCAAGCTCTTTCCCACCTCTGGATCTGCACACTGCTTTCCTCTGCCTGGAAAACTTTTCTCCATTCACCTTCTCTCCCACCCTTTCGCTAGCCTTCCTCCCTACCCCTCCTATCTCAGATTTAATGTCTGTCCTTAGGAAGGAAGTCCCTGACCCCTCCTTCCTGTTCTTATTCTCATCATAGGGCTACCACATGGCACTCATCACAGTTTATAGGTACATACTCATCTGCTTGGTTTTTTTGTTTGTTCCTCTCTTTAGAGTATAAAGTTCATGAAAACAAGGAGCCTCACTACTTCATAAGCCACTCTAGTGCCTGTGCCTGCCAGACAGTGCTTGGCATATACTGGGCATTCATCAAATGTTTTTTGAAGGAACGAATGAATGAATCCAGTCTATTTCAGACAATGTGTTATATATATATATTTCTTTCTTTCTTTCTTTCTTTCTTTCTTTCTTTCTTTCTTTCTTTCTTTCTTTCTTTTTTTTGAGATAGGGTCTTGCTCTGTCGCCCAAGCTGGAGTGCAGTGGTGTGATCATGGCTTGCTGCAACCTTGACCTGGGCTCAAGCAATCCTCTTGCCTTAGCTTCCCTAGTAGTTGAGACTATGGGCACGAACCATCATGCCCAGCTAATTATTGTTACTATTATTATTTTTTTTTGTAGAAACAGGAGTCTCACTGTGTTGTCCAGGCTGGTCTCAAACTCCTTGCCTCAGGGGATCCTTCCTCCTCAGCTTCCTAAAGTGCTGGGATTACAGGTGTGAGCCACCGTGCCCAGCCAAAATAATGTCAAATATCACCTTTGGGGATGGAGTTTTGACACTCACTGAAGATGCATGAAAAACATTGCCAAAAGTGGACATGGTAAGGGCCTGAGTGGCAGACCAAGCAATGCATAGACAGGCAGCTCAGAGCTTGTCTGTGAGCCAGGAGCCTCGAGAAAAAAGCATCAGGGGGAACCCAAAGAGGGCTCTTGAAGAAGCAGAGTATGGCTTAAGTCCTGGGGGAGGGTTTGTGTCTTCTAGGAAATACATTTTTTGTTTGTTTGTTTGTTTGTTTTAGCCAGAGTCTTAATGCTATTGCTGGGGCTGGAGTGTAGTGGTGCGATCTCGGCTCACTGTAACCTCCACTTCCCGAGTTCAAGGGATTCTCCTACCTCAGCCTCCCAGGTAACTGGGATTACAGGTGTGCACCACCACACAAAGCTATTTTTTTGTATTTTTTAGTAGACACAGGGTTTCAAGATATTGGCCAGGCTGGTCTCGAATTCCTGACCTCAGATGATCAACTCGCCTCAGCCTCCCAAAGTGCTGGGATTCCAGGTGTGAGCCACCACACCTGGCCTAGGAAATGAATTTTTAAAAATAAACGCATAGCCCTCCATGTCTCCAAAAAGCACCCTAATGTTTTCCAGGAGAGAGTGCCCTTAGAAATCAGCTGACTCAGATCCTGAAGCCAGTAACTTTGGTGTGAGAAAGAATATGCTTCTAATATTCTAACATTTCAATAACAATGGAGGCAGAATTTGATAACATGAAAAATAGTATTCCTTGGAAGGAATTTGAGAATACATTAATTATCATAAATTGTTAATTTTGTTCATTTCTGAAATATGGTCATCCTCTCTTGTGTGAACCTGGTTTCCCTCTATTGTCTACTCAATTAAATAGCACCCGTCTGACAACCATGGCTATGTATTTCCTACTGGACTGGAAAGGCTGAACATCCTTTATGTGTGAATAGAATAGAAAAGCACAGAGCATTCAAATGAGAGCAGAAGGAGGATTTATTGTTATTTCATTTAAAATGCCATATTAACTTTCCAGATAATTGGGAAACATTCATCCTCCATGACATATGCATTTAAAAGGTTTACTTTTGCTCCAGTAATCCTACTGATTTTTAGCCACAAAACTGTTTCAAATCCTGAGCTACATGCTCAACAAATCTTAGCACTATATAAATGAGCATTTCTGCAAGGCATCTGGTCTTTTAAATTAACTGTATTCATTTTATTGTGTAAAACATCTAATTTCAGGGAAAAAAATGGTGACAGTTCATATCAGTAAATTTTTTTCTTTTAAGAGACAGGGTCTCATTCTGTCATCCAGGCTGGAGTGCAGTGGCATGATCATATCTGACTGCATCCTCAACCTTCTGGGCTTGAGGTCCTCTCGCCCGGGCCGCCCAAAGTGCTGGGATTACAGGTGCAAGCCACTCTGCCCAGCCCTCAGTGAACTCTTGAGGGTCTCCTGAATGCTCAGGATACAAATATGTCCAAGCAGGTCAAAGAGCTTATATATTTAATGGCCAAGAGACAGATAAACAGGCAATTGCAGTAAAATGTACTTAGGGCTCAAATAGGGGTAATTATAGTTGTTGTGGGATCCCATAGGAGTAGTCTACCCCAGACTTGGTGGAAATGGGGAGTGTCAGTCAAAACCTCTAGGCAGCTGTTCTTTCTTACTCAATCTCACTCCTTGGAGAAGTAGTCCCAATATCTTGGCTGTAATGTACCCACAGTAGTTCTCTTACCCCTCTCTGCAAATTATATTTATATAACTGCTATTTGCACACTAAAGGTGTGAGGTGTAAAGGGGAAAACATAATATAGCAGTCAAGAGTGTAGACTCTGATCAGACAGCCTGAGTTGGAATCTCAACTGCTGCTTATCTGTAACACCCTATTTAACTCTCTATGCCTCCGTTTCCTTGTCTCTGTGAAGATTAAATGATTTTTCATGAGTAAAATCATAGAGTACTGCCTGACATGTAGTAAGTGCTCAGTGAGAATTCTATTATTCCATGACTGTCTTGTCTCTTTCACTACATTGTCAGTTTCATAGCAGCAGTTATTATCATATTTATCTTTGTGTCCTACCCATGGGCTCCATGGGCCTAAACCATTCTTCAACCCCTCCAGTGCCTAGCATGGTCCCCTATGCAGTACAAGTGGGATAAAAAAAAAAGTTCGCTGAATTGGTGAGGGCCTACAGGTGGCATGTGGACCAAATCTGAGTTCCCTAGGATCATTTTTAAAATGCAGAGACACCATCATTTATATCAAATGCTTACTTAGATACACTATGACCAAATGATACCGATTTTTTTTTATCATTGTTGTTAGTTAAGTTCAGTTACCTAATACTTACTGAGCACTTACTACATGCTGGGCACTTAGTTAAGCATGTTACACAAATCATGTTGCTTAAGTCTCACTTAAAATTTATAAGTCACTTTTGTACTCTTATAGGAAGCTGGAAAAATGGCCATACATCCATTTTTCCTGGCACCAAAAATAAAATATTGTTAAATTTTATACTACATATGTACAATACAGCTAGATTATATATTATTTCAAAGCCATTTTGTTCTGAAAACTTGCTATAATTACAGTGGTATTGTAATTCTCCATGTTATAATTGTAAAATTACCATGTGCATAGAGGGGAGATTCCTTTGTACCCTCATAATAGGAGTCTTCTCCAGGACTCTCAAGGGAGCACATACACAAATGCACAGTCAGCTACGTTGCTAGAATATGTTGTACAGGTCAAACCATAATTAAAATAATTATTATTTATGTAGCACCGTAAATGTATCCACTGTTTCAGTCATAATCACAGCAGAGACAGAAAACAGCAATTATATAATCCAGTCAACTCCAGCAAATGCATGTCAGCCAAGATCCTAGCAGAGAAGATCTGATAATTAATGTCAAGCAAAAATAACAGGCATATGGAATCACACTCTATTCCTGGGTTTCCATTCTCTTCATTTTTGTGGGTTTCCATCCATTCATTTACTCCTTCATTCATTCATTCATTCACTCATTCAACCTAGTTTCTATGTTGCTTACCATGTGCCTGCTGTTTGCTAAGAACAAATATCTACAAGAATAAGAAATGGGCTGGGTGCAGTGGCTTATGCCTATAATCCCAGCACTTTGGGAGGCCGAAGCGGGGAGATCACTTGAGGTCAGGTGTTCAGGTCAGGTGTTCCCAACAGTGAATCAACCCAAAAGTATTTATTAACCACTACTAGGGTCTGAATATGTCCCCCAAAATTCATATGTCAAAACTTAATTGCCAATGTGATAGTATTAAGAGCTAGAGACTTTAGGAGGTGAGGAGGCCATGAGGATGGAGCCCTCATGAATATGATTAATACCTTTATAGAAAAGGCTTCAGAAAGCTTCCTGGGTCTTTTGCCCTCCTTCCACCATGTGAGGACGCAGCAACAAGGTGCCATCTTGGAAGCAGACAGCAGCCCTCACCAGACAGGGATCCTTCCGGTGCCTTGATCTTGGACTTCTTAGCCTCTAGAACTGTGAAAAATAAATTTCTGTTATTTATAAATTACCCAGTCTAAAGTATTTTGTTATAGCAACCTGAACTGACCAGCCTGGCCAACATGGTAAAACTCTGTTTCTACTAAAAATACAAAAATTAGCCGGGCATGGTGGCAAACGCCTGTTATCCTAGCTATTAAGGAGGCCGAGGCAGGAGAATCACTTGAACCCGGGAAGCAGAGGTTGCAGTGAGCTGAGATGGCACCACTGCACTCCAGTCAGGGTAACAAAGCGAGACTCCGTCTCAAAAAAAAACAAAAAAAGAAAAGAATAAGAAACAGTCCCTGCCTTCAGGGAGTTCTCAGTTCCAGAAGAAGAAAGACAAAGATAAGTACACTCAGAGCCTGCCCCCAGGGGACTTATAATCAAATAGGACTGACTGGCATATATGCAAATAAACCTAACATGGCTGTCATGTGAAACGATAACAACCAGCAAACTCTTACTACATGTGAGACACTGGGCTGGATGTTTTATATATGTTATTTTATTTTATTTATTTTTATGTTTTTTTTGTGTGTGTGTGACAAGGTCTTCCTCTTCACCCAGGCTGGAGTGCAGTGGTGCGATCGCAGCTCACTGCAGCCTTGACCTCCTGGACTCAAGTGATCCTCCCACCTCAGCCTCCCAAGTAGCTGAGACAACAGATGTGTGCTATGAAGACCAGCTAATTTTTCTTTTCATTTTTTGTAGAGATGGGGGTCTCCTTATGTTGCCCAGGCTGGTCTCAAACTCCTGGCCTCAAGCAATCCTCCCATCTCTGCCTCCCAAAGTGCTGGGATTACAGGCATGAGCCACCATGCCCAGCAGAGGGAAATTTATTTAGAGAGAAAAGAGGACATTCACTTGGTGTTCTTCAACAGCTAACCCAGATGACCAAAACCCTCTTTCAGAAGCCCTTAACATATCCTGCAACAGCAAAAAAAAGGTGTTTATACAATGCCCTGTTTCAAACAATAAGCCTCTAATGCAGAATTAATGTCAAATGAAGTACAAAATATTTAATCACTATCCTTTTCTACCATGTTCTCTCTCAATTTACATAACATCCTGATCTTTTACTTACCAAAATCTCAGTTGACACAAAAAGTAGGCAGGGCAGGTAAAATTATCTTCACATTGGCCGGGTGTGGTGGCTCACACCTGTAATCCCAACACTTTGGGAGGCCGAGGCGGGTGGATCACCTGAGGTCAGGAGTTCAAGACTGGCCTGCCCAACATGGTGAAACTCTGTCTCTACAAAAATACAAAAATTAGCCAGGCATGATGGCGTGTGCCTGTAATCCCAGCTACTTGGAGGCTGAGGCGGGAGAATCGCTTGAATCAGGGAGGCAGAGGATGCAGTAAGCTGAGATCACGCCACTGTGCTCCAGCCTGGGCAACAGAGCGAGACTCTGTCCACCCCCACAAAAAAGAGACCTTTCATGTCATGGATGGGAAAACTGAGGCTTAGAGAAGTTAAATGACCTACCCCAGACACAGCACCAGTGACGATATTAGGCTAAAACATAGCTCTCCAACTCCCCGAAGATTGACCCCTTCCACCAAGTCTGGTGATTCCTGACCCCTTAACTCTGGGATCCAGTGGGGACCCCTCTCTGCTTTTGTATGAATGGTTTACACAAGCATTTGCCCCCTAATGGGCCATCAAAGATATGGCTAACATCAAACACTATGACTTCACAGTTAACCAAATGTAAATAAAGTGGAAATCTGCTACCAAACATCCTAAAAAACAAACACAAACCCAATAACTTTTCAACTCTATTTTTATTCAAAATTGGACTTGAATTTGTTCTCTTATTGAGTGTTCTCCCAACAGTGAATCAATCCAAAAGTATTTATTAACCACTACTAGTGTCTGAATATGTCCCCCAAAATTCATATGTCAAAACTTAATTGCCAATGTGATAGTATTAAGAGCTAGAGACTTTAGGAGGTGAGGAGGCCATGAGGATGGAGCCCTCATGAATATGATTAATACCCTTATAGAAAAGGCTTCAGAAAGCTCCCTGGGTCTTTTGCCCTCTTTTCACCATGTGAGGACTCAGCAACAAGGTGCCATCTTGGAAGCAGACAGCAGCCCTTACCAGACAGGGATCCTGCCAGTGCCTTGATCTTGGACTTCTTAGCCTCTAGAACTGTGAAAAATAAATTTCTGTTATTTATAAATTACCCAGTCTAAGGTATTTTGTTATAGCAACCTGAACTGACTAAGACAACCATTCACCATGCAGGTAGAGAGCCAATTATAAGAAGTCATCCCCGACCTCAAGGAGTCTGAGTCTAATTGGGGGAAATGATGAACACAGAAGAAAGGATCAGTAAGTAATGTCGACTGTGATAGTGTCTGAAGGGAAAACTAGGCTCAGGATGTAGATAAACAAGCCACCCCGCTGAGGTGTATCCATTAGAGCTGTGCTTGGTGAGCCCTCCAGAGGACAGAGATCAGCCCTCTCTACAATAGTCTGTAGTCTTCATGCCTCACTATCCTGGTATACTGAAATCTCCTTAAGTGAGGAAGTACACGTCTTTATTCTCACAGCTTTATTGTAGTGAGTTGTCAAAGAGTGTGGCCTCTGGAGCTAGACTCTCTAGGTTTGAATCCTGGCTCTATAACTCACAGATTCTGTAACCTTGAACACGTTATTTTAGCTCTTTTTTTTTTTTTTTTTTGGAGACAGAGTCTTGCTCTGTTGACCAGGCTAGAGTGGCAGTGGCATGACCTTGGCTCATTGCAACTTCTGCCTCCCAGGCTCAAGCGAGTCTCATGCCTCAGCTTCCCAAGTAGCTGGGATTACAGGCGTGCACCACCACGCCTGGATAATTTTTGGTGTGTGTGTGTGTGTGTGTTTTAGTAGAAATGGGGTTTCACCATGTTGGCCAGGTTGGTCTTGAACCCCTGACTCAGGTGATCAACCTGCCTCAGACTCCCACAGTGCTGGGATTACAAGTGTGAGCCACCACACCCGGCCTATTTAAACTCTTTATGGCCAAGTTTCCTCATCTGTAAAACAAGTACCATTTCACCAGGTTCTCATGAGGAGTAAATGAATTATTAAGTACTACATGTCAAGATTCTAGAAAAATGGCTGATACACATTAAATGTTCCATACATAATAACTAATAATTCAGTGGTTTGTGCTTGGTCAAGTTCTGTCTGTCAAACAGAGTATAAAGTGATAAGAACAAAAGTGTTGTTGTTGTTGTTTGAGATAGGATCTCACTTTGTCACCCAGGCTGATCACGGTGTTATCACAGCTTACTACAGCCTCGAACTCTCGGACACAAGTGATCCTCCCACCTCAGCCTCCCAAGTAGCTGGGACCACAGGTGGCTGCCACCACAGCTGGCTGATTTTTGTATTTTTTTGTAGAGATAGTGTTTCACCATGTTGGCCAGGCTGGCCTCCAATGCCTGACCTCAAGCGATCCACCCACCTCAGCCTCCCAAAGTGTTAGGATTACAGGCGTGAGCCACTGCTCCCAGCCAAGAGCAGGTTTTAATGGCTAAGCCTTTTGAACATACTGATTTAGCAGTCTTTATTGAGCATCTATGTGCCATTGGGAATACGATGGTTAACAAGCTAGACCAGGGCCCTTGAGGAACAAGCAAAGATATGAGATATAGTAGAAGACAGAGTTTCCCTTCATCATGAAACTGATCATTTTGAGTCTCTTTTAAAAAAAAATTATTAGACTTTACTTTTTAGAGCAGTTTTAGGTTTACATAAAAATTGAGCAGATAGTACAAAGAGTTTCCATATACTCCCACCTCCCCTAGTTTTCCCTATTATTAACATCTTGAATTAATGCAGTACATTTGTTACAATTGATGAACCCATATTAATATATTGTTATTAACAAAAGCCATAGTGATTTTTTTTTTTTTAATGGAGACTCGCTCTGTCACCCAGGCTGGAGTGCAGTGGTGCGATCTCAGCTCACTATAACCTCCGCCTCCGGGCTCAAGCAATTCTCCTGCCTCAGCCTCCCGAGTAGCTGGGATTACAGGTTGTGTGCCACTATGCCTGATTAATTTTTGTATTTTTAGTAGAGACAGAGTTTCACCATGTTGGCCAGGCTGGTCTCGAACTCCTGACCGCAAGTGATTCTCCTGCCTCAGCCTCCCAAAATGCTGGGATTATAGGTGTGAGCCACTACACCTGGCCAAGGCCATAGTTTATATTAGGATTCACTCTTTGTGTTGTGCAGTTCTATGGGTTTTGACAAATGCATACCATCATATATCCACCACTGTAATATTACACAGAATAGTGATGCTTCACCCACATCCATTCCTCCCTCCCTCCTCCCCAACCCCTGGCAACCACTGATCGTTGTACTGCCTCTAAGCTTTTCCTTTTCCAGAATGTCGTATATGTGGAATCATAAAGTATGTATATGTAGCCTTTATAGACTAGCTACTTTTAGAAATATGCATTTGAGTTTCCTCCATGTCTTTTCATGAGTTGATAGCTCATTTCCTTTTTATCATCACATAACATTCCATTTTATGGATGTACTACCATTTACTCATTCACTTCTCAAAGGACATCTTGACTGTTTCCAGTTTTGGGCAATTATGAATAAAGCTGCTATGAATATCAATGTGCAACTTTTTGAGTAGACATAAGTTTTTAATTCATTTGGGTAAAAACCCAGGAGCACAATTGCTAGATCATGTAGTAAGACTGTTTAGCTTTGTAAGAAACTGCCGGACTGTCCTCCAAAATGGTTGTACCATTTTGCATTTACAACCAGGAATGAATGAGAGTTCCTGGTGCTCCACATCCTCACCCAGCATTTGGTGGTGTCAGTGTTTTTTAAAATATGTTTTTACCATTCTAATAGGTGTGCAGTGATATCTCATTGTTGTTTTAATTTGCAATTCCTTAATGGCATATAATGTATTGCATCATTTCATGTTTGTTCCATCTGCATATCTTTTTTTGTGAGGTGTCTGTTCAGCTCTTTTGTCCATTTTTAATTAAAATCTTTAATTGCTGAGTTTTAAGGGTTCTTGGTATATTTTGGATACAAATTCTTTATCAGATATATATATATACACACATATATGTATATATATGTGTGTGTGTGTATATATATGTGTGTGTATATATATATATATATATATATATATATATATATATATATATATATATATATGTTTTGAGATGGAGTCTTGCTCTGTTGCCAAGACTGGAGTGGAGTGGCACGATCTCGGCTCACTGCAACCTCCACCTCCCAGGTTCAAGCAATTCTCCTTCCTCAGCCTCCCAAGTAGCTGGGATTACAGACACCCACCACCACACCTAGCTAATTTTTGTATTTTTAGTAGAGATGGGGTTTCACCATCTTGGCCAGGCTGTTCTTGAACTCCTGACTTCGTGACCCACCCACCTCGGTCTCCCAAAGTGCTGGGATTACAGGCATCAGCCAATGAGCCTGGCCTAAATTCTTTATCAGATACATGTTTTACAAAGAATTTCTCCCAGTCTTGTCTTTTCATTCCCTTAAGAGTCATACTGTGGCCAGACACACCTCTAATCCCAGCAATTTTGGAAGCTGAGGTGGTGGATTGCTTGGGCCCAGGTGTTTAAGACCTGTTTGGCAACATGGCAAAACCCTGTCTCTACCAAAAAAAAATATAAAAAGACAAAAACAAAAAACAAAAATTTACCGGGCATGGTGGCACACGCCTGTAATCCCAACTACTCGGGAGGCTGAGGTGGCAGAATTGCTTGAGCCCTGGAGGTCTAGGTTGCAGTGAGTCATGATCATGCCACTGCACTCCAAACTGGGCAACAGAGTGAGACCCTGTTTCAATTTATTTATTTATTTTAAAGAAGAGTGATATTGTTTTGAATGCAGGTTAATAGTCCTTAATCCCCTGAGGTCGGTGTTGCCCAGTGCCATAACTTTAGGACTACCTTCTTTCACAAAATAGATGAGAAAGGAAAAAACAGAGTGGCTCACGCCTGTAATCCCTACACTTGGGAGGCTGAGGCAGGTGGATCACTTGAGGTCAGGAGTTCAAGACCAGCCTGGCCAACATAGTGAAACCCCATCTCTACTAAAAATACAAAAATTAGCCAGGCATGGCAACAGGTATCTGTAGTCCCAGCTACCTGGGAGGCTGAAGCAGGAGAATCACTTGGACCTGGGAGGCGGAGGTTGCAGTGAGCCAAGATTGCACCACTGCACTCTAGCCTCGGCAACGGAGCGAGACTCCATCTCAAAAGAAAAAAAAAAAAAGAAAGAAAGAAAGAAAGAAAAGAAAGGAAAAAACAGAAAAAAATATCCTGAAGAACTCAGAACAGTCTCTAAGTGCTTAGTTGTGTATGTTCATAGCCATGCTGATGCTGACAACAAATCCAAAAGGATCACACCAAACATTTTTTCAATTAAAAATTATAATAAATAACGTAAGGTAATACATAGGCTAATTAGCTTGATTTAGCCACTCCAAATTTCAAAACATTATGTTGTATGCCATAAATATATACAATTTTTATTTGTCAATTAAAAAATAGAAGATAAAATAATTAGGTAAATAGGCTCAAAAACATTTAAGAAATTACACGTGAATGGGGCTTCATTAAAAAAAATTCCATCCTAGCCAGGCACGGTGGTTTATGCCTGTAATCCCAGCACTTTGGGAGGCCAAGGCGGGTGGATCACCCGCGGTGAGGAGTTCGAGACCAGCCTGGCCAAGATGGTGAAACCTCATCTCTACTGAAAATATAAAAATTAGCCGGGCGTGGTGGTGGGCACCTGTAATCCCAGCTACTTGGGAGGCTGAGGCAGAGAACTGCCTGAACCTGGGAGGTGGAGGTTACAGTGAGCTGAGATCGTGCCACTGCACTCCAGCCTGGGTAGTAAAGCAAGACATCATCTCAAAAAAAAAAGAAAAAAAAATTCCATCCTAAGTAAATCTTTGGGAATAAAGGCTAGGTTTTTTCCCCCCTGCTTTTATGTCTATTGAGTTTCTTCGCTTTAGAATGAGCCTCTGCATTAATAAGATCCTCTGGGATCATATCCACAAAAGGGTATTAAATCCTTGAAGGGTTGTTATAAATCTTCTGTCTTGGCCACACTAATAGAAATCCAGCCTAGGAACACCTTCCTCACCCCTGAGCCCCTTCTCTAAGGAACTCTACAGTGTCAGTCAGTCATCCAAATCAATGACTTTACCCATCACCTACAGGCAGCCAGTCTGCCTGGCTGAACCATGGCAGTCATTCTGCCTCAGAAATAACTCTGATGGACAACCCGGGCAGGGAGGAATACGGGAAATTATAAGAAGGACCTAGGCATGGAGGTAGACCAGCTGAAAGTTTTCCAGGAACATTTGAAACACTCTTTTTTACACTTGAGACAAGTGACATGGTTTTCTTAATGAGCACATGCAGCCAAAATCCCAGTTCATATACTGGAAGGAAAAGTCTCATAGAACAAGCAGCAGACCTCTGAGGAATGGATTCAGAAACAATTCCAGACCCAGAATGTGAAAAGTTAGCTTTAAATACCCTGCTCTCAGACCACCCAGGAATGGTATCCAGACCTCATCCTGGCCTCTAGAGAATTCCCAGGGCCACCTGTCAAAGTGGCTTGTCAGGCATGGATAAAAATGCCATTGGGGGAAGGAAAATGCAACATAAAGCCTTCTAGCAGAGGAAATATGAAGAATAGTATTTTCTACACGACTGCGCTAAAGGGTTCATTTAAAGAAAAAAACACTTCTAACTATTAGGGAAAATTCCAGGTTAACTATACTTAAAAAAAAAAAAAAAGCCCAAAAATCTAGTAAATATTTTGCTGGGAAATTCACACTTAAAGAAATGGTCTTTCAGGCCCCTGGGGAGAAGGCATTAAGCTGACACATTTTTCAAATCAAAATGGCTGCTCTAAAAACATAAACCTTCAAAATGAACACCACAGAGAGCCCCTTTCTTCCTGTGCTGAGCACGCTCACTACCCACTCAGAGCGCCCTGTGCCAAGGCGAAGTCAAACCCCATAGAAACCTGATCCCCACTGTGGAGAAAACTGTGCAGCGCCCTTGTTTTCTGTCGTGCTTTGTTTTGTATTTCAGATGTGCTGGTCACATCTGTTCTTTATCTCCCCTCTTCCACTGTGATTTTGTTTACAGGATCCCAGAACAATGGGGACTGCAGAATCTCCACACAGATGACAGGAGACAAGGCTCTCAGGGGGTAGTCACTGTCTGCAAAACGTGGAGCCAAAGGCGTGGTTTTCAGAGTAGCTGCCAACACTCCAAGTTACTCAGGCTCATGGACCAGGAATGACTGGAAAGGAGACTGCCTTGTCTGGGGAAGATCCAGACCCACAGATGCAATTTTTTGAAAGTAATCTCTTTACAATGGCCTGCCCATCTCCTCTCTCTGCTTAGAAGTTTTTGTGTTCTGTAAGGAGCCTTCTAATGGGCTTCTGTCTGCCTGGGCTTCTGTCCCTTTGGTTCTCCCAGTCTGCTCTCTGTCTCTTTTGTTTCTTTCATCCCTGGATTCCAGGAAGTCAAGGTCAGGGCAGCTTACCAGTCCCTAAACACCATTATTTTGGCAGGATGCTTTGGCAGTGGAATGAATGCCTGCAGAAGGCCTCACCTAGTCACCCACAAATTCATGAACACAGCTGTGACTTTTCGAAGCAGAAGCCAGACTCTTAGTCTTTGTTTTTTATCTTTTTTTTCTTTTTTTTTTTTTTTTGAGACGGAGTCTCACTCTGTCGCCTAGGCTGGAGTGCGGTGACACCATCTTGGCTCACTGCAACTTCTGCCTCCTGGGTTCAAGCAGTTCTCCTGCCTCAGCCTCCCGAGTAGGTGGGATTACAGGCACCCACCACTACACCTGGCTAAGTTTTGTATTTTTAGTAGAGATGGGGTTTCACCATCTTGGCCAGGCTGGTCTTGAACTCCTGACCTCATGATCTGCCCACCTCGGCCTCCCAAAGTGCTGGGACTAGAGGTGTGAGCCACCGCACCTGGCCTGTTTTTCATCTTATTTTTAAAAGTCATATGTCGAGCAAGAAAAAATCTAGACTACAGTGTTACTCAAACTGTGGGTTGCTAACAGACAGTGCTCCTCATGGCTCTTACTACTGGTCAGTGGAGAAACGAAGAAATTGAGAGAATGCATTTAGAAAATTTCATAGTGCTTTCACAGAATAATCTTATGTCTCTTGAATCTAATAATAAAAATTGGGGAGCCTATATTTTACATGTCTTTGGTTTGCTATTTCACTTTTCTATTTATTCATTTTTAGTATATTTATAAGAATGTCAGTCCATAATGGCATGGAAATAATTCAAGAAGAAGGAAACCCTATCACACATAGTATGAAAAGCAAACCACAGACGATACAAAAAAAGAAAGAAAAAAAACCCACCAAACACTCATTTAGCCATTACCCAGCCTTTGTCAAAACTTAACATTTTATCATGTTTGCCTTTGCTTTTTTAATTTTTATTGATTGGTTGATTGATTGAGACAGACTCTCACTTTATCACCCAGGCTAGAGTACAGAGGCCCACATGGCTCATTGCAGCCTCAACCTCCTGAGCTCAAGGGATCCTCACACCTCAGCCTCCCAATTAGCTGGGACTAAAGCTCATGCCACCATGTTTGGCTAATTAAAAATTTTTTTTTGTAGAGACAGGGTCTCACTATGTTGTCCAGGCTGGTCTCAAACTCATGTGATCCTCCCACCTTGGCCTCCCAACGTGCTGGGATTATAGGCATGAGCCATCGCACCTGGACATTGCCTTTTTTTCTTTTTTTTTTTTGAGACGGAGTTTAGCTCTGTCACCCCCAGGCTGGAGTGCAGTGGCCCAATCTTGGCTCACTGCAACCTCCGCCTTCCTAGTTCAAGCAATACTCCTGCCTCAGCCTTTCGAGTAGCTGGGACTACAGGCATGCATCACCATGCCCAGCTAATTTTTGTATTTTTAGTAGAGACAGTGTTTCACCATGTTGGCCAGGCTGGTCTTGAACTCTTGACTTCAAGTGATCCGCCTGTCTTGGCTTCCCAAAGTGCTGGGATTACAGGCGTGAGCCACCATGCCCAGCCTAGCCATTGCCTTTTTTAAAGAGATTAAAAATTACACATTTTTCCTCACCTTTCCTCTCTTCCACCCTTCTCTTTACCCTTCCCTCCCTCTTCATTCTCTTTCTTTTCCCCCTCTTCCTCCTCTCTTCCATTCTCCTTCTACCCACCCCACTTCTCTTCTATTCCCTCCCCTCCCTCCTTCATCTGCCTTCCACTTCTCACTTCCCTACACTTCTACCTCCCTTCTCTCTTCTCCCCCTCCCTCTAATTTTTAGGTAAATTGAGCATGGTAGACCTCCAAGGTTGGGAGACAGAGGAATCCACAGTGGCCCAGCATGAGGAAGCAGAGCCTGGGCAGGATGCATAAGTGGGATGCCAGGTGAAGGGATGTGGGGTGTCAGCACCCAGGAGAGGTGAGCAAGTTGTCCATGAAGCAGGGCAGCCTCTGGCATGGGAAGTCAGGACTCAAACAGGAGAGAAAGCCTGTCACATGGGAGAATGAGATGGGATATTAGCCGTACTCCAGAGGATTGATCAAATAAATAAATGCGATAAGAATAATGACAGCCAGGTCTCTATGGAAATAAGGAAAACTAGGATAAATTCTGAATTGTTGAACCAGAATTAGATGTGTTGGTGAAAACTTAAAGTTTATCATATATAGAGATCAACGAATAATATAGTTTTAAATGTGTATATATGCATATACATTTCTATTCCCTAGCTCCGTGTGCCGAGAGCAGCGACACCCCATGAGCAATGAACACACCTAGTGCTCAGATCTGGTTTCTAAATATTGTTTTTCACTAAAAGGAATGAGGACTTCTTGGAGAGCTGGCAGATTCTAGAGTTAAGACTGAGAATGCACACGATGAGCCTGGAACATCTTGTACCAGAAATCAAGACAGTACTCCAACAATGATGAGGATCTGTCAAAGGACACAGAAGTGAACTTGAATGGGCTTCCCCTGGCCGGTGTGGTCAGGATTTGAACATTAAATTAAATAATTATAGTAACAAATTATAATCTATTTGCTAAAATAGAAATCATGAGCCCATTCAGATGTACATTAAAACATGAGTAAATTAAGAGTTTGAAGGGATGGGACATTTACATAGTTATTCATTATAAAGGAAAAGAGAGTCTCTTTACAGTGAAAAAGCGGGCAGACACCACAGTAATCATGTGATCCAGCTGAACATCATCATTGCTTGAGCCCAAGAGTTTGAGCCTGCAGTGAACTGCGATCATGTCACTAGACTCCAGCCTGAGTGACAGACCAAGATCCTATCTCTAAAACAACAACATTATTCTGGTTTCTTAGAGTGTGTTAAAAAAATTATACAAAATGAACATCATCAGTGTTAATTAAATAAAACTTAATAGGAGGGCATTGGTTCAGACTGGGCTCCTACCCTAGGCCTAACAGACCAAAATGGAGTTAAACCAAGCCAAAACTAAGTTGTTTATCTGACCTTCCAAGAAATCAGGAAAGAAAAATAGCCAAATCCCTAAACAGGCCAGTTTTATACAGCATGATAAGGAAGTCCCCTCTGCTTTAACCCTTACAAAAAGGTAATCTGGACTGGGTGTGGTAGCTCATGTCTGTAATTTCAGCACTTTGGGAAGCCGAGGTGGGTGGATCGTTTGAGACCAGGAGTTTGAGACCAGCCTGGCCAA